>NC_000017.11:56935980-58185980 GCF_000001405.40 Homo sapiens
AAATACTGACAGAAAACTTGTGGTCATTCAGACTTGGGGATTGGTATACATTTTCTTTTTTGAGACGGAGTCTCGCTCTGTTGCCCAGGCTGGAGTGCAGTGACACGATCTCCACTCACTGCAACCTCCACCTCCCGGGTTCAAGCAGTTCTCCCTACCTCAGCCTCCCAAGTAAGTGGGATCACAGGCACGTGCCACCACGCCCAGCTAATTTTTGTATTTTTTAGTAGAGATGTGGTTTTGCCATGTTGGCCAGGCTGGTCTTCCAAAGTGCTGGAATTACAGGCGTGAGCCACTGTGCCCGGCCCACATTTTCTTGACAATAAAGTGAGCCACTTAATTCAAGAACAAACAGTATTTGTTGCCAATGAAAAACTGAGCTTTCAAGCAAAAATTAGAATTTTGGAAAACTTGTATCTGCCATCGTGAGCTGACAACTTCCCAATACTTAAGACTTTCCTGATAAGATCACATATTTGGCAATATTAACAAATGCAATTTTAAAATATCGCTTAATTAAATGTGTCAAGATTTAGAAGATGACAGGTTTCCAGCAAGTTCTGCTGGTGCAGTATCGTGGTGACTCCTCATGTCCTTCAGTGAGGTAGAGCCATGCCTTCCCAAAGGAGTCTGCTCACAGCCTGAGGGCAGAGTCTGGGGGCTCTTCCTTGGGTGTATATCTCAGCCCCCGGGTAGTAGCTGGTTCTTGTATCTGCTATTCCTGTATTTTGAGTTCTCTTTACTTCTTACTAGCCAGTTCCTCATCACTCCGATCCCAGTGAGAATCAGGAATTCTTTATATTAAACTCTTCCTGTTTGGATCACTATGTGGTTTCTCCCTCCTGATTAGACCTACACTGACATAGCAGGTCTTGTAAGCAAGAGCTGTGAACAGTCAAGTGGGGAGAAAAACACATCAGTGCATTCATTACAATGAAGCGAAGGGCACAAAGGAGAGGTACATGTTCCTGCCTGTCTTGGTTTGTGAACTGCAAAAGGTTGTCAAGCTGACATTGGGGGAAGAAGACTTAAGGAAAAAGTTTGCAACAGCTGCTGTTAAGTATAAAGAAGTGGAAAATTAGAACCAAATGGTATCCACGTGTTGAGTGGGCTAGTTCTTTTGCCTGTGAAAAAGAGTTTTTGTGATGTCATCCCTTCGGAACAGTTGAGGGAGCAGAAAGTGAATGACCCAACAAATCCAGACTTGGAAGTAGCTAAAAAGGAAAGTTAGCAGGTAATTAAGTTACCACCGCAGTGCCCAACAGGAGGACAGCAAAGAAGAGACCAACTGTATCAGTGATATGGTTGGAGTTGGAGAACTTAAGCACTTCAAGACAACGGAAAAATAGTGGCTGGGCGTGGTGGCTCATGCCTGTAATCCCAGCACTTTGAGAGGCCAAGGCGGGTGGATCACCCGAGGTCAGGAGTTTGAGATCAGCCAGGCCAACATGGTGAAACCCCGTCTCTACTAAAAATACAAAAATTAGCCGGGGCGTGGTGGCGGGCGCCTGCAATCCCCGCTACTGGGGAGGCTGAGGCAGGAGAATCACTTGAACCTGGGAGGCAGAGGTTGCAGTGAGCCGAGAGAGATCATGCCACTGCACTCCAGCCTGGGCGAAAGAGTGAGACTTGGTCTCAAAAAAAGAAAAGCATCGCTGGATGTAATGCACTTTTTGTTTTTCTATTCTATTGTATTTTATTTTTCAAAATGCTGGTCATGGTCCCCCTAAATTGACTTCATAATCCTTCTTGGGGACTCTATTCATAGTCTGACAAACACAACAGAGGAAAGGAGTGACTCATAAACTGATAATAATCTGAGAAAAACACACCCTGAGGTCAAAATTTTCCTTTGGTCAATGTTCACTAGTTATCTTAATTTGTTTTCCAAACCCTGGAAGGCAACTGTGCTACACAGAACCCCAGTGCCAAGATCCCACCGTTCACATTACTCTCATCCTTTCGGGAGTAATACTTCTCATTACAAATCAATAAATGCACATTTTGAAACACATTCATGTCATGCAAAGTAAAACTGGCCAGCATCTCCACTGGCACAGTGGCTCCCAGATCAGATGAACTCCACTGAACCAAACTTTGCAACATCAGACTCATCAGTCAAAGCAAACCTTCTTATTACAGAAAATTGTAATCTCTCACGTTATTGTAAAATAAGACAATAATTTGCAATACTCAACATGATAACTCGGTAGAGATGTTTAGTTCAATATGATTTTATTTAAAAATGTGTACAGCTGAAGGAGGGATCTGATCTTTTGTTAAATGAAACCAATTTTCACGGTATATATTTGGCCATTTTAGCTTCGTAGTGAATAATAACAGAAAAGGAAGTTTCTGTTCAAGATCCTCACTCCAGCACACTCAGCCAGGTGCCTGGCAAGATGACACATTTCCTGGTCTGAAGCTCACAGCCAATCCTCTCACTGAAGTGAAACACCAATTCTCCAGGCATACACACACATACGCACATCTTATTTTCACTGCTCTACACAGGGACCTGAGAATCCTTAATTTTAAAGTTGGGAAAAACGTGAAAGGATTCCTTAACTCATTGTCTGCGACAAATCCAACTACCTGTTAACTCTTAACAATTGCAAGTATAAAATACTTGAAATTTACAAGATGCTCCATTTAATGGAACAACTCAAATGCTAAAAAATTAGGTCAAATAACATGCTTTAATATTTTTAAATGTTACTTAAAACTTATTGAGACAAGATACGCAGCACATTCTTGGTATTATAAACTCCTACTGACGACTGCTACTTGATGGCCAAAAACATTTAAAGAAAGAGAAGAAACCATACTGGTATACAACAATATCTGCAGGGAATGTCATGTTTTACATTTTGTTAACTGAAATTAAACCTGACAAAAAAACCAAAGATCTACAAAACCGACACCCATGTCATTTTAAATGATGAGGTAGATTGTTTCCTATGCAGTAAAGTGAAGATAACAAAAAAATCCATACAACTTCCAAATCCTCTTTAAAAAAAAAAAAAAGTTTGGGTTATAGTCACTTTCACAAACAAGACATTCATAAACTATAAGGTGGAGAGGTCATACTCAGGCAGGTTCTGTACTTGATGTGTTACTTGGAGATTCAATAATCAGTCTTGGGTCAATCAACTCTTTCCAAAATACAGTGATCTGAGGAAAAAGACAAAATACCCAGTTTAGGCACTTCATTTTGAGGTCATACCGGTTAATTCAGCCACGTAAATTTTCCGTCTGTGTAGAATGATTGAAGAACGGGAATAATTTGGGTTCCAATAAACTGAGTTCAATTGCAGTATAGTAACTCTTTAGGCCAGGCGCTGTGGCTCACACCTGTAATCCCAGCAATTTGGAAGGCCGAGGGGGAGAAATGCTTGAGCCCAGGAGTTCAAGATCAGCCTGGGAAACCTAGTGAGACCCCATCTCTATTATTTTTTTTAATTAAAAAACAAAACAAAAAAAAAGAGGCCAGGCATGGTAGCTCACGCCTATAATCCTAGCACTCTGGGAGGCCAAGGCAGTCGGATCATCTAAAGTCAGGAGTTCAAGACCAGCCTGGCCAACCTGTGTCTCTGCAAAAATACAAAAATTAGCCGGGCATGGTGACGCATGCCTGTAGTCCCAGCTACTCGGAAGGCTGAGTCAGGAGAATCGCTTGAACCCAGTAGGTGGAGGTTGCAGTGAGCGGAGATCGCGCCACTGCACTCCAGCCTGGGTGACAGAGTGAAACTCTGTGCTGGGAAAATAAATAAATAAATAAATAAATAACTCATTTACTTAGAATGAAGCTAAATTTTACATTAAACATATTTCATCTTTCTTTGATTAAGAGCAGGAGATGCAGGGGTTGCGGGAGGGAGTAGCTCCCCCAACCCCTGCATTTGATTTGCCCTGTGGACAGGTGGCCTGGAGACCTTCTGGCAACTAGACATGGTCCAGATGGGTATCATTAGGCTGCTGATGCCCTTTTGCGCCGCTCTGTAGTTCTTATCCTACACTACCTAAAAACAGGAACTATTTCACAGCCCACCAAGAGAAAAACTCTAAGGCTTGGTCCTATGAATGAATAATGAGGGCCATCTAGTGTCAAAAAAGGTAATTACAGGCTTTTTGTTTTTGAGATAGGGTATCACGTCTATAGTCCAGGCTGGAATGCAGTGGCATTCAGGACTCACTGCACCTTCCACCTCCTGGGCTCAAGCGATCCTCCTGCCTCGCCCCCACCACCCCCAAAGGTGGCTGGGACTACAGGCATGTGTCACCACTCCCGGTTAATTTTTGTATTTTTTTGTAGAGACGGGGTCTCGCCATGTTGCCCAGGCTGGTCTTGAACTCCTGGACTCAAGGGATCGGCCCGCCTCAGCCTCCCAAAGTGCTGTGATTACAGGCATGAGCCACGGTGCCCAGCCTAATTACAGGCTTTCTATTCTACTTCAAGTCTCTGTTTAGGGCATAGAGAGAAAAGCCTCCAAGGTTTAATTTTCCAATGCGGTTTCCAATTTCAACCAAAAAAAACTATTGCAAATAAAGAAATACAGGAGACCAGGCCAAATCTGCTGATCCTACCACAAACACTAAAAATGTGTTTCTGGAATAAATCCCTAAAAGTGTCATCTACCTTAAAGACAAGGTAAAACACAGTCTGGCTAGGGTTTCTACAAGTTCACACTTCAGAAAAAATATGTTTGCAATATTGAAACTTACAGAATAATATCTATAACATTTCAAGTATAAACACCTTAAAAGAGAGCATTTTCTTAAATCTAACTTCCATTTAATGCCACCATAACCTAATGAGCTAGCCACTGCCAGCAACTCTGGTAGGTCTGGCTGCTTAAAAAGGTATAAATCGGCCGGGCGCGGTGGCTCACACGTGTAATCCTAGCACTTTGGGAGGCCGAGGCGTGCAGATCACGAGGTCAGGAGATTGAGACCATCGTGGCCAACGCGGGGAAACCCTGTCTCTAGTTAAAAAAATACAAAAAATTAGCCAGGCGTGGTGGCAGGCGCCTGTAATCCCAGCTACTCGGGAGGCTGAGGCAAGAGAATGGTGTGAACCCGGGAGGCGGAGCTTGCAGTGAGCGGAGATCACGCCACTGCACTCCAGCCTGGGTGACAGAGCTAGACTCTGTCTCAAAAAAAAAAAAAAAAAAAAAAGGTATAAACCATATACTTCCCAAAATGGCAATTTAAGGATTTAAAGAAAGTCAGAGGATGAGATCATCATTTTATGTCACTCTTCAAACTGTTGTGCTATTATAAGTTGGAACTCTCGGGCCAGGCATGGTGGCTCACCCAGGCACGGTGGCCTGTAATCCAACACTTTGGGAGGCCTAAGTGGGCAGATCACTTGAGGTCAGCAGTTCAAGACCAGCCTGGCCAACATGGTAAAACCCCGTCTCTACCAAAAATATAAAAATTAGCTGGGTGAGGTGGCAAGCGCCTGTAATTCTAGCTACTCCAGAGGCTGAGGCATGAGAATCGCTCGAACCTGAGAGGTGGAGGTTGCAGTGAGCCAAGATCATGCCACTGCATTTCAGCCTGGGCAACACAGTGAGACTCTCTCAAAAAAACAAAAGTTGGAACTGTGGTAACACTTGGGGGATAGTGGTGACAGCAAGGGGACATAATAGAGGCTTCTGGGAGTGGGTGTTATGTTCTATTTCCTGATCTGGGTCTGGTTACATGGGTATGTTCATGTGAAAGTTGTTCAAGCCATGTAGTTATATGCACTTCTCTGAACGTGTATG
This sequence comes from Homo sapiens, assembly GCF_000001405.40. NCBI lineage: Eukaryota > Metazoa > Chordata > Mammalia > Primates > Hominidae > Homo > Homo sapiens. Next base: position 56,941,752 of record NC_000017.11, read on the forward strand.
CCAATAAAGTTTCTAAATATGCTACCCTTTCCTACTGGAATCCTTATATAGCTATAATTTTAAACAACTGTACACTCTTAAAGAAAAGTTTGTTATTTGTGCATCTTGTCACATAGGCTCTATGAGGGCCAAGATGGCGCCCTGATTTGGCACTGGTATTGCCACACCATAAGAAGGTCAGATTCCCCCCAGGGCCTGTAGTGCAATGTCACCTTCCAAACCACAGGTAATTGGTCAAGAGAGAACGAATGGCCAAGCAACGCAAGAAGAGAAGCACACCTACCTTGCTCTCCTGTGTCACAGCGTACTCCACTACCTCGGCTCCATTTTCATTGTGATAAACTAAATCAAATTTCCCAGGTTCTCTCAAGGCTGAAACAAGAAGATAGGGAGGAAAGAGAGTAAGTCATTTTTCAATAGTTAAAAATGTTCCTCTATGGGGAATTTATATCATTAAGAAAACAACCACAAACAAACTGTCAATTAATGTGAAGGCTGGGTATGTACAGGAAAGCACAGGGTGCTCAATACTGGGGGATCCTGAGAAAAACTCTGGACCAGGGGGACTTCTCAGCCATTTATCAGAGAAAATCTTTCCTTCATAAGCTTGATGAACTGTCATTAGTACTACCAGAATTGAATATGGCACCACAAGATAATCCCCAAAATTAATTAATTTATGTGTTTCAACAAGGGAAGGTAATATGAAATGCTGCTCTGTCCTTAGAAATCACATATGCTTCCTACTACTTGGTAACACAGGCAGTCCCCCTTTTTTTTTTAAGACAGAGTCCTGCTTTATCGCCCAGGCTGTAGTGTAGTGGCGCAATCTCGACTCACTACAACCTCTACCTCCTGGGTTCAAGTGATTCTTGTGCCTCAGCCTCCTGAGTAGCTGGGATTACAGGCATGCACCACTATGCCCAGCTAATTTTTGTATTTTTAGTTGAGACAGGGTTTCACCATGTTGGCCAGGTTGGTCTCAAACTTCTGGCCTCAAGTGATCTGCCCGCCTCGGCCTCCCAAAGCGCTGGGATTACAGGCGTGAGCCACCACACCCGGCCTCAGTCCTTGCTTTCTATGGTAAAATGGGATTGGAAAAATGACTGTGCAAGCTGAAACCACGCAAAACAATCTTAATAATCAATAGGAAAAATTATTATCGTCTTACGAGTTTTAAAAAATTTTGCCAAAACATTAAAAACCTTTACTACATAGGGAAATTAAAAAATAGTAAAATAAATATATTGTACTTATGAGTACACTGTAATTACATTAGGAACACTAAGAACTAACTTTCTTTTTCTCTTTCCTTCTACACGTTTTATTTCTTTGTAAGAAACTTATCAGGGGGAGTTTGAACAGTGCTTGTGTTCTTGCCCTGTAACTTACAATACAGAGCAAGCATCTTCTCTATGCTTTGTGCAACTGTTATACTCTTTTCTAAGTTTGAAACTGCTTTCTACATTTTATCCTTTGAACTTCTAATGTCGTGAAATAGCTCAAAGAATTTGTTTTTTACTTTGTAAAATCTTTGTTTTTGCTGGTGTCACTTTGGGGACATTTTCATCCTTTTTGCCACAACCACTTTCCTCATTTATGTCAATAAGTTCACCTCACTGGCAGTGTCAACATTCCTACAGTGAGCTATTTCTTCTACAGACTCTCCTTAAACTCAGTTTGGATGGCACTTTCAGCATTACCACTTTTGTTTCTTTGCTGTGCCTTTATCTTTGTGGGCCAATTCCCTACTTCGATTATACGTGTTGTAAAATGTCATGCAGGTTTATAAGTGAGAGACAAGGAGGCACCACAACTGCATGCTCTGCTCTGTATGTGAACTGAATAACAGATGCACAGTGACCAGTCACTGACGGACTCTGAAAGTACTGACTTGACTGGTAATGGATCATGACGCGTATCTGTTATTTATGTTATATAGTGATATGTGGACTAAAGAGCTAGCAGTACTTCATGCACTTACAGTTAACATATGCAATGTTGCTGGGGGACTAGTATTACTTAACTAAACCAGGGTAACTGAAATATATGTATATCAGAACCACCACATCAAGGACAAGTGACATTGCTATTAGAGAACAGATAAATCCATTTCTTTCTTTCTTTTTTGCTTTTGAGACAGGGTCTTGCTCACTCAGCCTGGAGTGCAGTGACGCAATCATGACTCACTGCAGCCTCGACCTCCTGGGCTCAAGTGATCCTCCCACCTCAGCCTCTCAAGTAGCGAGGACTACAAGCATGTACCACCACACTCAGCTATGTTTTGTTTTTTTTTTTTACGACAGAGTCTCACTATGCTGCCCAGGCTGGTCTTGAACTCCTGGGCTCAAGTGATCCTCCCACCTTCGCCCCCGAAGCCATTTCTTGATGCCCTAAAGAAGAAAAGTTCTAAGTGGATGTCATCACTATTAATCACCTGACAAGCACTGATCAGGCTGTATGCACAGAATTTGACAGTGGACAAACTTTTCTGTCCACCGTTCCTAAGAAAGGGGATTTCTATAAATGAAATCTCATCAGAAGAAAGGTTGGAAACCTGGCCAGGCACGGTGGCTCATGCCTGTAATCCCAGCACTTTGGGAGGCTGAGGTGGGAGGATCACGAGGTCAGGAGATCGAGACCGTCCTGGCTAACACAGTGAAACCCCATCTCTACTAAAAATACAAAAAATTAGCCAGGTGTGGTGGCGGGTGCCTGTAGTCCCAGCTGCTCGGGAGGCTGAGGCAGGAGAATGGCGTGAACCCGGGAGGCGGAGCTTGCACTGAGCCGAGATCGCCCACTGCACTCCAGCCTGGACAACAGAGTGAGACTCCATCTCAAAAAAAAAAGAAAGGTAGGAACCCAGTGTAAGTTATATATAAACATTTACTTAATATCATAAACGAACTTTGTTCAAAAACTCTTTCGACTGATTTCTGTTAGCTGAATCTTTTATTCAATCCCTTATCTAAAAATAAACAGAAGGCCAGGTGCGGTGGTTCATGCCTGTAACCTCAACACTTTGGGAGGCCAAGGTGGGTGGATCACGAGGTCAGGAGATCGAGACCATCCTGGCTAACATGGTAAAACCCCGTCTCTACTAAAAATACAAAAAATTAGCCGGGCATGGCGGCCAGCGCCTGTAGTTCCAGCTACTCGGGAGGCTGAGGCAGGAGGATGGTGCGAACCTGGGAGGCAGAGCTTGCAGTGAGCCAAGATAGCGCCACTGCACTCCAGCCTGGGCGACAGCAACACTCCGTCTCAAAAATAAACAAACAAACAAACAAACAAACAAACAGAAAACAGGCTGGGCACAGTGGCTCACACCTGTAGTCTCAGCACTTTGGGAGGCCAAGGCAGGTGGATTGCTTGAGGCCAAGAATTCAAGACCAACCTGGCCAACATGTCAAAATCCATCTCTACTAAAAATACAAAAATTAGCTGGACATGGTGGTGTGTGCCTGTAGTCCCAACTACTCTGCAAGCTGAGGCATGAGAATCACTTGAACCTGGGAGGCGGAGGCTGCAGTGAGCCAAGATTGTGCCACCACACTCCAGCCTGGGCGATAGAGTGAGACTCTGTCAAAAAAAAAAGGAAAACAATTAATTGCTTTAGGATCTTCTAAAGGAAAAGGAATCTCCCCTGCCCTCTGGCCAGGGACCCCTACAGTACACCCCAAGTTAAGCTACATATTATAAAAGCCCTCTTATTCCACGCATTCAGTTCCAGTACCAGGTGGGGTTCATCAGAGATAAATCCAGCAACCATTTAAAATGATATGTGAAAGTGTATGTATACACACACTTCAGACATTTTGTTTTGACTTAATATACAAAAGTATATTCATTTGACAATCTTTTGAAATAGAGCTGAGTAGGTCTTATGAGTTCACTGAATAGAGCTCTTTTTTTAATAAACCATACCATTGTATTGTCTGCAATTTCCACAATTTACAGTTTGGGGGTTTTTAAAATATTTTTTGAGACTAAGTCTTGCTCTGTCACTCAGTCTGGAAGGCAGTTGCACTATCTCGGCTCACTGCAACCTCCACCTCCCGGGTTCAAGCGATTCTCCTGCCTCAACCTTTCCAGTAGGTGGGATTACAGGCGTGTGCCATGACGCCCGGCTAATTTTTGTATTTTTAGTAGAGACAGGGTTTCACCATGTTGGCCAGGATGGTCTCAAACTCCTGACCTCAAGTGATCCACCAACCTTGGCCTCCCAAAGTGCAGGGATTACAGGTGTGAGCCACCGTGCCCAGCCTGGGTTTTTCTTAAATAAGGCAAGATTGCAAAAATTTGCAAGGCAATCTAAGTGCAGAATCTTCCTCAGTTTTTACAAAATTCCTCCCAATCTTTTATAGCTGACCCACTCATCCATAATTTCATAGCATTTCCTGAGTCAGCATTCAACTTAGGCTTCCTAGGAATAATTCTTTTTATAATCGATTTTCATCAGTTCATATAATCTTTTATGAAATTATATAATTACAGTAATAAGAACTAGCCCAACAGCTTTGGAATATATCCAACATCTCTTATGAGCCCCCAGGGCTAAAGTGTGCTGAAAGAAGTGGGGAGCGCCAGTTATATGGAGGCCAAGGAAGAGAACATCTCCTGTGTATAAAAGCTATTTATAAACCACTGTAGATAGAGCCTACATTTTCAAATTATTTTCTAAAAGACTCACCAGGTAAGGATGAAAGAATTTCTATATCTACTTGCTGGGTCTCTGGATTGTGGCTTAATATTCTTCCTTCCTTTCAAAAATAAAAGTCCAAGTCAAAATCAACATGTAAAACACTGTGAATATACTAAAAACCACTGAATTGTAGACTTTAAAATGGTTAAAATGTTGAATTTTATGTTATGTGAATTTTATCTCAGTTGAAAAATTTAGAAATAAATCCACATATAGAGAAAATAAAAACAGGTGGACTGATAAACACTTTATGTGAATATACAGAAATATCTTTAGAGGCAAAATAAAACATTTAAATCATAAATGGCAGACACTATCTTAAATAACTCGATGAAAGTAAAGATTACACCAGGGAACCAAAAGTGACTGAATAAGGGAAAAGGAGAAAAAAATCACACCAGGCTGATATATTCAAGTGAGCACTGACCATCACAGCATTCATCAGGAGAGACTAGATATATCCTAATGGTGCAGCCTCGGTTCCTGATGCTTTTAGAACCCTTCTAAAACAGTGATCACAACCCCCCAGGAGAAACCAGAAGGCACTTTATCACTGTTAAGATCCCAATTCTCCTTCTCCCAGGTCTCCAGCTGTGGGAGCTGATTTTCTAATGCATCAAGAGGATGCACTGCCCATGCACGTGGGCGATGGGGAGACACATGGTAGCCTCCGGGGGTATATACTGAGAGGCCAAGCAACCAGTTCCTCCTGCCTCTACCTGGAATTTCTGAGCACAGTCAACAGTTTTTTTTAAAACCAGACTCAACAGGGAATCAGGGGCTTGGGAGACTACATTTTTTAGTACAGAATTGAACCAATTTAATTTTTGGAGACAAGGTTAATGAATAAAGCAGATGATCAAGCTGGATAACTGCGTTTGAGGTCAAAGCAAAAAAGTAGGACCAATTTTCATTCTTAAAATGTTTTTGAAAGCAATTTCAAAAATCTTCAAAAAATTTTGCCAACTAAAGTAGGCAAAACACCTTCCAACATTAATAACTATGACAACTAATACCAATTTAATATGCAATTTTTTTTAAGAGTCTCGTTTTGTCACCCAGGCTGGAGTGCAGTGGCATGATCTCAGCTCACTGCAACCCCCACCTACTGCGTTCAAGTGATTCTTGTGCCTCAGTCTCCTGAGTAGCTGGGGCTACAGGTGCACGCCACCATGCCAGGCTCATTTTTATATTTTTAGTAGAGATGGGGTTTTGCCATGTTGGCCAGGCTGGTCTCGAACTCCTGACCTCAAGTGATTCACCTACCTTGGCCTCCCAAAGTGCTGGGATTACAGGCATGAGCCACTGTGCCTGGCCATTAATAAGCAATTTTTAAAAATCAGTATCATCTAGAATTACAATTTATAGAGGTTGTGGGATGTATCAATACAATATTCATTTCCATTTCCTCATATATCACACAATTAAATGTTTTCTATGGTAGGGTGACAAAACACCCTGGTTTGTTCAAGACAGGTCTGTACATCTTTCCAGCATAACTATTAATAGCATCCCTTTGACTCACAAGTATCCTGATTCAGGTGATAAATTACATGATCACCTCATCCATAGGAGATAGTAAGTGCCTAAGAAGATAAAAAACAAAACACCAACGACCTAGAACTAACCCACCAGATCCCTTCATTAACTGATTCTTCCAGCCTGCTTTTGAGGAAAGATTTTTTTTTTTTTTTTTTTTGAGATGGAGTCTCGCTCTGTTACCCAGGCTGGAGTGCAGTGGTGTGATCTCAGCTAACTGCAAGCTCTGCCTCCCGGGTTCACGCCATTCTCCTGCCTCAGCCTCCTGAGTAGCTGGGACTACAGGCACCCGCCACCATGCCCCGCTAATTTTTTTTTTTGTATTTTTACTAGAGACGGGGTTTCACTGTGTTAGCCAGGATGGTCTCAATCTCCTGATCTCGTGATCCACCCACCTTGGCCTCCCAAAGTGCTGGGATTACAGGTGGGAGCCACCAAGCCCAGCCTTGAGGAAAGGTTTCTATAAAGATTTTAAGTCTTCCAAGGCATCAATCCAGATTAAATCAAATTCCCTTGTATTTTATCTATGTTACTATATTAACACTACCAATTATTACCTTAAAAAATGGTCTTACATTCCATATAGTACATCAAAAAAAAGAAAGAATGCACTTTAACAAGATTTTCAACAAAATGTTGGTGGGTGAAAAAGAAACATGTAATTCTGTGATCCCTCTGACTGAGTCAAGCTTTTACTGAACTATGAAAAACCTCACATGCCAATATAAAGACTCATACAGATATTAAGTAAGTAAATTCCACGGATAATATTTATGAATTACCTGTGGTTACCTGATAATGCAGAAGAAATCATACTAGATCATAACAACCAGAAGTAATTCACAAATATGTAAAATAGATTCCCATGATGAAAATAATCAAATCTTCTTGCTGAGAACTATTTATTATTTTCTTTCAAAGTTTAGAATCATGAAGGAATGAATACCCAAATAAGTTGGTCTAAACTAATTAGAAAAAAGTAACTAAAAAAATTAAACTGGCTGGGCATAGTGGCTCACACCTGTAATCCCAACACTTTGGGAAGCCAAGATGGGGGGATTGCTTGAGCCAAGGAGTTTGAGACCAACCTGGGCAACATAGCAAGATCCTGTCGCTATTTAAAAACAAAAAATTAATATATTTTTTTTAAAAAAGTAAAAATTAAGCTCATCATTCTCCTACTCTATTCTTCCCAAGTATAAGGCAAATAACACAGGGAGACTTCCCAGTGATACTATTAAAGAGTTGACATTTCGATTAATGTTTTCATTTTCTACTTTCTGGCATTTTTATTTAGTAAAAAAACAAATCTGTATTATCCATACAAGTAGTATTAAATATGACTTTAGTTTTAATAATACACTGACAACTTACTTTTAAATAAACATCCTTACCTTGTAGTCAGAGACATCAGGAGAGTAACTGGATGTTAGCTCCAAAAGCTAAAAAAGAAGAAAAAACCCACAAATACATAAGCCCTCTTATCCTCTCCCATTCCCACAGCTCCTCCATCATGCCATGTTGGCGTGTCCACCCCGACCAGTCTGGGAGCCCTACCAGGAACCCGTAACAACACTGGGGTTCCAGTGGGAAGGGCTTTTACAAACACATTTAACCTGATTTTCTAAGTAAGTTTATTTGGAAGGGGAATGAACCTTTTTTGCTGTGACTGTTCTTTTGAAATATACCTTAAATGCAATCTTTTCTCCAACTTGAGGGGCAGCTGCTAACAGTGGTAACAGACTATAGTCCTTCTTGGGTGTCTCTACTGGATTCTGAAAAACAGTGTTAGTCATGTGACATCATCACTGGTGAGAAAATGTGAATCCATGACATGAACTCCACACACATTCTAAGGGGAAAGGGAGGAGATAACTTACAAAAAATAATACTTACCTGGATAATAGTAGATGAATTTTTTACCACGTCATTTAATTGCTGTTGCCTCTGGTTGTCAGTGCTTCTATTTACAACACAGGAAACAGGATGCCCTCGTCCTCGACCTCTCCCCCGCATGCCCCGTCCCTTAGCTCCCTTCCAAGAAAAAAGGTTCTCTTCTCTACCCCATCCTCTTCCTAAACTAGCAGGGAGAGACACACTGGGAGAAGCACCAGGAGCCTGTCCACCACCATTTGAGCCAGAACGCCTCCATCCAGCAGCACCTGCAGTCTGTGATGACAGCCCTGGGCCTGGACGACCTCTTCCTGCAAAAAGGCCTACTGTCTTTAAGAAACCCGCAGCACACTCCGGGGTGCTCGATGACATCAAGCATTGGTCGTCTGACTCTGCACTAGAGTCTGAACTGGAAGATGTTGTTCCAGAGGTCTTGCCCTTGCTGGGGGTAAGGCTAAAGCCAAGTTTTATAGCCAGTTTGTCTGCAGTTGTATTTTTGGTAGAGGGTTCTTCCTTTGATAACTCAGTTGGTAATTTCTCTGAGGAATTTCTGGCCTCCAAAGTGACTTTGCTGGGACCATCACTGATAGATTCATCACAAGATTCAGACTCCGAGGAGGAACTGGGACTCTCTTTTGAGCAAACGCTTACACTACCTTTCCTTTTGGCTTTAACAAGGCTGTTTCTAGCAGAACCTTTTGGAGAACTACATCTCTGATTGGCCCAGTCTTTCACTGCCTGTACTTTCGGAGACTTGGGATTCTTAGCCTTTTTTTTATATTCACATTTCTCCTTTTTCTTTGGTGATTTTCTTTTGGCCTCTTCGTTATCATCACCCACTGTGCCACAGGTTGCTTTATTTTTTCTCTTGTTTTTTTTGCTGACAGTCTGATCTGTGACAGCTTTTGGTTCCAGATCCAAGACCTTCTCATTATTGTTATTGTTCTCTCGACTCTTCCAATGCTTCTTTGAATATTTGCAATCTGGTTCAGTTTCTTCACCCTCCTCTAACTGAAATGCCCGCTTCTTTGCTTTTCTAAGAGATAAATTAATGTCACCATTACTGATGACTACAGAATTCTCAGCAACTCCTCTCTCTTCTAATTTAACTCTGTCAAAAGAACAAGAGAGAAAGCTAGAGTGAGCAATTTATAAACACATCTCCAGGACATAGTTATATACTGAGATGACTCTACAAAATGTAACTACCATCAGTCAATGAAAAAATGTCACATCACTTAAAGACAAAAGACTCTTTCTGGCAAAATGGCCTATGTAGCATTACTCACAGTCAACTTTCAAATGGCTAGTTTTATTTATTGAATAGCTACTGCATCCTAAACATTTTTAATACGTTTTTCTCTAATCTAAACACCAACACAAAGTAGGTATTTTTAATTTTACAGATCGCAAAATTACAGCTCAGACAAGTTACTTGCCCCAAATCTAGAGCTGATAAGTAGCAGAAACGCAATTCAAACTTCAGTTTGTCTAACTTCAAACTCACAATCTTTCTACAATATGCATGTCACCTACCCTAAAAGGTGATAATGCTGATTATCCATTTTGTTTCAGAATGTGGGCTTCTTTCTTTAATAAGATTTTACTCCTGTTTTAATTTAGGTGAATACTAAACAATTTATGTTCTCTAGGGTAGTGACAGCCATCTGTACAATTCCACAACACTCTGTGAAGCTTAATTTTATGTATCAATTTGTCCGGGCTATTGGACGTCCAGATATCTGGTTAAAATTACGCTGGCTCTTTCCATACCACCACAGTGGTGCACATGAATGTCTTGGCTGATGCTCTCAAGAGCATCAACAAAGCTGAAAAGCAAGGTAAATGCCAGGTTCTTATTAGGCCGAGCTCCAAAGTAACTGTCCGTTTTCTTTTTTTTATTTTTATTTTTCTTTTCTTTTTTTTTTTTTGAGACGGAGTCCCAACTCCGTCACCCAGGCCAAAGTGCACTGGTGCATTTCTCAGTTCACTACAACCTCTCCCTCCCAGGTTCAAGAGATTCTCGTGCCTCAGCCTCCCAAATAGCTGGAATTACAGGCGCCTGCCACTATGCCTCGCTAATTTTTGTATTTTTAGTAGAGATGGGGTTTTGCCATGTTGGCCAGGCTGATCTTGAACTCCTGGCCTCAAGTGCTCAAGTGATCTGCCTACCTTGGCCTCTCAAAGTGCTGAGATTACAGGCATGAGCCATCGCACCCAGCCCCATCGTCCAGTTTCTAACTATAATGATGAAGCATGGTTACACTGGCAAATCTGAAACCACTGATGATCATAGAGCTGGGAAAACTGTTGTGAACCTCACAGGCAGGCTAAACAAGTATGGAATAATCAGCCTCAGATTTGACGTGCAACTCAAAGATCTAGAAAAATGGCAGAATAACCTGCTCCCATCCCACCAGTTTGGTTTCACTGTACTGACAACCTCGGCTGGCATCATAGACCACGAAGAAGCAAGACGAAAACACATAGGAAGAAAAATCCTGGGATTCTTTTTATAACGATGTAATACGTATTTACAAATATATTGCCTCAGTGGAAAAAAAATTATGCTGGGAGTATGTGCAAGGTTGTTTCTGGATGAGATTAACATTTAAATTGCTAGACTGAGTAAAGTACATTGCCGTTTCCAATGTGGGTGGGCCTCATCCAACCCACTGAAGGCCTGAATAGAACAAAAAGACTGAGTAAGGGAGAATTCATTTCTCTGCCTGACTCTTCAAGCTGGGACATCGGTCTTCTCCTGCCTTCAAACTCGAACTTGAACTAGAAATATACCATTGGCTCTCCTTGGTCTATAGCTTACTAAGTGAACTTAGGACTTCTCAATCTCCACAATCCTATGAGCCAATTCCTTACAATAAATCCCATGTCTGTGAGTGAGTATTTGTGTGTGTGTGTGTGTGTGTGTGTCTTACTGGTTATGTTTCTCTGAATAACCCTACTTCATCCAAAATTTCACTATAGGAAAGCAATTTTGTTCCTCCATCAACAGGCAACAGCTAATCCTAGTATGTGCAGTCTGATGATGATGGAAGTCTTGAGACTGTCCTCAATGTTAAGCAAATTGTGAGTACTCAAAAATGCCTGTTGGCCAGGCACAGTGGCTCATGCCTATAATCCCAAAACTCTGGGAGGCTAAGGTGGTAGGGTGGCTTGAGCCCAGGAGTTTAAGACCAGCCTGGGCAACATAGGGAGACCCTGTCTCTACAAAATACAAACATCAGGCTGGGCACGGTGGCTCACGCCTGTAATCCCAGCACTTTGGGAGGTCAAGGTGGGTGGATCACAAGGTCAGGAGATCGAGACCATCCTGGCTAACACAGTGAAACCCCGTCTCTACTAAAAATACAAAAAATTAGCCAGGCGTGGTGGCGGGCGCCTGTAGTCCCAGCTACTCGGGAGGCTGAGGCAGGAGAATGGCGTGAACCTGGGAGGTGGAGCTTGCAGTGAGCCGAGGTCACACCACTGTACTCCAGCCTGGGCAACAGAGCAAGACTCCGTCTCAAAAAAAAAAAAAAAAAAAAATACAAACATTAGGTAAGTATGGTTGGTGCATGCCTGTGGCCCAGCTACCTGAGGTAGGAGGATCACTAGAGCCCAGGAGGTCCAGGCTGCAGTGAGCTGTAATTGCGCCACTGCTGAAAACACACATTATACTTACAAGGCATTTACATTCAGCTATATATTTCATCAAGTTTTTTCAGTGGCCAGGGAAAGATGTAGACAATCATATTTGAAAATAAAGAACAACTGGTGAATGATAGGAGCATATGTGACAAGCATTCTTTAAATTTTTTAAGGCATAGTAATCCTGTGGATTTACCTCAATGCGGTAGTTGAAAAAAATCCTCAATTATTTGTCAGAAAACTAACTATACAGACAAACAAATCAAGATAAAATAAGAGTTACTGATATCAGGAGTAGGAGAAAGAGACAAATAAAATGCTGAGTGACCAGGGATTTTAAATTATAAAAACACATTCCCCTCTGTTCCCAGCTTGGCATCTAATAGCAAGGAAATAATTCTTAATCTGGCAAAAGCCAGTTTGGCATCCTGTGAATCTAAGAACTACCATGGAAGCGCTACAATATCAGATTTTTTTCTTGACATTTCTGATCAATTTGTTTTCACTTGTAGCAATGATCCAAGCTTCAATTCTGAGATGACCAAATAGGACCAAACTTTCTGTCAAATGTTGAAAATGGTTGCAAGTCTCTGTTCAGTCACTGTGGTTTATTAAGGCCCTGGAAAACAGCACATGTAACATCCAGTTGATGAGAACCCCTTCCTTTCCTGGAAGCTGGCAACACCCTCACGCCTTCCAAAACAGCTCTTAGCATCGTCTCATCCATTCTTAAGACCATGCATTGGCCGGGCGCGGTGGCTCATGCCTGTAATAATCTCAGCACTTTGGGAGGCTGAGGTGGGCAGATCACAAGGTCAAGAGATCGAGACCAGCCTGGCCAACATGGTGAAACCCAGTCTCTACTAAAAATACAAAAATTAGCTGGGCATGGTGGCATGCGCCTGTAGTCCCAGCTACTCGGGAAGCTGAGGCAGAAGAATCGCTTGAACCCAGGAGGCAGAGGGTGCAGTAAGCCAAGATCACGCCACCGCACTCCAGCCTGGCGACAGATAGAGACTCTGTCTCCAAAAAATAAAAAAAAAAAGACCATGCATCTACAGCTATTTGGCTTGAAGGTATGACCTGTGATTCCTGCAGCCCCACTACCTACTGTTCCCCAAGAGAATAATTTCAGTTTTTAAAATATTAAGATTATAAACTGGTGTGGTGGCACATGCCTGTAATCCCAGCTACTCAGGAGGCAGAGGGAAGATCACTTGAACCCAGGAGTTCAAAACTAGCCTGGGCAACACAGTGAGCCCTCATCTGGGAAGAAAAAAAAAAAGAAAATATTAAGATTGAGAGGCAAAATACCATCCAGAGAAAAAGAAATGGTTCTCCTGGGTCTGCTTAGTTACCATTCCTGTCAGGTGCACCTTCCCTGGCAATATTCTCTATTTCTTTACCTGGATCACAGACAAAGAATAGAGCTATCCTTTTACAAACAAAAGTGCATGCATTTGTCCTTTCACAAGTAGAAGTGAATTACCTAGGTCACTAGTGACGAAAGAGTTGATTCCAAAAAACAGATCCCCACTTTTCTTTTTTCGAGATGGAATTTTGCTCTGTCGCCCAGGCTGGACTGCAGTGGCATGATCTGGGCTCTCTGCAACCTCCTCCCCTTGGGTTCAAGCGATTCTCCTGCCTCAGCCTCCCAAGTAGCTGGGATTCCAGGTGCCTGCCACCACGCCTGGCTAACTTTTTGTATTTTTAGTAGAGATGGGGTTTTGCCACGTTGGTCAGGCTGGTCTCGAACTGACCTCAGCTGATTCGCCCGCCTCGGCCTCCCAAAAGTGTTAGCATTACAGGCGTGAGCCACCATGCCCAGCTATCCCCACTTTTCATTCTAACTCTTTGCAAGGCAAACTGAGTGGTATTATCAAAATCTAAGTCCACCCTTAAAATCTACAATTTACTGTCTAGGATTCTGTTATGCAGAAACACTGACATGCCCATCTGTCCAACCTGATGCTCCCTACCCATTGCCTGCCAAGGCCAACGTGAATGCCTGGGTTCAAATGCTATTTCTGCCACTGTAATTTTTTTTAAAATCATTACCTCAGCCTTTCTCATCTATAAAAATGGGGATAATGACAATAATTACAGTACTCAGTGACTTATTATGCAGAGAGAGCATGCCTGACTCAGAACAAGTGATATCCAAATGTTAGCTCTAATTTTTATTAGTACAATGAATGTTGTTAGTCCTATCATGGGTAAGTTGGTGAATTTTTAAAAGTTGTACAAGTCTGTACAACTTTTCTGGAAGCTAATTTGACAGTACTTATCAATTTTTATATGTACCTTCTCTTAGACCAATGAGTATTTCTTCTAAGAATAAATCCAACTGAATAATTTTCCAAGTACAAAAAAAATACAAGAATATTCACTAAAGCACTATGTAGCAAACAGAAAAGAATGACATACATCACACACTTTATATACTGAGATAGCCCATGATAGGTAAAAAAGCAAGGTGCAGAACAGTATGTTATGATATTTGTAGTTTAAAAGTATAAGTACATATGGTTGCACATGTATAGAAATCTGGCTCTAAGATATACCCCATACCCCAAACTTAACCAAGGATACTTCTGGAGAGTGAGGTGTGGGAAAAAGTATATGATAAAAGTAGTAGGAAACTTTTTATCTTGGACTATCCAAGGAGCCACTAACTACAGCAATATGAAATGAGAACTCGTCTCTAATATTTTGTTTTGTTTGAGATGCGGTCTTGCTCTGCTGCCCAGTCTGGAGTGGAGTGACACGATCATGGCTCACTGCAGCCTCAACTTCTGAGGCTCAAGTGATCCTCTCACCTAAGCCTCCCAACTAGCTGGGACTACAGGCATCCATCACTGAGCCTAGCTAATTTTTTTTGTTTGTTTTTTGGGGTTTTTTTGGTAGAATAAGGGTCTCCCTGTGTTGCCCAGGCTGCTCACAAACTCCTGGACTCAAGTGATCCTCCCACCTCGGCCTCCCAAAGTGTTGGTATCACAGGCATAAGCCAACATGCCTGGCCCATCTCTAACATTTAATCAATGTGTTTTTTTGTTCGTTTGTTTGTTTGTTTTTTGAGGTAGGGTCTCACTCTGTCGCCCAGGCTGCAGCGCAGTGGCACCATCTCAACTCACCGAAGCCTTTACTTCCCAGGCTTAAATGATCCTCCCACCTCAGCCCCTCAAGCAGCTGGGACTACAGGCATGTGCCACCATGCCCAGCTAATTTTGTTGTATTTTTCTGTAGACATGGGGTTTCACCATGTTGTCGAGGCTGGTCTCGAACTCCTGAGCTCAGGCAATCTGCCTGCCTCAGCCTCCCAAAGTGCTGGATTATAGGCATGAGACATGGCGCCCAGCCTTCATCAAGTATTAATTGCCAGAGTTAAAAGGGTCAGGGAAGACAGAATGCACTGTTTCCTTACAGAATTGATTCTTCAAAAGGGAGTTTCTCAGGCCGGGGGCAGTGGCTCAGGCTTGTAGTCCCAACACTTTGGGAGGCCAAGGCGGGAGGACTACTTGAGCCCAGGAGTTTGAGACCAGCCTGGGCAACTTAGTGAGACCTCTCTACTAAAAATAAAAAACTGCACCTGTAGTCCCAGCTACTCAAAAGGCTGAGGCAGGAGGAGCCCTTGAGCTCAGGAGTTCGAGGCTGTATAAGCCAAGGTTGCGCCACTGCACTCCAGCCTGGGCAATGGAGTGAGACCCTGTCTCAAAAAATAAGGGAGTCTCTCTGAATCTACTGTAATTCTGAGGGCTGCACGATTAAAAAAAATTTAAAAATTAATTAAAAAAAATTAAAAACCGCCAGACACAGTTGCTCACTCCTGTAATCCCAGCACTTTGGGAAGCTGAGGAGGGCAAATCACTTGAGGTCACAAGTTCGAGACCAGCCTGGCCAACATGGTGAAACCCCATCTCTACTAAAAATACAAAAAAATTAGCCTGGCATGGTGGCGGGTGCCTGTAATCCTAGCTACTCGGGAGGCTGAGGCAGGAGAATCGCTTGAACCTGGGAGGCAGATGTTGCAGTGAGCCAAGATCGTGCCACTGCACTCCAGCCTGGGCAACAGAGTGAGACTCTGTCTCAAGAAAAATAAATAAATTAATTAATTAATTAAAATAAAATAAAAAAACCAAATCTGCCAACACCCTGATCTTGGACTTGTAGTCTCCAGAAGAGTAAGAAATAAATTTCCATTTTTTAAGCCATACAGTCTGTGGTATTTTGTTATAGCAGCCCCAGCAAACTAACACAGGGGGCTCCAAGCCAATAGAAGCACCTCCTCCTCCTCCCAGGACAGTTAGAGACCACCTTTAGGAACTCGCTGTCAGAAACCTGGGGGCAGATGAAGCCAGATTCCTGGGGCTTAAGAGAATGGGCTATGAGGAAACAGCAGTGGAACACAAGTGTGTGGTGCATCCAAAGCCTCAAAGGCTGTTTCTCAGGATTCCCACAACCTAGTTCCACTTTTCCTCATTAGCCTTCTCAGTACTGCCAATGATCCCAACAGAATGCTTTGGCTGGTCAGACTCATCTTTTTACCAAGTCCAGCCAGCTTTTGTCTCTATAACTGTGCTTTGATCATCCAACATTTCCCACCCATTCTTCAAGGTACTGCTCAATTCCCTAACCATTTTGTTCCATGCTGATCTCCCTTTTCTCAACCAGCTTCTGCACTTACCATATAACTTGGTCTAACTATTCAGTCTAATTGTCTGTATCACAGAAGGTAATATACAAAAGCATGAGACTCATTATTTGGGTCCCAGTCCAACAATATTGGGTACTTTGAGAATAGAGACTATGTGTTCTTCCGTAGCTCTGAAGAAAAGTGAATTTGCCAGGGAAAAACAATGATTGTGGACATAAAACAACAAAAACAAAGACGAACTTTCCAGATTCATCTTTTTCTACGGTCTGCCCATTTGCCACTGAAGCCACTAGAGAGGTATTTTTTGCCACATGCAGCTGTGCATTTGAAGCATTTAGGAAAGATTTGCCTGTCATCGTGTTGTAATTATTACTTATAACAGTTTTCATGGTTTGTTTTTGTCATTGTTAACTTCATTATGAAGAATGTAATGCCCACATGATTCATTAAAGTATAATTATAGTTAGCACAAGTTATTAACTCATTAGGCAAGAGACAGTTCAGAAAGTAAACTTAATAGGATGGGACACAATCCTTAGAATTGTAACATTTAAATAATCCTTGAATTGCAGAGAGAATAGAGACCTATTTCACAGTCAATAAAAAGGGGGAAAAAAAACTCTTTGAAATTTGGATTATTTCAAATTGTCATTTGAAACAGTTGAACATTATTCAATAAATCATAATATCCTGATTTAAAGATGCAGTTACTGTTCCAAATTAAATTCCCTGATGTTCTGAAGAAATCTTACGGAATCTGACATGCTTGAGGGTAAGGAATATTCAACGACAAAGGGCAGCAAGAGAAAATAGCCTGGTTCACAACTCTGGAATTAATTCACTGTAGCTGAAGCTTAAAGGGGGTGGGGGAAGGAAGGCTGGCACAGTGGCTTACGCCTGTAATCCCAGTGCTTTGGGGGGCTGAGGTGAGAGGACAGCTTGAGCCCAGGGATTCGAGACCAGCCTGGGCAACATGGCGAAACCCTGTCTCTACAACAAATACAAAAATTAGCCAGGCGTGGTTGCCTGGCCTGAAGTCCCAACTACTCGGGAGGCTGAGGTGGGAGGATTGCCTGTGCCCAGGAAGTCAAGGTTACAGCAAGCTATGATCGTACCACTGCACTCCAGCCTGGGCATGGGAAACCCAGTCTCTTTATTTAAAAAAGAAAAAAAAAAGTCTGAATAAATCAGTCCAAGATATGAATCCAAACTGGAATGATCAGATACCATCATCTTACTGTGGCAACTCAACCACATTTCAGCAATTCACACTACAATTGCTCCTGGATACTCATCTCATTATCATTTTTTTAACTTCCAAAAGCATATTTAAGATTATTTTGTGTTTCCCAATTTACAGCCCAAAAGGACTCAAGACACTTATTTGAGAGAATCCCAAAATGTCTGGGTGAGACACAAAATGATACGCCACCAGAAGTCTCAGGGGACACTGGGCACATGAGAACTAAGGCTGGACAACAGCAGGTTATGAAGAAAACACAACGATTCCCCTTTGTCAGCTTCCTGCACCTGACCCTGAAGGCCGCCATGGGTAAGGCCGGGTCTCCGGCACATCTGCACCATGGGCACGCAACAGAGTCGCACAGTGCCTAGCTAAGCGCGGATGTGCTAAATCAAGGCTGAAAGAAAGCCTGGCCCTGCCCTTAGGCATCAGGGATTTTCCAAGTTTGATTCTCCTGTCATCAGAAGCATCCCGGGAAGGATGCTCGTTACACTGCAGATTCCAGCCAGGCGCGGAGGCTCACGCCTGTAATCCCAGCACTTTGGGAAGCCGGGAGGATCACTTAACGTCAGGAGTTCAAGACCAGCCTGGCCAACACGGTGAAACCCCGTCTCTACTAAAAATACAAACAAACAAACAAAAAATTAGCCGGGCATGGTGGCGCCCGCCTGTAAGCCCAGCTACTCGGGAGGCTGAGGTGGGAGGATCGATTGAACCCGGGAGGTGGAGGCTGCAGTGAGCTGAGATCGCGCCACTGCACTCCAGCCTGGGTGACAGAATGAGACTCAGTCTCAAAAATAAAAATAATAGGGGCAGGATGCGGTGGTGCACGCCTGCAATCCCAGCACTTTGAGAGGCCGATGCAAGCGGATCAACTGAGGTCAGGAGTTCGAGACCACCTTGACCAATATGGTGAAACCCCATCTCTACTAAAAATACAAAAATTAGCCGGGCGTGGTGGCGGACGCCTGTAGTCCCAGCTACTCGGGAGGCTGAGGCAGGAAAATTGCTTGAACCCGGGAGGTGGAGGTTGCAGTGAACCGAGATCGCGCCACTGTACTCCAGCCTGGGTGACAAAGCAGGACTCCGTCTCAAAAAAAAAAAAATAATAATAAAAAATAATAATAAAATGCAGATTCCTGAGCCCCAAAGTTGACTACACCAATCAGGATCTCCGGGGTTCGCGAACGTGCATTTTTACAGCCCCACCCCCCTCCAACCCTCGTCCCCTTCCCCATCCCCCATCCCCTCCACTACCAGGTCTAGCGGCTTCAGGCCCGGGCGTGCGCAGGCGCGTCCCCCGCCCGCCGCCCACCCGGCCGTCCCGCTCCCTGCGCCGCGCACCTGAGGCAGTCGTTGTCTCTCACAAGGCGCGCGCTCTCGGCGGGGGGCAAGAGCCCCCCCTCCAGGTAGAGGCCTAGGAAGGCCCCAGAACTGAAGCCGAAGCGCTGGCGGATGAGACTAATGAGATCTGTGACGACTCGGCATCTGTTCAAGTCGACCAGAAGCCAGAAGGCCGTACAGTGCGGGGTAGCTGGCGGCGGGTAATCAAATTGAAGCCGTAGCCTAACCGTCTCGGAAGCTGCCATCTTGCTTGGTGCTCAACGGAAGCCGAGAGATACCACGGGGCCACCGAGAGGCGTGCTCGGGCGGCTCGCCCCCGCCGGAGCCTTTGGCGTGTGCCACCTAGTGGTGAAACCTGGCTACTACAGGCTGCGTCTAGGCGAGAACTCGGAGCGTGGTTGATTTCATTCAATTTTGTTCACGGCAGGGCTGAGGAAGGGAATAAGTGAAATGCCTTTATTACATTTCTACTGGGCGCTATGTAGGGTCTCCTAATTAAGGCAACTCTCTGGATAAATAACATTTCTCCTCAGCAGTAGTCTTCTAAGATATTTGCTCATCGACGTGAAAGATTTTTATAAAACAATCCTAACACATTTCGCTGACAAAATTTTTCATCATGATGAGTTGAAAAAGATGTAAGTCCTAGTGTGTTCTCAATGTTGAAATTTTGAAATAACACTGTTAATCATTCTTCCAAATGTATCCAGTGGAATATAAATACCTTAGCCTTTTAATACCCACCACCAAACAAAAATGTCCTTGCATTTCTCACCAGATAAATAAATCAGTATTTACATTATTTCTTCTATTTTTTGAACTAGAATTTACATTTCTCCACATAATATATATTAACTCCTTTAATTTTCATAACAAAAGTTAGGAATTATGAACTGTTATCCTTATTTAGAGGATTTAAAAAAAACAAGGTTCAGAGAGTTTAAGAAGTAACTAGAGGCCAGGAGCAGTGGCTGACGCCTGTAATCCCAGCACTTTGAGAGGCCAAGGTGGGCGGATCACTTGAGACCAGGAGTCTGAGACCACCCTGGCCAAAATGGTGAAACCCCAACTCTACTAAAAATATAAAGATTAGCCGGGTGTGGTGGCATGTGCCTATAATTCCAGCTACTCGGGAGACTGAAGCAGTAGAATCGCTTGAACCCAAGAGGTGGAGGTTGCAGTGAGTCAGGATCGTGCCACTGCACTCCAGCCTGGGCAATAGAGCAAGATTCTGTCTTAAAAAAAAAAAAAGGAGTAACTTCCCCAAGTTCACTAGACTAGTTAAGTTGTAGATACCAGGGAGTCAGTAGATGAATTGAAAACAAAATTTTTTAACTGAAAGTAAGGGTTTTTGGATTTTCTTTTTTTAGAGTCTTGCTCTGTCACCTAGGCTGGAGTGCCGTGGTGCACTCTGCCTCCCGGGTTCAAGTGACTTCCCACCTCAGCCTTCCTAGTAGCTGGAACCACAGGTGTGAGCCACCAAGCCCAGCTAATTTTTGTATTTTTTGTAGAGATAGGGTTTTTCCATGGTGGCCAGGCTGGTCTCGAATTCCTGAATTCCAGCAATCTGCCTGCCTTGGCCTCCCAAAGTGGTGGGATTACAGGCATGAGCCACCACCTCCGACTAAAATCAAGTTTATTAGAGAATTAAAGGAATAAAAGAATGACTACTCCATAGACAGAGCAGCGAGCCCATACTATAAGTATACTCAGTCAAGTATACTTATAGTTACTTCTTGACTGTATGCTAAACAAAGGATGGATTATTCATGAGTTTTCTGTATCCCTAGGAAAGGGGCAGGGATTTCCCTCAGAACTGAGGGTTACTCCCCTTTTACACCATACAGGATAACTTTTGGGCATTTCCGGCTGGGCGCAGTGGCTCACCCCTGTAATCCCAGTTTCTCCACATCCTGACTACCATTTGGCATTGTCACTATTTTTTAGTCATTCTGGTAGATGTGTTGTGGTATGTTGTGGTTTTATTTATTTGTTTGTTTGTTTTGAGGCTGGGTCTCATTATGTCTCCAGTGCTGAAGTGCAGTGGCGTGATCACAAGGCTTACTGCAGCCTTCACCTCTGAAGCTCAAATGAACCTCCCACTTCAGCCTCCTGAGTGGCTGGGACTACAGGCATGCACTGCCATGCCCTGCTAAATTTTGTAATCTTTGTAGAGACGGAGTTTTGCCACATTGCCCAGACTGGTCTCAAACTCTTGGGCTCAAGCTATCCTCCCACCTCAGCCTCCCAAATATTGGGATTACAGGCATGAGCCACCATGCCCAGCCTCTTGTGGTTTTAATTTGTATTTTCTAATGGCTAATAATGTTGAACATTTTTCCTGTGTTTATGTGCTTCTTCAGTGAAATTCTCTTCAAGTCTTTTACATCTACTCTTATTAGATTGTTAAATTTTGAGAGTTCTTTATGTATTCTAGATAGTAGTACTGAGGCAGGAAAATAGGATCTGGAGGCAGGGAACATAAGGCCAATTCACACTTCAGCTGTGACAGGAAATATCCTCTTCATTTACATAGGGCATACGAGGAGTAAATGACTTTCTAACTTTACCTCATCCTCTCCATTTACATAGGACATACACCAAGAAACCAGTGGAAACCTCTGGAGGGTATTTAAGCCCCCAAAAATTCTGTAACAGGGCCCTTGAGCCCCTATGCTCGGGCCTGCTCCCACCCTGTGGAGCGTACTTTCATTTTCAGTAAATCTCTGTTTTTGTTGCTTCATTCTTTCCTTGCTTTGTTTGTGCGTTTTGTCCAATTCTCTGTTCAAGATGCCAAGAACACCCTCCACCAGTAACAGTACTTTGTCAGATATGTGGATTGCGGATTATTTTCTTTGACTCTGGAGCTTTTTTTTTTTTTTAATCATTCTCTTAATAGGGCCTATCACAGACCAAAAGTTCTAAATTGTGATGAAGTCTGGTCGATCAATTTTTTCTTCACTGCTACCTCTGCCTCCCAGGTTCAAGTGATTCTCCTGCCTCAGCTGCCCGAGTAGCTGGGGACTACAGGCACCCGCCACCACGCCTGGCTAATTTTTGTATTTTTAGTAGAGATAGGGTTTTACCATGTTAGTCAGGCTGGTCTTGAACTCCTGACCTCCGGTGATCTGCCCACCTCGGCCTCCCAAAGAGCTGGGATTACAGGCGGGAGCCTCTGTGCCCAGCCTGTTTGTTTTTTGTTCTGTTGTCCAGGCTGGAGTGCAGTGGCAAGATCATAGCTCACTGCAGCCCCTACTTTCTGGGCTCAAGCAATCCTCCCAGCTCAGCCTCCCAAAGCAGTGGAATTACTCGTGTGAGCCATAGCCTGAGTTAATTTTTGTGTAAGAGTTATATCAGCGTTCATTTTTGTTTGTTTGCTTGCCTCTTGATGTCCAATTGCTCCAGTACTATTTGTTAATAACACTATATGTCCTCCATTTTGAATCTTTTGAATGTTTGTCAGAAATCAGTTGGGCATATTTGTGTACATCTATTTCTGGATTCTCTGTTCTGTTTCATTGATCTATATGTCTTTCCCTCCACCAACACCATACAGTCTTTTTTCTTTTCTTCTTTTCTTTTTTTATTGAGAGGGAGTCTCACTCTGTTGCCCAGTCTGGAGTGCAGTGGCGTGATCTTGGCTAACTGCAACCTCTGCCTCCCAGGTTCAAGCAGTTCTCCTGCCTCAGCCTCCCGAGTAGCTGGGACTATAGGTGCGCACCACCACGCTAGACTAGTTTTTGCATTTTTAGTAGATACAGGGTTTCATAGGTGTACACCACCATGCCAGGTTAATTTTTGCATTTTTAGTAGATATAGGGTTTCACCATGTTGGCCAGGCTGGTCTGGAACTCTTGACCCCAAGTGATCCACCCGGCCTCCCAAAGTGCTGGGATTATGGGCTTAAGCCACCGCGCCTGGCCCTTGTTTTCTTTTAGAGACAGATTGCGCCCACAGTGCAGAGCAGTGGTGTGATCATAGCTCACTGTAGCCTCAGACTCCTGGGCTCAAGTGACCCTCCCAGTTCAGCTTTTCAAGTAGCTAGGACTACCATGTCCATTAATTTTTAATTTTTTTGTAGAGATAGTGTTGGACTATGTCTTCCAGACTGATCTCAATCTCCTGGCAGGTGCCACCACGCCTGGCTAATTTTTTGTATCTTTAGTAGAGACGGGGTTTCACCATGTTGGCCAGGCTGGTCTTGAACTCCTGACCTCAAGTGATCCGCCTGCCTTGGCCTCCCAAACTGCTGAGATTACAGGCGTGAGCCACTGTATTTATGCTTTGCCCTAATTGCTTTAGCTATTCTACTTCCTTTTCCTTTTCTTATAAATTTTAAAATAATGTTGTTTGTGTATATCTCCAAAAAATCTTGCTGCGATATTGGTAGAAATTGTGCTACACCTATATATTAATTTGGTATGAATTGACATCTTTAGGATGTTGAGTCTAAATCCATGAACACATTATGTCTTTCCATTTATTCAGCTTTCTGATTTCGTTCATCAGCGTTGTGTGGTTTTAAGCATACAAATCCCATACAGGTGTTGTTAGATGTCCGGACTCCAAGTGCCAGTTCCTTCCTGGTGTTCAGCCACTGCGTTGATCCTCCACAGGGGCCTGCCATGCACTGCTCTGATGAGGCATTCCACCAGGGCAATTGCCTACCAGGGACTGCTCTCAGGATCCATGTCACTCAAGCTGGCTGGAGTCCCCCGCAGGGATGCTCCACAGGGCAGGCCTAAGCTACCTAAGGGACTGCCTCAACTGTCCGTTAATCACCTCGCTTCCCGGTCAGGGAACCAAGAAATGTAGCAGAACAAGCCACACACAAAACCCCTCAGACACCGAGTTAAAGAAGGAAGGGCTTTATTTGGCCAGGAGCTTCGGCAAGACTCACATCTCCAAAAACCGAGTACCCTGAGTGAGCAATTCTTGTCCCTTTTAAGGGCTTACAACACTAAGGGGGTCCACATGAGAGGGTCGTGATTGAGCAAGCAGGAGGTACATGACTGGGGGCTGCATGCACTGGTAATCATAATGGAACAGAACAGGACAGGGATTTTTCACAGTGCTTTTCCATACAATGTCTGGAATCTATAGATAACATAACCGGTTAGGTCGGGGGTCAATCTTTAACCAGACCCGGGGCACGGCTCTGGGCTGTCTGCCTGTGGATTTCATTTCTGCCTTTTAGTTTTTACTTTTTCTTTCTTTGGAGGCAGAAATTGGGCATAAGACAGTATGAGGGGTGGTCTCCTCCCTTAAAGGAACTCCCCAAACCTCCATGATTTAGCAGGAGACAAAGAGAAGGGTAATCACCCAGCACCTAGACCCATTTAGATTAAGTAAATTTACTGAGGCTCCAGAGGAAGGTCTTCAGGACTCAGACCTTAATTATAGATTAAAAGTAGTTAATCACTTATGTCTTTAGATGAATGCACACTTAACATGTAGACATATAGCTTAGAAGGTATATAAGCTCTGGAAAACTTTGTAATTTGGAGTTGGTCTGGTGATAACTTCCAGGCCTTGTCCCTGTAATCGGTTGCAGAAATAAAATCTTTCTTTCTCCCCAGTTCATCTGGATCTCGTTATTGGGCCATGAGAAATAGCAGCCCGACCCTCACTCTGGTCTGGGAACAAAATTTGGCAAGCCAGCCAGGAGAGACTGGGATGGTGCTGTGTTCAGCGGCTAGCAGCTTGCAATGAGACAGTCTTCAGGAGGATCCCAGCAGCTGCTGATGAGATTTCCCAAGGACCCTCTTGAAGGCTGTTTCATGCAGAAAATTGCACATCTCTTTCACTACTGGGGAAGAATGGAGATCAGGAGTGGATGCACTCAAAGGGTGAGTTAATTGCGAGCCTATTGTTTTCCTGTCTCAACTTGTTAAGCCATTTGTCCAGTACCGCCAAGGGAAGCAACAGGGCTCATGCATACACCTGCTTTAAATTTTGGTTGACCAGCTTTTGAGTTGGTTTTGAGTCTGTTTTGCCTGAGTGCACTCCCCCTTTTGTTGCCCAAAATTTGTGTCCACTTATCTGTGTATCTGTCTTATACCCTTTGATATCATATAAACATGAAAATGGGAGGTATTGGGTCCATTGCTGCTGAGAAGCCTCTGGGAAGGAAAAAATTTTTTTATGAGCTCAATGGCTAAAAGTCAGCTTAATTAAAAGCTAGCATTCAAGGTGTGTATATGTACATGCGCATATTGTATTTAAAAGGTCTTAATGGGCTGGGCATGGCAGCTCATGCCTGTAATCCCAGCATTTTGGGAGGCCGAGGCAGGCAAATCACGAGGTCAGTAGTTTGAGACCAGCCTGGCCAACATGGTGAAACCCCATCTCTACTAAAAATACAAAAAAATTAGCTGGGTGTGGTGGCAGGTGCCTGTAATCCCAGCTACTCAGGAGGCTGAGGCAGGAGAATCGCTTGAACCCAGGAGGCAGAGGTTGCAGTGAGCCGAGATTGTGCCACTGCCCTCCAGCCCAGGCAACAGTGTGAGACTTTGTCTCAAAAAATAAATAAATAAAAATAAAAGGCCTTCATGTTTGTTTATTTCTCTCCTAGGACCTTGTCTTTTTGAGCAAAGATTTTTCTTCTCGGTTGACTGAATTCTGTTTTCTTCATTAATAGCTATTGCAACAGAAGCTACTCCAGGGTTTTTTTCTTATTTTCTTTTTCTGATGGAGAGTCTCTCTCTGTTGCCCAGGCTGGAGTGCAGTGGTGCGATCTCGGCTCACTGCAAGCTCCTCCTCCTGGGTTCACACCATTCTTCTGCTTCAGCCTCCCAAGCAGCTGGGACTACAGGCGCCCGCCATATTTTTTGTACTTTTTAGTAGAGACAGGGTTTCATCATGTTGGCCAGGATGGTCTTGATCTCCTGACCTTGTGATCCACCCGCCTTGGCCTTCCGAAGTGCTGGGATTATAAGAGTGAGCCACCGCACCTGGCCTACTCTAGGGTTTTTAAGAAAAAGTATAATTTAGACACTTTGTTTGAAAAAATATTTTTTAAGTGCACAGTAAAAGCTGGTCACATGGTCTAGCCTCATAATAAGTCTCCCTTTTGAAAACCCAAGATTAGGTATGGGCTCTGCCCAGAACTCAAAGATCCAGTTAAAAGAGGAAAAACGACATCTTATGAATCTGTAAAATGTGCTTCTGTTGGCATGCCTAATGCATCTATATATTTGTGTCTTGTGTACACCATGTTTCACTACTGAAAATATATAAAGGAGTTCTAATTAATTGGCTCAAAGAAAAATAAAAGCACTTAAATGCTTTAACAGAACAAAGGAAAGACTAGTCAAATGCTTTTTCAAGTTTATGTGACTTAAGTAACATCTTTAATAAATAAGCTAGCTTTAAAAATTATTGGTAAAGTAATATTAGAAATGTCTTAGGAGCTGCCAGTGTACATTTTTGTTTGCATTTATTGATCAAGCAATTTCATACTTATCTCTGCTAAATACTAGAAGGTGTCAAAATTTGGCATAGAGGCTACAAAAGTATGACTCAGCCCAATACAGAATGATCTTTGCTTGTGTAATTTTTAATAAATGAAACATTAATATTGGTTTAATGAAGAAGCTACATCTTGAATTATTTAGTTAAATACCCAAACTTCTAATCTTGTGTTAGGCAGTCTAGTCCATAGACATGAAGGAAGTTTGTTCTGCAAAAGGACTGTTATCATCTTTGTTTCAAAGCTAAACTCTAAGTTAATGAACAAGAATAGCTTGGAGGTTAGAAGCAAGATGGAGTCAGTTAGGTCAGATCGTTTTCACTGTCTCAGTTATAATTTTTTTATTATACTTTAAGTTTTAGGGTACATGTGCACAACGTGCAGGTTAGTTACATATGTATACATGTGCCATGTTGGTGCTCAGTTATAATTTTGCAATGGCAGTTTCATAACTTTAAATGAAGACTATCACAGTTTTCATGAATAATCTAGGTAAATGATTAAAATAAATAATTAGATAAATGTAATGGGATAAATACTCATAAACAAACTTGTCATAATTTAGAATCTAAAGTTATATTAAACAACAGAGATTTTATTATTTGGTTATTTTCCAGTAAAAATATATTGTAGGAGCTACTCGGAAGGCTTAGGCAGGAGAATGATGTGAACCCGGGAGGCAGAGCTTGTAGTGAGTGGAGATCACGCCACTGCACTCCAGTCTGGGCAACAGAGTGAGACTCTGTCTCAAAAAAAAAAAAAAAAAAAAAAAAAAAAAAAAAATATATATATATATATATATATATATATATATATATATATGGTAGGAAAACATTCTAAAAATTGTGTCCTTTGTAAAGGGTAACTAATTTTTGTCTAATTCAAAACTTATTTAAAGGTTATATATAAAACAAGGTATTAAAGAAAAGAGAATTTATGTAAGAAAAGATCTCATATGGTAAATTGTTGCCATAAAGTAAAATAACTGGTTGTTTAAAGAAAGGGCTATTTAGGACAAGTCAGAAAGTTGAGGCATGTCAGAGATTGCCTGTGTAAGTCAAGAAAGAATTTATGAAAGGGAATTTACACAAGAAATGTTGTACAATTTAAAGGTGATTAGACCTCCTAAATACTTTATTTAAAAAATTGCCTCTATGACTCTTAGCTGTAAAACTTGCCTGCTTTACAGCTAGGTACGGCCTAGGACACATGGAGTTAGATGCTGGAATAAGTCAGACTTACCTGCACTTCTGTCTAGGTTCTAGGCTCCACACTTAGTAGATAATTAAAATCCCAAACTTAGCAAGGTTTTCACAAAAGTAAAGTTTGCCAAGAGTTAAGAGTGTAACATGTATTTAAGACTGTTAAAGAAACAGTTCACATGCAAGCAGTGTAAGGAAAGTAAAATATACTTTTGGTAAAAAGATTATAACGAGGCATGAGAATGTGGATTTTTGCCTAAATTTAAAGGTTAAAGGATTGTTTTAAGTTGAACAAAATAAAGACGAAGGTTTAAGCAAGTTGTGGAAGGTTGATTGTAAAGGAAATTCTTTGTGTAAACATATTGGCTGAAGTTAAAGGTGTATCATCCAGTGTTTTTCTCAATTAAGCATTAAAATAAAAGCACACTGGGTTTCTCTTAGAGCACTAACCTGCTCTTTAACAAAAATTGTAAAGGCTTTTTTTTTTTTTTTTTTTGAGACGTAGTCTCACTCTGTTGCCCAGGCTGGAGATCAGTGGTGCGATCTTGGCTCACTGCAAGCTCCACCTCCTGAGTTCACGCCATTCTCCTGCCTCAGCCTCCCAAGTAGCTGGGACTACAGGTGCCTGCCACCATGCCTGGCTAATCTTTTGTATTTTTAGTAAAGGGTTATAAAAGGTCTATAAAAATATTACCTTATGGTCAAACATTAAAATTGGGTAAATATGTCTATAAGGTTTTACTAAGAATTGGGTTTAACATTAATAGTACACTAATGTAAAGGTGTAATTGGCTTATTTGGTATAAGAATTATGCAGGAAGAATTGTCAAATATGAAATGGTGTTTGGCTTTCTTTGGGCTATATTTGTATGAATATGTTATTGGTATGTGTTCCAAAGTTATGGGAGACTCCTATATTTCTAATATATCTTAGTGTACATTATCAATAATAATTATAATAGTTATGTTAAGTTATTGTGTACCACAGAGGTAACAGATTTCCTTGTCAATTGTATCTTTAACTATGGCTACCCTAAAACTTTTTGTCATCCATAAACAATTGTTCTCCTCTTTTGGTCCTCTTTAGAAGGTGGTTTTATAATCAGCTATAAAGCTCTAACAGGTGCTCTTGAATGCAGGTTTCTGATAACTTTGGAGATTGTGACATCAGAACTGAGGAAAAATGTTCAGGACTTTTTTTTTTTTTCTCTTGAGACAAGAGTCTTGCTCTGTCGCCCAGGCTGGAGTACAGTGGTGTGATCTCAGCTCACTGCAACCTCCACCTCCAGGTTCAAGAAATTCTCCTGCATCAGCCTCCCGAGCAGCTAGGACTACGGGCATGTGCCACCATGCCTGGTGATTTTTTTGTATTTTTAGTTGAGATGGGATTTCACCATGGTAGCCAGGCTGGTCTCAAACTCCTGACCTCAGGCAATCCGCCCACCTCAGCCTCCCAAAGTGCTGGGATTACAGGTGTGAGCCACCGTGCCAGGCCTCAGGACTCTTGAAGAGCTAAACTGCTCATTAATATCAAGCAGGACAGGAATTAACTGCATTAACTGAACTAATAGGAGACTGAAGTGATCTTTTGACTTTTTGCTTAAAATATTGCTAATTCTTTGTTTTGTTTTTCAGAGTCAAGGAAACTTTTCTTTTGAACTATTGACAGCTTTTAACAATTTAGTATACTCCCATGAACAAAATTTGAGCATATTTGTTTCTCTCTAGCTGATTTTCTCCAGAATTTGAAAACTATTTGTAAGTATTCTTAATCTATGGCAATATAGTTATTTGGATAAGTGGAATAAAAATCTGATTTCTTTTGTAACAGGTCACAATTGAAAAAACTGATCATTTTACCAAGGCTTTGACTGGAATGGTGTGCTTTCCTTTAAGAAATCAAACTTGACTTATGGAGCCAACGGAACCCCAAGTTGTCTTGGAACCTCAAGAGGAGAGAAATTCACCCAACACATAGGTATTTGATGGTACAAATCCATGACTGGGCTTGGCTTTAAAGTCTTATCTGAGATTCCTGCTGTGGAACAAAGTTCCATCAAAGCCAGTTTAAAAGGTCTATGTGAAAAATAATTTTTCTTGCTGCAGTTTATGCAAATAATCTGGCCAGCTGGGCATAGTGGCTCATGCCAGTAATCTCAGCACTTCGGGAGGCCGAGGTGGGCAGATCACGAGGTCAGGAGATCAAGACCATCCTGCCCAACATGGTGAAACCCCTTCTATACTAAAAATACAAAAATTAGCTGGGTGTGGTAGTACGTGCCTGTAATCCCAGCTACTCGGGAGGCTGAGGCACAAGAATTGCTTGAACCTGGGAGGTGGAGGTTGCAGTGAGCCAAGATTGTGCCACCGCACTACAGCATAGTGACAGACTGAGACTCTGTCTCAAACAAAACAAACAAACAAATAATCTGGCCAAGTATAATAAAGCAAATTGGTCCTATCATGATTTGTCTCTAGTAAAAATGGGAAACTGGAGACAGAAAAGTTATGTTTCAAAAACTATAGTACACCTATTGTTAAATTCTAGTCTTGCCTGATGTTTTTCAGTTTTTATTACTTTCTACAGTTTGGATGAAGTTCTAATTTTTCTGGCTACAGGTCTCCAAAATAATGTTTTCAATTTTTTCCTCTTTAGTTTCCTTTTTCCCCATTCTTTCAATTGGAAATCACTGAAACTTAAGCTGTGCTTACTTAAAGCCCTGTGAACTAAACAACTTAAATTTCAGAAGAAAACAGCAGCAACCTATTTATATGTTGCTGTTGCATACTATTACGCTGTTGCAAACTATTTACATGTGTTGCTGTTGCATACTAGTATGTTTCAACAGGTGCTGCCTCTAAGCCCTGAAGCAGAGAGTGCTACCAAGAACAAATCGACCTCTTCCACTCCAGTGCTGTGTTTGGTGCCCCATAACGACGACCCTCTCTCAGCAGGAAGTAGCCAGAAAGGTTATGATGTCCCATCTCCCTACAATCCTCGTGATAAATAAATATACAAGCATGATAGATATCATGTGCAAATTGACAGTGGAGATTGTGGCAGGCGGATCTCACTAAAGCAGGCTTCTGTAACAACTGTTTCAGTATTGACTGAGTGGTTAAGTTAAATATTAAAAGCCAGTGGCCCTTATACAAAGGCTGGGATGGAACAAAAGCCCACCAAGAGTTTTGCGTAGGCCTTTCCTGGGCCTTAAAGCATGACAAAATAATGAAGGAATTCTTAACAGGACCCATTTAGGATTAAACAAGTTTTATCATGAGTCTGAAGAAGCTTTCCAGGCCTCCACATACAAGTTTATTGCAGGTCTGAAGGAACTCCCTAAACCTCCATGATTTAGCAGGAGACAAGATAAGGGTAACCACCCCAGCACCTGGACCCATTTAGATTAAGTAAATTTACTGATGCTCCGGAGGAAGATCCTCAGGACTCAGACCTTAATTATAGATTAAAAGTAGTGAATCACTTATGTCTTTAGATGAATGCACACTTACACGTAGACATATAGCTTAAAAGGTATATAAGCTCTGGAAAATGTTGTAATTTGGAGTTGGTCTGGCAATAACTTCCAGGCCTTCCCCCTGTAACTGGTTACAGAAATAAAAACTCTCTCCCCAATTCATCTGCATCTCATTATTGGGGCACAAGAAATAGCAGCCCAACCCTCAGTTTTGTCCAGGAACACTAGAATTACCAGCGTGAGCCACAGTAGCTTGCCTGTAAATGCTCTTTATCAAGTTGAGGAAGGTCCCCTCAATTCCCATTTTCTGAATTTTTTAAATAATAAATTTAAAAACTGTGTGTTAAACTTGTGATGTTAAATTTTGTCAGGTATTTTTTCTGCACTGATTTATATGATTATATGATTTTTCTTCTTTTTCCTTTTAATGTGGTTGATCATTTTGATTGTTTTTCAAATAATGAACCATCTATGTTTCCTTACAATAAATTCTATTTGGTTATGGTGAATTAATTCTTTTTATGAAATGCTGAATTCTATTTGCTAATATTTTATTAAGAATGTCTGCACCTACATCAAGTAGAGTTTTATGGATGGAAATTAAAAGAAAAGAAGTTTGGGGCTGAACATGGTGGCCCCTGCTGTAACTGCCCAACGGGTTCACCTTGCCCACTGCCTAGACAGAACCGGTTTATCAAGACAGGGGAATTGCAAAACAAAAAGAGTAACTCATGCAGAGCTGGCTGCGCAGGAGTCAGGAGTTTTATTATTACTCAAATCAGTCTCCCTGTGCATTCAAGGACCAGAGTTTTTAAGGATAATTTGGTTGGTGGAGTGCCAGTGAGTCGGGAGCACTGATTGGTCAGGTTGAAGATGAACTCATAGGGAATCTAAGCTGTCCTCTTGTGCTGAGTCAATTCCTGGGTCGGGGCCACCAGAACAGATGAGCCAGTTTATCGATCTGGGTGATGCCAGCTGATCCATCCAGCGCAGGGTCTGCTGAATATCTCAAGCACTGATCTTAGGTTTAACTATAGTGATGTTATCCCCAGGAGCAATTTGGGAAGGCTCAGAATCTTGCAGCCTCCAGCCGCATTACTCCTAAACCATAATTTCTAATCTTGTGGCTAATTTGTTAGTCCTGCAAAGGCAGTCTAGTCTCCAGGCAAGAAGGGGGTTTGTTTTGGGAAAGGGCTGTTAGTTAGCATTATTAACTAGTTCCCTCAACCATAAACATCTTGTAACCAAGAGTGCCCAACCCCCTGGGAATATAACCCAGCAGATTTGGCTTTTTCTGGCCTTTATTCAAGATGGAGTCACTCTGGTTAGGTTGCCTGACACAAGTGCACAGAGACTGATATGCTCAAAGGGAAGATGATGTGAAGACACATGAGAAGACAGTCACGTAATGCCAAGGTTTACCACAAGCATCTGCACCAAGAATTCGATGGATGGGCCTTTAGGAACTCCCAACCAATTTCCATTAGCCTCCCTCCCAAACCCTTCTCAGAATAAACATATAATTTTAAAAACAGTTTTGAGGTTCAGTACCCAGTATCTTTTTTCCAGTCCTATTGCCTCCTTTATAGCCGTATTTTATATATATATAATTTTTTTTTTTTTTTTGAGACAGAGTCTCACTCTGTCACCCAGGCTGGAGTGCAGTGGCACGATCTCGGCTCACTGCAACCTCTGCCTCCTGGGTTTAAGCAATTCTCCTGCCTCAGCCTCCCGAGTAGCTGGGAATACAGGCACAAGCCGCCACACCCGGCTAATTTAGTTTCACCATGTTGCCCAGGCTGGTCTGGAACTCCTGAGCTGAGGCAATCCACCCTCCTTGGCCTCCCAAAGTGCTGGGATTATAGGCGCGAGCCACCGCGCCTGGCCCAGTCCTATTATAGTTTTTAGCTGCCCCAAGAGGACAGGTTTACATTGTAGAAATGCAATCCACTTCAAATTGAACCACAAGCATAACTTTTAAAAAATGTTCTGTAGCTGACAGCCTTTGCATAAACTGTGTCAGTGAGAACATTTTGTCAGTGGGAGAGATCTGATTTCACCAACCGGCATCTTGCCTTTGCCTTTAGCCTTCAAGCTACCTTTAATTATTCCTGGACTTCTGGGCCAAGCTAACTTTGGGAGGCATTTAGGTTATAGGTTAAATGATAATGGCCCTTCCCCAAACTTTACGCTAAATGACCACCAGGCTAAGAAAATAGAGGAGGCTGAATTCTGCTAAGGATTGCCAGCCATTATTCCTGAGGTCACAAAATATGCAACTTCTCCAATTACTCCTGCAGACACCATCACTATTGTAGAACCTAAGATTAGCCTTTTGAGATATCTTTTCAGGTTTTTTTGCATGTCTGACACCTGGCTCCACCTGGACCTACCAACTGCTCCTGCGGCCCCACCTGGAAGCAAATCCGCGCAAGAAGACAGCTTCAACTCCCTGTGATTTCATCTCCAACCCAACCAATCAGCAGCAAGCATCCATTGCCTAGCCACCTCTGCTCCTACCCCTAAACTGTCTTTGAAACTACTCCTCAGAGACTGATTTGAGTAATTATAAAACTCCAGTCTTCCTTTCAGCCAGCTCTGCATGAATTAAACTGTTTCCCCATTGCAATTCCCCTGCCTTCATAAATTGGCTGGCTCTATCTGGGCAGCAGGCAAAAAGAACCCATTGGGGGATTACATAGCCACTCCTCATCGGAGAAATTTCTACTGGCTCTTCTTCCAGCCTCAACTCTCTTTGGCTAATCTTTCTCTATATGTAGCCTTCACTTCTTTTCATCTTTCTCTCTTCTTTCCTCTCCTAGGAGCAAAACAAAATTTCTCCTGGGCCGCACAGTTTGGCAATTATCTTTTGTTGCCTTGGCTGCAGCTACTATGCCATCAGCTCCCAACTCCTAACTTCAATGAACCAAGGAGGTATTTTTCTTAAACAAAGACCACTCCAACCCTGAAGATTGGAATTTCGCCACTGCCTGTAAGGATAACAAGCTTTAATCTGGTTTCTACATGTGGTTTTTGTTTATTTTGTTCCTGTGATTATAAACTGTAATGAAAAAAGAAAATGTTACTGTAATACTTGATATCATGTATTTATCCATGTATCCAACCTTCTTTCCATCCTATCCATCAATCCATCTTATATTCTGGATACTTTTTTTTTTTTTAAGAGACATGGTCTCACTATATTGTCCAGGCTGGTCTCAAACTTCTAGGCTCAATCAATCATCCCACCTTGGTCTCCCAAAGAGCTGGATTACAGGCATAGGTCACTGTGCCAGCATCTGGATACATTTCAAAGAAAATTGTATACATTGGTACACCTTCCCCTAAACACTTTAATATGAATATCATTAACTAGAGGTGACATTTTATTTATATTTTTTCCTTTTGAAGTCATATTAGCGTATTATAAAATGCACAATTTTTTTGTGCGTGTGTGAGATGGGGTCTTACTCTGTCACCCAGGCTGGAGTGCAGTGGCACCATCTTGGCTCACTGCAACCTCCACCTCCTGGGTTCAAGCGATTCTCATGCCTTAGCCTCCCGAGTAGTTAAGACCACAAGCAAGTGCCACCACACCCAGCTAATTTTTGTATTTTTGTAGAAATGGGGTTTCACTATGTTGGCCAGGCTGGTCTCAAACCCCCGACCTCAAGTAATCTGCCCACCTCGGCCTCCCAAAGTGCTGGGATTACAGGTGTGAGCCACCTTGCGCCCTGGGCTGTAGTGTTATTTTTGTGGCAAAAAAATTGAAACCCTAAAATTCTGACTGCAGTGGAAGGGTAAGTGTATTTCAAGCCCTAGTGATACAGACCAACTTGGAAGCTTCAGACAGGAAAAGTTTGCTAGATAGTTATTTATTTTTAACTAAGCATGTACTTTTATGTATCTCCCATATGGCATGGAACACCTGCTCACTGCAGCCTGGAGCTCCTGGGCTCAAGTGATCCTCCCACCTCAGCCTTCTGAGTAGCTTGGACAGCAGGCGCGTGTCACCACATCAGTTAATTTTTGTTATTTTTTGTAGAGAGGGGGTCTCAATATGTTGCCCAGGCATTATGGATTTTATGCATTCGGGACCATCCCATGCTTAAAGCATGACAGAACCCGGCGGCATATTTTTCTCTGCCGCAGCTTTCAGTGCAGGGGCACCTCACAGGCAGGGCGGGGTCAAGGCTCTGTCCAGACAATGGCTGCAGAGTAAAAAGCACTTCCATTTATGGGGGTCAAGGGCGAGGGGAGGGAGAAAGGAGCAGGGAAAGAGGAGAAGTGGCCACATGTACTTTGATTTGTTTTTTGCTTTTTGTTACATGTACTTTTGAAGCAGTATTTAGAAGTAGCCTCTCCTACAGCCCCTGCTGTAGCTTGTCTCCTAGCTGTGAGGTGAGTTATTCAGTACCCTCTAACGTAAAAATGACCTTCAGACAGACAGACAGACACACACACACACACACACACACACACAGAGGAAAACAGCTCTGTCATCCACTTTTTCTTCCTTTCCCGTCCCCAGACCCTCGATTCTCTCTTTAAAATGACTGCTGTGAAGATAACGTAACACAGAGTAATACTAATGACAAATTATCAAAAAAGAAAAAAAAAATAAAAATCTTTATTAGTGTTTTTTAAAATGACGTAAAAGACTATGGGAAAAAATGCCAACAATAGTTATGTATAACTTTTTTGTTCATATTTCCAAAACGTTTATAACATACATAACTTTAAAAGAAAAATAATTTAAAAAATACATATCTGAAAATGAAACCCCGCTGTTTGCCAACGACCAGCTGGCTTAATCTGACTTCGCAGATGTAGCAGTGTTGGAAAACGTCGGTTCTTTTGCTGAGGGAAGGAAGAGATGGGAGGGGTAGAAAGGGCGGTGGTTATTCCCTTTAGTATTTCGATCCGGTCACACAACCTAAATCCAACATCTGCATCAAATGTCTCCTTTCCGAAATACTCTCCCTAAAATGACAGAGAACCTGGCCAGGCGGACAGAACGGCCCCTGCGCATTTGCAGGGGTCCTGGTGGGCTTGCCGGGCAGAGGGCGTGCGGGTCTCAGCAAGCTGCCGGGTCCGCCCAGGCCCCGCCCCATGCCCATTCAGGCCCCGCCCCCGACCCGCAGGCCCCGCCCCCGACCCGCCCCGTCCGCCTCCGTCACGTGATGGGGCGCCGGGTCCAGCCTGTTGCTGATGCTGCCGTGCGGTACTTGTCATGGAGCTGGCACTGCGGCGCTCTCCCGTCCCGCGGTGGTTGCTGCTGCTGCCGCTGCTGCTGGGCCTGAACGCAGGTAGGTTCAAGCAAGAGGCGCACCAGCTGCCATGCCTCTTTTTTCTCCAGGCGTGAGAGTTTGTTACTGGGTTTGTGCTTTTGAAAACATGTCTCTTTTCCCCGGTTCTTACCTTGTGTAATTATATTGCTTTTGAATCTCACTCTTTTTTTTTTTTTTCCTTAAAAAATTCAAAGTGCTTTTTTTGTCCTTTTCTGGCTCTGGGTGGTCTGAGTGCTTCCGTTCTCTCCTACGCCTAGATAGAAGCTGTGTGCAGAAATGTATGATTTGGGGAAACTGCTGGTCAATGAGGTTTCCCCGATTCAAAGGCCATGATTGGCTGCTAAATGAGGATATAAGGTCGTTTTATTTTAAGCTGAAATCTGCGGTCAAAAGTACCCTTACATCCTACCACGAATGGGACATTTCATTGAGATAAGGCCCTTTCTTTTCTTGATCAAAACAAACAAGATAACATCTTCCCCCACAGCGATCTTTTTTGGCAAAAAACAGATTTGTGTTTAATAGGATGACTTGCAAATTGATTTTCAGCAAAACCTCTCCTAGTCTGAAGCAAGCACTGAGAATTGGAACTGGCCACAAGCTTGCCTTGTGACCTTAGGCAAGTTGTTGAACAGTTTTGTTTTCCTTTTCTAAAATGGGGATCATCTGGCCCTTAGGCGAGTGTCTGGGAGATTTTGTAAAATAAGTAGCTCTGCCAATTTTACCAGTAGTCACTGCCAGGCAAGGGAGAAGTGCCTGGGGTTAGGTCAAAAGGTACCTGCGCCTTATCTGTCATTCTCAAGGGAGCGCAGCCTTATCTGTTATTGTCAAGGACAATATAATCGTGTGTTACTTGTATATAGAACCTTATAGCTAAGTCTGTAATGTTTTAGTCATCTGTTTTGCTCCTCAGGACACTTTCTGGTTTTCTTAATCTTCATTGTTGTTTTGTTTTGAGTCAGGGTCTCACTATGTTGCCCAGGCTGGTCTGGAACTGCCTGACTCAAGTGATCTTCCTACTTCAGCATCCCAAGTAGCCCGGACTGCAGACACAGGCCACCACCCTGGCTCTTTCTTATTTACAAGACGTTGTCTCATTGTCTTCCTCTCTACTCCTGTCTCTTTAGCTGTTGGGACCAGTGTTCTTTTACTGACCAATGGGGCTTGAAATTTGAGAAGGGAGGAAATAGAAGGCAGAAAACTCCAGTCACCGAGGGGATCCCCCCCATCATCTTTTAACAACAGCCCCTCTACTTTTTTTTTTCCCAGAGTGGTTTTGGAGGAAAAAAAAAAAGATGCTATAACTTGGAAATTGTTACGTTAGCAAAAAGTGACAAAGAAAATGTATTTAGCCTACTCTTTTCTAAAACATATTTTGTGGATGCTAGAAAAGTTAAGTAAGGAAAATTGGAGTTAGGGGATTATAGGATACGTATATTAAACACACATACACAGATATATATCGTTCAGTTTAAAAAAATCATCTACATGAGTTAGGAAAATTGCCCTTTTTCATATTTGTTGTAGCTCTTTCCTTGCTGTTTGCCTTTTTATTTTTGATTTACAGAAATTTTGTTGTATAGAAATATAACAAGTTTCTGTTCTCACCTCCATCATTGTTTCTTTTGTACAGTCTCTGGGGTTTGCTTAGATTCTTTCCTCATCCAGACATTAGAAATATATTTAACTATATTTTTGTATTTTTTTAATGTTTAAAGTTTAAAATTTAATTGCTTGATCCTCATGGAACTTATTTCGTTTATAGTGTTGAGAGGACCTAAATTTCTCTTTTTTTCTCCAAAAAAGGTAATTGTTGCTCCATTACTGTATATTGAATATTCTCAGCCCCACTAATTTGTGATGCCTCTTCACTCATGTTTTTTGTTTGTTTGGTTGGTTGGTTTTTTGTTTTTTTGAGATAGGATCTCCCTCTGTCACCTAGGCTGGAGTGCACTGGTGTGATCACAGCTCACTGCAGCCTCAACCTACTGGGCTCAAGCGATTCTCCTACCTCTGTCTCCTGAGTAGCTGGGACCACAGGCATATGCCACAATGCCCAGCTAATTTTTGCATTTTTTGTAGAGATGGGGTGTTGCTATGTTGCTTAGACTGGTTTTGAACTCCTATGCACAAGCTATCAGCCTGTCTTGGCCTTCCAAAGTGTTGGGATTACAGGAGTGAGCCACCAAGCCTGGTGTCTTACTCATGTATTAAATACGATATAAAAACCAGTATATTGCATTCTGAGATTTTTACTTTTTTACTCAAAATATAAATCTCTCTTGTTTTTACAGAATTATAAAAGTATTTCCTGTAATCCCAGCACTTTGGTAGGCCTAGGCGGGCAGATCACCTGAGGTCAGGAGTGCGAGACCAGCCTGACCAACATGGAGAAACCCCATCTCTACTAAAAATACAAAATTAGCCAGGCGTGGTGGTGCATGCCTGTAATCCTAGCTACTTGGAAGGCTGAGGCAGGAGAATCGCTTGAACCCGGAAGGCAGAGGTTGCGGTGAGCCGAGATTGCGCCATTGCATTCCAGCCTGGGCAACAAGAGCGAGACTTCGTATCAAAAAAAAAAAAAAAAAAAAAAAAGTGTTTCATATTTATTGTTAAAAATCCAAACATTACAGAAAAGTGTAGAGGAAAAAGTGAAAGCCCCTGGCCTCCTATGCCGCTGTTAAGTTTGGTTTCTTTTTTCATAGCCGAGGTTTTTTCCTTATTCCTGCAATGTACTGGGGTGGCTAAATTACCAAACTATAAAACAAATCATCTCTAGCCTAGCATGGCTGTCTCTACCAGGCTTGGAATTTACCTGTACATTAGGCACTCTTCTGGAGAGTGAAATTGAACTTCTGTTTCAGGAGCTGTCATTGACTGGCCCACAGAGGAGGGCAAGGAAGTATGGGATTATGTGACGGTCCGCAAGGATGCCTACATGTTCTGGTGGCTCTATTATGCCACCAACTCCTGCAAGAACTTCTCAGAACTGCCCCTGGTCATGTGGCTTCAGGTAAAGTAGCTTCCCAGCCTGGCCTGAGGTCAAAGCCAAGTCTCCTCTGTGTGGCTCTTTGCTTGCTTTTTGGGCTGATGTCTCAGCAGTGAAGGGCGGATTTGGTCCAGCAGTGTGACCTGGGGGTTCGGCGTGCTTCTGAGGTAGGCTGAGGCAATGGTATAGCCAAGGAGGCTAAATCAGAGGGCGAGGGGGTTCTAGCCTTTTGCCAGAGTCTCTTTATATTTCCAGACGGTCACAAGAAGGCTCACTGAAAACTCCTGATGATACATTTGAATACATAGTGATAGAAAGTGTTTTGAGGCCGGGCACAGTGGCTCATGTCTGTAATCCCAGAACTTTGGGAGGCCGAGGTGGGTGGATCATACGAGGCCAGGAGTTCGAGACCAGGCTGGCCGACATAGTGAAACGCTGTCTCTACTAAAAATATTTAATACAAAAATTATCCAGGCATGGTAGCACATACCTATAATCCCAGCTACTCAGATGGTTGAGGCATGAGAATTGCTTGGACCCGGGAGGCGGAGGTAGCAGTGAGCTGAGATCGTGCCACTGCGCTCCAGCCTGGGCGACAGAGCAAGACCCTATCTCAAAAGAAAAAAGAAAAGAAAGTGTTATGGAAGGTTCCAAAGCAAAGACCTGAGGTAGCCTGACCCTCCCTTCCTCTCCATACAATCCTTTCCTGAACCCTAACTTCTTACCCCCAGAAAACCTGATCTTTTGAAGGGACTGCTACAAGCCTTCTGCACCTTCGTGTGACTGTTGCGCCTTCCCCCTTTCCCTGAGTGTGTTTGCATTTTAACCTTGAGCTCTGATTGTAGGATGGAAGGCAGGGAGCTGGTTGAAAGATTTGTAGGGACAGGCAGAGGCTCTTTTCTGGCATTTCTGAAATATCTGTCCAGAGATGGCCCACCCCCACCCGGAAGACCACCCACCAGGGAGGAATTAAGGAACATGGTCTTGCCTCTGGAAAATGTAGGCATGGCCCAGCTGGAACCCTGGGCCCCTCATCAGTAAATAGGGACCCTGGTGCTCACCTCCATAGGATGCTACTGGGACGTCTTCCAACAATGCTGGTATTTATAAGCAGCCTCCCACCACCTGGGTTTTGCCTCCCAGGATGGTCGATGCAGACTTTCTGGTGAGATAGAGCGAAAATGAGCAGTTTTCAGGGAGGGGCCTTTCTCTTTTGGAATTATCACTTGTGCCACCTCTGAGGGCTAGAGCTGAGGCTCAGCCCCAGGTGCGGTTATGATAATGCAGAAAAAGAACCCTTGTATGTCAGCCTGGGGAGCCCTGTTCACCTCCGGTGGCTGGAGACAAAGGTGCGGCACAATTGGCAGGGAGAGCCAGGCCGTGGACAAGCTCAGGCCTGCCGTCAGGGGCCTCGGGTTTTCAGTGCCTACCTGCCACTTAGAGCCATGGCAAGATACTTCCTCCTCTGGGCCTTGGCTGTCTAATCTGGGAGATTTTGGTGGTTTTCAAACTTTTTGTTCATCAGCAGAACTTTTCTTTTTTTTTTTTACCCCCAAATGAAAGCTTACAAAGGGGAGACAAAGCAGACAAAAGCACAAGTGCTGAGGCTGAGGCTTCTCCTTTGAAGTTTATCAACTGAAGAGAATAAATTGCTCTTCACTTACCCAGAGACCCAAGAGAGAAGAAGAAAGATTATGCTTACAGAAGAAATAACTAATTTAGATGAAAAGGAGATCTATTTTAGCAGCCTACTGAGGACATGGTGCTGACTTCTCTCGGGGGAATCTTTGAGAATCGAAGTCATGTCTTCTGAGTGGGTTAGCAAACTATGTTAGGGACACTTTCAAGTCTTCGAAGCGTTTCACTTGGTCCACTGACACACTGACTGTGTCTCAGAGTTTCTGGATAGCCCTGGGCCATGCTAGCACCCTATCCCAAAGTTCTAGACAAAAAAGAGGTTTTACAATAGGATATATTCACGTAGAACAGAGGCTTCCTCCATCCAGCATCTCATTGCCTTTTGAGGAGAGGGGAATGAGGAGAGAGGAGAGGGAGAGGTCATCTTCTGCTGTCTCCCTGGCATACCAGAAGCAGAGGAGAACTGAGATTTCTCCCACAAAGACCCAACCCCTAGGATTTCCAGCTTTTCTCCTTTTGCTTTGATCCTACCTCATCCTAATAAGTCCATTAGGAAAAAGGAACCCAGCTTTCATTGGAGGGTAGATCCCTGGCTTTAATTTATTGCATATTGCATTATAAATATTTTTCAATGTTGCCACATCATTTTTCGTAGTTCATGATTCTAAGTGGCAGTGTAGCATTCCATGCAGTAGATGTGGTATGGTTGCCTAACCTGTTCCCCTATTTGGGGGACGTTTGAGTTGCACCCTTACTTCTGTTATTTTTAATAGGACTGCGGTTAACATCTTCATCTGGTTTGTGAACTTTTTACTGCTTAGGAAATCTTAAGATACAAAGGGCATATGATCAGGGGGATGTATAGCCTTCCAATTTTATCAGAGTTAGGTTGGTCCAGGTTCAAAACATTAGTGTTGTAAAGTCTTTCCCTTTTGGGGCCCTCTTGCCGTTGCTAGTTACCCTTTAGCCCTGACTCTATCTTGTCTTTTTTTTTTTTTTCTTTAGATTTCCCTACACAAATTGCCCTGGCTTTTGTTTTGCCCAAGGTATTCCCTTTCATCTTTTTTTTCTTTTTCTTTTTTGAGATGAGGTCTCGCTCTGTCACCCAGGCTGGAGTGCAGTGGCGCAGTCTCGGCTCACTGAAACCTCCACTTTTTGGGTTCAAGTGATTCTCGTGCCTCAGCCCCCCGAGTAGCTGGGACTACAGGCGCACGCACCACACCCGGCTAATTTCCTGTTCTTAGTAGACGCAAGGTTTCACCATGTTGGCCAGGGAGGACTTGAACTCCTCTCGAACTCCTGACTTCAAGTGATCTGCCTGCCTTGGCCTCCCAAAGTGCTGGGATTACAGGCGTGAGCCACCGCACCCGGTCCCCATTTCGTCTTTTCATATCTCCCTTTCCTACCCATCCTGCTAGTGCACAGAGAGGCCATATCCTTTTATTCTAGGTCCTCTGCCCTTTCCCTCGCCTCAGCTGACAGGGCCCTTCTCATAGACTCCCCACCTCAATTGGCCCCTGGATTTGTCCAGAAAAAGCACTGACCATCTTTTCCCCTGACCACCTCCCAAAGAGCCTCCTCTTGTCTCAATTAGAAAGCCCACCCAACCTGTCCTATTTGCCTCTTAGTTTCTTTTTTCTCTGAAGCCCTCAGAGCCCATAGAACTGCCCCCAACACCGAGCTGTGGTTCAGAATCCTGCCTTTCCCTCTCCCATGGATGCTCACAGTATCAAACTCTCCCTGCCCTGGGACTTTAGAAACTGCTGCATTATATCCACAGAATCTGCTTGATCAAACTGCTTCTAAGTCTGGGTCCCTTATCAATCCACAGGGACTCTGAAGAGTCTCCCATCTCCTGGGGAGAGGGTGATGGAGGAAGAGTCAGAAGGCCCAGTGTCTAGTCCGGTTAGAGCTCCTTCAGGTCAGCAAGGCCTACGGCAGGCCAAGGCTCCAGCTCAGAAAATCAGGAGGCAGCT
The DNA here is from genome assembly GCF_000001405.40 of Homo sapiens. Lineage (NCBI taxonomy): Eukaryota > Metazoa > Chordata > Mammalia > Primates > Hominidae > Homo > Homo sapiens. Next base: position 56,984,821 of record NC_000017.11, read on the forward strand.
GGGTGTGATGGCTCACACCTGTAATCCCAGCACTTTGGGAGGCTGAGGCGGGAGGATTGCTTGAGCCCAGGAGTTTGAGACCAGCCTGGGCAACATGGTGAAACCTCACCTCTACAAAAAATACAAAAATTAGCCGGGCTGGGCATGGTGGTGTGCGCCTATAGTTCCAACTACTTGAGGGGGCTGAGGCGGGAGGATCACTTGAACCCCAGAGGTAGAAGCTGTGGTGAGCCGAGATTGCACCACTGCACTCCAACCTGGGTGACAAAGTTAGACTCTGTCTGAAAAGAAAAGAAAAGAAAAGAAAAAATCAGGAGTCAGGAACATTCCATTGTGGACCTCTTAGCTCAGCTCTGCTCCTTTCAGAGAAAAACCTCAGCAGTTACTAGGGGAGCTTTGCTAATGTGGAAGTCCCTGGTTCACTAGAGAAATTGTGTCTTTTGTGCAAATTGACCCAGCCATCACTAACTCATAAACCATCTATAGCAAATGTGGTCATTCATTGTAAAGACTAAGATCTGACTAAAATTTTTGTTTGTTTCTTCTCTCTTCCATAGGGCGGTCCAGGCGGTTCTAGCACTGGATTTGGAAACTTTGAGGAAATTGGGCCCCTTGACAGTGATCTCAAACCACGGAAAACCACCTGGGTACAGTGAGGACAGTCCTGAGCTAAACCTTGCCCCGTGGCCTCTCAGAGGCCCTGCCCAACTCTGGGAGGGGCCACAAATGTAGCAATCCCTCGCTGTCCTTTTCCTTTTCCTGTGACTACTGAGGCCATGGGCACTTGTCCGCAGGCTTCCTCTCTGGCCTAGCTTCTCTCCCATTTCTCAGGACAGCTTATCTTGCACCAGTCTGCCTCGCCTTCTCCAAAACAACCCCTCTCTCCAGCTGCCTTCAAAAACCTACTACAGCAGACACCTGGGACCCTGTGTTATGCACGCTGGCCATCTCCGCGGCCTCAGACACCATGGTTGCACCCTCCAGCCACAGCCCCCAGTCCTTTTCTCTCTCTCCTATCCTCCTACTTGTATCTTGACTTCCCCTTTCAATGTCTCTCTTGCTGCCCTTCTCACACCTCCCCCTCATTCTTATCGTCTCTTCCTTCCCTCACCCCTCTGTGGTCAACTCCCATATCCTTCTCCCTTTACAGCCTTGCCAAACCCAGCCTTGGGTCACTCCCACTGTCCACCTGCTTAGCCCTTACGCCCAGGCTGCCCATGGGCAGAACTGCACACCCACCCTGGGGCTGCTGCACAGCGTGGGCCCCACTCAGGGCTTGTGGCTGTTCCTCTCTCTGTGCTCCCACTCTCCCGGCTGCACCTATTGCTATGAATGTTCTCCACTTTCCTCAGTGCTCCTCCTCCAGCCTCCCTCTCGCATTAGAAGCTAAGCTTTCTGCTCTTTTTTTTTTTTTTTGGAAATGGAATGTCCCTCCGTCACCAAGGCTAGAGTGCAGTGGCACGATCTCAGCTCACTGCAACCTCTGCCTCCTGGATTCAAGCGATTCTCCTGCCTCAGCCTCCCGAGTAGCTGGGATTATAGGCATGCGCCAGCACGCCCGGCTAATTTTTGTATTTTTAGGAGAGACGGGGTTTTACCATGCTGGTCAGGCTGGTCTTAAACTCTTGACCTCGTGATCCACCTGCCTCAGCTTCCCAAAGTGCTGGGATTACAGGTGTGAGCCACTGTGCCCGGCCACTTTCTGGTCTTTCTTTGTTTTTTTTTTTCTGTTTTTTTGTTTTTGAGACAGAGTCTCGCTCTTTCGCCCAGGCCAGAGTGCAGTGGCGCTATCTCGGCTCGCTGCAAGCTCCGCCTCCCGGGTTCACACCATTCTCCTGCCTCAGCCTCCTGAGTAGCTGGGACTACAGGCGCCCGCCACTGCGCCTGGCTAATTTTTTGTATTTTTAGTAGAGGTGGGATTTCACCATGTTAGCCAGGATGGTCTCGATCTCCTGACCTCGTGATCCTCCCACCTCAGCCTCCCAAAGTGCTGGGATTACAGGCGTGAGCCACCGTGCGCGGCCTCTGGTCTTTCTTAAGTGCTTCCTACTCTTGCCTCAGGGTCTTTGTACATGCTGTCCTCTTGGCCTGGGCCTTTCCTGTGCTTGGTTCCAACAGAAGTCTCACTTCCAGGAGTGGTTGTAGAGTCATCCCCTACCTCCACTCCCCACCCCCATTGTCCCCAAGCCTCCTAGAACTAAAAGGGCCATATGAGTGAGGACCATGGTCCCAGTCCTGATGCTGCCACTGCCTGTCCGATCTTGTGACCTTAGGCACATTCTGGGCTCTTTCTGGGCTTTAATTTCCTCATCAGCAAGGGACATGGCTGGACTGTGTCATTATTCAGGATCTTTTATATGTAAATTTTATAACTTTCAACCTCTTTGGAAAAGGTATTAGAATAAATTCTGCTCTTGCAGTGTACAGAGAAGCCAGGACAATGTGGAAATTTGATGCATTTCCAAGAAAACTGATGTGTGTCCAGACTTTGAGTGTCCTCTGGCTTCTTCGAGTTAGTGCATAGACTGTCTCTGCATGCTTCTTTCTGCGCTAGTTTATTACATTTAGTACATTTGTATTGTATGAAAAGCAACAGCCCAGATTATTTGATCCCCGTGTGTGTTAATCTTTCCTTCCTGCCTCTCCCTTTTTTTTTTTTTGCGGCGGCGGGGGCGGTTGGCCTTTCTTTGTTTTTGTTTTTTTTTCTATGTTCCTGTCCCTTATTTTTAAAAATCTCTTTTAGCAACAGGGATATCATCACCACGCTGGTATCCTCACATGTGTGGGTTTTGCTGAGCTAGTAGAAAATGATCCAAAGATGATTGGTGACCAAATGTCTGATTGCAACATTTCGTTTTCCTCCGTGGTACATAGCTCCAGGCTGCCAGTCTCCTATTTGTGGATAATCCCGTGGGCACTGGGTTCAGTTATGTGAATGGTAGTGGTGCCTATGCCAAGGACCTGGCTATGGTGGCTTCAGACATGATGGTTCTCCTGAAGACCTTCTTCAGTTGCCACAAAGAATTCCAGGTAAGCAAAGACTCAGGAACAGCTAAGTAAAGGGCTGGCAATATCAACTCTACATCCATCAGCATAAACCTGAACTGCCTCCAGAGTTTAATGCCTAGCTGATTTCAGAGAAAACTTTTTAATTCCCAAGATTGGGTTGTGGACTTTTGTTTCTGTCATCTCTAAAGTTGATATTTAACTTGAAAGAATGACCTTGGAGTGAGCATTCTAATCAGACGCAATAATCAGATATGGAGTGGTGGGGGAGGAAGACAAAGCAGATTTGTTTTTTCTGGTCATTACGTGCAATAGAAATTTGAAATTAATTTGTGTGACTCAAAAAGCAATCAAGGTAGTTAATTCTGTGTAATTCCTTTTCTTGCTAGACAGTTCCATTCTACATTTTCTCAGAGTCCTATGGAGGAAAAATGGCAGCTGGCATTGGTCTAGAGCTTTATAAGGTAATGGAAAATAACTTTGTTGTTATGGTTTTGGACAGAAAATCAATTATGTTACTTTTATGTACTCACGTGCTATTAAATATACTTTGAATAGGGCCATGTACATGCAGAGTACGATTAAATCTGTAGTAATAACCATAAAAAGTTTTTAAAAGAAGAATGAAGATTGCCCTGCTAGATCTGGAACAAGATATAAAGCATGAGTGAGTAAAAGAATGTGGTACTAACATAGCAATAGACAAATAGGTTAATTGCAACAGGATACAGAATCCAGAAACACACACACATATATATGTATGTGTATCATATATTTGTATTTTATATAAATATATATGATCATATATAAATATAAGATAACGTTTCAAATCATTGGGGCATGGATATAATGTCGATAAATGTTATGGAGACAAATACCTATCACTTTGGAAAATAGAAAACTTGTATTCCTGCCTTGTATAAAATATTAATTCTGGATGGATTAAAATCTAAACATAAAAATAAAAATAATGGAGACAAATACCTATCACTTTGGAAAATAGAAAACTTGTATTCTTGCCTTGTATAAAATATTAATTCTGGATGGATTAAAATCTAAACATAAAAATAAAAATTAGGACAGAATGCAGTGGCCCACGCCTATAATCCCAGCACTTTGGGAAGCCCAGGCAGGAGGACTGCTTGTGACCAGGAGTTCCAGACCAGCCTGGGCAACATAGCGACACCCTGTTTCTACAAAAAAAAAAAAAATAATAAGCTGGGCACAGTGGCTCCTGGCTGTAATCCCAGCTACCTGGGAGGATGAGGTGGGAGGATCGCTTGAGCTCAAGGAGTTGAAGCTGCAGTGAGCTGTGATCATGGCACTGCACTCCAGCCTGGGTGACAGAACAAGACTGTGTCTCAGGAAAAAAATGAAAACAAAAACCAAAACCAATGTCCTAGTAGAAAAATGTGGACAAGCAATTTGTAGAAGAAATATAAACAGCCTTTAGACATAAGAAAAATCTTCAGCTTTTATTAGTAAGCCAAGTCCATGAGATTTGTAAATATTTAAAAGACTGATAACACCCAGTTTTGGTAAGAAGTCAGGGAAATAAGTGCTGTCGTGCACTTTTGATGGGAATACAAATTAATTTAAATTTAAAAGGACAATTTGACAATGTCAATTTTTTAAAGATATGTGTCATTTCACCCAATAATTTTGTCCTATGGGAATACTTATACATATGTATATGTCAGAGAATGTTTATTATGCCATTGTTTATAATGTTTATAAACTGAAAACAGCTGGTTGGCTGTCAGTAGAGGATTGCTTAAATAAAGTAGGTATATCTTTCCAAGATGAAACCCTTTGCAGCCAGCATAAAGAATGGATCCAGGCGGGCGCGGTGGCTCATGCCTGTAATCCCAGCACTTTGGGAGGCCGAGGCCGGCAGATCGCTTGAGGTTAGGAGTTGGAGAGCAGCCTAGCCAACATGGTGAAACCCCATCTCTACTAAAAATACAAAAATTAGCTGGGCATGGTAGTGCACGCCTGTAATCCCAGCTACTAGGGAGGCTGAGGCAGGAGAACTGCTTGAACCCAGGGAGCAGAGGTTGCAGTGAGCTGAGATTGCGCCTCTAGTCTGGGTGACAGAGCGAGACTCTTTCTCAAAAAAAAAAAGAATGGATCTTAGCACTTTGGGAGGCTGAGGTAGGAGGATTGCTTGAGATCAGGAGTTAGAGACCAGCCTGGACAACATAGTGAGACCCCTGTCTCTACAAGAAAGAAAAAAGAAAGAATACAGAGAGCTATATATACTGAGTGTGGAAAGTTCTCCTTTGGGTATTTAGTTGTGGAACGATATGAGATAACTTTGTTTGTAAGTCAAAAACACTTCCATATGTGGAGATAGATTTGTATGCTGTGACGGCAAACAAAAGGGTTAGAAGGATACATGACACACTTAACTGCAGTCAGTTGGTGAGTGTGAGGGCACAAATGAGACAAAGTAAAAGACTTTCACATTTCCTTCTATCTCCTATGTTTGAATATCAGTGAGCTTAAATAAGGGTTTTTTTTAAGATTTATTAATTTAAAAAACTTATAGAAACAGCATATGTACATTATAGAATATTGGAAACTGTAACAAGCATAAATTAAAAATGAAAACTTCACCTTCCCACCTGATGGAGATCACTATAGTTAGCATCTGGGTATATAGCTTTCTAAATATTTTTGTGCACATTTATATAGAATTGTTTAGCTGAATGAGATCATATTATACATACTGGTTTCAGCCTGCTTTCTTCAATCAGTAGTTCTCAACTTTCTATTTCTGTAAATTTTCATCTCAAATATTCAGACTTTTTCTTTTTGAGACAGGATCTTGCTGTGTTGCCCAGACTAGAGGCTGGAGTACAGTAGCATGATCATGGCTCACTCCAGCCTCTGCCTCCTGGGCTCAAGTATCCTCCTGCCTCAGCCTCCCGAGTAACTGGGACTACAGACGAGCACTACCGTGCCTGGCTAATTTTTGTATTTTTTTGTAGAGATGGGGTTTTGCCATGCTGCCCAGGCTAGCCTCGACCTCCTGGGGTCAAGTGATCCTCTGACCTCAGCATCCTGGGTATCTGGGACTATAAGGCACATACCACCATGTCCCACTGATTTTTTAACTTTTTGTAGAGATGGGGGTCTCACTACATTGCCTAGGCTGGTCTTGTATTCCTAGGCTCAAGCGATCCTCCTGCCTAAGCTTCCCAAAGTGTTGGGATTACTGCGTGAGCCACTGCACCTGGCCTGAGGACGTTTCTTGTTTCCTCTTTCAGGCCATTCAGCGAGGGACCATCAAGTGCAACTTTGCGGGGGTTGCCTTGGGTGATTCCTGGATCTCCCCTGTTGGTAAGTGTGGCATTTTCAGGCATTTTTTCACTCCCCTTTTGCCCATCCTTTCCTGGGACTTTGGGCTGTGTTGTCCAGATCAAAGAGCTAAGCAGGAGAATGTTCTGGGCCCTTAGAGAAAGTGTTTGCTACATCCAAGAAATATAGAGACAGAGTGCCTACCATGGACCACTAAGGGCTGAACTGAGTTTTCTTAATTTAATTATCACAACAAAAGGATCAAATTTTACAATTGGAGGCATTCTGAAGACTCAGAGAGGTCAAGAAATGTGCTATCTGCCACGTAGGATGAGTGGCCTAGTCAGGATTCAAATCCAGGTCTGTGCTGCTCAGTACAAAGGCAAATCTGTTTTGTCATCCTGCCCCCTCTACTTCCCTGATGCTGACATAAGTGTTTGGGGTAAAATTCCCGTCTGTTACGCATATTGATGGCAAGACAAGGTTATCGTCTGGTCTTGCAACTCAGAAGTGTGCAGTTTTGTAATTGAGCATCCGTGTTGCGAGCATAAATAAGAGTTGTTTATGTTGCAGACACCCAGGGTGTGGCCCCAGACATCTGAAACAATCATCCTGGTGGCGTTCACTCTAACACAGGGTTTCTCAGCACTGTTGACATTGTGGGTCATATAGTTCTTTTTGTGGGAGGCTGTCCTGTGCATTGTAGGATATTATCAGCAGCATCCTTGGCCTCTACTCAGGAGATGCTAGTAGCACCGCTCCAGTGTGACAACCAGAAATGTCTCCCTGGGGAACAAAACCATCCCTGATTGAGAACCATTGTTCTAACCTAACAAAACGTGATTTCCCCAGGCAAAACCAAACTATCGAGTTAGAAATCAGAAGAGAGGCTGCCTAGGGGCAAAGGAGGGAAATAAGCAGGAAAGGTACATGAGGGAAATATATCTTGATTGCAGGGGGTGGTTACACGGGCATATGCATTCATCAAAACTCTTCTGAAGGTACACTTGTGATTTGTGATTATGGCTCAGTTTTTTAAAAATAATCATTTATAAAAGGTAATATTTACCCCTAAAAGATAGGGATTTGCTTGTTACAGAGCCATATTCCCAATAACCATTACGACTTGGAATAGTATTTCTTGCCCTCATGTTTGCCATCTGCAGGGTAGGACTGAAGTAGCATAAAACTGAGTCAGCATGAAGAGGAGGGCTGCTATTCGTTTATCTGTCTTTCCTTCCTGGATGGATCTCGTAGGACATCATAAAACTGCAGAAGCTTAGAGAAGCATGAGAGTTTCTTGTCAGATACTGCTCTTTTGTTCATGTTGATGGCAAGACAAAGTCTCCATCAGGTCTTGCAACCCAGAGGTGTGCTGTTTCATAACTGAGCATCCTCACTGGGAACACAGATAAGAGTTGTTTATGACTCAAAATTATGATGCTGGCCCTCTCACTTCCTCATGGGGTCTCCTCAGTTTCACAGTAGCACTAAGTACTTTACATGTGCTAACTTCATGTAATCCTTACAACAACTCCATGGGATGGATGCTATCATTATCCTAATTTTGTAAATGATGAAACTGAGACTTAGAGAGGTTAAGCAACTTTCTTAGAGTCACCTAGCTAAATGGTAGAACTGGGATTCAAATCCAGGCAGCAGGTACTGGAATCCAAGCAACCTAACCACCTTGCTACATTGTCTCTCCAAGATCAGTACGTTTCGCTTCCTGGCTTTGCAAGTGTTATTCATTGTGTTTGGAATCTACCTTTTTCTCCTTGCCGTGACCCACTTTACCTTATGAATCTGTTTGTCTGGATCGTAATCCATCCTTCCAGATCCACTTTAAGTATTGCCCCTCTATCCCAGAAACATTGGTTTTTGAGGGAGAAGTATTGTTAATTTCCATGAACAATTGTTAATTGCTTGCTAGGTAGTAGATACTGTTCTAGGTGCTAGGAAAAGATACACAGATAAGCTCCTGATCTTCAAGAAGGTCTTGATCTGCACTGTCACTAAGCCCATGTGACCATGTCAGTATGGTAACCACTTGCCACATGTGACTATATAAATTTAATTATAATTTTTAAATACAATTTCATTTTTTCAGGGGCACTCTCTACACCCAAGTGCTCCATAGACACATGTGGCTATTAGCTAGCATTTTGGACTGCACAGATACAGAACACTTCCATTACTGTAGAAAGTTCTATTGAACAATGCAGGCCTACTTCAAAGATTGGTAAACAAGGGCCCATGAGTCAAGTCTGCCCTGCCGCCTGCTCTGGTAAATAAGTTTTTGTTGTTTGTTTGTTTTTGTTTGTTTGTTTTGAGATGGAGTTTTGCTCTTGTTGCCCAGACTGGAGTGCAGTGGCACGATCTCGGCTCACTGCAACCTCCGCCTCCCAGGTTTAAGCAATTCTCCTGTCTCAGCCTCCTGAATAGCTGGGATTACAGGTGCCCACCACTACGCCTGGCTAATGTTTTTGGTATTTTTAGTAGAGATGGGGTTTCACCATGTTGGCCAGGCTGGTCTCCAACTCCTGACCTCAGGTGATCTGCCCACCTCGGCCTCCCAAAGTGCTGGGATTACAGGCGTGAGCCACCGCACCCAGCCGGTAAAAGTTAATTTACTGTCTATGGCTGTTTGGAGGCTGTAAGAACAGAGTGGAGTAGTTCAACCGAGATAGGCTGGCCTACCAGGCCAAAATTATTTACTATCTGTCCCTTTACAGAAAGTTTACCAGTCTCTGGCCCAGATCAAACAGGAAGTGGGATGCATTGGAGAACTGCAGCCAATCCTGTGTTTTAAGAAACTAAGAAACAAGTTTGAAGGTTAAGCCCGGGAGGTGATTAACAGCTAGGCCACGGAAGTCCTGGTGTGCTTGCATTTCTCAGAGAGTACTCTAAAAGAATACCAGTCCAGGCCAGGTGTAGTGGCTCACATCTGTAATCCTAGCACTTTGGGAGACCAAAGCGAGCAGATTGCTTGAGCCCAAAAGTTCGAGACCAGACTGGGCAACATGGACTTAGTTCCTGCAGAACTAAGACTACTTGAAACCTACTTTGAGACACTTTGCCTTAAGGAGCCATTGAATACTTTTAAGCTAAGGAGAGACATACTCAAATGTGCTTTATAAGTTGAGGTCCTTGATTCTTTGTTGGCGTGTCTTTCAATAGCACTTGTCTTACCTAGTGATACAGTATTTAATAGTTGTGAGCTTGTCTAAACCAAGGTCAACTACTATTCTCTTTGAGGACAGGCATTATGTTACTCACATTTATATCTTAAGCTTTTGCTGCCTCTAGACCCTTAGTAAATTCTCAATATGTTTGTGGGATGGGAATAAGCCAATTGGCAATATAGCCATTTGCACTGTTGCAAACTCATTAGTCATCTTCCTTATTTAGCTCCTTGGCAGAAGCTAATATCTCCAAACTGGAGGAGCAAATAAGATGTAGAGCAGAAATGTGAGGGTGGGGAAATATTTTAAGCTGTCAAAAGGCCTAGAGGTCCACAGATAAGAGCCTCCACCTGCATACCTACAGCCTGCCTGTGGGGATGCTGTCATCGGCAATGACTCACTTGCTGGACCAGTATCAGGCCAAATTAATGTGCCATTAGTCTTAAGAGTCAACAGAAAGGCCCCCACACCCTTATCCCACCTTCCAGACACTGAGACATCAGCCCGCCTCCTGCATGGGTACAGGTGAATTGAGGAGCCTTCCAATCCAAAGCCACCGGGTTTCTTGCTTCTGTCTCTTTCTTCTTTAGAGAGAAGACAGTAGGTTTGTCTTTGGAAAGACAGAGGTATGACATACTTGATTTGTACATATGTGATTTCCTTTAGATTCGGTGCTCTCCTGGGGACCTTACCTGTACAGCATGGTAAGTAGATACACATCTGCACCCTCTGGGCAAACAGCCCAGCAGATCTCTTCTGGCTGTGACCCCAGGAAAAGAGATGCTGGATGAGTTTGCCTATGTGGTTGACACTGCTTTTTAGGGACTAGTCATCCACATAGAGTTGGAGACCCAAAGCAAGAGCTCGCCTCAGGGACAAATTGAAAGAAAATCAGCACACATCACTTTTTTCCAGATATAAGAAACACATTTTTCCAATGCCCTAAATTTTTATTACAAAAATTTTCAAATATGCAGAAATGTTGAAAGATCACGGTGAATACCTACTTAGGTTCAGTTAACAATTTGCTGTGTTTCATCCAATAAACATGTGGCTTGTAACAATACACTTTGATATGTGAGCTCCCGTTCTCCTTCCTTCCCCTCTTTCTCCTACCCCTCCCTAACTGCAGCAATACCAGATTGACGTTCCCAAGTAAAGTGGGTCTTTTTGCTCTTGGTTTGCATTCCAGTCTCTTCTCGAAGACAAAGGTCTGGCAGAGGTGTCTAAGGTTGCAGAGCAAGTACTGAATGCCGTAAATAAGGGGCTCTACAGAGAGGCCACAGAGCTGTGGGGGAAAGCAGAAATGATCATTGAACAGGTAAAAAGGGGAAACACTCAGAGGCGAGCCTGCTTGGCTTTTTCTGGTGGGTACAGGGCCCATGGTTGGTGTTGTCAAACTTGGAGTCTACACTGAGGCTCCCCACATATCTGCAAATGATTGCATGCTGGATAATAAATCTCTTGGGTCTAAGCAGTGATGTAGTGGCTCCTTACAGAGTCAGAAAGCCACCCAGGCCTGCAAGACTTGCTTGTCCTTCACTAAATGTATGGATTCTATTAAAAAAAAAAAAAAAAAAGACTGTCTTGCAGAGGTGAGTGTGTGGAGAAAACACATTCCCTTATTGGGACCCTTGCCAAGCAACATTCTGACTCCAGAGAGCCAGAAGGAAAGAATGCGTAGGCTAAGGACTTGGGAGTGTAGGCCCCTCTGCAGCTCTGTTCTCCCTGTAAATTAACACCTAGGCCCTTGGTTTTTTCCCTGCAGGGCCTGATCACTGCTCATATGAGATGCTCACCACTCCAGGGAGAGTGGGCTGACACAGCTGGTTTCTGAGACTTCAGAGCTGCATTTCTTTCTTTATTTTATTTTTTACTTTTTCTTTTTTCCTCTATTTATTTATTTATTTATTTATTTTTGAGACACTCGCCCAGGCTGGAGTGCAATGGCACAGTCTTGGCTCACTGCAACCTCTGCCTCCTGGGCTCAAGTGATTCCCCTGCCTCAGCCTCCCGAGTAGCTGAGATAATTGGCACGCACCACCGCACCCAGCTAATTTTTGTATTTTTAGTAGAGAAGGGGTTTCACCGTGTTGCCCAGGCTGGTCTTGAACTCCTGACCTTAGGTGATCCACCCACCTCAGCCTCCCAAAGTGCTGGGATTATAGGCGTGAGCCACCGCGCCTGGCCTCTTTTTCCTTTCTTTCTTTTTTATTTTTTTTTGAGACTAAGTCTGGCTCTGTCACCCACACTGTAGTGCAGTGGCCCGATCTCGGCTCACTGCAACCTCTGCCTCCTGGGTTCAAGTGATTCTCATGCCTCAGCCTCCAGAGTAGTTGGGACTACAGGTGAGCACCACCACGCCCGGCTGATTTTTGTGTTTTCAGTAGAGAGGGGTTTCACCATGTTGACCAGGCCGGTCTCGAACTCCTGGGCTCAAGTGATCCACCCACCTCAGCCTCCCGAAGTGCTGGGATTACAGACATGAGCCACCAGGCCCAGCCAAAGCTCTATTTCTTTCTGATCCAAGCAGATATACAAAATTAAACCTGTCCTTGGATAAGATAAAGAGCCATGTGTCCTTCTGTTTGGCAGCTTTGATGATAGGAAAATGAAACAAACAGCCAAATAAACTTTTATATTTCAGAACACAGATGGGGTGAACTTCTATAACATCTTAACTAAAAGCACTCCCACGTCTACAATGGAGTCGAGTCTAGAATTCACACAGAGCCACCTAGGTGAGTGAACCTTGAAGTTATTAAAGTCCCTGCCTCAGCCTCCATGCAAAAAGAAACCTGTTTATTAAAAAAAAAAAAAACTTTATTAACATATAATTTGCATACCATAAAATTAACTCACTGTAAGTGGTTTTCAGTATATTCCCAGAGTTGTGCAGTCATCACTACAATCCAGTTATGGAGCATTTCTGTCACCCCAAGGAGATCCCACGTGTCTGCTTGCAGACAGTTCTCATTCCCACTCCCAGCCACAGGCAACCACTCATCTGCCTTCTGTCTCTCTAGATTTTCCTTTTCTGAACATTTTATATAAATACAATCGCACAATAGTTAGTCTTTTGCACTGGCTTCTGTCACATAGCATGATGTTTTTGAAGTTTAGAAACCAGCTTCCATACACCAAATTACAACATCAGTTCAAGACTGAATTTAGTCATCTTTCAGCCAACCAAGAAGCATATAAAGGCTGCAGGATACCCTAGGTTCCACTTTCTAGATGATTCTCTTTGGCCGTTCTGGAGAATCCCAATGGCCCCCAAGTCTATAGAATGTATAATCAATACTATTAGGTTGGTGCAAAAGTAACTGTGGTTTTTGACAGGTTTCAAGAATTATTAACTCACAACTAATGAAGCATTATTTCCCTTCCCACCCAGTTCCCTACCAACCCCTTATTTTGAACCAATTTTGACAAATCTATTTTTTCCCTTTTTTTTTTTAAGAGATAAGGTTTCACTCTGTTGCCCAGGCCAGAGTGCCATTGAATTTGAGAAATTCTGCCATTACTTTTAATGGCAAAAACCGCAGTTACTTGTGCACCAACCTAATAATAAAGCCTCTCCACTTTCAATGTGTTTCTGACTTCCTTCCTCCCGCTGGGGGTGAATCAAGGTGACGCTTTTCCTTTTCCAGCTGAATCTGAAACCCTCCCTCTTGCTGTGCAGCATCCCCAGCAGCTTGGTAAAGATGTCCTCATGGCCAGGCGTGGTGGCTCACACCTGTAATCCCACCACTTGGGAGGCTGAGGCGGGTGGATCATGAGGACAAGAGATCGAGACCATCCTGGCCAACATGGTGAAACCCTGTCTCTACTAAAAATACAAAAATGAGCTGGGCATGGTGGCGGGTGCCTGTAGTTCCAGCTACTCGGGAGGCTGAGGCAGGAAAATCGCTTGAACCCAGGAGGCGGAGGTTTCAGTGAGCCGAGATCGTGCCACTGCACTCCAGCCTGGAGACAGAGAGAGATTCTGTCTCAAAAAAAAAAAAAAAAGATGTCCTCTTGGCCTTACTTCCAGCCCTTTGACTCACTATCTACCAGTTTGGTTTTAGTTTGTCTTTGTCAGCGCCACGTGAGACACCTACAACGAGATGCCTTAAGCCAGCTCATGAATGGCCCCATCAGAAAGAAGCTCAAAATTATTCCTGAGGATCAATCCTGGGGAGGTACTTATATGACCTAATTAAGTGCCGTTTGTACAGTTATGGGGAGAAAAGAGGTGCAAATTCAGAGACCTGAATTTGTAGGGTGGGTTTTGTTGTTGGTGATGATAGGTTATAGGTAAACAATATTACTATCCACGTTTTGTAGGTGAGCAAATAGATACAGAGACAGTAAATGACTTGTCAGGGCTGGATGCAGTGGCTCACGCCTATAATCCCACCACTGTGGGAGACTGAGTTGAGAGGATTGCTTGAGGCCACAATTAAGCAACATAGTAAAGCCCCATCTCTTTAAAAAAATAGAAAAATTAGCTGGGCATGGTGGCATGTGGCATATAGTTCTAACTACTTGGGAGGCTGAGGTGGGAGGATTGCTTGAACCCAGGAGTTTGAGGGTACAGTGAGCTATGATTATGCCACTGCTCTCCAGCCTGGGCAGCAGAGAGAAACCCTGTTTCTTAAAAAGGGGAAAAAAAAGACATCAAAATTGATTCAAAATAAGGAGTTGGTAGGGAGCTGAGTGGGGAGGGAAATAATGTGTAATTGGTTGTGAGTTAATAATTGTTGAAGCCTGGTATGGGTACATCGGAGCATTGTATGCTTCTCCTTTCTATCCATTTGAAATTTTCCATAATAAAAAATTAAGATAAAAAAGCTACATCGAAGGCCACAGTTGGTTGCAGATGAGATTTCGCGCCAAAGGTCCTTGCAGGATGTCAGAGACACCCAGGTGCTCGGGCAGATTTTGACCAGCTCTCTCTTGCTGACCTCCCCAGGCATCCTGATGCTGGATATGGCCAGGCATTACTGCGTTCTGGTCTCAAGGCCATGGTGAGGAAATAATGAAATCCTTAGAGACCAGGGCCAGGTAGAAATCTTGGTTAAGTTCCTACTTTAGTCCTATAGGGAGGCCTTGAGCAAGCAGAGATCTCAGGTTTCTGAAGGGAAAATACTCCAAACCTAAGAGGGTTTTGTTTCATGTGTGTTCAAGATACCCCAAGGATATGGGGTCAGTGGTCCTGCGGCTGCTGCTGGGAGCCTACGATTTGCTGCTGCTGGGAGCTTTCTCAGGGGACATGGGCCCTCCTCTCCCAACCTGCAGTCACCAGAGGTCTCATTCCATCCCTGGTTTTTTCATTACTCCTGAGTGCTGGGAGAATTTTAGAAATGAAGAAAAATTAGCTCAAATGAAAAGAGCTGGGTGTGGCCGGGTGTGGTGGCTCACGCCTGTAATCCCAGCATTTTGGGATGCCAAGGTGGGCGGATCACCTGAGGTCGGGAGTTCGAGACCAGCCTGACCAACATGGAGAAACCCTGTCTCTACTAAAAATACAAAATTAGCTGGGTGAGGTGGCACATGCCTGTAATCCCAGCTACTTGGGAGGCTGAGGTGGGGGAATCGCTTGAACCCGAGAGGCAGAGATTGCGGTGAGCCAAGATTGTGCCATTGCACTCCAGCCTGGGCAATAAGAGTGAAACTCTGTCTAAAAAAAAAAAAAAAAAAAAGAGCTGGGCGTGGTGGTGTGCATCTGTAGTCTCAGCTACTTGGGAGGCTGAGGTGGGAGGATCGCTTAAGCCTGGGAGGTAGAGGCTGCAGTGAGCTGAGATTGTGCCCCCGCTCTCCAGCCTGGGTGACAGGGTGAGACTCTGTCTCAAATAAGTAAATAAATAAATAAAAATTAAATTTTTTTAAAAGAAGACTTCTTATCTCCCAAGGTAATGAAGAAGAAAATGGGATGTTGCTTGTCAGATGCCTCCTTGGCAGTGACTAGCAAATAATGGTGGCTGCCACTCTTATTGCTGTCATTCAGTGTTAGGATAATGCTGATGGGCAGGAGCTAGCAAGAGTACTAGCTCCTCTCTTGCCTGGGGCTTGTTATTCATTTGGCTTTCCTGAGGGCCAGCTCTGAATTGGTTTAGGTTTGATCTGGTTTATTATAAGGTAGGCCTACCTGTTCAGAACTTGAAACTTGGCCCTGGTGTTACTCAAAAAAACAGGAAAACTGACATTGGCCCAAAGCACAATTTATTCCCTGAGTGTACCAGCCTAATGAGTATTTCCTGGGCCTCTCCCTCCCTGTTTCCTTGGACAGTAGCCTATTCCAGGTGTCAATTCCTCATTAAAAATGGTGCCTGCTGTCATCACAAGCTCTCAAGAGAATGGACCACATGTGCTATTTATGTGTGCCTTACACCTGACCAGTCGGCACAAATTTCTGGGCTGGTTCATCCCTGTTTGTGAAGCATCTGTGCATTCAGTCGTTGTTCGGTGCTGGAGCCCAAGATGCTCTGGGCTGAAAGGTACCTCCTGTTTTGGCAGATTCCAAGCTACTCCCTCTTTCTCCTTCCCCATGTGCAGGCCAGGCTACCAACGTCTTTGTGAACATGGAGGAGGACTTCATGAAGCCAGTCATTAGCATTGTGGACGAGTTGCTGGAGGCAGGGATCAACGTGACGGTGTATAATGGACAGCTGGATCTCATCGTAGATACCATGGGTAGGAATTGACTCTGAGAGGCACCTAGAGGCAGTTTTATGGGTTCAACTGGAAGGGAACTGGCCTTGGACATGTCAGTCTTGCGGTGGGTGATGTTGAAATGCCAGGTGGAAGGCCATTTCCCATTACATCCGTCTACCCCGACCTTGATTATTCAAAGGGTGGGGAGCTGCACGTGGCTGTGACCCCTCAGAAGCCTGAGCCTACCTGGGTTTGGGGGCCCTTAGGTATGATTAAAGAAAAGAACACCACCTGTCTCTACCACAAAACTTAGACATTTTCCTGGTTATTGGGCAAATGCGCTGTTTAATTAAGGGAGAGCCTCATTTTTGTGCGACATCACAGTCGATGTTGACCACTGCAGAGTGAATTAAAACTAAACCCTAATGACTGTAACCCTGAAGACCCAGGGGAAATGGTCTTTGTGGAATCCTGACTCCTGCCCTATCACCTACCACCTGTTTAATTTGCTCACTTCCAAATTAAATAGGGCCTGGTGGAGGCTCAGAGACAGGTTCTCTGAACTGGCAGGGTAATTGAGGCACAAGGTCTGACGGATGTGACACGCCTCGTGAACCAGAAGGATTGAATATTTTTGTGATGGGTAAACAAGAGACACCAAGGACAATTTGGAAAGCTGCTGCATTTCTCGATGAACATCCCAGGTGATCCTTATCACTATCTCGTTCACGACATCTCTCAGTCCTCCTCACAGGCCTGTCTGCCTCCAGAGGTCCCCAGTTCCCTTCCTAAAGAGCAGATGGCGGTGAGAGATGCAGAGGCAAAATCAGTCAGGCTTTGCAGCTGTTAGGTTTCTCCCAGCAGCCTAGGTTTCACTGGGAGTCAGAAATGCAGATGCTCAGGCCCTACCCTGATCTTCTGAATCAGAATTTGCATTTTAACAAGATCCTGAGTGAGTTTCATGCATATTGCAGTTTGGGAAGCACCAACTTTTAGGACCTAGACTTTTTTCCTATTCTATCCAGCTGTTAATGCCAGGCCTTTCTCTTTGTCCTTCTCACCAGGTCAGGAGGCCTGGGTGCGGAAACTGAAGTGGCCAGAACTGCCTAAATTCAGTCAGCTGAAGTGGAAGGCCCTGTACAGTGACCCTAAATCTTTGGAAACATCTGCTTTTGTCAAGTCCTACAAGAACCTTGCTTTCTACTGGATTCTGAAAGCTGGTCATATGGTAAGAAAGAGCTTTTGTTCCAGACTTAAAAATCATCCTGAGAGGGAAGCCACAGGCGGTTATTATGCCTCTGTCCACTGCCCAGGTGGGTCTTGTAGGAAGTACGAGGGCCCGAGGGCCAGGTACAGTGGCTCATGCCTGTAATCTCAGCACTTTGGGAGACCAAGGCAGGTGGATTGCTGGAGCCCAGGAGTTTGAGACCAGCCTGGGCCACATGGAGAAACCTTGTCTCTACAAAAAATATGAAAATTAGGCCAGGCACAGAGGCTCATGCCTGCAATCCCAGCACTTTGGGAGGCTGAGACGGGTGGATCGCTTGAGCTCAAGAGTTCAAGACCAGCCTTCGCAACGTGGCGAAACCCTGTCTCTACAAAAATTTACCAGGTGTGGTAGCACATGTCTGTAATCCCAGCTACTTGGGAGGCTGAAGCACGAGAATCACTTGAACCCGGGAGGTGGAGGCTGCAGTGAGCCGAGATAGCACCACTGCACTCCAGCCTGGGCAACAGAGTGAGACTCTGTCTCAAAAAAGAACAAAAATCAACCGGGCACGGTGGCGCATGCCTGTGGTCTCAGCTGCTCAGGAGGCTGAGTGAGGTGGGCAGATTGATTGAGCCTGAAAGTTAGAAGCTATAGTGAGCCAAGATCATGCCACTGCACTCCAGCCTGGGTGACAGAGCGAGACCCTGTCTCAAAAAAAAAAAAAAAAAGAAAAATTAAAAAAGAAATACTTAGGGCTTGGGAGTGTTTTGAGTTTCCTAACAAAATTCCGCTATTAGCACTAGAGACTGCGAGCACAAGGGTGAGTGGTGCCCAGTCCCTGTCCTCAAGGAGCTTGTGGTCTAGAGACAGACAGGCAAGGAGACTGTCAACAGCTGGCTTGGCCCAGGGAAGGGTGCCCTGCCCAGGCATGCAGATCTGGAAGATTGTGCCCCACGTGATGCGTAGGAGTGATTTAAGGAAAGAGGAGGAGGTGGGGAGCATGGAGAGCAGTGAATACAAGGTCCACAGGAGCCTCAGACAGCGAGGACTTGGAATGGACACTGGAGGGAGGTGGCTGCAGAGGGGGAATTTTCATACCACTCTAAGGAGTTCAGACAGTAGGGCACCAAGCAGGGGTTTTAAGCAAAGGAGTGAAATTAACAGATTTGTCCAAGAAATACCATTCTAGCAGTAGAGGGCATGGGGCAAGCCTGGGGCCAAAGACCAATCAATGAGGCTGTCAGGTAAATCCAGAAAGGAGGAAAGTAGATGGATTTGGTGAAGTGTAAAGAAGGGAAAATTGGCAGGACTTGGTAATCATTTGGGGTAGAAAAGAACTGAAGGGTGGCTTGCAGGTTTCTGCTCCAGCATTGTGGTTTGCGATGGAGGGAATTTGCACAAGCTGAGTTTGAATTGCCTATAGAACAGAAGGCAGAAGAAGAGCCTACAAATGAGACTGAGAAAGGAGCAGCCAGATAAGTGAGAAGGGAGACCAGGGATGCGTGGCATCCCCAAAGCAGGGAGGGGCCCGCAGTGCTAAGTGAGAACTCAGGGGAAGGGCTGAAACGTGAGTGATGATGTGCTTACACCGATGTCCTTGGCACCTGCGTTGGTGAGATATTTTGGTGAGGTGGCAAGCTCAGAAGCCAGATTGGAAAGACTGGAGAAAATGAATGAGTAGTGAGGAGAAGAGACAGTAGCTTCCTTTAAGAAGCCAGAGAAAGCAGCCCACTCTCAAAAGACACTTAATCTAGGCTGGGTATGGTGGCTGACACCTGTAATCCCAGCATTTTGGGAGGCGAAGGCAGGTGGATCACCTGAGGTCAGGAGTATGAGACCAGCTTGGCTAACATGGAGAAACCCTATCTTTACTAAAAATACAAAAATTAGCTGGGCATGATGGTGGGCACCTGTAATCCCAGCTACTCAGGAGGCTGAGGCAGGAGAATCGCTTGAACCTGGGAGGCAGAGGTTGCAGTGAGCCAAGATAGTGCCATTGCATCCAGCTGGCGAGATAGCGCCACTGCACTCCAGCCTGGGCAACAGAGTGAGACTCTGTCTCAAAAAAGAACAAAAATCAACTGGGCGCGGTGGCGCCTGCCTGTGGTCTCAGCTGCTCTGGAGGCTGAGTGAGGTGGGAGGATTGATTGAGCCTGAAAGCTTGGGTGACAGAGTGAGACTCTGTCTCAAAAAGTAAATCAATAAATAAACAAATAGACTTAATCTAAAGGGAGAACAAACAAGGCAGCAGGGCACAGAGGGAGAGGGCATTATTTATGGCTCTCAGGATCTGAGTACCTTCAATATTGACTAAAAGAAAGAAAATTAGAACGTCTTAGAGCAAGCACTGTTACAGGTTGAGTACCCCTTATCTGAGATGTTTGGAACCAGAAATGTTTCAGATTTTTAATTTTTTTTTTATTTTGGAATATTTGCATATCCATAATGAGATATCTTGGGGATGGGACCCAAGTCTAGGCAATGGAATTCATTTATGTTTCATATACACCTTATACACATAGACCGAAGGTACTTTCGTACAATATTTTAAATAATTTTGTGCATGAAGCAAAGTTTGTGTGCACTGAGTTATTAGAGAGCAAAGGGTGGCTATTTCAGCCACCCATGGCTCTTCAACCAATCTGTGGTTGTTAGGCATCATATCATTTCTGACTCCAAATTTATATGCTGCCGATAAGCAATCTTTTTCTTGCATGTAGTCACACATAAGTACTTCACAGTAAGAAATACAACATACCATTAATACAGTGGAAAAGTTGTGTGTTCAGAGTAACTGAGCAGCACAGTAGCATGACCAGAATACCTGTGTCAGCTGCTAGACAACAGCAACAGCAAGCAACAGCAGCTTTCGGTCTCTACCTACAATGCTGTGTTTTGATTAAAAGGTTACTGTACTGTAACCCCCTTGGGGATGCAGAAATAAACTGTGTGTTGTGCGCCTGCATTTTGAATGCAGCCGCCCATGGGGCAGGTGTGAAATGTTCCACTTGTGGCCTCATGGTGGCACTCAAAAAGGCTGGAATTGTGGAGCATTTTGGATTTTCCAATGAGGGATGCTCAGCCTGCCCTAGAGAGAAGTCCCTGACGAGGCTGGTAGGAAGGCATGGAACAAGCCAACCACGCGCTCTGTATACTAGAGTTCAGGCCCATTTCCTGTTGGTTTGTCACATATAGAACAACAGATCAGTTGGGGACAGGCTTAAAATAGCCCTTGGAGACTGTTGTTAAGTCGTCCCCAAACCACTTCCCCTTTCATTGATTAAATGACATTTTAGGATAACCCACCTTGCCTGTGCCTCCTGGGGACTCTTGGCAGAAGAGTCAAGGATGGGTGTGCCATAGAGAATCATGGAGCCAGGGAATTACATAACGGGGAGACCATATACTCCAACCCCTTCTGTGTAGGGAGAAACTGAGGCCTCTGCCCTTCCCCCTTTTGATGCTGTGTGGGAAGGAAATTTTAAAGGACTTATTCTAAAAATCTGAGGGAAAACAAAAGAAAGTTGAATAACTGCGAAAATCGGATGCCACCCAAAGGGCCCTGTTTGTTTTTATTATTTGCGGCTCTCTGCTGTGAGCTCCCTTCTCAGCCATTTCTCTATTCTCAATCCGGGATCCCTTCTAGACAGATGCCTTTAAAATGTTTAGAATCTTCCTTCTTCCTTGAACAGGCTAGGTCTAGTATCATTAGCATGACCCTTACCAAGAAATCAACAGATCAGCTCCAAATGGAGTAGAAGGTTCTTGTCTTAAATGCTGACTTCTCCAGGTCCCTGCCACCCAGCCCAGTCAGGGCCCAGAAGAGCTTTCATCCAGTGCAGGAGTCATTTTCAGGAAGGACCCTCTCTCAGGGATGTGCCCAGGTGTCTGCACAGGTTGCTGTCACAGAGCTGGCTCCCTTTTGGGAGCAAGGTTTCAGGATGTTGCCTCTGACCCCAGCCCCAGGAATAGCACCAGGAGCACTAACTCAGATGTTGTTTTTTTCTAGGTTCCTTCTGACCAAGGGGACATGGCTCTGAAGATGATGAGACTGGTGACTCAGCAAGAATAGGATGGATGGGGCTGGAGATGAGCTGGTTTGGCCTTGGGGCACAGAGCTGAGCTGAGGCCGCTGAAGCTGTAGGAAGCGCCATTCTTCCCTGTATCTAACTGGGGCTGTGATCAAGAAGGTTCTGACCAGCTTCTGCAGAGGATAAAATCATTGTCTCTGGAGGCAATTTGGAAATTATTTCTGCTTCTTAAAAAAACCTAAGATTTTTTAAAAAATTGATTTGTTTTGATCAAAATAAAGGATGATAATAGATATTATTTTTTCTTATGACAGAAGCAAATGATGTGATTTATAGAAAAACTGGGAAATACAGGTACCCAAAGAGTAAATCAACATCTGTATACCCCCTTCCCAGGGGTAAGCACTGTTACCAATTTAGCATATGTCCTTGCAGAATTTTTTTTTCTATATATACATATATATTTTTTACCAAAATGAATCATTACTCTATGTTGTTTTACTATTTGTTTGACATATCAGTATATCTGAAACACCTTTTCATGTCAATAAATGTTCTTCTCTAACATTTTTAATGGCTGTGGAGCATTCTACTTTATGGTTGTACTCTAGTTTATTTACAAAATTCCCAGTTGTTTCCGACAAGTATAATAATTTCTAGTTTGTTGCTATTATACATAGTGCTCTGTTGATTCACCCTGATAGTTAGATTTTTTTGTACCTCCTTATTTTCTTAGAATAAATTCATAAAAGTGTAATTATTTAGTCAGAGGATTGCCACATTTCCTTAAAATCAAAATAATTAGCTCAGGACTTTTAACTTTTTATTCATAGCTCAAGATCTACATAAGGAGGTTTGATGCCGTGGCTCACACCTATAAACCCAGCACTTTGGGAGGTCGAGGCAGGAGGAATGCTTGAGCCCAGGAGTTCAACAACAGCCTGGGCAACATAGGGAGACCCCATTTCTACAAAAAAAATAAAAACATTAGCCGAGCATGGTGGCACACACCTGTAGTCCCAGCTACTCAGGAGGCTGAGGCAGGAGGATCACTTGAGCCAGGGAGGTTGATGTTGCAGTGAGCCATGATCAAGCCACTCACTCCAGCCTGGGTGACAGAGACCCCATCTCAAAAAGAAAAAAAAATCTGCATAGGGGATCTAACAGCTTCTAGGACTGTCTGAAAGAAATATCACCTCTTGTAGTTGCAGGGCTGAGATTTTATTTATTTATTTATTGAGACTCTGTGACCCAGGCTAGAGTGCAGTGGCACAATCATGCCTCAAATGATCCTCCTGCCCCAGCCTCCCAAGTAGCTAGTACCACAGGCAAGCACCATCACATCCAGCTAATTTTTAAAATTTTTTCGTAGAGTTGGAGTCTCACTATGTGGCCCAGGCTGGTCTCGAACTCCCAGGCTCTAGCAATCCACCTGCCTTGGGCTCCCAAAGTGCTGGGATTACAGGCATGAGTCACCAAGCCTGGCCAAAGGCTGAGATTTAAAAAAACAGCCAGGCACGGTGGCTCCAGCCTGTAATCCCAGCACTTCGGGAGGCCAAGGCGGGCAGATCACGAGGTCAGGAGATCGAGACCATCCTGGCTAACACGGTGAAAC
Source organism: Homo sapiens (assembly GCF_000001405.40). Taxonomy (NCBI): domain Eukaryota; kingdom Metazoa; phylum Chordata; class Mammalia; order Primates; family Hominidae; genus Homo; species Homo sapiens. The sequence continues at coordinate 57,007,810 of NC_000017.11, forward strand.
CCCATCTCTACACACACACACACACAAAATTAGCCAGGCGTGGTGGCGGGCACCTGTAGTCCCAGCTAGTTGGGAGGCTGAGGCAGGAGAATGGCGTGAACCCGGGAGGCAGTGCTTGCAGTGAGCCGAGATCGCGCCACTGCACTCCAGCCTGGGCAACAGAGCAAGACTCTGTCCCAAAAATAAATAAATAAATTAATTAATTAAAAAAAATAACAAACCCAAAGCTTATTCCTGCAGACTGTGAGGAAACAGTTAACAGCAGGTTATGTCTACGTGACTAACCCCTTCAGACCCTGAGACTAAAAACAGGCTCCTGGGACAGAGACTACACATGTCCCTATGGTTCACTGTTGGCAAGAACTCCAGTGTGCCCATGGAAAGCAAGAACCTTAGAAGCCTGTGCTGGATACCCCTGGACATCACCCATGTGTATCGTTTTTACCTGCCGCTTTTGATATGCATCTTTTGTTACAAAAATGTTAGCTATTAGTATAACCTGCTACTGAGCCTTGTGAGTCTTGGTGAACCATCCAACAAAGCAGTGAATCATAAAGCAAGTTGAATTCCCAACCTCACAGAGTCTCTTCTGTTAAAAGTTAGTGCATTGATTGAGAAGAAATGTAATTCTGAACATTGAGATGAGTCACCTGCACAGATGAAGCTAGGGGACCTCAAACCTTTTTGGCCATTAGAAGCCGCCCTTCCATTGCTGTCCGGGCAGGTTAATCATGTCTTGTCCTAAGATCTTGTAGTAAATTCCTAGACTTGCCCAGGGCTCTTATTCCTGCTGTATAACATTCTCTCTCAACCCACACCCCTACCTTCCTAGGGAATCCCTGTGATCAGTTGACAAAGGAAGACAACTCTCAGGCTTGATTTACAGACGGGGCTCCACAGTATGCATGCATCACCTGAATGTGGACCGCTATGGCACCACGGCCACACTCCAGGACAGCCCTGAAAGATGGTGTGAAGAGAAATCCTCCCAGTGGACAGAACTTGGAACAGTGCACTCAGCTCTTCACTTTCCCTGGAAGGGGAAATGAACAGAAGAATAAGTGCACCAATTCATGATTTAGCTGGGTATTTAGGGACTTGGAAGAAACTTGATTAGAAGGCTGGGCACAGTGGTTCATGCCTATAATACCAGCACTTTGAGAGGCTGAGGTGGGAGAATCCCTTGAGTCCAGGAGTTCAAGACCAGCTTGAGCAAGATGATAACACCCTGTATCTACAGAAAATAAAAACATTAACTCAGCATGTTGGTGCACCTCTGTGGTTTCAGCTGTGTAGGAGGCTGAGGTAGGAGAATCACTTGAGCCTGGCAGGTTGGTTGAGGCTACAGCGAGCCATATTTGTACTCCAGCCTGAGTGACAGGGTGAGACCTTGTCTCAAAAAGAAAAAAAACTTGATTAGAAAATTGATGACAAGAAGCTCTGAGGAAGAGGTATGAGATTAGATCTCTGAATGGCCGAGTATGAAGATCATTGTTTTCCATCTGAATACTCAACTAGGGCAAGGGAAGATTTTAATAATCAGGTGGGTAGATGACCCATTCTGTGGCTATTAGCCTCCTTCAGCCATTCCTGTAGACTCATGAACAAAGTGGCCATGGCGGCGGGGATGGAGGCTATGCATGGGCTTGGCAACATGTGCTTCCACTTACTAAGGGTGACCTGGTCACAGCCACTGCTGAGTGCCCCATCTGCCAGCAGAAGAAACAACACTGAGCCCCTAATGTGGCATCACTGCTGAAGAGATCAGCCGGCTACCTGGTGTTAGGCTGATTACATTGGACCACTTTTATTATGAGGCAGGCAGCACTGTGTTTTCAATGGAATTAACCCTTGCTCTGGACATAGATGTGCCTTCCTTTCCCACAATGCTTCTGCCAAAACTAGCATCTGTGGACCTACGGAGTGTCTCATCCATGACTATGGTATTCACAGCAAATGAAAGGCAGCAGTGAATTTACACAAGTGGAATTGACTGCTCTCACCATGTTCCCCATCCTCTTGAAGCAACTGCCCTGACAGATGGTTGAATGACTGAAAATTCAGTTACAGGGCCAGCTAGGAGGGGATAGATTGCAGGGCTGGGGTGCTGCCCTCCAGTATGTGGTACATGCTCTAAATCAACCGCCTTGTTTCTCCCATACCCAGGATTCATGAGTCCAGTTATCAAGGGATAAAAATGAAAGCGACTCCTCTCACTGTTAACCCTAGTGATCCAGTGGTAGAATTTTTGCTTCCCATCCCTGCAACTTTAGGTTTTGCTGGTCTAGAGGTCTTAGTTACAACGGGAGAAATGTTTTCTCTAGGAGACACAGCAGATAATCCGTGGAACTGGAGCTTGAAGCCACCATCTGGCCTCTTTGGGCACTGCATCAACAGGCAAAGTGCTGTCTGCAGTGATTGATCTGACTATCAAGAGGAAATGGGGTTGCTCCTACACAATGGACGTAAGAAGGAAGAATGCAGGAGATCCTTTGGGGCACCCCCTAGTACTGCCATATCCTGTGATTAAGGTCAATGGAGAGCTACAACAACCCAATTAAGACCGCTAATGGCCCAGACCCTTCACAAAAGATTTAAGTCATTCCATCAGGCAAAAAGCCACGACCAACTGAAGTGCTTGCCGAGGGCAAAAGATACGCAGAATAAATCATAGATGAGGGCAGTCATAAGTACTATGACCTTGTGACCCACTGTAGAAACGAGGACTGTAATAATTATGAGTATTTCTTTCTTCTTTTGATGTGAATCTATTTTAATAAATATTAACAAAAAAACTTTTTTTTTTGAGACAGGGTTATGCTCTGTCAACCAGGCTGAAGTGCAGTGGCACAATCACAGCTCACTGCAGCCTTCACCCCCCACCTCCCTGGGCTCAAGTGATCCTCCCACCTCAGCGCCCCCAGTAGCTGGGACTGCAGGCATGCACCACCATACCCAGCTAATTTCTGTATTTTTTGTAGAGATGAAGTTTTACCATGTTGCCCAGGCTAGTCTGAAACTCCTGGGCTCAAGTGATCTGCCCGCCTCTGCCTCCCAAAATGCTCTGCCTCCCAAAATGCTGGGATTACAGGCATAAGCCACAGCTGCATCTGGTGAACCAAATATTTTTGTTTTTATCTCTCATTCCTTTATCGTCTCTGATGTGCTAATAGTATTTAACCTTTTTTGTTTTTCTTTTTTAAGACAGGGTCTTGCTCTGTCACCGAGGCTGCAGTGCAGTGGTGCAATCACGGCTCACTGCAGCCTCAATCTCCTGGGCTCAAACGATCCTCCCAGGTAGCTGTGACTGCAGGTGCATACCATTGTGCCTGGCTTTTTTTTTTTTTTTTTTTTTTTGAGACAGGGTGTTGCTATGTTACCCAGGCTGGTCTTCAACTCCTGGCTTAAAGCAATCCTCGCAGCTTGGCCTCCCAAAATGCTTGTACCTAACTTTACATATAAATATTTATATTACAAGATGTCAAGGAAGGAATGTGAAACAGCTAGTAAAAGAATGAGCATCATCCAAAGACAAAAAGTGGACTCTGATTCTCTTCTGGGGAAAAAGATGTGTATTTCTGGGTATAGGAAGGACAGTTGTGTCATGGTAAGCAGAGTATGACTTTGTTATTGACTTTATTTGGAGATTAAGTGTGGTTTAAGGCAATGTTATGGGTGCCAAGTTGACAAGGGGTGGACTGTAGTGTTTTTGTAATGTTTCAACTTGCCTAGGCTAACTTTTTCAGAATTACCTTTCTTGTATGTTTCTGATTAGGGTGGCCCACAAGAGAAATTCTTCGGAAAATGTGGAGGGTGAAGTGAAGCAGCAACAGTTTTTCATTCATGCATGTTATCGTTTTTCTGCTGGCTCAGCTCAGCTGAGCTCAGCTGCTCCCCCTTCCCCCGGATCCTCCTAGAGCATGTCTGCTTCCCGGGCCAGGTGAGTGTGCTTAGCACTAAGAGGGACCCAAGAACTGACATGCGTTTCAGTCCCATGGACTCCATCTCTTGCTTGTGGGATTCACATTGTTCTTGTCCTTCTCCACTTTACATTCCTTGTTCCTTCCTGACTGCTTGCCCTGTGTACTTCAATCTCCAGCATCAGATTTGGAGACAAAAGCCTTATGAAGACTTCTTAACCAGCTCCACACTGCATAAGTCAAATCCCTGTTACACCTTCCCCCATACGCACGGCTGTGCACATGCAAACACGCACACACCGTTCTGCTTCTGAAATTGAATCCTTTTTTATTTTTGAGATAGAGTCACTCAGGCTTTAGGGCAGTGGTGCGATCACAGCCGCCTCGAACTTCTGGGCTCAAGCCATCCTCCTGCCTCGGCCTCCCAAGTAGCTGGGACTATCGGTGCGTGCTACCACTCCCAGCTAATTCTTTTATTTATTTATATATTTATATATTTATTTATTTACTTATTTTGAGACAGAGTCTCGCTCTGTCACCAGGCTGGAGTGCAGTGGCATGATCTCGGTTCACTGCTACCTCTGCCTCCTGGATTCAAGTGATTCTCCTGCCTCAGCCCCCCGAGTAGCTGGGATTACAGACGCGTGCTATGATGCCCAGCTAATTTTTGTATTTTTAGTACAGATGAGTTTTCGCCATGTTGGCCAGGCTGGTCTCCAACTCCTGGCCTTGTGTGACCCGCCCGTCTTAGCCTCCCAAAGTGTTGGGATTATAGGCATGAGCCACTGCACCCGGCCACCAGCTAATTCTTTTTTAAGTTTTATTTTTGTAGAGACAGGGTCTGGCTATGTTGGCCTGGCTAGTCTCAAACTCCTGCCCTCAAGCAATCCTTCCACCTCAGCCTCCCAAAGTACTGGGATTACAGGCAGGGACCACTGTGCTCAGCTGCTGATTGAATCCTGATTGATACAAAACTTTATTATTTTAATGGCTTCAAAATTCTCCACAATTGGAATCTGCATATCTGATGTCTTTCCGTTGCCTATACTTGTGAGCAACAATTGATCAGATACTCTCAAATCACATCGTTCTTAGTGTTGCCACCTAATGTTGCTGAGAAATTTGAAACCAATTCACTTCTTTTTCATCTTTGTAAATAATGAGTTTATTTTATTTTATTTTTTATTATTTATTTATTTATTTATTTTGAGACAGGGTCTCACTCTGGTTGCCCAGGCTGGAGTGCAGTGGCGTGATATTGGCTCACTGCCTCCCCCATCTCCTGGGCTCAGGTGATTCTCCCACCTCAGCCTCTAAAGCAGCTGAGACTGCAGAGGCCTGCTGCCAAGCCCGGCAACTTTTGTTTGTATTTTTAGTAGAGACTAGGTTTTACCATGTTACCCCAGGCTGATCTCGAACTCCTGGACTCAAGCTATTCGCCCTCCTTGGGCTCCCAAAGTGCGGGGATTACAGATGTGAGCCACCACACCTAGCCAACCAGTTTAATAAATGGTTGCTGTAAATTTTTTTTTTTTTTTTTTTGAGACGGAGTCTCGCTCTGTCGCCCAGGCTGGAGTGCAGTGGCGGGATCTCGGCTCACTGCAAGCTCCGCCTCCCGGATTCACGCCATTCTCCTGCCTCAGCCTCCCAAGTAGCTGGGACTACAGGCGCCCGCCACTACGCCCGGCTAATTTTTTGTATTTTTAGTAGAGACGGGGTTTCACCGTTTTAGCCGGGATGGTCTTGATCTCCTGACCTCGTGATCCGCCCGCCTCGGCCTCCCAAAGTGCTGGGATTACAGGCGTGAGCCACCGCGCCCGGCCAAATATTTTTGTTAAATTATGTAAACCGGGAACGTCTGATGGTTACATTGATGTTTAGCTTTTAATGAATTTTGCCTGATGTGTCGTGAGCTTTTAGATCCCCAGGCTCTGATCTTCAGTTCAGCAATGCTTTCCAGTATTTATTTGAATATTGTTTTAAGATATTTTCCCACTTTGTTGTCCTTTAGCTTTCATTCTAGATACTTTTTCTCCAGACTCCCGTCAACATCATTACTTCATTTTCGGTAATGTCACTCTAGACTTTGAGTTTCTTTTTTTTCCTTTTCCTTTTTTTTTTTTTTTGAGACGGAATCTCCGTCTGTCACCAAGGCTGGAGTGCAGTGGCATGATTCCAGCTCACTGCAACCTCCGCCTCCTGGGTTCAAGCAATTCTCTTGCCTCAGCCTCCTGAGTAGCTGGGACTACAGGCGCCCACCACCACGCCCGGCTGATTTTTGTATTTTTAGTAAAGATGGGGTTTCACCATGTTGGCCAGGATGGTCTTGATCTCTTGACCTCGTGATCTGCCTGCCTCGGCCTCCCAGAGTGCTGGGATTACAGGCATGAGTCACTGCGCCCGGCTAGACTTTGAGTTTCTAAAGGATTCTTAACTTCTATAATTATCTTTCTCCTTAATTTATTTTCCCTAGTTATGCCAGCTGCTGTTTCACCTTATCTTTTCATCTCATTTTACATTTCTTATTTCACAGGCTCCCGGTTTGCTTTAATTTCCTTGAGAGCGAGAAAAGTATTTGTAGTTTCCCAGTGCAAAGCTTCCAAGGGATGTTCCTCATTTATCTTTTGTGCTTTGTGTTAATTTCCTCCATTTTAGTTGCAGGTGTTTTTTCCCTATGTTTATGTGTTTGCTTTTTTATGTGTCTGTATCTTTGAATGAGGGCAGTTATATAATCATCTAATTGATTATCTGGTTATTTTTCAGATTGTCCACTTAATTCTTATTCAGGAAGCCTAGATGTGGCGGAGCTATATGGTCCTCACAGTTCTTCAGTTGCCTAAGGGCGGTGAATGCCCAGCTCTTGGATAATAATTATTGGGAACTTATTTCCTGTGTCCCTTAGGACTTAGGGAGTGTTTCCTTCCTAATGACATGAGTGCTCAGAATTTGTTGTGTTCCCAGCTTCAGGATGAACCCAAAACTTTGGTAAGATGCAAAGTCCATGATAAATCCAGGGACTCCTTATTTGATGAATATATTAGTTATCTATTACTGTATAAAAAATTACGCAGAAGGCCAGGCATGCTGGCTCATGCCTGTAATTCTAGCACTTTGGGAAGCCAAGGTGGAAGGGTTGCTTGAAGCCAGGAGTTCAAAACAAGCCTGGTTAATATAGCGAGGCCCTGTCCCTATTAATTTTTAAAAAATTAAAATAAATAAAATACCCAGAAACTTGGTGGCTTAAAACAACATTTATTATCTGACGGTTTCTGTATGTGAGGAGTCCACCTGTGGCTTAGCTGGGTCCTCTACTTTAGGACCTCTACAAGACTGCAATCAAGGGTTGGCCAGGGCAGCAGTCATCTCAAGGCCCAACTAGGGTAGAATGTGGTTCCAAGTTCAGCCATGAGGTTATTGGCACGATTCGCTTCCTCATAGGCTGTTGGGCTGAAGGACTCCCTTAATTACTTGTCATGTGGACCCTTCCATGGGCAGCTCACAATATGGCAGCTGGCTTCATCAGATAGACACAGAGAAAGAAAGAGTGAGAGAGCCAGAGAGAGAGAGCATGGGCAAATGTGCAAGACAAAGGTCACGATCTTTTTTTTTTTTTTTGAGACGGAGTCTTGCTCTGTCCCCTAGGCTGGAGTGCAGTGGTGCGATCTCGGCTCACTGCAAGCTCCACCTCCTGGGTTCACGCCATTCTCCTGCCTTAGCCTCCCCAGTAGCTGGGACTACAGGCACCCGCCACCACACCTGGCTAATTTTTTGTATTTTTAGTAGAGACGGGGTTTCACCATGTTAGCCAGGATGGTCTCAATCTCCTGACCTCGTGATCTGCCCGCCTCGGCTTCCCAAAGTGTTGGGATTACAGGCATGAGCCACCGTGCCTGGCCTAGGTCATGATCTTTTATAATGAAATCTCAGAAGTGACATCTTATTACTTTTGCCTCTTCTTTAGAAGCAAGTCTTTAGGGAGGACTTAGAAACAAGAAAAGGGGAAGAAATCTTTTCTCTCCCAGCTCCTCAACCCTCAACACTGAATGTTCCATGTGCCTGGCTTTCTGGAAACCTCCTGCCCCTTCTACCTAGCTGCTTTCTGATTTCTCTTCAGCTCTCAGAATAAATATGAATCTCTCAAGAAGCCCTCTCTGATCCCCCAAGCTAAGGTAGAACCCTGTTTTGCTCACTCTCTAAGCACTCTACCTGTACTTTGTAATCCTCAGTCTTCTTAAGACAGAGTAGAAACAGGGCTCGGTTTCAGCTCACCTGCTCTAGAGCATTCTTTCATGCATCCCCACTGATCCCAAAACCCACACCACTACCTCACTCCTCTTTTACTTAAAGAATTCCAGCATGGTTCTTAGGAGATAATGAAGGTTGTGGAGTGTCCCACCTAGGGAAGGGATGCTGCACAATTGATTTGCAGCCTTGTTGCTGCAGGCCAGACCACCAAGTGGCCCATTACTCAAGATAGCCATCGCAACTAGATATGCTGCCTTGCATACCCCACCCCTCACCGGCTTTGCTCAGCCCAGCCTACATAACCTACCCTGCTGTCAATGCCCATGCTTTGCATAATAAAAAAAGCCCTACTGGCTCTCTATGCCTCGCTTACCTCAGGACATAAGCTCCAAGGAGGCCTTGTCTGGGAAAACTTTTTCAGGCTCAGGTCAATTTCTATTGCTTTGAGAGCCCAAGAACCCATGGTTGGTAACACGTTCTTTGAGGGCTCATCTGGGATCAGGCTACATGGGGAGATTTTTCTTCTGCTAGTGGGGAGACTTGAGGGCTGATGGGACTGCTGGACAATATCCCTTAGTGGCTGACAGCAGCTGCCTGAACTTTTGACTCAGTGTCACCACAATGGATCAGTCTCCAGCCCCTTGGAACACCTCGCCCAAACCTCAAGGCAACACTTTTCTCCCTTCCTTTTCTCTGTCTTTCCTATCCCTTTTCTATTTTTTTCTGTCATTTGGGGTGCTTCGCCCCTCCTCTTCTAATCCCTTCTGGTTTGGGTTGCCTTATTAGACATCCATGAGGGATGGGTTGACATGATTTTCCTGATTTACTGGTCTGGGTCACTTGAATAAACATCCACACAGGATGAATTAAAAGGGTTGACCATCCAGTTCTGGTTAACCCAGCAGGCAGTGGGATGAGTCACACCCATCCCCTGGCCTAAATTGATTTGAGTTTAAGTCCCAAGAATCTCTCTCTCTCTCTCTTTGGGAGTCTGTCCAAATGTGTAGTCCTGCTGGTTTGGGGAGACTGCCCGAGACAGGGTGCCAGAAACGCCCAGCTAGCTTTCAGGAAGGCACCAGGGAGGCCTGGGTGTGACGGTCAGTATTGGTTTTCTAAACACTGAGGAAAGTTCAGAACACAAACCGTTAATGTCAAGCCTCTGAGCCCAAGCTAAGCCATCATATCCCCTATGACCTGCACGTACACATCCAGATGGCCGGTTCCTGCCTTAACTGATGACATTCCACCACAAAAGAAATGAAAATGGCCTGTTACTGCCTTAACTGATGGCATTATCTTGTGAAATTCCTTCTCCTGGCTCATCCTGGCTCAAAAGCTCCCCTACTGAGCACCTTGTGACCCCCCACTCCTGCCTGCCAGAGAACAACCCCCCTTTTTCCTTTACCTACCCAAATCCTATGAAACGGCCCCACCCCTATCTCCCTTCGCTGACTCTCTTTTCGGACTCAGCCCGCCTGCACCCAGGTGAAATAAACAGCCATGTTGCTCACACAAAGCCTGTTTGGTGGTCTCTTCACACAGACGCGAGTGAAAGTTAACTTACTACAAAATTAAGAAATTTAAGAGGCTTTGGCCTGTGGTTCTAAGATAGTGTTATGGGATCTTTGGGGTGTCACTTTTCTGGCTGGAAACCTCTGTGCTGGTGGCCCCTTTGACCGGGTTCTTGTCCTGAGTCCAGGAAGAATGAGGTACAGAGACAAGTGGAAGGTGAACAAGATAAAGAGGAGCTTTATTGAGTGTTACAACAGCTCAGAGGAGACCTGCAGTGGGTAGCTCCTCTGTAGGCAGGTCTTCTCGTCGGGTGTTCAGCTCTCAGCACAGAGGAGGCCCTCAAGAGGGAAGCTCCACTCTGCAACTGGTCATCCTGAAGTCTGTGGCTCTCAGCAGAGAGGGTAGCTCCTCTCTGCAGCTGATCATCCTGTCATCTCCAGCTCTCAGAAGAGTGGGTAGCTGCTCTCTGCAGCTGGTCATCCCATCATCTCTCCATCCTCTGCCCTGCTCTGGCTGAGCCCCGGGCTTTTATGGATCTCAGAGGGGGAGGAAGTGTATGCCGATTGGTACATGGGCCAACTCAGAAGAGGCACCACAAGTCCCCACTCCTGGGGGCTCAGGAAGGCCCCCCTGCCCTTTTAGGCTCAGAAGTGCCTGCCCTTCTGCCGGTCTTCTCCCTGCTGTTGGCTCCCGCTCCAATTCTGCCATGATGCCTGTTAGAGACAAACTGCTCCAAAAAGCTTCTTGGTGCTGCCCGCCCCTCCCCACTCTGCAACTCCTCTCCATGCTGCCCCAAGCCTCTTTACATTTCTAAGCCCTTATCTAGGCACTGCAGTGAACCCGGCAGACTTTACCTATCAGGACTTGCTGCTATAAAGCAAACCCCAATTACAAACCATCCAGACCCCACAGGGGGAGGTCATGGGAAGCATCAACAAACTTTACCTACATCCTCCGGTACCATAAATGTCACAGGTGATATGTGGCAGAGTTAACCAACAAACGACCCTGGGGTCTCTCTCCCCCATATAAACCCCTCATTTTGTAAACTCAGGGCTGCCTCCTCTGTCTGTAACCGAGCAGCCAGCAGGTTCAATAAACTTACTTGCCTGAACTTGGGTCTCTCTCTCTCGTCCTTTCTCTCAGCTGACCTTACAATGCCCGGCTAATTTTTGCATTTTTTGGTAGAGATGGGGTTTCACCATGTGGGCTAGGCTGGTTTCGAACTCCTGATCTCAAATGATCCACCTGCCTTGGCCTCCCAAAGTGCTGGGATTACAGGTGTGAGCCACTGTGCCCACCCAAAGCATAACAATCTTTTTTTTTTTTTTTTTTTTTTGAGACGGAGTCTCGCTCTGTCACCCAGGCTGGAGTGCAGTGGTGCGATCTCCGCTCACTGCAAGCTCCGCCTCCCGGGTTCACACCATTCTCCTGCCTCAGCCTCCCAAGTACCTGGGACTACAGGCGCCCGCCACCACGCCCGGCTAATATTTTGAGGTTTTTTTTAGTAGATACGGGGTTTCACCATGTTAGCCAAGATGGTCTCAATATCCTGACCTAGTGATCCGCCCACCTCAGCCTCCCAAAGTGCAGGGATTACAGGTGTGAGCCACCGCGCCTGGCCCAAAGCATAGCAATCTTAAAAGCATGTATCGTTATGAATATTGGGACATCTGGACTTTCCATCATTGTAAGAATGTGTCTTTTGCAGGTATCTTCAAGCTGTTTCCTGAACTGTAAACATCTCATGACTGTGAGTTGTGACAAGCATGGAATGCGCCTTGTTAGTCTCAAGATGAGCTGAACTCAAAATGGCATCACCCTGGCTCTGCTATGCTCCTATTTCCCTAACATAACCCCCAAAATTATAACTGGACAGATCCCTCTCAAAATCTAAGGTTTTGCTCATTTTGCATTGCATTACCTGATCATCTTGACTCTTGGAGGCATCAAAAATTACCTTGCATTATAAAAAAAATTTTAGCATTGATGTTTAATATCTAGGTAGGAAATAGTCTCTTTTGACTCCATGGCTCATATCCAGGTGATGCTGATGCAAGGGGTGGGCTCCTAAGGCCTTGGGTAGCTCCATCCCTGTGGCTCTGCAGGGTCCAGCCCCCACAGCTGCTTTCACGGTAGGCGTTGAGTGCCCTGGGCTTTTCCAGGCACATGGTGCAAGCTCTTGGTGGATCTACCATTCTAGGGTCTGGAGGATGGTGGTTCTCTTCTCACAGCTCCACTAGGCAGTGCTCCATTGAGGACTGAGTGTGGGGGCTCCAAGTTATCTTGGGACCTCCAAAGGAGAATTCACCCATTTCATATAGGCATTTGCAGGCAGAGATAAATCCATGGCTGGGCTCCAGGCTTTAAACAATCTAATCTGAGATTCTTACGGAACGAAGTTCTAGCAAAGCCAATTTAAAAAGAGAATAATTATCTTGCTGCACTTTATGCAAATAATCAGGCCAAGTATAATATGACTAAAACTTATTTTGCAAACACATTGGTCCTACCATGACTTGTCTTTGATTAAAAATGAAAGACTGGAGAAAAAATATTATAATACACCTGCTATTAGGTTCTAGTCTTGTCTGTTATTTTTGAGTTTTTTAAATATGATTTTTACAACATGGACTGAATCTTAAACCTTTTCTGGGCTGCAAGTCTCCCAACTAATGTTTGGAAATTTTTCTTCCATTTTTCTAACTTAAACTTGTGAAAAGAAAATAAAAACTTGGGACCCCAATTTACTATACCAAAGGGACAAAGTTAAGCTGAAACTGAGTCATGCAAGAAACTGCCTTTCCTTTTGTTTCTAAGCAGACAGCTACAGATAAAAGGTTAAGTATCTCCACAGGTCACTACTCTATGTTCACCTTATCTTATGCAAAGTTCTGTCTTACTGAGGGCAAGACAAATACATAATTTACTATTCCCCTACCTGCTCCTTTTCTCTTGCAACATGTGATTCAGTAACGTGACCATACCCTCCCTCTTCGCTTCCAGTCCACTTTTCTCCTTTACATATCGAAGCCCTCAAAATCATCTTTGGAGAAAGACACAGACCTCTCTTCTGGGTATATCCTTAACCTTGGCAAAATAAACTTCTAAATTGATTGAGACCTGTCTCAGATACTTTTTGGTTTACAAACTCAATAGAATTGCTACTACCTTTTTCCGAAGGCCCTGCAAGCTGAAGCTTATTCCTTGTGATACACGTGATAAGAGCACGTCAGATTGTCACTGCCTTCCTCCTCTGTAACTAAGATACTTTGAGTCTAACATCTGGATAGATTATGCCCACTATTAACATTTGTTTTTCTCCTGTTTATTCCATTTTTGGGAAGTGCCTTTTATTAAAAGTCTGTTTGCTTTATACTTCAGGCAACAGGAGACTGGCTCTCTGGACTATTCACCTAAATTAACGGCATCTGATCTCTTATAAGAATTATCGAACTCTTTGGGAGGCCGAGGCGGGCGGATCACGAGGTCAGGAGATCGAGACGATCCTGGCTAACATGGTGAAACCCCGTCTCTACTAAAAATACAAAAAATTAGCCGGGTGTGGTGGTGGGCGCCTGTAGTCCCAGCTACTCAGGAGGCTGAGGCAGGAGAATGGCGTGAAACTGGGAGGCAGAGCTTGCAGTAAGCCAAGATCGCACTGCTGCACTCCAGCCTGAGCGACAGAGCGAGACTCTGTCTCAAAAAAAAAAAAAAAAAAAAAAAAAAAAAAAAAAAAAAAAAAAAAAAAAGATCAAACTGAGCTTAAGCATGTTATTATCACTGGGTATTATTTAATTTTTTAAAATAATTATTTGTTATATTCAATAGGAGTATGGATGGTTAAAATTTATGTCTTCCAGGTTTCAACAGTGCCTAGTCTCTATAGGTCTTTAGAGCAGTCAGGAAGAGATCTCCATGCCCTGCACGGTTAGGCGGGAAGTAGCTTCAGCAGGAAGTAGCTTCAGAAGATGAGATCTTTGGACCTTTCTCCTTAAGAATAAGGAGAGTGAAATCTCTCAGTGGCTAATGAGACAGAGTAGTAATGGGGCTGAGCTTCAGCTCACCCCCACTAGAGCATTATTTCATGCATCCTCACTGATCACAAAACCTATACCACTACTTCCCTGATGCCATAATGTTTGAGCCATGCCTTTCACTTTAAGAATTCCAGGAGCTGGCCTTAGGCAGTTTGGTTCCAAGAACAGAATGTGTCTTACTCAGCTTTACATCTCTAGCACCTGGACCAGTGCCTGCCACATAGCACTGGGTAAATATTTGTCGAACTGAACTAAATTGGGAGTATCACACAGAGAACCTGGAGCTTGACTAAGAAATTGAGAAATGCATTTCCGGTTAATGGTTTCCATCAAGTTTCCTTTGGGACTTAAGTGATATGAGATATCCCTTTCACCATGCAATCCACCCCAGACATTGATGAGCTTGTCTTAATAAATAATGGTTCACCTGTCTCTTGCATCACTCTGAGACATTAGATGAACTCTTGCCAGATGCAGCATATTCCTTGTATCATCTAAAGAGTTATGTCCATTAGACATTAGCGTTGGCCAACTTGAAAATCTTGGGTTACAGTTTTTTTTCCATTATCTTTTTTTTTTTTAAACGGAATCTTTCTCTGTCACCCAGGCTGGAGTGCAGTGGTGCAATCTTGGCTCACTGCAACCTCTGCCTCCTGGGTTCAAGGATTCTCCTGCCTCAGCCTCTCAAGTAGTGGGGATTACAGGTTTATGCCAACATGGTTGGCTAATTTTTGTATTTTTAGTAGAGACAGGATTTCACCATGTTTGGCCAGGCTGGTCTCGAACTCCTGACCTCAAGTGATCCAACCACCTCACCTCCCACAGTGCTGTGATTACAGGCATGAGGCACTGTGTCTGGCCTCTTTAGAGTCTTGATAAATAGTTTTACTAAAGCAGGAAAAATAACTTCTTTTAGTCATGTTGTTTTAATAGCACCTAGTCTGTCCTGCTGTAACAGAATACCTGAGACTTTATATTTACAATATTTATTTATAATCAACAGAGATTTATTGGCTCATGGTTCTAGAGGCTGAGAAGTCCAAGACTAAGTGATCAGCATCCAGTGAGGGCTTTCTTGCTGTGTCAGCCTGTGACAGAAGAAGAGACATTGAGAGAGAGAAAGAATGCAATAAAGTGACTGAACTCATCCTGTTATGTGGAGCCCCCTCCTGCATTAATCCATTCGTGAGGGCAGATTCCTTATGGCCTAATCGCCTCTGATTAGGTCCCACCTCCCAACACTGTTGCATTGGGAGATTACATTTCTAACACATGCTTTTTGGGGCTACATTCAAACCATAGCACAATGCAAATCCTGAAGCTATTGACAAAGCAAGCGGGGAAAGTCAGCAATGCCCTTATTAGAATGTATTCTGGATCACCTTGTGTGATACTGTGATTTATAATGAGAAATATATACTTGAACTTCAACCCCATTTCTGATACAGAGCTCCTACAACCCTGAGAATTTTCTAAGTGGTAAAAGTGAAAAAAGCATCTTGATTTTCCTAACAAGCCCCTTTCAACCACACTAAAGTATATGTTAATTAGGTGACTTTTGGAAACCCCCTCTGGGTGGGGGACTGGTTGCCAAGAAGCCAACCAAGTGATTAGAGGATTACAACTTTCAGCCCCACACCCCACCCCCATCTCTAGGGGAGGGGAGATGAAGCTGGAGATTAGGTTCATTTCAATGGCCAACGATTTAATCAGTCATGTCTACATAATGAAGCCTCCACAAAAACCCAAAAGGACCAGATCCAGATGGGTGAGGATGTGGAGGTGCCGAGAGAGTAGCATGCCTGGAGAGGGCATGGAAGCTCCACACCCCTTCCCATACACCTTGCCCCATACATCTCTTTCATTTGGGTGTTTCTGAGTTGTATCCTTTTATAACAATCTGGTAATCTAGTAAATGAAGTGTGATATAGTTTGGATACGTGTCCCTGCCCAAATCTCATGTTGAATTGTAATCTCTGGTATTAGAGATGGGGTCTGGTGGGAGATGATGGGCTCATGGGGGCTGAGTTCTCACAAATGGTTTAGTACCAACCCCTTGTTGCTGTCCTCACCATAGTGAGTGACTTTTCATAAGATTTGGCTGTTTAAAACTGGGTGGCACTGTTACTGGAAAGGGATCCCCATCTATACCCCAAGAGAGGGCTCTTGAATCTCCTGCAAGAAATAATTTAGGGTGAGGCCAGGTGCAGTGGCTCATGCCTGTAATCCCAGCACTTTGGGAGGCTGTGGTGGGCAGACTGCTTGAGCCTAGGAGTTTGAGACCAGCCTGGCCAACATGGCAAAACCCCATCTCTACTAAAATTAAAAAAAAAAAAATTTAGCCAGGCATGGTGGCACATGCCTATAACCCCAGCTACTTGTGATGCTGAGGTGGGAGGATTGCTTAAGCCCTAGGAGGTGGAGGTTGCAATGAGGCGACATGGCACTCACTCTGTCTCCAAAAAAAAAAGAAAAGAAAAAAAACTGGGGGCACAGAGCAGCCCCAAGGGCTACTAGTTGCCCTTTTTAATGGTTATTTCTTGATTATATGCTAACAAGGGGGTGGATTATTCCTGAGATTTCTGGGAAAGGTGTGGGCAACTCCCAGAACTTAGGGTTTCTCCCCTTTTCAGACCATACAGGGCAACTACCTGACATTGTCATGGCATTTGTAAACTGTCATGGCTCTGGTCGGAGTGTAGCAGTGAGGACAACCAGAGGACACTGTCGTCACCATCTTAGTTTTGGTAGGTTTGGGCTGGCTTCTTTACTGTAATCTGTTTTATCAGTAAGATCTTTGTGACCTGTATATCATGCTGATCTCCTATCTCATCCTGTAACTTAGAATGCCTTAACCTCCTGGGAATGCAGCCCAATAGGTCTCAGCCTTATTTTACCCAGCCCCTATTCAAGATGGAGTTGCTCTGGTTCAAATGCCTCTGACGTATTTCCCCTCTTCCTTTTATAAGAGAACCCTTAATCCTAAGGGTTGTACAGGGATAAAGATGTATCTTCTGTAACTTCTTAAGGCTGAATAGAGGCAATGATATTCCTGACTATTAGGGTCTTTTGCATTCAGGGTAGAGAGGAGCTCAGTCAGAAAGCATAGGCATGGTGAGGGCCATTCATAACTCTGAGAAAAGGTGATATCTGGAAAATTAATAAGTGTTCAATTTAAGAAACCATTAAGTAAACTTATCCTGCATCTCTACGCAAAGAGTACAACCACAATATGTTCCACAACAGCAAAGCAAAATAAGTAAAATTATCCCAAGTAAATGAAATAAGAAGGCTTTCCATGAACTGGGCAACTGTTGAAACCAAGCTGATATGGGGACATTAGCTGATTCCAAAATGTGACCAGAATTAGAATATTGATCCAGATTTTTACATTACCCATCCCTCTTGTTTCTTCTGAACTGCAGCCAGAGCTCACTGGTTGGTTCACAGAAATAAGTAGGGTTAGTCTAAATTGCAGGAAAAAACTAAAAAATAACTGATGAGACTAGAATCTAAGAACAAGTTTTTGAAACATAATTTTTCTCTCTCTAGTCTCCCATTTTTATTAAAAACAAATCATGGCAAGACCAATTTGCTTTATTATACTTGGCCTGATTATTTCTATAAAGAGCAGCAAGAATAATTATTGTTCACATAGGCTTTTAAAATAGGCTTTTTTTTTTCTTTTTTTTGAGACAGGGTCTCTCACCATTGCCCAGGCTGGAGAGCAGTGGCATGATCTTGGCTCACTGCAGCCTCCACTTCTAAGGTTCAAATGATTCTCCTGCCTCAGCCTCCTGAGTAGCTGGGATTATAGGCACCTGCCACCACACCTGGCTAATTTTTGTATTTTTAGTAGAAGCAGGGTTTCACCATGTTGGCCAGGCTGGTCTCAAACTCCTGACCTCAGGTGATCCACCTGCCTTGGCCTCCCAAAATGTGGAATTACAGGTGTAAGCCATGGCGCCTGATCTAAAATTGGCTTTAATGGACTCTGTTCCATCAGGAATCTCAGATAAGAGTCTTTTTAAAGTTAAGCACAGCCATGCATTTATACCCTCAAATACCTGTGAGTTGGGTGAATTCCTCTCCTCTTGAAGTCCCAAGATAACTTGGGGACCCTGGGACTGTAAGAAAGTGATATTCTTTACTCACCACAGGTCAGAAACCCTGTACAGGGACTGTGTAGACAAGGTATGAGGCCAGTTTTCCCAAGGGGCTTTTATTGGCTTTATAAGTCAAGTTTGATTCCTTAAAGGAAAGTACACCATTCCAGTCAAAGCCTTGGTAAAATAACCAGTATCTCCAATTGTGTCTTGTTACAAAAGAAAACGAATTCTTATTGCACTTATGCAGGTAACTATATTGCCATAAATTAAGAATACTCAACAAATAGTTTTTAAATTCTGGATAAATCAGGTAGAGAGAAACAAATATGCTCCAAATTGTGTTCACAGGTATTCTTTACTCAATTGTTAAAAGCTGTAAACAGTTCTAAAGAAAAGTCTCTTTAACTCTGAAAAACAAAACAAAGGATCAGCAACATTTTAAGCAAAAAGTCAAAAAAGGTTACTTCATTCTTCTATTAGTTCAGTCCACGCAGTTAACTTCTGTTCTACTTGATATTCATCAACATTTCATCTCTCCATGAACACTGAAAGTTTTTTTCCTCTGTTCTAATGTCACAGTCTCCAAAGTTATCAGAAACTTGCATTCAAGAACACCTGTTAGAGACCTATAGCTGATTACAAACCACCTTTTAAAGAGGATCAAAACAAGACCATCATTGTTTGTGGATGACAAAATGTCTTAGGACAGCCACTATTAAAGCCACAGTTGACTAGGTAATTTTGGTTACTTCTGTGGCATAAACAATTTTACATAACAATTATAACTATGAATAACATGCACTGTTATGTTAGAATTGTATACTTTTTGAACACATACCAATAACATATTTATACATATACAGCCCAAAGAAAGCCAAACAGCATCTCATAGTTGACAATGTTTCCTGCATGGTTTTATACCAAATGAGCCACACTTTACCATTGCATTAATGCATTATTGATGTCAAACCCAATCCTTAATAAAACCTTATAGACAAATCTATCCAATTTTAATGTCTGACCAAAAGGTAAGATTCTCATAGATCTTTTTTATAGCCTTTACAATTTTTGTTAAAGAGCAGATCAATTCTCCGAGAGAAAACCTCATTGTGCTTTTATTTGAATATTCAATTTATGGAAAAACTGAATAATATTCCTTTAACTTTAGCCAATATTTTCACACATAGAATTTCTTTTACAAGAATAATTTTTCACAAACCTTCCATAACTTGTCCAAACCTTTAGATTTATCCTAACTGAATACAATCCTTTAACACTTTAATCTAGGCAGAAAAATCCACATTCCCATGCCTTCTTAAAATCTTTTGCCAAAAGTACATTTTACTTTACTTATACACCTTGCAAGTAAAATTGTTTCTTCAGTAGCCTCAATTACATGTTACAGTGTTAACTCTTAACTTTTACTTTTGGTGAAAAACCTGGTTAATGAGTGATTTATTTATTTTTATTTATTTTTTTAAGATGGAGTCTTGCTCTGTTGCCCAGGCTGGAGTGCAGTGGCATGATCTTGGCTCACTGCAACCTCCACCTCCCAGGTTAAAGTGAATCTCCTGCCTCAGCCTCTCTAGTAGCTGAGATTACAGGCACCCACCACCATGCCCAGCTAATTTTTGTATTTTTTTTTTTTTTTAGTAGAGACAGGGTTTCACTATGTTGGCCAGGCTGGTCTCAAACTCCTGACCTCAAGTGATCTGCCCACCTCAGCCTCCCAAAGTGCTGGGATTATAGGTGTGAGCCACTGTGACTGGCCAATAAGTGATTTTAATTACGTACCAGGTGTGTGTGGAGCCTAGGACCCAGAGAGAAGTACAGATAAGGTCTGACTTTTCTCAGCATAGCCAGGGGGTATGGATAGCTCCACATGTCCCCAGGTTTCATCTAGAATTTAATGCTCCAAAGTAGGTAAATTGAACAATTTTCAAAAGTCAAAGAAGCAGTTTATGACCTTAAAGCATTAAGCAAACCTAATACCTGACCTGCATAATTTAGACCAAATGCCTAAATTTTGAAAACATTTTTGTTTTACCAATAATCTTTAAAACTGTGTTTCCCAAAGCTTACTAAAGTCATGTGAACCAAAAGGCATTAAAGTTTTTATTTTTCTGACAAAATATTTGATTTAAGCACTTATTATTTTTAAGCCAATTAATCAAAGCTCTTTCATATAGAAACATTATACACATAACACATATAAATACAAAGACAGAAGAAGATCCAGTAGTTGAAAGATTTTTCATTTGCCAGTTTCTTAATTGGATTACTGGCTTCAGGGTGGAGCCCTTGGAGGAACACAGCCAGGAAAGCATGCCATTTCTACAGCCTAATAAGTAGGCACAGCTGGAAACAAAACAGATTCCCAAAATTTAAGGGTCCCAGATCCAGATCCTGGATCCCCAAAAGAGAGATTCAGCCCATCTCCCATGGGAGTCTTATCTCTCAGTGGGGGTGGGGTCATTTCCATACCTTCTAGGTAGTCAAGAGCATGCTTCTCTAATGCAAACATGCAAAGAGCCACGTATTCCCCCATAACTGCCATTAGCTATCCCCAAAAGTATATTCCTACCCAGTTGTTATACTAGGTAAAGCTTATACCAAAGCTCTCTAATAATGTAAAGTAATTTCTGATACCCCAAAAAGTTAAAAATATCAGATAATGCAATGCAAAACAGGACAAAGCCTTAGATTTTGAGAGGAATCTACCCACTTTTATTTCCTGGGTTTCCATGAAGACAATAGACATTTTTCCCCAAATGGGATCTGTGGTGCCTCCTATTACTGCAACCTGTTTTATCAGAAAGGTCTTTATGACCTGTGTCTCGTGCTGACCTCCTGTCTCATCCTCTGACTAAGAATGCCTTAACCTCCTGGGAATGCAGCCCAGAAGGTCTCAGCCTTATTTCATCCAGTCCCTATTCAAGATGGAGTCGTTCTGGTTCAAACACCTCTCACAGCACCTCAGTCTCTCTCTTGCTCCTGCTCTGGCCATGTGAGGTGCCTGCTCCCCCTTCACCTTCACCATGACTGTAAGTTTCCTGAGGCCTCCCAAGAAGCCGAGCAGATGCCAGCACCATGCTACCTGTATAACATGCAGAACCATGAGCCAATTAAACCTCTTTTCTTTACACATTACCCAGTCTCAGGTATTTCTTTTTTTTTTTTTTTTTGAGACGGAGTCTCACTCTGTTGCCCAGGGTGGAGTGCAGTGGTGCGATCTCGGCTCATTGCAAGCTCTGCCTCCAGGGTTTATGCCATTCTCCTGCCTCAGCCTCCCGAAGTGCTGGGACTACAGGCGCCCACCACCACGCCTGGCTAATTTTTTGTATTTTTAGTAGAGATGGGGTTTCACCGTGTTAGCCAGGATGGTCTCGATCTCCTGACCTCGTGATCCGCCCACCTCGGCCTCCCAATCAGGTATTTCTTTATAGCAATGTGAGAATGGACTAACAAACATTACCTGAGTTCTGTGAGCTGTTTTAGCAAATGATTAAACTCAAGAAAGGGATCATGGGACCCTCTGACTCATAGCCTGTCAGAAGCACCAGGTGACAAGCTGGACTTTTGATTGGCAACCGACTGTGGGGTAGGTACTAACTTCAGATAGATCATGTCAGAACTGAATTGAATTGTAGGATACCCAGCTGGTATCTCCAGAGAATTGGAGAATTGCTTGGTATAGGAACCCCTGCTACACACACACATCTGGTGTCACAAGTGAAGTACTGAGTTTTTCCTTTCGTTGTGAAGAAGAAAACCCTTTTTATTCTAAATGCCTTGTGTTTGGTGTCATTGAAGCTACATAGTGTCTTAGTTCTTTCCGGCTGCTATAACAAAATTACCTTAGACTAGGGCATTTATAAATGACAGAAATTTATTCCTCATAGTTCTGGAGTCTGGAAAGTGCAAAATCAAGATGCCAGCAGGTTTGGTGTCTGGTGAGGGCCCTTTCATGAGGGTTCCGCTCCCATTAACCACTCCTAAAGGCCCTATTTCTTTTTTTTTTTAATTATTTTTTTGTAGAGGGTCTCACTATTTTGACTAGGCTGGTCTCAAGTTTCTGGCTTCAAGCAATTCTCCCACCTCGGCCGCCCAAAGTGCTGAGATTACAGGCAAGAGGCACTTGTGCCAGTCCCATTTCTTTTTCTTTTTCTTTTTTGAGATGGAGTTTCACTCTTGTTGCCCAGGCTGGAGTGCAATGGCACGATCTCAGCTCACCACAACCTCTGCTTTTGGGGTTCAAGTGATTCTTCTGCCTCAGCCTCCAGAATAGCTGGGATTACAAGCATGCTCCACCATGCCTGGCTAATTTTTTGTTGAGATGGGCTTTCTCCATGTTGGTCAGGCTGGTCTCAAACTCCCGACCTCAGGTGATCCACCTGCCTCAGCCTCCCAAAGTGCTGGGATTACAGGTGTGAGCCACTGCCCCTGGCCCCTAGCCCCACTTCTTTAGTACTATCCCATAGGCAATTAGGTTCCAATATATGGGGAGATAGGACATTTCTGCTGGGCTTGAACACCTACATTTTTAAAATAAAATTTAAAAACAACCATAATACCATCATCACTCCCCTACTACCCCCCAAGTGAAAAATATCTTAGTATCATCAAATATCCAAAGCCCACGTAGACTACAAATTTATTTCCACCAATTCAAATTCCTGGGCTGGAGCATCTGATTAGTGGGTCTACAGGACTACTCTGTATCTACCAAGGAGGAGAGAGAGGAAAGGTATAACCTCATTGAGGCCCCAATAGCTTCTCATCAGAGGATTCTGCCTGATGCTGGCAAGACAAAAAAAAAAAAAGAGTTTTGCCAGGCGCGGTGGCTCACATCTGTAATCTCAACACTTTGGAAGGCTGAGGCAGGTGGATTGCTTAAGTCTAGGAGTTCAAGACCAGCCTGGGCAACATAGGGAGACCCCATTTCTACAAAAAATTTTTAAAATTAGCCAGGCATGGTGGTGAGCACCTATAGTCCCAGCTACTCAAGGAGGCTGACGTGGGAGAATCGCTTGAGCCTGGGAGGTCAAGGTAGTGAGCCACGATCATGCCACTATACTCCAGCCTGGACAACTAAGTGAGGCTCTTCCCCCGCTCCAAAAAAAAAGAAAAAAAAAAAAAGAAATGACTTCCCATTACAAGTGGTGTCAGCAATAATGCAGAAGAGAGGGAATGGCCAGAAAAGCTTTTGGACAGGAGGTCAGATTAAACTGAGCTCTATGAGATGGGTAGAGTATAGGTATCTAGAGATGGGTAGAGTGTAGGTACCTAAAGATGGGTAAAGTGTAGGTAACTAGAGAGACTAGAGGATAGGATATTTTTTATTTTATTTTTCCTTCTTTGTGATGGAGTTTCACTCTTGTTGCCGAGGCTGGAGTGCCATGGCGCCATCTCGGTCCACTGCAACCTCTGCCTCCCGGGTTCAAGCAATTCTTCTGCCCCAGCCTCCAGAGTAGCTGGGATTACAAGCATGTGCCACCACAACCAGCTAATGTTATATTTTTAGTAGAGACAGTTTTCACCATGTTGGCCAGGCCGGTCTCAAACTCCTAACCTCAGGTGATCCACCCGTCTTGGCCTCCCAAAGTGCTGGGATTACAGGCATGAGCCACCACGCCCAGCAATATTTTTTATTTCTAATAAAATAATAAGTGTAATAGTAACAAAATTTAGAAAATAAAGAAATGTAGGAAAATAGTTATTAAAAGTCTCATTACCCAAAAAAGTCATTTGGCTTAATTCATATCCCTATATTTTTTATTTAACGGGCATTATAAGAATTTATCTATGTTACTGTGGGTTCTTTGTCAGTATAATTTTTTTTTAAAGAGAGAAGGTCTTGCTCTGTTGTCCAAGCTGGAGAACAGAGTGCAGTGGTATGGTCATAGCTCACAGCAGCCTTGAACCTCTGTGCTCAAGTGATCCTTCTGCCTCAGCCTCCTGCATAGCTGGGACTACAGGTGCCACCACCACACCCCGCTAATTTTTCAATTTTTTGTAGAGACAAAGTCTCATTTTGTTTCCCAGACTGGTGTTGAACTCCTGGCCTCAAGTGACCCTCCTGCCTTGGCCTCCTGAAGGGCTGGGATTACAGGCCTGAGCCACTGTGTCTGGCCTTGTAAATATCATTTTTTAACAGATACATAATATTCCATTAAGAAAATGTTCTACACTTCATCTGACCAGTCCTCCATATTTTGACATTTATTCAAATTTCAGTTTTTCTTTTCTTTTTTTTTTTTTTTTTCAGACAGGGTCTCATTCTGTCACCCAGCTGGAGTGCAGTGGTGCCATCTTGGCTCACTGCAACCTCGACATCCCTGGCTCATGTGATCTTCTCACCTCAGCTTCCCAAGTAGCTGGGATTACAAGTGTGCACCACCATGCCTGGCTTATTTTTTAAATTTTTTTTGTAGAGACAGGGTTTCACCATGTTGCCCAGACTGATCTCAAACTCCTGGGCTCTAGCAATCGCCCACCTGGGCCTCTCAAAGTGTCATTTCAGTTTTTCTGATTATAAATAACTGTGATGAACATTATTTTGCTTAAAGCTTTTTCTGGTTTTAGAGTTATTTAATTACTATGGACTCCCAAAAGCAAAATTCTGGTAAAATGTTGTATAAATATTATAAAGAGTGGGGGTATTTCTGATACTGATTTTATACCACCTTATATTGTTATTTAGTAATCTCAAGAGGTGTTTCAAATTCTCAAGGCAAAATTGATAGAAATTGGTAAATTTTAAGACCATAGGCCCTAGGGTGTATAGCATAGAGGCAGAATTTTTAACTGCGCACACAGCGATCCAGAAAAAAAAAAAAAAATACTACATTTCCCAGCAGTTAAGTGTGGCCACGTGACTACGTTCTGGCCACCGGGATATAAACAGAAGTGTTCTGGCAGCAGCTGGAAACCGTCCCCTTTGGTGTACCTTTTGTTCCCTTTCACCCTCTTTTATTTTGCTGGCTGGAATGTGAATGCAACCATTTGGGATCATGGTAGGAAGATATGCTAGAATGAGCCGAGGTCCCCGAGGATTTTGAGGACTGGAGCCACCATTCCACCTTTGTACTCCTTTTCTCTCTTTACATGGAAATAAATTTTTGTCTTAAGCTACTGTTGGTTTGGGTTTTCTACCACTTACAGCCATGCCTAATTCTGACTAAATACAATGTGGTTTTAAAACTGGGACAGGCATTGTTATACTCTTCTTCATAAGCCCAGAGTAGCTGAGAAATGTTGCCATGGGAAAAAAACATTACAGGCCGGGCACGGTGGCTCATGCCTGTAATCCCAACACTTTGGGAGGCCGAGCTGGCAGATCACCTGAGGTCAGGAGTTCGAGACCAGCCTGGCCAACATGGTCAAACCCCGTCTCTATTAAGAATACAAAAATTAGCTGGGTGTGCTGGCAGGTGCCTGTAATCCCAGCTACTCAGGAGGAGGGTGAGGCAGGAGAATCACTTGAACCTGGGAGGCGGAGATTGCAGTGAGCCGAGACCGTGCCACTGCACTCCAGCCTGGGCAACAAGAGCAAAACTCCGTCTCAAAAAAAAAAAAAAAAAAAAATTTCAAATGTACTTTGAGATCAGGTCACGAGGAGGTTTGACTTTTTAAGTGTTCCTGATTCTAACAGAAAAGAAAACATTAGTGTCAGCAGCAGGAAATTTCAAGTAAAACTATAGGATTCGTGACGTCCAACTTCTAATTTAGTTGCTTCAAGTGTAAAGGCAAAAAGGAGTTGTGGGGTAGAGGGGAGAAAACTGGTTTGTCTTGTTTCCAAGGATTACTGCCCCTACTTCAAGAGCTATTAAAAGGTCCTCTTGAGAGAACTGTAACCAAAAATAAAGTGGCACTGGCAACTCTCTGGGAACACATTTAACTCTGCTCGTAGAAGCATAGCCTGTTTTAATTGGCTAAAGCCCAAGCCAGGCCCTGTTTTCATCTGAATTAGGAAAAAGCAACTGCTGAGAAAATATTTAAAAATAACTATACCAATGTAAAAAAGCAAAGAAAAAAAAAAAACAAACAAAACCCCAAAACCCTAAATTAAAAGAACATGTGTTCGAATGTACTTGGTTAAAGCCAGATGCAGTGGCTCGCACCTGTAATCCCAGCCCTTTGGGAGGCCAACATGGAGGATCGCTTGAGCTCAGGAGTTCAAGACCAGCCTGGGCAACATAGGGAGACCCTCTCTCTATTTATTTTAATTTTTTTTAAACAATGTACTTAAAGTAAATCAAATCTGGTGAAGACACAGATGCTTTGGGGCTCAGATCTATATGTTAGGATTGGGAATTTGTATTTTTGTTTCTCAAAAGTGGTCACTGACTGGGTACAATGGCTCAGACATGTAACCTCAGCACTTTGGGAGGCCAAGGTGGGAGGATCATTTGAGCCCAGGAGTTCTAGACCAGCCTGGGCAATATAGTGAGATCCTATCTCTACAAATAAAAATAAAAATAAAAATAAAAATAAAAAAAATGCCAGGCATGGTGGTGCATGCTTGTAGTTCCAGTTACTTAAGAGTGTGGGGTGGGAGAATCACTTGAGCCCAGGAAGTTGAGGCTGCAGTGAGCTATGATCATGCCACTGCACTGCAACCTGGGTGACAGAGTGAGACCCTGTCTCAAAACAAAAGAAAAATGTGGTCACTTCAGGGGGCAGTGAAGTAAGTGCAATATTTTGCTGTGATGTTTACAAGCAATCTTGGTATTTGATCTTTTCTGCCATTAGAATTTGTCAGCCAAGCTGGGCACAGTGGCTCATGCCTGGAATCCCAGCACTTTGGGAGGCCAAGGTGGGAGGATCGCTTGAGCCAAGGAGTTATAGACAAGCCTGGGCAACACGGTGAAACCCTGCCTCTACAAAAAAAAAAACAAAAATTAGCCAAGTATGGTGGTGCATGCCTGTAGTCCTAATTACTTGGGAGGCTGAGGTGGGAGGACCACGTGAGCTGTGATGGCACCGCTGCATCTAGCCTGGGTGACAGTGAGACCCTGCCTCAAAAGAAGAAAAAGGAATTTGTCAGCTGAGAGCATTAGGGCCAGACTCAAAACCAAGAGCTGCATCCAACTGACTCCCTCTGGAATTAAATAGCATCATCAGTGACATACCTTAGTCTGGTGTCCTCTGGCATACAGAACTCACCCTAGACTAGATTGCCCCTGTCAATGTCCCTCTTCCAACCTACATGTGATATGTCCTGACAAGTTTCTGCAAGATTTCTTCTTTTCCCCAAACTGACCCCAGATTAAAGCTTCAGGAGCTTGCTCTCAACCAAGCTGAAAAGGGGCCATTCAATTTGTGACTCCATATGGCAAGATGTTCATCCAAGCCAGCTTCCTTCTGCCAGCCTGCATACCTTCAGACTCCTCCAAACAATCAGGGGCTGTTCACCTGGGGACAGCAAACAAAGTTGGATGTTGTCTTTGGCAAAGTATAAAAAAGGCAGCAAATATATTTCAAAATAAATCTTACACTGCACCCCAAAGCCAATATGATTAAAAAGAAACATGTAACCATGTTTGCCATTCTTGTTTTTTTTTTTTTTTTGAGACAGGGTCTCACTCTGTCGCCCAGGGTGGAGTACAGTGGCGCAATCTCGGCTCGCTTCAACCTCTGCCTCCTAAGCTTACGGGATCCTCCCACCTCAGCCCCCAAGTAGCTGGGAGTACAGGCATGAACCACCATTTTTCTGTATTTTTTGTAGAAATGGGGTTTCACCATGTTGTCCAGGCTGGTCTCAAACTCCTGAGCTCAAGCAATCTACCAGCCTCAGCCTCCCAAAGTGCTAGGATTACAGATGTGAGCCATCGTGCTGCGCCTGGACAGCCATTCTTTTTTTTTTTTCTTGAGACAGGATCTTGCTCTGTCACTCAGGCTAGAGTGCAGTGGCGCAGTCATAGCTCATTGCAGCCTCGACCTCCTGGACTCAAGTGATCCTCCAACCTCCCAAGTAGCTGGGATCACAGGTGAACACTACCACACCCAGCCAATTTTGAAATTTTTGGTAGAGACACGGTCTCTCTATGTTGTCCAGGCTGGGGCTATTCTGTTACTATAATAAACAATTAACCTTCAGTGGGTCATATAATCCCTTTACTTATGGGCATTAGGATGTTTCTGATGTTTCTGATGATGTTTCTGTCTTTTTCAAAATAGACATTTCACTTCCAGGGTACTGGGGTTGGCTGTAGTACTTGGCAATGAAATCTACACTTTCTCAGGAGAAAAAAGTCCCGCACTTCATCAATCATGGTTGTTTCTGAGATGGATTTAACGCTGTGTTCCACCAGGGTCACAGCTCGTTCTTACCTTGTGCTTTTTCTTTGAAAGCCACCTGGCTCCTGCCACAGCCCCTTGAAGGTTGCCTTTGTTAGTTGCTCACTTTCCCTTTAAGAGTTGTGAGTGTTTCGGCTGGTAAAGTTCCAAGTGCCCTCTGGACAAATTGGCACAATGTGAGGATTTTCCAATTTGGAAGAGAAAGAGCCTGTTCTCCAGGGAGGGCTCTTCAAGGTAATTGCTCTCTGAGAGGTTCTTGCCACTCCCTTTGGCAACCTTCAGAGAAAAATCCCTCTTGCTGTTAGGAGGAGGTAGAAACCCACAGATGGGAAAAGAGGAGCTCAGGGCAGACTTGCCGAGACCTTTGAAACCAGTGACCTTTGGAAATGCAGGAAAAGAGGGAAAGGCCAGTGCAGGCAAAGGCAGTCGCGCTTCCCTTCCCAAGATAGGCACTATAGCTCCAGCTGTAATGACCATTTTCACTGTAGTCCTTTTACTAAAGAGCTTTAGCAAAGGAGTAGTGGCCAAGGAAGCCCCTTGCAGGGAGAGAATGGCGCTTACTCAGAAGAAATACTTTAACAAACCACCTGGGCTGGAGGGAGGCGCCCAACGGTGTGCTGGATAAGAAAAGATGGTGGTTAACAAGAGCAGGGGTCCAAGAAAAACCACAGAGAAGAGCAAGACATGGAGAATAGAGAAGTCCCCTCTGGGTCACCACCCCTACCCTGGCAGGGGATGTGTGGAGAGAAAAGCCAGGTGGTGGGGTGACAAGAAATGGGTGGTAGGCTGAAAAGAAGTATGGAAGAATAAAAATGAAATTGTTTTCAGTAGATCCCCTTCCCCAGCTCTGCCTTGAAACTTTCAGTAAATTTCACATCATTCACCATTGTTGTGAGTGTAGGTAAGCAACCTCTTTCTGGGGAAACTGAGAGGGCACTGTGGTCTGTTGATGTTGGGCGGAAAGCAAGAGAGAACGGGGCTGGACACAGACGGGGTTGTAGCACTTTTGTTTCCCTGTGTGTTCACATCACAATCCTGGAAAATGGCAGAAAGGAGCAGGCAGCCACAGCTGGGTCTGGGTGGAGAAAAGGAGGCTGGAGGCCAAGCTGAGAAGCAGTCTTCACTGTGAGTTGCCAGGCTCAGTGTGAATTTAGCGCTGCCTGGTTCCAAAGCTCATGGAAGAATTACCTGGTCCTGAAGTTTCCTCCTCCTGCCCTTGAACAGGACTTTAGAACTGTTGGGGTTAGGGTTAGTGCTGAGAGCTGTTGGTTCCTGTTTCCGGTAGGAGAACAGCATGCGGCATGAATGCATGGGTTTTGGAGACTCCCTGGGCTTGAGTCCTAGCTCTGCCATTTACTAGGTGTGTGACCTTGGACACATTATTCAGAGTCTCCATACCTTAATCTTATCTGCAAAAGCAAGGGAATAATAGTACCTTCTCTATAGGGTTACTAGGGGAAGCAAATGAAATTATATACATAAGAGTCTTAGCACAGGGCAATAAATATTAATTGTTTTTATTTGCTAACAACAACACAGAACAGTGCCATGAACAGCCCCAAAGCTCAGCACTGCTATCCATCTTTTTAATTTTTCTTTCAAGATAGGGTTTTGCTCTGTTGCCCAGGCTGGAGTGTAGAGTTGCAAACACAGCTCACTGCAGTCTCAACTTCCTGGGCTCAAGTGATTCTCCCCTCTCAACTTCCCAAGTAGCTGAGAACACAGGCACGTGCTACCACACCTGGCTAATTTTTTATTTATTTTGTTTATTTTTTTTGAGATGGAGTCTCACCATGTTGCCCAGGCTGGTCTCAAACTCCTGGGCTCAAGCAATTTTCCCACCTCTGCCTCCCAGTGTTGGGATTACAGGTGTGAGCCACTGCACCTGGCTTATCTGTCTTTTTGATCCACAGAAAGAGTTTAGGTCCTGGAGTCAAACAGACCCAGCTCCAGTCCCAGCTCTACCCCTTCCTGGCTGGATCACTGCAGGAAAATTATTTAACTTTTCTGTTAAAGAGGTGAATAACACTTTGCTAGTGGGATTGTTGAGGGGGTGAACTAATACGAAAAGCACCTGGCAAAGTCCTGTCCATCTGATTTGATCACAAGACGATCTGGGACTCCCCTGCCCTAGTCTGCTTTACTATACACATATTCTCAACAGCTCTCAGACCTCCTAGGAAATAAATTTTTTTCCTACATTCAGTTAAGTTTGGCCAGAATTAAACAAACTCTGGGATTTGTTCCTTCTGTGTTATCTGGGAAGCCAGTTGGCCTCACCTTAGCATCTTGCTACGCAGGTTGGCTGAACCCTGACTGCAGCTACAGTGTCAGGTCAGCGAAAGGAGTTGCTTTGAGAACTTCCGGGAAACTTTTATTGGCCAACATGGACTAAACGAAGTCAAGCTCATTTACTATGAACCAAATGTTACCCCCTTTCCTCCAGCTTTGAACAGGTCTCATTTTAGCAACTCCTCCCTCCTTCCAAGACCTTCATAAAGGCGTCTGCCATTGAATGCCTCCATTTGTAATGTTGACTCCTCCCAGGATGCCAAGCCCCATCATGGACGACCCTCCAGAAAACGCTGGTCACCATCACACTCCTTTCTCATCCATATGGCAGATATGAGCAACAGTGGCCAGGAGGAGATGCAATGAAAGATAGTGCAGATGAGGATTCCTGCAAATTCCACTACCACAGAAAGGTCTAAGCAGTGGGGAAGACAATAGGCATGCTGCTGCGGTAGGAATAGTAACAGCTGTGCTTATTGAGTGCTTGCTAAATGCCAGGCACTTGCTCTAAGTGTTTTATAGCTGTTTGTTCACTTAATCATATACCTCTGAGCTGGGACTGTTATTCTACCCATTTTACAGATGGAGAACATGAAGCAAAGAAGGTTTAAATAACTTTCCCAATATGACACAGTTACAAGGTGGCACTCATGAGATTTGAACCATGTAGTCTGTGGCTAGAGCCCATGCTCTCTCTCTTTCTCTTCCTTCCTTCCTTCTTTCTTTTTTTCTTTTCTTCTTCTGCTTTTTCTCCTTCCTTCCTTTCCCTTTCTTTTTTTGATAGGGTCTCACTCTGTCACTTAGGGTGGAGTGTGCAATGGCACAATCATGCTCACTGCAGCCTCAACCTCCTGGGCTCAAGGGATCCTCCCATCTTAACCTCCTGAGTAGATGGGACTATAAGTGCATGCCACCCGGCTACTTTTTTTTTGTAGAGATAAAGCCTATGTTGCCTAGGCTTGTCTCAAACTCTAGGTTCAAGCCATCTGCCCACCCTGTCTTCCCAAAGTGCTGGGATTACAGGTGTGAGCCATGCCTGGCCTAGAGTTCATGCCCTTAACCATGATAGTATAAGCACAAAATGAAAACACATGTGACATTACCTTAAGGACTTTAAAGTGCCTTGAAAATATAGAGTATATGTTCTATTGACAGTGGATAGTGGCATGATACTTTTTAAATCACTGCAATTTTTTTTAGAACCATTTGACCCATTGCCTCTGAAAAACCTCTCCTTATGGATATTTCAAAGGCATCACAAACTCAATACTGCTAAAAAATAAAAGCTTAACTATTTTTTCCTACCATGCGCTCCAATCTGTTCCTTTTCTTTTCATCTGCAGTGTAACAAATGACTCTATTCAGGCGCCTAAGTCACACACCTGGGAATCTCCTTGGATGCCCCCTCTCCTCACCCCTGCATTAGACCAATGGCCAAGTCCTGCTGATTTTACCCCGTTAGTCTCTAAGTTTGTCTGTCCCCTTCCCTGGGCTCCTTCCTTGATTGAAGTGTGCCCTCAGATCTCCCCTGGATCCCTCTGACACACTCAGAGCTCATGACTCCACCTCCAGCCTCCCCTCCCAGCCATGCTCTACACTGAAGCTACAGGAGCTTTCTGAAATGAACCCGTTCACATTGCCCTCCTTAAAACCCATATGTAGCTCCTAGAACTTTTAGGATCACATCTAAACCCTTTCCTTGGCTGACAAAGGTCTTTCTCACCTGCACCTGCCACCTCCAGGCTCCATTTCTGCTGACTTCTGAAGGCACAGCACTTGGGGACCACAATATTTTTAGGGATCCACGAACATGTTTTAATTTCTTTAAAATCAGAAAGAAAAACAATGGACTTTTAAATCACAAAAGGTGTTTTAATATATAATAGTAATTTATATGTTTATACCAACACAGCCATAAAATATGTATTTTAATATATTTGTTTAACAGAGGGAGGGGCCCATGAAAGTAAAATGCCTAGGGCCATCAAAAGCTATAAGGTAGCCCCATTGTTTACATTTCCAAAGTCCCCCCTCTCCTGGCTAACTCTTCCTCATCAGTCCAGCTCTTAGTTCATAAATCTTGCCCTGCAGGAAGTCTTTTTTCTTTTTTTGAGATAGGGTCTCTGTCGCCCAGGCTAGAGTGCAGTGACTCAGTCATGGCTCATTGCAGCCTTGACCTCCGAGGCTCAAGCAATCCTCTCACCTCAGCCTCCCAAGCAGCTGGGACCACAGGCATGCACCACCATACTTGGCTAATTTTTAAATTTTATAGAGACAGGATCTCACTGTATTGCCCAGGCTAGTCTTGAACTTCTGGACACAAGCAGTCCTCCCGCTTTGGCCTTCCAGAATGCTGAAATTACAGGCATGAGCCACTGCACTTGGGCCCTAAAACTTTTTTCTAGGTCTTTTCTAACCCTAAAACTAAACTAAGTATGGTTCTGACTGCTCCAGGGCACCCTGCTGTTGTCTATACCACAGCACAGCCAGCCAAGTATGGTGTTTGTCCTGTTTTCTAGAAACTCCTTGATAGCAGGCTTAAGTCTGGTTCATCGATGTGGCCCTGGCATCTGGCACGTAGTAAGCACTCAACAAATAACTATTGAATGAATACTGTTCTGTCTACACAGAAGTTTAAAATAGAAAACAACCTTCAGGAGGGCACCTGTTTTGAAACCCTTGAAATGCATGCATTCTTTTCAATTTCCCTCCTAAGGAGAGGCCACATAGCAAACAGAGAGGCAGACAGCCTAGGTTGGAACCTCATCTTTGCCAATTACACCTGCATGACCTTGAGCAAATTATTCAATGTCCTCATGCCTCAATTTCCTCATCTGTAATGTGGGGATAATAAAAGTTCCTAAGCTCATAGGATACTAGGAAATTTAAGTTAATAGTTGGAAAGCACTTGTAACAATCAATGCCTGTATTAGTCTGTTTTCACGCTGCTGACAAAGACATACTCGAGACGGGGGATTTTACAAAGAAAAAGAGGTTCAATGAACTCACAGCGCCACGTGGTTGGGGAGGCCCCACAATCATGGTGGACGAGAAAGGCACGTCCCACATGGCCGCAGGCAAGAGATAATTGAGACCCAAGCGAAAGTGGAAACCCCTTATAAAAACATCAGATGTTGTGAGACTTACTACCGCGAGAACAGTATGGGGGGAACCGCCCCCATGATTCAATTATCTCCCACCAGCTTTCTCCCACAACCCTTAGGAATTATGGGAGCTACAATTCAAGATGAGATTTGGGTGGGTACAGAGACAAACCATATCAATGCCTAATATGTAGTAAACTATCTTAAGGAAATATTGAATGAAGGATGCAGATGCTGCTTTTGTTTTATGGCAGAGTTGTAGCTCCAAATGTCACAATGCATATTTTTTTCTGTCACCGAGGCTGGAGTGTGGTAGCTAGATCATGGCTTAGTGCAGCATCAACCTCCTGGGCTCAGGTGATTCTCCCACCTCAGCCTCCCAAGTAGCTGGGACTACAGGTGCACACCACCATGCCTGGCTAATTTTTGTTGCCTAGGCTGGTCTCCACCTCCTGGGCTCAAGCGATCCATCTGCTTTGGCCTCCCAAAATGTTGGGATTACAGACATGAGCCACCGTGACCAACTCACAATGAGTATTTTTGATGTATTCCTCTCCTTCTCTTGTTAATTCACTGTACCCTAAGGTTTGGTTTGCCTTCCTCCCTGCTTACAGCTCTGTAAAAGCAGTTGCTGGACTGAGACACAGGAAGGGTCTGGAGCCTTCTCCCTCACAACTCCAAGATGAGATGCACCGGGGCTTGGGGTCAGGTGGGGGAGGGGAGGGACAACAGCAGAAGAGGAAAATGAGGAGGAGGAATCCGGAGCCCTCAAGGTGGATTCTAGAGAGCGGCACCTTCCATTTGGAGGATGGGGCAGGGAGTCAAGGCAGCCAGCTTCTCATTGTCCCATTGTCTGTAAACAGCCCCCCGTAACTATCCTGGGGCCACAACACTTGTAAAGCCCCCTAGACTGGATGTGTTAGGACTTAGCCTGAGGGGAGCTCTCCCTCCTCATAAGGTGAACCAGTACGTAATCATGTGGGAATTTCTCTTGGAGTCATAACAGCACTGGACATAGCACCACCATCATAATTACAGGGATGTTGTTAAAGTGTTATCTATTACAATAAAAAATGAAAACAAGTAAATGTCTAATAATATGGGATCAGTTAAGTAAATAATGGTCCTTCCTCCCTTTCTTTCTCCCTTTCTTTCTCTTTCTTTCCCTCCCTCCCTTCCTTCCTTCCTTCCTCCTTTCTTCTTTCTTTCTTTCTTTCTCTTTCTTTCTTTCTTCCTTCCTTTCTTTCTTTCTTTCTTTCTTTCTTTCTTTCTTTCTTTCTTTCTTTCTTTCTTTCTTTCCTTCTTTCTTCTTTTTTTTTTCTTTTTTTTTGAGACAAGGTCTCTCTCCATCTGCCAGGCTGGAGTGCAGTGGTGTGATCTTGGCTCACTGCAACCTCTGCCTCTCAGGCTCAGGTGATCCTCCCACCTCAGCCTCCCCAGTAGCTGGGAATACAGGTGCCCACCACCACACCCAGCTAATTTTTATTTTATTTTATTTCATTTTTATTTTTGGTAGAGATGGGATTTCACCATGTTGCCCAGGCTGGTAATCTGTATTCTTTTCTTCCTTTCCTTTCTTTTCCTTTCCTTTCCTTTTCCTTCCTTCCTTCCTTCCTTCCTTCCTTCCTTCCTTCCTTTCCTTTCCTTTCCTTCCTTCCTTCCTTCCTTTCTTTCTTTCTCTTTTTTCATTCAAACTAGATCAGAATGTAAATCTGTGTTCTTTCAATGCAATGAACTAAACTATGAGTCTAGCCATTTTTTTGAGTTCTCTGAGCACTTCAAATGAGTCATTGAGCCAGAGGGTGGTCTTAGGGCCCTGTGACACCTTGTTTCTTAGTTTTGGAAACTCTCTTGATATCTCTGCCTTTTTTTGTCTCCATCCCCACCCCACTGTCACCCCTCCCTCTTCTATGAAAGAGCAGGTACCTGGACAAGCTCTATCAGGAGAGAAAAGTTTAGATGTATAGATGAGCTAAGCTGTTCTGCACAACAGAAGTGCCAGGAATCTGATCTTTCTTTCTGATAGGTCAGAAAGACTCTATTTTCAAGGTCCTGACACGTGTAGCAAAGCAGAGAAGGACCTGGTTAGAGGTGAAAGGGAGAAGACCAAGATGGCAGCAGGCCAAGACCTTGGACGCAGAAGTACACAAGAAATCTCCATTGCTGGCAGCAATGGCCAGCGCTGAGCCTTATGTCATCTCCCACATTGTGCTTGGTTGGGGGTCACCTTCTTGATCCCGAACTCCAGTAAAGAAGAATCTGTTATCCACTTAGTACTTGGTGACCTTTGGGGACAAAGGAGGAGATAGATGGAGACAAAGTAGAGGGTGCAGGGACAAAGCAGAGAAGAGAGCAGACAGCAACTTTAGGAAACGGATGTGGGGATTCAGCTGAACCAGGGATTGGAAAATTACCAGAAGAAGGCTTGATGTCCCTCAGCACGTGGCATGGGACCAAGACATTTTGTTTGGCTGTCAAAGAACAGGCGACCACAGAAAGTTGAAGGACTTGGGAGCATATATATCCCTGCATCGAGATTCATTAAAAAGGCCCTGGAGGAATATATCTGAAGGCTATTAGTGGCTATCTCTAAATGTGGGGTAACATGATTTTATGTTTTTATTTAATCTATGGAGTCTAATCTTTTCTACTATGACAATGTAAGGTTCTTGCAGTAAAGAAAAATAACTGTTGGCCAGGTGTGATGGCTCATGCCTGTAATCTCAGCATTTTGGGAGGCTGAGGTGGGAGGATCATTTGAGTCAGGAGTTCGAGACTAGCCTGGGCAGCATAGTGAGACCTGGTCTCTGCACAAAATTTTAAAAGGTAGCCACGTAGGGTGGTGTATGCCTGTGGTCCCAGCTACTTGGGAGGCTAAGGTGGGAGAATCACTTGAGCCGAAGAGATTGAGGCTGCAGTGAGCCTTGTTCATGCCACTGCACTCCAGCCCAGGCAACAGAGTGAGACCCTGTCTCCAAAAAAAAAAAAAAAGAAAAAGAAAAAGAAAAATATCTGTTAAAGGTAAAAGTGATATTCTTGGCCATGTGGCTCATGCCTGTAATCCTGGCACTTTGAAAGGCTGAGGCAAGTGAATCACTTGAGCCCAGGAGTTCAAGACAAGCCTAGGCAGCATGGTGAAACACTTCTCTACAAAAAACACAAAATTAGTCAGGCATGGTTGCGGGCACCTGTCGTCCCAGCTATTAGGGATGCTGAGGCAGGATGATTGCTTGAGCCTAGGAGGCAGAGGTTGCAGTGACCTGTGATGGCGCCACTGCAGTCCAACCTGGGCGACGAAAAGAACCTCTGTCTCAAAATTAAAAAAAAAAAAAAGTTGTAAAAAAGTGATATTCTGGCCGGGGGCGGTGGTTTATGCCTATAATCCCAGCACTTTGGGAGGCCAAGGCGGACGGATCACCTGAGGTCAGGAGTTGGAGAACAGCCTGGCTAACATAGTGAAACCCCGTCTCTACTAAAAATACAAAAATTAGCTGGGTGTGGTGGTGGGTGCCTGTAATCCCAGCTACTCCGGAGGCTGAGGCAGGAGAATCACTTGAACCCGGGAGGCAGAGGTTGCAGTGAGCCAAGATCGTGGCATTGCACTCCAGCCTGGGCGACAGCGTAAGACTCCATCTCAAAAAAAAAAAAAAAAAGGCGATATTCTTAGCTAGAAAATTCAAAATACACATTCAGTAGTACCCCCTTATCCACGGTTTCAGTTACCTGCGGTCAACTGTAGTCCAAAAATATTAAACTGAAAATTCCAGAAATAATTCATGTTTTCAGTTGCTTGCCATTCTGAGTGGCGTGATGAAATCTCACACCGTCTTGCTTCACCCCTCCCGGCCTGTGAATCCTCCGGCTGTTCAGTGTATCTGAACTGTAGATGCTACTTGCCCATTAGTCTCTTAGTAGCTGTTAGTTATCAGACCAATCCATGGTATTGCAGTGCTTGTGTTCAAGTAACCCTTATTTGACTCAATTGTTGTGTTTATTATTCGTTATTGTTGTTAATCGCTTCCTTAGTAAGCGCCTATTTTGTAAATTAAACTCGATCATAGATATGTAGGTAGGAAAAACATAGTATATAAAAGGTTTGGGCGTCGATCAGCGAGGGAGCAGCAAATGGCCGGCGGTTGGCGCCTCGCGGGGGGCGGGCGGCGCAGAGTAGGGGGCGGTGGCCAGGGCCGAGGCGTCGCAGCAGCTAGGACGGTTCTTCTGCCACTGCTGCTCCCTGGACACCGTCCCGCGCCTATCGGATTATATCTGCCCAAGATGTGCGTCTGATTTTATCGAGGAGCTTCCTGAAGAGACCAGGAGCACAGAAAACAGCTCTGCCCCTTCCACTGCCCCCACGGACCAGAGCCGGCCGCCGTTGGAGAACGCGGACCAGCACCTGTTCACGCTGCCGCAGGGCTACGGACAGTTTGCTTTCGGCATCTTTGACGACAGCTTCGAGATCCCCACGTTCTCTCCTGGGGCGCAGGCTGACGGCAGCAAGGACCCTGAGAGACCGTGGGAGACAGAGCATCAGTCCCGGCCCCGTACTGCGCCCGGCAGCCCCGCCTCCGCCTCCCCACGCGGCGGGCCACCGGCCGGCACGAAGGCCTCCCCACGCTAGAAGGGATCATCCAGCAGCTCGTCAACGGCATCATCACGCCCGCCACCATCCCCAGCCTGGGTCCTTGGGGAGTCCTGCACTCAAACCCTATGGATTACGCCTGAGTGGCCAACGGCCTGGACGCCTTCGCACAGCTCCTCAATCAGTTTGAAAACACGGGCCCCCCACCGGCAGATGAAGAGAAAATCCAGTACCTCCCCACCGTCCCCGTCACCGAGGAGCACGTAGGCTCCGGGCTCGAGTGCCCCGTGTGCAAGGACGACTACGCGCTGGGCGAGCAGCTGCCCCGCAACCACCTGTTCCACGATGGCTGCATAGTGCACCGGCTGGAGCAGCACGACAGCTGCCCCGTCTGCCGAAAAAGCCTCCCGGGACACAACACGGCCACGAACACCCCCGCCCCGGGCCCGACTGGGATGAACTGCTCCTCCTCGTCGTCCTCCCCCTCCTCCAGCTCGCCCAGTAAAGAGAACGCCACAAGTAACTCCTGAGCCCGCGTGGGCCGGCACCCACCACTGCCCGCTGCGCCTGAGGCTGCGGGGAAACCGCGGGGACTTTCCCAACCACCCTCAGCCAGGGCCGCACGGCACCCACAGACTGGGTGCCCCAGAGGCGCCAGTCTTGGCTGGTCAGCGCTACAGGCCCCGCCTGTTCCAGGGCAGGATCCTGGACCGGCCCACCGGCTCCCTGGCTCGGGAAGGCGTGGGCCACATGGTCCCCTCTGGGGCGCCTTCAGCCTCCCCGTCTTTTGTCTAACCTCACCCTCTAAACGTTCAGCGGTGGAAAGATTTTTAGAATTTTAAATTATTACTGCTTTGAAATAAATGGAAGTTTTAGCTCACATGGCGGCCATGCATGATCTGTGGCAAGACGGGGCACCGCTGCTCCACCAGTGCTGCGAGCGCCGTCAGAATAGGCCGCGTGGGCTCCCAGCCTTCCCCTCGGCTGCCTCCAGGACCTGGAGTTTGGGGGCTCGGGACCATGAGAATGACCAGCAAAATTCAGGAACAAAACTGCTCCAACGGACTTTTTTTTTTTTTTTTTTTTTTTTTTTTTTTGAGGAAGTCTAGCTCTGTCGCCCAGGCTGGAGTACAGTGGCACAATCTCGGCGGCTCACTGCAACTTCCGCTTCCCGGGTTCAAGCGATTCTTCTGCCTCAGCCTCCTGAGTAGCTGGGATTACAGGCGTGTGCCACCACGCCTGGCTAATTTTTTGTGTTTTTAGTAGAGATGGGGTTTCACCATGTTGCCCAGGCTGGTCTCAAACTCCTGACCTCGTGATCCGCCCGCCTTGGCCTCCCAAAGTGCTGGGATTACAGGCGTGAGCCACCGCGCCCGGCCACCAACAGACTTTTTTAAAGGAAAAAATATGTGTGTCTTGAAAGCTATTTAAAATACACTACCTACAAAGATTAAAAAAAAAAAAGGTTTTGTACTATCTGTGATTTTAGGCATCCACTGGGGGTTTAGGAACATGTCCCCCATGGGTAAGGGGGAACTACTGGATTTACTGTATTTATGAAATCTGTATTGTGGTCAGCACTGGGATTGGCTCTGGATGAACACAAGGAATAAGCCCTCTGCACTCAAAGAAACTGCAACAAATGGAGGGAAACCTCCAAATAAACCAATAAGTGTGTCCTGACCAACAGGGGTGCATGCAAAGAAGGAAATGACGTGGGTACTGTGGTTGCGAATAATAGAAGGAAGCTTTATGTGGTGGAACCTATTTCAGAGGATGCTTAATAAAGGCTTCCATGTGGAGGTGATGTTTAGGTTCAGATCTGAAGGAGAAAAAGGAGCCTGCAGCCACAGCTTGTAGAAGAGAGTTCCAGACACAGGGAATGCCTATGGCCAGCGCTGAATAAGACAAGACAAGACAGAAATTGACTCCTGGAAGGGGATGTTTGGGGAGTGCAGGTCAGATTGTGGAGAGGGGCTGGGGGTAGCTTGCGCAGATAGAGTATAGCCGTTATTCCAAATGCATGGGGAATTGTGGAAATTCATCATTGTTTGCATTTTAAAAAGAGCTATCTGGCTGTATCATGGAGAATAAACTAGAGGAGAGCAAGTGAACAGGCTCTTGAAAGAGAAGAAGCTGGGGTGGTACCAGCGAGGATGGAAAGGGGTGAGGGGATTTAGGCCATTTTGAAGGAAAACAAATAGATAAATAAGACATGATGTTGGATTGGAGGTAAGGGATAAGAGGGAGCTATCACTGATGGCTTCCTGTTTTCTGGCTTGGAATTATCTACCAAGGTGACACAGACTGTAGGAGAAACAGGTTTTGACCTGTTAAATTTCAGATGTCTGGGTTTATTAAAAGGGTGGCATTCAGCAGTGGCTCAGCCCTCTGATGTGGTAAGGTTCAGTGCCAACAAGAGAAACAATCCTCCAAATTGCTTTGGCATTACTGAAGCCACACTTATTTTTAATAGCTTTATACAGCTTTAGTTCCTTACTTATAGAACTGTTAAGGACTTAAAAGAGTAGTGAAGGCCGGGCACAGGGGCTCACGCCTGTTAAATCCCAGCACTTAGCACTGAGGCAAGAGGATCACTTGAGCCCAAGAGTTCGAGACCAGCCTGGGCAACCTAACAAGGCCCTGTCTCTACGAAAATAAAAATAAAATAAAAATTAGCCGGGTGTGGTGATGTGCACCTGTGGTTCCAGCTACTTGGGAGGCTGAGATGGAAGACTTGTCTGAGCCCAGGAGTTTGAAGCCACAGTGAGCTGTGATCATGCCACTGTACTCTAGCCTGGGTGCTGAGTGACAGAGTGAGACCCTGTCTTGAAACACACACACACACACACACACACACACCAGAGTAATGTGTAATTTTCAGTTGTACTTTATTTTGTTTTATATGTGACAATATGTGCTACAGTGGTCTTTGGTAGCTTGAGTTTTCATAAAGGTAAAGGATATAATCCTCACAAATGTCAAAGATCTACTATAGATATAATAGGCAATGTATTTAATCAATTGCCAGTAACATTTTATGGAAAATGTAAAGATACTAGTTGATGTGTAGTCTGTGGATAGACAATAGTTCTCCTGGCTGGGTGCGATGGCTCACACCTGTAATCCCAGCACTTTGGGAGGCCGAGGTGGGTGGATCACTTGAGGTCAGGAGTTCGAGACCAGCCTGGCCAACCTGGTGAGACCCCCATCTCTACTAAAAATACAAAAATTAGCCAGGCATGGTGGCGCATACCTGTAATCTCAGCTACTTGGGAGGCTGAGGCACGAGAATCACTTGACCCCAGGAGGCGGAAGTTGCAGTGAGCTGAGATCACACCACTGCACTCCAGGCTGGGTGACAGAGTGAGACTCCATCTCAAAAAAAAAAAAATTATCCTTTAACTATCACTAGAAGCTGGGAACTCTGTTTTACACTATAAGTATCCCATTTCAGCTCCTACATTATTTGTCATCTATTTTACATGTAGGAAAATCAAGGCTCAGAAAAGTTAAGTAATTTGCCCAGGGTCACAGAGCTAGCAAGGGGCAGAGTCTGTATTTGGACTCAGGTCTGGGTTGGCTACAAAGTTTGAGCCTTTATTTGATTGTTTGTTTGTTAGAGACAGGCTCTCACTCTGTTGCCCAGGTTGGAGTAGAGGTACGATAATGGCTCACTGCAGCCTAGAGCTCACAGGCTCAGGTGACTCTCCTGCCTCAGTCTCCCAATAGTTAGGACTATAGACATGCACCACCATGCCCGGCTAATTTGTGTGTGTGTGTGTGTGTGTGTGTGTGTGTGTGTGTGTCACAGAGACAGGGTCTCGCTATGTTGCCCAGGCCGGTCTTGAACTCCTGAGCTCAAGCGATCCTCCTGCCTTGGCCTCCCAAAGTGCTGGGATTACAGGTGAGCACCTCTGCACCTGGCTGAAAGCTTGAGTTTCTGTGTAGTAGATATTTCATTACAGAATGGATTCTCTGGAAGCAGAAGCTATGATGGGAATGGAAAATAGAAAGGTTTATTGGGGAGCAACACCCATGGAAGGAGACCTATCAAAGTCTCTACCAGCCAAACAGGAAGCTCTGAAGCAAAAACTACCCACTGGAGGGGTCCAGCATTGAGCAGAGATGGCTAGGCCGTTCTTCCACCCCCTTGCCCAGTCATTGACTAGGGAGAATGTCCCAAGAAGAGCATGATCTCAGCTGGAAAGCTGAGCTGGACTTGAAGGCTGTCAGTGAACTGAAATCTTTGCAGCTGGGCAGTGAGCCCACCCTTAAATGGGGATCTGAACAGTGCATCTCCTTGTCTGCCACAGGCTCTAAAAATTGTCAGCACTCTTTCACCCAAGAAAAGGCACTGCATTAGTTATCTATCGCTGTGTAACTAATTGCCACAAAATGTAGTCGTGGAAAACAACAAACATTTGTTATCTCACAGTTTCTGTGGGTCAGGAATCCAGGCATGGCTTAGCTGGGTGCCTCTGGCTGACGGTCTTTCATAACGTGGCAGTCAAGCTGTCAGCCTGGACCGCAGCCCCCTCCAAAGACTCAACTGGATGGAGAATCCACTCCCAAGCTCACATTTGTTGTTGTCTACAGGACTCAGTCGCCTCATCACATGAGCCTCCCCACAGGGCTGCCTCATGACATGGCAGCTGGCTTCCTCTAGGGTGAGCAATCCAAGAGACCTCAGTGAGAAAGAGGACCCAAAATAAAAGCCATGGTCTTTTATAATTTTGGAAGTGACATTCCATCCCTTCTGCTGCATTCTATTTCTTAGGAGTGAGTGAATATATCCAGTGTACAGTCGAGGAATGTACAAATACAAGAATACCAGGAGGTGGGACTCCCTGGCGGCCATCTGAGAGGCTGCCTCCCATATTCAAATAAATAACACTGTGGCAATAATAAGATTGGCTCCCATGTATTGAGCAGTTGCTATAAATCAGGGGTGGTATTAGGCCCTTACATACATGATCTCACCATGTCTC
Source organism: Homo sapiens (assembly GCF_000001405.40). Classification (NCBI taxonomy): domain Eukaryota; kingdom Metazoa; phylum Chordata; class Mammalia; order Primates; family Hominidae; genus Homo; species Homo sapiens. The sequence continues at coordinate 57,050,907 of NC_000017.11, forward strand.
CTGTGTTCACTCAGGATTCATTAGGCACCAGGCACTGCAAGTTCTAGAGAACAGAATGGCAAATGAGGAACACTCCTGCTCTTGAGGTGCTCATGTCTACAGGAATAATTTGTTCTGATTTTACAAAGGAGGACAAGAAAGGTCACACACTAAGTGGCTGAGCTAGGAGGCCCAAGCTGCTCAATGTGACTTTGAGGCCAGAAATGTTTGTGAAGACAGCATACTCCTGAATCCACCATCCCGGAAAACATCAGCAGGCACCAAAAAGGCCTCTTCACACATTGTCTAAGAACAATTGTGAGGAAGAAACAAGTCACAAAGAATATATACAATATCATTCCTTTTTCTTTTTCTTTTTTTTTTTTTTTTTTTTTTTGAGACAGGGTCTTCCTCTGTTGCCCAGGCTGGCATGCAGTGGCGTGATTTCGGCTCACTGCAACCTCCACAGTGTTCAAGCAATTCTCCTGCCTCAACCTCCCGAGTGGCTGAGATTACAGGTGCCTGCCACCATGCCCAGCTAATTTTTTTGTATTTTCAGTAGCGGCAGGGTTTTACCACATTGGCCAGGCTGGTCTCGAACTCCTGACCTCAGGTGATCCACCTGCCTTGGCCTCCCAAAGTGCTATTACAGACATGAACCTCCACACCCGGTCTAATTCCATTTATATGATATTCACAAACTGATGCTTGTTTATGGGGCACATTTAGTTGTAACACTAAAGAGGAAAGAAAGAAAACGGTTTCCACAAGTTAGGATAGTGGCTACTTCTGGGGGAGGGAAGGAGATGGAATAGGGGGACACACAGGGGCTGCTGGGAGGGGGCTGAATACTATTCTAGACCTGGTGGTGGTTATATGGGTGTTCAATTTATAATGACAATTGAATGACACATATATGTTTTCTTTACTCCTCTGCATGTATGACGTAGCTCACAAATAAAATAGCAACAAGAACTATTGTGTTGAGTGGGAAGCGATTTGCAGGGTACTTGCCTATGCCTGTGATGGAAGGCAAAGAGCTCTCCTTTTCAGAGACACCGGGGATACGATGTCTTCGTGCCTCTGGCAAATCTCTCACACAGATGGCTCGAAGCCTGGTTTACCACTATGTCCTTAATGTGTGTTGCACCCAAAATAAATTCTGAGGAGGACAGTGCTTGGTGAGATCATCTTGCCATTTGATACACGTGTCTGAGCAAGTTGGTGTTTTTTCTATTCCTGAGCCCACTGCCTAAGAGTGAAACCTGATTCACATTGTAACAATAGCCACTCAGATCTTCACAAAGCAAAGAGAAGCTTTATACAAAAGGGTGAAGGAAAGCTCACTCCTAGGATACCTCTGATTCATTAGGCTTTAATGGATTCCATTCAAGAACCTGTCAGAAAAGCCAGGTGCAGTGGCTCACACCTGTAATCCCAGCTGCTTTGAAGGTTAAGGCAGAAGGATCCCTTGAGCCCAGGAGTTCGAGGCTGCAGTGAGCTATGATTGTGCCACTGTGCTCTAGCCTGGGGGACAAAATGAGACCACATCTCTAAAAAACAAGGAGGAAGGAGAATTTTATTACTTAATGGATATAGAGTTTCTGTTTTACAAGATGAAAAGGGTTCTAGAGCTGAATACTGGTGATGGTACCAGAACATTATGAATGTATTTAATATCACTAAAGTGTACACTTAAAAATGGTTACAGTGGGCTGGGCATAGTGGCTCGTGCCTGTAATACCAGCATTTTGGGAGGCCGAGGTGGGTAGATCACCTGAGGTTAGGAGTCTGAGACCAGCCTGGCCAAGATGGCCAATGTCTCTACTAAAAATACAAAAATTAGCTGGGTGTGGTGGTGCGTGCCTGTAATCCTAGCTACTCTGGAGGCTAAGGCATGAGAATCGCTTGAACCTGGGAGGTGGAGGTTGCAGTGAGTCGAGATCACGCCATTGAACTCCAGCCTGGGTGACAGAACAAGACTCCACCAAAAAAAAAAAAAAAAGGTTACAGTCGTAAATTTTATGTTGTGTGTATTTTACCGCAATAAAAAAATGGGGGAGGGGGGGATATGTGGCATCAAGCCAGGAAAAAACATGGAGGTTTGTAACCAGCCTGGGAAAAACAGTGAGACCCCCATCTCAAAAATCGAAAAACAAGACAAAACAAGGCCAGGCGCGGTGGCTCATGCCTGTAATCCCAGCACTTTGGGAGGCCGAGGCAGGCAGATCACGAGGTCAGGAGTTTGAGACCAGCTTGGCCAAGATGGTGAAACCCCGTCTCTACTAAAAATTTTAAAAAAAAATTAGCCAGGTGTGGTGGCGGGCGCCTGTAGTCCCAGCTACTCGGGAGGCTGAGGCAGGAAAATTGTTGAACCCGGGAGGTGGAACTTGCAGTGAGCTGAGATCATGCCACTGCACTCCAGCCTGGGCGACAGAGTGAGACTCCATCTCAAAAAAAAAGGAAAAAAAAGAAAAACAAGACAAAACAAAAAAGACATAAAGACATGGAGGAAACTTAAATTCATATTGCTAAATATAAGAAGCCAATCTGAAAGTAATACATATTGTGTGACTCTATAACTATATATAATATATTATATATTTATATATAAAATATATAATATATATATTTTATATATAAATATATTTTATATATATATATATATATATATATATATATATATTTTTTTTTTTTTTTTTTTGAGACAGAGTCTGGCTCTGTGGCCCAGGCTGGAGTGCAGTGGCATGATCTTGGCTCAATGCAACCTCTGTCTCCTGGGTTTGAGTGATTCTCATGCCTCGGCCTCCCGAGTAGCTAATCCCTGGCAACCAGTGATCTTTTTACTGTCTCTGTAGTTTTATATTTTCCAGATCATTGTCAGGGTGCGTGGCTCATGCCTGTAATCCCAGCACTTTGGGAGGCTGAGGTGGGTGGATCACCTGAGGTCAGAAGTTCAAGATCAGCCTGACCAACATTGGAGAAACCCCGTCTCTATTAAAAATACAAAAATTACCCAGGCATGGTGGCGCATGCCTGTAATCCCAGCTACTTGGGAGGCTGAGGCAGGAGAGTTGCTTGAACCCAGGAGGTGGAGGCTGCAGTGAGCCGAGATTGCGCCACTGCACTCTAGCCTGGGTAACAGAGGGGACTCTGTCTCACACGAAAACAAACAAACATGCAAAAAAACACAATCATATTCCTCTGCAAATGTGTCCTCCAACTTTTGTCTTGGCTCAGCCCAGCAGCATTTTTGCATATAACTGTCCTGAATTCACCTTCTTTGTTATCTGGTTCTGCAGGCGGGTGACTCAGTTACAAAAGGTGAGGTTTGCAGGGAGGTCCTAAGGGAATTTGATGACAGTGAAGGGGAACTCTGAAATACTGATCCAGCCACACTTACAAACACTGCTGCTATGGCTGGGAGTTACCTCTATAGAGCTTGAATCCTGTGCTGTTAGAAGCCTTCTTCTGCAGGAGTGGCCTTGGTTTTATTGCTTCTTAGCGGTTGGGAACCAGCTTCCTGCCAACTGTTTGGAAGGACATGCCCAGTTTCCAGCTCTGGCTAGATATGAAAGTGAAAGTTTCTGAAAATGATCTTTGCTGGCTGGGATCTGAAGCACCTGTCAGGAGGAAGAACAGATTGGCCCTAACTCGAGGGTGCTCCCAAGTGGCTGTGGATCAGCTATGAGTCCCTTGCAGGGAGAGGCAAGAAGTGTGAGCAAAGCTACAGGTAAATGAAGAAACGGGAGACGTCTGAGACATAGCATCCATTTTATTTTTCCTTTTAGTCTTTTGGGCTTGCAGCAGTCAATATTTTTAATTAAAAAAGTTAATTTACGAATAAAAATTGTATATATTTAATATGTACATGATTTGATATACATATACATTATATAATGATCATCACAATCAAATTAACATACCTGTCATCATCCATAGTTACCACTGTCTGTGTGTGGTGGGCTAAGGTCATTTAAATTCTGTTCCCTCATCAAATTTCAAGTAATTGATACAGTAATGTACACTATGTTGTAAATTAGATCCCCAGAACTTGTTCATATTATAAATGAAAGTTTGTACCCTTTCATCAACATCTCTTCACTTCCTTCACACCCCAGCCTCTGGTAACCACCATTTTACTCTGCTTCTATGAGTTCAACTTTTTAATTTTTAAATTTTTATTTATTCTATTTATCTATTTATTGAGACAGGGGCTTGCTCTGTCACCCAGGCTGCAGTGCACTGGTGGTACCACAGCTCACTGCAGCCTTGAACTCCCAAGCTCAAGTGGTCCTCTGACCTCAATCCCCCAAGTAGCTGGGACTATAGGCACATGCCACCACACCTGGCTAATTTTTGTATTTTTTATAGAAATGGGGTTTTGCCATGTTGCCCAGGCTGATCTCGAACTTCTGAGCTTAAGCAATCCACCTCAACCTCCCAAAGTGCTGGCATTGCAGGTGGGAGCCACCACGCCAAGCCAAGTTCAACTTTTTTAGATTCCACAAACAAGTGGAATCATAGAGTAATTGTCTTTCTGTGCCTGGTTTATTTCACTTAGCGTAATATCTTCCTGGCTCATCCATGTCCCAAATGGCAGAAAGTCCTTTTTAAAGGCTGAATAATGTTCCGCTATGTATGTATATATACCGCATTTTCTTTATCCATTGATCTGTTGATGAACATGGGTTGTTTCCACATCTTAGCTATTGTGAATAAGGCTGCAATGAACATGGGGGTGCAGATATCTCTTTTAGATACTGATTTCATTTACTTTGGATATACAGTTGACCCTCCATATCTGTAGTTTCCAAATCCATGGATTCAACCAACAAAGGATCAAACATATTTTAAAATATTGCATCTCTACTGAACATGAACAGACTTTTTTTGATTGTTGTTTTTTAAACAATAGAGTATAACAACTATTTAGGCCATGAGCAGTGGCTTATGCCTGTAATCCCAGGACTTTGGGGCCAGGCACAGGGGCTCACGCCTATAATACTAGCACTTTGGGAGGCTGAGGCAGGTGGAACACCTGAAGTTAGGAGTTCGAGAACAGCTTGACCAACATGGAGAAACCCTGTCTCTACTAAAAATGCAAAATTAGCAGGCGTGGTGGTGCATGCCTGTAATCCCAGCTACTCGGGAGGATGAGGCAGGAGAATCACTTGAACCCGTGAGGTGGAGGTTGCGGTGAGCCGAGATCACACCATTGCACTCCGGCCTGGGCAACAAGAGTGAAACTCCATCTCAAAACAAACAAACGAACAAACAACAAACAAACAGTGTATTACAACTATTTAGGCCATGGGCAGTGGCATATGCCTGTAATCCCAGCACTTTGGGAGGCCAAGATGGGAGGATCACTTGAGCCCAGGAGTTCAAAACCAACCCGGGCAACATAGGGACACCCTGTTTCTACAAAAAGTAGAAAATTTACCCGGACACGGTGGCTCATGCCTGTAATCTCAGCACTTTGAGAAACTGAGGCAGGAGGATCACTTGACGTCAGGAGTTTGAGACCAGCCTGGCCAACATGGCGAAACCCCCATCTCTACTAAAAAATACAAAAAAAAAAAAAAATTAGCCAGGCATGGTGGCACGTGCCTGTAGTCCCAGCTACTTGGGAGGCTGAGGCAGAAGTATCGCTTGAACCTGGGAGGCGGAGGTTGCAGTGAGCCAAGATCATGCCACTGCATTCCAGCCTGGGTGGACCATAGCCTGGGTGACAGAGTGAGACTTCCTTTCAAAGAAAAAAAAAAAGTAGAAAATGTAGGCTGGCACAGTGGTGCACACCTGTAGTCTCAGTTACTCAGGAGGATGAGGCAGGAGGACGCATTGAGCCTAGGAGGTGGAAGCTGCAGTGAGCTGTGTTGTGCCACTGCACTCTAGCCTGAGTGACAAAAATGATTTACATAGCATTTACATTGTGCCGAGTATTATAAGTAATCTAGAGATGATTTAAAGTATATAGGAGAATGTGCACAGGTCATATGCAAATACTACAACTTTTTTTTTTGAGACAGCGTCTCACTCCATTACCCAAGCTGGAGTACACTGACACCATCATGGCTCACTGCAGGCTTGATCTCCTGGGCTGAAGCAATCCTCACACCTGAGCCTCCTAAGTAGCTGGGACTACAGGTGCATGCTACCAATCCCAGCTAAAATACTACAACATTTTATATCAGGGACTTGAGCATCTGTGGATTTTGGTATCAATGTGAGGTCCCAGAGCTAATCCCCACTGATACCAAGGGATGACTGTATACCGAGAAGTAAGATTGCTGGATTATATAGGAGTTCTATTTTGTGATACAGACTCCTTGACTGTAACTTGCACTGGTGGGCCAGAAATGCCAGAATTACAGGGTAAGCTGAAGCTTAGAGCAATAAAGCACTAATAAGGCACTAATAAATGATAGCTAATATTTATTCAGCACTCACTCTGTACCAGGCATTGGGCTAAGTGTTTATGTGAAATATCTCATTCAATCTTCACAACAATCGTAAAAAGCAGGTATTATTTTTGTCCCCATTCTAGAGACAAGAAAATGGAGGCACAGACAAATTAACTAACTGGCTCAGGTCACAAAACTAGTATGTGATAGAGCTGGGATTTGAGTCTGGCTTGCTGGACTCTAGAGTCTGTCCTCTTAAACACTATGCTAGTGAGGAGCAAGGCAAAAAGATTATAAAAAGAAAGTGCTTCTCAAATGGCTATAATGGTTTTTAGCCATTACTGCTTAATGAGAAGTATAGACAGGTCTATTGATGAAGAAAGAAAAAGAACCTAAAATTGGAGGTGAAGTGGTCATCAAAGAACAAAAGGTCAACAAATTGAGTTTCAAAAATCTGATTAGCTTTTATTAGCAATTCATGAACCACGCAGCATCCAATCTACAAAACAGAAAGGAGCGCCAATGAGCTAGACAGAATGGGTAAGTTTTATAGGCAGAAAGAGACAGAGGAAAGCAGGAACAATGAACAAATGGTGGATTAATCATTTCAAGATTACTTTCCTTGTAAGAATGTAAGTGAAATCTTACTGGCTTAATAGGATTTGGTTATCATCTCTCTCCTGATTTCTTGAAGATCTGATCTTACAAGTAAGCAACTTTGGTTTGGTTTGATGACATGGAACTTCAGCCTTGTTTGGGGCCTGCCGTTTTTTTTCTTTTCATACCAGATAGGTAATGTTCAAGACCAGCCTGACCAACATGGAGAAACCCTGTCTCTATTAAAAATACAAAATTAGGCCGAGTATGGTGGCTCATGCCTGTAATCCCAGCATTTTGGGAGGCCGAGGCGGGCGGATCACAAGCTCAGGAGTTCAAGACCAGCCTGGCCAACATGGTGAAACCCCATCTCTAATAAAATACAAAAATTAGCTGAGCATGGTGGTGAGCGCCTGTAATCCCAGCTACTTGGGAGGCTGAGGCAGGAGAATCGCTTGAATCCGGGAGGTGGAGGCTGCAGTGAGCGGAGATTGTGCCATTGTACTCCAGCCTGGGCAATAGAGTGAGACTCCATCTCAAAAAAAAAAAAAAAAAAAATTACCTGGGTGTGGTGGCGCATGCCTATAATCCCAGCTACCCGGGAGGCTGAGGCAGGAGAATCGCCTGAACCCAGGAGGTGGAGGTTACAGTGAGCCGAGATTGTGCCACTGCACTTCAGCCTGGGCAACAAGAGCAAGACTCCGTCTCAAAGAAAGAAAAAAAAACGGAAAAAGGGATGAAGAAGGGTAAGTGGCAGGTCATGCATGCACTGACTCCTCACATATTGGCTCTCATGTCCTTTGTCAAAGCAAGTCTCATGACCATACCTCACTTCAAAGAGAGCGTGGAAGTACATGCCTACTGCATGTTTGGAAAAGGAAAGAGAATATTTGTGATGAAAAAAAAAATCAAGCATGATGATATTTGTGTCAATGACAGCTCAATGTTTATAGAAAACAGTGGACATTTTCTAGGTTTTATAGAAATTATGTGATGCAAGAATGTTTATCATGTAATACAGATTTTAAAAAATGCATTAAATGACCAGGCATAATGACTCATGCCTGTAATCTTAGCACTTGGGTAGGCTAAGGTGAGAGGATCATTTGAGCCCAGGAGTTTGAGACTAACCTGGACAATATAGTGAGACTTCATCTCTGTAAAAATAAAAATAAAAATAATTATATATTTTAAAATGCACTAAATGATCGCCACGTAGAATGGAGAACTCAAAATGAGGTTACTACTTTAATTGGTTTTAAAGTGACAGAAGAAATCATAGACAACATATTTAGAAGTAACTCTTACTCAGTTTAAATAGATTATATTATGGACAAAAATCATGGACAACATGTATCATGTAGTATACATATTGATGAACAACCAGAAGGGAGAAAAAACAAAGATATTGAAATCAATTAATATTTCATTGGTTGTACATCTGCAGTAATCATTACATTCAGTTATCTTTGCTATTTCCCCTACTTTCAGTCATGTAAAAACCACAGTTCTATGAAGTTTTAAAATTTCATTGTCATTAAAGTATTTGTTTTGTTGTTATAAAGCTATATTTGTTAAAGTAGGGAGTTAGACCATATTTATTTATTTATTATTATTATTATTATTATTATTATTTTGAGATGAAGTCTCACTCTGTCACCCAGGCTGCAGTGCAGTGGTGCGATCTTGGCTCACTGCAACCTCTGCCTCCCGGGTTCAAGTGATTCTCCCACCTCAGCCTCCTGAATAGCTGGGATTGCAGGCACATGCCACCATGATTGGCTAATTTTTGTATTTTTAGTAAAGATGGAGTTTCACCATGTTGGCCAGGCTGATCTCAAACTCCTGACCTCAGATGATCCACCCTTTCATAGTTGATGGGAAATAAATGTGAAGCTGCTGAAGGCCATTTTTGTTATGACCTGGGGAGACATCCACTGAGAACAAAGCCCAGACAAAGGACAGATTGATGAGTGATGACATATTTGAGTACCTGGATCCAACTGTGTCTGAAGCCAACAACCCCTAGATTTAGGTGAGCCAGTAAATAAATTCCCTTTTCTGCTTAGGCCAGTTCTAATTTAATTTTTTCCATTTGCAACTGAAAGAGACCTATAGTATTCACTGGGCTCATCACAAATATTTAAAAATGTTTAAATATTCCATGCTTTTTGTCCATAATATAATCTATTTAAGCTGAGTAAGAGTTACTTCTAAATATGTTGTCTATGATTTCTTCTCTCACTTTAAAACCAATTAAAGTGGTAATCTCATTTTGAGTTCTCCATTCTACATGGCGATCATTTAGTGCATTTTAAAATATATAATTATTTTTATTTTTATTTTTACAGAGATGGAGTCTCACTATATTGCCCAGGTTAGTCTCAAACTCCTGGGCTCAAATGATCCTCTCACCTTAGCCTACCCAAGTGCTAAGATTACAGGCATGAGTCATTGTGCCTGGTCATTTAATGCATTTTTTAAAACCTGTATTACATGATAAACATTTTTGCATCACATAATTTCTATAAAACCTAGAAAATGTCCACTTTTTTCTATAAACATTGAGCTGTCATTGACACAAATATCATTATGCTTGATTTTTTTTTTTTTTTTTTTGAGACGGAGTCTCACTCTGTCGCCCAGGCTGGAGTGCAGTGGTGTGATCTCGGCTCGCTGCAACCTCTGCCTCCTGGGTTCAAGCGATTCTCCTGCCTCAGCCTCCCAAGTAGCTGGGAATACAGGCGTCCGCCACCACAGCTGGCTAATTCTGGTATTTTTAGTAGAGATGGGGTTTCACCATGTTGTACAGGCTGGTCTCGAACTCCTGACCTCAAGTGATCTGCCTGCCTCGGCCTCCCAAAGTGCTGGGATTACAGGTGTGAGCCACCGCGCCCGGCCTATGCTTGATCTTTTCAATGCTTTTTTGTAAAATTGCCTTTATTTATTTATTGAGAGAGGGTATTTCTCTGTAGCCCAGAATTTGTTGTAAAACTCTGTCACAGTAGTAACAAAATACTTTGTACTTAGGCTATAAAAAAATATATAAAAAAAGTAACACCGATTTCTGCAATTTCTTTCTCCATCTAAAATAATTTTTACATAAAATTAAATAATTATCTGCCATGTTCGTGCAGTGGGAAGTTGTAATGATTAATTTGTGGGTTTTTCTTTTTTTTTCTCTCTCTCTGCCACCCAGGCTGGAGTGCAGTGGTATGATCTTGGCTCACTGCAACCTCTGCCTCTTGGATTCAAGTGATTCTCCTACCTCAGCCTCCCGAGTAGCTGGTACAACAGGCACCTGCCACCACATCCAGCTATGTTTTTGTATTTTTAGTAGAGATGGGGTTTCACCACGTTGGCCAGGCTGGTCCCGAACTCCTGACCTCAGGAGATCCACCCACCTCGGCCTCCCAAAGTGCTGGGACTACAGGTGTGAGCCACCGCAACTGGCTCATTAATTTGAATTGAATTGCATTTTGCTAGAAACATCTTTATGCTATTAGAAGGATGTGATCACCATTTTTTAGGATCACCATCCAAAAAGCATAATAAAGCCCCAGAGGTTTTTGATTTTCACATTCAATTGCAGCTTTTATAAATGCAGTTTTCTTCACATACTAATGGACATGCTGGAGTTGTTGCATTTGGGTTTTTGAGTTATAAATTTGTTACAAATAATTCTTTTCTTGTTCTTGTTTTGATCAATAATTCAGTCTTCACTTAGGGAAGAATGTCAAGTTGTACGGATTTCAACGGATCTTTTCAAATTATGGGTTTGAAGATATTTTTTGTTCATTTTCATACGATTAGTAATTAAATCTTTATTAAATAAGGAATTTGTGAAAGTCTTGTCTGCAAATTTTATGTGAGTCATGCTCAGCAGACGTCGATTCACTTTCATTGTTGCCAGTTTTTAGAAATTTAAGCAGACTGGACCGGGCACGGTGGCTCACGCCTGTAATCCCTGCACTTTGGGAGGCCGAGGCGGGCAGATCACGAGGTCAGGAGATCGAGACCATCCTGGCTAACACGGTGAAACCCCGTCTCTACTAAAAAAATGCAAAAAATTAGCCGGGCGTGGTTGCAGGCGCCTGTAGTCCTGTGAACCCGGGAGGCGGAGCTTGCAGTGAGCCAAGATCGCACGACTGCACTCCGGCCTGGGTGACAGAGTGAGACTCCTTCTCAAAAAAAAAAAAAAGAAAGAAATTTAAGCAGACTGCTTTCTATTTTCTCTTCTTTCAGGCTTTTTGTTCTCTAAGTTCCACTTCTGTATTTTCTTTTTCTTTCTTTCTTTCTTTCTTTCTTTCTTTCTTTCTTCTTTCTTTCTTTCTTTCTTTCTTTCTTTCTTTTCTCTCTTTCTTTCTTTCTTTCTTTCTTTCTTTCCTTTCTTTTTCTTTCTTTTCTCTTTCTTTCTCTCTCTCTTTCTGCCTCTCTTTCTTTCTCTCTCTCTCTCTTTCTCTCTCTCTCTTTCTCTCTCTCTCTCTTTCTTTTGTGACACCGTTTCACTCGTTGCCGAGGCTGGAGTGCAGTGCAGTGGTGAAATCTCGGCTCACTGCAACCTCCACCTCCCGGGTTCAAGCACATTTCCTGCCTCAGCCTCCTGAGTAGCTGGGACTACAGGCGTGTGCCACCATGCCCGGCTAATTTTTTTTTTGTATTATTAGTAGAGACGGGGTTTCACCATGTTGTCCAGGCTGGTCTCGAACTCCTGACCTCAAGTTATCTGCCTGCCCTCAGCCTCCCAAAGTGCTGGGATTACAGGTGTGAGCCACCGTGCCCAGCCCATTTCTGTATTTTCTATCTCAATGTGATCTTGACTTATACTTATTTAAGTTATTTATTTATACTTACTAAATTATACTTATTCAAATTATTTAAAGAATTTTTAAATTATTTTATGTAAAAATATTTAAATAAGGCTGAATTTGTATTTAAATTTCTGGAAATACTAATGTTTTTATAAAAATTCATAACTCTAGCATTCAGTGTCAATCTGGTTATCATTGTATTTGTCCATGTAGTTGTCAATTCATATTGTTTGATGAATGTTGTCTCTACACCTGAGTATATACAAATATAAGAATAATAAGAATTATTTGATGTTACAAAATATTCAGCTGTCACTTGCAACTGTTGCAAATACCAGAATCATGCATCACTAACAAATGGTACCTTGTTATGCAAGAATCTATTGCACTTGTGCTGAGAAGATTTGACAAGTTCATTAGTCTTTTTTTATTAATGTCTCCTCCTCCCTGAGATCTAAAGCAGTGTCTAGCTCTATGTTAGCAGCGGCACAACTTACAAATCTCCACGGCATTCTGATTAATTTCCTTTTTTTGTTTCAAGGACATAGGACTAGGGTGTAAAGAAGGAATTTCTTGGGCCCTGAAACAGCGTAAGTCATGAGAACAGATGGGTGGGGTATATTGGTTGTATCATGCCAGCACTAAGGGGCAAATATCAAGTTGCAGACACCCATACATTCTTTAGTATACAAATGTGTTGTGTTTGTTATATGTGTGGTCCTCCAAAGCTCAAGTTCCCCGCTTGCCTGGGTTAAGGGCAGTGGTCACTTTGGATGTCGTCTTAGGAACTAGTCAAAGATCTCTGGAGAGTGGGATCTTCGGCAGACTAGAATAGGGAAAGGAGCCACGCTAGGTGAGATTTGAGAGACAGGGCAGAGGCAGATTTACCATGAGGCAAATGAAGCTTAAGTTTTGAGGTCCCTCATTTGTACAGATTGCGCCAAGGTTTTAGTGCTTGCTGATTTTGTGTTCTTTTTCTTGAAGATGCTCCCAGCTCACAAAAGTGAAGTTTGAAAAACTTAAGGCAGGATATCAGAGCCCAAACCAGACAGGTTCAGGGTAGTTCAGGGCAGGGTTCTCTTCTGGCAGTGTCCTGGAATACTTGACAGGAACCAAAGGCATATGAGCTGGGAGCAGAAGGTCTGGGACAATCCAGTAGGGTTTTAGAGTGACTTCTGCAACTGCAGCAGTGAGGTGGGGCATGGTGGCTCACACCTGTAATCCCAGCACTTTTGGAAGCCAAGGTAGGTGGATGCCTTGAGTCCAGTTTTGTCATGGGCAACATGAAAAGTCCTATCTCTACAAAAATTACAAAAATTAGCCGGGTGTGGTGGCGCATGCTTGTAGTCCCAACTACTCAGGAGGCTGAGGTGGGAGGATCACTTGAACCCGGGAGGGAGAGGTTGCAGGGAGCCGGGATCATGCTAATGCACTCCAGCCTGGGCGACAGAGTAAGACTGTCTCAAAAAAGAAAAAAAAAAAAAAAAGAAAGAAAGAAAGAAAAAAGAAACTGCAGTAGTGAGATTCATCTAGAGCAGCCCTGATCAATAGAAATACAATGAAAGTTACATGTATGCTTCTGAATTTTCTAGTGGTCACATTTAAATAAGTAAAAACAAACAGATGAAAGTAATTTTAATATTTTATTAAACCCCTTGTATCTAACATGTTAACTGAGTCCTTAAAATCTGTTTTGTTGTGTTGTTTTGTTTGAGATGGAGTCTTGCTCTGTCGCCCAGGCTGGAGTGTAGTGGTGCGATCCTGGCTCCCTGCAACCTCTGCCTCCCGGGTTCAAGTGATTCTCCTGCTTTGACCTCCTGAGTAGCTGGAATTACAGGCACCCGCCACCATGCCCAGCTAATTTTTGTATTTTAGTAGAGATGGGGTTTCAGCATGTTGCCCAGGCTGGTCTCAAACTCCTGACCTCAAACGATCCACCTGCCTCGGCCTCCCAAAGTGCTGGGATTACAGGCATGAGCCACCACGCCAGGCCTGGTGTGTATTTTATACTTACAGCACATTTCAATTCATATTAACCCCATTTCAACCGCTCAATAGCTACATGTGGCAAGCGGCTACCATATTGGGCAGCATGGCTCTGCCTCTATCTTCCCATCAGCGCTAGCTGGGAAGCTGTAGTAGTTTCCTATTGCTGCTGGAATGAATCACCCTGAACTTAGTGCCATAAAATGGCACACATTTATTCTCTTACAGCTTTGGAGATAGAAATCGAAAATGTGTCTCACAGGGCTAAAATCAAGATGGTGGTCAGGCTATCTTTCTCCTGGAGACTCTGTTCCTCGCCTTTTTCAGCTTTCAGAGGCTGCCCATATTCCTTGGCTCATGGCTCTGCACTGCTTGGACTTCTGCTTCCATATTCACATCTCCTTCTCTGACTCTGACCCTCCTATAAGGACCTTTGTGTTAACAGTGGGCCCATACAGATAATCCAGGATAATCGCCCCACATCTCAAGATCTCCACCTCAATGACACCTTTATGGTGTAAGGTAGCATATTCACAGGTTCTGAGGATTAAGATATTTGGGGAGCCATGATTTGGCCTACAATAGGTGCTTAATAGGAGGGGCTACGGTTACAGAGGAAGAGTGCTCAGGCCTGTAGCCAAAATAGGGCTAGGGACAAAGGAATGACTCCATTTTGTCCAGAGTAAGAGCAAAGAACAAGCTGAAATTCCACAGGAGGAAAACTAGGGGAAGCTGAGGGTGTTGAGTCTTACTTAGGAGGACCTATGGTTTGATTATTTGTCTCCTCCAAAACTCATGTTGAAATCTAATTCCTAATGTGGCAGTGTTGAGAGGTGGCACATTTAAGAGGTAACTGGGTAATGAGGGCAGAACCCTCATGAATGGATTAGCTCATTCGTGGATTAAAGGGTTAATGGGTTCATGGATTAATGAGATATCATGGGAATGAGACTGGTGGCTTTATAAGAAGAGAAAGAGACTTTTGCTAGCACACTTAGCCCCTTGCCCTGTGATGCCCTGAGTTGCCTCCAGGGAGACCCCACCAGCAAGAAGACCCTCAGCAAATGCAAGCTCTCGACCTGGGATTTCTCAGCTTCCATAATTATAAGAAATACATTTCTTCTTCTTCTTTTTCTTCTTCTTTTTTTTTTTTTTTTTTTGGCAACAGAGTCTTGCTCTGTCGCCCAGGCTGGAGTGCAATGGCACGGTTTGGGCTCACTGCAACCTCCACCTTCTGGGTTCAAGTGATTCTCCTGCCTCAGCCTCCCGGGTAGCTGGGATTACAGGCATCCGCCATCATGTCCAGCTAATTTTTGTATTTTTAGTAGAGACGGGGTTTCACCATGTTGGCCAGGCTGGTCTCGAACTGCTGACCTTGTGATTCACCCGCCTTGGCCTCCCAAAGTGCTGGGATTACAGGTGTGAACCACCATGCCTGGCAATTTCTTTTATTTATAAATTACCCAGTTTCAGGTGTTCTGTTATAAAGAACTGAAAATGAACTAAGACGAGAGAAAACCTGGCCAAGGCCCATCCCAACTAACCAGCAGTCTCCCTATTCTACTCCCTACTCTATTTATTTATTTATTACCTTTTAGGAAACTTGTCACAGTTACAAGTCCTAGAACAGAGCTTTTCCTCCAAAGATTTTATACACACACACACACATGCACACACACACACAGACACACACACACACATATTTTTTGAGACAGAGTCTAGCTCTTTCACCCAGGCTGGAGTGCAATGGCGTGATCTTGGCTCACTGCAACCTCCACCTCCCAGGTTCAAGCTGTTCTCCTGTCTCAGCCTCTCGAGTAGCTGGGATTACAGATGTGCGCCACCACACCCAGCTAACTTTTGTATTTTTAGTAGAGACAGAGTTTCACCATGTTGGCCAGGCTGGTCTCAAATTCCTGGTCTCAAGTGACGGCTTTGGCCTCCCAAAGTGCTGGGATTACAGGTGTGAGCCACCTGCCTTGCCCAAAGATCACACTTATTTCACGAAGTTTCATGCTCAAGCCCTCCCCACTATCCTGTGCCACACATGCCCATAACCTCAGTGCCAAGTCAGAGGCTGAACGCTCATTATGTGCTTAGTGTAGAGTGGATTGTTTAAACATTAAAATATTCATGGAATGAAAAAAATAGGTACATTGCATTTTACCATAGGAAAACTAGTAAAACGGGACCACGTACTCCTGACCAAGGACTCAGAACTGAATAAGTCAAAAATACATCCTAAAAGATTATAAAAATCTGTAATCACCTAAAACAATAAACACGTGCCACTCCAGCTTCTATAAAATGGGTTTGAGGTACTCTACACAGTGATTACACAGGGAGTCCAATGAACTGTAGAGCACATAGAAGTACCACTGGATCATACGCTTGAACTCAAGCCTAATTTGATGGCTATCATGTGGTCAATTATAATCTTGCTGGATTAGTTAGACCTTAGCATGGCTCATATGAGATGGTTTGATGATCCAAACATACCTCAAAGATTTTCTCTTGATCTGTTTCCCTGGAGAGCAAGCAGAGGTATTTGAAACAATTTCCATGAGTCAGTACCTTCAGTGCTAAATGTGCTATTGGTAATGACAGTCCTTCTAGCCAACTGGGTCTAGTATTGAGGAAACAAGATGCACTGGGAGGTGTGGACACCTGGCACGTGACACGCCCACTGGGGTGGGGCATGTCCTGGGAGGGAAGCCCATGAGTGTGGGTGCCGGGAGGCCATCCAGTATGGCAGGCAGAACTTGGAACTTGGGGTGCAAGGAAGCTGATAATAAACAGTTTTATAGTAAAATGGGAGGCCTCAGAGTCATCTCGTATAACAAGAGGTGGACAGAGTGTAGCAACAGATCAGATGTTTAATTAACACCCTTGGCATTCTTGGATACCACAGTCACCATTCAAAATACTGTGGGGTGATCCCAGAGATCCATGATATGTAGTCATTTGCCATTTTGCCAGGACAAGGATCTTAAACACCTGAGGACCTAAGAACGACTTAAGTGAATGGCTGGCATTCCATCTCACCATAACTTTGTGTTTCTTTGTTCATGGTTGGGTATGCAGAAATTTTCCTTCGGTAATTAAAAAAATAAAAATGACCACAGTGGTTTTTCTTTGGAAAAAAGTCAGCTGCTTCTTACTGGTATTAAACTGAAGAGAAATTCAGCCAGAAAATGAAATATAACTGAATGTGAAACTCAGCTGTGCTTGGCTAGAAGGGGTTGACCAGGCCCACTTGCACTTGTCTGTCTGTCTGTCTCTCTCTCTCTCTGTGTCTCCCTCTGTCACCCAGGCTGGAATGCAATGGTGTGATCACTACAGCCTCTAACTCCTGCCCATCCCAAAGTGCTGGATTACTTGAATGAGCCACTGCCCCTGGCCCCCACTTATACTCTAATTAAAAAAAAAAAAGACATTGAAGAAGCTATTTGAATATGACCCCAAAAAGGGTCATCAAAGGAGAGTTAAACTTTAGTGAAAGTTGAAAAGGAGGTTAACATGAGACGTGAGGCTATCCACAAGCAGCAGCAAGCCTTTGATTCTGGAGAAAAAGGGGCATCTGCATAAACAACACAGAGATTCAAAAAGGCTTGGAAAAGTGTTGCTCAAGCATGTTATGGGTTGGCTGTAATCAGAAATCAAGCTTGTGGGAGCTGTTGTTGGGAAAGCATGTCAGCAGGTAAGCAGCAACATTGCCCCCCCCCCCACCCCCGCACCGCTGGATGGGTGGAGCATGGGGAGGGACTTAGTCCCGGAAGGCCTGGAGGGAGTGCTCAGCAGATCATCATCACACCACTGCACTATGCACTGCAGCCTGGGTGCAGATCCTGTGTCTTAAAAAAAAAAAAAAAAAAAAAAAAAAGTTGGGGTTGGGGGAGGACTTTTGGCCCCGGGAATGAGGCAGAAGCTAGCCAACAGAACCTAAGACAGGGGCCAGAAGTCCAAGCAGACCCCAGAGCAAACTTACTTTGTGTTGTATTCCCCAGTACCAAGCCAAACATCCTACTCTTTCTTTCTAAAATCAGGATCGCTCCTAAAAATTGTGGCAGGGCTGAGCCTCCAGGTTCAAAGGAGGTTCAAGAGCTCTGAGATATAGAGAAGAGGGCTGGAAAGGCTAGGAACCAGAAAGGGTGTGAGAAAATTTTCCCAATGAGAAGAGCAGGGGCAGACTGCTGCAGGGCTCCTGGATAAGTCAAATGATGTAACAACTGGTTCTCCTTCTTTGCTGGGGAACCTTTACATAAAGTCCTCAATTTGTGGCTGCCTGGCTTAAGGCTAGGGCAATTTGTACTGTGTAAACTTGAATAAGTTGGGATCTACATTTCCCAGAATCCCATTCCCCATATGGTTTCAAGAGTGAGTTCGCCAAAAGAGGAATTTGCAGGATATTAGAGAGGTGAAGCAGCAGCTATTACCCTCTGTAGGCTGTCGTGATTAGAAGTGGTTACAGACAAATGCAGAGGTGCCTATGACCACTGGCACCTCTGGTTCCAGGTGTAGGGCCCGTTTTTTTTTTCTTGCTGTCTTCTGCTCCCAATCTACCTCTTCTTACCAACTGCTGATGTTATGGAACAATGGTGTTTTTGTTTGTTTTGTTTTGTTTTGTTTGAGACAGAGTCTGGCTCTGTCCTCCAGACTGGAATGCAATGGCGTGACCTTGGCTCACTGAAACCTCCGCCTCCCGGGTTCAAGCAATTATTGTGCCTCAGCCTCCCAAGTAGCTGGGACTACAGGCGCATGCCACCACGTCCAGGTAATCTTTGTATTTTTAGTGGAGACTTGATTTCGTCATGCTGGCCAGCCAGCCTGGTCTCAAACTCCTGGCCTCAAGTGATCCAACTGCCTTGGCCTCCCAAAGTGCTGGGATTACAGGTGTGAGCCATTGCACCCAGCCCAATGGTGACTCTTGACTCACCACCATATACTTGACAGTGATGCACAAAGGCAGTAGCTATGCAAAGGGACGGCTTCCCACTGACCTCCCATGAGCTTGTTTTGCCATCCTATTTTGGGGCTAGATGTGCTTAGCTTCTCAGATTGATCAAATAGTAATCTCTTCTCTGATCCACTACTTTTCTCCTGGACCTTCACTTTCTTGGCTCCCCTTACAAATGTGTAAGATCTCATCCTAGAATACATTTCCTATCCTGTAAGTAGTAGTTCTGCTTCCCTGGATAACCTCTGACTATATACTAGGTAGACTGAAAAATCCAGGCAGGTGCTTACTTACTCTTAAGGATTATTTGGTTCCAAGAAACAGAAAGCCACGCTGAACTAATTTAAGCAAAAAAGGAGGCCTTTATTGGCTGATGTTCTCAAACCATGAAAGTGCTGGAGTGACTAGAGCCAGGAATTTAAAAACTGTCAGTCTCTTATCTCTGCTGCTCTTTTCCTGTTAGCTTTATTCTTCCCTCCATGGAGAAAGGCTGATCAAGCCCAGCTTGGGTCATGTGTCCACTATGTGGACTAATCACAGGCTAGAGGAATGAGGCATTATAATTGATCTACCTGGGTCACTTGCCCACCTCCATGATTTGGAATTGAGCCTATTATTAGAAAAAAGTGTAGCATGAATGTGGCTGCTGGGAGAACTGTAAGCCAGGAAACTACCTCCAGTTACATCTACTACACTACATTTAGTAAAATTAAACTGGGCAATTTTGAGCATAACCAAAGCCCTTTCTAGCTAATGCATTTAAAGACATATCTAGCAGTTGGAGGACACAAATAAGTTGCATAGGCCCTTCATAGAATCTGATATTACAGGCCGGGCATTGTGGCTCACACCTGCAATCCCAGCACTTTGGGAGGCTGAGGTGGGTGGATCATCTGAGGTCAGGAGTTCGAGACCAGCCTGACCAACATGGTGAAGCCCCCATCTCTACTACTAATACAAAAATTAGCCAGGTGTGGTGGTGCATGCCTGTAATTGCAGCTACTCGGGAGGCTGAGGCAGGAGAATCACTTGAACCAGGGAGGCGGAGGTTGCAGTGAGCCGAGATTGTACCACTGCACTTGTCTGGGCAACAAGGGCGAAACTCTGTCTCAAAAAAAAAAAAAAAAAAGAATCTGACATTACACTAAAATGCGTTGAGAGTTTTTTTTTTTTGAGATGGAGTCGTGCTCTGTCCCCCAGACTGGAGTGCAGTGGTGCAATCTCAGCTCACTGCAAGCTCCGCCTCCCAGGTTCACGCCATTCTCCTGCTTCAGCCTCCTGAGTAGCTGGGACTACAGGCGCCCGCCACCACGCCCGGCTAATTTTTTGAATTTTTAGTAGAAACAGGGTTTCACCGTGTTAGCCAGGATGGTCTCAATCCCCTGACCTCGTGATCCGCCCGCCTTGGCCTCCCAAAGTGCTGGGATTACAGGCATGAGCCACCGTGCCCAGCTTGAGAGCTTTTTGTACTTTACTGGAAACCTTACAAACATCAGGTTATTGAGGATCTTTAGATGGAGCTCCAAAATGTGTCTCACTAGAGGCTTGCTAAGATGGGCAGAAGACATTCTGACAGTGAAAGAAGGGTGAGAAGAACAATATACGTTTTTTTGTTTTTTTTTTTAGATGGAGTCTTGCTCAGGCTGGAGTGTAGAGGCACAATCTTTGTTCACAGAAACCTCTGCTGCCCAGGTTCAAGTGATTCTCCTGCCTCAGACTCCCAAGTAGCTGGGATTATAGGCATGAACCACTACATCCAGCTATTTTTTTTTATTATTATTTTTTATTTTTTAGTAGAGATAAGGTTTCGCCTTATTGGCCAGGCTGGTCTTGAACTCCTGGCCTCATATGATCTGCCAGCCTTGGTCTCCCAAAGTGCTGAGATTACAGGTGTGAGCCACTGTGCGCAGCCAAGAGCGATATAAGTCTTAATTAGGAAGCAAAGGAAGTGAAAGATGGAGAAGATTACATCTTTACTACATTGAGTCTCTCTTATCCATAAACATATTTAATAATGTCTCCATTTGTTTAAGAATTATTTTATGTCTTTAAATAAAGGCTATAAGTTTTCTCCATGAATGTTTTGGCCATATTTTAATAGACTTATTCTTAGATACTTCATAGATTTTGGTACTATTATAAATGGTATTTTAAAAATTATTCTAATTGTTTGCTATTAATATACAAGAAAGTATTTCCCCCTCCGGTGCCCTGGGCATTTTATATCCAGAAACTTTAGTGAACTTTCTCATTAGTTCTAAGAATTTATCTGGAGAGGCTCTTGAATTTTCTCTATATTGTCTCCTAATTTTTCACATTAAAGTTAATTTTTGCAAAAAATCCAAATTAAGTAATGTAAGCCTAGGACTGTAATATCCTATATTAATGTTTTATGCCTTAACAACTAACAAAATTTATTTAGCTCTTACTGGAAATCATATTGGTCTGTGGAAGTGCTTTGCAAAGTGTGTTCCATCAGCCAGGAGAAAGTTTTCATACTTCACACTACATTCTTTCTTTGGAGATTCACAAAGGCCCTGAGAAGTCCTGCAAAGAATCTTCTCAAAACTGGGTAAAGCCTGCATTCCAAACTGACTTCATCACGGAACCCCCTTCCAAACAATACTTTCCAGCCTTCTGAAGAACTACTTTTTATAAAGAACACACTTTGGGAAATGATGGTCTAACGAAACGAGTCATGAAAACTGGGTAACCCCAGGATTTTCTCAAGAATCTACTCTCTCATTCACAATGTTCTATGGAAGCTAAGCTGGGTGGAATAAGGCTCTATTTGGCTTTTTCTTTTTCTATTCTTCAGTCTGTAACAATAACTCCCTGTGGGTTAATGCCGGCATCTGAAAGAAAGAAAAATATGCACATTAAATCTCATGAGGCTACCCAGTATGTCTGTTCCTCAGGAAAGGGTCACAGCTGGTCACAGTGGGAGATTGTCCTTGGAATTCCCATCAGTATCTTTTAACCGATGTTGAGATCACATTTTTTTTGTTTGTTTCCCTTCCTGCTAAATCCCAGGCCATCAGCTCTCATGCCATGTGTTTTTCCTTACATTATACAGAACCACAAGTGTTTATCAAAAGCTGTCCTTTCTGTGTTCTGCATTATGTACAAAGGCTAAAAATTTGACAGAGTACAACTAAATAAATGGAAATATAAAAGCTCCACAAATAGGAACATATTTTGTTGGGAGAAAAAAGCTGTGATTATGTAAGTTTTCCTTGGACTGCTATTTCTGATCAGGGTGCTTATTACACTATCTGAAAGGATAATAATGAGTGTCCACCTTCGTGGGTCTCACATCAAACTTACTTGAGGAGCTCTGAAAAAATACAGGTTTTTCCCCAACTGGGACCCTCTGAATTAGAATCTCCAGTGACAAGCTTAAGCACTTGTATTTTTAAATGTTCTGGACTTCACTCTCTGGCATTTATTACATGGCCTTTCTTTTTAAATAAATCATCTTTCAAAATGGTCTTGCCTACATTTTTTTTTCCTGACTTCGATTTAAAATAACAATAAAGAATATTTTTAAATAAGAAAAATCAATTCCGGCCAGAAGTGACAGCTCATGCCTGTAATCCCAGCGGTGTGATAGCTCATGCCTGTAGTCCCAGCTACTCAGGAGGCTGAGGTGGGAGAATCACTTGAGCCCAGGAGGTTGAGGCTGCAGTGAGCCGTGAATGCACCACTGCACTCCAGCCTGGGTGACAGAGTGAGACCCTGTCTCAAAACAAAGCAAAACAGAACAACTTTCCAAACACAAACAAATGATATTTTTTCAATGTCTGGCTCTCATCCTTGTTCATATAGAGAAATTCTGGAATTCTGAATTTGTCACTTAGCATTTCATTTTTTTAAATTTCCGTGCTACCATACAGTAATTGTCATTTTTAGGAATTGCATAATATTCCAACATGTATTTATTTGTATCATAACTTAGCTAACCATTCCTTTACTATCAGACCTTTAAGCTATTTCTCTATTTTTAGTTGCCCTAAGGAGCTTGATATGTATGGATTTTGCTTTTGTTTTGAACCAATTCCCTCGGGATAATTTTCTGGAAGTCTGGTTATTGGGTCAAAGGATATGAACGTTTTTTTATGTCTCTTGTTAATGATTACTAAATTGCTTCCCAAAAGGTTGAACAAATTCACAAAGCCATGCCCCAACTCCATGGCATAATTGCTGAGGTTTTCAGAGAGGGGCAGACAATACTAGAAGTCTGTTGGTTTTTCCCATGACAAATCAATAAATGACTCTAAAAATACAAGTCCTATTACTTTACCTAAGAAGAAAGGCAAGAAGCCTAGTAATAACAACAGTATTATTATGGCACTGCTTGACCATCTCACCCTCTATGGGCCAGCACTTTCCTTGCATTCTTTCTATTATATAATTCTAATATATATTCTATAATTCTGAATACCCTAGGAAGTTAGATCTTGCTGCTCCTCAGTTCACAGATGAGACAAGGGTGGGAAGAGAGGTTTAATGCCTTGCCCAAGGGTTATACAGTGAGTTAGTATTGTAATGTGGATTTGAACCCTGTATTGTTGGGCTTTAAAATTTTATTATTTCGTCTTTTTCAAAAACTTAATTTTTTTTTTTGTTTTCTTTTTTCTTTCTTTGCTGCTTGAATCAGAATGAACCCTGTGTTTTACAACTGCTGCTATGCTATCAGGTTGGTGCAAAAGTGATGGTGAGTTTTGCCATTACAGTTTACTTTTTTTTTTTGAGACAAAGTCTTGCTCTGTCACCCAGGCTGGAGTGCAGTGGCACGATCTCGGCTCACTGCAACCTCCGCCTCCCAGGCTCAAGCAATTCTCCTGCTTCAGCCTCCCTAGTAGCTGGGATTACAGGCATACGCCACCACGCCCGGCTAATTTTTGTATTTTTAGTAGATATGGGGTTTCACCATGTTGGCCAGGCTGGTCTCGGACTCCTGACCTCAAGTGATCCACCCACCTTGGCATCCCAAAGTGCTGGGATGTGAGCTATCATGCCCTGCCTTACAGTTTACTTTTAATGACAAAACCCACAATTACTTTTGCACCAACCTAATTAATTTCACACCATTGATTCCTAAAGCAGTCCCAAAATCTCACCAGCTAGGTGCCTCCTAATTCATAAATTGGCTGTAAAATGGAATAAGACACAATAGATGCAGTAGGTTAAGGATATCCACAATGTCCTGCTGCTTCTCCCATCAAGAGGTGGTCTATTGACCCCCCCTTAAGTCTGGGCTGGCCTGTGACTTTTTTTGACCAATAGAATGCAGCATCACTACATCACACCCAGACTTAGGTCTGACAGCTTCAGTGTTCACCCTCTTGGAGCCCCAAGCCACTATGTAAAGAGAATCAGTCTTTCTAGAGAGACCACAGAAGAAATGTGTGGCCAGCCCAGCTTTTTCAGCCATCACTGCTGAGGCTTTAGACATGATTGTCACCATCTTGGATCCTCTATCCTCAGTTAAGTCACCCCGTTGGCAATATGTGGAACAGAAACAAACCATCCCTGATGAGCTAAAAATCAGCTGTTGTTTTAAATGCTGTTAAATATTGAGGTGCTCTGTTATGCAACAAAAATAACTGAAGCAATAGGGTTTATTTTGGTGAAAACCAAATGCAGAAAGAGTATCAGCAATATGTTCAGTCTTCCCAAACCCTAACACAAGCAGAATAAAACTCACTGACATTTACCACCTCTCATGCCACCTAGCACTTAACCTCTATCATGACATTGACTCTGCTGCACGCAGCCTTAACTTACGTACACGTCTCCCTTCCCTACCAGATTAGGTGTAAATTACCTTGGTAACCACAGCCTTTTACACAAGGCCTGGCACAAAAAAGTTACTTAATACATATTTGTTGAATGAACTTTGACTTGCTCTTGATTGATTGATGAAAGCACTTGAAATGGAATAATAGCTTTTATTTATTGTGCTCAGCATTGTGCAAAGTATTTTACATAGATTATTTCATTTAATCTTCACAATGATCCCATGAAATAGGTCCTATGATTATCTTCATTTTACAGATGAGGAAACTAAGAGGCTAGGTAACTTGCTTGAGGTCACACTGCTAGGGGCCAGCGCAGATTCAAACCCCACTTTGCAAAGAGAAAATATTTCGTTATAAAACATTTCAATCACACAAATAACTATAGAGATGAATGTAACACACACCAATGTACTTCTGCTTCCCCAAAGCCTTAACCTTTTATATTTGCTTCAAGTCTTTACAATGCTTTTAAATAAATAAAATATTACAGATTCAGCTTAAGTTCCTTGTGTACTTGCCATTAGGAGGGTACACAGTGAACTTCAACTGATCTACATCCTTTTCTTCCTCCTTTATCCTTGATCCCAAGGTAACCATCAACCTGAATCTGGTGTCACTCATGACAGGCAACTCAGGCCTGTTTTTGTTTTTTCGACGTATGCATGCATTCACAGGCAATGTTTTGTGGGTTTTAAAAAACTACATAAAAGGAATCATATTGTTTACACCCTTCCATGCCAGAAATGGCTTTTCCTCAGTCAATAAATACATTTTTGAGATTCATCCACATTAATATATGTAGCTTTTTGATGCTGTATAATATTTCACTGTAGAACTACACCATAATTTATTTAGCCATTCACCTGTTGAAGGAAATTGTTTCCAAAAAGAATTTTTTTTTGTTGTTATTACAAACAATGTCTCAATGGACATTTGTATACATGTCTCCCTAAGCAGATCAGTAACAGTTTCCACCTAGGAGTCCAGTTGCTGGATTACAGTTTACATATATCTTTAACTTTACTAGATTTTTTCCAAATGTTGTGCAAAGTGGTTGTACTGATTAATATTCCCAGAGCCCAGTTTCTTAAACATTATGCAATTGTCTTTTTTTTTTTTTAGACAGGGTCTCACTCTGTTGCCCTGGCTGGAATGCAGTGGTGCAGTCATAGCTCACTGCAGCTTTGATCTCCCAGCCTCAAGTGATTCTCCCGCTTCCGCCTCCCAAGTAGCTGGGACTACAGGTGCATGCCATTATGCCCAACTAATTTGTTTTATTTTTATTTTTAGTACAGATGAGGTTTCGCTATGTTGCCCAGGCTGGTCTTGAACTCCTGAGTTCAAGCAATCCTCCCACCTCAGCCTCCCAAAGCACCAGGATTATAGGCATGAGAGATACCGCACCCAACCGTAAGCAAAAATCTTGATATCAGTTCTAGGGTTATCACCAAACAAGTGTTTTTAAAGTATCTGTGCTGGGCAAGGCAATACTTTAGGCATTTGCAGCAATTAAATGAATGAAGCCATTGCAGTGTGTGCACAAAATCCTAAGAGGTCTGGTTGGTTGTGTCATGGTAGATAGCACTAGCTCTGTTAGGACTCACCTCCAACTACAAAAGTGTCTCAGAGGGCCATGCAGGTCAAGCCCTGCACACGGGCATCCAACCCAAGGGCAAGTAGGGGCTGAAGTCCAGGCTGGGCTTCTGCACTCCACTCACCATGAAGCCTCGCACAGGGCTGTGCCTGTCTATGGAATGGAACACCTGTTGCCTAATTTGCATAATGCCACTGAATAGGCTCATGGCAGTCCTGGGTAGAATGCATTCATCTGTGGGAAACTGGTGTGCCTGATCAAATGGGAGACAGAGATTACTAAGAAATTTGCTAGGTTTTAGAATAGGTAAATCCAGAAAATGGTTCCAGAGAAATAGGAGGGGATGTGTGGAGGTTGGTGGCAATGGAAAATTTGGGTGCAGTGTCTAAGTTCTCATATTGCTATGTACTCTGCCCCATCACTCCTAGGAGTGGGTCACCTTGGCCAAATGTCTCATCCCCAGGGAAGCTCCTGTCTCCCTGAAATTCTGCGAGACTTCTGGGTCTTGCTGTTTCAGACCATCTCAGCTGCAACTGTGTGCCTAAGGGTATGCAAACTAACAAAATAAATATGGTACATGAGATTGCAAACCTTACCCAGAAAGGGTTCACTGCAGTTTCCCTACAGATTCAAGCAATTCAAATGCCCATACACAGGCATCCAGCATGGTTGGGTGGCCTCCAGGAGGATCTCAATAGTTGGACCAGAAGGTATCTCCCATTGAATCAAATGAGGTAAGTAACAGTGTTTGATGATTTAATTGCTTCTCTACATGCATGAACCTTGCTGTAGTTAAAGGACCTAAATTGGCTGTGGATAGAACCTCACCCTACCTGAAGGAGTCTGCAGAGTTTCTTAGGCTCCATTTCTAAACTAAATTCCAATTGGAAGAAGCTGGGAAGAATGGAGGGGGCTCTGGGAAGCTGGGAAATATGGCCAACCATATTCCTGACAGCCACCCATTAAACAGAACCAGAATCAGGATCTTAAATAACTAGCTAAAAAATTCCCAAGTAGTATGTGGTGGTGATGGTGCCTGGGTAGCAGGCCCCTTCATCACAGCCCCCGGATGGGGCTCCTGCCCTGGGAAGCCAGGGCACCTGAGGTTCAGAGGGGAGTCAGCGGACAGCCCTCTTTTATCATGTTCTGAATGACATCACGTTCCCTTTTACCAACTGCTGTCCATGGTTCAAGAAAGAAGGGCACTGTGTTAATTTCCTAGGGCCTCTGTAACAAAATACTGCAAACTGAGTGGCTTAAGACAGCAGAAATTTATTGTATCACAGTTCTAGTGGGAAGAAGTCCAAATCAAGGTGTCAGCAGGGCCATGCTCCCTCTCTGAAACCTGTAGGGGAATCCTTCTTTGCCTCTTCCTTACTTCTGGTGGTTTGCTGGCGATCTGGCATTCTTTGGCTTATAGATATATTAATCCAATTTTCTGTCGTCACATGGTGCTGTCTCTGTGTCTCCCTGCCTTCACATGGTTGTCTTCTGTTTTTTTTTTTTTTGAGATGGAGTCTCGCTCTGTCACCCAGGCCGGAGTACAGTGGCGCGATCTCGGCTGACTGCAACCTCCGCCTCCTGGGTTCACACCATTCTCCTGCCTCAGCCTTCCGAGTAGCTGGGACTACAGGCGCCCACCACCATGCCCGGCTAATTTTTCTGTATTTTTAGTAGA
Organism: Homo sapiens; assembly: GCF_000001405.40. Classification (NCBI taxonomy): domain Eukaryota; kingdom Metazoa; phylum Chordata; class Mammalia; order Primates; family Hominidae; genus Homo; species Homo sapiens. Next base: position 57,078,720 of record NC_000017.11, read on the forward strand.
CACAGGGTTTCACCATGTTAGCCAGGATGGTCTCGATCTCCTGACCTCACGATCTGCCCACCTTGGCCTCCCAAAGTATTGGGATTACAGGCATGAGCCACCGCGCCCGACCAAAACATAATTTGCCCAGGCTGGAGTGTGGTGGCACCATCACAGCTCACTGCAGCCTCAACCTTTCATGCTCAGGTGATCCTCCCACCTCAGCCTTCCAAGTAGTTGGGACCACAGGCACATGCCACCATGCTGCACTAGTTTTTTGTATTTTTAGTAGAGACAGGGTTTCACCGTGTTAGCCAGGATGGTATTGATCTCCTAACCTTGTGATCCACCCGCCTCGGCCTCCCAAAGTGCTGGGATTACAGGTGTGAGCCACTGCGCCCGGCCTGGTTGTCTTCTTATAAAGACGCCAGTCACACTGGAGTAGGGGTCTAATCTATCCCAGGATGACCTCAGCTTAACTAATTACATTTGCAATAACCCTGTTCCCACATAAGGTCACGTTCTGAGGTACTGGGGGTTAGGGTTTCAACGTTCTTTTGAAGGGACCTAATTCCACCCATAACAGACCTGTTTCTGTATAAACTGCTCCCTTGGTCTCTGGATTTGCCTCCAGTGGCAGTTGGTTAATCCATGGGTTCCAAGTCAGATGGCTTGGGTGAAAATCTTGCCATCGCTCTTGTGTGACTAAGGTCTGTGGAACAGAAATACAGTGATACAGATTGCTGTGATACAGAAATAAATACAGATAACAAGAGTATCTAGTATTTGAGGTTGATGGAGGATTAGGATAAAGGACTCTGCATGGTGCTGGGCATTAAGTGCTCATTAAGCCTTAGTTACTTAAGTGCCATTAGTATTGTTATTCCCCCAGCTCTTTCCATTGACTTCTCTAGGAGTGGGTTATTTATTCTTCCCTGCAGGCACACATGGTCCTGGGGCATAACCAAATGCATCTCCATTTTAAGAGAACTGGGAGTGGGGCGGAGTGTGGGAGGGCTCCTTCAGTGTATACATATAAAGGAGACAGTTCGTATTTATTAGCACTAAAAAAGTTCTTTCTGTAGATGCTTCCAATAGAAAAGTAGGGCATTTCTCAAACATGTGCCCCTGAAATTGGAGGGACTGCCAAGAGAAGAAAACCAACTGACTAATTTTTTTTTTGAGACAGAGTCTTGTTATGTTGCCCAGGCTGGAGTGCAGTGGTGTGATCATAGCTCACTGCAACCTTGAACTCCTGGGCTCAAGACATCCCTCCACCTCAGTCTCTGGAGTAGTTAAGACTACAGGAGTGCACCACCACATCCAGCAAATTTTTTTAAATTTTTTTGAGACAGGGTCTCACTCTGTTGCCCAGGCTGCTATGCAGTGGCACAATCACAGTTCACTGCAGCCTCAGCCTCCTGGAGTCAGGCAGATCCTCCTGCCTCAGCCTCCTGAGTAGCTGGGACTACAGGTGAGCACCACCATGCCCAGCTAATGTTTTTTATTTTTTGTAAGAGACAGGGTCTTCTTATGTTGCCTAGGCTGGTATTGAACTCCTAGGCTCAAGCACTCCTCCTGCGTCAGCCTCCCAAAGTGTTGGGATTACAGGTGTGAACCACCGCACCTGGCCACGTATCGAGCTAATTTCTAAAATTTTCTTGTAGATATACGGTCTTGCTACATTGCCCATGCTGCTCTTGAACTCCTAGCCTCAAGAGATCTTCCTGCCTTGCCTCTCAAAGCTCTGGGATTATATAGGTATGAGCCACTGCACCCGGCTCATTAACTAGCTAACTGTTTTTTGTTTTTGTTTTTTCTTTTTTTGAGACAGAGTCTCACTTTGTTGCCTGGGCTACAGTGCAGTGGTGTGATGATAGCTCATTACAGCCTCAACCTCCTGGGCTCAAGCAATCCTCCCACCTCAGCTCTGCAAGTAGCAAGGATTAAAGGCAAGTACCAGCCTGTTTAGCTAATTTTTAAAATTTTTGTAGAGATGGGGTTTTGCCATTTTGTCCAGGCTGGTCTTGAACTCCTGGGCTCAAGCGATCCTTCTGCCTTGGGCTCTCAAAGTGCTGGGATTACATGCATGAGAATTAACTACCTTTTAAAAAGAGACTCACAAGGTGGCATTTACCTTGATGGATTTTCCCATGGTCCTGTGTCAAGCCCTCACTTAGCTTTAAAACAGGTTCAGAAACTTCACCATGTTCAAGTCCCAGAACTGAAAGCTGACTCATACTAAAAATATTCACATGATGTACAAGATACAGAAAATGAGAGAGGGTAGGTTATGTAATTTATAATGATAAAAATGTCATTGGTGGACCAGTGCCTTTCATCAGTCCGATCATGGCTTCTCTCCTTAGTGAGAATGATCAGAAGGCTGCTGGGTGGGTACAGAGTCAGAGTGAGGGGCTTGGGTCATAGAATTTAAATGAATAATAGCATTGGGTTCAGATCTGACTGGTTTGACTTCTCAGAGAGCCCAGCTTCTTGATTAAATGAGATTGGACACCTTCTTCCTTTCACAGACACTTACTACTTCTTCTATTTTTATTTTTATTTTTATTTTTTTGGTCTCCTTCGAATACTTTTATTTTTTACCTTCTTATTCTGACTGACATACTCCTTTCTGGATAAAATGTTTTGCTCTATTCACCAGATTCTAATTTGTTGTTGTTGTTGTTAAGGTCAGGATTAGAGTCTGATAGAAATGATCCATAACTAATCTGTACCGAAAAAAATGCCGTATTTATAAGATCATGCAAATGATTTCAGGGTGTTGTGGACAACCTTGATGTCCCAGGTTAAATTCCTATGCATCCTAGGTTAAAATTCCTGCCTTAGGCAGACCTTGCCCATTTTTGAGCTGACAAAGCTGAAGCCTAACAACCTTATCTTATTTTCCTCATGGCCAAGTTCTTAGGATCACCTTCCACCCTCACCTCTCTTCTCATTCCTCTACTTTCTAATCTTATATTAGGGCCACCGTGGTGACCTTGGAACTGTTCAGACCTTGTGGATACTTCCTCAGCCACAGGTACTGGGTTGAGGTCTAATGGTGATTGTAGTCAATCCTATTTTCTCACCTTTCCCCCTTTGACTTGTATCTTGCACTTTCTCTAGTATTCCAGTTAACACACTCCTCTTTTCTTCCCTCATTCCTTTTTTCTGGCAGGCTGTGCCCATGTCCCCTTGCATCGGGTATGACTGACATATTTCTCTCATTCACCGCCGGTCTTTGTCCTTCTTTCTCATAACCATATTCATAGCCCCATCTCGCTGTTTTACTCCTTCCATCTTCCTGTTTTTCTTTCCTACCAATGCTTCCAGGGCTTACATCCCTGGACATCATTTTCTCAGTTTCTTTCTATTCCTACCTCCACTACTGCTAAGCATTGCCTTTTTTTTTTTTCCTTTTTTTTTTTTTTTTTCCCCGAGATGGAATCTTGCTCTGTCACCCAGGCTGGAGTGCAGTGATGCGATCTCAGCTCACTGCAACCTCTGACCCCCAGGTTCAAGTGATTCTCCTGCCTCAGCCTCCCGAGTAGCTGGGATTACAGGTGCACAACATGCCTGGCTAACTTTTGTATTTTTAGTAGAGACAGGATTTCACCATGTTGGCCAGGCTAGTCTTGAACTCCTGACCTCGTGATCCACCGGCCTCAGCCTCCCAAAGTGCTGTGATTATAGGTGTGAGCCACCGTGCCCGGCCTAGCATTGTCTTTAATATATCTTTTTAAACATGATTTTCAAACCATATTTGTATTTCCCATTCAGACCACTCCTCTGAGCTCCAGACTTGCATATCCAACCTAATTACTATTTATACTTTGATGTCACAAAAACAATGGGTCAAAAATGAAACCAACACTTCTCTGCCTTCAGATTTCTCCTTCTCAGGAAATTGCACCCCAGTTCACATTGTAACTCAAGCCAGAAGAATCATCATTCATTGCATTCATTGTTCCTTTTTCTTTACCACCAACAACATGAGTAAGTCTGCTCCTCTTTCAAAATATATCTTAAGTCCAAAGCAGTGTCTTCATCCCCAGAGCCATAATCCTTAGCTCAAACTAGCATCATTTCTTACCTGAACCACGTCCAGCATCCTCTTTCACTACTCTCCCTGATTCGACACTGATCTCTCTCTAATCTGTTCTTCCCACAGCAGCTACAGCTTGCTTTTAAAAACAGAAATTATGTCACTCTCTACTTAACCCTCTTTAATAGCTTCCTATTCATTCACGAAACACATTTTTACTGAACACCCTCTATGTACCAGGCCCTCAAAAATCCCTGCCCTCATGAAATAAATGAAGTCTAGACAGGGGTAAGGGTTATGAAGGAAAGATGGGGTGAGGGATGGGGAGAGAGAGAGAGAGAGAGAGTGTGTGTGTGTGTGTGTGTGTGTGTGTGTGTGTGTGTTTACAATTTAAAAGAGAGTCCAGGCCAGGCACGGTGGCTCACGTCTGTAATCCCAGCACTTTGGGAGGCCGAGGCGGACAGATCACCTAAGGTTAGGAGTATGAGACCAGCCTGACCAACATGGTGAAACCCTGTCTCTACTAAAAATACAAAAAATTTTAGCTGGGCATGGTGCCACGTGCCTGTAGTGGGACTACTCTGGCGGCTGAGGGAGGAGAATCGCTTGAACCTGGTAGGTGGAGGTTGCAGTGAGCTGAGATCGCACCACTGCACTCCAGCCTGGGTGACAGAGACTCCTCAAAAAATAAAAAATAAAATAAAACAGAGAGTCCAGGGAAGACTTCACTGAGTCTGAGTAGGTGACCTTTGAGCAAAGGACTTGAAAGAGGTGAAGACAGTGAGCTTTGCAGAATATTCCATGTGGAGGGAGGCCCTGAGGTAGAGTCATGACTGGCTTTGGGACTGAACAGAATAGAATAAAATCCAAGCTTCACTATTTACTATGGCAAATACTAAGTATTTACTAAGGCAGCCCAGGCCCCTATTCCCCCAAAAAACAAAGACAAGAAACGATCCTCTTTATCTCCTTTCCTGACACTCCCTCCCTCAATACATACCATCCACACTGGTCTTCCAGTTTACCAGAAGTTGTTTCCTGCTTTTTCCTGTGTTGTGCATCTGCTAGGAATACTCCTCCAACCCTTATGCCCGTATACAATTTGCAAGGCTGGTTCCTTCTCATCCAATGGGTCTCAGTTTAAATTTCATTTTAGGCCTTTTCTGACCACAGGACCTAAAACATTTGGGCTCTTTTTGGCCGGGCGCGGTGGCTCACGCCTGTAATCCCAGCACTTTGGGAGGCCAAGGCGGGCGGATCACGACGTCAGGAGATCGAAACCATCCTAGCTAACACGGTGAAACCCCATCTCTACTAAAAATACAAAAAATTAGCCGGGCGTGGTGGCAGGCGCCTGTAGTCCCAGCTACTCGGGAGGCTGAGGCAGGAGAATGGCGTGAACCTGGGAGGCGGAGCTTGCAGTGAGCCGAGATCGTGCCACTGCACTCCAGCCTGGGCGACAGAGCAAGACTCCGTCTCACAAAAAAAAAAAAATAAAAAATAGGGCTCTTTTTCTTTCTTTCCTATGTCAGTTTCCTATTTGTTTCCTTCCTGACATCTACCACACCATGCAATTGGGATTCATATATATATGAATTTGACTTAAATCTCATTAGGTATAGTAAATGGCATCTGTCATTTAAACTTGCATTTGATCACTAGTGAAGATTAAGCATTTTCCCAAGTAATTGTTAGTTCTTAGCATGATCTATTTTCTATATTTTGGCCAAACAAATGTTCATTTAAAGTCACTTTGTTTTAAGGATGACAGCAGGGCTGGACAGCCAAAACCCTACCCTCTCCATTTATTTTGGAGGAATTTATTTTCCCAAGGTCCTGGCAGAGATAGTGACTCACCGTGACTATCTCTGCAAAAATCATTCCAAAACCCACACCAATTCAGAGAAAAGTGCTTCATTTCGATAACATCGACTTGTGAAAACGAGCAAGAAAGTTGCATTTGAGTGGTACCAGGTTTCACCATTATGCAGTTATCGAGCAATTATTAATGGCCAACCCAATTATACGCTACAAGGAAATGACGGTCACAGGGAAGCTCAAAGCCCCGAAGCGAGGGAAGCCCTGCTCCTCACCGGCCCCTCCGCCTTTTCCAGGGCGCTCTCCGTCCCGAGGCAGGAGATGGCCTGGTTGACCCTTCGAGACAAGGCGGCAAAACCGGTGCTGGGCTTGCGGGGCAGGGAATCAAGGTTCCTCCGGTTGCTGTACCGTCCCGCCCGGCCCCTCTCCCGGGCACCGGAGAGATGACGGCTCTCTCGCGAGAGCGCGAGCAAGACCCGGCTCCGGGCGGCGGCGGGATGTTAGCCCAGCGCTGTAGACCGCGCCCCCTCTGGCGCAGCTGGGAGAGGCGCGGCGGAGGCACTGCCGGGAGCGGCCGGCGGCGCGCACGCGCAGGTGAGCGGGGCGGGCTCGGGAGCGCGCGGGCACAAGGGCGAGGGGCGGGGCCTGCGTCGCGCTGCGGGCACGTCGCCGCGCGTCTTCAGTATTTAATGTCTCTGTGTTCCACCCGCCTGGGCTAGCACGTGGGGGAGCTGCGGAAGCGCGGCGCTGCGGGCCGGGCCGCGGGGCACAGCCGGGGGCCGGCGGCGGCGCGCGGACTCCGCATCCCGCACCCCGATGGTAGCCGAGGAGCTGGTAGGTCGGGGGCAGCTGCGCCGGGGACCCCCTGCCGGAGACCCGAAGGCGGCGGGGTCGGGGCGATGGGGAGCCTGAGGTGCAGGTGCAGGGTGCGACGCGCCCTCCAGGTACCCCGGGGGCGGGACGCTCCGGACGCAGAGGTGTCCTGGGGGCTCTCGGCCGCCGCGCGCTGTCAGGCAGGCCCATCTTTCCCTCCCTCGTCTGCGCCCCCTCTCGTCCTTCCCCGCCGGTTGTCTGCCCGCGGGCTCCTGACAGATCGCGTGTGCGCGGCTCTGGGCGGCGCTCTGCGGCCGCGCCGTCCTCCCCACGCGCGTCACTGTCCTCGGGGGCGGGGGGCGAGGGCGCGACGCCCGGGTCGCCTCTCTGCACCTCAACTTAACCGGAGCGTGCACACCCGCCTGCGAGGCTGACCCGAGCGCGTCCCACCCAAGGTCGCCCAGCCCCGCGGGCGTTTACTTTTCAAAGGTCGTGTGTACACAGTCTGAGCCGGAGCTGCCCCTTCACTTCTGGAGCCTCGCCCAACTTCTCACCCTCGGCTCGCCCGCCGGCGCAGCCCCTGGGAGTTCCGTGCGGCGAGCCAGGGGAACTGGGAAGATGGGCCGGGACATCGGCCGGTTGTGATCCAACCGTGTTTCGGGCTGAGGGACCGTTCGAACCGAATTGGGGTCTGGAGGTCGGAGGCTCAGGGGCGTCTCGGGGGGAATTTGCATTCGTAGCCCCTGCAGGCGTGTCCGGAGGGGTGGAGGCCGTCCAGCCTGGGGTGTCTGCCGACCTCACGCCCGGGGGCCCCGACGGTCACGTGTCCGGCCCCGCCTGCGGCCCAGGGCCCGGGGTCTGCGATCTGGAGGGACCGCGCCAGTTTTGGGGTTACGATGTGCTAGGAGAGGCAGTGGCTGGATGCCTCGAACGCGGGCTTTCTGGCGTTCAACTCTTTTGTGCCCTAGCTGAAGGTCTTCCTGTTTCCCTTCCAGGGAGGGATAGGAGAAGAAAGGTGCTGATCGTGGTAGGCGGTGCTGTGGCGACTCGGAACGGCATGGGAGCCCTGGGCGTTTCGGGATCTTCCTCTCCTGGGGGATGTCCTGGGTGGCGGCGCCTTCCTGCCGCCGTTAACACAAACCCGGTGGACTTCGCTCCAGGTGCGAGTCGAGGCCTCTCAAGCTGGGTAGGGTGTATGCGCAGGGCAATTAGTGAGGTTAACCTGGGTATCTTTCCCCTACTGTAGTGCGCGTTACTTCGTGTTTAGATTTGTCTCCAGTGAAATCTAGGCTGCTGGACCTGGTGCAACAGTATCTGTTAGTTACTGATCAAGGAACACCGTTCACAAAAAGCTATTAATTCTGGCAACTAGTAGCCTTACAAGCTCTTGTAACTGCTAAGTCCTTCCCAAATTAGTACCTTTTTTTTTTTTAACTCTTTATTTAGAAAGCAAAGCTTGGACTCTTAGCACCACCCATCCACTTTGCTCTTAAAGGTACAGAACATCTTTGAAATGAAGAAGGCTGCCTGACTTGATCATTTATATAATTCCTCTGATCTTGGCATTGAAGTGGTTCACCTGCTGATTATTTAAGACCCTGAGCACTGGAAGCAAGTGAAGTTATGTTTTGGGAACCTTTTGACTTGTGTTGAACTTTTCTTTAACCTCTAACTAGTTTTGTAGGTTCTGCATAATTCTTGGGTGTATTCTCTTTGAAATATGGCCCTAGGTTAGAGGAGGTCCTCTGGATCCTACAGGCATGCAAATCACTAAAGCTTGAGTCCATTACTGGATTAATAGGCTCTGTCTTCATGCATGTTGTCAGATGATGGCTCAGAACTTGCAGGTAACAGATCCTAGCCAATGAGTGAGACAGGTCTAATGGATTTGTGTCTAGGTCTAGTTCCTTGTAGGAATATCTCTCCCATCTCCCAGTTGTTTCTAGGAAATGCATTCTCACTTGGCCACTGCAGGGTGACAGTGGAGGTGTCTGTTGTAAGTGGCCTGCTCAGGTGCTGAAGTCGATATGTCTCCAGTGTAAGGTTGCTGAACATCAATATTTAAAAGCAATTTATCTTGCTGCCTGGTAACCCAAATTATTCTTGAGCTTTGGACATAGGCTGGGTTGCAGCCATATTTTAGGGGAAGGCTGGTGTTAGCCTCTACAGTATTCCCTTTTCCTGTCCTAAAGACAAATGGAGATCATATTTGTGATACTGGGGACTGTGATAGGTGCTTAAGCATTGCTCTTCCCCTCTCCTCCCTGAACAATCCCTGAGACTGACTTTGTTTCTCTTGAATTACTTGAGTGACTTGAATTCTATTAAAAGCACCCCTCTCCTTAGCCTCTGACCCAGAAGCTTGTTTGGGAGGAAAAACGAATTGGTTTCCCTAAGCTTTGCTGGCTAGCCTCCTGCTCCCAGCCTGCAACATGACTTGATTGTGTGTGCATTTCAGGGCTTTGAAGAGCAGGCAGCTTGTAGCCAATGTACCCAGAGAGCTGGCCGTAGAGTTCCCCTAGGTCACTCCTTCCTAATCTTCCCTGTGAGTCTGAATGATTGGGCCTTTCTGTAGCTTGGTCTGTTTTCCTATTGTGGGGAAGTCAGTTGTTTCAGGTATGAGTTAATACCTTCAGCTTGTCATTCTCAGGCGTTTTCTTCCACTATGGGGAGGTAGTAGATCCTGTGGGCATCTTGTCCCATTGAAATCATCTCATATACTGTTTGAGAGTTGCTCATCTTTATGGTGGGGGGTGTATTTTAGTCCTAAATCTTGCTTCTTAGGGCAAGTTCTGTTTCTTCCATGTTCCTTCCTGGTGTAATACCTCAGGCAGTTTTCACTTTTATGATCATTTAACATTAAGTTCCCATCACATGTGGCATCCCACTGAAGGAACCTCCTGGCCTTGGTACCTAATTTGAAGCTTGGGCTGTGGAAAACATCATCAGTGAGCATGTTTGAAGTAGGACAGAGTCTGGCTGGAGAAACAGGTAGTGGGGGAGCTGGGAGCTAAACTTGAGAGGATGCCTCTTTCTTGATAGTTACTGTGCTAGGTGAGTTATGAGCACACTAATCCTTTAATCCTCACACCTCTGAGAACAGTGAGGGTGAAGCTGGAGGTCATTCTGGATTGTTTCAGTGGCTGTCACACAAATTCAAATTGAGGGGTAGAGGAACTAGGAAGCGTGGGTGTGGAGTTAAAACTAGGTCCTCTGGATGGCTTTTGTGAGAAGAACCAAGGAATATTCTTAAATCCCTGGGCTTTTCTCCTAATCTTTCTGCTGCTTTCTAAGTAGATTGTTAACATTGTGTGTGTTATCATTCAGCATTCTGAGAACTAGCTTTCCAGCAATAAATAGCTTTCAAGGTGTCCTTTGCCTTAACTTTTTCATTTTACTAAATGGTGCAGCCTTGTCCACATTCTGTCCGGGTCTTCACCATCTGGTTGTTTTTCCGGCTTGGTTTGATAGTTTGCAGCAGTCAGTGGTAAACATTGTGTTCCCTGTTCTGTAATGGTGGCTGGTTGTGTTCACCGAGCCAGGTGTCACTAAGGCCCAGTTGCACTTGGGAGCAAAGAAGGGCCCTGAGGTGAGTCCTGGAAGTAAAAATATGTATAACCTAGGGCTGATGAGGCTTGTTTCACTGCTGGGCTTAGCTGACAAGAGCCTGGGACTTGCTGCAGCTCTCAGAGCTGAAACCTGGCGGTGATTCTAGGCAGGCTGGTTGGCCTTCCAGATCTTGGTTTATTCAGTGGCTAAAAGAGGTTTGGTCAAAATTATCAGTATTCAGATTATGGTCCTGGGAGCCTTGGAGTTAGACCAAACGTGCCCAGGGGCCACTGGAGTGATGTGTTTGGGCTGGGGAGCACAGCTCAATGGGTAGTACATGTCAAAGACTTAAGGGGAAAAAAAACAACTCACTGTTCATCTCAAGTTCTTAGCTCTAAGGTGTGCTACTGTTCTAAATATTTTTTATTTTTAAAGATAGCTTTATTTGCCTAAATTTGTCCTGGGTGTGGGGAGTTTAGAGCTGCCTTGTCTGTAGGGTAGCTGCTAGCTGTGTGACTAATTAAACTTTTCAAAGTATTTTTAAAAAAATTTCTTAGTGACATTAGCCACATTTCAGGTTCTCAGTGGCCTCGTGTAGCTAGTGGCTGCCGTCCTGGTCAGTACAGGTCAAGAACATTTTCCATAATCGAAGAAAGTTTTGTTGGACAGCGCCGGCCTAGAAAGTTTTTTTTTCTCCAACTCTAAAAGCTTAATTGTCTCAACTTGTAAATCTCTAAAGCATAACATGTTTGAGCTTAGTCTTCCAGAGTCCATAAACCCAACAGCTTTGGTGACAAATTATCTACTGGTTGTCTCCATGGCATACTACAAGTGAGTTCTAGTCTGCCAGTTGGGAGTGGACGAACAGTTTTGAAACAGTTTGAGTGAGGACCTTCAGAAAGGACCTGGGGACAGGAGCGTGAAGCAAAGGTCCAGATGCTAAGCCCTTAGAAAGCCCTTTTGGTTTGAAGCCGTTTATTATCATAAAGATCCCTGCTGGTTTGTCCTTGGTCTCCAAATGTCAGATGTCAACATATTGTTACTTGGTCCTTCACCCACCTGATGACTTCCTACAGATCTCAGTGCGGCCCTTCTCTTAAACGAGGTTGTGTTTTCATTCTGCTGTTTCCAGTCCACCTAAATGTTAGGGGCCATTCTTCACAGAAGGTGTTGGGGGAGAGTGGGGCCACAGCGTGGATGCTAACGTGTTCTGTTGTGGCAGGGGTGGGGAGTTCTTTGTTTCCAGATGCCCCCTCTTCTAGTCCTGGGTGTGCTTTGTTTGAACCCTGCTAGATTGACCTTTGGTATATATAATGTGAGATCTCTTTTCTTGGAGCCAGGCAGCATAAAGGACACTTACTGATGAGCACCTACTGGCATATTAGTGGCTTTTTTTTTTCTGTGTCATTTTTATTCTCTGTCAGCCCTATGAGGTTAGTACAGTGATTAGTTTGTGGGTGAAGAAACAAGATCCGAGTAGAGTAAACTGGTCCCTGGACACAGCAAGGGCTGGACTGGCTTGGACCTGGGCTGGGGCGTGCTCCCCACCTCCTCCTCTGCCCCTGCCGCCCCCCATGCTCATTGGTTGTTGCTTATTTACTGCCCCTTTATCACCACATCCTCATTCAGGAAACTAAACTGGGTTTTACAAAGATTAAAATCATTGATCCCACATATGGAGTCTGACTTAAGTGTGTTCAGCCTCGTTACAACTCTGTGAGGGAGATATTCCCTATTACAGAACATCTTCATTTTATGGGAAACTGAAGTACAGGATCCTACTCTTAACTCTCTTGTCTTTCCAAAGCCATATTTTATCATCAGAATTATGCAACCATCGGGTGCTTTTGAAATGCACAAGTAATGACTATGAATAAAAAAAGCTGTGCCTGAGGGCTCAGGGAAACTGCTCTGAAGACTGAGCTGATTGAAAAAGACAATCCTGAAGTCACTAATTTCCCGACACCTGTCAGACCTCACTTGGAGGTCACAGACCATCTCCTGGCCCTCCAAAGGCTGTCACCCAGCAGTAGCTGGCCTCCTGATTAGAGGAGGCAGTAAGATCTTTTCAAGCACAGCCCCAGCCCCCATCCCTTCTCTGGCCTGGGCCTGGATGTGCCTTTGTGAGGTTGGGTCGATGACAGATCTGAAGGACAGTTCAGTCTTCTGTACACTCCTTCTTGCCCCTCCTTTCTGCCACTCCCAAGAAAAAGGAGCAGGAGTGATTCTCACTTTCCTGAACTGCCTTGGAGGGAGACCCACACTCAGCTGTGCCTTTAGCTGTCTCTGGGAGAAAAGGCCGTGCTGCAAATAACCTCCCTGCTTTGTCCTTTGGCTTTGGTGTGGCTCACCTGGCCAAGCATGTGCTGGTGCTATTTTTAGCAGGTGGCATCCTTTAGGAGGGCCAAGTGCATGTGGCTGCAGTGTACGGGACAGGTCCTGGTGCCAAAGCTGCTGCTGTCTCTGCTGCCACCGCCTCGTCAGGAGAGAGAGGAGAATAAAGCCACCCTGGAAGCTGCCAAGGGGTGTGTGGAGGGGGTGGCTGCTTAAGAGGTCTCCAGGGCTGCCTTTTCTATTCTGGATCTGTGGCAGGGGCCCAGCCTGCCTCCTGGTGCAGGCAGGCATGTGACTGAGGCAGCCCGGGGAGCTGGGGAGCTGGGGAGCTAGGTGTCAGACTGCTGCCTGGGGAGTGAGGACCCCTTGTTGCCCCAGCAGGCAATTTTTCAGGAAACCACATAACCCCATTAAAAACATTATTTATTTATTTATTTATTTATTTAGAGATGAGGTCTTGCTTTGTCACCCAGGCTAGAGTACAGTGGCTCGATCATAGCTCACTGCTGCCTTGAATTCCTGGGTTCAAGGGATCCTCCTGCCTCAGCCTCCCAAGTACCCGGGACTATAGGTGCACATCATGATGCCTGGCTAGTTAAAAAAATTTTTTTTGTAGTGATGGGGTCTCATCACCTTGCCCAGACCCATTTCAAGACTCCTAGGCTCAAGTGATCATTCCATGTTGGTCTCCCAAAGTGCTGAGATTACAGGTGTGAGCCACCGTGCCTGGCCCCATAACTTCATTTTTGTGTGAAGTTGCCCAGCCTAAAGGCTGGCCACTAAATGGACACTTAAAAACTCTCTAATAGTGTGGATTGGTGGGCAGTCTGATTCCTCTGGCTTAAACCAAAATGCAAACATGAAAGGAGGCATGGCCATAGACCCCCGGTGAGAATTCTTTACTGTGATGACACAGAAGCTGAAGAGGGATGAAAAAGCAGTTTGACCAGCAAGCTTGCTGGTTCCCTAGGCCACCCTTTCTTCTCTCCTTTTCAGTTCCTCCTTCCCTCTAACTTGGAGCTGCTAACTCCAGCCCATCTAACTGTTTCTGATTAAGAAAGCTTCAAGCCTTATAAGGCCCTCTGTTGCCTATGGTTTATGTTGGCTGGAGAGCAAGGTTGTTTTTTGCAAAGTCTGATTCAAAGAAGTGGCAAGGGCTTACGTAGGCTGTGTGTGTCCGCCTCCTGGGGCTGGACTGCCTTATTGGAACAGGTTCCTTTGAGGGAGCCTGAGAGTAAGGGGGGCTTATTATCCCTTACCCTTAGTGGTGGCTCTGTAAGGCTAATGTGTGGTGTGGCCACAGGGCTTCCTGGCAAGTGTATTCGCTGAGAACTTAAAGGTAAAAGCAAGCCCCTGTTTACCTACACAGTGTACCTGTCATGCTACCAGCCACAGAGGCATCCTGTTTCAGGAATCAAGTCTGGAAGCAGCTTCTGCTTATTAATTAAGAACTAAAGCCCCTTGGCTCTTCAGGCACATCGCTTTCCCCTCTGGAGAAAGTTTGGTGGACCGTGTCCCTTGGGGTTCTTGCGAGTCCGACTGGCCTTCCGCGCAGTGATGTTGGAGAGCCCTTTTTCTGAGAGCCATGCTCTGCCTCATCTTCACCTCCCCTCTTGCTACCTCTTGAGTCAGCCAAGCCTGTTCCTGCCTTAGGACTTTGGCACATGTTCTTCCTGCCTGGAACTTTCTCCCCGCTCTCCTCCTGCTTCCCCCCAGATCTTGGCACAGTTCTCAAGTGTTCCAGTTCTGATGCCACCTCTTCCAAGAGGCATTCCCGCCTCATTCTGTCTGCAGCTTCCCCTTCCAAGTGCTCCATCCAGCCTTTCTCATTTCAACCACAGCACACAGAAAAGGACTAGGTGACCGTTCCTCAACTCTCCCAGCTGGTGCCCTGCTACACGCACAGGGATATAGGTAATTCATCACATGCAAGGGCAGCCTTAGGGCTCAGTTCTCTCAATCAGTTGAGAGAGGCTGCAGGTCTTTATATTTAAGTCGCGGAATCTTTGCAGTATCTTACCTGTAATTTGACTCTCTACCCTTCCTTCCACCTTTGCTTCCTGAGGGATCTCTTTGCCTTATGTGCCCAGCGAACTTGGCTCACAGTGCGTGTTAAACTCTTTGTTAAATGACTGGCCCTGAGAGGTCCAGCCATCTGATGCTGGCTAGCCCTCAATGCCTTGCTTCCAGAGGGATCTAACCTGTCAATAAGCATGCTCTCTTTTTGATATTACTATTATGTCAGCTGGGCAGCTGGGGGTCTCTGAAGCAAAATTGGCATCAATTATTATAGGAAAATAAGGCCTTACAAGTTTGTACACAGATGAGTTGACATTAATGCAAATTTAGGATGGTTAATAAGAAACATAAAGCTGTGTGGTAATAGAGCATGCATTGCTACTTGTATGTATCTTAATAACGTGTTTTCTATCAAAACATTACTTGTAGAAAGGATTTGGCTTTTGACTGTGTACAAGGCTTGAAAGGACAGTCCTTTGCCCACTGCCCCCCACCCCCATTACTTTCAATTCTTCCAGCTGTCCCCACCATTGTCAGTAGTATTATTTTCTTTCTTTTTAAGGATTATTATCTGATTTGTTTTTCTGCTGTGGGAGATAGGATTTAGCTCGTTCCTATGCTTTTTTCTTCCCTCATCATCCCAGTGTAGAGATAGCCCAAGTTTTGGTCAAGTTGATCTTCAGAATATACATTATTATAATATGAACCTTGTTTATGGCTGCAAGGTTTTTAGTTTCCCATATTTCTTCTTTTCCTTCATTTTCTTCTTCTCCTCTCCTAGTTAATTTCCTTAGTTTCTTTTGCTTAATTTTCTGTCTCTCTCACCAGTTCCCTGACCACCTCGCAGCCTCCACCATTGCTGTGGAATGCCTGTCATTGGGGGAAAGTGGCTCTCACTGTGGCTCCACATACCAGGTACTCGCAACGGTTCCACGTTTCTCCTGGGCGCATCCCTTTTCCCTGGCTCTGCTTCCCCTTCAGCCTTGGAATTCCCTCTCCCCTTCTCTTGTCTCGTTTCTGGATCCAGTGCCCCTCCTTTCTTGGTTGATTTCCTTGTCTTGGGGGAGCCCATCGTTCAGTAGCTTGCTGAGAAGGTGTGCGTGGTTTGTGGCCCACAAGAAGCCAGCCGATCCATGCAGGGACAGGCACCTTTGAAGGCATGGATTGGGCCTTCAGTTGGGTGGCTGAAGTCAGCAGACAACTAGGCCTGTGGAGCCCTTCCGCCAGGCCAGGCCAGCAGAAGGTCTGGCTTCACTTTTTAGAGAAGTTATAAATGTGGCGATCTGGATTTGGGTACCAGGGAGTGGTGAAAATGGGTCCCCCCCAACTTTTTTTTTTTTTTTTTTTTTTTAAAGACAGGTCTCACTGTCCCCCAGGCTGGAGTGCAGTAATGCCATCATAGCTCACTGCAGCCTTGATTTCCTGGGCTCAAGTGATCCTCCCACCTCAGCCTGCTCAGTAGCTGGGACAAGAGGCATGTACTACTATGCCCGACTAATTCTTTTAAATTTTTTTTTGTAGAGATGAGGTCTCACCACATTGCCCAGGCTAGTCTCGAACTCCTGGGCTCAAGTAATCTTCCAACTTCCCAAAGTGTTGGGATTACAGGTGTGAGCCATCGTGCCTGGCTGAAGATGGGTCTTGAATGAAAGTCTATATATTGAATGGGGCATCCCAACTCTCCTTGGCTCCCATAATGCTGGCATTCAGGCTTATATTCTCTCATTCCTACCCCAAGATACTAGAACATTCTAGTCTGAGGACACTGGCACCCCATTTTCTGTTCCTCCTTCACCCCTAACAGGGCACTTCCATGTCCTATGGACAAAACTTTCAGTTGGTCAGTAGCAGAGAGTGGCAGTAACAGGCCCACTGGAGAAAAGGTCATTGCTTGTTTTTTGAGACAAGGTGTCACTCTGTTGCCCAGGTTGGAGTGCAGTGGTGCGATCTCGGCTCACTGCAACCTCTGCCTCCTGGGTTCAAGCAATTCTCCCACCTCAGCCTCTCGAGTAGTTGGGACTACAGGTGTGCGCCACTATGCCTGGGTAATTAAAAAAAAATTTTTTTTTTGTAGATACAAGGTCTCACTATATTGCCCAGGCTGGTCTTGAGCTCCTGGCCTCAAGCAATCCTCCCGAAGTGTTGGGGATTGTAGGCGTGAGCTACCGTGGTGGCCTGTTTGGGCTTTTTTTTTTTTTTTTTTTTTCTTCTGCCCTCCACTACTCCCCGCCAAGACTGAAAGTGCCTCGAGGGCAGTGCCTTGCCTGATTAATTTGTGTCCCACCATGCTTTTCTCTGTGAGTGCCAGTAATTATTTGTTGAATAGAAATTACCTTCTATGCTTTTATGTGATTTCTGGGGTGGTCGTAGTTCACTGTCTGCCATTAGGAAGATCAGGGTCTTACCTCTTTGGTTTTGCCCATGTGAGGTGCTGCGAAGGGTTTCTTGCTGCACACCAACATCTTTTCTGATGTCTTTACTGGCTTTTAAGTCAGGTTGTTGTCAGATTGCCATTTCATACTTTTTGGGCAGTTTTGTGTAATGTCTTCTGTGGTCGTGGGCGGGAACTCCATGTACCCAGGAAGGCATTCCTGGCACCTGTGTTGTGACCATCTTTAGAAACCTGGCGGAATTCACTTGTAAAGCAAGATGGTTGTCAAGGCCAGAGGTGAGGGGCAAGGTGAGTGTGACATAGTCTTCAAAGTTTTAAAATCCACACCCCTACCCCCAAAATGAAGTGATTAGGAAGACCTTTGTAGGAGGTGCTGATGATTTTTCCTTCACGAAAAGAGGCATGTGACTTGGACCTGCCATGGATTTGGCCAGCAGAGCAGGAAAGAGACTGGGCAGTTCAACCTCGGGTACTAAGTTTTCCAGAGCAGGAGTTGGTTTAACTTTTAGTTGGGCTGGCGGAGCTCTTACTTTGAGGCCATGTCCAGAGATGGTATTTCTGGCTTTTGGCTTGTCTTGTCTTACCTAGAGCACCTGGTAGTGGATTCAGGGTTTTCATTTTGGCCGTAGAAGGCTTTGCCAAGCAGGTACTCAGACACTACTGGGTTAAGCTTCTGGCCTTCCTTCTGTGAATTGGGCTGGGAAAGTGTCCCGAGTTCCTGACAGCTGCTCTACGTGGAAGGGCAGAAGCACCCACAAAGTGTGCTGGTCTGGTGGTGCTGGCCCCCCTGGCTTCTCTGTGGGCCATCACAATGGAGGGTGGGGGACAGTCCTAGACAGGACCTCACAACCCCACTGTGAGCTAATTTGGGATCTCTAGGGTACCCACATGAAGTCATAGCTTACTGTGACTTACACAGGCCCCTGAGGATGAAGGTAACAGTCCTGTGAGCACTGAGGCTGGGCTGGGACCAACACCTGAGCCATGGCTCCAGCACTCTGATTCCTGGCCCAGCCATGCTGCTGAGGGTGCACAGCCCAGGCCTACCATCGCCCCCACCCTTGGTGGCAGAACCGAGCACTACCCAGCAAGGTAGGTGTTGGCGGCTGCAGCATGTATCCAGCCCTCCTGTTCATTGGGGCCTTCTGGGAACACCCTTTAGAGCTGCATTGTCCAGTAGGTAGCTGCCAGCTGCAGGTGGAGAGTTCAAGTTAACCTAAAGTAGAATTCAGTGCCCTAGTCACACTGGTCACATTTCAAGTGCTCAGTAACCTCCCATGACTAAGTGGCTGCCAGTATTGGATAGCAGTCACTCTTGAGGGTCACCGAGACCTTTACCTCTTGTGACCTACTCTACTTTACCATGTTGCAACTGCTGCGACTATGGCTCCTGTGGCAAAGGTCAAACTCTTTGTCTCGCCTGACCAGCACTTCAGCTCCTAGGATTTCTTCCTGTTTTACTTTGGGACTCACTGTTCCCTCCCATGCCCAAAGATATTAGAACCTCAATTTATGTCCTGTCCCCCTCCCTACCCACCCACTGCAGCCTAAGGAAATCCTGGCCCTCTTTGAGAAAGCCTTCCTGGGCTCCCTTTGCCCACTTCTCAGCTGCTTGTGGCGCAGGGGTGTGTGTGTGAGTGAGTGAGAGAGATTGATTCTTCCATCAGAATCGTGTGCTTCTGGTGATCAGAATCTTCTGCTTATAGCAACTTAAACATATTTGAATGAATGAGCAAGGTGAATGACTGTGACCTGATGAGGAAATAGGTAAATGCATCTGATACAAGCCAAGAGGCGCTTTTGGAATCTTGCGGAGAACTCCGAGTTTGTGATTTTCCTCGACCAAACTCCCATGGAAGGGAGTATGCCTCTGCCTGGCCACAGACTGCTGTCATTCTCTGAATGCAGTGGCTGAAGTGCTGGGCTTTAGGTTCTGATTCCCTGCCCTTGGAAGACCCCCTTCAAGGGGAAGAGTCCCTCAGCAGGAACTTAATGAGCTGGGCACTCTGGAGGTGGAGTGTCTTGGGCAGGCTCCTTCCTATTGGTAGAACACCTGGGGACAGCCTTTGTCAGTGTGAACACTGGAATAATGGAAGAAATGTTCAAATTCCAGTGTAAATGTTCATTCAGAACGCAAAGTGGATGTGGCTTCACTGACCAGGCCCAAGCCCACATTGGGCTTGTTGGGCACTTGGCTCCTAAGCTGTTGTTTTTATGGTGGACTTTCCCATCAGTTACATGCGGCTCTTTTTGCAGTCACTGCAGCCAAATTGGCTTAGTCACTGGGACCAACACTCTCTGTACCATTGCCAGGGATTTGTTTTCTTGTTTAGCAGAAGGCTGTAGCCTGCAGTTACCAGGTTTGTCAGCTGAGTTGAGAGTGAGGCCATTACTTTTCTGAGGGCTGTTCTGAGAAGCTGCAGGTACCTCCCTGGAGAAAGAAGAGATCCTTTGGAACCTGGAGTGAGCAGATGAATGCTGAGGCCTGTGGCTGTAGCACGTGCCTAACTTCAGCTCTGTGTGACCACTTGGCAACTAGCCAGTATGCATCTATTCCCAGGCAAATGGACCTGCTAAAAATAAGCAGGCAGCTATTTAATTCCAACAGATTCAAAATGACAGAGTGTCCTCCCCACCAACCCTAGGGCAGGGCTCTGCAGCATCCTTCTGGGAGGCTTTTCTCTGACTGCAGACAGGTCTGCCCTTAGTCCTGGGCCTGGGGGAGGAGCCAGCCTTTGATTAGCTTGTGAGTAGGAAGGCTTTGGGGACTACTGTGATACCACTTAAATGTTGAGAAGTTCAGGTTTACAAAAAAAAACACCTCAGGGCAAAGAGAGCAACTCCGAAGAGTCTGGCCCAGTGCAGGAAGGAAGATGTCAGAAGAGCCTTGTAAGGCTAAAGGGGTATGTGTATGTATGAAAAGAGGTGGCACTACCTGGGCACTCAGGAAAGCCTGATGCATTTTATACCACCTCTTGTAGCCCTGTCGGACCACGTAAATTGGGCAAAATGGCATCTTACCAATTCCAAGAAGTCTGTTTGACTGAGGTGAGAGTGGCTCAGGGGTGAGGGAGTGAGGGGCTAGCTGATTTTTTTTTTTTTTTTTTTGAGACGGAGTCTCACTCTGTTGCCCAGGCTGGACTGCAGTGGTGCGATCTCAGCTCACTGCAAGCTCCGCCTCCCAGGTTCATGCCATTCTCCTGCCTCAGCCTCCCAAGTAGCTGGGACTACAGGTGCCCGCCACCAAGCCCCGCTATTTTTTTTTTTTTTGTATTTTTAGTAGAGGCGGGGTTTCACTGTATTAGCCAGGATGGTCTTGATCTGATCTCGTGATCTGCCCGCCTCGGCCTCCCAAAGTGCTGGGATTACAGGCGTGAGCCACCGCACCTAGCCTAGCTGATTTCTTGACTAGTGGGAAGTGGGGGCTGGTAGAGGGGCATCTGTGAGGTGTCTCCTGGCAATGGGTGCCCTTAGTGAGACCCAGCCAAGGCCTGCTGATCCCAGGGTCTCTTGGCTCTGTTCTTGTTGGAGGATGGTTCACATCTCTAGGCACAATTCCCTGGTAACAAGGAAAAAAACACATCTTCCACTCTGCTCTTCGGGGATCTGGTAATCTCTGTTCTCAAGTGCTGGTGGAGCGCTTCAAGCCAGGCAGTTTCTGTTCCTGGAAGCAATGGTGTGAGAAGGGCTTTATCTTGAGCCACTCACTGCATAGAAGCAGTGACACCTGGTTCCTGATTGCTCAGCCTTGGGTCTCTGGCTCTAGTCCAGAGTGCGGGGTGAAGGCTGGGGAGAGATGGGCACTGGGAATTTAGGTGGGACATCCTGGATTCTGTGGGTTGGGTGAAATGGGTAGCAGTATTCAGTGCCTTCTAGGAGGCCATCCCTGGCTTGGAAATGTTGTAGAAACCATGTTTTCCAGGCAGTAATTCTTCAGTAGCTCCAGTGACTATAGGGGTGACTCTAGAGGTGGTGGTCTGAGGGCTTAGAGCCTCAGTCTCTGGGGAACAAGCTGGGCAGGGAGGGCTAGTGGTGGTGTCCTGGTAAACTACAGAGCAGCAGGCAGAGATGGGTGTTGTGGCCTGCAGTGGTGATTCTGTGCATTCTGTCTGAGGACTGAGAACAGGGCAGGTGAAGTGCAGGGAGCCTAGTGACAGAAGGTGCTGGGGACTGGGTATGGGTGGCCCAGGGTACAGGACCAAAGCCAGGGCAGAGGTGCGTGCTTTGAGTGTTGGGTCTCTACCTCACTGTAGTATAGCCCCCTTATGGGATCTTGGGAGGCTGGGTGTGGTGGTGTGGTGTGGGACCAGCAACTAACTGCTGGAGACAGGCAGGACCCCTTGGGATCAACTTTTAGTTCTAAAGGGGTGGGGCTTCTCCCAGCCATCTTGAGAGGTGGTTTGTGTTTTGAGCAGACAGCCAATTAGAGTCTGCGGCCTTGGGCCCTTGATATGTAAAATAAGGAGAACTAGCCCCCGGTGGGGTAGCTGTTAGGATTGTTTTTCTTCTCTACCCCATCCCATTTAATCTTTTTCCTGCGATCAGATAATTGCTATGGGAGTCACAGCTATAAATCTGGGTGAAATGGGATTGCCTAGTTAATAAGGAATCACAATCTAAATTTACTGACCTGGCCAGGCGCGGTGGCTCACGCCTATAATCCCAGCAGTTTTTGAGGCCAAGGTGGGTGGATCACTTGAGGTCAGGAGTTCGAGCCCAGCCTGGCCAACATGGTGTGAAACTCCATCTCTGCTAAAACACACACACACACACACGCACACACACACACACAAACATTAGCCAGGCATGGTGCCGTGTGCCTGTAATCCCAGCTACTTGGGAGGCTGAGGTGGGAGAATCACTTGAACCTAGGAGGCAGAGGTTGCTGTAAGCCGAGATCGTGCCCACTGCACTCCAGCTTGGGCGACAGAGCAAGACTCTGTCTTAAATAAATAAATAAGTAAACAAACAAACAAACTGACCGGATGAAAACCTGGGTTTAGACTCCACTCCTCTTCCTGCTGGCATGTGCCCTGTTAGGTAGGATTTGAATCTTTTGACAGCAGGCCACGGGCACACTCCCCTATCCATTGCAGCCTTTCCTCATAGCCACTTTCCCGTCTCAAACTGTCCTTACTCTTTTTTTTTAAATTATTTTTTCCAGCCAGACCAACATGGAGAAACCCTGTCTCTACTAAAAATACAAAATTAGCTGGGTGTGGTGGCGCATGCCTGTAATGTCAGGTACTCAGGAGGCTGAGGCATAAGAATCACTTGAACCCGGGAGGCGGAGGTTGCGGTGAGCCAAGATCACACCATTGCCCTCCAGCCTGGACAACGAGAGCAAAACTCCCGTCTCAAAAAATTAAATAAAATTATTTTTATTGGGCAGCCCCCAAACTAGAATAGGTGTAGGGAGACTTCCCTGTCTTTACTCTTTTATTTGAAAGACAATTGAACACAAAGCAAATACAAGGCAAATCTCCCATCATTACCACTTTTTTGGGTGTGGGCGGGTTATTACAGAACAGTGATTCTCTCTTTCTTCCCCCCAGGATGGGGTCTCACTCTGTTGCAAGTGCAGTGGCACGATCTCAGCTCACTGCAACCTCCGCCTCCCTGGCTCAAGTGATCCTCCTGCCTCAGCCTCTGGAGCAGCTGGAATTATACCACCTGGCTAATGTTTTTTAGAGACAGGGTTTCACATGTTGCCCAGGCTGGTCTCAAACTCCTGGCCTCAAGCGATTTGCCGCCCCCTCCACCACCCCCAACCCCCGCCTCCCAAAGTGCTGGGATTTTGGGTATGAGCCACCACACCTGGCCTCAGAACAGTGATTCTCAAACTTGACTGCACATTGTAATCACCTTGGTTTTAAAAAAACCCTGCTGCTGGGGTCTCACTCTAAGATTCTGATTTAATAGGGCTGGTGCTGCCTTGGCCTTGGGCTTTTAAAAGCTTACCAGATGATGCTAATGTGAAGCCAAGTTGGAGAACCGGTTGTGAAAGAAATTAAAAATCTCTCCTCCCAAAAGGAGGAAGTAAGACTCTTTATCTGTAGGTAAGAAATCCCAAGGAAATCTACTAAATGGTTAGAATTAGTGAGTTCAGCAAGTTTGCAGGATACAAGATCAGTGTGTAGAAACTTCCCCTCTCCTACAACTGAATGGCTTGTTGTGTGTCCTTCCCAGTTTTTCCATGGGATTATGTGAACATAGACATTCCATACACATGGTGGTCTGTACCTTTTTGTTTTACGTATCCAGGTGATTTTTTCCATGTCGGCACATGAGATCAACTTCTTTCGGTAACATCGGTATGTCAGTGGATTCCATAATCTACCTAGCAGTGATTCCCCTGAAATGTTTGTTAATCCCAATTTTGTTTCAAATGATGCCTCAGCCTGTGCAGAGGTACGTGGGTTAAAAACATTTTGAAAAAAAATTTTTTAAGGGACTAGTCTCACTGTGTTGCCCAGGCTGGTGGCAACTCCTGGACTTCAGCGATCCTCCTGTCTCTGCCTCTTTAAGTAGCTGGGATCACAGGTGCTTGGCTTTGTGGATTTTTCTTTGTTGTGGTTTTGTTTTTGTTTTTTTAATTTAAAGATGCCAAGTGTGGGATTTCAGAGTTGTAGGATGTGGTTATGAGCTTTTAAGAGCTATCATAAGGCTCTCCGGAAAGGTAGTACAGACTTCCCCTTTTCTTGGCTCATATAGCGCCTCTTCCCCACAGTTCTAGAATAATGGGTTCCAGATTTAATGTGGGAGAGAATTTAGGTACCCATCCCTTGGCTGTATGCCTTGAGCTTTTTTTTTTTTTTGAGTCTCGCTCTGTCACCCAGACTGGAGTGCAGTGGCACTATCTTGGCTCACTGCAACCTCTGCCTCCCGGGTTCAAGTGATTCTCCCGCTCAGCCTCCCGAGTAGCTGGGAGTACAGGCTCCCGCCACAACTCCCGGCTCTCTCTCTTTTTTTTTTGTATTTTTAGTAGAAACAGGGTTTAACATGTTAACCAGGATGGTCTCAATCTCCTGACCTCGTGATCCACCCGCCTCAGCCTCTGAAAGTGCTAGGATTATAGGTGTGAGCCACCGCACCCAGCCTCCTTGAGCTATTTTAACCTTCAAGATAGTAATTCATTTGGCTGGGCACCGTGGCCTGTCATCCCAGCACTTTGGGAGGCCGGCTGGCGGATCACCTGAGGTCTCGAGTTCCAGTCTAGCCAACATGGCGAAACCCCGTCTCTACCAAAAATACAAAAATTAGCCAAGTGTGGTGGTGGGCGCCTGTAGACCCAGCTACTCTGGAGGCTGAGACAGGAGAACTGCATGAACCTGGAGGCAGAGGTTGTAATGAGCCGAGATCACACCACTGCACTCCAGCCTGGACGACAGCGAGATAAAAGGAAAACAATCTAGCAAGGTTCTGTGTTTGAATGTGAAGCAAAACGGTAGCACTAAATTTCTTCCCTGAGGAATTGATGTAAAGCCTTAGCCCTGGCCACTGCCTAGCCCTGCATTGTGCTTCAAATGCTATCATTGCTGCTGCTTCAAATATCAGCAAGAAAGTTTATCTTTAAAGATATAGGGACTTTCAAATGGAGGTGACCTTCTCACTACCACTGCCCCCACTTCATCACTTCAGGGGCAGAACACACCTCTTAGCATTCCTTCACAAACTGTAAGGTCCTTCTCAATCCCCTAGGGATCTTGTTAAAATGCAAGTCTGAGGTGAGACTGGGATACTGCATTTCTAGCAAGGTCCTAGGCAATATTCAGGACTTCTGGTACATGGATCGCACTTTCAGAAGCAGAGTCCTAGAGTAGTGGTTCCCAGCCTTGGCTGGAAAGTAGAACCTCTCAGGGAACTTTTAAAAGTACTGATGTTCTGGTTCTGCCAGAAAACAATATAAGTCAAACCAATATGAGTTGTTAAAACATGTGCATTTGTTATCTCTAAAAGAAAACAAACCCAAATAAGGTGTAATTCAGCTTGTCAGTTGAAGGATTTTTGGTTTTAAAAAGACATTACTTTGGCAGAGAGATTTAAAGTTTGCTGGCATAGGAAGCATTGAATGTAAGTGTTCTAGAATAAGCCCATCATATACCTTTAGTGAGTGTTAACTGCTTTGCAAAGAACTTTCTATATCTCAGCTAATCCTTATACCAACCATCCATTAAGAGATGTGTCCCCATCTTACAGATGAGGAAAAATTGAGTTTTCTATCCCCTTTACATGTCTGTTGCCTTCTTCTAGGCCCTTACTATTCCTCCTTGCTTAGACCTAACTGACTTAGGTTTCTAGGTTCCTTCTGCTCGATATACTTCACTTTTCTTTTTTGAGATGGAGTCTTGATCTCGGCTCACTGCAACCTCCACCCCCCTGGATTCAAGCAATTCTCCTGCCTCAGCCTCCTGAGTAGCTGGGATTACAGGCGCCTGCCACCATGCCCAGCTAATTTTTGTATTTTTAGTAGAGACAGGGTTTCACCGTGTTGCCCAGGCTAGTCTCAAACTTCTGACCTTAGGTGATCTGCCGAGCTCTGCTTCCCAAAGTGCTGGGATTTCAGGCTTCAGGCATGAGCCACTGCGCCCAGCCTCGATTCACTTTTCATCCTGTTCCCAGAATTGCCTTCTAGAAACAATTTGATGTGTGTGCCTTGCAGACCTATGCTGGTTCTCTGTTGTCTGCAGGATAAAGTCCAGACTACGCAGTGGGGCCCTAGGACACCCTCACTGACCCCACGATGGTACAGATGCTCCTCAGCTTACAATGGAGTTACATCCTGGTAGACCCATTGTAAGCTGAAAATAGCATAAATCGAAAATAAATACATCTAATGCACCTAACCTACTGAACACCATAGTTTAGCCTAGGCTACTTTACATGAGCTGAGAAGACTCACAGTCGTCTACAGTGGGGCAAAATCACCTAGCAACACGATCCACTCTGGAGTGCCCGTTGTTCACCCTTGTGATAGAGTGGATGACTGGGAGCTAGCATTGCGAGAGAGTAGCGCATCACCTATTGGTAGTCCAGGGAAAGATCAGAATCCAAAATTGGAAGTATAGTTTCCACTGAATGGGTATTGTTTCCCACCATTGTAAAGTTGAAAAATTCTCAGTTGAGCCTTGGAAGATCAGGGAGCGCCTGTATTTGAATCTTCCAAGTCTGACCTGGACCTTCATGCTGCAGTTTGCTGTGTTGGTCCCTCACCCTGGAGCATCTCCTTAGCCATTGGGAATTTTATTCCTCCTTCATTCTCACTGTCTCTAATTGCTGAGTAACAAAGTTCCATTTCATTGACTCATGATTTTATGGGTAGATGTGAGGGAACCATGCACATGTGGATTCCATGGGGGTTTGAAATGCTCTGATGCCACTTGATAGAAAAAAATGTTCTGTGAGTTTAGAGAACTGAGCCACACTGAGCAGAGCTAGCCCCTTTTTGGGGAACATAGAGAGAATTTGGCATCATGAAGTGATGAAGGGAGGGATTTGGGTTAAAGAATAGAATGCTCGGTTTGTTTCAAGAGGGTGCGTGAGTTGGGGAGCATGGAGGGGAAGATGCCTCTTCCTGGCCACTGACCCCCAGTGGATCACACAGAGGGTGGACTGGTACGAGCTGAGAGGTGTGCTCCTCTTGGAGGGCAGGGAAGGCGGAGGAGATGGCTCCAGCTCTACCCTGTTGACTGTCTTGCATGTGCGGTTGCCAGTATCCTCCTACCTGGCTCTGTAACATCCCTCCTCCCCGCTCTCCTGCTCTCCCCAGGTGTAATTACTTCAAGCCTCCAGGATGGCAATCCAGTTCCGTTCGCTCTTCCCCTTGGCATTGCCTGGGATGCTGGCGCTCCTCGGCTGGTGGTGGTTTTTCTCTCGTAAAAAAGGCCATGTCAGCAGCCATGATGAGCAGCAGGTGGAGGCTGGTGCTGTGCAGCTGAGGGCTGACCCTGCCATCAAGGAACCTCTCCCCGTGGAAGACGTCTGTCCCAAAGTAGTGTCCACACCCCCCAGTGTCACAGAGCCTCCAGAAAAGGAACTGTCCACCGTGAGCAAGCTGCCTGCAGAGCCCCCAGCATTGCTCCAGACACACCCACCTTGCCGAAGATCAGAGTCCTCGGGCATTCTTCCTAACACCACAGACATGAGATTGCGACCAGGAACACGCAGAGATGACAGTACAAAGCTGGAGCTAGCCCTGACAGGTGGTGAAGCCAAATCGATTCCTCTAGAGTGCCCCCTTTCATCCCCAAAGGGTGTACTATTCTCCAGCAAATCAGCTGAGGTGTGTAAGCAAGATTCCCCCTTCAGCAGGGTGCCAAGGAAGGTCCAGCCAGGCTACCCCGTAGTCCCCGCAGAGAAGCGTAGCTCTGGGGAGAGGGCAAGAGAGACAGGTGGGGCCGAAGGGACTGGTGATGCCGTGTTGGGGGAAAAGGTGCTTGAAGAAGCTCTGTTGTCTCGGGAGCATGTCTTGGAATTGGAGAACAGCAAGGGCCCCAGCCTGGCCTCTTTAGAGGGGGAAGAAGATAAGGGGAAGAGCAGCTCATCCCAGGTGGTGGGGCCAGTGCAGGAGGAAGAGTATGTAGCAGAGAAGTTGCCAAGTAGGTTCATCGAGTCGGCTCACACAGAGCTGGCAAAGGACGATGCGGCGCCAGCACCCCCAGTCGCAGACGCCAAAGCCCAGGATAGAGGTGTCGAGGGAGAACTGGGCAATGAGGAGAGCTTGGATAGAAATGAGGAGGGCTTGGATAGAAATGAGGAGGGCTTGGATAGAAATGAGGAGAGCTTGGATAGAAATGAGGAGGGCTTGGATAGAAATGAGGAGATTAAGCGGGCTGCCTTCCAGATAATCTCCCAAGTGATCTCAGAAGCAACCGAACAGGTGCTGGCCACCACGGTTGGCAAGGTTGCAGGTCGTGTGTGTCAGGCCAGTCAGCTCCAAGGGCAGAAGGAAGAGAGCTGTGTCCCAGTTCACCAGAAAACTGTCTTGGGCCCAGACACTGCGGAGCCTGCCACAGCAGAGGCAGCTGTTGCCCCGCCGGATGCTGGCCTCCCCTTGCCAGGCCTACCAGCAGAGGGCTCACCACCACCAAAGACCTACGTGAGCTGCCTGAAGAGCCTTCTGTCCAGCCCCACCAAGGACAGTAAGCCAAATATCTCTGCACACCACATCTCCCTGGCCTCCTGCCTGGCACTGACCACCCCCAGTGAAGAGTTGCCGGACCGGGCAGGCATCCTGGTGGAAGATGCCACCTGTGTCACCTGCATGTCAGACAGCAGCCAAAGTGTCCCTTTGGTGGCTTCTCCAGGACACTGCTCAGATTCTTTCAGCACTTCAGGGCTTGAAGACTCTTGCACAGAGACCAGCTCGAGCCCCAGGGACAAGGCCATCACCCCGCCACTGCCAGAAAGTACTGTGCCCTTCAGCAATGGGGTGCTGAAGGGGGAGTTGTCAGACTTGGGGGCTGAGGATGGATGGACCATGGATGCGGAAGCAGATCATTCAGGAGGTAGGAGGGTCTCGGGTTCGTTTAGAGGATGGGGCGCTCCCAGTATTTCTTGGAGAAAGGCTGCCAGTCTGCCTCTCCCTTCTGCTACTTGTGCAGCAAAGTCATAGTGCTCTTCAGCTCTTTATCGCAACCTGCAGAGGTCTGGACACGGCGTAGAGCTGGTGGGTAACTGAGGAGTTAGATTGCCCTGAAACCCCAAGTCATGGGA
This sequence comes from Homo sapiens, assembly GCF_000001405.40. Classification (NCBI taxonomy): domain Eukaryota; kingdom Metazoa; phylum Chordata; class Mammalia; order Primates; family Hominidae; genus Homo; species Homo sapiens. The sequence continues at coordinate 57,107,387 of NC_000017.11, forward strand.
GCTGTAACTTGGTTCCTCAACCGGTGACCTTCCCCAGTGAGCCCTTCCCAAGGAACTAGCGCCAAGTTGGGCTCGCTGATTAACATTAGTGTGCCTCTTTTTCTTTGTTTAAAAAAATTATTATTATTTTGGTGCAGATGGAGTCTTCCTTTGTTGCCCAGGCTGGTCTCGCACTCCTGGGCTCAAGTGATCCTTCCGCCCTCGGCCTCCCAGAGTGCTGGGTTTATAGGTGTGAGTCACTATGCCCAGCCCATTTTTTTTTCTTTTTTAAACACTAACCTCTTTGTGTGTGCGTGTGTGTGTGTGTTTTAATGGAGAGGCCTCCTTAGCTTTACTTCCCTTGAGTGCCAGGTATGGGTGTGAGTGTTTTGAATGGTTTTTATTTCCTTTTAATCATGTGCTTGTTCCCATGTCTTCACCTGCTTTCCTTCTCCAGAAGCTCTTACAGGGTAAGTGCCCAAAGAACGGCCACAGCTTTGAATACTTGTGGGAGGCTTGAGCTTCCTGAGTTGTCGCTGTCACCTTTGCAGAAAGCCTCAGCCATTTTCTTTCTGTGCAGTTGCAGCTCCACCCCCGGGAAAGCGGGGCACTTTGATAACGAGGTGTCCTGGGTTTTTCGAGTGCTGACCCCAGCGTAGACAGTTCAGACCGCTAACTTACAGGTCAGCAGCTCCTGACCCTGCTTCTGCAGGCACCCTGGGGTGTTTTCATTTATCTCATGGAGAGAGGCCACGAATATCCCGAGTGGCTCTCTGACTTGTTTGTCCTGGAGCCATTCCCTCCCATTTCAGCTCCGGGTAGGTTGGGAATCTTTATTGGGAATTTTACCACTTTCAGCAGCATCTAGTTTGTACCACACGCTACATTTTGTCACCTCCAAGATGCTGTTAAGACACTACTGTTTTTATGTACCTTGGAAAGAAAAAAGTGCTGCCAGTCATGATTATAGAAGGCAAGATACTATATGATGCATCCTAATCTCGGGATGTTTAAATGTTTCTTAAAATACTGCATCTGAAAATGGGTGATTTTTATTTTATTTATTTTTTAAGAATAAAGGAGTTTCCCTTTGCTTACTGCCCCTCAGCTGAATTAACAAGCCCCGCAGCCTTGTCTGCCAACTCTAGATGGATAGTAGTAGCTACTCAGACCTGTTGAAGTCTTCTGAGTTTAGGCTTGAACCTAAGCCGTGGTGATGGGCAGGGAGGTTTAGGGATGGCACGTGGAAATGAGGTAATACTGTCCACGAGCATGCGGTGGGTGCCAAGCACGAGGTTAGTGCCTCGCATGTACCTTCATGTCAGCCCTGCTTTGTTTGTGAGGAAGTTGAAGCTGAGAAGGGGACCAGGGACCACCCCACTGAGGGAGCTGGAAGCTGGCCTTTGAGTGCAGCCTGCTAGAGTCCGGGTGTGGTTCTGAGCCACTGCTGGGAGCCATCGGGATGGCAGGTGTTAGCCAGTCCCATTCTGTGGGGCAGAGGCTGGATACTGTGAGTGAGCAGAGCTCCCCGCCCCCTCGCCCAGCCCCTGTCAGCCTGTTATGCTTCCCGCAGGCTAGCCAAGCAGTCTTCCCCCAGAAGGGGTACTTTTCCCTGCATGAATCCTGTTCGAAGCGCCTAGTGTTAAGGGGGGAAGTCATTTTGAAGGTGATTCTTCCTTAGCTGGGAGCAGGATCTCTTGGGCCTTAGTTCTCTGCATCCAGTGTATGGGTTACTTGGCAAAGGATTATACTCAGGGTTTGGAGAAACCATGTGGAAGGTAACCTAATTGGTAGACTCTCAGGAGTGATCTATTTCTGGTGATTGAGTCATCCATATTTAAGCCAGGGCCACTTCTCTTGAGCTGATCTGGACCCGCTTTTTTGTGACGGTCCCTTTGGCACGCTCTTGAGTGAGAGTGGAACAGCCCAGGTCGGGAGCAGAGTCTGTTCCCATTGGGTTTTCTTGGGCATGAGCTTTGGCTCAGTCTTTTGACCAAGGGAGTATTTGAGCCAGAAGAGTGTTCAGAGTTGCATGAATCAGGCCTAAGCAAAGGGAAAGGAGACTCTCCTTTTTTAGTCCACATATGGCAGAGGAACGAGCGGGTCCCCGCTAGGTATAAGAATGGGGCCCTCAGGCAGGCCAGTGAGGACTTTGTCTAGCTCTGCTGGGCTGAAGGCCAGTACCTATGACCCTGGGACTGGGCCCTGGGGACAGGAGACTGACCCTTGGTCTGAGGGGGTAGGATAGTTGGAAGGGTGTCAAGGTGTTTGTGGTCCATCGGTCTGGCTCTCAGGACCATGTGGACCTCAAGCGTGTCTCCTCCCCCGCCCTCTGGGCTCCCCTTCCCTGGGCGCAGTCTGTCTCTTCCAAGTTCACCACTTGTGTCTCTGCTCCAGCAGCTGTGGCTGGGTGCGGCTGCCAATTAAGCAAGTGGGACTGTAAGTGACAGGCTAAAATTAGGTGTATCGACACCCCCAGTTCTCCTTTCATTGGGGTTGTTCTGAGCCTTCTAGACTGTAAGTTGACAGTCACCTGCCAAGCTTGAGGAGCGGGTGTGGGGCAGGGCCTCCTGGGAATGTGAGTTTGGGAAGTTCTTGGTTACTGGCTGCTCTGAGTGGGGTCTGTGTGTGTGCGTGCCTGCTGCTTCTTCCCCTGCAGGTTCTGACAGGAACAGCATGGATTCCGTGGATAGCTGTTGCAGTCTCAAGAAGACTGAGAGCTTCCAAAATGCCCAGGCAGGCTCCAACCCTAAGAAGGTCGACCTCATCATCTGGGAGATCGAGGTGCCAAAGGTAGGGGCGGAGTCCCCCAGGCTGGTTCTGTGGTAAGCCCAAAGCTCCCTGGGGCCAGGGCCATTAGACCTCAGGGAGGGAGGGGGCTGGGAGAGGGACAGTAAACCAGAAGGAGCCCTGGGTCAGCCAAAGGCCGCAGGGAAAGGACACGCTACACTTTGCCAAGGCTCAGAGAGCTTCCTGCAACATGGAATTCCTCCAGCTGCCTCCAGGAGCATCTTATTCTTGTACTTCTCAAACTCGCAGGCCTGTGTGTCTCCCTTGGGGGTGGTTCTTGCATATTCTGGGGCTCAGATCTATTTGGAAAAAAAACACCAAGGCCGTGGGGGCCAGCCAGAATCCCTTCACTGAGCTCTGCTCAAGTGCTCCAAGTGTATTTTATAATTGAGCAAAGCATAAATCCATATTTTAGAGAACTTGAAAAGTATAGAAATACATGCAGAAAATAAAAATCAGCTCTAATCCTACCCTTGAGAGTGACTGTGAAAGACTTTTATTTCCTTCTCATCTTGCACCCTGTGGTTTTTAAACAAAACTGAGATTATGTCGCTTTAATTAATACTTTAAATATTTAACAATTTAATTTTCGTGTGTTATTCTTTGAAAATGTAACTGTAACTGCATTATTCACTGTGTGGATGTCAGTTTACTTCATCAGTCCCCCATTCCTGAGTGCTTAAGTGGTTTCGAGCTTCTTGCTATTAGAACTTACAACATATTAGCTTGATCTTGATGTTTATCTCTGGGGCTCAGAAATAATTTGTCAGACCGCATTCTCCCAGGGCCCTGGGCTCTGTGCTCAGGTGGAGACTTGGCTTGGTCTGAACTCTGGGTCAGAGTGGCTGTTTTGACCCTGGGTTGCGAGGTCTCTTGGTGGTTTCCTCCCTGGGGGGCCCTGTTATCCGTCCTGCCTGCTTTTCCTTCAGTGGTTACAAAGGGCATGAAGAGAAAGGCTGTGCCTGAGGATGGACCATGTCCCCAGTAGCTCCTCCGGGAGGGGGTCGTTGGCGGTTGTGTGGGAGCCCATCTTACGTAAGGGCTAAGTTTGGCTGCTTCTATCTGCCTTGAACTCTGGCGCACTGGGCACTTCTGCATGCCTCCTGCTCTGCAGGCTTCAGCCTGCTGTCACTTGGCAGCGGGAGCCCAGGGTTCTTAGACCTTCATTTTCAAATCGAGCCCCTTTATCTTTGGATCTGAGTAGACTTGAGGGAGAGGGGCACGAGAAATCGAGAAACTGTGTGCTGGTGAAACTTCTCAGCATGGCTTTTAGAGGAGAAGATGCTGCTGCCTTTGCAGCTTTCCGGGTCTGGGCCACATTGTTGGGATGAAATGGGAACTGCTTGGTCCTGGAGCCAGACTGCCTGGTTCGACTTCCTGGTTAGCAGCTGTGTGACCTTAAGGTAGTTACTTAGCCTCTCTGGGCTTGTTTCCCCATATACAGAATGGTGATAAAGTTATCTGTGTTTCACAGGTACTATGAGTAAATGTAAGTGCTTAGAATAGTCCTGGAAAATAAATGCTGACATGGTAACAGCTAATATGTTTGAGCATGATCTTGTGTAAAACAGAAGTAGGTCTTTGGGTGTCCAGGGAATTGGTTTCCCTTTAACCCTCTCATCTCTTTTTGTCTTTCTGGAAGCACTTAGTCGGTCGGCTAATTGGCAAGCAGGGGCGCTATGTGAGTTTTCTGAAGCAAACATCTGGTGCCAAGATCTACATTTCAACCCTGCCTTACACCCAGAGCGTCCAGATCTGCCACATAGAAGGTCAGTAACATCTGCTGCTTGTATTGCCTCTTACCTGAAATATTAAATAGAAGTGAATAGCATCTGAGTTTCAATTGCTATCTTTTTGGAATAGGAAACCCTGCTTCTCATCCCAGGGAAGGGAGCATTAGGTATCTTCCCTGCAGCCTTTTCCCCATTTCAGGTGCCTGCGGGAGACTCAGGTCCCTCCCTACTCTGATCTTTGGCCAGGAGAAGTGTGGGTGCTTGGTTGGGCGGGGCCTGGGTCCTGGGTTCATAGTGCCCACCACCCCATAAAGGCTTCTCTCAAAGCAGAAGTGCCCTGTGTGCAATTCCCCCTTGGCATTTTCACAGCTGCCTGCCTCTTCTGTTGCATTGAAAGCATGGATCATAATGGCAGAGGTATCATTTGAAAGGCTTAGATGCCTTTCTTCCTAAAGCAGAGCTTAAGTGTTTTGTTACCTCAAAGATGCACTTGAACTCTATGCAAAGTCCAGTGGAGTGGGGTCTGTGGCTGTGTTTTTGTGAGTGTGGGTGTGAGTTTCCTCTTACAGTGATTGTATGTCCTGCCCCCATCCGCTATTTAGGCTCTCAACATCATGTAGACAAAGCGCTGAACTTGATTGGGAAGAAGTTCAAAGAGCTGAACCTCACCAATATCTACGCTCCCCCATTGCCTTCACTGGCACTGCCTTCTCTGCCGATGACATCCTGGGTGAGCGTGCTACTGGGTGATCCGGACTTCTTGCCACTTTCCCCCAAACCTACCCCAAACAAGAAACTCCCCAGACCTCAGGCTAAGAAGGCCAAGTGCACATGAGTGCCTGCGCCCTCTCTTCTCTGGCCTCTGCTGGTCGGTTCTGCTATGGGACTGTGTTCTGGGGACAGGGCTTAGGTGGTGATAGCGCTGGCAGGAAACCAGAGGCCTCTTGGTCCCCACATGGGAGGACTACTTTTCCTGGCTCTCCCCCTGGGCACCTTTTAAGTTTTCTAGGCGTTTGCTTAGAAAGGATGGTGTAGTTCGGACAGGAGATTGGGTGTGTCCAGGGTCGCCGTTCACCACCTGAGACCTGGGTGGGACTAGAATCATGGGTTTGGATGGCGCTTGTTCTTTCTTCTGGTTGAGTCAGGCCTTAACAGTGGCCCTGGTGAAGGATCTCCTTCCCCTTCCCCTCCCCAGGAGGTGCCTAAATTACAAAGAAGAATGAATACTCCCCACCAGGCCCGGAAGTCCAGTGACTCTTGGGAGGTTGCCCCAGGAGTTTGGCAGAGGGAAGAGCTGCTATCTCCAGGGCCCCTGTGTGCTGCTGACTGCAGGGTCTCTCAGGGCCGTGGCCCATATCCTGCCGTGTGCCTCTGGCCCTGGTTGGGTCTTATCTCACTGGGAGTAGAATTGCAGAATTCTGTGGGCCAACGACTGTTGACTACGTTTTACACAGATGGACAGATGGGCTGACTATAGCTCCAAGGAAATTGTCCTCCTTCGTGTTTTTTTTTTGTTTTTTTGTTTTTTTATGGATGGTAGGCATTTCAGTTTTGTGTCTTCCCCTTTGCAAAGGCCCTTGGGCTGGAGGGAAAGGATTGGGATATCTTTTTCCTGTGGATATGTGAGAGTAGGCTGAATACCACTTTATGCTTTACTCCTGAATCAAGAGTTTTTTCCCAGGAGGCTCGGTCGTAGACTCACTCTCTTTTTTTTTTTTTTTTTTTTTTTTTTGAGACAGAGTCTCACTCTGTTGCCCAGTCTGGAGTGTAGTGGCATGATCTTGGCTCACTGCAACCTCTGCCCACCAGGTTCAAACGATTATCCTGCCCCAGCCTCCTGAGTAGCTGGGATTACAGGTGTGCTCCACCATGCCCAGCTAATTTGTATGTTTTTAGTAGAGATGGGATTTCACCATGTTTGCCAGGCTGGTCTTGAACTCCTGACCTCAGGAGGGTAAGCAGTAGGAGGGAGAGCAAATAGGAAGCAGACTCTGCTAGACCTTGACCATGGACCTGACCTGAGGCCACTGCTTGCTCTTGGGAGGGCAGCGTAGATGCTGTCAGACCATAGGCTCCTGGGGTTGTCTGCCAGTCCACAGGAGTTGGCTAAAGGGCCTGGGGCCTGCCTACTGCTTATTTTCAGGAGTCTTGTTCTCAGCGGCCACCTCATTCCTGTGTTGCCCTCCCTGGGTCTTATAGATTCATCAACAGAAGTGGGAGGGAGGGCACTGCTGGTAGGTGGACCCTGCCCAGGCCTGTGCAAGGCCCAGCACTACCTCCGCAGTTGCTTCTTGGTTGCCCAGTGTCTGTGGGACCCTCCCTGCCTGGCCCTGAGGTGAGACTGCCCCTAATGGCTGCTCGTGGTATTGCAGGACAACAGCCACAGGGGTGTCGAACACTTTCTGTTGTTAAAGTAGTCCTTCAACCTCTACCTTCTGGGTGCCATGTTGTCTTGAGTTGCCCTTTTCAAAGATATGCTAGCCCAGAGACTTGCCCTTGGGTCTCGGGACTTATTCAAAGATGAGATAAGAAGGATTGTTTCAGTGACCGCTCCCCCTTCCCCTCTACAGCTCATGCTGCCTGATGGCATCACCGTGGAGGTCATTGTGGTCAACCAGGTCAATGCCGGGCACCTGTTCGTGCAGCAGCACACACACCCTACCTTCCACGCGCTGCGCAGCCTCGACCAGCAGATGTACCTCTGTTACTCTCAGCCTGGAATCCCCACCTTGCCCACCCCAGTGGAAAGTAAGCAGTGCCCTGAGGGGTCGGGAAGGGGGACCCCTGGGGTTGCCTGTTCTGCCCTGGATCCTGATCAGGAGGAGGCTGTTCTGCGATCCTTCATGGAAGCAGCATCCTTCAATTCTTGCCATTGTTATGGAGCTGGGGTGGGTTTCCTGGCAAGGCAGAGCTGGGGTTTCCACTGGCTGGCAGAGTGATGGGTGTTGGAGTAGAGTTTTGACACAGGGATTCAGATCCCAGCTCTGCCACTAATTTTTTTTTTTAATTTTTTCTTTTTTTTTTCCCTCAAAGCCAGTGTCATAGTATCTGCCACCTATTTATTATCTGTTAAAGGGGGTGATACCCACTTGTTCCAGGAATTAGTGTTGAATACTGTATGTATTACATATAAAGCACTTATGCATATAATGGTTACCACAAAAAAATCCCCAAGTCCAACAAGCCTGTGCAGCGTGTTGGGTCATCTCCATTTAACAGATGAGAAAACTGGGCCTCAGGTGACTTGCCCAAGTGAGCAGGATCTGGGGTCTGAGCCCAGCCTTTGTCATTATTATCTTTGTTGTCCTTATCACAGAGGATGGAATGTCAGAACATCACCCATTCCTCACCAGGGGATGGCAGGGTCACTCAGTGCAGTAGAAAACCTTCTGAAGTGATCTCTGTAGCCTTTTGTGTGGATTTTTTCCTTTTGGAAGGATAAGGACTTAGTTTTCATTGGCTTCTCTAAAGTTGCCTTAACCCAGCAGTAAAGACTGAACTGGAGCCTGAGGGGTAACTGCCAGGGGTTCTCTCCAAGGGTCAGGACCCAGCACAGTCAGCCTCATGTCACAGGTCCTCATCCTGGCCAGCGTGGGCAGCTGTTGGGGTGCTGCTGGGAACGTTTACCTCCTGGTCTCGTCTGCCTCTGACCCACAGTGGGTTAGTGACTCCTTGATCCTGGGTGGCTGCCCAGGTGCTGTCAGCACCTTCCAGAGGCAAAGGCTAGAAGAAGGGGGTTTAGGCCCAGGAGGCCCCTTCTGGTCAAGCTCTCCAGCTGAGTTGTGGGCTGGAGCACACCCTAGGTATGAGGATGCTGAGATCTGCTGCACTTGATTTCTTCAGGGACTTTCTTTTAAATGTAAGGCTGGCCCTGGCCCCCATTCCCCGAGTGCTATATTTACTTGGTTTATTCCTATTCATCTGTGTCCCTCTTGGGTCCCAGAAGTTTTGGAGTAATGGATCTAGACTGAATGCTTCTCAGTCTGGATGGCCTCGGGGGCGGCACACTTGCTAGGCTGAACTTCTCACATCCAGGTTTTTCCCTCGGCTGGTCTTGGGCTTGGGGGAGGCTTTGCTTGGGGCCGGTTGCTGTTCCTGTCCCCTGCACTGTGGAGGTTGCAGGCCTCTGAGAGGTAACGCAGGGAGGTGGGTAGTGGCCAGGTGGCCCTTGGTGCCCTGCCCTGGCCCAGGCGTTCCACGCACTCTGCTCCCTACCCTGCAGTAACGGTCATCTGTGCCGCCCCTGGTGCGGACGGGGCCTGGTGGCGAGCCCAAGTGGTTGCCTCCTACGAGGAGACCAACGAAGTGGAGATTCGATACGTGGACTACGGCGGATATAAGAGGGTGAAAGTAGACGTGCTCCGGCAAATCAGGTGAGCGGAGATGCCTCAGGCAGGCCTACGCCCTGCTTGTTCTGGGATGCGTGATCTCTGCGTGGCTGGCTCAGTTGTGCCAGGGCTTGGGTGAGGGTTACTTCTTCCCTCCTGCTGCCTACTGTGTTTTAGCAGAGTCTGATAGAAACAAACTCGATTACTCGCTTAGCCAAACTGAGCTAGAAGGCCTGTATTGTGGAAGAATCCCCAGCATCATCCTTCAAAAGTGAAGCTGGGCCAGGCGTGGTGGCCTGCTGCAAATCCCAGCGCTTTGGGAGGGTCACTTGAGTGCAGGAGTTCAAGACCAGACCGGGCAGTATAGCGAGACCTCATCTCTACAACATCAACAAAAAAGGAAAAAAGTGAAGCAGGCTCCTTTTTAGGAATTTGTCATAGGAAGTCCCTCTGAGGTCAGGCTTGCAGCAGGGTCGGCTGGCTGTGTTTGGGTGTGCTGTGAGCCGTGGCCTCCTGCAAAGTACGAACCCTCTGCTTTGCTGCATCCCAGGTTATGGGCGTCACTGTACAAAGATGAATACTGGCTTGGAGTGGAGTCAGCCTTCATGTCCACATTAAACTTGTTCCTTTCTTGCCTTCCCAGGTCTGACTTTGTCACCCTGCCGTTTCAGGGAGCAGAAGTCCTTCTGGACAGTGTGATGCCCCTGTCAGGTAACAGCTGAGGCCTTTGGCTTGGGGGATTGTTGGGGACAGTTGTTGAGAGTAGGTCTTTCTCAGAGCCTCCGTTCTCACCTGGAGGATTTATGCTAACATAAGTTGCTACCACTCAAGAGTTTCTGACTGAATAGGTCTGGGCTTAGGCCCAGGAACTTACATTGCTATCAAGTTCCCAGGTGAGACCAGTGCTGCTGATCCTTTGAGATCCACTGCTCTAGACTGTACTCAGACCTCAGGCATCAAGGGGCTTCCAACAAAGGCACTTTCCAGATTATAGTCCAGACCCAGAGTCTTAGCCCCGGTGGTTGAGGGCGTGCTGGTCACTGATACTGCTCAGCCAGGCCATAGCTCCATAGGGCACAGTGGGGACACCCTATCTGGTGTCTTAGACTATGAAAGCATTGTCAGAGGGAAGAGGACTGGCAAAATCTTGGGTAAATGACTTAGCCTCAATTTTCACCCCAGAACATGGGAATGGTACCTGTCTTTGATGCTGGCTGTGAGAATTACATAAACCTAAGATCTGGTGTGTAGAGGGTGGCGAAATGGCAGCTGTTTATGGCTAGGAATTTTATATTTGTAGGTGATAGTTCATCCCATCCCACTCCCTCCCCAGGTTTGCCCCTTCTGATCTCCTTCTTGCTTGTCTTAAGCGATTTGCATGCGTTAGAAATACTACAGTCTAGCTGGAGTCGGCTTAGAGGGAGCACTGGGGCAAGATCTTTGTTTTGCTTCTTTTATTGCTGTTGCCCCTCCTTCCTCTCTGCTTCTGTCCATCTAAGCGATCTGTCCAGACCCAGCTGAAACTTTCTCCTTCGTAAGATTTTCCCGGATCTTCCTTGGTAAACCCCTGTCTCTCCCATCCTTGCCACTGCTTGCCTTGGGTATGGTGTTCTATGTAACTTTTGTAATCCAGCAAAGCTGAATGCTGCCGCAGCGCCTTGCCCACTCTGAGTGGCTGGCCTTATTGGGCTGTGTGGCCAACTGCCTGGGTTTGATTCCCACCTTCACCACTTGGGAGCTGGTTGACCTTCAGGAATCCACCTTTGCCTCAGTGTTCTCTCCTGTAAAGTGGGGATAGCACTTGGTGTTACTAATTTTGTGGAAGAACACATATGCTCTGCACTGCCAGCATCCGAGTTGGTGGGGGTGGGGGTGGTGCTGCTGCTGGTGGTATTGGTGGTGGTGTTAGTGGTGAAGTTTCTGTCCATCTGTTGTCTGTGCTGCACCAGTGGGCAACATGCAGTAGCGGCCCTTAGTTTATCCACTGGGAGTCATATGGAGGCCTAGGCTCTGTCTCTGACCTGGGTGGATCTCCCCAGTGCAGTTCTCAAGTTCCACAGCATCTGAAGCATTCTACTTGGAATGCACCTGAAACTTGTGTACATGACAAGGGTGCCTTGCCTCAGTGAGAGCCTAAATGCCGCTTTTCCTTTTCCTCCTGAAGACGATGACCAGTTTTCACCGGAAGCAGATGCCGCCATGAGCGAGATGACGGGGAATACAGCACTGCTTGCTCAGGTGTGTGGTTGGCAGGGGTGGGGGAGGCAGGCTGGCTGGGTTCTTGGGAACTGACCTTTCAATGCCTTCTTTCCTGTGGCTTGGCCCTGGATTGACCAGCAGTATTTAAGGAAAGGTGCATGAAGTAGCTAATACTTGATATTAGTCTGTTCTCACATTGCTGTAAAGAAATACCTGGGACTGAATAATCTATAAAGGAAAGAGGTGTAATTGACTCACAATTCTGCGGGCCTGGGGAGACCTCAGGAAACTTACAATCATGGCAGAAAGGGAAGAGGCACGTCTTACATGATGGGCAGGCAAGAGACAGTATGTGAAGGAGGAACTGTCAGATACTTATAAAACCATCAGATCTCATGAGAACTCACTATGACGAGAACAGCATGGGCACACCGCCTCATGATCCAATCACCTCCCACCAGGTCTCTCCCTCGACACATGGGGATTATGGAGATGACAATTCAAGATGATATTTGAGTGGGGACACAAAACCTAACCATATTATTCTTTCCACCCCCCTTCTTCAGGTGACAAGTTACAGTCCAACTGGTCTTCCTCTGATTCAGCTGTGGAGTGTGGTTGGAGATGAAGTAAGTTCTGCCCTTCTTTTCCTTCTGTGTTGCTGGCCCGAAGTAATGGATTGATTAGGAGCTGGTCCTGGGATTTGTTTCCTCTTGAGTTAATCAGAGGATATAACTGTAGACAAGCACCTCCTAGGGAACACTTTGGATGTCCTGATTGGCAGTGGTGATGTCAGTGTCCTCTAGTGGGTAGAGGCCAAGGATGCCACTAAACATCCCATAGTATTCAGGACAGCCCCCCACAGCAAATAATTATCCAACCGCAAATGTCAATAGCGCCAAGGTGGAGAAACCCTGTGCGAGACTTTCTGGGACCTTCTGTCTGTTGAGTTTTTCTGTCCTCTATCTTATGGTATGAAAGCTTAGATTTCTTCAGCATATTAAAAAGCCTATCCTGGCCAGGTACAGTGGCTCACCCCTGTAATCCCAGCACTTTGGGAGGCCGAGACGGGCAGATCACTTGAGGTCAGGAGTTTGAGACCAGCCTGGCCAACATGGCGAAACCCCCATCTCTACTAAAAATGCAAAAATCTGCTGGGTGTGGTGATGCACACCTGTGATCCCAGCTGCTTGGGAGGCTGAGGCAGGAGAATCACTTGAACCTGGGAGACGGAGGTTGCAGTGAACCAACATTGTGCCACTGCACTCCAGCCTGGGTGACAGAGCAAGACTCTGTCTCAAAAAACAAAAACAAAAACAAAAAAACCCTATCCTTATGCCACAGCAGCCAACAGAATACTTAAATAAATGTTCCTGTTGGCTAGAGCATAAGCCATGTCCCCCACCCTGTTACTCTTTTTTTTTTTTTTTTTTTTGAGACAGTCTTGCTCTTGTTATCCAGGCTGGAGTGCAGTGGCGTGATCTTGGCTCACTGTAACCTCCGCCTCCGGGGTTCAAGCGATTCTGCTTCAGCCTCAGTAACTGGGATTACAGGTGCCTGCCACCACACCTGGCTAATTTTTGTATGTTTAATAGAGACGGGGTTTCACCATGTTGGCCAGGCTGGTCTCGAACTCCTGACCTCAGGTGATCCACCTGCCTCAGCCTCCCAAAATGCTAGGATTACAGGCATGAGCCACTGCGTCTGGCCTACACTGTTACTCTCATACATCTGTTGCCTGCAGTGGCAACCGGGGAGGGGAGAACTCATGTTGGCTAGGGAGATGGCCCCAGGATGCCATGGACAAAAGCTTTAAGGGAACTTTCTTTTCTAGGTGGTGTTGATAAACCGGTCCCTGGTGGAGCGAGGCCTTGCCCAGTGGGTAGACAGCTACTACACAAGCCTTTGACCCCCATGCTGCTTCCTGAGAGTCTTTTTTTGCACTGTTGAAATTGGGCTTGGCACTCAAGTCAAAGATGAACATCGGAATAACAAACATTGTCCTCTCCAGAAAGTCCTTTCTTTCTCCATACTGTAGTCCTATTGAGAAGACATTTCGTCTCTGAGAAAAAAGGATGGAACTATGGGTTCTCTTCGCAAAGCCAAAGGATAGTGTTTAACAAGCCAGCTGGCTTATGCTGGTTCTCAGCTGTTTAAAAAAAAAAAAAAAAAGGAATAGAAACAGTTTCAACCAGATTGTCCTATTCCCCCTGTTCCATTCCCCTCTTCTTCCTTCTATCTCCTTCCCCGGCAAAAACCAAACAAACTGGCAGACAGGCCAGGGATGTATGTTGCTTGCTTGAGAGGGTTTCTTTTACTTCAAAATCTTTCTTCAGGGAGCAAGACATGAACTGACTAATTGGTATCCACTACTTGTACAGCTTACATAAATGAGTTGATGATATTTAACCAGTTTTTATAAACTTCATTTAGGTCTCTAAACACAGACTTTTTAAATTGCAACTGTAAATATGAAATGGTCATCACATCTGACCTTGGTCAGTGGGGAGGGGAACTGGTATCCTGCCAAGCCTGGTTGTAATTTGTAACCATTTTCTATTTGTGCAAACTCTGTAAATATGTGTTTAAACAAATGTAATATTTTGTACAAGATACACTGGAGAACAAAGGGAACTCAAGATTCTTCCAGCCACATGTCACCTGTAGGTAGAAGTAAACTCTGCAGTGCAGCTTCTGCTCTTGGCCCCTCTGGCCAGGGCCCCTGTGGCTTCCTGCACACTGGACAGGTGACTGTATGGTAGAGACTGTGATCTGGGAACTTTTTGCTGTACAAATCTGTTTAAAAAAAAAAAAAAGTAACTCATTGAATTAACTTGCAGTGGTGTGTTTGATTCTTTTTTAGACTGGCTTCAGCATTGTGCAGTTTAAAAATAAGTAAGTAACTTACATAAATCTTCAATTGTATGAACTGCAGCTTTGAGTCCATTTTTTTCCAGTGGTGAAGAATTGGCGGGGGGGGGGTGGTGAGTGTGGCGAGCTGGATCACAGGCCCCACACAACTGCCTCTGCAGGAGACCCATGGTTTTTTGAAGACAATTTGGCCAGAAATTTCTATCTGGCCTTTTCCTCTCTCTCCTTGTCCCACCAGGTGGCAGCCAAGCGTCCTCCGACTTCTTCACTGCATGTTAACTGGCCAGACTCAGTTTAAAGCACTGGCTTCCAAAACGGGTTGTGCCTTCTTTGGTTGTCATTCTTAATAGATTCGTGAAGTTATTTAATTTACTGTAGTGATAAGAATGATGTAAAAAATACATGTAAGTTATGGGATGAGATACTGCCTCAATTTAATAGCCCCTGCTCTTAAAGAAGGCTGGCCACTGCAGCCCAGGCCTACCCCAGTGCCCCGCCCCTGCCCCCTACGTTTGAGGCCTCTGGCTGCAGGGCTGTTGAGCTTGAGCTCTAGTTTTTAGAGAGCTGACGTAGCCTGAGGGTCATTCTGATTGGAGATATCCTCCCACCGCACACCCACTCCTGGGAGCTCCTCCCAGTTCCAACCCAGCTGGCTTGTTCTTTCCGTCTCTGTCCTGGCCAAGCCTGAGCTGTGGCCATTGTCAGGTGCCCATCTTCCCCTCCATCCAGGTTCTCGCCTGTGTGGTTAACAGCCTCTGTTTCCCTCATCTGTAAGATGAGATAACCTCATAAGGCAATTTAATCATGGAAATGCCCTCTGCTTCTACAGTGCTTGGTCCCAGGGAGCTCCCCTGCAGTTCCTTAGCCACTATTGGCTTTAAGTCCTGGCAGGAATTGGGTGTGACTTTGGCCAGGTCACCATACACCCAGGTCTAAGCTTTTCCTCTATAATCCAGCATTGCTGGAGCATGAAAAGGTCTACGGAAGCCTTCCGACTAACTTAGGGAATGCTCACAGAGCCTGGTGTGCAGATTTAGCTTTTATCTCCAGGGAACCATTGAGGGGTTTCAAACATTAAAACATGCTTCTGGTGCAGGGAGAAGGGTGGGTGAGGTGGAGGTGTAGACATGAGAAAAAAGGGATTCCCCTGGGATGGAGCCTGGGACAGACAAGACGTGATGAAGTCAGGATCCTCAGATAAAGCCCCTTGGGCTTTGATGAGTGGGATGGGCTGCTACCCGGGACTCCCACGCCTTAGAGTCCTACCCTGCAAGGGTGCCTCCATTAAACTCGGTTTGGAATGCTGGAGGAAGAGCAAGTTGGAGGCTGGTGAAGGACTTGTACTCCTCGAATAAATGCTTCTCAGATTGTTGCCTTTGATTAATTTCCAGAGTTCTGAAAAACTTGACTTTTAACCATTTTGCCAGAAATCTCATTGTTCTTAAGGAGGAGCAGATTTATGAAGGTCCTCGCTCCATCCCTCTGCAAGTCAGCTGCCCGGGCAAGTGCATTTGAGACGCCCTCTTTTAATTACCTGTGGGGCATCCAGGGGATGTCTTGGTGTGAATTGGAAACTCACGGGAGAAGCCAGTGCTGGCAAGAGATCTGGCAATCTGCCCAGGGTGTAGGGGAGAGGGGTGGAATGCTGGATGCAGGAGGCTAGAGCTTCCACCCTGTTCTCATTATAGGCATTGGTGTCAGTACTGCCCCTCTGGTCTCTGGGGCATCACCATGGAGGCTGGGTTTTAGGGTTACTGCTATACCTTGTACAACTTCAGGTATGCCACTTGTAGACATCAACATCTGTCAGACGATAACTAATGTCAGTTCTAAGATAAAATGAGAGTTGTAGCTAGAGTTAGGGAGTGCTTACTGTGTCAGGTGCTGTCTCTTTTACAGGTAACACTGAGTCCTTGACACAACCCAGGGAGGCAGGGACTCCGTAGATGAGCAGACCCAAGAGGTAGAAGATGGTGATTTTGGAAAGTGGTTCGTGGATAGAGCAGAGCTGAAACTAAAAACCAGGCTGCTACCCCAGGCCAGGTGCTCTTCACCACCACCCCTAAAGCAGCGTGGATTCATCTTGCCCCAGTCCACATCCCCAAATAAATGCCACAGTGATTAAATGATCAGTCCATGGAAAAGCTTTGGAACTTAGAGTGGGAAAGATACCATGACAAGAGAGATCAATGATTTTGCTTTTATGGAAAATTTAAATCTTAAGTAACATAAAGCCAAGAGACACCTGCAGCAGCTAGGGCCAGAGAGTGGACGTTTTGAATCCGTGATAACGTAAAACAAGGAAAACTGGCCAGGCACGGTGGATCGCGCCTGTAATCCCAGCATTTCAGGAGGCTGAATTGGGTGGATCACTTGAGGCCAGGAGTTCGAGACCAGCCAGGCCAACATAGCAAAAACCCCATCTCTACAAGAAAAATGACATGGTGGCACGCACCTGTAATCCCAGCTACTTGGGAAGCTGAGACAGGAGAATCGCTGGAACCTAGAAGGCGGAGGTTGCAGTGAGCTGAGATCACACCACTGGACTCCAGCCTGGGTGACAGAGCCAGACTGTCTCAAAAAATCAAAACAAAGAAAAAACCCAAGACAAATCTCTAAGTTTCCATTGGGAAATATCATAAAGGATGTGGATGGAAAATCTGGGTCTGTTCCTAGACCAGCAGTGGCCAATAGAAATATGTGAGCCACATCTGTAATTTAAAACTTTCTAGGAGCCACAGTTAAAAAGTGCAAAGAAACAGATGAAATTAATTTTCATAATACTTTAAGTCATATCATTTCAGCATGTAATGGATATGAAACATTAAGGAGTTGTTTTACAGTGTTTTTCCTACTAAGTCCAGTGTGCATTTGACACTTCAGCATATCTCTGTTCAGGCCGGCCACATTTCAAGGGCATGATAGCCACGTGTGGCTTGTGGCTATCACGTTGGACAGTGTAGGCCTGGACTATTCCATTGATCACTATCACACTGATACTGACAGCCTTATTTATGTTCTTCCTTATTCAAAAAGTTGTATGTCCTTTTGCACATTTATTTTTCCAGATGAACTTTAGAATCATTTTGCAGGGAAGGGGGCCATACTAAATATTCTATTGGTATTTGAAAATAATGCACGCTATTGAGTTGGTATAAAGTTTTATATAATCTATGAAGTTGGGTGTGTAAAATATTTGAATTTATTGTTTTCCTTTCTCGCCCTCTCCTTCCCTGGTTTTTTTTTTTTTTTTAAATACAGGGTCTCGATCTGCTGCCCAGACTGGAGTGCAGTGGTGCAGTCAGCTCATTGCAGCCTCGAACTCCCTGACTCAAGCAATCCTCCCTCCTCAGCCTCCTGAGCAGCTGGGAGCACAGGCGCATGCCACCACACCGAACTAATTTGTTTTTTCATTGTTTTTGTAGAGATGAGGTCTTGCCATGTTGCCCAGGCTGGTCTTGATCTCCTGGCCTCAAGCGATCTCCGCTGCCTCAGCCCCCAAAGTGCTGGGATTACAGACACAAGACACTGCACCCAGCCCTGAAATTGTTGTCAGAGCATGTATGAGACCTTGTACATCAACATATTTTTTTGTAGTTTGGCTGGGCATCTCTGGTAGACTGGATGTCTCCTTGCCAAAAATTCTGTCTTCCTCACGGTAGGATTGTACATCCTACTGTGTTTTGTTGGACTCAGGCATGGACTCATCCTGGTCAGTGGAAGATGGGTAAAGGTGGCACAAGTCACCAAGGCAGATGCCTTGAGCCAGTATGTGGTTCGCTTGTCTTCTCCCTCTGCACCAGCGTCAGCTACATGCCAGGTAGATACCCATCCACCCACCTGGGTCCCAGTGTGAAGATAACGTGGAACAGGGCTGCAGCCAGCTCTCAATGGGTGTGTGGTTTGTGAAACATCTCACATGAGCCTCTGAGGTTTGGGGCTTGTGTGTTCCCCATGGCCTGTCATTCTAGGGTCCCACACCTTTCCTCCAAGGGCTCAGAGCTCTGGCCATAGAAGCTGCCAGGGTACCATGTTCTTATGCCTGACTGGGGACAAGCTCCTCGCCCTCTCTTCTCATAACCCCCTCTGTAAACAGTGGGGGTGAATTAGGTGAGTGCTGACATGCTTGCCAGGTTTGACTTTTGACTGATCTGTGAATAAGAGCCTTCCTGAAGATTCCTCTTAATGAGGCTGACTTGTATTTTTACAAAGCAAATCATCTAAGAGAGATCTTGGCTGTTTCTTGTTAGAAATAGGCCCAACTGACATCTGGTGGGGACAGACGGTATTTGAGAAGCCCTGATGCTCTGGGCAAGGAAGGCGGATACCTCCTACCTGGAGCTGGGATGGATTTCTTGTCTTTCACCAGCCTCCCTGGCTTGGTGACAGGCAGGAGCTCTGACTGCTCCCACTGATTTCTTTCTCTCCATTGAGCACCTGCTGTATGCCAAGCATCCTGCTGGGGGCTTCAAAGATGAAACAAACATTGAGCCTTTAGGGAGCTTCTCTGTTTTGGGAGTGGGGTTTGATGATCTCGGTGCAGATGGTGCTTTCCTGAGTGGGTGCCTTCTCCCACTTTGTAATGGGATCCTGGCAATTGCTGGTGAGGTAGGAAGGAAACTGAGGCTTCAAATCAGCAGAGCCAGACTTGAACCGGGTCTTCTGCACTCCAGACTCTGTCTTTGCTTGCATGTGATGCCTCTGCTTCTCTTTATGATGGCCCGAGCACCAAAGGGACATGTTGACAAGAAGGATGAATGAGGCGACAGGTGGGAGGGCTCCTCTCCAGAGCTGGCCTCGTCCAGGCTTTGAAGGAAGAGGAAGCCGAACAGAGTGGCATGGCAGGTGAGGGAGAAGCTGCATGGCCAGGGTCATTGCCATGATGGGAGGCACTTCCTGCTGAGATTGGGGCTGGTCCTGTGATCTGGCTCATGGACACTTGGAAAAGGAGATGGTAAAAGAGCAGGGGCTGGGCACGATGGCTCACACTTACAATCCCAGCACTTTGGGAGGTCGGGGTGGAAGGATCACTTGAGCCCAGGAGTTGGAGACCAGCCTGGGCAACATAGTGAAACCCCATCTCTACTAAAAATACAAAAATTAGCCAGGTGTGGTGGTGCACGCCTGTAGTCCCAGCTACTTGGGAGACTGAGGCAAGAGGTGGAGGCTGTAGTTGAGCCATGATTGCACCACTGCACTCCGGCCTGGACAATAAAGTGAGACCCTGTCTCTAAAAAATAAAAATAAAGTGAGAGGATGACATCATCACAGGAAGCTGTCTGTGAAAACATCACTTATAGAAGTCCTGTCTTTTTCATCTTTTAATAGGTAATAAACACATAATACATGATTCCAAAGATACTTAAGGATAACCAGAAAAAAGGAAATCTTCCTGTTTCCCCCAGACACCCAGATTTTCTCTCTGGAGGACACTATATCTAGTTTCTTGTGTTTCTTACCAGAGGTTCAATCCCTGCACACCCAGCACACATAGATGATAGCATAACATAAACAGGGTCACACACTAGGCCGGGGTTTGTCAATAAAGTTTTATTGGAACAGGCATGACCATTTGTTTACGTATTGCCTGTGGCTGTGTTTGTGCTACAGCCACAGAGGTGAGTACCTACAATAGACTGGATGCCCTGCAAAGCCAAAAATATCTAGTTTTTCACAGAAAGTTTGCTGGCCCCTGCTGGAAACACTCGTGTGCAATTCCTAACCCCCACCACCCTCCATTTAATCAAACTTAAATGCAGCTTTGATATTTATTTGCCTCTTTTCCAACCATGAGTTTTTTTGGTCTGTTTTTTTTTTGAGACAGAGTCTCGCTCTGTCACCCAGGCTGGAGTGCAGTGGCACCATCCCGGCTCACTGCAACCTCCACCTCCTGGGTTCACGCAATTCTCCTGCCTCAGCCTTGTGAGTAGCTGGGATTACAGGTGTGCACCACCATACCCAGCTAATTTTTGTATTTTTAGTAGAGATGGGGTTTCACTATGTTGCCCAGGCTGGTCTCGAACTCCTGAGCTCAAGCAGTCCACCCACCTCTGCCTCCCAAAGTGCTGGGATTAGAGGCATGAGCCACAGTGCCGGGCCAACCATGAGTTCTTTAGATTTTGAAAATTGCAGACTCTCAGCTTCCTTGTGATGATAGTAGGCAGCTCTGTGCCTTGTAGACCTCCTTCCTGGTACCTGCCTTGTTCCTGGTAGAGTGATCAGGCACAGAACCCTCCACCCCCAGAGGGTGGGCAGTCTTCTCAGGATAGACTGGGAAGACCCTCTTTAGACAGCAGTGTGGTCCAGGAACCTGCAGCGCTGGCAGCTCCTGGGAGCAGAATCTCAGGCTCCACCCTCCTGAATCCTCATTTTTGTGACTCCCAGGCTATTCATACATTCATCAAAGTTTGAACACTTGATGAGCCCAGGGCATGGATGTTCAACCCTGGCTGCATATTGGAATCATTCTGAAAACTACTGATGCCTTCGCAGGACATGCTTAAGTTATGGCTAAAAAAACAACAACAACAACAAAAAACGTTTAAATGACTTGATGCCAGAGACCTGTTTTCAAAGACACGGATTTAATTGGTCTGGGCTACACCCTGGGCACTGGGAGAGATTTAGAAAAAGTATTACCTTTGGAGTGTAACGTGTACACCAAAGCACACCAAGTGCACACATCTTGAGTGTAGATCATGATGCATTTTCACAAACTTGTGCATCTGGGTAACCATCACCAGAGGAAGTTAAAGGAACATTTCTAGGATCCCAGGAGTTGACCTCATGCCCTTGTTTAGTCAATACCTTGTCCCCTAGGGAACTGTAATTTTATCGCTGTAAGATTAATTTTCCGCCGGGCGCGGTGGCTCACGCCTGTAATCCCAGCACTTTGGGAGACCGAGGAGGGTGGATCACGAGGTCAGGAGATCGAGACCATCCTGGCTAACACGGTGAAACCCCGTCTCTACTAAAAATACAAAAAATTAGCCGGGCGTGGTGGCGGGCACCTGTAGTCCCAGCTACTCGGGAGGCTGAGGCAGGAGAATGGCGTGAACCCAGGAGGCGGAGCTTACAGTGAGCGGAGATCGCGCCACCGCACTCCAGCCTGGATGACAGAGCGAGACTCCGTCTCAAAAAAAAATAAATAAATAAATAAAATGTTAATTTTCCTACTCTGGAACTTCGTGTTAATGGGATGATGCAGTCTGCACTCTTGCATCTTAGTGTTTGCACTCACCGTTTTGCCTGAGATGGCACGTACCTCAGCTCTCTTGTGTGCATCCCACTGTATGAATATACTACAATTTATTTACCCATTCTTTGATGTTCATTGAGGTTTCTGGTTTTAGGCTGTAATGCATAAAGCTCCTATCCTTCATTTTTGTATTTTTAGTGGATGCATGTATTCATTTCTCTTGGGCACACACCTGTGAGGGTCACACACCACAGAGCAGGAACATGTTTAGCTCCAGTAATTATTTGTGTCTTGGGATTTTTTTTTGTTTTTTTGAGACAGGATCTCTGTTGCCCAGGCTGGAGTGCAGTGGCACAATTTTGGCTCACTGCAACCTCTGCCTCCTGGGCCCAAGGGATCCTCCTACCTCAGTCTCCCAAGTAGCTGGAACTACAGGCTCGTGTCACCATGCCTGGCTAATTTTCGTATTTATTGTAGAGATGGGGTTTCACCATGTTGCCCAGACTGGTCTAGGACTCCTGGACTCAAGCAGTCCTCCTGCCTCAACCCCCTAAAGTGCTGGGATTATAAGCAGGAGCCACCTCGCCCATCTATGTATTTGGATTGTTAAAGCTCACCAGGTGATTCTGATTTGCTGCTGGAATCAAGAATCCCTGTTCCCAGCTGGGCACAGTGGCTCAAGCCTGTAATCCCAGCACTTTGGGAGGCTTAGGTGGGCAGATCACCTGAGGTCAGGAGTTCAAGACCACCCTGGCCAACATGGTAAAACCCTGTCTCTACTAAAAGTACAAAAATTAGCCAGGCATGGTGGCAGGTGCCGATAATCTCAGCTACTTGAGAAGCTGAGGCAGGAGAATAGCTTGAACTCGGAGGGTGGAGGTTGCGGTGAGCTGAGATCGCACCACTTCACTCCAGCCTGGGTGAAAGAGTGAAACTCCATCTCAAAAAAAAAAAAAAAAAAAAAAATCCTTGCTCTAGAGAGATGGCTGTCAACTCATGCTGCCAAGTGCTGCTCTGAGGGCAGTGGTTGAGCTCTTCCAGCAGCCGTTCTGTGAGTTTCCTCAGTAGCCTTCCAATAAATCCCTAATCCATTTCTGTTGCTTGCCACCAATGAGCCCTATCCAACCAGACACACAGTTCCAGTACAACTCCCACCCGGCCCTCCGGTTCAGTGTTTACATCTCTTCCTATTATCACTGTTGATTGGATTTCAGTCTCAACCTCCTGTCTCCCCTGCCAGAGCCCTCAATATCTGCTGCCGCCTAGCTCAGACTCTTGACAAAATTCTTTCTTCTGTGTTCTCCGGGTCATTTTGAATACGGCCATCTGAATATATGAACGTGGTAGTGGGAGTCGGAGATTCACAACACCCTCTCTATCTTGAGACTACTAACATAGGGTTGATGTGAGGCTGAAATGGCCTAGAGCATGTAAAGCTCTTACCACAAGGCCTGGCATATAGAAATTACTCAATAAATGATGCCTGAATGCAGGTGACTTCCATCGTCACAGAAAGTTTTAATGGACTGCATTCCACTATCCAATAGGGTAGCCATTGGCCATCTGGGGCTATTGAGCATTTGAACCGTGACTTGTCTGAATTGAGAAGTGTTATAAATATAAAATATACACCTTATAAGAAAAATAATAATTACACATTGAAATATTATTTTGGACATTGCGGGTTAAATAAAACATAGTTACACTTTTTTTTTCTTTTTTTGAGACAGAGTCTCACTCTGTCACCCAGGCTGGAGTGCAGTGGCGCGATCTCAGCTCACTGCAAGCTCTACCTCCCGGGTTCACGCCATTCTCCTGCCTCAGCATCCTGAGTAGCTGGGACTACAAGTGCCCGCCACCACACCCGGCTAATTTTTTTTTTTTTTGTATTTTTAGTAGAGACGGAGTTTCACCGGTTACACTTGTTTTTTTAAAGGGTGGCTAGTGGACATGCTAAGATCACATGTGTGCCTCTTAGTCCTGTTGGACAGCATGGGGTGGAGGAACATCATTATAGGAGGTCATACCCTTTCAGACAGTGTTTCTCAAATGAGGGAGCTCAGGCCATTAGCCTCAGTTTACCTGGAGTGCTTGTTAAAAAAAGCAAAGTGCTGGGACCTGGACTCTACATTTTCAATAAGCCTCCCAGGCTAAACTCATGCCCACTGCTCCTATAACTAGGGACCATTTGATTTTACTCATAAACAGGCATGCTCCCTTGCTTTAGGTTGTGAATTGATGGAATCCTTGTTTCCTACGTTGACTTGGCTGCTAGGAAGTGTTCGGGACTAAGTTTTTGGTTAAGTTAGGGTTTAATTATTGTGTAATCTGGGTGGCTGTGTTGCTGTCTTCCAATGTCTTGCCTTAGGCTGGAAGTATCCCGAGGACAAATACCAAAGTCTATTTGCACAGTTGAAAGTTTCTCGCCTTAAAACAGCCGTCTTCCAGTCTCAGTTCTGTCGCTGTGGGACTTTGGGCAGGACACAGTCTGTAAAGATCCCATTCTCTTGTGGTTGTTCAGAGTATGAAAAGTGATCATTTATCTTCAATAAAACACTTACTTAAAAAAATAGAGATGATAAAGGTGAAGGCGCTTGGAGAGGGCTAGATTTCAGGGTTACTCAATGCACACAGCACAGATTGCTGCCACTGTGTCTTAGACCACTAGATGGCGCCACAGCACAAGCTACTGGAAGTGTCCTCCCCGCCTTCCACCTCCCCCCACCCCCACCCCGCACCCAGTAGTTAGAACAGCCGTCCTCCAAGCGATCTTATTATTAGAACTTAATAGAAACGCACATTCTCAGGTCCTCCCCCAGACCTCCTGAATCCAAACTCTTTTAACACACTGTCCTGATGCACACTTAAGTTTGAAAATCACGGTCCTAGAATCAGCCTCTGGGTAACTTGGGAAGAAGTGAGCAGGAAGCGGTGAAATAGAGGGTGGGCCGGCTGCAGGGGGTGAGGGTGGGTGTGCTGGAGCGGGTGAGGATGGGCCGGCTGGAGGGGGTGAGGGTGGGTGTGCTGGAGGGGGTGAGGATGGGCCGGCTGGAGGGGGTGAGGGTGGGTGTGCTGGAGGGGGTGAGGGTGGGTGTGCTGGAGGGGGTGAGGGTGGGTGTGTTGGAGGGGGTGAGGGTGGGTGTGTTGGAGGGGGTGAGGGTGGGTGTGTTGGAGGGGGTGAGGGTGGGCGTGCTGGAGGGGGTGAGGGTGGGTGTGCTGGAGCGGGTGAGGATGGGCCGGCTGGAGGGGGTGAGGGTGGGTGTGCTGGAGGGGGTGAGGATGGGCCGGCTGGAGGGGGTGAGGGTGGGCGTGCTGGAGCGGGTGAGGATGGGCCGGCTGGAGGGGGTGAGGGTGGGCGTGCTGGAGGGGGTGAGGGTGGGTGTGCTGGAGGGGGTGAGGGTGGGCGTGCTGGAGGGGGTGAGGGTGGGCGTGCTGGAGCGGGTGAGGATGGGCCGGCTGGAGGGGGTGAGGGTGGGTGTGCTGGAGCGGGTGAGGATGGGCCGGCTGGAGGGGGTGAGGGTGGGCGTGCTGGAGGGGGTGAGGGTGGGTGTGCTGGAGGGGGTGAGGGTGGGTGTGTTGGAGGGGGTGAGGGTGGGTGTGTTGGAGGGGGTGAGGGTGGGTGTGTTGGAGGGGGTGAGGGTGGGTGGGCTGGAGGGGGTGAGGGTGGGTGTGCTGGAGCGGGTGAGGATGGGCTGGCTGGAGGGGGTGAGGGTGGGCGTGCTGGAGGGGGTGAGGGTGGGCGTGCTGGAGGGGGTGAGGGTGGGTGTGTTGGAGGGGGTGAGGGTGGGTGTGCTGGAGGGGGTGAGGGTGGGTGTGCTGGAGGGGGTGAGGGTGGGTGTGTTGGAGGGGGTGAGGGTGGGTGTGTTGGAGGGGGTGAGGGTGGGCGGGCTGGAGGGGGTGAGGGTGGGTGTGCTGGAGCGGGTGAGGATGGGCTGGCTGGAGGGGGTGAGGGTGGGCGTGCTGGAGGGGGTGAGGGTGGGCGGGCTGGAGGGGGTGAGGGTGGGTGTGTTGGAGGGGGTGAGGGTGGGTGTGTTGGAGGGGGTGAGGGTGGGTGTGCTGGAGGGGGTGAGGGTGGGTGTGCTGCAGGGGGTGAGGGTGGGCCGGCTGGAGGGGGTGAGGGTGGGTGGGCTGGAGGGGGTGAGGGTGGGCCGGCTGGAGGGGGTGAGGGAGGGTGGGCTGGAGGGGGTGAGGGAGGGTGGACTGAGGAAGGGCTGCTGAGTGAAGGTCACAGTGCAAGAACAATTCCACAGCGCTTGTCCCAATCAGGGAACCTTTAAGGAACAAGATATCGGATGGCAATTTTGTATTTTCCTTTTTAGGTAAGACATATCCAATGCTGTCAGCTGGATAGAGGGAAAGGAGGGGTTACTAGGGGACCCACAACTTAGGGGCAAGGTCTTGGACCAGGAGCAGAAACACAGGGGCTGGCTGAGTGCTGCAGGGAGCCCTCAGCCAACCTGTGTCCCCACTCTGGCTGCTTGTCTCTGCCTGTTGAGATTTCACCAAACTACCACTGTGTTAATGGACTAGAATCTTGCAACCCTCTCTAGATGACCCAGGAAAATGGATGCTCAGAAATCAAAAAGAAGCTTGAGACTGCATGGAAAAATCACTAGTGAATTAAAATCTTATTTCTGTTTTTTTCAATCCTGTCTGTTTCCTAAGAAAAAGCTGGTGCCGGAATGAACGCGTATCTTTTTGTTGTTGTTTTGACACTGACAAAAATTCCTTTTGCAGATGGCTACTGAGGCTTCAAAGGGGCAATGTATCATGCAAATAATTTTTTTCAGCTATGACGTGTACAGTTCAGTTTGATTTATTTTTGATGTCAGAAACAAAATGGAAAGTTAGCGCTTTAAAAATGAGCATGGCTGGCTGAATAAATAAATAATATGCTCTTGGCCAGAATCTGCCAGTGCCTCCTTAATTGTCCATTGATTCTTTAATTCTCTGCACTTTAACATCTACGGAAATTAAGAGGCCACAGAGCATGGAGATGTCTTTTGTTAAACAAATTAAGGAAACTGGGTTTTAGAAGGTTTAGTTCTTCCTCGGGCTTTGACCTAGCATTTAAAGGCGGGAAGCAAAGTTGCCCAGTGAAAGCCAGTTGCCCTCCGTGGTTTCTTCTGGAGCATGACTGTACTCTCACCTTGTTTTTCCAGCCATGAATATTTATAGCGTGTCCTCAGGCCACGTACATATAGAACATGGTGTGACTCAGAGAGCAACGGAGACCCTGAGCATCCCTCCTGTCAATTACTGGGAGGTATGGAGGTGGCCTGGTGTGGCTTCCCTCCGGAAGATGCTGGTTCCCATGTTTTAGATCCTGGCAGACCAGCCCCAGGATACCCAGCAAGGGTCCTGGGAAGTCTCCTCCATTTCTTGCAGGGAGAGAAACACTCTGGAATCTTTGTTTCTTTTCTTTCTTTTTTCCTTTCCTTCCTTCCCTCCCTTCCCTTCTGCTTCCCCTTCCCCTTCCTTCCTCCCTCCCTCCCTCTCTCTTTTTCTGTTTCTTTCTTTTCTTTCTTCTTTTTTTTTGACAGAGTCTCGCTCTGTTGCCCAGGCTGGAGTTCAGTGGTGTGATCTCAGCTCACTGCAACCTCCGCCTCCCGGTTTCAAGCAATTCTCCTGCCTCAGCCTCCCAAGTAGCTTGGATTACAGGTGTGTGCCACCATGTCCGGCTAATTTTTGTATTTTTAGTAGAGATGGGGTTTCACCATGTTGGCCAGGCTGGTCTTAAACTACTAACCTCAAGTGATCCACCCACCTTGGCCTCCCAAAGTGCTGCGATTACAGGTGTCAGCCACTGCGCCTGGCCTGGAATCTTTCTTTTATCCCCATTTCCAGCTGGATCAGAGGCACCAGCCATTCTTAGTGCCCCCAACAGAGGCTTCCAATACCATCCAGAAAGGCTCCCAGAACCCCATGGCCACCAGAGCCTCCTGGCTCACCAAGCCCCACTTCCAGTCTTCTAAACTGCAGAAAGTCTGCGTTCTCTCCCCACCTCCACCCCCTGCCTTTCCCCTAACACTGCACTCTGAGGCTCCCTTCTCCAGAAAGAATTTCTGAACCCTCACCCTGGCCTCCCCCCAGGTGTGGAATGGCGGCCCCTCAGTTCCCATGGCCTGCTGTGATTCAGCTGCTGGTACTGTGGGCCCCTCCAGAGCAGGGCGTAGTTTTTTATTATGTAACCCCAGCATATAAAACAGGACCCAGAACATCATCTGCTCTCAAAAATATTTTGTCGAATGAATAAACAAGTAAGTCCATTTCCCCCAAGCAAATACTATAGATAGAGGTGCATTTAACAGAGGGTGAGATGCCCAAAGGGAATTCCATGACTGCATCCTTGTCTTGTGTGTTCCAGCATCTCAGGCCCCTTTGAAAGGGCCTTCCTTATATTCCCTCTAAGCACCCCACTTTGGGGTCAGGTAAGGTCTGATGAGAAAATGGGTGCGGAATACCCAGTGAGCAGCTCACACCAGTGGCAGGGAACCTCCTCTGCACCTTGTGACTCGTGGAAGGTTTTGGACAGGTGGTGCCATCTTAGCCTCTGGTGGATGCAGACTAGGCCTGTCAGGATACTTGTGAGTGATATGAAGAAAAAGCCGGATCCTGCCAGGCTTTAGACCCTTGAACCTTAGATCTCTGACCACATCAATGTGTCACTAAGGCTGAAACCTCCCAACCTGCAAAGGCAAATGTACATGCCTGGACAGTTCTGGGTTGGCTGTGCCAGTTAAGAGCTGTGTGATCTTCGGGAAGTTACTCCACTTCTCTGGGCCTCAGTTTGCTCCTCTATAAACTAGGGTCAATAATAGTGCCGCCTCAAAAGGTGATTGTAGGACTTAAACATGAAGCCCTGGCATCCAGGTTGCACTCAATCTATATTTTATTATTTATGTCCCTTAGCTGCGGCCTGAAGACAAGATCTGCTGAATGCTTCTCTGTAGAAATCTCAAGCAGGCCAGCTGTGTCTGCTTCTATGCGTTCTTCCAGAGTCGCGGCTACCCCATCTCTCTAGGTCCATAGGGGCCCGTCATTTCCCCCACGCTGGAGACCCAGTTGCCAGTCCTCCCTCCACTTTCCCCTGGAACCGCCATGGGATGCTCCTTGGCTGTAATTATGGCCCCAGGGTGCAGCTGCCATCAGAACACCTGCTGCCCAGGCCCTGCTCTCAGGGTGCGAAGCTGGGATCCCCCGTTCAGGCACAAAGACCTCAGCTGGCTGCCTTAGGGACCCCTCACCTGCCTCTCCGCTCTGAGTCCTCATTTCCCTCTCCATCAGCATCATTACATTAGAATTCTCGCCCTTCCACTTATCAAATCAGCATCGTGCCTGTCTGTCTCCGCCACTGTCAACAACGCAGCTTCTTGTGTCTCTTGCAACCGGGCGTCTGGGCCGCCCCTCTCTCTCTGGCAATTATGATTCCTTCCCCAGCTCACATGGAAAGTCTTTGTTCTTCTCCCTGAACGTTCAAGTTAATTTCCACTGACTGTTTATTCAGCCTTTGTACTGGCTGGCTTGCTACTCGCTCAGGAAAGGCAGGCCTTTGAGGCAGAGTGGGAAGGCAGAGCAACAGTTTGGGACAGGAAGGAAAGACACTTCAGAGAGTGAGGGGGCGAGGCAGGAGTCCTGAGGGCCCCGGAACGTGGGCGTGGGGAGGGGAGGAGGGAACCCAAGAGGGGTAGCCTGCCAATTCCCAGGTTCTGCTTTTCGGGTTAGCATCTTGGGGTATTTCTTCCCCGTGTAAGCGTGCGTGCAGATGCACGTGGCTACGAAGGCGCGTAGAGTCACAAACCTACAGATGCGGGAGGCAGAAAAAAATAGCTCTTGGCAGTTGCAGCTATCTCTCTGTGGGCCTTCTGTTCTGCCGAGCATCTGAGAGTTTGGGAGGAGGTTCTGGACCAGCAGAATTGCGCTGCTCTGAAAAGGGAAGAATTTGGGGGCAGAGAAGAACCTGATCCCACAGGGAGGAACAAAGAGGAGAGAGGGGACTGGAAGGGGAGATGGGGAGGGAGGGAAGGCTGGGGTGGCGTGGCCGCAGGGGAGGAAGTCCCGGCCAGGGCGGCCTGAGGAATACCACGCGCCCTTTTAAGGTGTTTGCCCTGTGGTGCCGATTCGGTTTCGGGTAGCAGCCTTGTATTTGAGGTGCTTGGAGATGGGGCTGGGGGTGAGGTGGTGTCGGGCCAGGAAACGAGGAGGGAAAGGAAGAGATGTCTCATTTATGAATGCTTAACCAGAGTGGAGATAAAGCCACAGCCAGGAGACCCAGGGCTGAGCAGGATTTGGGGGAGGCTGGAAGTCTAGAAACTCAGCTCTCTGGAATTTGGAGAAATTTTGGAGATAGTTTTGGACTGTGGAAATAGAAATGGGCGGTCTAATCAATGCTACCCACCTTATGGGGCCAGGAGACCCCAGCTGACATCTGGGATTCTCTATATAAACACAGCTCTCCAGTATTTTCATAATCTAAAAATGCATACAAGCAATTATATGTAACACACAACATAAGACATTTATAAATCTATGAAATCATATGAAAATATAAATGAGAAAATCAAATATATTTAATATAAATACACGTATAAATATACGTTTTAGTATGTAATCATATATATATACATAAAATGTAGAATACATAATCATATTTTTAATATATGTAATATAAATAATATCTTGGAACACAAAATAAAGTCACATCTTTTACTTTCCCCGTTCTGACCACCTCTAACTTGTATTTGAAGTGTATAGGCCATTTACATTTTTTAACTTTATTGATGTATAATTAGAATAAAATAAACTGTACGTCTTTAAAGTATGCAACTTTAAAAGTTTTTTGTTTTTTGAGACAGAGTCTCACTGTGTCACGTAGGGTGGAGTGCAGTGGCGCAATCTCGGCTCACTGTGACTTCTGTCTCCCGGGTTCAAGTGATTCTGCTGCCTCAGCCTCCAGAGTAGCTGGGATTACAGGTGCCCGCCACCATGCCCGGCTAATTTTTTGTATTTTTAGTAGAGATGGGGTTTCACCATGTTGGCTAGGCTGGTCTTGAACTCCTGACCTCAAGTTATCCACCCGCCTTGGCCTCCCAAAATGCTGGAATTACGGGTGTGAGACACCACGCCCGGCCATACAACTTTATAAGTTTTGACCTATGTACACATCTGTGAACTCATCACCACAATCAAGATAATGAACATATCCATCACCCCCCAAGTTTACTTTTTTCTAGGTAGTCCTTTCTGCCCCTCCCTCCCATCCCCCAGACAACCAACAATCTGCTTTACATCACTGGAGATTCGTTTGCATTTTCTGGAATTTTAAATAAATGGAATCAGGCGTATGATTCTACTTGGCTTCTTTCACCCGGCATCACTTTTTGAGACTTATTCATTTGCTTTGTGTATCAATAGTTCTTTCCTTTTTACTGCTGAGTTCCACTGAATGGTTGTACCACAGTTTGTTAATCCAGCCACCTGCTGAAGGACATTTGGGTTTAACATTTAAATGAAAATGCCTCCCACATCCCATATCATGAATTGTAAGAAGTTCCTCTCTTTTCCTGAGTTTCTCCTCATTTCTGGAGTGCTCCAAGAGCTGCAGGGTTAATTTCTCCCTGGGCCAGTAAGTTCAGGACCTGCTGCCAGCACAGGTAAGCTGCTCAGTCTCCTGCTCTGGGCCAGGCTCCTCACTGCTCTGCCCCATCGGCCCCTCACAGGGCAGCGTGGGCATAGGAGGCAGGCTCACACCGTGCCTCAGGGAGCTGGTCAGGAGCCCAGGCAAGCCCTGCTCTCAGCTCGCTCCAAGCAGACACAGCTGTGCCTCTCCACTCGGTCAGGGCACATTCTGGGCCTCCCCAGGGGTACACACGTGCACACATGGCCACACTCCCCTGGAAGCGAGCACTGCAAAGTCTCAGCCTCTGCTGGGGCCGCACAAGCCTCCCAGCTGTTTCAAGGAGGCTCTTCTCACTGCAGTCTCCCATGTTTCCATCCCCGCCTCCTGACTAGTCTCTCCCTCTCCTTCAATCCCCTTCATCCACACTGGCCCTTTGCTGTTCCTCAAGCACACAGGTGTACTCCTGCCCCAGCACTTTTGCACGTGCCCTTCCCTCTGCCCAGAATGCTTTTCCCTCAGGTGAGTACTCCTTCATTTCCTTCAGGCCTTTACTCAAAAGTCGCCTTCTCGAGGAAGCCTGCTGTGGCCACCTTATACCTAAAATTTCAGCCGGGCACGGTGGCTCATGCCTGTAATTCCAGTGCTTTGGGAGGCTGAGGTGAGTGGATCACTTGAGCCCAGGACTTCAAGACCAGCCTGGGCAACATAGCAAGACCCCTGTCTCTCCAAAAAAAAAAAAAAAATTAGCTGGGCATGGTGGTTGAGTCGGGAGGATCGCTTGAGCCCCAGAGATCGAGGCTGCAGTGAGCTATGATCACACCACTGCACTCCAGCCTGGGCGACGGAGTGAAACCCTGACTCTAAAATTACATTACATAAAGTAAAATTTCACCCCACCACCCTTTAATTTTCCCTTTCCCAGGCTGACTTTTCTCTTTGGCAGGAGTCACCATTGCACGGCATAGTTTACTTCTCTCTTGTTTATCATTGTCTCCCCCATTGGACTGTAAGCTCTCTGAGGGCAGTAAGTAGTCTGCTTTGTTCATCACAATTCCCCACCCCTAGAGGGCCTGGCACATAGTAGGTGCTTAAATACTTGTCAAAAGAATGAGTGGATAAATGGACATTTGTTTCACGTTCATTCTATTGGAAAAGAGAGTCCCCATCCCTCCAGGATGAATAGCCAAGGGCGATTTCAATCTGAACAGGATGTGTAATTTCCATACTGAGAGATGAGCACATTTAGCTCACTTAGTAAGTCCTGATGCAACCTGATCCTGTGCTGACACCGAATCACACGGCTGTCAGAGTCTCCCCAGGCCTTAAGGAACAGCGCCTCTAGTTGTTTGCAAACTTAAAAAAAAAAGGTACAGTGGATCCCCTCTTTTTTTCCTCAAAGAAATCTTTCTGGAATTTCATTATACAAAACATATAACATTGATGTTTTGTTAGCATGAAACTACATGCACACATTTATAATATTTACTTATTAAATAAGGACATCGAGATTGATGAAAATACAAAGTTGACCACGTGCAATGTGATATATTGGATTGGATCCTGGAACAGAAAAACGACATCAGTGGAAAAACAAGTGAAATCTGAATAAAATCTAGAGTTCACTTCAAAGTGACATACCGCTGTTGGTTTCTTAGTTTTGATAAATGGTAATGGATGTGGGTAATATTAGGAAAAAGTGAAAGTGGGGTAGGGGTATTTAGGAACTGTTGGTGCTATCTTTACAAGTTTTCTGTGAATATAAAATTATTCCCAAAAAGTTTATTATTTATTTATTTTGAGACAGAGTCCCACTCTGTCGCCCAGGCTGGAGTGCAGTGGCATAATCTTGGCTCACTGCAACCTCCGCCTCCCGGGTTCAAGTGATTCTCTTGCCTCAGCCTCCCAAGTAGCTGGGATTATATATGTGTGTCACCACGCCCGGCTAATTTTTTTGTATTTTTAGTAGAGACGGTGTTTCGCCATGTTGGCCAGGCTGGTCTTGAACTCCTGACCTCAGGTGATCCACCCACTTCAGCCTCCCAAAAGTGCTGGGATTATAGGTGTGAGCTACCTTGCCTGGCCTAAAGAGAAAGTGTATTTAACAAATGTATATTGCATCCCTGGAGGTTTAGTGGTTAGGATGTGGTGCCTCTCTCACCGGTGCAGCCCAAGTTTGTTTCCTGGTCAGGGAAAAAAAAAATATTTCTTATTGCATTAGTAAATAGATTTAACAAACAAAAAATACAAATTTGAAATTACGGTTATGGATGACAATTAGCATCTTCCACAACATATAAATTATTGCCATGTTTTGCTTTGGTGATACAATATTGAAAAAATCTTGACTCTCCCAGCTAAGCAGTCCAAAATGGCAACAGATTTTGACAGCTGCTCGCCTTGCGGTCGTAGGATATGCACCAATTAAACTGAGAAGGCGAGAGAGGCTCATTTCGAGTTCTCTAGAAGAATGGGGAAAGCAGATAGTCCACATGAGTGCAGCGCTGGTCTGCAAGGGGTTATCATTTTGAACAAAGCACATTAGAATATGCACGTTGTTGCCTCTAGTTTTAAAATAGTTTTAAATATTTTTGAAAGATGATGTTTAGATTAAACGTTTGCAGACCCTGTGAAGCATCGCTAGGACTTTGGCAAACACAATCTGAAAACCACTGGTCTCATCCTCAGTTCCCATTTTACAGATAAGAAAACTGGGGCCTGGAGGCCAGGTGCAGTGGCTCACGCCTGTAATCCCAGCACTTTGGGAGGCCGAATGGGGGTGGATTGCTTGAGGTCAGGAGTTCAAGACCAGCCTGACCAAAATGATAAAACCCCATCTCTACTAAAAATACAAAAATTAGCCGGGCATGGTGGCGCATGCCTGTGATCCCAGCTACTCGGGAGGCTGAGGCAAGAGAATTGCTTGAACTCAGGAGGCACAGGTTGCAATGAGCCGAGATCATGCCACTGCACTCCAGCCTGGGTAACAGAGCAAGACTCTGTCTCAAAAAAAAAAAAAAAGAAAAAAAGAAAAAGAAAGAAAGAAAACTGGGGCCTGGAGAGGATAAAGGACTGAGTGTTCGCAAGCAGAGGATAAGCCCATGGTGGTCATATTTCCACCATGAGATTCATTTCTATGGATGGATTTAACTGGCTATTTTTCCTAAATGCTCGGATAGAAAGCCATTGCATGCTTCATTCTATCTGTTCTCTTGAGGGTCATTTAGTTAGCACCATTTTTTTTTCCTTCCATAAGCAGAGAGTGGCTCCCTGTGGCTCCACATCCTCACTGGTGCTTGGTACTATCAGAATGGAAGGAGGAAGTTTCCCCTTCTACTCTAGAAACCTTGATGGTCCCAGGACCTGGGTTCTTGCCCTGAGTCTGCTCTCGCTCACTTCTTGACCTTGAGTGACTTTGACTGTCCTTATTTGTGACATGAGGAGGTAGGCGTAGCTCAGAGGTTCATAATTTGAGTGTTTTTGTTTGTTTGTTTTTGCTTTTGTATTTTTTTTGAGACAGAGTTTTGGTCTCGTCATTCTGGCTGGAGTGCAATGGTGCAATCTTGGCTCACTGCAACCTCCACCTCCCGGGTTCAAGTGATTCTCCTGCCTCAGTCCCCCAGGTAGCTGGGATTACAGGCGTGTGCCACCGTGCCTAGCTAATTTTTGTATTTTTAATAGAGACTGGGTTTCACCATGTTGGTGAGGCTGGTCTTGTACTCCTGACCTCAGGTGATCCACCTGCCTCAGCCTCCAAAAGTGCTGGGATTACAGGTGTGAGCCACTGCACCTGGCCCTTTGAATGTTTTTTTTTTTTTTAAT
Source organism: Homo sapiens (assembly GCF_000001405.40). Classification (NCBI taxonomy): domain Eukaryota; kingdom Metazoa; phylum Chordata; class Mammalia; order Primates; family Hominidae; genus Homo; species Homo sapiens. The sequence goes on from NC_000017.11 coordinate 57,141,923, forward strand.
TACAATTTCACAAACCTCCTCCATAATAGCAGATGTAGTTGTAGTATTTGCTGATTGAGAAAATACCTGATCCTAGGTGACTCTGAATTCAGTAATAATTTACATTATTAATTTGTATTTCATTAAACACTGTAATATGTAAGACATTTTGAAATGGCTCTGCATGTATCTGTGATCAGTATATTTATTCAGTTTATCCACAACGCTTTTTACACATATGGACTCATACTCCATACCCTATGTTTATTCACCCTCCCCCCATCTCCCCACCCCACAGTCACAACCCAGGGTTGGAAAATATTGGACTACAGAACGTCAGTGAAGGGGGAAGAGAGCATAGTGGTTTCAGAAAGCCCTGGATTTGAATCCTGCTTCTGCCACTTGCTAGCTAATGACCTCGGGCGAGTTACTTGCTTCCTGAACCCTAGTTTTCTCTTACGTGGGCACACATGCACCAGGCACTGTTCGAAGTGTCTTCTATATATTAATGTTGTATGCTTAGAACAGCTCCTGGCACCTAAGTGTTTTTAAATGTTAGCTCTTTTTCTTATTTCAGTTAATCCTCCCAACCATCTTAATAACAGAGTTATCATTCATTTATGTATTTTATTTATTTATTTATTTATTGAGGCAGAGTCTGTCTCTGTCACCCAGGCTGCAGTTCAGTGGCACAAACATGGCTCACCACAACCGCAACCTCCTAGGTTCAAGCAATCCTCCCACTTTAGCTTTCAGAGTAGCTGGGACCACAGGCATGCGCCATTACACCTGGCTAATTTTTAAATTTTTTGTAGAGATGGAGTCTCGCTATGTTGCCCAGGCTGGTCTTGAACTTCTGGGCTCAAGAGATCCTCCTGTTTTGGCCTCCCAACAAGCAGGTGCTGGGATTATAGGCATGAGCCACTGTGCCCAGCTTCATTTATTTATTCAATAGATATCTATTAAACATAAACATGTTCCAGGCATTGATTAGGCACTGGGGATATATCAGTGAACAAAACAATAAAAAACTACTGCCTTTATGGAGCACACCATTATCCCAATTTTACACTGAAGGAGGCTGAAGCCCAGAGAGGCTAAGTGCCTTTTCCAAGTCCACACAGTGAGTATAGAGAAAAAGCATTCGGGTTGCTTTGTCTGATGACACACAAAATTCTCCCACACTGTCTGGGAACTGTTCCTGCCCACACCCAGTTCATTGAATGCTTCCTGCAGCAGCTGCTCTGGGTTCGTGACCCTGCTCCTGACCCTTGAGCCACACGGGGAACTTGGATTCCATTCCTTGTACTTGGGACCAGAGAAAGTACAAAGTCAGCTCGTGGAAACTGTAAGAGGCAAAACTTGGGAGCTGGTGGCTGCCATGTTTTCTTCCATATGGAGAATGATAATCTGGAGCAAGAGGGAAGAATGGAGCTAAGGACCAGAGAAAGGCAGAGATGCATAAGAGAGAAGCATCTGTAGCCATTTTGAGACCCAGCCCCATGCCTCTCCTTGAGTTCCTGGAGACACCCAATATCCTTATAACAAGCTTCCCTTTTTTGCTTAAACTTGCAACCAAAGGAATCCTAGTTAATACCGTGGGATATGGCAAGTACCTAGCGAGTGACTGCTGTAAGATTCTTTGAGCTCTTGCCACACCCTAGACTTGCTGTTTTGGCTTCTGGAGCTGAGAGTGTCCTGCTCTTAGATAACTTTGCAATAGATTCACTACTTCAGAGCATGTGACTGCAACCTAACTCTTAATAAATCAGACAGGAGCTTTCTGCATGGAAAAGAGCTTCTGCCATACATCATTTTTGTTTTCCTCTTGGGGAGAACAGCTATGCTACAGCAATAACCTGCCACGTATACATCTCAAAGCCCTATTTATATAGCCATATGGATAAATATATATAAATAGGACTCGGGAATAATAGATTAAAGGATCTGCTCATCCGTAGAAGACTTTATGGGGCTTTCAGGACCTAATGGTGGCCTGATTCAGTAAGAAAAATGGGTCTCTAGTAGGATGTGGCCAATAATTAGATGAGTCCATAACCTGACAGATGCTCACCTGGGAGATAGAGAGGTCGGGGGACCTTGTGAGGGGCCAGGGACTCCAACAGAATAAGCTGTAAGCGGGAACAGGAAGGGAACGGATGTGCAAAGTCATGAACTCTGAGCTGTCTTCCTAGCTCAGCTCCTGTTCTGTGTGACCTTGAGCAGGTCACTTGCCTTCTCTGAGCTTTAGTTCCTCATCTATAAATGAGGAATGTGGACGTGCTGACCTACAAGATTCTTTTTTTTTTTTTTTTTTTTTTGAGATTGAGTCTCACTCTGTGTCCCAGGCTGCAGTGCAGTGGCTCACTGCAGCCTCGACCTCCTGGGCTCAGGTGATCCTCCCACCTAAGCCTCCTGAGTAACTGGGACTACAGGCATGTGCCACCATGCCTGTCTAATTTTTGCATTTTTTTTTTCAGTAGAGACAGGGCTTTGCCATGTTACTCAGGCTAGTTTTGAACTCCTGGGCTCAAGCAATCTGCCTGCCTCGTACTCCCAAAGTGTTGGGATTATAGGCGTGAGCCACTGCGCCCAGCTGGTTCTTTTCTTCTCTGACATTAAAATGACTCTGAGGCCTATGATCATGGTCCTCTGGGTGGGGAAGGTTGGGAAGATCTCATCTGAGTTTAGCTTATCCCTAGGCCTTGACCAATCGCTGATGCTCCTTAAGGGTCTCCTACATTTTGGAGGCATATGCAGAAGGAACCTGAAGTCACAAGATCAGAGGTCCTGCGGCAGTTTAAATAACAATAGCAACAACTGCTACGACTACTTCTCCCATTATTCAGCACAACTGCAGCTGGGGGATTTAGGTTCATGGTCTGCAGCTAACATTTATTGCGGACTTACTCTGGGCCAGGCACCATTCCTTACGCTTTATGTATATTATCCTGCTTCACCCTCCCAACGACCCCAGGAGGTAGGTACTGTAGCTTCTACAGGAGGTAGAAGCAGAAGCACAGAAGCCTAGTGTGTGTCCCAGGCCACACAACCGGTAAGTGAGATTGTTAAGATGCCCCCGGGAGTCTGTCTCCAGAATCTGTGTTCCTCATCACTCCTGCATACTCCCCATTTACAAGGGCAGAAACTGAGGCTACAGGAGGTTAATTGATCTGTGAACAGCCAGGATCCTGGGAGTTCTCAGACCTGTCCATTTTGTGAGAAGGGAAAAAGTCTCGCTGCTCCTTGTGTTTCTTTCTGTTTTTCCAAGTCAGTCCATTTTTTTTCTTGTAACAAAAGTCTATTTACGGAAGAGACATATAGGACCCAAGATAACCATGCATCAGTCATGCTTCAGTGAACTCCCAAATCAAAGATGGGCTGGATAACGTGTACCCGACGCTCTTGGCTTTTTCAGCATTTCAGACGTTTTTGTTGTTGTTCCCTCTGTGGGTTGAAACCAGGCTTTTGTGACTTGATGAGGACACATTTTTCCTGGGGTGTAATAATGCCACTGGTGTTAGCCCTAATGCTGAAGAGAGAACATTTGCTATTTTGGAAGAGTTAATCCCAAAGCTTCTTTCTTTTGCTCCTGCCTTTAGAAAAGGCATTTCTGAGGCAGGTCCAGGCAAGAGTACTGCCTCTGTAATCCGCCCTCAATCATCTTAGCGCTAATCACCGAGCTTCATTGAGTACTTTGTAATGTGCCAAGCTGGGAGCTGAAGGCTGATTTGATTCTCTTAACATCTTCTGAACGGGTATAGCTGTTACCCCCATATTACAGATAGGGCACTGAGGCATGGAGCTTAAATGGCTTGACCAAGATGCCCCGGCAGCAAGGGGCAGAGCTGGGAATAGAACCCCGACTCCAGACATAGGCTATTAATGCCACAGTCTGCTACTCCAGGACTGACCATTACGTTTGTGGGGAGTGGGAGGGGAATGAAACTGCAGGGCCTCTTGTTCAACAAAGATTAAGACTTTAAGACTGCTGGGTGCAGTGGCTGAAGCAGTTTGGGATGCTGAGGTGGGAGGATCGCTTGAGCCCAGGAGTTCAAGACCAGCCTGGGTAACATAATGAGACCTCCGTCTCTATCTTTTAAATATAAAAAACTAAAAAATTAAAAATAAAAATAATGTAGGCCGGGCATGGTGGCTCACGCCTGTAATCCTAGCACTTTGAGAGGCCAAGGCAGGTGGATCACCTGAGGTCAAGAGTTCAAGACCAGCCTGGTCAACATGGCGAAACCCCGTCTCTACTAAAAATACAAAACTTAGCCAGGTGTGGTGGCACATGCCTGTAATCCCAGCTACTCAGGAGGCTGAGGCAGAAGAATCGCTTGAACCCGAGAGTTGGAGGTTTCAGTGAGCCAAGATCGCGCCATTGCACTCCAGCCTGGGCAACAAGAGTGAAACTCCGTCTCAAAAAAAAAAAAAAAAAAAGTGTTAAGACTGTGACGGCAGAGTATTAACCAACTGTGGAGCCCTTCTCAGTATGAGGCCCTGTGTGACTGCACAGGACAGATGCCCAGGAAGCTGGCCCTGACTACCCCTTTGGGCAGTTCCCTGGCTGTCTTCCAGCTTCCAGCCCTCTTTTCCAGGGGGACAAAAGCACCTTGGCCCAGGCAATGTGCTTTATACCGCCCTGACAGCTATGAAAAAGAATGGCACAGCCTGGGCTTTAGAAAGCTTGGGTTGCTGCAGGTTCCTTCTGAGCAGCAGGCAGAGAGGGCTCAAGCCAAGACTGGGTGCCCCAGCCCATCTTCTGCCTCATCGGTGCCCCCGAGGGCTGGCACTTGGCGAAGCCCCACCCCACCTCCAGGCTGTGTCTTGTGGAGAACACAGCCCCTCTGGACTCCTCCCTGTCTCTGCCCATCCTGTGGCTATGTTCATGATGGGGCCTCCTGGAGGTTCAGAGAGGGCCAGAACATTGTCCTTTCTTTAAGCTTTGGTTTATTAAACAATGGAGAAATGTCAAAACGGATTGCAAAAATTGTGGTGTGCTTCAAATGTGTGCATGTTTAAAATCAAGGCCATTATTATAAAAACAAATAAGATGCAATATAAATGTGCTTTTCCCAAGACAGTTACTGGATTTATTCATTCCCAGCTCACATACACAGTAGAACCCGGTAATGGAATACGTGGTGTTATGATATAGATGGGCTGTTGTCCACGGCTTCTGCTTCATATCTCCCATAGCCCCTGTTACAGCCTTTACTTATAATGTTGGGTGTATTAGGCCTCAGGGGCAGGCTTCAGGAAACAGAATCTCTCTCTTGCCCTCCATTCACCTAACTCAAGATAGGACTCTCATTTTCTTTTTTTATTGAGATGGAGTCTCGCTTTGTCACCCAGGCTGGAGTGTAGTGGCGCAATCTCAGCTCACTCCAACCTCTGCCTCCTGGGTTCAAGTAATTCTCCTGCCTCAGCCTCCTGAGTAGCTGGAATTACAGGTGCCCACCACCATGGCTAGCTAATTTTTGTATTTTTAGTAGAGACACAGTTTCACCATGTTGGCCAGTCTAGTCTTGAACTCTTGATCTCAGGTGATCCGCCCGCCTCAGCCTCACAAAGTGTTGGGATCACTGGTATGAACCACTATACCCAGCCTCAACTTCCCCTGCCTTTCTGATTGTGGGTCTTAAGGCTTTCTTCAGAGAGGGTCCCACCCTGTACCCTGGGGGGAAAATGCTTTGAAACTTCCATAAATACCCAAGAGGACTGGGTTGGGGGAGCTCCCGGATAGCTGAACGTGTGAAGCCTGGTATCCCAGGGAGGGGATGGAAGCTCCACGCCCTTTCTCCTATACCCTATGCATCTCTTCATCTGTATCCTTTGCAATATCCTTTTTTGGAGACAGAGTCTTGCTCTGTGCCCAGGCCGGAGTGCAGTGGTGTGATCTTGGCTCACTGCAACCTCTACCTCCCGGGCTAAAGCCATCCTCCCACCTCAGCCTCTTGAGTAGCTGCGATTACAGGCATGCGCCATCACGCCTGGCTAATTTTTGTATTTTTTGCAGAGACGAGGTTTCACCATGTTGGCCAGGCTGGTCTCGAACTCCTGGCCTCGAGTGATCTGCCCACCTTGGCCTCCCAACGTGCTTGGATTACAGGCGTGAGCCACTGTGCCTGGCTGCGATATTCCTCATAATGAACTGGTAAATGCGAGTGTTCCCCTGAGTTCTGTGAGCTGCTCCAGCAAATTAATTGAACACAAAGAGGGTGGTGGGGGCAATTGTGAAGCCAATCAGTCAGAAGTTTCAGAGGCCTGGACTTGCCACTGGTGTGTGCTGGAGGGCAGTCACGGGGACTAAGCCCTCAGCCTGTGGGAGCTGACGCTATCGTAGTGTCTGAACTGAATTGGAGGACACCCCCCTGGGGTCCGCTGCTTGGTGTGTGGGGAAGAAACACACATACCTTTGGTCATAAAAATTCTGTGTTGATTGCTGTGGTGTGACAGCTGAGGAAAAATGTGGCTGGAGAGAGTTTTTCCCTATAGAATATAATTATTTTTTAGTTTTCATTGAGGTATAATGCACGAAGTATGGGGAAAGTGCACTGATCTTAGGTGTTCCACTTGCTTTTTATATATGTATATACCTCCATAACCACTACCGACATCAGGATATTTACAGCACCTAGAAGTTTCTCTCACCCCCCTTCAAAGTCAGTACCCCCGAAGAGGTCAGTGCCGTTATGGGTTCTATCACCTAATGATTGGTTTTACCTGTTCTTGGATTTCCTATAAATGGAAGAATACAGTGTATATTCTTTTGTGCTTGGTATCTTTCTCTGAACATAATGTCTGTGAAATCACCTATGTTTTTGCATATGGCAGTGGTTTATTCTTTTTATTGTTGAGTAGAATTCCATTACGTGATTATGCTGCAATATATTCCCCATTCTCTTGCTGAAATGGGCATTTGGGTTGCATCCAGTTTGGGGCTATTAGGAGGAAAATGCTGTCAACATTCTTGGACACTCTTTTTTTTGGTGGATATATGCACCCATTTCTCTTGGCTGGGGTATGCGTATGTTTAGTTTTCTGAAGTGGTTGTACCAGTTACCACTCGTATAGCAATGCATGAGGGAAAATATACGTTTAAAACTGTAGGATGAATATCCTCTTCTTTCGATCTATTTGGTATCCCTCTGTGAATGCAGCATTTTGCAGAGATGTCCAAGTTTGAATAGCATGCTGGGCAGCCCCCTCGTGCCCCACTGCGACCATATCTGATAGGAAAATTCCACGGAGACACTGCTTTCTCTCAGGAGCCTCTGTACCCCATCTCCTCCACATTACCCTCCAGCTGCCGGGGCAGGGGCTTTGGAGGTAGGATGCCTCCAATCTGACTAGCTCTGTCAATGAGGTCATGGAAGGGAAAACTAAACCAAGAAAGGAAGAGCCAGAGGGGAAAAATGAGGGGGAAGGAAGTGGTCGCATGTGACAGAGAGTCCTGTAGGATCTTGGGAAAGCCGTGTGGATATCTAACCCGGGATCCTCAGCTGCCTTCACTTTTTGGGCAGCTCCCATGGGCCAGGCACATCTGCTGCTTCGTGCAACCATTCCAACAACCTTGTAAATTCGCTATTATTAGACCTTCCCCTGTGTTAGGCACCTTGCTAATGTTCATTACCTCTAATCTTCATGACTCCTCTGTGGACAAAAGAGAAAAAGGCAGAGCAGAAAGACAAGCCACTTGCACAGGACCACATAGGCAGGAAGTGCCATCCTAGGACTCGAACCAGACCCTGCTGGGCACAGAGGGGAAGCCTTGTGGTACCCGACAAGCGGAGCCTCTGTCATCAGAAGTTATTTGCTCCCATGATGTGTGACCTGTGTACATGTATCACAGGTATATGAGAATGAACACAACTTCCGGCATAGGTGTTGCTCATCTGAAAGGCTAAGCACAAATGGATGTTTTACAAGTTGAATTACATTACTTACCAGGGGAGTTGATTTTTTAAAAAAAGATCTAAGAGGAGACATAGGGAGAGGCCGTTGGGAAATGTGACCATATCTTCTGTGTGGATTTTATAGTTGGGACTCGCATGGACCCACTCCCCGCTGCCTCCCTCCCACTGTAGTGCTAGCATGTGTACATTGCAAGAGGCTCAGTGTCCTATCTTGGTTTGCAGAGACCCCGAAGTGGTCAGAGCCCCTGACTCTGGCTCTTTGCTTTGTGGCCAGGTAGGTGTCCACAGCCCACAGGATTCAGGTTCACGCATGAGGGGCAGGCTCCTCTCCTTTCCCTACTTCCCACCCCAGCACTTGTGGAGAGACCAGTCATTTCTGCCAGGTCTGTTTATTTCAGCCTGTGAAGCAAGCTAACACAGCTAGTGAAGTCATAGAAAGGGATGCCCTGCAGTTCCAAAAATAATTGTTCTGTTTGTCCCCTCAGGTGGGTGAGAGGAGCAATCACAAGCTCTGGATGGGACGTGCTCATGCTATGGCTGGTCACCGTGATCACTCAGTCATCTAAGGGGGGCAGTCCTGGTGCCGGCCATACCACTCTTGGGCATGGGGGCTGTTACCAGTGGTAGTTATCCATACGGGTCTGCAGCAATCTCAGTTTTTGCCTCCTCAGAAGAAAGAATTCGACTGAAGGACATAAGAAAGAAGGAGAGACTGAGGCAAGTTTTAGAGCAGGAGTTAAAGCTTATTAAAAAACTTTAGAGCAGTAAGGAAAGGAAGGAAAGTACACTTGGAAGAGGGCCAGGTGGGCAACTTGAGAGATCAAGGGCACAGCTTGACCTCTTGACTTGGGGTTTTATACGTTGGCATACTTCCGGGATCTTGCGTTACTTCTCCCCACTCTGCAGATCTTATTGGGAAGTTGCTGATCAGTTTTAGGTGTTTTCTGTCTATTAGGAGACTGCCTTTCCCTGGCGCTGGCTGTGACCAATTATTATTTTAGAGAAACAGTTAACAACTGCCTGACCATCACCTGATGGTTGCCCATCACTCCTAGTGTGTGTGGTGTGGGGGAGCCGTCTCCTCCCCTGCTCTACCTGACTAGTTACCTCGTGTGGGAAGGGGCCCCCCCAACTCCCACTGCCCAGCCTGCTCCTCTCTAGAACAGCCAGACTTTGTAGCCACAAAGAATTCTTTGAGCTAGGCACAGTGGCTCACACCTGTATTCCCAGCACTTTAGGAGGCTGAGGCAGGAGGATCGCTGGAGCCCAGGAATTCAAGACCAGCCTGGGTAATGTAGCAAGACCCTGTCTCTACTAAAAAAAAATTTTAAAGAGAGTTCTTGGTGGGAGATGTCCTTGCTTCTGCCCAGGAACAGCTGGCAAAGCCAAGTCAACAGTAGCAGAGGGCTTTTCTGTGAGTTCTCAGAAGGGCCACCCTTAAAGGCAGGCACCAGAAGGCTGGGCGCAGTGGCTCATGCCTTTAATCTCAGCACTTTGGGAGGCCAAGGCAGGCAGATTACTTGAGCTTAGTAGTTAGAGACCAGCCTGGCCAACATGGTGAAACTCTGTCTCTACTAAAAATACAAAAATTAGCCGGGCATGATGGTGTGCATTTGTAATCCCAGCTACTCGGGAGGCTGAGGCAGGAGAATCGTTTGAACCCGGGAGGTGGAGGTTGCAGTGAGCCAAGATTGTGCCACTGCACTCCAGCCTGAGCGACTGAGCAAGACTCCATCTCAAAAAAAAAAGGCAGGCACTAGAGCTTCTGGAGCTACGAAAATGTATTGTTCTGAGAGGTGACAGAAGGGCAAAAGATGAAGGTTAGATGAATGGAGGGGAGTTCATATTTTTTTAGTACCTACAATGTGCTAGGAACTGTGTGAGGTGCTTCCACATGCCTTATCCTGTTTGCTTTTCACAGCAGTCCCATGAAATAGATACTATGTATTATAAATCCCAGCCCCCTGCCCCGCTTTGCTGGCCCGCAACCAGTGTGCTCATAGGGAGTCCTGTGCTCAGAAGGACACCTGCGCTGTTTAATGCCCTGTTGTCACTGTGATGTGGTTTGGCTCTATGTCCTCACCCAAATCTCATCTTGAATTGTAATCCCCGCGTGTCGAGGGAGAGGCCTGGTGGGAGGTGATTGGATCATGGGGGCAGTCTCCCTGCTGCTGTTCTCATGATAGTGAGTTCTCACGATAGTGAGTGAGTTCTCACGAGATTTGATGGCTTTAAAGTGTGGCGTTTCCTCCCTCGCGTTCTCTCTCTCTTTCCTGCTGCCTTGTGAAGAAGGTGCTTGCTTCTCCCTTTGCCTTCTGCCAAGATTGTAAGTTTCCTGAGGACTCCTCAGCCATGCAGAACTGTGAGTCATTTAAGCCTCTTTCCTTTATAAATCACCCAGTCTCAGGTATATTGTTACAGCAGTGTGAGAATGAACTACTATGTGCTGCATTTCCATCTTGCACTGGACTCCACAAATTTGGTAGTAGGTCATGATTATACCCACTTTATAAATGAGGAAACTGAGGCTCCAAAAGGTTATATAACCTGCCCAAGGCCATAGCTAGGAAATGGTGGACTTTGCACTTGGTAGTCCGACAGCCCTGTCTGTGTTCAAGACCAAACCCACCATTATGGTGCATTTCATTCAACAAAGTGTATATATTGAGGCCGGGTACAGGGGCTCACACCAGTAATCCCAGAATTTTAGGAAGCCAAGGCCGGAGGATTGCTTGAGGCCAGGAGTTTAAGACTGGCCTGGGCAACATAGCAAGACACTGTCTCTATTCTATGAAAATGAAAGCATAGGTATTGAGCATCTGCTCTAAGGCTGATATTCTCTTAGGCTCTTGGGATTCATCAGTGAGCAAAATAAAGTCCCTACCCTCATGGGGCTTGCACTCTAACAAGGTGTGTGGTATGCGAGTGCTTTGGCTCTTAAGGTGAGGTCCCTGGATCTGCAGCATCTAACAAGAAAACTTGTTAGAATCAGACACTCTGGGGGTGGGCCCAACAGTCGGTGTTTTAACAGTCCCTCCAGGTGATTCTAATGCAACTCAAGTTTGAGAAATACTGACCTAAAAGGTAATACAGATAAAAGTGCAGAGCAATGAGGGAGGGAGATGGGGAGTCTGCAGTTTAAACGGGATAGTCAAGGAGGGGCTCAGTGAAGGCTTCCCTCTGAGCAAAGCTGTGAAGGACATGAGGAGGTTGCCCCCTCTGGAGCACACATGAGCCAGGCAGAGGCGGTGGCTGGCAGAGAGGCCTAAGGGCGGGAGTGTGACTGAAGAGCATGAGGGATACTGTGGGGCCATTGGCAGGGACGAAGTGTGGCAATCATGAGGCCATGTTTCATGTGTCACCAAGCCTCTGATTCTAATATGCTTTTCTTGCATATTCCAGCCATGTGACTGTTGCCTGGAGGGACCATTTTGGTATAGCCACCCACAGAGAAGCAGGACAAATAAGGAGTTGTTTCTCAAGATGGGCAATCACGCCCTTCAAGGAGAAGACAGAGGACACAAGTGTTCTCCAGTTTCCCCTCCAGCTTGAGTTATCTGAAAGCACTGCTTAATGAATACACAGATCGGGCTTCATTGGGAAACAGAGGCTCCTAGCCAAGGCCCCTGATGTGGCATTCTCATTTTCTGGGTGGTAACCCTGAGGATAGATCAGGGACATTTTCATTAAGTGTCAAGCGTTCCTTGAGCTCCAGCAAATGACGCAGGAAGCTTCAGGACTCTACCACAGGGACAGCAAGTCTGCCATCTAAAGCTTTTCCTCAAAATTTCAGGGCCACACTTGTCATGCAGCATGAAATCCCAAGGGAGAAAAATGTTGACACAGTTGACCAACAGGGGCTCACCCTCTGCCTTAGAAGAGGCCCTGCCTCTGGTGACTTTGTAGTCTCATGTCCCAGGGAGGGCCCCCCTCCTCCTCTGTCTCTTTCTCATTGTGTTCCTAGTCTCGGCCCATTTTATAGATGTGAAAGCTGAATCTCAGCTGGGAAATCATCTATAAAATGGGGATAATGAGGAATTAAATGCAATGATATACATTGTGCACTTAATATACTATCTGACATAATAAAATCAGCACTCAATTAAATGTTGGCTAATATTATCCAGGTGTCCAACCTGGAAGTTACCTTCCATTTTGCTTTCTTATCACCCACACGTGCAATCCTTCATCCAGTCTATTCATCCTACACCCTTAATATTTCTTCCCTTCCTCTTTCCTTCTACCACTACTAAGAGTCCTAGTCCTCATCATCCTGCATTTGAGGGAGGTACAGATTCTGCACAAGGGCTGAGATGGAGCTAGTAAATGGCGGATTTGGCATGGAAACCCAAGCCTGCTGAGATCCAAGACTTCAGTGATTCTCACATTAACGTATGTATCGGAATCACCTGGAATACTTGTTAAGCTACAGATTACTGGGCCCTGTTTCCGAGGGGTCTGATTCAGTGATTCTCACATTAACGCATGTATTGGAATCACCTGGAATGCTTGTTAAGCTACAGATTACTGGACCCTATTTCCGGGGGTCTGATTCCGTGATTCTCACATTAACGCATGTATTGGAATCACCTGGAATGCTTGTTGAACTACAGATTACTGGGCTCTATTTCTGAGGGGTCTGATTCAGTGAGTCTCACATTCATGCATGTATCGGAATCACCTGGAATGCTTGTTAAAATACAGATTGCTGGGTCCTATTTCCAGGGGGTCTGACTCAGTGGGTCTTGGGTGAGGCCCAAGAATTTGCTTTTCTAACAAGTTCCCAGGTGATGCTGATGCTGTTGATTCAAGGACTACACTTTGGGAACCAATGCATTTTAGCAAACTAGTGGTTCTTAACCCTGGCTGTACATTGCAATCACCTGGGCACTTAAAAATTCTGATGCCAGCCCCCGTCTCTGAAAGTCTGATTGAATTGGTCCACAGTGGTGTCTAGACATTGGCGTTGTTTTCTAATGTGCAGCCAGGAATGAGGACTACTCCTCTAAACGCTGTCAATAGGGAGTATAGAAGGAGTAGCAGGTTCCTGAAGGCAAATAATGGTCCTTTTTCCCTAAAATACAGAAACATAATGACTTCTGCTTTCAAGCTCAAAACCCACAGCATTATAAACCAATCTGTTCAGCCCCAGTTAGATGCTAATTGAGTTTCCTCTCTGGGCTGGGTCTTGTTCTCTGTGGCTTTTTCAACAACCTGAGTGTGGACTGATTGGGGCCAACTGGTTGGTGGGAAATGACAAGATGGAAATCCACTGAGAAGCTGATGACAGGTCTACCTTGCAACTGGGCATTTTTCTTGCAAATAATAATCTGTGGTGATTTCACTTAAGTTTGCAGCAGCATGTTTTATGACCACAGTCGTTGCATAATTATGCAACGGAAATGTATTTGAAATTGCTTAAATGGTTATATAGGCAGGATTTGCTCAAGCATTTGATGTATACTTTTTAAAAGTCCACATGCATTTGGATTACCATTGAAATGTGCTTTTGAAATTGGAGTTTGCTGTTCCCAGTTTAGTGCTGAGAAACAGGAGGGTTTTTTGTATAACCTAAAAGCAATAATGCATTTAGAAGGTGGCATTAATTCTTTCTAAGGATGATTAAATCTTATCTGGTGATAAATTGTTTAGGAACTAGGCAGGGAGGCTGGGTCTACTGCCTTAAAGTGCAAGGAAAGTAAAAACAAACAAACCCCCCCAAACCAAAAAAGTCCAAACAAACAAGAAAAGTTGAATATCTTAGTTCATTGGCTATTATCAATACAAAAACAAAAATGGTGAGGATGTTGTCTGGATAGAGGATGAAGAAGAGAAATTGTAATCATGGGGTAGTAGGCCTTCAGACTTGGAGCTGAAGAAGGAGTCTAACCAGGGAGCTCAAGTCCACTGCCTACGGAAGTCTAAATGAGTGAAGGACCAGCATGTGCCCCTTTATCTTTCTTTCTTTCTTTTTCTTTTTCTTTTTTTTTTTTTGAGATGGAGTTTCACTCTTGTTGCCCAGGCTGGAGTGTAATGGTGCGATCTTGGCTCACTGCAACCTCCACCTCCCGGGTTCAAGCAATTCTTCTGCCTCAGCCTCCTGAGTTGCTGGGACTACAGGTGTGTGCCACCACACCCAGCTAATTTTTGTATTTTTAGTAGAGACAGGGTTTCAGCATATTGGCCAGGCTGGTCTCAAACTCCTGACCTCATGATCTGCCTGCCTCAGCCTCCCAAAGTGCTGGGATTACAGGCGTGAGCCACTGCGCCCAGCCTGTATTATTATCATTATTTTTTTTTTCCCCGTAGAGATGGGGTTTCTCCATGTTGGTCAGGCTGGTCTCTAACTCCCGACCTCAGATGATCCACCCACCTCGGCCTCCCAAAGTGCTGGGATTACAGGTGTAAGCCACCATGCCTGGCCTTGCCCCTTTCAAAAGGAGCAGCCAGCTGTTCCATCCATGAATGTGGGCCCCATTTCATCACACTCCTCTGAGTTTTCAAGAGAAGACAGAATTCAAGATTTTTTGTTTTGTTTTGAGACAGGGCCTCACTCTGTCACCCAGGCTGGCGTGCAGTGGCACGATCTCAGCTCACTGCAACCTCTGCTTCCTGGGCTCAAGCAATTATCTTGCCTCATCCTCCTTAGTAGCTAGGACTATAGGTGTGAGCTACCAATGGCTGGCTAATTTTTGTAGAGATGGGGTTTCACCCTGTTGGCCAGGCTGGTTTCAAACTCCTGAGTTCAAAGCAATCCACTCACCTCGGCTTCCCAAAGCCCTGGGATTATAAGCATCAGCCACAGAGCCCAGCCTAGAATTCAAGATGTTAATATAAACTTTCTCAATTTAAAATGCTTGCTTAGGCTGGGTGTGGTGGCTCACCCAGCACTTAGGTGATCCGCCTGCCTCGGCCTCCCAAAGGTCAGGAGTTTGAGACCAGCCTGGCCAACATGGCAAAACTCCTGTCTCTACTAAAAATGCAAAAACTACCCGGGCGTGGTCGCAGGGGTGCCTGTAATCCCAGCTACTCAGGAGGCTGAGACAGGAGAATCACTTGAACCTGGGAGGCAGAGGTTGCAGTGAGCCGAGATGGCACCACTGCACTCCAGTCCGGGTGACAAAAGTGAAACTCCGTCTCAAAAAAAAAAAAAAAATGCTCATTTAGGCTGGGCATGGTGGCTCATGCCTGCAATCCCAGCACTTTGGGAGGCTGACGTGGGAAGATTGATTGAGGCCAGGAGTTTGAGACCAGCCTAAGCAATATAGCAAAACCACATCTCCACAAAAAATTATATTAAAAAAAGCCAGGCAGCCAGGCGTGGTGGCTCACATCTGTAATCCCAGCACTTTGGGAGGCCAAGGCGGGTGGATCATGAGGTCAGGAGATCAAGACCATCCTGGGTAACACGGTGAAACCCCATCTCTGCTAAAAATACAAAAAATTAGCCAGGCATAAACCCCATCTCTACTAAAAATACAATACTCAGCCAGGTGTGGTGGCACGCACCTATAGTCCCAGCTACTCAGGAGGCTGAGGCAGGAGAATTGCTTGAACCCGGGAGGCAGAGGTTACAGTGAGTCGAGATCACGCCACTGCACTCCAGCCTGGGAGACAGCGAGACTCCATCACAAAAAACAAAACAAAACAAAAATAACAAAACAACCAGGCATGATGACATATGACCGTAGTCCCAGCTACTCAGGAGGCTAAGGTGGGAGGATCTCTTGAGCCCAGGAGTTAAAGGGTGCAGTGAGCTATCATAGCACCACTGCACTCCAGCCTGGGTGACAGAGCAAGATCTTATCTCTCTCTTTTTTTTTTTTTTTGAGATGGAGTCTCACTCTGTCGCTCAGGCTGGAGTGCAGTGGCGTGATCTTGGCTCACTGCAACCTCTGCCTCCTGTGTTCAAGTGATTCTCCTGCCTCAGCCTCCCAAGAAGCTGGGACTACAGGTGCGCACCACCATGCCTGGCTAATTTTTTTGTACTTTTAGTAGAGATGGGGTTTCACCATGTTTGCCAGGCTGGTCTCAATCTCCTGGCCTCAAGTGATCTGCTCACCTCGGCCTCCCAAAGTGCTGGGATTACAGGCATAAGCCATCATACCCAGCCAGGACCTTGTCTCTTGAAAGAAAGAAAAAAAGCTTGCTTAAGTAAGATAAATATTCTGTGGGCTTTATTTAGATCATATCAATGATCTTGCCCAATCCCCTTATTTTACAGAGAAGAAACATGCCCTAGAGGGTTTATTGATTTAAATAAAGGCAGTCCACTCAGAGATCCTTTGCCTTCAGGGCGTTCATAGTCATGTGTGGGGAAAAGGTAGGAAATAGAGGTAGACTATAATGGAGTGGCCTCTAGAATGCAGTTAATGGAGAGGCAGTGGTCTCATCTGGCCTAGCGATCAGGAAGGACTTCTCTCCAGGGAGGAATTCTCAGCTGAGTCTTGGCAGAGGAATAGGAGTTAGCCAACTGGAATGGTGCCTCTTTGCAAACACCCAGGGACATGAATGGTTGAAGAACTGCAGGCAGCTGCGGGACAGAACCCAGGTATAGAACCAAAAGGTCACAGGCTGAACCCCAAGGAGACTCTGAGCAATTGGGAGATTCTGATATGGCTAAAACTGTAGCCCACGCCCCAAGATGTATTTTCACAGTGGTGAAGGAAAAAGATGAGTTAAGTGTCTGAGAATCTGAGAGCGGGGGCTTAGCCACGCCTGAGGAAAAGGGTGACATGTCAGGTGGTGAAGTATAGTTTTGGCTTTTGTTTTTTTTCCTACTTGCTCTGAAATCAGCATTCCAAGCTCTGTCATCAGAACCCCTGAAAGGCTGCCTGATTCCTTCATGGAAATGGCTCCTTCTGCTTTTAAGAGCTCCTGGTGTTCTGAGTGGATGAGTCTTCACATTTCAAAAATCAGCGTGATTTCCCTTTGGTAACCTTGGCATTCATTGCACCTGATCAGGGAGGTTTTCTTTTTCAGTCCTGATGCCTTAAAAGAGGGAATCCAGATTGTTTTTCTGTGTTTCATGTGCTTTAGGGAGTTTTCTTTTTTTTTTTTTCTACTCATATTGTTACTCAAACAGGGACCACTAGGTGTGGACAGAAATAAAGGTTGTCTTATTTCCTCCCTAGGTCAATTGTTAACTGGCTGTCTCCATGACTTCTCTAAGTGTTGACGTCTCACTATTTTCAGTATTTCCTTGGCACTGTGATAGACTTTAGGATCTGGACTCTGCCCCTGCCCCCATGAAGCAGGAAAGAGACAGCCATGGGTGATCAAAGTTGATATGGTTTGGCTTTGTGTCCCCACCCAAATCTCACCTTGAATTGTAATCCCTATAATCCTCACCTGTCAAAGGCAGGAACAGGTAGAGGTAATTGAATCATGGGGATGGTTTTCCCCCATGCTGTTCTCGAGATATTGAGTCTCATGAGATCTGACGGTTTTATAAGTGTCTGGCATTTCCTCTGCTGGCACTCATTCTCTCTCCTGCCACACTGTGAAGAGGTGCCTTCCGTTGTGATTGTAAGTTTCCTGAGGCCTTCCCAGCCCTGCAGAGCTGTGAGTCAGTTACACCTCTTTCCCTTATAAATTATGCAGGCTTGGGTACTCCTTCATAGCAGCGTGAGAATGGACTAATACAAAAGTCATGACATGGTTAAATATGACATCTTCCAACTGCAACAACAACAACAAAATTACAAACAGAACCAGGGGTTTAGCAGGAATCTTATGGCAGGGAGTCAAGAGTTTGATTCCTTTTATTGTTGGGAACACTGATTCTACAAGCAAACAAATCTTGACCTGCCATTTATTTTTTATTTCTCTTAAATTAAAAAAAGAAGAAATGGGCCAGGTATTGTGGCTCATGCCTTTAATCCAGCACTTTGGGAGGCCAAGGAAGGTGAATCACCTGAGGTCAGGAGTTTGAGACCAGCCTGGCCAACATGGCAAAATTCCGTCTCCACTAAAAAAAAAAAAAAAAAAAAAAAAGCCAGGTGTGGTGGTGTTTGCCTGTAATCCCAGCTACTCAGGAGCCTGGGGAAGGAGAATCACTTGACCCCAGGGGACAGAGGCTGCAGCGAGCCGAGATTGTGCCACACACTCTGGCCTGGGTGACACAGCAAGACTCCATCTCAAAAAAAAAAAAAAAAAAAGGTGGGGCGCAGTGGCTCACGCCTGTAATCCCAGCACTCTGGGAGGCCGAGGTGGGTGGATCACGAGGTCAGGAGATCGAGACCATCCTGGGTAACATGGTGAAATCCCGTCTCTACTAAAAAAAATTAGCCGAGCGTGGTGGTGGGCGCCTGTAGTCCCAGCTACTTGGGAGGCTGAGACAGGAGAATGGCGTGAACCCAGGAGGCGGAGCTTGCAGTGAGCTGAGATAGCACCACTGCACACCAGCCTGGGTGAGACTGTCTCAAAAAAAAAAAAAAAACAGAAGAAATGGAGGTAAAATTTACATAACATAAAAATCACCATTTTAACCACTTTCAAGTATTGAGTTTAGTTTTTTTTTTTTTAGCATAATGCCATGTAACCATCACCATGATCTAATCTCTGAACATATTTATTACGCCTGAAAGAAACCCCATACCCGCTCCTCATTCTCTTACCCCTAGCTCCTGGCAAACAATAATCTACTTTCTATCTCTCTGGATTTGCCCATGGACATTTCATATAAATGGAATCATGCAATATGTGGCCTTTTCTTTCTGGCTTCTTTCACTTAGCATAATGTTTTCAAGGTTCATCCATGTTGTAGCATGTATTAATACGTCATTGCTTTTTATGGCTGAATAATGTTCCATTGTATGGATATACTAAATTTTGTTTATCCATTCATCAGTTGATGGGCATAGGGGTTGTTACCACATTTTGGCTATTGTGAGTAGTGTGCCTATGAACACCTGTGTACAAATTTTTGTTTGAACACTTGTTTCAATTATTTTCAGATATACAGCTAGGAGGTGAATTGCTGAGTCATGCGGTAATTCTACGTTTAACTTTTCGAGGAACTGCCACATGTTTTTCACAGTGGCTGAACCATTATACATTCCTACCAGCAATTTATTAGGGTTGCAATTTCTCCACATTCTCACCAACACTTGTCATTGTTTGTCTTTTTTATTATAGCCATCCTTGTGTGTGTGAAGTGATATCTCATTGTAGTTTTAATTTTCATTTCCCTGATGGCTAGTGATGCTGAGCATCTTTTTTATATGCTTGTTGGCCATTTATATATGCTCTTTGGAGAAATGTCTATTCAAGTTCTTTGTTCATTTTTCATTGGGTTGGTTGTTTTTGTTTTGTTTTCCTTCTTACAGATAGGATCTTGGTTTGTCACCCAGGCTGGAGTGCAGTGGCACAATCATAGCTCACTGCAGCTTCAAACTCCTGGGCTGAAGTGATTTTCCCGACTTGTCCTCCCAGGTAGCTGGGACTAGAGGTACACGCCACCATGCCCAGCTAATTTCTAAGTTTTTTGTAGAGACAGGGTCTCGCTTTGTTGCCCAGGCTTGTCTCCCACTCCTGGTTTCAAGTGATCCTCAAGCCTCAGCCTCCTAGAGCACTGAGATTACAGAAGTGAGCCACTGTGTCTGGCCTGTTTGTCTTTTTGTTGTTGACTTGTAAGAGGTCTTTATATATTCTGGATTCTTTATATGTTCTGGACTCATATCTATGATTTGTAAATATTTTCTCCCATTCTGTAGACTATCTTTTCAATTTCTTGACAGTGTTCTTTGAGGCACAAAAGTTTTAAATTTTGATGAAATCCAATTTATCTATGTTTTCTTTTGTTGTTTGTGCTTTTGGGGTTCTAGCTAGGAAAATTTTGCCTAATCCAAGGTCACAAAAATTTACACCTATGTTCTATTCTAAGAACTGGGTTCTTACATTTAGGTCTTGGATCCATTTTGAATTAATGTTTGTTTGTGGTATGAGGTGGGGACCCAGCTTTATTTTTTTGCATGTGGATATCTAGTTGTCTTGGCAACATTTATTGGAAAGACTATTCTTTCACCATTACATGGTCTTGGCAGTCTTGCCAAAAATCAATTGACAATAGATGTGTGGGTTTATTTCTGAACTCTCAATTCTATTTTTACCATTTATCCTTATGCTAGTATCACACTGGTTAGATTACTATAGCTTTGTAATATAGTTGTGTCCAATGTAGTTGTGTCACACCCCCACCTCCCCCAGCCCCCATTTAATTGCCCTGGCTAGAACCTCTAGTACAATGCCAAATAGAAATGGCAAGAGTGGAAGTGCTTGTCTACTTCCTGATCTTTAAGGGGAACGCCTTCAGTCTTTTGCCATTAAGTATGATGATGGTGGAGGCACTTTCATAGATGCCCTTATCAAGGTTGATGAAGGTTTCCTTCTTGTAGAGTATTTTCATTATGAAAGGGTGTTGAATTTTTTTAAGTATTTCTTCTGTGTCTATTAACATGGTCATATATTTTTTTCTTATTCTATTAATATATGAGATTTTTTTTCTTCTCGACACCAAATACATGGTATCTTTTCCAATACCACTTCTCAAGTTCTTTGACGCCAACTGCATGGCCAATAATCCAATTCAATTCTGATATGAACTATCCAAAGTTAGCCCAGACCCTAGAGGTTAAAGTCTCAGTCCCATAAGACTGCTCCCACTTCAGACACCAGCCATAAATGGAGTGACCAGGATACTCAAATTTCTTCCCCGCCGACTACAATTTTGGGAGTTCCAATCACCCCTCCCCAGGTTCAATAGTTGAATAGAATGACTCTCAGAACTCAGGAAAACACTATTTCCAGTTTGTTATAAAATATGCAACTCAGGAATAGCCAAATGGAAGACATGCATTGGGCAAGATACATGATTAAAAAACTCAGTAAATATTGATTGCATTAATGACATAAATGCCACTGCCTAACAACAGAGTATTTCTGAATATTTTAGTTGTGTATGTGTGGTTAATTGGTGGTGGTGGTGTTTCTACAGCATCTAAGGTGAATTGCCCCTAGTCATCACCGTCCTATATCTCAGTGTACCTGACTTGTCACAACCTCTTAGAAATGGCTGTCCAGGGGTTCATACAGGTGAGTCTTTCCTGGAGTCAAACCAGAGCTGACAACTATACATAAATCCTGTGACCTTGACCATTTTAACATTTGGACTAGCTAAATCAGACAATAGATCTTTACCTTCCAAATGTTCAGGCCTAAAATGTTAATGTCAACTCCTAAGTGCGTTGTGCATTAGAAAGCTACAAAGAGTTAATTCCAAGAAGCCATTCCTATTAATCTTGGTGTCTGGATAAAAACTAAATTTGGGACCTCAATTACCTGATCGCGTCCCATGTAGATTTCGCCGGCAGCAATATTGATGAGGGCAGCAATCATTTCTCCCACTTGGAAACACAATTGCAATCCCATCCTAAGCAATCTGTCCTTCAAGTGCATCTGGAAGTGGGCATTATTTTCTCTTTTGTTTTGTTGTAGAGAGAGTTTTTCAGTTCCAGAATCTTTAACCCTTTCTGCTCCATAGCACAGCCCTACTTGACTGAAGAAGAGAAATCATACCACTAACATTTCAATTCTTTTATAGTTTAGGAAGCATTTAATGTTATCCTGTCTCAGTGAATCCTGATCATTGCTCAGTAAATACGTTTGGCTATGCTCATTCATCAGAGGCGGGACCTGAGGTTTGAAGATGTTAAGTCTCCTGCCTGTGCCATCCAGTTGGTAAGGGGCAGAGAGAGAGTTGGGACTCAAGCTGTGCTAGTTTCTCTGGGTTTATAGGCTACAGAGGATGTCATTAAATAGGTCCAGGTGTTTTCAAAAGGCCACAGACACAAAAGACCAAAACTTCAGTGGCTTGTGGGGGCGATGAAGGGCAAAGTCTGATTGAAGGACTGTGAGGGAGGAGAGAGAAGGATTTTGAAGAGGGGATTGGAATGGGCACTATTGGCAGATGATACAGTGATACTGCCATCAACTGCTGAACATCCCAGCCTCTCCAGCTGTGGTTTGTGTCACTGACCTTCATTTATTTATAGTTCCCCTACACCAACCCTTGTCAATTATCTCCCTGGTGAATTATTGGTGATGTGTTTTTGATCCCAAACCACCTGGCGCATATCTGGTCATCTACCTAGACAGTGGGCATGTGGTCAGAGAGCATGAATTCCTCTGAGTAGGTCTCTACGCAAAATAAGTCATGGAAGCAAATCCTTATTTAAAAAATAGTCAAGCGGTGGTGGCAAAGGTCATGCACACTGAGAAAGATGAAGAGCCTTCTCCAAGCCATGCTCCTGTCATTAGGACCAGCTGGTAACTGGTCCTGTATGAAGAAGAGAGAGCAGTAGCTTTGTGAAGAGAGCAGCTTTATGTTACCTTCGCTCTTTCGCATTTTATCATTGAACAAAGGGAAAGAGAATGAGACCTGATGGAATTCGTCCATTCATCTATTCTTTGCATTTAATCCTGTATTCCTTCACTCAATAACTATGTATTGGCTGGGCATGGTGGCTCATGCCTCTAATCCCAGCACTTTGGGAGGCCAAGGCAGGTGGATCACCTGAGGTCAGGAGTTCGAGACCAGCCTGGCCAACATGGTGAAACCCTGTCTCTACTAAAAATACAAAAATTAGCCAGGTGTGGTGGTGTGTGCCTGTAATCCCAACTATTTGGGAGGCTGAGGCAGAAGAATCGCTTGAAGTTAGGAGGCGGAGATTGCAGTGAGCCGAGATCGCACCACTGCACTCCAGCCTGGGCAGCAGAACAAGACTCCATCTCAAAAAAACAAACAAACAACAACAACAAAAACTATGTATTAAGCATCTACTGGGGTCTGTGCTGAGCACTCAGGATGCAGCAATGAGCAAACCAGATACCATCTTTGCCTTCACGAAGCTTGGAGTCTAATAGAGAAGGAGAAATAAATAATTACAAATAAGGTAACGAGCCAGTAGGAAAGTAAACAGGACCCTTTGCTAGAGAACACTAAGAGACTTACTTGGATTCCATGGTCATAAAGATGTCTTTTTGAGGATGTGGCAGTTAAGTCCTGTTTTAAACATGAGAAGGAGCCCATTTCGAGGTAAAGAAAGTGGCTAGGGGATGAAGAGTTTTCCATGCAAAGCACATTCTAAAGCACAAAGGAACAGCACATGCAAGGGCCCTGAGGCAGCAAAGAGATTAGGGCCTTCAAAAAAAACAGAACAAACCGGCTGGGCATGGTGGCTCATGCCTGTAATCCCAGCACTGTGGGAGGCCGAGGTGGGCAGATCACCTGAGCTCAGGAGTTTAAGGCCAACCTGGCCAACATGGTGAAACCCTGTTTCTACTAAAAATATGTAAATTAGCTGGGCGTGGTGGCACATGCCTGTAGTCCCAGCTACTTGGGAGGCTGAGGCACAAGAATTGCTTGAACCTGGAAGGCGGAGGTTGCAGTGAGCCAAGATCACACCACTGCACTCTAGCCTGATCGTCAGAGCGAGACTATGTTTCCAACAACAACAAAAAAGAAACTCGTTACAGCTAATGAGTGAGGAGGAAGAAGAATGGTAGGCAGGGGCCAGACCATTGCAAGGCCTTGCTCCTTTCTCCAAAGCTGCCTACTCCCCACTAACCCATGAGACTTTGCAAGAGTGTGTCCAGTAGAAAAGGGCCAATCAATTTTTCACTCCTTCATATTCTATGTCTACTCTTCTACCATGGTCTCTTGACTTTGGGCTTGACCTTGTAACTTTGTTTTAGCCAATAGTATGTGAAGGTGGCAAGGGCTAGAAATGTGCTTATGCAGCTGGGAATATCCCTGTGTGTTTCTGCCTTTTCCCATTAAAAGAACATGCTTTGGGGAGTCCCAGGAAGATGACAGACATCTGGAGCAGACCTGGACCCAACCTGAAGCCCAGAGTCAAGCTCCGCCAAGCCCAGGTTAAGGTAGTATGCCATTGAGTTCTTTGGTTTTTACTGAGTTTGTTTTTTTCCATTGAAATTTTGGAGAGGCTTTTTACACAGCATTATTCTTCCAATAGCTGACTAATACAAGCAGGACAATGAGAACTTCTCTAAGAAATGATTGACACAGAAGGCATATGTAGTCTGGAGAATGGAAGGAAAAAAGGAACCTAAGAAAGGAGAGTAAAATGTGTCACATGACAGAAAGATGAGATTTGTTCCATGAAACCCTAAAGTAGATGTCTGAGATCCATGAGCGAATATACAGGGACACAGGTTTAGCCATACCTAGGGAAGAATTTTTTATCAACTAAAAAGTCAGGAAAATGAAATGACTTATCTCAGAGACTGTCTTTCACCACCGGCGAGCATAGAAATGATGATTAGTGCCTACTATGTGCCAAGGACTCTCATATTTTTCTTTTATTTTGTGGTAATTCTCACACACACACAAATTTTTGAGATAAGAATTATTCTACAGATAAGAGAATTGAGATTCAGAGAAGATAAGAAACTTGCAAAAATCTATATCTAGCCAGTAAATTGCAGAAGCAGGATTTGAACTGAACCTAGATCTGGCTGGTACTTAGATCCTGCTGATTTAGAAGATGGTTTCCAGGAGATCCAAGTGCTGAATGGAGAGTGATACCTAAAGCCTGGGTCCATAAGCCATCCTGTTTTGGGGATAAAGTTTTCACTTGTCTTTGGCAAGTTTTCACTACTGGGGAAAGAGGAGGAGTGGGGAGGGGAAGGGAGAAAGGTAATGAGTTTTTCATAATGCTGAATTGTTCCATTTAAATGGCTTTCTTTTATTCTGACATTCTATCTTTTCAATTATTCTTTAAAAAAAAATCCAATAATGACATTTAATGATCCAATAATGTTCCTTGTCAGTGTCCCTGGATATTTTAGAATGATATGGGATGTGAAACCTGAAAGTCTAGAAGCCACTATCTGGATGACATCCAAGGACTCTTCCAGCCTAAACTTCTGTAACTTTTCTTTCTTAACTCTAAAGGTCAAATTACAGGCTCGAGGGCCTCAGGAATCAGCCCCGGCCTGCACTTGCCTCGAGGCTGAGGGAGGACTGCAGGGTTGGCTGCCTTTTCCTGGCTGGAAAAGGGGGGGAAAGCCTCCCGGATCGTTCGCTGCATGAGAGCTGTCTGCCTTTCTCTCAGGTCACCCATTTTGCTGATTCAATGGCAATAGGTCAGCGATGTCTCATCTGTAATGGTCTTTGTCATAACGTTATGACAGAAAGGGTGTGGCTTGTCCAGGTGCCCTTTCTGAGATGAGAATGCCTGTTAAGCAGCTAAGCTGAGCTGTGTTTATGCTGATGAGCCCTCGCAGCAGAAACCTTAACCCCCACCCCTCAACAGAGTCAAAGTGGTCAAAGGTGGTAGGGTGGTGGGGAAGGGGGGGTGGGGTCAGCTCCTTAGCCACAGGTGAAGCTAACTAGCAGGGACTCCTGGAAGGCTGCAGTCCTGACTGATTTTTTTTTTTTTTTTTTTTAAAGACAGGGCCTCTGCCCAGGTTGGAGTGCAGTGGTGCAATCACAGTTTACCGCAGCCTTGATCTCGCAGGCTCAGATGATCCTCTTGTCTCAGCCTCCCGAGTAGCTGGGACTACAGGCTTGCACTACCCTGCCTGGCTAATTTTTGTACTTTGTGTAGACATGGGTTCTTGCTGTGTTGCCCAGGCTAGTCTCATGCTCCTGGGCTCAAACAATCCTCCTGCCTCAGCCTCCCAAAGTGCTGGGATTACAGGCATGAACCACTATTCCCACCTCCACCCTACCAGTTTTTTAAAACAGCTTCATTGAGATATAATTTACATATCATATAATTCACCCATTTAAAGTGTATGATTCAGTGATTTTTAGTATTAATGTATTCACAAATACACGCAACTCTCACCACAGTCAATTTTAGAACATTTTCATCACCTCAAAAAGAAACCCATACCTTTTAGCTGTCACTTCCCCTCTTGTTCATTCCATACCCTCCTGCCTCTGGCAGCCACGAGTCTAGTGTCTGTCTCTATCAATTTCCCTATTCTGGACATTTCATATAAATGGAATCATATAATATGTGGCCTTTTGTGACTGGCTTTTTTCACATAGCATGATGGTTTCAGGATTTATCTATGTTGTAGCATGTCTCAACACTTCATTCCATTTTTTTAGACTTTATTTTGTAGAACAGTTTTAGGTTCACAGCAAAAATGAGCAGAAAGTACAGAGAATTTCCTCAACCCCACACATGTATAGCCTCCCCCACTGTCAACACTGGCACCAGTGGTACATTTGTTAGAACTGGTGAAACTGTATGGATACCTTGTTATCATTTAAAGTCCGTAGTTTACATTAGGATTCACTGTTGGTGGACATTCTATAGATGCTGACAAGTGTGTAATGGCATTGGCGGGTATTCACCATTACAGTATTACACAGAATAGTTTCACTGCCCTAAAAATCCTCTCTGCTTTGCTATTCGTCCCTCCTCCGAAGTAACTGTTGATATTTTTACTGTCTCCATAGTTTTGCTTTTTCTGGAATGTCATGTAGTTAGAATCACGCAGTATGTAGGCTTTTCAGATTAGCTTCTTTCACTTAGTAGCGTGTCGATAACATTTCATTGTCTGGATATACCACAGTTTCTCTATTCACCTACTGAAGGACATCTTGGTTGCTTCCAAGTTTGGGCAGTTATCAATACGGCTGCTATACTTTATTTCTTTTCTTGGTTGAATAATATTCCATGGATATAACATTTTGTTTATCTACTTATAGTTGATGGGCATTTAGGTTGTTTCCACCTTTTGGCTATTGTGAACAGTGCTGTTATGAACAAATTGAGCCTGTTTTCAAACAAATATTGTTTTCAGTTCTTTTGGGCATATACCTAGGAGAGCAATTGCTGGGCCATATGGTAACTCTATATTTAACCATGAGATGAACTACCAAACTGTTTTGTAAAGCGAGTGTATCATTTCACATTACCACCAGCAGTATATGAAGATTCTGATTTTTCTACATCCTTGTCCAACGTTTTTATTCTAGCCATCCTAGTGGGTGTGAAGTGGTATCTCACTGTGGTTTTGTTTTGCATTTCCCTGATGACTAATGACACAGAGCATCTTTTCATATGCTTATTATCCATTTGCATATCATCCTTGGAGAAATGTCTATTCAGATCCTTTGCCCATTTTTTAATTGGGTTATTTGTCTTTTTATTATTGAGTTGTGAGAGTTTTTTTTTCTTCTATATTCTGGATACAAGTCTCTTATCAGATATATGATTTGCAAATAATGTCTCCCACCATCCACTCTTACACAGTGCTCTCCTCCCTCTTCCTGCCCCCTGCAAAGCTGGTAACACAGTAGGAGAGTTTTGATTTGTTTTTAAAAACTCATCTACTTCTGGATATATACCCTGTATTAGTCCATTCTCACACTGCTATAAAGAACTACTTGAGACTGGGTAAGTTGTAAAGAAAAGAGGTTTAATTGGCTTATAGTTCAACAGGCTGTACAGGAAGCATGGCTGGGGAGACCTCAGGAAACTTACAATCATGGCAGAAGGTGAAGGGGAAGCCAGCACATCTTCACATGGCAGCAGGAGAGAGAGAGCAAAGGGGGAAGTCCTATATACTTGTTAACCAGTTCTCAAGAGAACTCTGTCGGGAGACAGCACTAGGAGGATGGTGCTAAACCATTAGAAACCACCCCCATGATCCAATCACCTCCCACCAGGCCCCACCTCCAACACTCGGGATCACAATTCAATGTGAGACTTGGATGGGGATACAGAGCCAAACCATATCATACCCCAAAGAATTGAAAACAGAGACTCAAACATAGAAGATATCTGTATACCAATGTTCATAGCAGCATTATTCACAATAGCCAAAAGGGGAAACAACTCAAATGACCGTTAATGGATGAAAGGATAAGCAAAATGTAGTATATACATACCATGGAATATTATTCCACTTAAAAAAACAATGAGCCTGGCATGGTGGCTCATGCCTGTAATCCCAGCACTTTTGGAGGCTGAGGCAGGCAGATCACTTGAGCTCAAGAGCTTGAGACCAGCCTGGGCAACATGGTGAGACCCTGTCTCTACCAAAAATACAAAAACATAGCCAGGCATGGTGGTGTGCACCTGTGGTCCCAACTACTCAGGAGGCTGAGGTGGGAGGATCACTTGAACCCAGAGGGTGAGGCAGAGGCTGCAGTGAGCCTACATTATGCCACTGCATGCCAGCCTGGTGACAGAGTGAGACCCTGTCTCAAAAAAAATTTGACACATGCCACAACATAGGTAAACCTTGAGGACTTCATACTAAGTGAAATAAGCCAGACACAAAGGAGAAATATTGTATGATTCTACTTATATCAAGTACTTAGAGTAGTCAAATTCCTAGAGACAAAGTAGAATGGTGGTTGTCAGGGGCTGGTGAGGAGGGAAGGGAGAATGGAGAACTGTTTAATGGTTATAGAGTTTCAGTTTCAGAAGGTGGAAAAAGTTCTAGAGCTGGAGGGTGGCAATAGTCATACGTCAATGTGAATATACTGGCAGTGGTTCAGGCCTGTAATCCCAACATTTTGGGAGGCCGAAGCTGGTAGAGCACCTGAGCTCAGGAGTTTGAGACCAGCCTGGACAACATGGCAAAACCCCATATCTACTAAAAATACAAAAAATTAGCCGGGTGTGGTGGCAGGTGCCTGTAATCGCAGCTACTCGGGAGGCTGAGGCAGGAGAATCACTTGAACCCAGGAGGCAGAGGTTGCAGTGAGTGAGATTGCACCACTGCACTCCAGTCTGGGCGACAGAGCAAGACTCTGTCTCAAAACCAAAAATAAAAACAAAACAAAACCAGCTTGGCCAACATGGTTAGACTCCGTCTCTACTAAAAATAAAAAATAAAACATTAGCCGGGCAGGGTGGTACACACTTGTAATCCCAGCTACTCGGGAGGCTGAGACAGGAGAACCACTTGAACCCAGGAGGTGGAGGTTGCAGTGAACCAAGATCGTGCCACTGCACTCAAGCCTGGGTGACAGAGGGAGACTCCGTCTCAAAAAAAAAAAAAAGGTTAAAATGGTAAATCTTATGTATATTTTACCATAAGTATCAATTAACCAAATGAAAGAAAACTGAAAAGAAAAAAAAACCCAACTCACCCATGGACTCTGCCCAAGAAGCATGCCTCTCCTGCAGCTGGCTCTGGGTTGAGCCTGGGGGTTCCTCTAAAACGAATGTGGACAGCCGGGCACTGACCTGAGGGCTGCCACCTGCCAAGACTGAGAACAGGTGGTAGAAGTGATGAGAATGCGGAAAAACAAGAGAGGCACTCTGAGATGGAGGGGCCTGGGGAGGCCATGCAGATTGTTGGAACGAGATCTGGAGTCAGCTTGCCTGAATTTGACTTCTGGTTCTACTATGTGACCTCAGGCAAGTTACCTTGCCTCTCTGGGCCCCAGCTTCCTCACCTGTAAAAATGGGGGTGGTAATAATTATTTCTTGGGAAGATGTGTGGCTCAGAGAGAGAGTGTGCCAAGAGATGGCCAATGTCAGGAACGCTGGCCTTGGAGAGAAAGTCCTGGAGGAAGGTTTCTACTCTGCCCCATCCTTGCTGTCTGTCTGATGTCGGTGGGCAAGATGCTCGATCATGCCAGACTTCAGTTTTCCCATCTGCAAAGTGGAGATAATTATACCAGCCTCTGTTATATGCTCTGAAGTTATGGGCTGGATAAGAATACCTTCTGTAAATGGAACAGCCTTATATAAAAGCAAAATGGAGGTTAAAGAATAAAGATATCCTTGGCATTATAATGAACTGTTAACCCAGGGTATTATAGTTAATTAAAAATGATCCTGCATAATATGTAGCCATTAAAACAAATAATTATGCAGACTGTGTAGAAACAACACCATTTATAAGAGGTAGAATGCTTACAAAATTATATGTACATGAGGATCAGAACTGTGTAGAATTATGTATAATGCAGACAAAGACTAGAAAAGGATCACGAAAAATCTAATTGTGCACAGGCATGGCGAAGATGATGGGTGATTTAAACACATTCCTTTAAAGTCATTGTTATATTGTTTTGACAATAATATGATTTAAAAAAATAGATGTGGCAGGGGGTCATATGGGGACAGCCTGTATTTGAATTCTGGCTTTGTGTGCTGCTGGGAATGAAACCACATTTTTTTGCTGGGTCGTGTGGTAATTCAGGAGTTTGAATTGCCCCTGCAGAGCCCTGCCCAACCTTCCCTGTCTGTCCTGTTCTCAGTACCACCCGCTCTTCCTCTGCTGATTTCAGGACTGACAGATGTCAACACGAGATGGACCAAGCATCCGTCCTAGCACCACTGCTGCGGAAGTGGGCCATTTCACATTCTGACAAGTTACTCAGCCTCCTAAGCCTGGATCCTGTATGTAAAATGAGGAGACCTAGTCCCCGTCCTCACATTCCCAACTCATAGGGTTGGGAAGAGGATAGAATGAAATAGTAGATGTAGAATAACCCAACTCGCTGGATCCCACCAAACAAATATGGGCATCACTGCTCCTATTTAACTGCAGAGGGAAGAGGGGCTCCACATCAGTGCAGCTAACTGCAACCGAAGCCAGCTTCCTTCTCATTCCAACCCCTAGCTATATTTGAGAAATCTCCAATTTATTTATTAACATGCTTACATCCCTTCAAGTATAGAACATATGGGATATAACTGTGCTTTCATTTAAGATGCTTTTTTAAGTCAAATAACAGAGTCCCCTGTTCTTCAATCCCCAGAGCAACCACTTCCCACCTTTTTAGATGTTTTTCTCTGAGTGTTTTCTGCATGTCTTTAAGTAAATACTGCTTTTTTAAATTTTTTACTTTTTTATTTTTTTTGAGACGGAGTCTCGTTCTGTTGCCAGGCTGGAGTGCAGTCGCATGATCTTGGCTCACTGCAACCTCCCCATCCCAGGTTCAAGCGATTCTCCTGCCTCAGCTTCCCAAGTAGCTGAGACTACAGGGGCACGCTACCACACCCAGCTAATTTTTGTATCTTTAGTAGAGACGGGGTTTCACCACGTTGCCTAGGCTGGTCTTGAACTCCTGACCTCAGGTGATCCACCCACCTCGGCCTCCCAAAGTGCTGGGATTACAGGTGTGAGCCACCGTGCCCGGCCGGTTTTTTATTTCACATTTTAAATGCCTACTCATTGACTTCCTGCTACACTGGAAAATGACTTAGCTCACTTACACCCCTCCTCCATCTCCCTTCCTCTCATTCTCCCAACACAGCTATATCACTATTTTGGCTACAATTGTCACCTTCAGAAATAGGCTTAGACTGCCTCTTGTTCATCTACTAGTATCTCCTGACACCGCCCACCAATGCTTTATAAGAGGCGGCTGGTGCCTCAGCCTTCCTTCCTTCTCTCCTCCTTCCTTTTCTCTCCAAGCCTCTGTCATATATACTTTTACATTCTACTGACTGAAAGCTTCCTCATTCTGTTTCATAATTCTAATTAAGTCTTCTATGCTTTGCTTATAGATTGATTGTAAAATCAATAAACAATGCTTACATTATTGAAACCATACTCCTATGGTTCTTTGTCCAGCCGGTATTATATCTGTTTATGATTGCTTTCTTGTGATACTTTTCTTTGATCTGGAATTGCAAAATGCTTTTTTTTTTTTCTTGCACTATTTGACTTTATCATGTTCTCAATTTCCCCCTGACTTTCCTTCCCAGTGGGCATTCTATTGAGTTTTTTTTGTCCTCCCCAAGGTCTACCTTCTACAGCCCCTGTCCTCCTCCTTCGGTCTGGACAGTTATCATTTGGGGACTTCACGCCATGCTTTCCTGGGTTCAGACACAATTTCTGAGACTTAGGTTGCCATCTAGATTTTTCTTTATTTTGCCAGAGCATACCCACTAAGTGACATCCTACACAGAAGTGTGTGGTAGGTAAAACTTCTGAATCCTTTATGATTAGAAATTTACTTATTCTGCCTTTCTACTTGACTGATAATGGGGCTGGGCATTGAATCCTCGGTTGTAAATAGAATTCCCTTAAAATTTGAAGGCACTGATCTATTCCCCTCCATATTGATTTTCCTATTGAAAAATCCTGATTCTTGCTTTACATACTTAGAAGCAAAAAAGAAAAAATATTTGGGCTTGGCACAGTGGCTCATGACTGTAATCTCAGCACTTTGGGAGGCTGAGGCGAGTGGATTACATGAGGTCAGGAGTTCGAGACCAGTCTGGCGAAACCCTGTCTCTACTAAAAATACAAAAATTAGCCTGGCATGGTGGCGCACACCTGTAATCCCAGCTACTCAGGAGGCTGAGGCAGGAGAATTCGCTTGAACCTGGGAGGTGGAGATTGTAGTGAGCCGAGATCATGCCACTGCACTCCAGGCTCAAAAAAAAAAATTTTTTTTTTTAAAAGAAAACACGGATTCATTGTTATTATTGCTTCATAAGGAATGTGACCTTCCATGGGAGTTTTATGGTGCTCTTTTTATCCCTGGTGACCTCTTATTTCATAGTGTAGTTTCTAGGTGTGAGTCTTGTTTCATTCATTGTCCTGAGATCTCTTAATCTCAGCTCTTCTGTCTTTCACCTCTGAGAAATTTTCCTATATTATTTCTTTGATAATTTCCTCTTCTGTTTTTCCTGTCCTCTTTTTTCAGAAACTCCTATTAGTTGGATCCCAATTTGATCCTCTATGCCCCTTATCTATTGGCTCATTTTTTTCCATCTCTTTGTCTTGATATTTTCAAATTTAAATATTTAAGTGTGAGAACAATTTATCTTTTCTGGCTGCTACATAGAGTCTTACATGAAAATGTATTTCTTGTTATATTGTTTCTGTAATAACAGTGACAGACATTTCAAACAAGTTTCACTCAATGGTTTAAGAATTACCATAAAAGAGGAACCAAAATTGCCTTAAATGAGCAAGGCTCTGAAAACTTAACTACAAAATGAGAGTAAGGGCTTTTAGAGGCATAAAAGGAGGATTGCGGTAACTATGCTAGGCGAGGCAGGAGCCAGCTCAGGGGAAAAATGCTATCTTAGCGACTGGTTGCAGGTGCTGCCTCAGGTCAACAGGCTTGTGGGCATGCTGTCCCCTGCTCCCCATTCCTGCCAAGAAGTGGGTAATGTCAGCAAGTCAGGTAGTGGGGCTGAAAGAGTCAAATCCCAAATCTGTGATAGGGTCTTCTCTGAGCAAGGCAGCTGGATCAAGAGTGCCGGTGGTCTTCTTAGCAAGGAGACAAACCCATCAATGCACTAGGCAGGAGGAGGCAGGAGCCAGGCAGGCAAATGAAGAATTAGGCTCAGGCAAGGGCTCAGGGCTCAGCTTGAGTGGACGACAGGGGCGGCTAATAAGTGGACAGAGGCATTGAATGCTGACGGGC
Source organism: Homo sapiens (assembly GCF_000001405.40). Taxonomy (NCBI): domain Eukaryota; kingdom Metazoa; phylum Chordata; class Mammalia; order Primates; family Hominidae; genus Homo; species Homo sapiens. The sequence continues at coordinate 57,175,223 of NC_000017.11, forward strand.
ACTCAAGGCCATGTGGATCAAAGGAAGCAGCACTCTCCTGGCCCATGGGGCTGAAGAAACTCTTCCCCAACGTATGCCTTCTACCTCCAGGCCACAGGATCTTCCTCCAATGAAGATGAGGCGGCAGAGTAACCGGATACAACAGAGGTTCAAGGGCCTTTTTGATGTTCTGGGACCCTGCGTGTGTGACTTACCCTTAAGCCCATGTTCATCCTTTGTGCATGCTCTGATGTTGCCCAAAGCATCTCTGCAACCCTGTGCCATTTGCAGTCAGGTTTCATTGTGAAGGAATAAGAGGCAGTACACACACACACATGCACCCCATCACCACCACCACACCAACTCGTTCTTTTCTGCACACACAAGTGTGTGGAGAGTCTGCCCATCTCCGTGCCTGCACAGAGTGTGGGCTGGAACCCCAACACTGAATTGGATGCCCTTCCCGTTTCTGTGTCCCACAGGGGAGCAGACATGTGCACAGAGGAGGGCTGGCAATTCCTTCATGGTTCAGCTGCCTCCAAATGAGATGTTTGGCAGGAGAGGAGGACTGTCGCCTGTTGTCCCTATGTTCATTGTTTATTTGCTAAAGGAATAATTTAGGTAATTAGTTATTCATGCAAATGTTTACTTACTCAAAAAATGTTTGGTAGTTCCAATAATAGTAATAATAATTAGCACTCACTGAGTGCACACTATATGTCAGGCACAGTGCTAAGCCCTTTAACCTCCACTGTGTGCCAGATTTTAGAAAGATAAAGAAGTAATAACAATATTCAAGGAGTAGCGAGACCAGTGATCAACATTGCAACCAATTTTTGAAACCTTCACAACAGCCTTGGGAAGCATTATTCTTGAAGTGTAACATAATGGTTAATAGTAAGGCCTTTTCTAGCCGGGTGTGGCAGTGTGCACCTGTAGTCCCAGCTGCTTGTGAGGCTGAGGCTAGAGGATCACTTGAGCCCAGGAGTCTGAGGCTGCAGTGAGCCAAGATCGTGCCACTGCACTCCAGTATGGGCAACAGAGTGAGACCCTGACTCTTAAAAAGAGTAAGGCTTTTGTACTGGGGACCTGGATTGAAACCTGTCTATAGCTCTTGTTAGCTGTGCAACCTTAGGCAAGTTACTTAAATGCTCTAAGCCTCAGTTTTTCCTTCTATAAAATAGGCATGGAATTAATAACAGGTATACCTAATGAAGTTGCAATGGTCAAATGAGATAATGCATATAAAATGTTAACACATTGCTGGGAACATAGTGAGTTGTTATTAAGTCCAGGGTACCATAGGATCCCAGGAATTAACTTAGCATAATGTTAGATTAAGGCAGCCAAAGGCATTAATATTCACAGGATGTAGCAGTTAGACAAAATAGGAAGTGGAATCATTCTAAATGATTCCTATTATTCTGCTTGGAAACCCAGTATCTCCCCCCATCCGTATTTCTATGCAATGACACAAGCCTCTTCAGTTCCACGTTCTACCACCATATCTCACAATGGGTAATTACCATAGGCCTTGGGAAGTCTTTTCTTACATCTGGGCTTCAGATTCTTCATCTTTACAGAGAAACAGCTGTAACAATCCAACTTAGATCTATCCTTCAAGGATGTTGACTATGGCATTGCTTATAATAGCAAAAACTTAGGAGAAATCTAAATGTCCATCAATGGGGAAACAGTTTGATAAATTATGGTACATTCATACAACAGAAGATTATACAGCTGCTAAAAAGGTAAATTTACTCAGAGGTAAGTCCATATGAGCTGATATAGAGAAATGTACTTTATTGAGCCATAATTTACATATTCTAAGGATGAGTCTGTATGCATTTTTACAAATATATTCACCTGTGTCAATACCACCCTGATCAAGATAAAAAACATTTCCATCACTGAAAATTTCCCTTGTGCCTCCTTTTGGTCAGTTTCTCCCCACCCACACAGAGGCAACCACTGTTTTGATTTCTAACACCATAGATCATTTCTTTGTTCTTCATATTTTTTGAATTATAGGTCTTTTTATATTCAGTCATGTTGCAAGGATCAGTAGTTTCCTTTTTGTTGCTGTTTTGGACATTTTTACCTCCCCCCCAAATTCATATATTGAAGCCCTAATTCCTCAGCGTGGCTGTATTTGGAGATGGGGCCTCCAAGGAAGTAATTAAGATTAAATTACTTAATTAAGATGGTCCCACCCCCACCACCATCACTTTGTGGACACCTTAGCTTGGACTTCCTAGCCTTCAGAGCTGTGGTATTTTGCTATGGCAGCCCGAGCAGACTAAGACAGTTGCAGAGTAGTATGCCATTACTCATTTGTATACCATGGTTTGTTTATTCACAGTGGATGGACGTTTAGGATGTTTCCGTTTTTGGCCATTATGTATAAAAGTGTGACCATTCTTGTATGAGTCTTTTGTGCATATATGTATATATATCATTTCTCTTGGGTATACACCTAGGAATTGAATTGCTGTGTCAGGCCGGGCGCGGTGGCCTTTGCCTATAATCCCAGCACTTTGGGAGGCTGAGGCAGGTGGATCACTTGAGCTCACGAGTTCGAGACCAGCCTGGGCAACAAGGTGAGACCCTGTCTCTTAAAAAAAAAAACAAAAGCAGCAATGAAAGAATTGCTGTGTCATATGATGAATGTTTGTTTAACTTCATTAAAAACTGCCAAGCAGGATCACGAAGTCAGGAGATCGAGACCATCCTGGCTAACACGGTGAAACCTCATCTCTACTAAAAATACAAAAAATTAGCCGGGCATGGTGGCGGTCGCCTGTGGTCCCAGCTACTCGGGAGGCTGAGGCAGGAGAATGGCGTGAACCCGGGAGGCGGAGCTTGCAGTGAGCCAAGATCGCGCCACTGCACTCCAGCCTGGGGGACAGTGCAAGACTCCGTCTCAAAAAAACAAACAGAAACTGCCAAGCAGTTTTCAAAGTAGTAGTACTATTTCACACTTCTAGCAGAATATATGAAAGTTCCAATGGATCCATATTCTTACCTACATTGTGTATTTTCAATCTTTTAAATTTTAGCCATTTAGTGTGTTTAATGGTCTATTTTGTGGTTTTAATTTATATTTATCTGATGACAAATGATGTGGAACACCTTTTCGTATGATTATTGGATATTCAAATACCGTCTTTTAAAATTTCTTTTTTTTTGAGACAGAATTTTGCTCTTGTTGCCCAGGCTGGAATGCAATGGTGCAATCTCGGCTAACCACAACTTCTGCCTCCCGGGTTCAAGCGATTCTCCTGCCTCAGCCTCCTGAGTGCATGCGCCACCACGCCTGGCTAATTTTGTATTTTTAGTAGAGACGGGGTTTCTCCATGTTGGTCAGGCTGGTCTCGAACTCCTGACCTCGTGATCCACCCGCCTCGGCCTCCCAAAGTTCTGGGATTACAGGCGTGAGCCACTGCGCCTGGCCTCGAAATGCTTTTAAAAGTCTTTTGCCCTTTATTTTTTTTACTGCATTCTTATTTTTTTTTCTTTTTAGTTTGTACAAGTTTTGATAAACAGCCCTCCATATCTTTGGGTTCTGTAGTCACAGATTCAACTAATCACAGATGAAAAAGTTTAAAAAAAATAAAAAATAACAATACAACAATACAAATAATACAAATTTTAAAAATACAGTATAACAACAATTTGCATAGCATTTACATCGTATTAGGTATTATAAGTAATCTAGAGATGAGTTAAAGTGTACAAGAGGATGTGCATAGGATATATGCAAATACTACACTGTTTTATATAAGAGAATGGAGCGGCCGGGTGTGGTGGCTCACGCCTGTAATCCCAGCACTTGGGTTTTGGTATCCACAGGGGTTCCTAGAACCAAGTCCCCACAGATATTGAGAGATGACTGTATTCTGGATATGAATCATTTGTCAGGCATATATATTGCATATATTTTCTTCTAGTATGTGATTTGTCTTTTCATTTTTTAAAAATTATGCATTCTGAAAAATATGTTTTTAATTTTGATGAAGTACAACTTATTTATTTTTCTTTTATATTTAATACTTTTGTGTCTTAAGAAATCTTTATTGCCAGGTGTGGTGGCTTATGCCTGTAATCCCAGCACTTTGGGAGGCCGAGGTGGGTAGATCACTTACGGCCAGGAGTTCGAGACCAGGCTGGCCAATATGGTGAAATCCTGTCTCTACTAAAAATACAAAAATTAGCCGGGCATGGTGGCACATGCCTGTAATCCTAGCTACTTGGGAGGCTGAGGCAGGGGAGTTGCTCGAACCCAGGAGGCAGAGGCTGCAGTGAGCTGAGATCACACCACTGCACTCCAGCCTGGGTGACAGAGTGAGACTTTGTCTGAAAGAAGAAAGGAAAGAAGGGAGGGAGGGAGGGAGGGAGGGAGGGAGGAAGGAAGGAAATCTTTGCTTACTCCAAGGTTATATTTGCCTGTTTATTCTAGAGGTTTTATAGTTTTAGCTGTCATATTAGGCCTCTGATCCATTTGAGTTGATTTTTATGTATGCTGTAAGGTATGGGTAGAAGTTTATTATTTTGCATCTGGGTATACAGTTGTTACACCACCATATGTTGAAAAGACTGTCTCTTCCTCATTAAATTAGCTTTGGAACTTTGTCCAAATTCAATTGAAGCTCTATGTGCATTTGTCTACTTCTAGACTATTCTGTTCCCACTGATCTTTATGTCTATCCTCATGTCAATACCATAGTAAATCTTGAAAGCAGTTCATGTAAGGCTTCCGAGTTTGTTGTTTTTCAAACTATTTTGACTATTCTATGTCATTCACATTTCCATGTAAATTTTGGAATGTTGGATGTCAATTTCTATCAAAAAAAGAAAAACCCAAAACAAACCCCAAAACCCTGCTAGGACTTTAGTTAGGATTGCATTGAATATATAGATCAATTTGTGGAAGAATTGATAACAATATTGAGTCTTCCAGTCAATGAACATGGTATATCTTTACAATTATTTAGATCTTTTAAAATTCCTCTTGGCAATGTTTTATAGTTTTCAATGTATATATTTTGGACATATTGCATTAAAAATTTCCCTAAGTATTTGATGTTTTTGGTATTTTTGTAAAAGTTATTTTATTTTTGCTTTTGTAGAGACAGGTCTCACTATGTTGTCCAGGCTGGTCTTGAACTCCTGGGCTCAAAGGATCCTCCTGCCTCAGCCTCCCAAATGTAAATGTTATTTTTAAATTTTATTTTTAAAGTCTTCATTGCTACTATATAGAAATACAATTGATTTTTATACATTGACTTTGTATCTTGCAAATTTTCTCTTTAGTTCTAGTAGTGGTTTCATACATTTCTTTGGATTTCTATGCATTAAATTATGTTATCTGCAAATAAAGACAGTTTTATTCTTCATTTTCAATCTCTCTCTATATAGTGTCTTTTTCTATATATATATATATATATATATATATATATATATATATATATATATATATATAGTGTCTTTTTCTCATTGCACTGGCTAGGACCTCCAGAATGATGTTAAACAGATGTGAGAATGTACATCTTTGCTTTTTTCCCAATATTAAGGGAAAATATTCAATCTTGCACCACTGTGATGTTAGCTGTTGGTTTTCATAAATGCCCTTTATTAGGTTGAGAAAATTTCATGTTAGTCCTTGTTTGTGGAGGTTTTCTTTTTTAAAAAAAAATCATGAATTACTCTGGATTTTGTTATATACATCTTGTGCATTTATTGAGATGATCACATGGTTGTTATCCTTTGTAATTGTGAATTACATTGATTGATTTTTTTTTTTTTTTTTTTTTTTTTTTTTTGGAGACAGAGTCTCACTCTTTTGCCCCAGCTGGAGTGCAATGGTGTAATGATAGCTCACTGCAGCCTCGGCCCCCCCATGTGCAAGTGATCCTCCTGTCTCAGTGCTTTGAGTAGCTGGGACTACAGGTGTGCACCACCATGCCCAGCTAATTTTTATATTTTTTGTAGAGATGGGGTTTCACCATGTTGCCCAGTCTGGTCTCAAACTCCTGGGCTCAAGTGACCCACCCACCTTGGCCTCCCAAAGTGCTGGGATTACAGGCATGAGCCACTGTGCCCAGCCACATTGATTGATTTTTAAATATTAACCCTGCCTTGTATTCCTGGGATAAACCACATGTAGCCAGATGCATTTTTAAATGTAGTGATAGATTTAATTTGCCAATATTTTGTTTAGATTTTTAATTTGTTTCAGACAGGGTCTTGTCACCCAGGCTGAAGTGCAGTGGTGCAATGGTGTGATCACAGTTCACTGCAGCCTCCATTTCCCAGGCTTAAACAATCCTCCTACCTCAGCCTCCCAAGTAGCTGGGACTACAAATGTGCACCACCATGCCTGGCTAGTTTTTTTTTTTTTTTTTTAATTTTTAGTAGAGACAAGGTCTCAGTATGTTCCCCAGGCTGGTCTCAAACTCCTGAGCTCAAGCAACCCTCTTGCCTTGGCCTCCTAAAGTACTGGAATTATAGGCAGCAGCCACTGTGGCTGGCCTTTGTTTAGGATTTTTGTCTATGTCTATGTTCATAAATGATTTTGGTTTAAAATTTTCTTTTCCTTATAATGGCCTTGTGAGAATTTGATATCAGGTTTCTGCTGAGTTGGGTATTATTGGGTGTTATTTTATCTTCCTCAGTTCTCTGGAAACATTTGTATAACATTAGTATTATTTATTTTCAAAAATTTTAATAGGATTCACCAGTGAAGGCATATGGACCTGTAGTTTTCTCTTTTTTTTTGAGACGGAGTCTCACTCTGTCACCCAGGCTGGAGCGCAGTGGCGCCACCTCGGCTCACTGCAAGCTTCACCTCGCAGGTTCACGCCATTCTCCTGTCTCAGCCTCCCAAGTAGCTGGGACTACAGGTACCTGTCACCACACCCGGCTAATTTTTTTGTATTTTTAGTACAGACAGGGTTTCACCATGTTAGCCAGGATGTTCTCATCTCCTGACCTTGTGATCTGCCTGCCTCAGCCTCCCAAAGTGCTGGGATTACAGGCGTGAGCCACTGCACCCGGCCATGGACCTGTAGTTTTCTTTGTGAAAAGGTTTTAAATGATGAATTCAATTTGTTTTTGTTTTTGTTTTTGTTTTTGTTTTCAGATGGAGTTTCACTCTTTTCACTTAGGCTGGAGTGCAGTGGTGCAATCTTGGCTCACTGCAACCTCCGCCTCCCAGGTTCAAGTGATTCTCCTGCTTCAGCCTCCCGAGTAGCTGGGTTTACAAGTGTGCGCCAACACACTCAGCTAATTTTTGTATTTTTAGTAGAGATGGGGTTTCTCCATGTTGGCTAGGCTGGTCTTGAACTCCTGACCTCAGGTGATCTGCCCGCCTTGGTCTCCCAAAGTGCTGGGATTACAGGCGTGAGCCACCACACACAGCTGATGAATTCAATTTTTAACAAATATAGGATGATTCATATTTTTTATTCCTTCTTGGATCAGTTTCAAAAGTTTTCTTTTTCAAAAAATGTTTTCATTTCCTCTAAGTAATTGAATGTATTGTTGTAAGTTATAGTTAAGATGGACTAACAGGAACCAGATTTGCCCTTCTGCCTGGAGTGACTAAAAAAAATAATAATAAATAAATAAATAAAGTAGAATATCAGGCAACAATGGCTAATGACAGTTGAGGTTAGGGAGTCAAATAAGATGAGCTTCCTACAATTGCCCCAGCTCTTTGCCTAGAGACAGATTCCAGGCCTCAGAATAGGGAGGGAAAACCCACATGGAAGCCAGCAGTTTCCCTGAATTGAGGATATGGAGCTGGGATCCTGGGGAGGCCAAGGTAATTAGAGTTTATAGGACAGAGTATTAGGGAGAATAGAGCTTGGATAGGGGTGGGAGATCAGGAGGCGAGGGGAAAGGGAACTGGAGGAGGAGGGAGGGGAAGAGAGTTCTGGAGACATTTGGAGAACTCTCCTTGAGTCTTCAGCTAAATACCTGTCAGTGCGTGCATGTGAGAAAACCATGCAGAACTGAAGAAAGAACAACTGAAGAGCATCAGAGAGAACGACGCCCCAAACTTACGCAGGACTGGGAATAATTCCTGTTTCTGCCAGAATAGAAAGCCTCATGATTCAGAGAGAGTCCCCAGTTAGTGTCCTCAGAAGAGTTTTGCCTCAAATAATGGTACAAAATTAGCCCAAAATGCTGCTTTAGTCTCACCTGACAAAGCTTAATACCTGAAAGAATCAAACTGTCTCTAAGTAACTTAATCATATCACAGGACAAAGGCCAAGAACATAGAAAGAGAAAAATGGGTAGTAATTTTTCATTACATTCTTGGTATTGTGACTGATGTATCATAGCGACTCTGGATTTTAAAAATGTTTTTCTAAAGAGTGTTGAATTTTTTGGGGGTGGGGGCAGGTAGCTAAATTTTTGATGGGTCACCTCACTCTTGTTGAGGTTTGGTTTTAGTTTTTGTTAAGGTGGATCTATTTCAGTTTCACCCTTATTCCTAGGCCAAGCACCTGCTCCTAGGACATGGTCCTTATTTCTACAACGAGGTCTTTCTGGGGGGTCTCTACTGAAGGCCCTGTGTGTCTTGGCTCTGTCTGGGTCAGAATTCCAAAGACTTGCCAGTATTCTTTTTTTCTTTTTTTTTTTTTTTTTTTGAGACAGGGTCTTGCTCTGTTGCCCAGGCTGGGGTGCAGTGGTGCAATCTCAGCTCACTGCAACCTCTGCCACCCAGCTTCAAACAATTCTCTTGCCTCAGCCTCCCAAGTAGCTGGCATTAAAGGTGCCCACCACCACACCTGGCTAATTTTTGTATTTTTAGTAGAGATGGGGTTTCACCATGTTGTCCAGGCTGGTCTTGAACTCCTGGTCTCAAGTGATCCACCCACCTCGGCCTCCCAAGTGCTGGAATTCCAGGCATGAGCCACAGTGCCCGGGGATTTCAATCCTTGAAATCTCTGTTCAACTGTCAGCCCTTCGTCAGCTGTTCTCTACCAGACCTTGTGAATTACCACCCTGGGCACAAGCAGCTCAGGATTTGTCCAGGTGCTTGAAGGGAACCGCTTCACAGATTTCTGGGTTTCCTTTTCTGCAGTTCCCTCTGCTCCATAGCCCACAAGTTCCAGCCATCTTAGAGCCCTGAACTCTGATCTGTCTCCTCCACCAGGTCCCTGTTTTTTCTGCCCAGTGCAACACTACACCATGGTTGGGCTCCACTGCCTCCACTACGGCTTGGAAACCACCCTCCCAGGCAGAAAGCCAGGGCGAATATGGGGTTGCCACTGCTACAAAGACACAGCTCAGCACTTGCCCAATGCCTGAAATCAGTTGCTTCCTATCTTTTGTTCATGATTATGGTTATTTACAGTTGAGGTTGAAACCAGATACTGAGTCATGGCTGAAACTGGAAAATCGAGGATATATTTTTATTTATTTATTTTTAGTGAGGTAACATTCACATAACGTAAAATTAACCATTTTATTTTATTTTATTTTATTTTATTTTATTTTATTTTATTTTATTTTATTTTATTTTTTGAGAAGGAGTCTCACTCTGTCGCCCAGGCTGGAGTGCAGTGGCACGATCTCGGCTCACTGCAGCCTCCGCCTCCCTCGTTCAAGCGATTCTCCTGCCTCAGCCTCCCGAGTAGCTGGGACTACAGGCGCCTGCCATCACGCCCAGCTAATTTTTTGTATTTTTAGTAGAGACAGGTTTTCACTGTGTTAGCCAGGATGGTCTTGATCTCCTGACCTCATGATCCGCCCGTGTTGGCCTCCCAAAGTGCTGGGATTACAGGCGTGAGGCACTGCACCCAGCCACAATTAACCACTTTAAAGTGAACAATTTAGTGGTGTTCAACACATTCACAATTTTTTTTTTTTTTTTTTTTTTTTTTAGACAGAGTCCTCACTGCAAGCTCTGCCTCCCTGGTTCACGCTATTCTGCTGCCTCAGCCTCCCCAGCAGCTGGAACTACAGGCGCATGCCACCACGTCCGGCTAATTTTTTTTGTATTTTTAGTAGAGATGGGCTTTCACCGTGTTAACCAGGATGGTCTCGATCTCCTAACCTCGTGATCCACCCGCCTTGGCCTCACAAAGTGCTGGGATTACAGGCGTGAGCCACCGTGCCCTGCCAACATTCACAATGTTGTGTAACCATCATCACTTCTATCTACTTCTAAAACATTTTCATCACTCCCAAATGAGACCTGTATAAATAAAGCAGCCCTGAGCAACAACCAATCTTCTATTTCTATGGATTCACCTGTTCTTGATAATTCATATAAATGGAGTTCTGCAATACGTGGACTTTTGTGTCTGGCTTCTTTCCCTAAAGGTTCATCCACATTGTAGCATGTGTTCGTGCTTCATTCCTTCTTTTTTGTTTTTTATTTTAAGAGATGGGGTCAGCTGGGCATGGCGGCTCATGCCTATAATCCCAGCACTTTGCGAGGCTGAGGCGGGCAAATCACCTGATGTCACGAGTTTGAGACCAACCTGGGCAACATGGTGAAACTCTGTCTCTACTAAAAATAGAAAAATTAGCCAGGTATGGTGGCGCGTGCCTGTAATCCCAGCTACTTGGGAGGCTGAGGCAGGAGAATCACTTGAACCTGGGAGGCAGAGGTTGCAGTGATCTAAGATCGTGCCACTGAACTCCAGTCTGGGCAACAGAGTGAGACTCCATCTCAAAAAAAAAAGAGAGATGGGGGTCTCGTTACGCAGGCTGGTTATATGCATAGAAAAGATGTCTTTAAAGAAAGTCCATTGTTAACAGGGAATACCACCAGAGAATAGCAATGGAGAGGAATGGGGACACTTAAAAAAACTGATGTAGTTTTGTATCGTTTGAATTTGTTAAAACAAGTGTATATTAGAAAATAAAGATTTTAATTAAAAAATTGGGCATGGTGGCATGTGCCTGTGGTCCCAGCTACTCAGGAGGCTGAGGTAGGAGGATGGCTTGAGCCCAGGAGGTTGAGGCTGGAGTGAGCTGTGATGGAGCACTCCAGCCAGGGTGACAGAGCTGGGCAGACAGAGACAGAGACCCTATCTCAAAACAAAAACAAAAACAAAAAATAAAGAAAATAAAGATTAAAAATAAAACTTGATGAAAAATAAGGGAATTTTCTGCTTTAAAGTTTAACTTTAGCCTTAACCCTCAACCCAAGGCTGTTCACAGCTGTTGCAGCTTGCCAGATGGCCTTGTTTTTCTCATGGCTTTTCCAGAGGCTGCAGTGTAGGTCACTTTTCCAGGAGGGGCTGTGAGGAGAGTCCTGCCTATCCCTCCCCTGGATTCCCTCGCTGCCCCCCATCTCTGTTCTCCCACTACTCAGAACTTCCTCTAGTTCCTGGAACACCTTGCTTTCTCGTGCTGAAGAGACTTTTCACAGTTTTTTCACTCCCTCTGCCAGGAATTCTGTCTCAGACTCATCTCCTTCCTGTCCCTCTTTCAAGCTGGGTGGGGTGTCCCTCCCTCCTCTGCACTTGTCCAGTGCTCTGTGTGATCTCAAGTTTACCTCTTGTCACAACATATTGTGAATTGCCTGTCTGTCTCCTATGATGGTGAACTAGCAGGACAGAGGCCATGTTTATTTCCATCACAGCCTCATGGTCCTGTTTCCAAAGGCTGGCACACAGCCTGGAACATGAGAAGTGCCCACTGCACGTGTTGAATGAGAGAATAAAGGAAGGGGAGAGCTGTGGTTCTCTAGTCAGAAACCCAAGCTTCAGTCATCAACTGCGTGTCCTGGTTTACTTGGCATATAGCTTCATGCCTCATGGACATGGGGCTTTCAGGATCTAAAGAAAATCCTCTAGAGGAAATTTCCCCAGATGGAAAGCTAAGTAGACCGTAGATCCTTGCCCCTTCTCTCAACAGAGCTGCCTGCGGATTCCCAAAGAACTGATGACTATCACCCTCCCAATTCTCTTGGATATTATTGAAGGATCATTTCCGTCTTGGAAATAAAGCAAGATGGCTGGTATGTGTGTTTTTTTCCCTAAGCCCATGAGTCTCAAAACACCTACCCCGTCAAGTTCCAGAGGTGGTGTGGCTGTTCTTTAAAAAAATGAAAATAACCAGAAAAATGTATTTTACCTCCCTGAGAAATAAAAATTTCCTTGTTTCCAAAATTTCCAAAAGAAATAATTAGGATGTCCTGAGTGTCCAGTATGTGTTCCTGACACAGGAACACCATGAGGTTGAGAGGCTAACACTGAGTTAGGTCTCCAAGCATCCTTAAGAACAGTGTTGCACAAATGAGGTGCCACATCAAGGCACGAGCAGAACAACAGAGCTCTCATGACATGTTATTCAGGAAGGGGCCCAGCCAGGAGAGTACATTTCTCCATGAGCCAACGTCCAGAGCAAAGATTTATCGCTAAACTTAAAAAAATCCACTGTGGGTTATTGTTGTTATTGGTGTGAATTATTATAACTCTTGTTATCTTTGGCTTGTGTGTTCTGGTATGTCTGTTTTGGTTGTTATGGTAATGTTGGGGTTGAGTGTGTATTTTACTTGCCGTTTTAAAAGAAAATTCTTTTTGTGGGATTTATGGGACTCCGGTGGTAAACAATGGCTCTTGCCATTTTGGGTGAAAAGGGTTTCAGATGCAGGGATGATTAGAATATAGGAGAGCTTCCTGTAGGTGAGCCACCGATCACAGCCAACCTGGGGGAGATGCTCACCTTGGCCTCTCGCACGCAGACCAACAAGACTACTGATGCCTTGAGATCAGCTGCCTCAAGTCTCATGGCAGATGAGCAGAATGTCTTTGCTGAAGCACCCTTGCATCTTCTGAGCACACTCATCACCTCGCAGGTTTCCAGGGACTGGGAGGCTGGCACTGCCTGCCTCCCACAATGCCCCATGTCCCAGCTCAGACTAAAGCTGATCACCTTTGAGATTTCTGGAGCAGCCAACATGTGATCTGGCCTTCAAAGAGGGCTTTGTAACCAGGGGTGGAGGTAGCTGTAGCCTGAGTTACTCTTCCGCTTCTTAATATCCAAGACAGGCCTGGGTGTCTCACGGTGCCAATAATATTAATATTAGTTACCACCATATTGTCTCTATGAGTATTTACTATATACCAGGCACTCTGCTGAACATTTGAGATGGAATATTTTATCTGATCTTCCCAAGAATCCTATAGGGTTTACTCCTGTTTTACAAATAAGGAACTTGCGGCTGAGAGGCTAAGCAACTTGCCTGAGATCACCTAACCTAACTATAAGTGAAGAAGACAAGATACGAAAACAGGCAGTAGCTCCCAGGCAGTGGTGGACACACCCTAAGGTGACTTCCAATGACCATGTCCTTGTATAATCCTGTCCCCTTGAGTGTGGCCACCACCTCTGACTGGCTTCTTGTCAATAGAATGATGCAAAGGTGATAAACATCACTCTCATGATTATGCTACCCTATTTATTTATTTATTTATTTATTTATTTATTTATTTATTTTTTGAGACAGAGTCTTGCTCTGTCGCCCAGGCTGGAGTGCAGTGGCGCGATCTCGGCTCACTGCAAGCTCCGCCTCCCAGGTTCATGCCATTCTCCTGCCTCAGCCTCCCAAGTAGCTGGGACTACAGGCACCCGCCACCACGCCCAGCTAATTTTTTGTATTTTTTAATAGAGACGGGGTTTACCATGTTAGCCAGGATGGTCTCGATCTCTTGACCTTGTGATCTGCCCACCTCAGTCTCCCAAAGTGCTGGGATTACAGGTGTGAGCCACTGTGCCCGGCCTGTGCTACCTTATTTAAAACTCTGGCTTAGCCAACTGGAGCAAGAGAGAGTCTCCCGGTGGCCATAAAGAAGCAAGTACCCCTGTCGTGAACTGCCTTGTGAGGGCCACATGGGAAAGATTGTGGGTGGCCTCTAGGACACAAGGGCCACCTCCAGCCACAGCCAGTAAGAAGCTGGGGCTCCCACACATACCACCACGAGGAAATGGATTCTGCCAATAACCTGAAGGATTTGGGGGCAAATTATTTCTTAGTTGAGCCTCTAGATGAGAAGGTGGCTTGGCCAACACCTTGATTGCAGCCTTGTGAGACGCTGAGCAGAGGATCCAGCTAAGCCGTTCTCAGACTCCTGACCCACAGAAACTGTGATAATACAAGTGTGTTGTTCCAACCCACTAAGTTTGTAGTGATTTCTTACACAGCATAGGAAACGAATACACAGCCCACGCATTTAACCTGGCCCCGTCCACATTTGTAGCAGGTCCTGTGCTCTGTGCATGGGTCCTCCTACAGAGTTTCCCTTTGCCACTTCTGGGAGTTCCAGCCTAATTTCTTGGAAAATGACCAGAGCAAGGGACTCCTGGGCTGCTTTCTGACCAGGAGACAGAGAAGCAGGGAACCCAGGCACAATCAACTCTGTGTGAAAGAAGGATCAGCAAGAAGCATGTGAAGCCCTCCTGCCTTGCAGCAGCTACAGGCACACAGAGATTGGGATTAGGATTAAAGCTATCATCTGAGGATTGGTCCTAGCAGAAATGTGCCCTAATGATACTATGCAGTGGGAAGGGGAATATTTTGGGATCTGAATCTATACTTATATAATTATGGGGTTTTTTTTTTTTTTGGGACAAATTCTTGCTCTGTCACCTAGGCTGGAGTACAGTGGCACAATCTCAGCTCACCGCACCCTCCGCTTCCTGGGTTCAAATGATTCTCATGCCTCAGCCTCCCAAATGGCTGGGACTACAGGCCCGCACCACCACGCCCAGCTCATTTTTGTATTTTTGTAGAGATGGGGGTCTCGTCATGTTGCCCAGGCTGGTCTCAAACTCCTGGCCTCAGTGATCCACCTGCCTTGGCCTCCCAAAGTGCTGGGATTACAGGTGTGAGCCACTGTGCCTGGCCAATTATGGTGTTTAATTGAGTTAGTGCTGGGCTTCTAGGGTGCATTTCACCTTGACTTTGAGTGCTGGAATTTAAAGTGTGGTCCACCAGCCACACGCAGCTGGAATGGTATTGCATCTGTTGGATACTTTCAATTTATCTACTTCATTGAGCATGGCAGTAAAATGTCAATACCACAAGACAGGGCTGCCTGTATAATTCTGCAAAAATAAAATGTAGCCGTATGTTTGGGGACTAATACAAGTGGAAGGTTCCCCTGTCATGTTGGCCGTGTTTGTGCAATCAGGCCTGTGCGGAGCCTGGTCTAACAAGGGCAGCCATATGAGGCCATTTAAAAAGGCATTTCCAGTCTCTGCCCCAGTGACCAGGGACACTGGACTCCTTCACTAGTTACCACGAGAGGCTGAAAGCCACACAAGGGCCCGCCCAGAGTGGGCCTCCCCTCCAGGCAAAGCTGGCACCATCCTGGTGGCCTGTGGGTTTACCTTTACTCATCACAACTTCCATAGAAGAGGAAGGAACACCCACACCCAGGCTGTGGCTGGGCTGGGGACTTGGCCTGCTGGGCATTGGGGTGGCAATTGTGTTTCTCAGCAAGTTGCCTCAAGAAGCGAGAATGGCTACTGATTCTTCTCTTATAGGATCCACACAGCATTCAGTCCTTCTACTGGCAACTGAAAGGGACAAAACACTTGCCTGTTCAAAAAGGTCTTTTGCCAAGGGGGTGTGGCTCATGCCTGTAATCCCAGCATTTGGGGATGCCGAGGCAGGAGGATCAATTGAGCCCAGAAGTTCAAGACCAGCCTGGGCAACATAGGGAGACCCTCATCTCTTGTTTTTATTAATTAATTACTTAATTATTTACTGACTCTTCATTCTGGTCTGAAGGGAGACCTCATCTCTACAAAAAATTTAAAAATTAGCTTGGCTTAGTGGTGCATGCCTACAGTCCCAGCTACTTGGGAGGCTGAGGTGGGAGAATAGCTTGAGCCCAAGAGTTTGAGGCTGCAGTGAGCAGTGATCATGCCACTGCACTCCAGCCTGGGCAACAGAGTAAGATCTTGTCAAAAAAAAAAATGTCTTTTTAGGAGATGTCAGCTGGGCAAGACTGTCATCCTGCTGTGTCCAGCTCCAGTCTATCTGCCTTCCTGAGCCAGAATTTTTTTGGGAGATAGAGAATCAGCTGTAGGTGAGGCTTTGGGAGGAATGGAAGAAGACTTTCTTCTCTGTGGATTGGGTGAGAGGCAGGAGATCAGCCTCAGAGAACCTAAGCGGAGGAGCAGCCCACCAGCTCTGGAGCGAGTTTGGCCCTCAGAAACCGGAGGATTCCTGGGCTGCTATTTCCACATGAAAGCCAAGTGGCTAGACAGGAGCTGGATGGCTGGGCTGGGTCCTTGGGTCACCATGGAAAGATGGCTCAGAAACAACAGAATTTGGCCAGGCGCAGAGGCTCACACCTGTAATCCCGGCACTTTGGTGAGGCGGGGGCGGTTGAATCACTGAGGCGAGGAATTCGAGACCAGCCTGGCTAACACGGTGAGATCCTATCTGTACCAAAAAGTACAAAAATTAGCCAGGCATGGTGGCATGTACCCGTAGTCCCAGCTACTCAGGAGGCTGAGGCAGGAGAATCACTTGAACCCGGGAGGCGGAGGCTACAGTGAGCCGACATAGTGCCACACTGCACTCCAGCCTGGGTGACAGAATCTCTAAAGAACCAACAGAATTTGTGCCAAATGAAAAAGACACAAGCATCCACATTAGCCAAAAATTAATAAGCACACTCAAGAAGACTCAGGAGGGATTGCTTACAAAAAAAAAAAAAAGAAGAAGACTCAGGAGACGCACAAAACAACGGGAGTGTGCAGATGCGCAAAAACTGAGAGCATATCACTCACATCCCTGTCTGTGAACAATAGTTGAGAAAGACTGGCAAAACAACCAACGAATCCACTACAGACCTCAGGACATAGCAAGATGAAGAAGCAATGCCCTCATCTTGCTGGCTCGGACAGGAAAGGTGCGATCTCACTCATGTTCCGTGTCCCTTATGAGCACGGCAGCTCTATTCCACATCCTCTTCACTTGGGACCCTTTCGGTGTAAAAGTCCATAAATGTGCTTTTAGTGCTTCCATTTTGTGTTGATTATTTTTTCTATTGTTTCTTCTTTTCATTTCCCGTCCTTTGACCAGTTGGATCCAATTCCTATTCATTCTGCTTCTCACCTGCTCAGCTAAGGAATACCACTGCACTTTCCATTTAACCAAGACTCACTTTTCTACCATTCACTAAAGAACGCACAATTATCTACTATTATTTGAAAGTGACGTGCCAACTAAGAACGACAGAAAAGAAGGACAGGTGTGGGTCCCTGGTGACTGGGAGCTTTCCTGTGAACCCAAGATTGCCTATTTGGGGCTTATTTTGCAAGAGAGAAGAGCAGCTTGCATATTTGCCTGTGGTATATGGGGCTTTCTATTACATGCGGCAAGGATAGATTCTATTGTTGAAGACATTTCCTGTCTCTTTCTGGGTGGGGGGATTATGTACCTGCTTTATTGAGGACAGACTCACATATGACTGGTTTGGGCCAATGAAAATTTAGCAGAGGTGACCTGTGCCACTTCTAAGCAGAAGCTTTGAGAACCACTGTGTCATTCCACCATTTTCTCTTTTTCTATGCCCTGAGCCCAGTAATGCCCCAGGTCATAGACACGCTGATAGCCCAGGTCCCAAAGTTAATAGCACTTGGAGCAAAGCAGTACCCCCACCACAACAGAACAGTTAAGTGAGCAAGAACTAAATCTCGAAACCCCTGAGATTTTTGGAATCATTTGTTAACACAGATTATCCCAGTCTATTCACACTGATACAATAGTTAAACATAATTCTGGCTTCTGGTGTTGCTGCCTAAAATGTATTTTATTTAACAATGCATCATGTCATCTAATATTTAATCACCATTCTGGACTTATAATTAACCCTATTTTCTGAGGCAGTGATGGGGACATAGGGAGATTAGGTCACCTTTCCAGAACAGCACAGCCAGTAAAGGGAGCAGAGCCAGATTTCAAACTCCGAAGACTCAATCTCTTGCTCATTTTACTGCAAAAGCTGCCACAGGGGAAATGGCAGCAGCCTCACTGGCAACACAACAGAAGTGCATGAAGGACTGTGGTTTCAAATTGGGGTTTTCTCATTCAATTCCATTTTTAGCTAGAATGGCACATGGTGGTAGGTTGCTGACTGTTATCCTTGGAGTCTGATTGACTTATTACATAATAAGGATCTTCTAGCCCTCAAGCTTCTCATGCTTTTAAAAAAAATAAAAATAAAAAGGAGCCAGGCATGATGGTGTGTGCCTGTATTCCCAGCGACTTGGGAGGCTGAGGTGGAAGAATAGCTTGAGCCCAGAAGTTCAAAGCTGCAGTGAGCAGAGATGGCGCCACTGCACTCCAGACTGGGTAACAAGAGTGAGCGGGACCCCTGTCTCTAAAAAATAGTAATAATGGCCGGGTACCATGGCTCATGCCGGTAATCCCAACACTTTGGGAGGCTGAGGCAGGATTGCTTTAACCTAGGAGTTTGAGACCAGCCTGGGCAACATAGTGAGACCATGTCTCTACAAAAAATGAGGTGGAAGGATCACTTGAACCCAGGAAGCCGAGGCTACAATCAGCTGTGATTTGCCACTGTACTCCCACCTGGGTAACAGAGTGAGACCCTGCCTCAAAATAATAATCATAAATAAAGAAAGAAAAACGTAACTGTCAATGTCCAACTCCCACTGCCAAACTGGGCCTAAAAATGAATGTTCAGTATAAGTATTCCATACCTTCTGAACCCGAGGCCTGAAGAATCAGCTTCCTGAATTGGGGGAGGTTATCCTCAGTTTCACTTTTGTGCGGTAATTCTAGGCTTCTGGCGGGATTCAAATCTCAGGGGCGTGTACTTAGCAGAACAGCGTCCCCATTATCTGGGAGTCTGGGACTTGATGACTGTCTCTGCTTCACACTCTGCTCTGAGTTTGGCAGAATGGTCACCTTTCTCAGGAAACTCAGGCAGTCCTCAGCCGTCTCCCTGGGAGGGAGCAAAACTATTCAAGGGCCCCTTTCATGAGGAGAAAAAAAATAATCATCCAAAAACCTCACACCAGCATAAACCAAAGTATTCAAGGCCCTCTTACAGATTTTTAAACAAGGCTTTAAGGGGAAAAAGAGAGGAGATGGGAAGAAGAAGAGAGAAGAAAGAACTCTTGGAATTCGATTGAGCAAATCTGGACATGAACAAGAAAATGGTGCACATACCAGTTGATGGTGGGGATTGGAAAGGCTGTGAAAATCATTGGAAGTTCCACAGACTAAACTTTCCATTTTTATCTTGACATTTTTCCTACCTAAGCTTTTATGCAAGTGGGTTTTTGGATCTCCAGGCTATAATTTATGTAATATTTAATGATGAAAAAAATGGATTTGGACCAAAGCACTCCACTTCTCAAAAAGCTGACTGATTGCCTCCTGCCCCTCTCAGAAGTTCACTTTGAAAGAGGCCTTGTGTCGCTTTCTGATCAAGGCTCTTCCCAAGCCTTATGCCTGTACTGAGTTGTACAAGTTAGGGACCACCATCCCTCAACCTGGGAAAAGGCCTGGCACAGAGAACAGAGAGAAATATTTGGTGCATGGAATCGGTAAAATAAGGGTGTGCAAGGATGGGCTGTGGAAGCACCTAGAGGTGCTGGGTATGTTGGGGCATTTGGTTTGCTGTCTGAATTGTGGACAAGGGAGTATTACAGCCATGCCCATGAGAAAGATGGGAGCATTTGGTTTGCTGTCTGAATTGTGGACAAGGGAGTATTACAACCATGCCCATGAGAAAGATGGGTGCCATAGGCTGGTGGGGTATCATATCTTGGTTTGTATTTGGAGTAAGTTTTCTCAGATGGCTTGAAAAGTCTGATGCTAAGAGGTATCTAGAGTCCTTTTTTTTTTTTTTTCTTTGTTCTGTTGCCCAGGCTGGAGTGCACTGGCACGATCTCGGTTTACTGCAACCTCTGCCTCCTGGCCTCAAGCCATCCTCCCACCTCCACCTCCCATGTGGGTGGGACTACAGGTGTGCACCACCACACCTGGCTAATTTTTGTATTTTTTGTAGAGACAGAGTTTTGCCATGTTGCCCAGGCTGGTCTCAAACTCCTGAGCTCAAGCAATCCGCCCACCTCAGCCTCCCAAAGTGCTAGGATTACAGGCGTGAGCCACCATGCCCAGCCTATCCAGAGTCTTGACATCAAGATAGATCACAGAGTCCTAGAGGAGTGAGATTGTTGCCACCTGGACAGCATGTGACCCTAACTCAAGGATTTGTCGCTTCATGTTCAACCTTTGATCCTAACAAGGTACCCATGAACAGATTTAATAGAATGGTGTTCACTGGCAGTAAGAAGTTGATCCAGGTGGGGCCTGGTGGCTCATGCCTGTAATCCCAGCACTTTGGGAGGCCGAGGTGGGTGGGTCGCTTGAGGCCAGGAGTTCGAGACAAGCCTGGCCAACATGGTGAAACTCTGTCTCTACTAAAATACAAAAAAATTGCCGGGTGTGGTGGTGCATGCTGGTGATCCCAGCTACTCGGGAGGCTGAGGCATGAGAATCACTTGAACCCAGGAGTTGGAGGTTGCAGTGATCCGAGATTGCACCACTGCACTCCAGCTTGGGTGACAGAGGGAGACCCTGTCTCAAAAAAAAAAGTAAGAAGTTGATTCAGGTTAGAAGCATGGATTTCCAAAGAACTTGTGGACTTCATAAAGACGTAAGAAACCCCAAGATCATCTGCAAGACTTTTAGGATGACTCATTACCACATGCTGTCCTGAAATGAAGATGTTGTATTTGGCTCCCTGGTATCAAAGGCACTTTCTCTCAAAGTGAGAATAGATTAAGCAGAGGCTCGAGTCACCTCTATGTATCAGTTAGTTACTGTTGTGTAACAAAACACCCCCAAACTTCATGGCTTATTAAAGCAAACAGTTCTTATTCCTCACAGGTCATCTATGGAACAATTGTGGTTTCTTCTGGTCTGGGCTAGACTAGGCTGTTTATGGCATGGCTGGCTCACGCCTCTCTTGCCAGCTGGCAGGTTGGCTGGGGGCTGGCTGGTCTTGGATGGCTTCACTCATATGTTTGGTGATTGGCTGGCTTTTGGCTGCAGCGATGGCAGTGACTGAGTCATGAATCTCTCTGTATCTAGCGGGCTAGCCTAGGCTTGTTCCCTTGGTGGTGGCAGAGTTCCCAGAGAATGCGTAGAAGTGTGAATCCTGGCCTCGGAACTGGCTCAGTGTCACTTTTACCTCCATTCCATCAGCCAAAGCAATCCATAAGGTCAGCATGAATTCAAGGACAGGGGAAATAAACTCCATCTCTTGATGGGAGGACCTGCAAAATCACATCATCAATGGTGTGGGTAAAGGCAGGTTTGGAGCATTGGAGCCATATTTGTAGACAGCCTACACAAATGGGTTGGCTGTATTTTCAAGATGGCTGACTTGGGCCAGGGTTACAATGTGTGACCTGGAACTGAGGCCATCTCTGTATGAAACGAGTATACCATAGAGGAATCAGACACATAGCCCTAACCTCAATGGGCCTGTGTCCCTAAGCCAGCAACTGTAGGTCCAAAGTGTTTCCCATTTCAAAATATTACCTACGATTTCTTCTCTCAATACCCTTGTGAGTGTTTCCTGCATTTTGCAGTAAAGGGAACCACAAAATAAGGGCTTGGGGCTATTTTTTTTTTGACAGATATTTCTTTTTGAAATAAGGTTTAAACCAATCAAACATTCTTCTTTGGAAACAACTGATTGCAATATTTCTACGCTATAGTTTCACTGATTCCTGCTGACTTCCTAAGGTACTGCACACATGGAAGAGGTAAGGAGAGTAAGCCAAGCTTTGTGGTTTAAAGGCTATAAATCAAATTTTGTAAATCTAGGGCACAAATGTGACCTACTAAGGACTGTAGTGAACCGTGGTGCCCCATCCAGTTATTGAGAGCAAGGCTTTCAAGCATTCAACTTGGCTGTATCAGTTGGTCTTGAATCATGTCCTTGAATATGTCTAGAGCCGCCTACACAGACCCATGATGCTGCCATCTCTGGGAGAAAAGAAGCAGCATTCGTGAGGTGGCTAGATTCCCTGATCAATCCACCCCACCCCATGGTGATACAATAAAAAAAAGAAAAGTTGCTTCTTAGGCTGGGCATGGTGGCTTGCGCCTGTAATCCTAGCATTTTAGGAGGCCGAGGCAGGTGAATCGCTTGAGCTCAGGAGTTCGAGACTAACCTGGGCAACATGGCGAAACTCCGTCTCTACAAAAAATACAAAAATTAGCCAGGTGTGGTGGCGTGCACTTGTACTTCCAGCTACTTGGGGGGCTGAGGCAGGAGGATCGCTTGAACCTGGGCGGTCAAGGCTGCAGTAAGCTATCACACCACTGCACTCTAGCCTGGATGACAAAGTGAGAACCTGCCTTAAAAAAAAAAAAAGAAGTTTCTTCTTACTGAAAAGTCAATGTGGCAATTATTGCTGGTTACTTACCCAATAGCTGTTCCTTACTGCCCCCACACACTTTGCTTTCTTCCAGGCTAACAGAACCCTAATTTGGTTTCAGTACAAGTAGCAATGCGTTTTGGCAAGATAGGACCCTCCATTTCCCCAGAGAATGAACTGTGACTGGTCCAAGGTAACCACTGTACTCCCTTTTTCCTGTGGTAATGACTGGTTTCAGGGTGGACATGTGACCTAATTCTGGCCAATAATACTAAGAGGGAGTCTGCCAGGGGCTTCTGGGAAAGATTTCTTCTTGATAAAAAAGAGAGGTGAACTAAGAGAATCCTTCATCCCTTCCTTCCTGCTTTTAGACTTTATTTCTAGATGAAGAAAAGTGATGTTTGGAGATGTCGCAGCCATCTCATCACCACAAAGGGAGGGCTAAGAGAATCTCTCAGAAATGGACCCGAGCCCTGACATTGTGATGCTGAGCCAGCCTGGAACCAGGGATGGAGTGTAGCCGGAAGTATGATCCAGCAGCAATGGTTGTTTAAGGCTAGGCTTTATTCTGACTGGTCAGGCTTCGGTTCTCATTTGTCAATGTCTGGGACAGATTGGTTGTTAAGTATTTCGAATACCCCTTGGTTGGAATCAGTGCCTCTGGATTTATTGGTATGTAATGAAAATAAACACTTTTTTAAAAAGCACTTAACTGGATATTCAGTTACTTGCAGCCAAAAGCTTTCTAACTACATAGTTTGGGTTCACAGAACCCAGTCACATCTGAACTGCATCTGTGGGGACTTCACTTGCACAGCTTTGGGGGACTGCAGCCCTGTTAGCATCTATCTCATTCCTTCCTCACCACCACTCCCGCCCCCTACCCATTGTTAGGTAGCAATAATGTCTTTCTGTGTTTATTTTTTATATCAGGTGGTGGTGGGAGGGTAAAGGCAAACTGTCTAATATCTGTGGCCTGGAAGAGAAAGCTATTGTAGCTCTATCAGTGTACTGTATCTGCTCTTCATGGAAGAGTCGAGATAGAAATTTATCCTCTCTGGCAGAATGTAGGAGATTTAGCTAACTTCTACCTAATCTATCCATTTGCTCTTTTGCTATACCATTTGATTAGCCATATTGATAATGTCTTTTTTAGGAATGAGGCTTGGGTAGCCATCAGTCAACCAGTCAACCAATCAATCTTGTTGATGCATGCCATCGGTAACAAGAGAAGACTTCAGGGAGAGGGTCTAGGGGCACACTCGCTGCTTTGCATTGTAATTTTTTTTTCTGTGTCCATCTTCCCTGTTAGACTATGAGCAATTTAATGGCAAGAACGGTATCTTCAATCTCTGTATTCCTAGGTTTAGCACAGTATCTGGCCCATACAGGGTGCTTAATAGATGATTTGTTGAAAGAAAAAAAATAATGAATCACATATGAAATTATTTTAAAATGCACGTTCTACCAAGACAAGATGATTTTTATGGACACAGAAACACCTTCCTATGTGGCCAGCTTAAAAAAAGTTCTAATTAGGGATATTGGAATATCTTATCCCATTTTAAAACCAACACATTCAGAAATACAATCAAAGGGAATCAGCCTATCTTTCCACATGCTTTTTGTGGCACAGTTTGTGCCTAGAAAGCCTTTTTTTAATGGGAAAGATGATGTTTCTTAAAGCATCTCCTACTAAATATGGTGACAAGAAATGGAAATATCATTCTCAGGGTTAAAAAAGATTTTTCATGAATTCACTAAGTAGTGTGTTTGAACTAACTTTAAAAGCTGACTTCGACAAACTAGATAAAATATACTTCTATCTCTGCTAACCATCTTTCAACATGTCAGCTCATCTGAGGCCTCCCTGAGATCCATGAGAGACAGCGTGTAAGCTGTTCTTTAGATGGCCATCTAAAAACTCATCAAATAGCAAGGTATGAAAAACAAAATCACCTCCAAAACGTTCAAATTGCATTGATCTGTGGCATAAAACCCTCACCACAGGAAGAGAAATGATGGATTTGAGACCCGCAGGAGGATTCGTTTAAAGTGCTTTGTGTTGTATGTGTGTGTGTTTTATTTTAATTTATGTATGGAATTGCCCGGGAGTAGTAAATAGACTTTATTTGCTATATTTCGAGGAAGATAAAATTATCAGGACTGTCTATGTATTTCAAAGCCAAGAAAAACAAAAACAGCTTTGAAGCGTCTCCTGGATTTTTTTGTCCTAATCTTCTAAGAGATGGTCTTGATAATGTTTATTCTTTTCTTCTTTCTAAACTGATTGAAAGTACCATTTTTCTCAGTTAAAATAGCAATCTGATTCTTAACTAGGTCAGGTAAAGTACCCATTGAGCAGCACAGATTATTTAAACGATTGCAAAAGGGCAGGTAGGAATTTCTGAATAGCATTGCCACACTTCTTTCCAAATCTCTCTCCTCTCCTTCTCTCTAAGCTTGTGTGGCTCCCACCGGGAACACACCCTGGTCTTTGAAGGGTGGGTTTTTCATTTGAATTCATACCCACCATCTGGACAAGTTTTTCTGCTGCATTTCCCCTATAACCCAAAGAGTGAAGCCATTTTCCATCTGCTTGGAGATAATGTGTGGAGTTTTTCTTTCCATTGGTGGGCATGGGGAAGGAGATACGCACACTGTATTATAACGCAGCCAGTGATGATGGAGAGGCAGGGCTTTGGTTTAAATTTTACATACTCAGAAACATCCATTTCTGACAAAATCCCATCTTGTGAATCCCCCATAGCCTGGAGGAGCAATTGGCAAACTTTTTCTGTAAAGGGCCAGATAGTAAATATCTTAGGCTTTGTAGGACATTTGGTCTCTGTTGAAACTGCTCAACTCTGCACAAAAGTGGCCGTAAACAATATGGATTTGAATAGGCATGCCTGTGTTCAGTAAAGCTATGTACAGAACCAGACAGTGGGTCCTGGTCCCTGGCTCAGAGCATCTCTCCATGCTTCATGTTGGAGGCCCACATCTTGGTTTTCTGCAAGGTGGCATTCTATCTGCTCTCGTGAGGAGGGGGTGAGCCCAGCAATGGCTCAGATCCACTTAGGCAAGACCATACCGCCACCCTACCTGTGTCCCAGGACACACTTGTGCCCAGTGGAGACCTGGTGAGCATTATAGGGTGTAAACCCTCAAATTAATGAGCTTGCCAGCTGCCCTTGTTAAGGCCCTGAGTGTCCCATCTCAGTCACGGTGACCATCTTCTCCCTCATCACATATTTCATTCTTTGGCCTCTTCTCCACACTCTCAACTAGGGCTATCTTTCTAAAGTACTGTTTGGTCGCGGAGCTCTTGTTTGAACAATGATTGATGAAGAAAGTCCATCATGTCTAATCACAGCATTCAAGGCTCTTTATAAGCTGGCACCAGGGCTGACTTATTAGGCACGGTAGGTATAGTAGTTGGGGTCCATGATACTTTTAGGTCCTCAAGCATGTTTTAATTTTAATTTCCTTTAAAGTACAAGAAAAATGAGTACAATAATAGTAATAATGAGTATATAATAATGAATCCAGGCTGGGTTACGTTGTCTCTTTTTTCTTTTTCTTTTTTTTGAGTCCGAGTCTCACTCTGTCGCCCAGGCTGGAGTGCAGTGGCCCAATCTCGACTCACTGCAACCTCTGCCACCCAGGTTCAAGCAATTCTCCTGCCTCAGCCTCCCAGGTAGCTGGGATTACAGGCGCCTACCACGGCCAGCTAATTTTTGTATTCTTAGTAAAGATGGGGGTTTCACCATGTTGGCCAGGCTGGTCTCAGGCTCCTGACCTCAGGAGATCTGCCTGCCTCAGCCTCCTAAAGTGCTGGGATTATAGGCGTGAGCCACCACGCCCGGCCTATATTCTTTTTTTAATTAAAACAATTTTTTTTAGAGACAGAGTTTTGCTCTGTCACCCAGGCTGGAGTGGCATGATCATAGCTCATTGCAGCCTTGGACTCCTGGACTCAAATGATCCTCTTGCTGCAGCCTCCTGAGCAGCTGGGACCACAGGCATGCATCACTATGTCTGGCTAATTTTAAAAATTTTTTTGTAGAGACAAGATCTTGTGGCTGGATGTGGTGGCTCATGCCTGGAATCTCAGCACTTTGGGAGGCCGAGGCGGGCAGATCACTTAAGGTGAGGAATTTGATACCAGCCAGGCCAACATGGCGAAACCCTGTCTTTACTAAAAATACAAAAAAATTAGCAGGCATGGTGGTACAAGCCTATAATCCCAGCTATTCAGGAGGCTGAGGCAGGAGAATGGGTTGAACCAGGGAGGCAGAGGTTGCAGTGAGCTGAGATTGTGCCACTGTACTCCAGCCTGGGTGATAGAGTGAGACTCCATCTCAAAAAAAAAAAAAGAGAGAGACAGAGAGACAGAATCTTACTAGTTCAAGACCTTGCTTAGGCTGGTCTTGAACTCCTGGCTTCAAACAATCCTCTTGCCTTGGCCTCCCAAAGTGCTGGCATTACAGGCATGAGCCACCATGCCCAGCCTATATTCATCTATATACCAGTGCAGTTGTAAATATAACTTTTTTTTTTTTAATAGAAGAAGGGGCCCACAAAAGCAAAAGGACTTGAGGTCCTTTCTAAGGACTGCCATATGAAATATGGAAGGCCCGGTTACATTTGCATTTCAGATCAACAATGAATAATATCTTTGTATAAATATTTTGCAAATATTGCATGGGGCACATTCGTACTAAGAAAACAATTGTTGTTTATCTGAAATTCAAATTAACTGGGCATCTTGTATTTTTTATTTGCTAAATCTGGCAGCCCTGCAGGAAAGTCATAATGTGGCCCTGGCTGGAATGAAGCACAGTTGCAACCTTCTCTCTCGTGTTCTTGAAGGTAAGTGTTTAGGTCAGGTTCCCTGGAAACGGACCCTAAGATGAGGATTTATGTGCAAGTAATTTTTTCTAAAGAAGTGCTTTCAGGGGAGACAAGTAGGAGAGTGAGGGAACAGTCAGGGCAGGACAGGCAAGGAGGCAAAGCAAGGGTGAGTCTCACGCCAGTCGTTGTAGAGGGTAGCTTCAGCCTGACCCCATCTGGGTCACTTTAGAAATGTCCTAAAGGATATCTGGGGCTGGGTACAGTGGCTGACGCCTGTAATCCCAGTGCCTTGAGAGGCTGAGGCGGGCAGATCATGAGGTCAAGAGATCGAGACCATCCTGGCCAACATGGTGAAACCCTGTCTCTACTGAAAATACAAAAATTAGCTGGGTGTGGTGGCATGCGCCTGTAGTCCCAGCTACTCGGGAGGCTGAGGCAGGAGAATCGCTTGAATTCAGGAGGCAGAGCTTGCAGTGAGCCGAGATTGTGCCATTGCACTCCAGCCTGGTGACAGAGCAAGACACCATCTCAAAAAAAAAAAAAAGGATATCTGGGCAGAGGATTGACATTGTTGTCTATACTAGACTGGAAACGTGGCTGGTCCAAGTTCAAAGCTTAGAGAGAATAATCACTCTGCCTCTGTTGCTAGCTTTCATTTGGCTTTACTTCCTAACCTGTACATAAGCAGTGCAAAGGAGAATGATGAAATCAAGCATATATAATGGCGTGAAAGAAGGCAGCTCCCTCATGCTGGTCTGTACCTCACACTGGGGCATCAGTACCTCACAGAGGAGGTCTGTACTTACAGAGGAGGCCTGGGCCTCACAGAGAAGCCTGGACCTCACAGAGGCCGGCCTGAAGTTGGCAGTCCCAGCAGCTTACACAATGGAAGGGATTTGTTACTTCAGAGGAGCAGCCTTGCTATATTTTATACCTTTTTATTGTTGTCCAGGAGAGGCTCATACCTCACAGAGGCATTATGTCAGAACCCAAGGATCTGCCTTATCATGAAAATAATTTCTTACTTCCACCCCTCTGTGCTTTAACCCTTACTGCACCATCAAGGTTATCCCACAGTTCTGTGGGCTGACCATAGCCCTGCCTTGTCACCAGCACAGGCAGGAGAGGGCATTTTGATGAACCATGAGAGATAGGGATTTGACATTCTGACTGCCCTGTCCACTGGGATGCTTTCTCCTACCTCCAAGCCCAAGAGGAACACATACTTTTCTGGGTACCTCGGCACACCTCTGTCACTGATGACTCCTGCTATAAATGTTCACATGCACATCTGCCCCTGGGCACCTGTGACCTCTGCGCTGGCAGGGATTGTGTTTTATTCATTTGGTTTTCCCCAGCACCTAGACCATAGTAGCCCCTCAAATGTTTGCTGTATAAATACATGAATGAATGAATGAATGAATATAGGAATTTAATCTGCAGCTTTGCACAAGCAAGCACTGCACCACAACTGGCCGGCACTGAGTTACTGTAGGTAAAGTGTGTGCATGCAAGTAGAGGCACCAAAAAATCAGTAGGAAACTGAAAAACAGAGTCTTGTATCCAATGGCATCAAGCTTCATCCTGGTGGAGCAAGGTGGGTATCAGCAGTCCCATCCGCTGGAGATGCTGTCTTCCACGTGCCTGGGCCGCAGACTGAGGCCTTTCCCTAACCTGCACTGGAGTGTCCCGTTTGATTGATGGCTTTATTTCTACCTCCATTTCCAGGAATGGGAGCCTGGTCCTAGTCCACCTCCATTTACTGGTTAGGGCCTAGACTTTGCCCAACTCCTCACCAACCCCTTTCTTCTGGAGGCTTCCTGTGGCTTCCTTGCATCCCCATCTCTAAAACATCTGGACCTGATGGGCAATAGCCTGGTGTGAAGAGCATCGGGAAATCTCATGGCCAAATCGGACCCCCGTGGCCTTGGATGCCAGCCTCAATCAGATCTACATTCGAAGTGTCTCCTGCCTTTCCTTCCCCAAAGCCTCCTGGGCAGCCTACTCCCACAGCCAGAGGTGGGTGGGGAAGGCGAGGGCCCCAATGCTGGAGTGGACATTTTTGGGTTTGGATCTTGACTCTGACACTGACCAGCTGAGTGGTCTTGGGAAAGTTATTTCATCTCAGTTTCCTCATCAGTCAACTAATAATACGATCTCATCGGAAAGAGAGAATTAAGTGAGATCACTTAGCAGATACACAAAACCATATCAATTCTTTTCCCTTATGCTCTTGGACCCCTACCTCTTCCTAAATTTCTTCTTCTCCACTTATCTTTGAAATGCAGGATTCAAAGTGCCTTGCAGTCTGAGAAAGAGCCAGAGAGACGTTCTCCTTGAGTCCTACTCTGCAACCAAGCCTTTCCGAGTGGCTGCTCTCTTGTATACTGGGGAAGGGAGGATGATGTTAACCAAAAGGACCCAGCAGCAGACATGAGGAGCAACAAAGCACAAGACAAGCACACAGAGCACAAGTTGCTGAAAAGGGCACAGACGGCACAGCACATTCTGCCCAAGCTGGAGAGACAAACATGATTAGAAAGAGATAGAATGGAATACACTCCTGACGTCAGTGGGCAAGAGGGGACGAAGCAATAAAGGGAAAATGCTGTAAAGGAAAACTGGAATTTCATTTTCACGGTTGATTCTCAATTACTCAGGCTTGGTGGGAGGCTACACTTGTACCAAATGTAGCACCCAGAGTACGTGGCCGCTCCTCTTCCTGGAAACAGAGTAATGGTTGCCATTCACTTTCTGATCTATTCAGTAAGTCCCTGGTGGGATCCTTCAGAAAGAGAAAGGGCGACATCCATTATGCTGCTAGTTTCCTGCCCTTTCCACTTGTTTCCATTTCTATCTCCTTCTCTTCCTGCCATTTACCACAGCCAAGTACATAGAATGACAAGAGATTCAGTGATGGTTGTCCTCAATTTCCAGTTTAATTCAGATTGTTTTCTGTGGAAAAAAAAAATTCCCAAGGCTGATCTTTCTTTCTTTCTTTCTTTCTTTCTTTCTTTCTTTCTTTTTTTTTTTTTTTGAGACAGGGTCTTACTTTGTCACCCAGGCTGGAATGCGTTGGGAGTGATCTCGGCTCGCCGCAACCTTCGCCTTCTGGGTTCAAGTGATTCTTCTGCCTCAGCCTCCTGAGTAGCTGGGATTACAGCCACCCGCCACCACACCTGGCTAATTTTTGTATTTTCAGTAGAGATGGGGTTTCGCCATGTTGGCTAGGCTGGTCTTGAACTCCTGACCTCAAGCGGTCTGCCCGCCTTGGCCTCCCAAAGTTCTGGGATTACAGGCGTGAGCCACTGCGTCCAGCCCCAAGGTTGATCTTTCAAGAAGAATCATTTAGTTACTTTTTGTGTTGTTTATTCCCCCAGTATCACCTATAATATGTTAATCACAAGAGGGGATGCAGGAGGAGTTAAGATGAGCTACTTAGTCCACATAGTCTGGTAAGAGAGTCAGGGATGTAGACAAATGATTCTAGGACAAGATATGCTAAAGCTGCCACAAAGGGCTGTTCAAAGTGCTATGGGAATACCAAGAAATGAGTGACTGCCAGTCTCAAAAGAGAAACTGCTTGAGCTGTCTTAAAGGATGAACCCCTTTGCTCAGATTTACAGATGGTCAGAAAACATTCCAAATGGAGAGAGCAATTCAACAACGGTTCAGATGCGTGGATTGGCCTAACTTATGGGAGAATTTGGTTTGGCTAGAATACAAGGTATTTGGGGGAAGTAGCAAGAGCTGGAGCTAGATAGCTTAGCTGAAGCCTGATTACTGCATTCACAAATATTTACTGAGCACCTGCTATGCACCAGGGGCCGTTCTATGTGCTTGGGACAGAAGAATCCTTGAGAGCACCATGGGCCCTGCCATCTCAGGGCACACTCACCATAAGGCCTGCAAAGGGAGAGAAGCAATCAGTTGCCAAACCGGGAAGTGCCTTTCAACGCTGTGCAAGGGAATGCTATCTTACTGCAGTAGAAGCTCAGGGACCATTGAAAGATTTTAAATAAAGGAATGTAATGCTCATTTTGACACTGTAGAGAATCCATGGAACATGGAGTGAAGATAAGTAAAACTGGGGACAGGGGACTAGTTAGGAGGCTACTGTTATAATCTAACTGGCATATGACAAAAACACTGAGCTAAGCAGGAGAGGTGTTTCAGGAAGTGACCTGGATAGACAACAATAACATAATAGCAACCTGATAGCTGCTCTTAAGCAAAGAGCTCTCTTTTTAAATTATTGTAGTAAAATACACATAACATAAAATTTACCATTTAACCACTTTTCAGTGTATAATTCAGTTGCATTTGATACATTCACAGAGTTGTACAACTATCACCACTATCTTGTTCCAGAATATTTTCATCACCCTGAAAGGAAACTCCATACTTACAAAGCAGTCACTCCCCATTCCCCTCTCCCTCACCTCCTGGCAATCATCAGTCTGCTTTCTGTCTCTATAGATTTGCCTACCCTGAATATTTCATATAATTAGAATTATACAATATGTGGCCTTTTGTGTCTGGATTCTTTCACTTAGCATAATGTTTGCAAGATTCATCCATGTCATAGCACAGATCAGTTACTGCATTCCTCTTTATGGCTGAATAATATTCCATCGTATGGATATACCATATTTCATTTATCCATTCTTAAGCTGATGAACATTCAGATTGTTTCTACCTTTTGACTATTGTGAATAGTATGTGCTACTGTGAACATTCATGTACAAGTTTTTGCTTAAACACCTGTTTTCAATTCTTTGGGGTATATGCCCAGGAGTGAAATTGCTGAGACCCCTCTTTTTAATTTATAACTTTTAGTTCCCAGGAAAATTCATTTTTTAGAAAACTTACACAAAAGCTTTGTTCACTTGCTGGGGGATTATGAATGATAGGGGAGTATTTCTTTCAGTTTGTAATTTCGCTGGGATCAGTTTCAACACTAAGCTTTTGCTCAGGGCCTGCCTGACTCTGATCTGCAAGAAGTGATCTCCAGCTGGGGCCTGATTTTGTTGAAGTGGCCACAGAAGCAAATTGTCATGGGCTCCTTGATCTAGAGACATATGGTCGAATTTCTTGACCAAAATAGACTCCATATTGTCTGTCCTGATTTCCTGTCTGGGTTATTCAAGGAAAGCCTGAGGGGACCAGTGTTGATAATTAGAGACTCTCAGCTTCTGACCTCAGCACCTGCTTCAGGATTTAGGATGATTATCATTCTTTGGCCATTTGAAGGACAAATGCAACACTATTTCCTCCATTAGCCATAGTATGGTCTTTTAGAATGACTAAATGAAGTTTAGAGATACCTTAGCCACTTTGGTTTTATGTGTGAGGTGGGGGCATGATAAATGCTGTCTGAATTTTTCTAGCTGTACTGATATGGCCTAGTGGAAATAACATCTTCTCTGGTCCTGACCAAGCTGAATTTGAATTATGTCACTTTGTAACTATATGACCTTGGGCAAGTTATTTAAACTCTCTGAGCCTAACATCCCTCATTTGTAAAATAAAAGTAATAATTCCATCTGTAGGTAGATGACTTGATTTTGGCTGAGGCCCCAAAATACTGAGAAAAACGAAAGTGGCAAGCTTTCCCCCTTTGCAAAAAATAAGATACTAGAACACATTTGCAAGTCTATGGAGCCATCCTGGAACCAGTTCTGTGACCCCTAGCTCTGTCCACCTCAAAGATATGACCCAGGCTGAAGTCATAAAGTCCAGAAGTTGCAATTAGGTTTCTTGGAAAGAGTTGTCAGTGAGATAGGAGTTTTATTCTTTTCTTTAGAGAGAGCTAAGAAATGTTTTCCTTTCACTACAAGTTTAGTGAGAAAGCTCCATAGAAACCCTAATTCCTAAAATCAGAAATAAGATGAGGATGTTTGCTTCACCATTCCTATCTAACATTTTATTGAAGGTTGCAGCCAGTGCAATAAGGCAAGAAAAAAGAAGTAAAAGGCATATGCATTGTAAAAGAAGAAATACAACTATTTCTATTCAAAGATGACATAATTTTCTACACAGAAAATCTCAGAGAATCTGCAAAGAAAGCTACAAGGGCCAATAAATGAGATTAGTAAGATTACAAGATACCAGGTCAAAAACCAAAAATCAATCGTATTTTTATACACTAACAACAATGGGGAACTAATTTTTTAAAGTATTTTTTAACAATAGCGTCCAAAGACATGAAATATTTTGTTATAAATCTAATACAATATGTATAAGATCTAGATGTTGAAAGCTATAAAACACTGATGAATAAAAAAGAAAAGCTAAATGAGTAGATGGTTGGACTGGAAGACTCAGAATTGTCAAGATGGCAATTCTTCTCAAACTGATCTATTGATTCATTGCAATTCCAATTCAGCAGGATTTTTTTTTGTAGAAATAGACAAGTTGATTCTAAAATTTATATGGAAAGGCAAAGGAATAATTTTGAAAAAGGTCAAAATTTGAGGACTTGCACTATAGGATTTCAAGGCTTATTCTAAAGCTAGAGTAACCAAGATGATGTGATATTGTCAAAAGAAAATACACAGATCAAAGAAATCAAATAGAAGTCCAGAAACAGACCCATACATATATAATCAATTGATTTTCGACAAAGACACAGACAAGCCAATGGAGAAAGGATAGTTTTACAACAAATGGTGCTAAAACAATTAGACATCTATAGGCAAAAGTGAACCTTGTTCTATTCATTGCACCATGTAAAAAAAATTAACTCAAAATGAGTTATAAACTTTAATGTAAAGCCCAATGCTATAAAAGCTCTAGAAGAAAATGTAGGAGAAAATCATTGTGATCTTGGGTTAGGCAAAGATTCTGTAGTTACAAAACTAAAAGCATGATTCATAAAAGAATAAAATGCTATATTAGACTGTGTCAAAGTTGAAAACTTCTGCTCTTCAAAAGGCACCATTAAGAGAATGAAAAGACAAATTACAGACTGGGAGAAGATATTTGCGGCACACTTATCTGATCCATACTATATGAAAAACTCTAAAAACTCATTGATTAAAAAACATAATTTAAAAGTAGGCAAAGATTTGAACTGGTGCTTCATCAAAGATAATATATGGATGGCAAATAAATAGATAAAGAGATGCTCAGTGTCATTAGTTATTAAGGAAAAGCACATTAAAACTATAAGATACTGCTCTACATTTATTAGATTGGCTAAAATAAAAAATTGGCAATACTAAGTGCTGACAAAGATGTGGGACAGCTGGAACTTTCACATAGTGCTGGTGGATGCAAAATGGTACAGCTACAGCTGCTGCGGAAAACAGTTTGGCAGTTTCTTATAATACTATCCAGCAATCCTTTTTTTTTTGAGACACAGCCTCACTCTGTCGTCCAGGCTGGAGTGCAGTGGTGGCATGATCTCGGCTCACTGCAACCTCCACCTCCTGGGTTCAAACGATTCTCATGTCTCAGCCTCCCAAGGAGCTGGGACTACAGGCACACACCACCATGCCTGGCTAATTTTTGTATTTTTAGTAGAGACAGGGTTTCACCATGCTGGCCAGGCTGATCTCAAACTCTTGGACTCAAGTGATCTGCCCTCCTCAGCCTCCCAAGGTGCTGGGATTACAGGTGTGAGTCACTGCACCTGGCCATTATCCAGCAATTCTAACATCCCATTCCTAGGTACTTACCCAAGTGAAATGAAAACTTGTGTTCACACAAAAACCTATAAAATGATTTTTTTAGTGACTTTATTCATAATTGCCAAAAACCAGAAATGACCCAAAATCCCATCAATTAATGAATGGATAAGTAAACTATGGTACATCCATACAAGGCAGTACACCTCAGCAATAAAAATGAACAAATGACTAATCCTCACAACATGGATGAATCACAAAAGTGTTATGTTAAGTGAAAGAACTCAATCTCAAAGGCTGCATGTTGAATGAATCCATTTATATGATATTCTGGAAAAGGCTAACCTTTAGGGGCAAATAAGAGAACAGTGGCTGCCAGGGCCTGGGGTGAGGGAAGCAGTGGATTATAAAGAGAGGTGAAGAAATACTGGACAAGGATGAAACTATTCTGTATCTTGATGGTGGGGGTGGTTATATTACTGTATTTAATTTGTCAAATCTCATAGAACTCTATACTAATAAGGTGAATTTTACTGTATGTGAAATGTGCATTAATTAAAATAAGCATAGTTGAGTGTAAAAGAAAAAAGAGGTGGGCGTTGGAGGGTTGACAATGAAAACGCCAAACATTGGGAATTATTATAGATTTCTTTGGAGAGAACTGCGGTGTAATGTCAGTCCCATTCTCCTCTTGGCAGAAAGGAGGGCATGTTTTTTCCTTACCTCAAGCCTAATGAGAGAAACACTGAATAGATCACCCACTAAGAGAGTTCAATATGTGCCCTATGTGATGGGGAGAACAAAGAGGTTGGAATCTTAGCTCAAGCTTGGAAGAGAAGGAAAAGTGTTTACTGGAGGAGAGGGTGGCTGCAGCTCCCTGTGGCAGAAGAAATCACTGTGTTTGAGCCATCATTGCACCACTACAAAGGTCAAAAGTGTGCTCTTCCAAATAACTCAGGAAGGGTGGGGTTGCTTTAAAAGAACCCTGCCCACTGAACTTCTTGCATGGAGCAAGGAGACTTCAGCAGAAAAAGGTGGAGGGCATACTGTCAAGTGCCTGACGGAGGGGGAGGGAGATCATAGCAGTTAGCCTACGAGACCTCCTACCTGGGTTAAAGGATGCAGTCATAGGGCCCAGGAGGGGAACTTCCAGCATCCCATGCTAGCCCTGAGAGAAGAGTCAGCTCTAGGCGTCTGACACAGCCAGTACCATGACTAGCCCAGACTCTTCCTGCACTGCCCCCACCCCCCATAATCCTAGGGGAGCCAAAGAGAGCCAGGCAGGGAGAGTGGAGGTCCCAGGAGGCACCCTCAAGGGTGAGCCATCAGGCAAAACTTCTATGGATTTCTGGAAGCTCCAGTCCAGGGAATCAGTTTCCAAAACTTAGTAAAAGGAAGATGAAATATAATGAAACTCATTATTTTTTTCCTTTAGATAAACATGAATTATTCACTAAAGATCTAAATTCTGATTTATTACAGCTTCAGATTTATCAGGGAGAAAAAGTGTGGGGTTTTTTTTTCCCCCTTTTTGTCTCCGTCTCTGGAGGGGAAATATGACCTCACCGTGCTTAGCAATACAAACACTAAGTGTGATGGTCACCTTTAGTCATGGAAGAGGGTGAACTGCCTATGGGCCAGGGTGCTAAACAGTGTGGTTATTTACATAGTTCTGGAGTTGGTCGTGAATGCTAATGCTCTCATGCCTCTGCTGCCTGAATGTGGGAATTGTCCTCTCCAATGGAGAGAAAAATATATGACCTTTTGTGAAGATCTTAATGTCAGCTGTTACATTCCTTTCAAAGGGCGTTAGTGGTCTAATTAACCTACCTACTGATTCTGAAATCTGACCTTCACAAGACAGTGAGGTGGTGAAGTTCTCTCTGAACCTGGTTGGGGAGGGGTAAGGATGAGATCGTCCTGTGGCCAAGGAGTTAAACCCAAGGATGGGTTTGATTGAGCCCATGGCTTGGTTGAGGTCCTGTGTATGTTATTCCTTTTGTTCCAAGAGCTGCATTACCCCCTCATGACAAGTCGCTGTTGGAGGTCACTGGGGCACCAAGAGCCCAGCCGAAGCAGGTGACTCCAACCCTCAGAGACAGAGGGCCCTCAAGTGTCTGAGCTCACTCCACTGCGAAGACTGCAACATTGCTTTGTTAACCTGGGGAGTGATGTCAGATTTAATTTTGCTGTCAAAGGCTTCGTAAACCTCAGATGAAATGTATTCCAGAACCTAAATAATTCTTGCTGTTGTTATTGTTGTCCCTGAGATCAGGTCTTTTGTGATAATCTTTCATGACACTGGGTACAACCATCCAACCCCCCCAGTGAAGGATGACTGGCTTGGTCAGTGTTGGCATGAAGGTAATCCATGACTCTCTCTCTCTCTTAGTGTAAACATATCTTCCCGGAGATTTGGCTTCAGACTTAGGATGGGAAAAGGAAGAAAGTGAAAAACATCTCACTTTAAACATATACTGAGTGCTATTTAAGTGCACCCTAAATACCCGCATCTACTTTATTATTTTAATTTAATTTGTATTATTATTATTTTTAGAAATGAGATCTTGCTCTGTCATGTAGGCTGGAGTACAGTGGTACTATCCTAGCCCACTGCAGCCTCAAACTCCTGGGCTCAAGTGATCCTCCTGCCTCAGCCTCCTGAGTAGCTGGAGTAACAGTTGTGCACCACCATGCCTGGTTGATTTTTTTTTTTTTTTTGGTAGAGATGGGGTCTTGCTATGTTGCCCAGGCTGGTCTTGAATTCCTGGGCTTAAGTGATCCTCCTACCTTGGCCTCCCAAAGTGCTGGAATTACAGGTGTGAGCCACTGTGCTTGGCCCCTCCACATTTATTTCAGCCCTCATCACTCAACTGGTATAATACTTACTGGGTTAGGGGCCTGTACCCCTGTATCAGCTAGGACTCCTTTTTGCAAGTGTGAGAAGCCAAGTTGAGGCTTCTGTAACTGAAAAGACGAGACAGTGAGAAATCTTCAGGCATGGCTAGATCGAAGGGTTCAAATCATGGCAACAGTACTCAGTCTCCAACTTTCCTCATTCTGCTTCTGGTTGGTGTCATTCTCTACAACAGATGACCCTCCCAAATCTCCAGGATTACTTTATCTCTATAGCCAACAGTTCCAATTTGAGTGAGAAGACAGCTCATTTTCCCCAAAACTGACAAAAACAACGACCACAAAAAACAAAAACAACAAAAAAAGCCAACCTTCAGACTTAAATCCTATTGGTCTCTTAAAGGTCACATGCTCACGTCTGAGCCAATCAGTGCATCCAGGAGCTTGAGTGGCCAGGCCTGGGTCAACCTCTCAGTCCTCGGACCAGGCCTGGGTAGTCAGTTCCAACTGAACTGCGGGGACCAAATGTGAGAAGGGTGGTTCCCTGAAGGAAAATCCAGGTGTTGTCATCCAAAAGGAAGGGAGTGGATGCTGGGCAGAAAACCACAACTGTTAAGAGCAAATCTTGGCTCTGCCTTTCTGAGCTCTTTAAGCTTGGGCAAGTTACTAAATGTTGCTGTGCTCAATTTCCTTTATTTTTTGAGACAGGATCTCACTCTGTTGCCAGGGCTGGAGTGCAGTGGTGCAATCACAGCTCACTGCAGCATCAACCTCCCGGGCTCAGGTGATCCTCCCACCTCCTGAGTAATTGGGATTATGGACTTGTGCTACCACACTGGGCTAATTTTTTGTATTTTTTGTAGAGACATGGTCTCACTACATTGTCCAGGGTGGTCTCGAACTTTTGGGCTTAAGTTATCTGCCTGTCTCAGCCTCCCAAAGTGCTGGGATTACGGGTGTGAGCCACCATGCTTGGCCAATTTCCTCGTTTTTAAAATTAGGGAAATAGTAGTTCATAAGATTAAATGAGGTGATCAATGCAAAGTGCTTAATGCAAGCAGTAAACAGTTAAATGTCATACGTTACAATAATATATTAGCTATTGTTTTTATTATGAAAGCTCCCTGATATATAATAAATTAATCTAATATATTAAAGAAATCTATTTCTGGTGTCTAGTATAATGCCCAACACATAGGAAATATGCAACAAATGGCTGTGAAGTGGATGAATAAGGACTCTCAAAACTTTGAAATCATCATGTCATCTCTGACTATAAAGAAACAATATAGAGAATTTAGGATA
The DNA here is from genome assembly GCF_000001405.40 of Homo sapiens. Lineage (NCBI taxonomy): Eukaryota > Metazoa > Chordata > Mammalia > Primates > Hominidae > Homo > Homo sapiens. The sequence continues at coordinate 57,214,264 of NC_000017.11, forward strand.
ATTTTATTTTATTATTTTGAAATATGTCGGACATACAGATGAATGAATCAAACATGTAACTACATCCTAAAGAAGAATAATGAGGTGACACCCAAGTGAGTACCAACCAGAGATTTGCAGAGGGGTCTTCACCAATCATTGAAAAATTAACCAATAGAAACAGAGGTGTAAATAACAAGTGATTGAATTAGCAGATGAGGACATTAAACCGTGATTACAGCTAGACCCCCTTATCCATAGGGAATAAGTTCCAAGACCCCCAGTGGATGCCTGAAACCACAGATAGTACCGAGCAAAGGCAGATAATTTTTTATTTTCTTTTTGAGAGCATGTGTGTCCTTTGCTGTGTATACTACACCTGGCTATATCATATGCCCTGCAGTATTGTCACATGGCAACAGAGCTAATCTGTCCTTCCATGTTTTCTGCCCTGGTACTTCCTTTGCACTTTTATGAATGTAGGTTCTATTGCCCATCTTCTCCCAGAAAATCCAGATTTCATTGCAATTGAAGACTTGCTTTGGAGGGTATCCTTTCTCGTTAATTAACTTCTTCAACTTTGCCAGAAATGTGGCAGCAACTTCTTCATTGGCAGATGCGGCCTCTCTAGTAGTATTTCTATTTTTCAGTCCAAACCTATTCCTGGATCTGTTTAACCATCCCTCACTTGCAGTAAATGGCTCGTTGTCGCTCATTTCAGGGGATCCCTTGCTGAAGTCTTTGTATGAACTCAATGCTTTCTGCTGCAACATGTTGCCACCAATCAGGACATGTTTCTGTTCGTGTCTTCCACCCACAAATTTAATTCCTTTTTCATCTTAACTAAGCACTTACCAGGCGCTGTGGCCGTAACTTTTGTAGTTTGAGGTGCAACAGCAAAACTAGCATGAATCTCTTTTTCCGTCTTCACAATTTCACGGATAGAAGATTCATTCTTACCATAGGTCTTAGCAACCTCAGCATAAAATTTTTTTCTTTCCTTATTAAGTCAAGAACTTTCATCTTTTTCACTCAAAGGAAGTACTTTATGCTTCTCTTTGGCATATTGGAATTGCTAGCAACACTACCCTTGCACTTTGGGGCCATTATTAAGTAAAATAAAAGTTCCTTGAACACAAGAACTGCCGTACCTATACCTGACGGTTGATCTGATAACCGAGCAGGCTACCCAGTGACTAGCAGGGTGGGTGGTGTAGATGGCATGGATACACTGGACAAAACGATGATTCATGTCCTGGCCGGCACAGAGCAGGGTGGCGTGAGATTTTATCACACTACTCAGAACAGCGTGTACCTTAAAACTTATGAATTGTTTATTTCTGGGATTTTCCATTTAATATTTTCAGACTGCAAGTGATCATGGGTAACTGAAACCATGGAAAATGAAACTGTGGATGAGGGAGAACTAGTGTATAAATTTGCTCCAGACGTTAAGACATGTGGAGGAGATCATGAGCATAATGGGGAGAGAATGGAAGGCATAAAAAAAGAAAACAACTACAGCTTGGGCGACAGAGCAAGACCCTATCTCTAAAAAAATAAAAATAAATAAAAATAAATTTAAAGCAACCAAATGGAACTTTAAAAAGTATAAATTAAAATACCTGAAATGAAAAATATATCGAATGGCTGGTCTGGCATGCAAGGAGCTTAGCAGTCAGCACTCCATCCTAGACAGCAAGTAAAAGCTTTATAAACTGAAAAATCAAGTCTTCTAGATCTGTCAAAGAAGTGAGGTCCTAAGGCAAACTGCCATCCCCGAAATTAGACAGACAAACAGATACAGAGAATCACAACCTACCAGAGCAGAAACCATCAGGAGCCAGCACTAGGGTAGGAAAACCTAAATTATAATTGACAAATTCCTGGAGGGTCAGTAGGGACAGGTCTGAAAGTTGAAAACTCCAGGGGACCCTGTGATAGAGGAACCCCCATGCTTTTGTAGTTTTACCTGCAGGAGCACTACCCGGACCTCAAAGTCAATATCGGACAAAAACTGCCTCAAGCTTCTGGCAGAAGGAAGAGAAAGGACCCATTTTTAAATGTGCCAGAGCATTCTGTGTGTGTGTGTGTGTGTGTGTGTGTGTGTGTGTGTGTGTGTGTTGTTCCTTTCAGATCCAGATCTACAGAACATTCTGTTGTTCCTAACAAGGCCTACCCTCAGAAGTAACTATTTTACCAGATCCTAACCTGCTGGGGTGTATCAGAGCCGAACCTACTCGGAGAAAGGAAAATGCTCAACTCTGGCTGCTTTTAGCCATCCACATGGCAGAAGGGAAATACCCAATTCCAGCCCCATCTAGCCATCCTGTCCCACATAAGGAGTTGGGGTTGGAGACATCTGAGAAACAATGGTGAAATTCACAGTCCAGGGGCAAAGGCTCACCAAAAGACAAAGACCTAACTATAAAATTATAGAAGTCTTCCCCTCCCTCTGCCATACCTTACTTCTATATTACTTTTTAAATATTTTATTTTATTTTTTTATTTTAGATAGGGTCTTGCTCTGTCACCCAGGCTGGAGTACAGTGATGTAATCATAGCTCACTGTAATCTTGAACTCCTGGGCTCAAGGGATCCTCCTGCCTCAGCCTCCCAAGTAGTAGGACTACAGGTGCATGCTACCATGCATGGCTAATTTAAAAATTTTTTGTAGAAACAGGGTCTTGCTGTGTTGTCCAGCCGAGTCTCCAACTCCTGGCCTCAGGCAATCCTCCCACCTCAGCCTCCCAAAGCACTGGGATTAAAAGATGTGAGCCACCATGCTTGGCTCACCTCTATATTACTAAAGGTCTATTTAGTGCAGTTCCTTTTACCCAGTACATCACGTCCACCTTCCAACAAAAAATTATGAGGCACACTATGCTGGGTAGAGTGGCTCACGCCTGTAATGCCAGCACTTGGGGAGGCTGAGGTGGGGAGATCACTTGAGGTCAGGAGTTTGAGGCCAGCCTGGCCAACATGGTGAAACGCTGTCTCTATTAAAAATACAAAAATTAGCTGTGTGTGGTGGTGCGCACCTGTATTCCCAGCTACTTGGGAGGCTGAGGTGAAAAGATCGCTTGAACCTAGGAGTTGGAGGTTGCAGTGAGCCAAGATTGTGCCACTGCAATCCAGCCTGGGTGACAGAGTGAAACTCTGTCTCGAAAAAAAAAAAATACAAAGTGTACTAAAAGACAAACAAACAAACAAAAAACCTCATCATTTGAAGAGACTACACAAGCATCAGAACCAGGATCAGATATGGCAGGAACATTGAAATTATCCCACGAGTAATTTTTTTAAATGATGATGAACATGCTGAGGGCTTTAATGGAAAAACAGACAATATTAAAGAACAAATGGATAATGTAAGCAGAGAGATGAACATTCTAAGACAGAATTAAGAAAGAGTGCTAGAGATCAAAAACACTGTAACAGAAATGAAGGATGGTTTTGGTGGACTCATTATGGCTAAAGATGTGGCTAAAGAATGATTCTCTGAGCTTGAGGATATGACAATAGAAACTTCCAAAAGTGAAAAAAGAGAAAAAAAGACAAAACAAAACCACAACAGAATATCCGTGATGAGCTGTGGGACCACTAAAAAAAGGAATAACAGACATAATGGGAATTTTTGTCTTCCACACCTTCTTTGCCTTTTGTGGTATTAATTGAAAACCTTATATGATTCCATTTTCCCTTCTTTCTTAGTCATCAATTTTACTTCTTTTTTTTTTAACTTTTCTTCAGTAGTTGCTCTAGAGTTTGCAATATATATTCACAACTAAGCCAAGTCTATTTATTTATTTAGAGACAGAGTCTCCCGCTGTCATCCAGGTTGAGTTGCAGTGGTGTGATCTCGGCTCACTGCAACCTCCACCTCCCAGGTTCAAGTGATTCTCCTGCCTCAGCCTCCTGAGTAGCTGGTACTACAGGCATGCATGACCACAAATTTTTGTATTTTTAATAGAGACGGGGTTTCACCATGTTGGCCAGGCTGGTCTCAAATTCCTGACCTGAAGTGATCTGCCCATCTTGGCTTCCCAAAGTGCTGGGATTACAGGCCAGCTACTGTGCCCAGCCTCAAATCACTTTTATTACCATTATACTGCTTCATGGGTAGTATATATACCTTATAACAGGAAAATATTCCTAATTCCTCCCTATAATCCTTTGTGTCCTTGCTGTCATTCATTTCTCTTATACATAAGCATATATATACAAAGCGTATATATTCATTGTGGCTATTATTATTTTGAACAAACTATCTGTTAGATCAATTAATAATAAGAAAAATAAAACTTTTCATTGTTTTCCTCATTTATTCCTTCTTTGATACTCTTCCCTTATGTAGATTCAAGTTTCTGACCTACATTATTTTTCTTTTCTGTAAGAACCTCTTTTAACATTCCTTCAAGGCAAGTCTACTGCCAACAGATTTCCTCAATTTTTATTTGCCTGAGAACATCCATATTCCTGGATTCTGTGTCCATGGATTCAACCAACTGTGGGTTGAAAATACTTGAAAAAAAATGGATGGTTGTGTCTGTGGTGAACATGTACACACTTTTTTCTTGCTATTATTTTCTAAACAATACAGGATAACAACTATTCACTTAGTATTTACATTGTATTAGGTATTATAAGTAATCCAGAGATAATTTAAAGTATAGTGGAGAATATGTGGAGGTTTACACAAATATATAGTGGAGGATGTTGTGTAGGTTGTACAAATACTATACCCTGTTATATAAGGGGCTTGGGCATCCTTGGACATTGGCATCTCTGGGGGTCCTGGAACAAATCCTCCATGGATACTGAGGGGCAACTGAACTTGGGTATAAATCCAACAAAATATGTGTAACATTATTGAAACGACAAAACTCTAAGCTGGTCGGATGGTAGTGGGTTATCAGAACTTATTAACACTAGTGTCACTAAAGTTTGGTATTTTCCATATTTATGAATAGGAAACTTCAATATTATCAAGATGTTAATGCTTCCCAACTTGACCTATAGATTCAATGCAATCCCAATGAAAATTCCAGCATGTTATTTTGTGGATATAAACAAATTGATTCTCAAGTTTATAGAGAGAGGCAAAGGATCTAGAACAGTCAACTCAATATTGAAAAAGAACAGAGTTGGAAGACTAACACTACCCAACTTCAAGACTTACTATGTACTGTATCGTTTACTTACCATGAAGCTACAGTAATCAAGACAGTGTGGTATTGGTGAAAAGGTAAACAAGTGGGTCAATGGAACAGAATAGACACCCCAGAAATAGACACAGTCAACTTATCTTTGTTAAAGTAGCAAAGGCAATATAATGGAACAAGGATTGTCTTTTCAGCAAATGGTGCTGGAACAACTGGATATCTACATGCAAAAAATGAATCTGGACTGACTTTATACTCTCCATAAAAGTTAACTCAAAATGGATCATAGACCTAAATGTAAAATGCAAAACTAAAATTCCTAGAATATAGCACAGGAGAAAACATAGGTGACCTCGGGTATGTCAATGACTTCTTAGGTACAACACCAATGGCACAATTCACAAAAGACATAATTGATAAGCTGGATATTATTAAAATTAAAAACATCTGCTCTCCCAAAGAAAATGTCAAGAGAATAAGAAGCCTGGCACAGTGGCTCATGCCTGTAATCCCAGCACTTTGGGAGGTCACAGCAGAAATACTGCTTGAGCTCAGGAGTTTGAGACCAGCTTGGACAATATAGTAAGACCCTGTCTCTACAAAAAAATTTTTTTAAAAAATTAGTCAGGTGTGGTGGCACATCCCTGTAGTCCCAGGTACTTGGAAAGTTGAGATGGGAGGATCACTTGAGCCGGGAGTTGGAGACACAGTGAGCTATGATCATGCCACTACACTCCTCCCTGAGTGACAGAGTGAGACCACATCTCTAAAAAGAAAAAGAAAATGAACAACCCGAATTTAAAAATGGGCAAAGGACTGTAACAGACGTTTCACTTAAAAAATATATATAGATGGCAAGTAGGCACATGAAACGAAGTTTAACATGTCATTAGGAAATTGAAAGTTGAAACAACAATTGAGGTGCTACTACACACCCATTAGAATGGCTCACATCCCGAAACTGACAACACCAGATGCTGACTGAGGAGGATGTAGATCAATAGGAATTTATTTATTGTCGGTAGGAATGCAAAATGATACAGTCACTTTACATGATGGTTTGAAAGTTTTTTACAAAACTAAATAAACTCTTACCATGTGATCCAGCAATCACACTCCTTGGTATTTACTCGAATGAGTTGAAAACTTATTTTCATACAAAAGCCTGCACGTGGATGTTTATAGCAGCTTTATTCATAATTGCCAAAACTTGGAAGCAACCAAGATGTCCTTCAGTAGATGGATACATAAATAAACTGTGGCACATTCAGACAATGGAATATTATTATTATTATTATTTGAGACAGGGTCTTATTCTGTCGCCCAGGATGGAGTGCAGTGGCCCAATCACAGCTCACTGCAGCCTCGACCTCCCGGCCTCAGGTGATCCTCTCACCTCAGCCTCTCGAGTAGCTGGGACTACAGTTACATGCCACAATGCCCAGCTAATTTTTTAAATTTTTTGTAGAGATGAGTTTTCACTATGTTGCCCAAGCTGATCTCAAACTCCTGGGCTCAAGCAATCTGCCCACCTTGGCCTCCCAAAGTGCTGGGATTACAGGCCTGAGCCACCATGCCTGACCACCAGTGGAATATTATTTAGCAACAAAAAGAAATAAACTATTAAGGTATGAAAACACATAGAGGAAAGTTAAATGCATATTACTAAGTAAAAGAAGCCCATCTGAGAAGTACACATACTATATGATTTCAACTGTGTGTCATTCTGGAAAAGGCAAAATTATGAACACGATAAAAAGATCAGTGGTTGCCAGTTGGAGAAGAGAGGGAGGGAGGGACGAATAGGCAGAGCACAGAGGATTTTTAGGGCAGTGAAACTATTCTATATGATACAGGTTGAGCATCCCAAGTCCAAAAATATGAAGTCTGAAATGCTCCAAAATCCAAAACTTTTAAACACCATGTTGGGATGCTTAACTGGTAAGTCTATAATGCAAATGTTCCAAAATCGAGAAAAATGTGAAATCCAAAACACTTCTGTTCCCAAGCATTTTGAATAAGGAATACTTAACCTGTACTACAATGGTAGATGCATGTCATCATACATTTGTCAAAACCCATAGAATGTACAATGCTAAGAGTAAACCTTAATGTAATCTATGGACTTTGGGTGATAATGATGTGTCAATATAGGTTTATTGACATAAGTACAAATGCACCTCTGTGATATGGGATGCTGATAGTGGGGGGAGGGGGTTGTTCATGTGTGAAGACAGGAGAACATGGGAATTCTCTGTACTATCCCCTCAGTTTTGATGTGATCCTTTAGGTTTGTGAACTTTTCTACAAAATAAAGTTTATTAATTTAAAAATATATTGAATGGAATTTGTAGCAGGTTAGACACTGCAGAAGAAAAGTTCTGTAAACTTGAAAACACAGCAATGGAAAGTATTCCAAATGAAACATGCAGAGAAAAATATGGAAAAATTTAAACAATTATCAGAGACCTATGGAACTATATCAAGAAGTCTAATGTGCATGCAATTGGAGTTCCTGAAGGAGAAGACAGATGGGAAAAAATATCTGAATAAATGATTAATGAATTTCTTTCCTAATTTGAAGAAAACTATAAATCTATGGATCTAATAAGCTCAACAAACTCCAAACAGAATAAACAACCAAATTATGGCATACCATACCACAGCTTTCCATACTGTGGAAAACAGTGATAAAGAGAAAAATCTTAAAAGCAGCTGGTAGAGTGAGAGAAGACGCTTTATGTGCAGAGGAACAAAGATAAGAATGACAGGAGACTTCTCTTCTAGAAGTATGCGTGCCAAAAGTACATGGAGCAACATCTTTGAATTACTGATAGAAACAAAACAAAACAAAACAAAACAAAACAAAACTGTTAACCCTAAATTCTATAGCCAGCAAAAATGTATTTCAAAAATAGAGAACAAATAAAGACTTTCTCTGGAGATAACAAAGCCAGCAGAATTCATCACAAGCAAATCTGTACTACAAGAAATATTAAAAGAGGTTCTTCAGGCAGAAGAAAATGACACTAGATGAAAATTAGTATCAGCCAGGTGGAGTGGTTCATACCTGTAATCCCAGCACTTTGGAAGGCCAAGGCAGGAGGATTACTTGAGCCCAGGAGTTCAAGACCAGCCTGGGCAACATAGTGAGACCGTATCTTTATTTTAAAAATAAATAAATAAATAAATAAATAAATAAATAAATAAATAAATAAATAAATAAGAAAATTAGAATCTATACAAAGGAATACAAAGTGCCACAAGTGGTAAAGGTATAGGAAAATGTAACAGATTTTTTCCTCACTTTTAAATCTCTTGAACAGATAATTAATAGCTTAAAGCAAAAAAAAAAAAAGTATTGTGGGATTTATAGCACATGTACAGGTCTGACAAAAATAGCACAGATGGGAAAAGAGATATGAAAGTATACTGTTGTAAGGTTCATATGCTAAATGTGAAGTAAAGACAGACTATATTACATTAAAGATGTATAGTGAGAACTTCAGAGCAACCTCTAAAAGTAAACACACAAATAGGTCTGGGTAAGACAATAGTGGGGATTAAAATGGAATCATAAAAAATGCTCAAGCGGCCGGGCGCGGTGGCTCACGCCTGTAATCCCAGCACTTTGGGAGGCCGAGGCAGGTGGATCATGAGGTCAGGAGATCGAGACCATCCTGGCTAACAAAGGTGAAACCCCGTCTCTACTAAAAATACAAAAAAATTAGCCGGGCGCGGGGGCGGGCGCCTGTAGTCCCAGCTACTTGGGAGCCTGAGGCAGGAGAATGGCGTGAACCCGGGAAGCGGAGCTTGCAGTGAGCCGAGATTGCGCCACTGCAGTCCGCAGTCCGGCCTGGGCGACAGAGCGAGACTCCGTCTCAAAAAAAAAAAATGCTCAAGCATTGCAAAAAGAAGACAGGAAAAGAGGATCAAAAGAACAAAAAAGAAATGGAACAAATAGAAGACAAATAGTAAGATAAGCACAATATAATTCTATATGTTTAATTTTCTTTAATATTTATTGATAATGTTTTACCATTTCTATGTAGAACCCTTGCACATCTAGTGAAGATTTGTTCCTAGAATTGTTATGTTTTCTGATGCTATTGTAAGAGATATTTTAAAATTTTTATTTCAACATGCTTACAGCCAGATTATAAAATTTAATTGGTTTTGGTCATATTTATATTGTATCTAGAAACTTTGTACATTGACTTATTAATTCTAATAGTGTGTGCATATTCCTTTGGATTTTCTATGTATCAACTGTGTTGTCTGCAAATATTGGTAGTTTTTTCCTTTATAACTTTTATATCATTTGTTTCTTTTTCTTACCTCATTGCATTGGTTGGGACCTCTAGTATAGTGCTTTTTGCAGATAACCTTTATCATATAAAGGAAGTGTCCTTCTATTCAAAGCTTTCTTTTCTTAAACCAAGAACGAATGTTGAGTTTTATCAAATGCTTTTCTGCATTTGTAGATAATAATCATATGATTTTTCTCCTTTATTATGTGAAAGTGGAAATTTCTCATTGATTTTAAATGTTCAACTAATCTTGCTTTCTCATGATGTACAATAGTCCCCACTTATCTGTGAAGAATATGTTCCAAGACCCCACCCCAATGGATACCTGAAACTGCAGATAGTACCAAACCCTATGTATACTATGTATTTTCCTGACTACATACCCATGATAAAGTTTAATTTATAAATCAGGCATGGTGAGAGATTAACAATAACTAACAAAATAGAAAAATTGTAACAATATACTATAATAAAAGTTATGTAAATGTGGTCTCTCTCTCTCAAAATATCTTATTGTATTGTACTCACCCTTCTTTTATTAAGTGAGATGAGACGATGCCTACATGATGAGATGAAGTGACGGAGTAGGATGGTGCAGGATTTCATCACGCTATTCAGAACAACATGCACATTAAAATATGAATTGTTGGCTGGGCATAGTGGCTCATGCCTGTAATCCCAGCACTTTGGGAGGCTGAGGCGGGAGGACTACCTGAGGTCAGGAGTTAGAGACCAGCCTGGCCAACATGGTGAAACCTTGTCTCTACTAAAAATACAAAAATTAACCAGGCATGGTGGCACATGCCTGTAATCCCAGCTACTCGGGAGGCTGAGGCAGGAGAATCACTTAAACCTTGGAGGCAGAGGTTGCAGTGAGCCGAGATCACGCCATTGCACCCCAGCCTAAGAGACAGAGCGAGACTCCGTCTCAAAACAAACAAACAAACAAAAAACATGAATTGTTTATTGCTGGAAATAAACACATAGTTTATTTCCATTTCATATTTTTGGACCACAGTTTACTGCAGGAAGGTCACTAAAACCATGGAAAGTGAAACCACAGATAAGGGAGGAATACTACAGGATACCTTATCTTTTTCATACATTGCTGAATAAGATTGCCAATATTTTGTTTATGGTTTTTGAATCCATGTTCTTGGGTGAGGTTTACCTGAAATTTTTCTTTTTTTTTTTTTTTTTTTGAGACAGGGTCTCACTTTGTTGCCCAGGCTGGAGTGCAGTGGTGCGATCTTGGCTCACTGCAACCTCCGCCTCTTGGGCTCAAGTGATCCTTCTGCTTCAGCCTCCCAAGTAGCTGAGGCTATAGGCATGCACCACCACGCCTGGCTAATTTTTGTATTTATTTATAGAGCTGGGATTTCACCCTGTTGCCCAAGCTGGTCTCAAACTCCTGGGCTCAAGCAATCTACCCACCTTGACCTTCCAAACTGCCTGTAGCATCAGCCACCGTGCCTGGCCGAAATTTTTCTTTTTTGTACTGTCAGGTTTGGCAGCAAGTTAATGCTAAGTTAATAAAATGAGTTGAGGGAATGAGGCCTCTTTTTACATGCTTTGAAATAGCTTGCATACAATTAGAATTATTTATTCTTTGAGTGTCTGGAACTTGCTGGTGATGCCAGCAGGGCTTGGAGTTTAATATGTGGGAAGGTTTTAATTTACACATTCAATTTCTTTCATGATTATAGGATTGTTTGGGGTTTCTCTTTTAGTCAGTTAGATTTTCCTGAGAGTGGGTCTGTTTCTTAGAAGATTTCAAATTTAGTGACATAAAAATGTTCAACAATGTCCTCTTATTATTTTGTTTCAATCTGTGAAGCCTTTATATTTATATCAGTATTTCATTCTTGATATTGTTTATTTATGCTTTCTCTCTTTATTTCTTGGTCAGTCTTACCAGAGGTTTGTCATTTTTATCAGTCTTTTCAGAGGAACGTTTGGCTTTGCTAATCTTCTCTGTTGTGTTTATTTTCCATTTCATTAATTTCTATGCTTCTCTTTATTTCTTTTCCTACCTTTCTTGAGTTTATTTTGCTGATGTGTTTCTAACTTCATAAAATGGATGTTTAGTTCATTAGTATTTAGTTTTTTTCTTTTCTTTTTTTTTTTTTTTTTGAGACAGAGTTTTGCTCTTGTTGCCCAGGCTGGAGTGCAGTGGTAGGATCTCGGCTCACTGCAACCGCCATGTCCCAGGTTCAAGTGATTCTCCTGCCTCAGCCTCCCGAGTAGCTGGGATTACAGGCGCATGCCACCACACCCAGCTAGTTTCGCATTTTTAGTAGAGGTAGGGTTTCTCCATGTTGGTCAGACTGGTCTTGAACTCCTGACCTCAGGTGACCCACCCACTTGGCCTCCCAAAGTGCTGGGATTACAGGCATGGCCACCTCATCCAGCCTTCTTTTCTTTTTTTTTTAAACATAGCCTTTTGGGCCATAAATTTTCCTCAGAATTGTTTCATCTATCCCAAAAGTTTTGCTGTGTATTTTCATTACAGTTCCATACTCAATATTTTCTAATTTCTGCTGTTTTCTTCTTTGAGCCCCTGGTTATTTAAACACGGGTTTCTTAATTTATAAGTATATGTGGATTTTCTATTAACTATCTGTTACTGATTTCTACCTTAACTTCATTGTTGTCAGAGAATGTATTCTATATGATTTCAATACTTAAAAAATATGAGATTTGCCTTATGACCTGGTATATCAGCAACTTTTGTAAATATTCCATGTGTGCTTGAAAAGCATGAGTTTCTGCAGTTGTTGGGTATGGTGTTCTAAATATGTCTGTGATGGCAATGAAAACGCGCCACTCAGCTCTTCTGCTAAATATGCGTAGAGTGGTCATGAACGTGTGCAACTCAGCTCTCCTGCTATGGGGTGCACAGTTGACTGGCAGCCCTAACCACTATTCCTTTGGATCCCACAATGCATTTGTGCTGAGACCACTCTTCCTCTGAGCTGCTTCCAGCTGGTGGAGCTGAGCTTGTCGTGGTTACTAGTGCAGGCCCATTCCTGTGGGATTTGAGACTTTTTAAATGGGCAACTTTGGTTCAAAGGCACCCCATCAGCCTGGCCATGCCCTTTATAGAATTGCACTGTAGTCTGAGACTCTACCTACTCAAGTGTTCTTCCTTTTCCCACTCCTTTCAGATTGGTATTGTGGGCAGAAGGCTCTCTCTGCCTGCTACTGCTTCCTTTCCTTTATCCTTCGTGGGCAGTTTCCCCAAGACACCTCTGGCATGTCTAATCTTATCTTGGCATCTGTTTCCTGAATTGATATAATGTCCCTTTGGTCAGTTGTACTGCATGTGTTGTTCAAATCTTCTGTATCCTTACTGATGTTTTTTCCTGTTTGTTCTGTTTGTTCTACCAGTTACTGGAAGAGGTGTGTTAAGTGCCCCACCATGGTTCCTGATTTGTTTATTTCTTTTGGTAATTACCAATTTTGGGGAGATATATATACATATGATTTCAGACCTTATCCTCCATGCAGAATTTGTGCTTAATATATTTCAAAAGTTATTGAGTATGTAAATTTAAAATAGTCTGCGTTGAACTGACTTGTTTAACGTCTTGAAGTGGCATCTGTCTCTAGCAATGCTTTTTGCTTTAAGTCTACTTTGCTCATTAACATAGCTAAACCCAGTACACATTTTCTTAGTACACCTTTTCCCCCCTTTTGCTTTTAGACTCTCTGTATACTCTTGAGATATGTTTCTTATGAACAGCATATAGTTTGATTTTTAAAAAATTCATTCTGACAAGCTTTGTATTTTAGATGAAACATCTAATTCATTTATATTTGTCATTATTTTTCATATTTCTGGTTCTATAGCTATTATACCTTTTCTTTTACTACTATTTTCCCACAAGTTCCATTCTTTCTCTACTTTCTTGCCCTCTTTTGGATTGATTTGTTCTTTTTTCCATTTCCACTTTTTCCCTCCACCGATTTGAGAACTGTTTCTATTCTGTAAATGGAATCTCTAGAAATAGCAGCAAATAACTTAGCAAAATCAAAGTTACTTAGCAATTCTACTCTTTTTCGGAAAAATATGAAATCTTACAACTTCCACTTATGCCTTCCTGACACATATGCTGTTATTGTTGTGCATTTAGTTCTATCAACTTTTCTTTCAAAAGCCCACAAGTCTATTACTATTGCTTTAAATGTTCAATGTTTCACCTATTTTCTCACTTTTTTGTGTTTTATTTCCTCTTGTTCTCTACACCTTCCATCTGAACTAGCTTTTCTTCTGCCAGAACTGAAGGTTTGTTAGTAGCAAGTTGTCTCAGTTTTTGTTTGCCTGAAAATGACTTTTCCTCCTTAATTATGAATATAGAGTTGAAAATGAACAATCATCTTCTCTCAGCACATTGAAGATATCATACATTGTCTTTTGATTTCAGTTGCTGCTAATGAGTAGTAAATTGTCTGAAACTCTTTTTTTTTTTTTTTTTTTTTGAGACAGAGTCTCGCTGTCGCCCAGGCTGGAGTGCAGTGATACGATCTCGGCTCACTGCAAGCTCTGCCTCCCGGGTTCACGCCATTCTCCTGCCTCAGCCTCCCAAGTAGCTGGGACTACAGGCGCCCGCCACCACGCCTGGCTAATTTTTTGTATTTTTAGTAGAGATGGGGTTTCACCGTGTTAGCCAGGATGGTCTCGATCTCCTGACCTCGTGACTCGCGCGCCTCAGCCTCCCAAAGTGCTGGGATTACAGGCGTGAGCCACCGCGCCCAGCCAGTTGTCTGAAACTCTTTTAAAAATAATCTGTCTTTTCTCTTTCACTGTTATTAAGATATTCTTTTTGTCTTTGGTGCTCTGCAACTTCATTATGATAGAGATAAATGCTAGCTAGCTAAATAGTTAGCTATTTATATATTTCCCATGTTATTATTCCAGTAAATCTGTCCCCTGAGTTCTTTTTTTCTAGAAGTTCTTTAGATTCTTTTTCAAAATCACTTGTTTTCTTGTTTTCTTTTTCTTGCATACATTTTCATGCATGATTTTTATTTTTATTAAATGTATGAAACGTGGTTGTTTAAAAGTCTTTGTCTTATTTCAAGATCTGAAGTTTTTGCAGGATTGTTCTAGCTATCTGCTGCTTCTTGCACTTAGTTCTTAAGTGCCCTATTTTATTGTGTAGTTAGTTTCTTTCTCTCTCTCTCTCTGTCATTTAACTTTAAACTGATCGTTTTCCTTGACATTTTATGTGTGGGAATACTTTGAAGTCTGGGATAAATTTGGCTTCCTCTATAAAGGATTCACTTTTGCTTCTGCCAGGTTCTGGAGGCATTACTATTTCTGGGATCACTCCAGTTACATTCTCCACTTGGTCTATCCAGACCACCCAGAGTGTGGATTTTTTGCTATAAACTGTGTCATGGACAGCTTGTGGTTTGAATGTTTAGTGATGATTCTTGGCACGTGTGTCTACACACGCACACAAACACACACAAAGACACACACATAAACATACGCACCTGTCTTACCCTCTTCAGTGCAAGTGTGAGGCAGATTTCCCCTGCAGTCTTCAAGAGAATGTGGGAAATATTCCTTTTTTTTTTTTTTTTTTTTTTTGAGACAGAGTTTTGCTCTTGTTGCCCAGGCTGGAGTGCAATGGCGCGATCTTGGCTCACTGCAACCTCCACCTCCCGGGTACAAGTGATTCTCCTGCCTCAGCCTTCCCAAGTAGCTGGGATTACAGGCACCTGCCATCACATCCAGCTAATTTTTGTAGTTTTAGTAGAGATGGGGTTTCACCATGTTGACCAGGCTGGTCTCAAACTCCTGACCTCAGCTGATCCACCCACCTTGGCCTCCCAAAGTGCTGGGATTACAGGCGTGAGCCACCGCGCCTGGCCCGAATGTGGGAAATGTTTCTGAATTTCCCCTTACACAAAGGGGATAGCCTTTGGAAGCATCCCAGCTTTATGGTGGAAGACTACTTATTAAACTCCTCATCTTGGTCAGACGGTGGGCTTTGTCTCCTTTTTCACAGTCTTGTGAGGCCATGAATACCAAAGCTCAAATTCAGCAGGTTTAGCAAATGCCTTTGGAACACATTGCTCTACCCACATCTCTCAACTACTCCGCTAAATCCCTGGACTAAGAATTGTTAATTTTTCTGCTTATTCACTGATGCTCTTAAATTATTTTTAATCCAGAATTTTTAGTTATTTTCAATAAGTATATTGATTCACTTGCCATGTTTCCAGAAATGGAAATCAATTTTATTAAAAAAAGACTCATGTTTTATAATTCAACAGTCTTCATTTAAATAGTACCAATGTACAGTGTCCACTGAAAATCCACTGTAACGTTAATGGATTAATCATAGTGCGTATTTGCAAAGCTCTTTTAACTTTTCAAATGGTTTTCACATGTATCTGTGGTTCTCAAGGGGGGGGTGGCACTGCCCTTCTGGGGAGTTTTGAAAATCTGAAGGAGTTGTTTAGATTGTCATTATGGATGGGAGCCATTATCAGCATTTAGTGGGGAGCCAAAGATGCTAGACTCCTACAGTGCCTAGGGCAGTCCTGCCCAAAGAATAATTGCACTGTGTCTCATATGACTTTTCAGTATCCCCTGGTCGTTCAGAAACTGAAAATCATACCTTGTCCTGTGTCATAGCATAGGGGCTTATTTTAATTCTTCTTTTTAAATTTTATTTTATATTTATTTATTTATTTATTTTGAGATGGAGTTTCGCTCTTGTTGCCGAGGCTGGAGTGCAATGGCAAGATCTCGACTCACTGCAACCTCCGCCTCCTGGGTTCAAGCGATTCTCCTACCTCAGCCTCCCGAGTAGCTAGGATTACCGGCATGTGCCACCACACCTGGCTAATTTTTTATATTTTTAGTTGAGACAGGGTTTCTCCATGTTGGTCAGGCTGGTCTTGAACTCCTAACCTCAGGTGATCTGCCTGCCTCGGCCTCCCAAAGTGCTGGGATTACAGGCATGAGACACTACGCCCGGCCTATTTTGTTTTGTTTTTGTGGAGACAGGGTGTCTCTGTGTCACCAAGCCAGAGTGCAGTGGCGTGATCAGAGCTCACTGCAGCCTCAAACTCCTGGACTCATGCAATCCTCCCACCTCAGCCTCCAAGTAGCTAGGACTATAGGCATGTGCCGTCATGACCAGCTAATTAAAAAATATATATATATAGTAGAGATGGGGGTCTCACTATGTTGCCTAGACTGGTCTTGAACTCCTGGGCTCCAGTGATTCTCCTACCTCGGCTCCCCAAAGTGCTGGGATTACAAGCGTGAGCCACTGTGCCTGGCCATGCTTCTCTTCTTAATAAGGACCAGTTTATTTGTGAGATCTTCTTCTTCCTCAATTTTTCCACTTTGATAATTTTTAATTTGTCTTGGCATGTTATTCTTACTTCAATTAAGATTATATCTCTCTTGTTTCTTATCATATGCAAACAAGCCTGGTTTGTTTTCATTTCTTCTAACAGGGTCATTGTGGTGAACACCTGTACCTCTGCTCCTTGATTTCCTTAAGCTCTAAATCCAAGCTAATATGTTCATTATAACTAGTTGCTATCATTTCACTCCTTCAATGTGTCTTCTAATGGAATCATGCCAAGGCAGTCACAGGTTGAAACACAAATTTGTGTGTATCTATCTACCCTTTATACTATACCTTGGACATCATTTTTGGAGGAATTATGTTTGTAGGTATATTGTCTCTGAATTTAATTTCAGGATAGTGAAAGAGGCCTTTACAGAATATATGTTTAGAAATTAGGTCTGGCTGGGCGCCGTGGCTCATGCCTGTAATCCCACCACTTTGGGAGGCCAAGGTGGGTGGATCACTTGAAGTCTGGAGTTTGAGACCAGCCTGGCCAACATGGTGAAACTTCAACTCTACTAAAAATACAAAAATTAGCCAGGTATCGTGGCAGGCACCTGTAATCCCATCTACTTGGGAGGCTGAGGTGGGAGGCTCACTTGAGCCTGGGAGGTGGATGTTGCAGTGAGTTGAGATGATACCACTGCAATCCAGCCTGGGCAACAGAGCAAGACTCCATCTCAAAAAAAAAAAAATTAGGTCTGATAGGGTCTAATAGGGTTAAGAACACAGACATATTTGTTTCCTTTCATTCTTCTAAAAACTCTATTAGGTAGATACTTTTATTTATTTTTTTGATAGGGGAGGAGACTTAGGCTTAGAAAGGCAAAATAACTTGTCCAAGGTCTCTGAGATCTTTAATTAGGCTTGATTACAAGGTGGCTGACACCCTGCATCCCACTACTGATGTCTTGCAAACTGTCCATTTATTCTGTCAATGAGTATGCATGGTGCAGCTGTGAGAAGGGGACGGTGCTGGATGCTGTGTAGAAGGCAGGAATACATAAATCACAGTCCCCACTCTCCAGGAGAGGAGAGAAGATTTGCTAGAAGCCCAGAGGCCAAGTACAACCCAGCAGCATCATTGTCACCAGAGTAGCACAAAAGCAGGAGGCCACTCTGCTGAAGAGACATAGGAAGGAGGAGTACATGGAAGAAGTACACTGGCTGGAGGCTTTGGGATGGGTGGAAATTGGACAGGGTGAGGAGAGGCAGGATGGGCTGAGGAGGAGGGCATTGGGCATAACTCATTTTGCTTAAGCAAAGGCAGACCAGTTTTCCTGGAGCACCCAGGTTAGACTGTGACATAATCAAATTCCTGAGAACAGAATGACTGTAAGACAAGCATCCAAGTTGATATCACAGGTCACCAGATATACATCAAAGAGAGGATGAGGAAGCAGACAGGGTAGTACAATAACACACTAGATGGCAAATAATTTTGTACTTTTATGACAAACTAAGATTTAAGGATGTTCTTTGCCACATTGTTTATGCTAGGGAAGCATTAGAATCCACAGAAATGTCCAGAAATAAGAAAATGAGTGCACAGTTATGCTACATTCAGCTATTTAGCATACTATGTATTTAGCCTGGTTTCATTAACAAGTCAAAGTTATACACAAAGAAAGTGGGGAGTGGGAGAGGTTGGTTAGGGGCTGGAACAAGATACTGTTGCAACCTCAAAGGGACATCAAAGACACAGTCCATTGAAATGCATGGTTCTTGATTGGATCTTGGTTTGAATAAACCATCTATAAAAGAAATTGTGGAAAACAAGTGAAAATTTCTATATGGAGCAAGTATTAGATGATATTAAGAAATTATTGTGGGCTAGGTGTGGTGGCTTATGCCTGTAATCCCAGCACCTTGGGAAGCTGAGGCGGGCAGATCACTTGAGGTCAGTTCAAGACCAGCCTGGACAACATGGCAAAACCCCGTCTCTATAAAAATACAAAAATTAGCCATGCGTGGTGGCACATGCCTGTAGTCCCAGCTACTCAGGAGGCTGAGACATAAGAATCGCTTGAACTTGGGAGATGGAGGTTGCAGTGAGCCAAGGTTGAGCAACTGCATTCCAGCCTGGGTGACAGAGCAAGACTCCGTCTCAAAAAAATAAATTAATAAATAAAATAAAAAAGAAGAAGAAGAAGAAATTATTGTGAATTTTGAAGTTATGTAGGAAAATATCCCTTTTGGGATGTATATGGATGTGTTTAGAACTAAAATGTCATGATGTCTGCAATTTACTTAAAAATACTTTAGCAACGAAGTAGATGAAGTCAATACATCAAATGTTAACAGTTGTTATCTAGGAGATGGGTATGGAGGTGTTCATTATCCTACTTTTTCTACTTTTCTATCTATGGTTAAAAATTTCCATAATAAAAAGTACAAAGAAAAAAAAGAGAGAAAAAGAAGAAAATAACGTTTATAAATAATTTTAATGATGTAGAAAAATACTATGATATAATGTTAGATAAAAGAAAAGTAAGAATGAAAATTTTTGTATATAAAATTTTGATTCTTATATAAAACTTATATATAAAATTTTGTATATACAGCATATATATTTTTTGTACATTCAGTAGTATACAATATGGTCTTAACATTGCTTTAAAAATGAATACATGCAAGTTATGAAACACTCACCAAGGGCCAGGTCCTGGGGATGATGTTGGTATTAGACTGTTCTCGCACTGCTATAAAAAACTACTTGAGACTGGGTAACTTATAAAGAAAAGAGGTGTAATTGGCTCACAGTTCCACAGGCTGCACAGGAAGCATGGCTGGGGAGGCCTCAGGAAACTTACAATCATGGCGGAAGGTGAAGAGGAAGGAGGCACATCTTACATGGCCGGAGCAGAAGGGAGAGCGAAGGGGGACATTCTACACACTTTCAAACAATCAGATTTCGTGAGGACTCACTCACTATAATGCAAACAGCAAGAGGGAGATCCGGTCCCCATGATCCAATCACTTCCCACTAGGTCCCTCCTCCAACATTGGGGATTACAATTCAACATGACGTTTGGGTAGGGACACAGAGCCAAACCATATCAATGTTTAATACACATTGTAAATAATTTCCCCTGACCCCATCAGCTGGTCAACAATGGAGCCAAGACTTGAACCCAGACTCAGCCCATTCCAAAACCCATGCTTTTTCCCTACACCAGGAGTTGGCAGGCTCTCTTGGTAAGGGGCCAGATAGTAAATATTTTTTGGTTTTGAGGACCATATGGTCTCTGTTACAACTACTCAATGATCCTATTATAGCAGGAGAACAACCATAGATAATGCACAGCTGAATGTGTGTGGCTGGCTTCCAATAAAACTTTATTTACAAAAACAGGTGATGGGCCAGATTTAGCCTGGGGCTACAGTTTGCCCACTCCTGCCCTATGAACATGATGCTGCCTTTCAAAGCATTCAACACACCCATACATACAGACACAACCAGAGACCAGGAAAAAAAATCATGCTTAATCATCATTCTTTCCGTCATACTTTTCTGTATATCCCAAATTTTCTAACATGTTCTGTTACTTGTATGTATTACTCCTATATATATCTATTTATTTTTACAACTTCTTTGATTTATTTTCTGGGAGGAGAAATTTTCTATAATGCATTTACATAGTCCCACATTGAAAGGACACAAAGGCTGAATTGTGAAAAGTCTCCTTCCCACCTATGTACCAAGCCACCTCTGTCCCTTCCCCACAGGAAACCAATGTTATTCCACCTTTGTATTCTTCCAGAGGTTATGTTACCCACATGCAGCCAAGTTAGCAGGGCCACCACTGTGTTGCACGACTCCAAGAGACATCATTTATATTGAGCTCCTGGGATGCCATTGACATGGAATACAATGGAATTGTGCCCCCTGGAGTTGTGTAATGCAGCAGCCTCACCAAAGATGTGTGTGTGTGTGTGAGTGTGTATCTATACACTTATAAATATATGTAGAGATATATATGTGCATTTTTTCTACTGTCCTTTTTTTTCAACCAAAATTAGCATATTATATACAATGCTCTGCATCTGACTTTTTTTCACTTAGTAATATATTTTCATACTCATTTGATGTCAGTTTATAAAATGTCCTCATTCTTTTTGATGATGATGATGATAACGGTCTTGGTGTGGCATCACAAAGGAATAGTAAGTGACCATTGTCATTTGCGTTCCAGGGATTGTTCTAAGCATTTGCATGTATGTCATTCATTCCTGAGCGCTCACAGCGACCCCATGAGATAGGCACAGAGAGATGAATGTACTGACCCACAGTCACAGCTGAGATTAAAAAAGAACTCTTCCCTGGTTCCTTCTAGTACTTGGATGGGTTGTGCTGTACATTCAGATCTTTTCTCCGTTTGGAATTCTTCCGGCAGTAACTATGAGATGAGGATCCAACCTTGTTTTTCCTTGACGGCTCCTGTTATTCCCACCACTGTCTCCAGATGCCACCTTTCCCACACATGAAAGTCTTGAAGGATTTGGGCCTATTGCTAGACTTTCTTTCTGTTTCATTGTTCTGTCCCTGTCATCAAGCACCAGTGCCATACTCTTAATTCCTGAGGTTTTAGAATCTGTGCTAATATCTGGTAGAGTTTTGTCTCTTCATTACTTCCTTTTTTCAGAAATATCCTGGATAGTCTTGGCTTGTTTATTTTTCCACATTTTTTTATTGTGGCAAAATATACATTGCATAAAATTTACCATTTTAACCATGTTAAATTGTGCAATTCAGTGATATTAACTACATTCACACTGTTGCATTACCACCACCACTATGCATTTCCAGGGCATTTAAATCTATTTCCAGGCTGGGCATGGTGGTTCATGCCTGTAATCCCAGCACTTTGGAGGCCAAGGCAGACGGATCACTTGAGGTCAGGAGTTCGAGACTAGCCTGATCAACTTGGTGAAACCCCCATCTCTACTAAAAATACAAAAATTAGCCGAGTGTGGTGGTGGGTGCCTGTAATCCCAGGTACTTGGGAGGCTGAAGCAGGAGCATCGATTGAACCTGGGAGGCAGAGGTTGCAGTGAGCCGAGATCGCGCCACTGCACTCCAGCCTGGGTGACAGAGAGAGACTCCATCTCAAAAAGTAAAATAAAATAAATCTATTTCCAGAACTTTAAAAAATGATCACTTCTCAGCCTTTTGGCTAAGATCTAGTGCAGAACTTTTTTTTATCATTCCAAACTGAAATTCTATACCCATTAAACACTAACTCCCATTCTCCTCTTCCCCAAGTCCCTGGCAGACACCATTCTGTCTGTAGGAATTTGACTACTCTGGGTAGCTCATATAAGTGGAATTGTATAATATGTATCTTCTGGTATCTGGCCTATTTCACTTAGCATAGTGTCTTCAAGGCTCATCCACATCCACATCATAGCATGCATGTATCGCTCCTTTATTCCTTTTTATGGCTCAATAATATGACATTGTATATATGTACCACCTACATATATTTGTTTATCAGTTCATCTGTTGATGAACACTTGGATCTTGGGTTGTTTCCACCATTTGGCTGTTGTCAATAATGCTGCTATGAACACTGGTGTACTCCAGATTAATTTCAGAGTCAGTTTGTCCAGGACCAAACAAAACATTCTTCTACTACTTTTATAATTACCCTCTCTCTTCCCCAGTTTCCCCTCATGCCTCCCAGTGGTCATTCATTATCTTGTTCAATCCCAACATGCCCCAGATACCTTTCTGGATGTATCGTCCATCACTGCAGTGCCGCCTGTGGTTCTGCCTGCCCTTGCCTGCCTTCCCCTTCCTGGCAAAGCTGTGCAGCTGCTCTCCAGGCATTTACTTGGAAAACCACTTTCCTTTGCTTGGTGGCTTCATTGGTCCTGAGGGACTTTACTGGAACTTCTGGTAATAAATTGCTCTCCTTGCACCTACCTGCAGACCCTACCTGCACACCGTACCTGCCTCCAGCCTAATAGGGCTCTCAGGCTCCTCAAACAAGCCCTAGCTTGCCTGCCCCGGAAGGCCGTCCTTGCCAGCCACCTCCAGCACTGGTCCCTCTGGGGAATCTTTCTGCCTCTCTTGTCATAACTTCAGGCTGCTGGCCCCCTTTCCCCTGCCACTTTGCCCATCCATCCTGTTTGAGAGACACCTTTGCTCTTTCCTGATCTGTCTGTGGCTATCCTCAGCCTGGGCACAGGTGGCACACCTCTCACTTCTCCACCACCCTCTGCACGTAGCACACTGTTTTCCATATAATGGGTGCTGGTTTGAATTGGGTTAAATCAAGATCATCTCCCTCTGCAGGCTTAGGAGCAAGTAAAGCAACCAAAGCCCTCCTAGGCACAGGACAATCTTGCCGCCACTCCCACCCTCCTGGCAGCTCATGGTAGACCTCAGGGAAGTGTAAATAACACCATCCTGTTGGAGACCTGAGACATCCAGGCACAGCCTGCTTCCCTGAAGGTCCAGCTTGTATTCTGATCCTGGCTACCTGCAAGGTCCCCTATGTGTGCTGGGTCCCTGTGCCTGACCCACCACTTCCCAGTCCAACTCTGTGATGAGTTCTGACAGCACGTGGGGAGTGGGTTACAAACGGAATCTAATTCATGCCTGGCTCACTGTGTGGTCTGCTCTTCACCCTTCAGTTGCAGCTCTTGCCAAAAAGGTCTCTGTGGCCTGATTTTTTGTGAACATGTGCATATTTGTGTGTTTCATTGCATTTCATGTTCATCTTAATTGTTTCTTTCTCTTTATTTCTAAGCATTTAAAATTCACTTATTCAACAAATGTTTTCTGGGCACTTACTTTGTGCTAGGCTTGTGCCGCAAATAAGACAGGCAGGCTGGGTGCGGTGGCTCGCGCCTGTAATCCCAGCACTTTGGGAGGCCGAGGCGGGTGGATCACGAGGTCAGGAGATCAAGACCATCCTGGCTAACACGGTGAAACCCCGTCTCTACTAAAATACAAAAAAAAATTAGCCGGGCGTGGTGGTAGTCGCCTGTAGTCCCAGCTACTCGGGAGGCTGAGGCAGGAGAATGGCATGAACCTGGGAGGTGGAGCTTGCAGTGAGCCGAGATCATGCCACTGCACTCCAGCCTGGGCGACAGGGCGAGACTCCATCTCAAAAAAAAAAAAAAAAATAAGACAGGCAAAGTCTCTTCTCTCTTGGATAGGGGGTGAGAAGCAGGCAATTAACAAGGAAACAGAAATTAGCACAATAATTTCAGAATGAAAAGTGCTAGGAAGAAGAAAAAATAGAATAACGTGACAGAAAATGATTTGGGAATAGGTGGAAAATATTTTAGATTTTGGTATTAAATTTCTCTTCTCCCTAGACTTCACAGACAGTTGTTAAAGACAGAGGGAAACTTTCCTACATCAATGAGTCCACCTTGTAATTTAAATAATTGTCTTTTTAATAGGTCTCTTTACTTAGTTGATATTTGAATGTTGAGCTTTTTAAAAATAAGCTGTTTTTTGAAAGAGAATTATAGAAATTTAAAGTTTATTCATTCAACAAATACTTGTTGCTCTCCTACCACATGTTGGCATTGTTCTAGGTGCTGGAGGTATGGTAAAGGGTGAAACAGATGAGGCCTTGTTCCATAGAGTTTCCAGACAATTCTCTAGAAAGAAGTAAACAAAATAACTTCACATGGTGTTGGGTCCTATGCAGGAAATAAATAAAGCAAAGGGTAGGGAGGAAACTTTAGAGAGATTGGTCAGAGAAAGCCTTTGTGAGGAGGTGGAGTTGAAAGAGGATGAAGATACAGAGAAAAGGGAACGTCATACGTTGTTGGTGGGAATGTAAATTAGTACAGCCTCTATAGAAAACAGTATGGAGATTTCTCAAAGAACTAAAAATAGAACTGCCATTTGATCCAGCAATCCCACTACTGGTAACCTTTAACAGTATATACCCAAAGGAAAAGAAATCAGTATATCAAAAAGATACCCATACTCGTATGTTTATCGTAGCACTATTCACAATAGCAAAGATATGGAATCAACCTAAGTGTCCATCAACAGAGGATTGGATAAAGAAAATGTGATACATGTACACAATAAAGTACTACTCAGTCATTAAAAAAATCAAACAGCAGCAATATGGATGGAATTGCTGGAAGACATTATCCCCAGGTGAAACAAGCCGGAGACAGAAAGACAAACACTGCGTGTTTTCACTTATAAGTGGGAGCTAAATCATGTGTACACATGGATGTAGGGTGTGGAATAACAGATAATGGAGACTTGAAAGAGTGAGGGGGCCAGGCATGGTGGCTCATGCCTGTAATCCCAGCACTTTGGGAGGCCGAGGTGGGTGGATCATCTGAGGTCAGGAGTTTGAGACCAGCCTGGCCAACATGGTGAAACCTTGTCTCTACTAAAAATACAAAAAGTAGCCGGGCATGGTGGTGTGTGCCTGTAATCCTAGCTACTCAGGAGGCTGAAGCAGGAGAATAGCTTGAACCCGGGAGGGTGGGAGGTTGCAGTGAGCCGAGATCACGCCACTGCACTCCAGCCTGGGCAACAAGAGCGAAACTCGGTCTCGAAAAAAGAAAAAAAAAAAAAAAAGAAAGGGTGAGGGGATGGGGGAAGTGAATGATGAGAGACTACTTAATGGGTACAATGTATTTGAGTGATGAATACCCTAAAAACCCTGATTTTACCACTATGTGATCTATGCATGTAACAAAATTATACACGTAACTCATAAATTTACATAAATAAACTAAAAAATAATTTTTAAGTTAGCAAACAACTTTTTTAAAAGAAGAATAAGCAGATACCCCACATAGTGAGTAGACAAAGAACATCCCAGGCAAAAGGAACAAACAGCATCTGCAAAGGGCTTGAAGAAGGAAACAGCTTGTTTTGTTTAAGAAATGATAGAAGGCTGGGCGTGGTGGCTCACGCCTGTAATCCTAGCACTTTGAGAGGCCAAGGAAGGTAGATTGCTTGAGCCTAAGAGTTTGGGACCAGCCTGGGCAACGTGGCAAAACCGCCAAAATTAACCGGGCTTGGTGGCATGCAGCTGTAGTCCCAGCTACTCAGGAGGCTGAGGTGGGAGGATCACCTGAGCCCAGGTGGTCAAGGCTGTGGTGTGCTGTGATCATGCTACTGCACTCCAGCCTGGATGACAGAGTGAGAACCTGTCTAAAAAATTAATTAATTAATTAAAAAAAATGAAAGAGATGATAGAAGATGGTGGTGTAATGTGAGGTTGGAAAAGCAGACCTAGAACATACCACGGAAGGTCTTTTAGGTGACAGCAAGGGGGTTCGATGCAGTGGGAAACCGCTGGAGGGATCCGACCTGCATCCCATAAAGACCTCTTTGGCTACTGTGAGGGAAACAGACATTTTGGGAAGGTTCCAGAAGTCAAGGTAGAGGAAGACTAGTCTATAAAGCGGACCGCCTTTGTGAAAAATCAACCTATGAAAGAAGCCAACATACAAAAGATACACTGGAAGTGATCAAAGACTTCCAAGAGCAGCCGGGAGGTGGAATCTCAAGTCCAGATGTTGAATGAGTTGGGTGATTGTATGGGACAGAACCAGAAGCTGATGAGGGGCCCAGGATGCAGATCAAAGAGATGGGATGAGCAGGCAAATGCCATTTCTTTTCATTCCGCCTATTTTGCTTGAGTCACCAGTTTGGTAAGGGGAGAGTTTCAACCATCTGCAAGTAATCCAAATGCTTTTACTAACCTGCCTACCCATCCACACCCCCACCAAAAAAAAAAAAAAAGAAAGAAAGAAAGAAAAATAAGAAGCCAACCCCAGAGCTTGTACGCCTGCATTCTCCACAATCATTTCTCTGTGTTACAGCTCTTGTCATCTTACATTATACATGAATAACTAATCAACCAAACACAAACCCACTGATGAAAAAAAACGCATGTTGGATCTAGAATGTGAGCAGGGTAAAGAGTAATATTAATTTCACTGGCAAATAACAAAATGGGAGCAAACATGAGGGATGTTAAGACAAGACTTGTGTTTTTGAATGCTTCTGGGAATGGAAACTCTCCAAGAATCAAGGGAAAGGGGAAGAAGGTTGGACATATTTGGAGTGCACTAATACCAATTCTTTTTTCTTCTGGTATGCATATGTGACTATATGCAACATCATCCTGGGTCAGGCCAACTGGTCATTTAAACCACCATGCTGTCTGCCTCACCTAGTCGAACAGTTCATATAATGATCTTCCACTATTCCTTAATGGACATACAGGTGTTAGTCTTAATGCACCAACCAATATTGCGATAGGCTGGAACAAAACCTTTTGCTCTTTGAATGTCCACAGTGAGTAACACTATGCTAGGTATGTAGTAGGTGCTCAATAAATGTATCTTTCACACACTTCCTAAATGAAGTCTATTTCTTCCTTCATCGTTTTCCTGAAAGATCTTTCTTGACCACTAAGGATGAACTCCTCATCTCCATGTCCAGTGAGTGGTTTAGAAATGTTTTAGTCTTCCTCCTCCTTGACTTCATAATGGCATCTGACACTGCTGTGACACTTCAGTTGTCTTCTGTGACTCTGAACTTTTCTGGTTCTAATCTTTTCTCCCTGATGGCCTCTCTACCCTGACCTCCAATGATTTCTTTTCCTGTTTCTGCACTCGAAAGTCCATATTCCACAAGGACTCTGCTTTTCTGTCTTGTCACTCTTTATGAGAAATTAATTGTATCTCATTTCAAATCAATGCATGTATCTATCATCCTCTGTCACATTACATGCAAAGTATCTGCTTATGGATCTGTCTGTCCAACTAGACCTCAAGCTCCTCAAAAACAGATCCCTCACTGTGTTCGTCTCTGTGCCTCCAGTACCTGGCACAGAGCTGGACACTCAGTGAATGCTCCATACACACGGGCCCAACTGATCCATTCTCAAATTATGCTCGGAGTTGGTAGATTGGGCAGAAATTATTACCCCCATTATATAGAGAGGGGACCCCAAAGCTCAAGGAGGTAAAGCAAACATTAGAAACATGATTCCTGTGACTGGCTGTGGAGACTCCGTGTAATAATCATTCTGGTATTGCCAATTGCAAAAGGACTGTAAAACTAATAGAGATGCTGTCTAAATACCGACATCCAATCCTTTCATGCTCTTCTGAGCAGGCTTGAATTTTCCAGTGCCTCTCTTAAAATACAGCCCGCAGGACTGAGCATAAAACTGCATGTGGCCTGACCTGCCAGCACGCGCTGGGAGTATTGCTTCCCTCCTTCCACACTCTGCTGTGCTATTAATAGAGCCTCAGATTGCACTAGGGTTCTCAACAGCCTCCTCGCGCTGTAGGTTCACATCAAGCTGGTGATCAGCTAACCCCCCGGGTCTTTCTCATGCAATGCCTTCTGTCAGGCCAGGCCTCCCCAGCAGCCACTTGGGCAATGAATGTTTTTGAATGCTCATGATTATTTGTGACTTAGACTAGAAGGTACAACACCAGATCATGCCCTTCTTTCTCATGTGGCATTTTGCTGAGTGGGTGATGGGGTCTTAGGGGTCCTGTTCAGGACCCAGAGCTGTGGCCAGCCACTGGGGGCCACCAGCATCATCGGCCCCACAAAAGTAAGAGGATGATGGCGAAATTAATTTTCTGGCTCACTTCAAATTATTCTTATGTTCATCCCTACTCCTCTTGGATTAGGTCCTTTCTTGGTCTTGTTCTAATGCTGGGTGTTTGTATGCACAGCCTCTTTTCCCTCCCACCCATGGACACAGCCACATTTTGATTTCTCATGCCCTTTCCAAATAGTAGTAGTATTTTTAGCATGAATATCTTGCTCAGAAATTGGCTGTACAGTCTATCCCCTATTGTCTTCACATCTAATACTTTTCTTTTTTCCCTCTGCCTCTCCTATGCATCAATACCACGTTTGGCTAAAGAGATTTGATTTTGACCTATTTGAATTCTCCCTTCACAGATGACAGCCCTTTCTCCCTCTCCTTCCTTCCCTTCAATTAGTTTTTTCAGCCACTTGGAATTAGCTGATGGGTGATTGTAGAAATTGCAACGTGGGCTACTGTGGTGGGTCTCAATGTCAACTCCAGGAAACCTCTGAATCTGGGGGGCTCTGGTTTCAGAATCTGATAGCCAGGCCCTGAACTCTGGAATGTGGGGCTGTGACATGAGATACAGCTTCTCTTTGCTCGGCCACTAGAGGGAACTGAAATGTGGGGCGCAAGAAGGCGTTTCCTCTGTTCGCCAGACGAGGGCGCTCATACCCATGGTCCTCCAAAGTTGGAATTTCTCGCCCCAAAACAGATATTGTCGGGTTGGCCTCCTTGTAACCCAAACATACGATGGGATGACATTACAGCTGTGCTACTGATTGCTGCTTTGACCGCCTCCTATGCTGTGTAAATGGCCAAAAGCAAAGAATTATTAAAAAGCAGGCCCAATGTTGTCCAAGCTCACGTGTGGTTTGTGGGTCTATGTGTTTGCTGCTGGCAAATTTGCAAGCAGATGGGACTCCAAGGCAAGGCGTGGAAGTGATGATGGGAACGTTGGAAGTTCACAGACATAACTTGTAGAGTGTGTGAGGCCGGGTGCGCGGACCCTGTGTATCTGCAGCTGCGATACTTAGATTTCAGTTTGGCAAGGCAGGTCACGGTGGAGATGGGGCAAGCTGCAAGGGTGGTGGAGAGGAGGAAGGGAAGGTGACAGTGGCCCTCTGTCAACTGTTTCCAGGTGGAGTTGAAAGGTGTAATCATTTTCTTCTGGGGGCCTTGGCACCTTTCATCAAGACGAAGTTGGTGACTGGTTTAAAAAGATTTAAAAAATTAAGCTCGAGAGGCCAAAGGAGAAAATGGTTTCCAGGTGGAAAGGGCTTGACAGAATGGTGCTCTTGTGCCGTGACTCCGAACTCCGTGGAGCATTCCAGTGGCCCACTGTACTCCCACCCCTCCAGGCAGCACTGGGAGGCAGCCAAGTCTAGGAGGCAAAGGGCTCCCTAACTGCCAAGCAGTGAAGATGTTGAATAAAATATTTACTTACACGTTTAAGAATAATGATGACAGCATGACAAACAGTGGTGAAACAGCTTTAGGGGACATGGAAGGGCAGCCCTGGGATATTTTTAATGAGAACAGTGACTTCCTGTTTAATTCCCGAGGCTTGTCTCTTTTGCCTACCATACCCACACTGGTATCACAAGATACCGCCCATGATTGGGGAGGGGGTTCACCAGACTGGCCTAGGGAGTCCCCTGCAGGAAGCTGCCACATGGAGAGGCTACAGCCAGCCTCACTCCCAACCCTAAGCTATTGCCCACCTTTTGCAACTCCTGAAGATTACAGCTTTCTGATCCCTTCCCCCCCCCTACACCAGAAGGGTCCTCTGTTGTGGTCATTCAATAAATGATATTTCTTAATTAGGAATCTAGCTCTTTCTTATTCAGCTGGACTAATAAGCACCCTATGCCCTGCTTGGGTGTGATAATTTTGAGTTGGAGACAAGGAAAAAGGAGTGAATGAAAGGGAGTAAAAGTCTTCACCCACAGCACTAGATTTCAGCTATGCCCAACGTGAAAATGGAAAGGGAAAATGGAAAAAAAAAAAATTGGCCAAACACGCTTTAGGTTTGTTTTTCCCTCCTTTTGGGAGCTTTTTGCATTTTCCTCCCCAATTTGGAAAAAAAATGAAAGAAAACAAATTTCTCTATCATTTAAATAAAACAGACCTTTATGTCTCTAAATATAATACATCAAACAATGTTAGGAGTAACTAAATTATACATAAAGATACTTGTTTGTTAGATTGTTAAAGGCTGTTTGAAAAATAGAATTTCGCTGGTGAGGTGCCTCACACCTGTAACTCCAGCACTTTGGGAGGCTGAGGCAGGTGGGTCACCTGAGGTCAGGAGTTTGAGACCAGCCTGACCAATATGGTGAAACCCCATCTTTACTAAAAATACAAACATTAGGTGGGCTGTGATGGCACATGCCTATAATCTCAGCTACTCAGGAGGCTGAGACAGGAGAATTGCTTGAACCGGGGATGTGGAGGTTGCAGTGAGCTGAGATTGAGCCACTGCACTGCAGCCTGGGCGACAGAGGGAGACCCTGTCTCAAAAACAACAACAAAAAATAAGAATATAATTTCACTTTTTGTCAGCCTCACATCCTCCATGGTTTTGTGTGTTTATTTTTCCAGATATTTTATACCTCCAGTTATGACTCTGTAGAAAGATACCATCTGGGGGCCAGGCATGATGGCTCACCCCTGTAGTCTCAGCACTTTGGGAGGCTGAGGCAGGTGGATTGCCTGAGGTCAGCAGTTCAAAACCAGCCTGGCCAACATGGCGAAACCCTGTGTCTACTAAAAATACAAAAATTAACTGGGCATGGTGGCAGGCGCCTGTAATCTCAGTCACTCGAGAGGCTGAGGCAGGAAAATTGCTTGAACCCAGGAGGCAGAGGTTACAGTGAGCCGAGATCGCGCCATTGCACTCCAGCTGGGAGACAGAGTGAGACTCTGTCTCAAAAAAATAAATAAAGATACCATCTTGGCTTTCCCATATTATACAGATCCAGAAGAAAGACCAACTTAGGATCTCTATGCACATGATTATTTCATATTTTTTGGAAGAAAATAAACTAGTGTTGAATTTAAGAACATGCTCAGAAGTCATGATTTTTGAGGAAGGAGGCTATTTATTTAAATCGATATAAAGGACCATTAGTTTTAGACCTGTAATTTATACTTGGTGAAATTTTCATGGAAAAAAAACAACAACAAAAAAACTCATTTCCCTAAATATTTTCTAGTAAAAACATGGCTTGCTTTTTTGGTGCAAAGTCTGCCACGCTGTTTTTAAAAGCGAGGCTTACGAGACCGTGGGAGAGAGATAAGTGAACAGCCTCTTTAATAAGAGAGGCGTCCAGCGTGGCGGCGGAATGCAATACCAAAAAGTAAACAAAGAGCATCGTGTGAAAAAGAGCAAGTTGAAATGAATCTTGCTTTTCCTATTTGAAAAACACGCTCATGGTTGTTAGCAACTGAGTCAAGACATTTAAATCATATATATACTTTTAGATCTTGACAGTGACCTTTTATAAGTGTACAGTGGGGATAAGAAGATGAGCAAAGCCTTGCTGCAGAAAAAGCATTTCAGTTAATTGAACATGAAATGTGTTACCATCTGATAACATTAATAATATGTGATCGCTACTTTGTATCTAATATGCAGTTCATTTGGTTGGAATCTAAAGCATTCTATAAATGTTAGAGTATGAATCCTGTTGCAAACCTATAAACTAAGCAGCTCTATTTTGGTGCATTTTGAAGTATCTCTGTGTTAGTTATCTATGCTGTGTAACAAATTATCCCAAAACTTAGCAGCTTCGAACAACAAATATTTATTATCTCAGCATCAATCAGGAATGGCTAAGCTGGGAGGTTCTAGTTCAAAGGCTCTCATTAAGTTGTAGTCAAGGCATTGGCCAGATTAACAATCATTTGAAGACCTGATGAGGGCCGGCAGATCCACTCATAAGGTGTCTAACTCACAATCCCAGCAAGTTAGTTTGAGATGTTGACAGTAAACCTCAATTCTTTTCTACACTGGTCTCTCCGTAGGGCATGGAGAGATGCCTGAGCATCCTCATGACATGGCAGCTGGCTTCCCCCAGAGCCAATGATCCATGAGACAAAGCAAAACGGAAGCTACAATATCTTTGGATGATCTAGCCTTAGAATTCACCCATCATCACTTCCTTCAGGTCCTGCTCCTTAGAAGCCGGTTACTAAGCACAGTCCACACTCGAGGAGAGGGCAATTCGACTCCATCTTTTGAAGGAGTCTTAAAGAATTTGTGAGCATATTTTAAAGGCACCGCAATCCCCTATTTACATAAGGACAGTTGAAAATGATGGTGGCTTACCTGCTCAAGGTCAACGAACTACTGGTAAGACCCCACCTGGAAGGCGGCAGGCTTTTTTATTTATTGTAAAGCAAAACAGAAAACCCACATTCTTGAAATAACTGCACATGAATCCCAAATCTGTCTCTTTCAAATGTCCAAGACCTTCTAAAAGTGGCAGGATGCTTTCTGTTTAGAAATGGATGAGATGGACACTAGACTGGAAGGGTCAGCCTTTGATTAAGAGTCAGCTTTCCTCTTAATCAGCTCTGGGACCATGAGAACAAAAACACTTTTCTAAGGGATGTTTTCCTCCTTTGCAAAATATGATGGGCTAGCCGAATGGTTTCCAAAGTTGGTGGCCTTTAAGTCCTCTGGGGACTTAAAAACTCACTGATCTTGTGTTAAATCCACAATGTCCAGGAATCTGTACCACTTAAAAGCACTTGGGGACTCTGGCGGCCTGTTTTGCAGACAGTAGGAACTGCTCGGCTACATGATTTCTCACTCTTCCACTTTTAACATTATTTTATTTATTTTTGAGACAGAGTCTCTCTTTGTCACCCAGGCTGGAGTGCAGTGGCATGATTTTGGCAACCTCCGCCTCCTGAGTTCAAGCGATTCTCCTGCCTCAGCCTCCAAAGTAGCTGGGATTACAGGCTCCCGCCACCATGACTGGCTTTTTTTTTTGTATTTTAGTGGAGATGGGGGTTTTACCATGTTGGCCAGGTTGGTCTGGAACTCCTGACCTCATGTGATCTGCTCACCTCTGCCTCCCAAAGTGCTGGGATTACAGGCGTGAACCACCATGCCTGGCCAACATTATTTTAACTCTCCCCATCAGACTGGGTATGCCCATGTAAATTGTTGGTTCTCCATCTTCACTACAATCATGAGCAGAATTTTTAAAAAATATGATACCTAGGGCCCTCCCTAGGCAAAATATAAGTCATTCTGGGGTGGAACTCTGGTACCATCACGGGTTGTTGGCTTGTTTTCATCAGTACATTTAAAACTAATCATGTTTAGCCTTGTTGGCACATTAGAATCACTTGGGGAGCTTTAAAAAAGCCCACTGCCCAGCCTGTCCCCCAGGCCAATTAAATCACAATCTCGTGGGAAAACCAAGAATCAGCATTTTTTAAAGTTCCCCAAGTGATTACAACATACAGCCAAACTGACCTATGTTTGCCACATTTGAGATAATTCTAATGCTAATTCACCTATAAGGGATTATTCAGAAAAAAATCCCAACATTTAGATGCCACAGTACTCTAAGAAAAAAAATGCATTTAAAGTGGAAGATATTACAATTTTGAAATGAAAGATATTAAAAATTAAATGGAACTAAGTTCCATTTCTGGCAATATGGTAGACTAAGTAACTTGAAAATCCTCCCATCATAAACCACCTATAAATACTGGTCAGAATGTAATAAACACCCATTTAAATGAGCTCTCAGGACAGTAAGCAAAGGCTCTCAGAGTCAGGAAGAAGAGGGAGATTCTAGCATGGTATGCAAGTAAGCTGAGGTTGAGCTGGTCTTAGGCAGGTTTGCTGGTGTTGGGAACCTGAGGTTTGAGCATCAAAATAGGAAGGAGACTATGCTTAAGGTCCATTAAAAGTGGGAAAATGGAATTCAGAATTCCCATAAAGCTGGAATCCCATCAAGCTAGAACCTCCTGAATCACTAGAGAAATAATCACTGGAAAAATAATCTCCCCAATGTCACAAGGAAACAAGAAAATGTGCCTGTCTTTGCAGGGGTTGAGGGTGGGGAATAAAGGGCTTTACTGAGAATTTGAGATTATAATGTGGTATGGTCCAGGAACCCCAAAGCTGAGAATGAATACAGAAATACAGACCCAATGCCAAACTATACAATGTATGTGGATATAATCCTCCACAAGCAAGATGTAGCAGACACAAAGGTCCCAAGAACCTCAGGTAACAGAACTATCAGGCAGACTATAAAATAAGCAAATTGAAAATTATTAAAGACACAAAGAGGCCGGGCGCGGTGGCTCACGCTTGTAATCCCAGCACTTTGGGAGGCCGAGGCGGGCGGATCACGAGGTCAGGAGATCGAGACCATCCTGGCTAACACGGTGAAACCCCATCTCTACTAAAAATACAAAAAAATTAGCCGGGCGTGATGGCGGGCGCCTGTAGTCCCAGCTACTCGGGAGGCTGAGGCAGGAGAATGGCGTGAACCCGGGAGGCGGAGCTTGCAGTGAGCCGAGATTGCGCCGCTGCACTCCCGCCTGGGCCACAGAGCGAGACTCCGTCTCAATTAAAAAAAAAAAAAAAAGACACAAAGGAACCTTTGACACCATGAGAAAATAACATAACACTCTAAAAAAGGTAGATTTTAAATAGAACTAAATAGAATTTCTAGAAATGACAAATATAGTCACCAAAATGAAAAGCTCAGTGATGAGTTAAACAGCAGATTAGACAGAGTCGAAGAAAGAACCACAGATGGATCTGAGAAAATTGCCCAGGAAGCAGCAAAGACAAAGTGAAGGAAAGTCTGACAGATTCAGAGTGTGCTGGATAGAAGGAGAAGATGCATTATACATTTCATATAAGTACCAAAAGACAATGAGAGGGATACTTCATTTAGAGAATCCCAAGATTATGCATATACAATGAGTATTGAATCAGATAAAGAAGAAGAAATTCATACTTGAATATAGCAGAGTAAAAATGTAGGAAGCCAAAGACAAGGAAAAAGTCTTAAAACCAGAGAGAAAAGACAGATTACCTACAAAGGAATGACAATTAGACTCATAGCAAATGTTTCAGAAATAAAGAATAGGAAGACATGGTATATTCAAAAAAGTGCTGGGGTAAAATAACTGCCAATCTTGAGTATTACACCCAGAGAAATCATCATTCAGGAATGAGAGTGAAATATGACATGTTTGTCTTAGCGGAGAGAGCGTACCACTCAACAATCCCCTGAAAAAAACTAAAGGTATGTTTCAGGGGAAAGGGTCTATATCTAGAAGGAAATTGGTAAATAAGGGCAAATCTAAACGATGAATTGACTGTATATAAAATTACAATAGAGATTAAAATTAGGGGTATAAAAAGTAGGTGGATCTAAAAATAAGCAACAGTAAAACATAATGAGAGGATGTAACTGAAGTTGAATCATTCTTAGCTTATTGGATAGTTCTAGGGCATTTGATTTACTTTAGATCACATGTACAGGTTAAAATTGTAATCACCGAAAGAGTAGAAATAGAATTTACAACTTCCGGCCAGACACAGTGGCTCACGCCTGTAATCCTAGCACTTTGGGAGGCCAAGGCAGGCAGATCAATTGAGGTCAGGAGTTCAAGACCAGCTGGCCAACATGGTGAAACCCCGTCTCTACTAAAAATACAAAAATTAGCTGGGTGTGGTGGTGGGTGCCTGTAATACCAGCTACTCGGAGGCCGAGTCAGGAGAATCGCTTGAACCCAAGAGGCAGAGGTTGTAGTGAGCTGATTGTACCACTGCACTCCAGCATGGCTGACAGAGTGAGACTCTGTCTCAAAAAAAAAAAAAAGGCCTCGGCCTCCCAAAGTGCTGGGATTACAGGTGTGAGCCACCATGCCCGGCCAATAGCATCTCTTATACATTGCTAGTAGGAGTACAAATTGGAACACCACTTTGGAAAACAGCTTAGTATTACCTTGTAAAATTTTACATTCACGTATGTTACGACCCAGCAATTACTCCAAAGAGAAATTCTGATCTATGTGCATCAGAAGGTAAAAATGTTCATAATAACACTGTTTATAATAGCCAAAAAAAAAAAAAAATTCCTGAAAGCAACCCAAAGGCTTGTTTGTGAGAATAGAGAAACTAAACTGTGGCACAGTCACATAATGGAATATTATACAACTGGGAGAAAGAATGAACTACAACCTGATACAAAAATCTAATTTTGTTCCCCCCACCCCCCCAGGGCCCTGGCTAGAGGATCTAATTGATTCTTAATAATTTCATATTGAGTAAATTATCAAGCCTCAGAAATTTTTCATAAAGTTTCAAAACAAAAAGTAAAACAAAACAAATATTAGTCATTGATATGCATGATAAAACTTTTTAAAAAGCGAAAAATCATAACAAATACAAGATTCAGACTGGTGGTTACTTTAGAGGAACAAAATAGGGAGGAACACATAAGCAGATGTTACATAAGTCAAGTCATTGTTTCTGTTTTAGTTCTCTGGTTGAATAGCAGGTTTACAGGTATTCATGATATCAGCAAATAAAATAAAATAGGGCCATGAGTATACACAATGATGATAGTGTGTTATACTAGAGATTGTGACTAATATATTTTTGTGCCCCTAAATTGTGATATTTTGTGATCTTTAAAAATATCAGCAATCACAATAAATGTAAATGGACTAAACTTACTAGTTAGCACAATAATGAACCAGAGCTAACTATATGCTATTTACAGGAGACTGAACAAAAAATTTGGGACATGGAAAGGTTCAAAGTAAAAGGAAAGAGGGAAAGAGAAAGATCTATAAGTGAAGGGCTAATTAAAAGAGTAGTTACATTTATTACAGACAAAGTAGACTTTAAAGCAAAAGGCATTAGGGATAAGTATCTTCTGTGCCAATATTAAAGGAATAATTCCTAGGAAAATAGCAAATCTAAGCTCGTATGCACTGAATAACAAGGCCTTAAAATACACAAAGCAAAAAGTATGAGAAGCAGAAAATGTATAGTTACAGTGGGAAATTTTAACAGTTCTTTTTGATGCACCTGACAACATACTTTTAAAATACAGCAAAATTTGAGAGAATTACAGGAGAAACTGGCAAATCTAGTCATATAGAAATTTTAATGTACTTCTATAAAAACCAACAGGTCAAGCTGACAAAATATTAGTAAGGCTACAGGAAATCTAGACAATATAATTAATAAGTCTGATCTAATAGACCCATATAAAATGCTGTACTTAAAAATTAAGGCATATACATTCTTTTCAAATCTACATGAAATATTTATAAAAATTGACTGCACCAAAGCAAGTTTCAATAAATAACAAAGAATCTGCTTCATATAGATCACATTCTTTGACCTTAATTCAGTTAAGTTAGACGTTAGTAACTAAAGAATAACCTCAAATACCCCTCAAATACACCTGTATTAATTCACTAGTCAAACAAGAAATCGTATCTGAAATCTAATTTTTTTTTTTTTTTAAACAGGATCTCGCTCTGTCACCCAGGCTGGAGTAGTGACATGATCATGGCTCGCTACAGTCTCAACTTCCCAGGCTCAAGTGATCCTCCCACCTCAGTCTCCTGAGTAGCTGGGCCTATAGGTGCATGTTAGCACACCTGGCTAGTTTCTAGAAAAGTTTTCTTTTGCAGAGATGGGGCCTCACTATGTTGCCCAGGCTGGTCTCAAACTCCTGGGCTCAAGTGATCCTCCCACCTTGGCCTCCCAAAGTGCTGGGATTACAGGCATAAGCCATTGTGTCCAGCCTAAAATCTAAACTTTTTTTACCTCATTGGTGATAAAAAGTCTATATATCTTGTGGAATATAGCTTGAGTGGTACTTAAAGTGAAATCTGTAGTCTTAAATGTTAAAATCAGAAAACAGATGGCTAAAAATTAATTACCTAAGGCAACAATTCAAAAAAAAAAAAAAAGAGCAACAGAATAAATCCAAAAAGAGCAGAAGCAGAAGGGAATACTATATGATATATATTAATATTACATTACATATTATATTCTCACAAACTATATAATAGTATATATTTTCTATTGTGCCATATATAACAATATAATATATAATAATATATAAGAACAAAACTTACTGGAACAGAAAAAGAAACAATATTGAAACTAAAGTCTGGTTCTTTGGAAACACTAATAGAAAGTAGAAAGAAAACATTAGTAAAAAAAAAAGATCTCTGGCACAGCTGATCCAGATAAGAAAAAATACATATAAAATGATATTTAGAATGAAAAAAAAACATTATGGATAGATAGAGCAGAGATTAAAATACATTAAGAGATAACTATGAACAGCATTTTGTCAACACATTTGAAAACCTAGATGGTATGGATAATTTCCTTGAAAAACATAGTGTATAAAAATAGATTCAAGAAGAAAACAGAAAACCTGAAGAGATCTACGAGCATTAAAGAAATGGAATCAGTAGTTAAAAATCAACCCACGAAATGTCTATCCCAGACCCAGACAATTTACCTGCAAAACTACCAAACATTCAAGGAACACATAATTCCAATCTTACACACACTGTTCCAGAAAATGAAAAAAGAAGGAACATTTACCGGTTCATTTTATGAGACCAGTATAACCAGACAAAGGCAGTAAGAAAAGGAAAAACTGCAGCCAATTTGACTTATGAACATGAATACAAAAAGAATCCTAGAATGAAATTAAATGTTGGCCATCATTCATTCATTCATCCACTCACTCATTCAGTCAATCATTATTTATTGAGCGTCAACCGTGCGCCAGCAGGCACTGTGCTAGTACATGGAGAGCAGAAAGGCACGGGAGCTTCTGGCTTAGAGGAGATGGGCAATAAAGCAAATGATCATACAGGGTAAGGTACACAGAGGACGTTCTGGTAAGGTAACTGCATATCAAAGGGCATTCGACCCTGTCAGAGAGGT
The DNA here is from genome assembly GCF_000001405.40 of Homo sapiens. NCBI lineage: Eukaryota > Metazoa > Chordata > Mammalia > Primates > Hominidae > Homo > Homo sapiens. The sequence goes on from NC_000017.11 coordinate 57,253,645, forward strand.
CTGGGAAAGATTTCCAGGCATGTAAGTGGAGTAAGGGTGTATGTGGGAAGACTGTTTTGTAAGCTGTTGCAGGGCCTCAGGTGGGAGATCTGGGATGCAGCAGCAAGAAAGATGGATTTGAACTTGGGCTTCCTTTAGAAAGGCTAAGTGGAGATGTTGAATAGGAAATTGACCAGAGCCTGGAGCTCTTCAGGAAGGGTGGGGCTGGAGATTTCAATTTGAGTGGCATCACCATGTGTTTAAACCCATCCTGGAAGATTGAGTTTGAAGAAGGAAGTGTCCAACATTGTCTTGGGCTGTTGAGACTTTCAGAGGGTTGAGGACTGATATTGTGCTGCTTGAATTCTCCTGATGCAGGGGCTACATTGAGTGAGCTGGAGAAAAAAAATGCATAAAATAATAATAATAATAATAATAATAATAATAATAAGCTATTACAAATAATGTAGAGCAAAGGGGCAGCAAGAGGGAATTTTTTTGGACAATGAAACTGTTCTGCATCTTGATTATGGTGGTGGTTACATGACTCTATACATATGTCAAAACTCATAGGATTACAGACCAAAAAGAGTAAATATTACCGTATATAAATTAAAAATAAATGAGTAAAAACAATGTAGTAATGGAGACTTAAAATCCAGTTCTTTCTAAGCCCTGACTTTGTAACCGCAGCTCTAGCCCCTCTCTGGATTTTAAATCAGTTCTATAAGTGTCAGCTTGTGGAGGTCTATACCAGACAGGAAGGGCCCCCAACTCTCGCCTTGTGAGGGACAGAATAAACACGCAGGCAGCAGAGGCCACACGGCATTGGACTGATGGTCAGAGGGTGGGGGTGGGGTGTAGCCTGGTGAGTTTGGCACCTCTGAGACGCTGATGTATAATGAGGGGATTAGATTAGGAAAGGCCTTTCTACCTAGGATGGCCTGTGGTTCTACTGTAAAAATCCCAAACACAATACAATTAGCTCTGTTGTCTGCATTTTGTTTAGAATAATCAATCATAATAAACAATCATTGTAACAACTGGCTGTTCAACACATGAGACCCCAGATGATTTGGGAAGGAGCTTGGAGTGACAGGAAATGTTTGGGTTTGTGGTTTAAAGCCTTAGAGCACCTTCTCAATATGATTATATTGAGTAGTGATTGATAATAAACACGACTCAGGTTTACAGTGAAAAAGGAACTTTTACAACATTGGTTCACTTCAGCCTCTCACCTTCACCACATCAATCCTGTCAAGGAGGAATTACTGCAATTTAGGGAACAGGGAGACTGAGGGTCTGGTCACTCAAGGCTATGGCTGGTGTTGAGATTTTCCCAATATTCCATTTTTCCAAAGCCCACAGTGGATTTGGTTCAGTTTTGGTGTTGAGTGTATTCCTTTGTCTCCTAATCCTATGAAAATTAATGGAAAAGTGTTAATTGGGCATCAATTCATGCTTAACATTAATCTCAGTATTTGATGAACCACAACTTTATGTTGCCCCTCATGCCATATTAACTCAGTTTATTGCAACAATTTAAAACGATACAGATTTAAAACAATATGGGTAATTGTATCCGTATTGTTTCAAATGCCCCATAAATTGAAACCAGCCCGAATTTGGGCAGTCTGGAATCTGCCGGAGAAACTTTCATGCGATGCCTTTGGAAGGCTACAGACATTGTCTTTTTGGAGTTTTCAGTGCATGAAGGTATGAAACCGCATTTATTAAGCACCTACTGTATGCCAGAACCCGTGCTGCACAATACTACTGCTGCTAAGGTGGGAGTGATTCTGAAGCCTTCTGCCACCCTAGCTACCTCTGCAGGTCGTGAGGGGTCTTGGGCTATTTCAGTATCATGCACTTTACTATCCTGGCATACAAAGGCTGGGTGAGAAATAAAATATATAACGAACGGATTACACAGGGGTTTCCTGAAATAACCACCCTTCCCATCCATCCCAGAGACACCCCAAAAGTACTTCTCGTTATATACAAACATTTGCTTTGAACCTCAATCATGTGACCTTGACTCCTATAACCTATCTTATTACATTTTTAAAACACTGTATGATTAACGCGGAAACCCTTTCTTCGGCACTTTCTCGCCACTGGAATCGCGTCAGTTTCTCAAAGTTCCAAAATAACCTTTCCCGGGCACGGATTGGTACCTCTACTGGGGAAGGGCGGGGAACCGCGCAAGACGTGCCGGTGTGGAGCCAGAGCCAGAGAGAACTTCCAGCGCAAAAGGAAAATAAAACTTGTGGCTGGTGTTTGTGCAGGAGGGTCTCCGCCATCCTGAAGCCCCCCGATCCTGGGGCGTCTCGGGGGCCGCCAAAGGAGCGCCAGGGTGTGGGTTTGCTCCCGACGTCCTTGACCTAAATTTCTGAGCGGTGGCTGGAAACAGGGCACAGCGGAGGGCGGGCGGCTGGTGCCATTCCCGGATCTCGGCGGCAGGGGCCGGCAAACTTGAATGGAGAGGGCGAACTAGAGAGGGTGGGGGGCGTCTTCTCCCAGGTCCGGGTGAGGAGCCGCAGCAAGCTCCCCGCGCCTCCCCTCCCCCGATCCACCCGCCCCCCGCAGCCCATGTGATCCAGGGAAGTCGGGGTGCGCTCCCCCTCGCCCTGCGCCCTGCCGGCCCGGAGGCGGGGTCCCCTCCGCCCGCGGGGTTCGCGCGCCACCCTTGTGGGTCCGGCCGTGGGGGGCCGAGTGTGCGCGCGCGGGCAGGCGGGGGCCGCACGGGGGTGCGTGACGTCACCGGCATTGGTTACACGACGTTCTAGAACTCCGCCCCACGTGCGCCGGGGAGGAGGGGGAGGAGGAGGAGGAGATGGGGGTGGGGAGGAGGAGGGGGAGAGGTGGGGATGGGCCGGGGGGGCGGGGACGGGGGGGTGTGCGAGGCAGCGGGGCTGAGCTAAGCCGAGCCCACGTGTGACGGCTCTCGCCGCTGCCCCGGCTCCGCCGCTCGCAGAGAGATTCGGAGGAGCCCGGGCGGGGGGGAGGAGGAGGGGGAGGAGGGAGCGGAGATCTCGGGGCTCGGAGCCGGCCGCCGCTCCGCTCCGATCGCTGTGGGGCTTGGTTTTTTGGGGGTGGGGGGGCGGGGGGGCTCAGATATGGAGGCAAATGGGAGCCAAGGCACCTCGGGCAGCGCCAACGACTCCCAGCACGACCCCGGGTAAGTTTCCAGCCGCTGCCCACCGCGCCGCCTTGGGCTCGCTCTCCTTGCAGCGGCGGGGACGGCGGTGCGCGGAGCCGGGCATCTCCCGCGCCCCCCCGCCTCTCCCGCGCGCCCCCCCCGTGGAAGTTACACACCTTTGGATTGCATTTCGCCGTCACCTTCTCCCCCACCCCACCTCCCGGCTCTCGCTCGCTCGCTCCCCCCCGCTTTCCTTTTAGCTTTTGTAAGTTACACGTCAAAATGGCCGATCTGACATCGGTGCTCACTTCTGTTATGTTTTCTCCCTCTAGTAAAATGTTTATCGGTGGACTGAGCTGGCAGACCTCACCAGGTAAGGGAGGGAGGGGGGGACGCCTGGGTCCCCCCCTTCTTGGCTTCTTTATTGCTCTTTGTTATCCCGGTGTAGGAGCCCCCCCCCCCCCGCCATTGGCTCCCCACTTCTCCTGTGCAAGGTTATTTTTTTTAAATAGCAAATCCTTTCTGAGCCCTCTATGCGACCTCTGTTGCCGAATTTCCCCCGCGTGTGCAAAAAATGCAAAAACAAAACAGAATAACAACAGAAAACTACTTTTGGATTTTGTCCTTGATCAAAATTTGCATTGCTTTTTTTTTCCACACCTTCTCTCCCCCCCCCATCTCTCTCTTTCTCTCTCTACAGATAGCCTTAGAGACTATTTTAGCAAATTTGGAGAAATTAGAGAATGTATGGTCATGAGAGATCCCACTACGAAACGCTCCAGGTAAACCATTCCCTTCTGGATTTTGTCTTTATTTTAGAACAAAGTTTAAGTTTTATTTTTGGAGGTGTCTTCGGAAGTAGCTAAGCGGATTAGAATGGGGCTCAGGCGCGTGGCTGATCTCGAACGGCGCTCTATACCACCCCCACCGCCCCCTAGTAACCCCAGAGGTTATTGTTAATTGGAGCTGAACTCTGGATACAGAGATACCCATCTCTCTGCTTTTAAGTCATTTTCCCGTCGCTTCTTTTTCTCTGTTTAAAATGACATTCAGCTTCATTTACTTTCGCATAGTTTTTTTTTTTCTTTTGATCTTAATGTGTGTTTCCCCCACACTCCCAGCTCCCCAAACTCTTAAGATCCCTCTTAGAAAGATGGTGGTAAATCTCTTCTAAGTGCCGGGCTTTCTTCGGAATAAAACAAAGCGTTAAGAAAGGGAAGGGGAGGAGGAGAGGAAACTGAGGTGGCCAAAGAGTGGAGGCACCAGCATTTTCCAAGTTACCTCCACCCTCCCTGCCCCCGTTCCACTTCCCCCGTTAACCTTGATGTTTTTTCTTGCGAGGTGGAGGGCTGTAGGCAGGAGGGGAATTGGAGGAGGGGAGTGGGAGGTGGGGGTGCGTGGGGGGCAACTTTTGCTCCTCATTCAGCCTTAGGTCTCACTCCTGGTTGCTTTCAATGGTGTCACATTTTCTTGTTTGTTTTTCTCCCTCTTTGTCTCCTTTCAGAGGCTTCGGTTTCGTCACGTTCGCAGACCCAGCAAGTGTAGATAAAGTATTAGGTCAGCCCCACCATGAGTTAGATTCCAAGACGGTAGGTTGCTTTTTGTTGTTGTTGTTCGCCCCTTTTCAGGAACGATCTGGGCATTGACAGCCCCATTTAAAGGGACAGTGCCTTCTTTTGCTTCTGTGCTAGAACTGGGTAGTTTTAAACTGAGCTAGCGAGTTGGCTCAAAAGTTTGCTGCTGTGGCTGGCTTTGGGGTTTTCTTTTTAGAGCCTGTCCCATTGCAGCTTCAGAGGCTGCCAAGGTTAGGCTTGGGGAGGAGAGGGTTCGGCTCCTGGAGAGTCTGCCTTCCCGGCCTGGGGACTGTGCAGAGAAACTCCACCAGAGAGCAAATGCAACTTTTCTTTGTCAGCCAAGCACAGCACGCGTTACCAACTGTGGCTGTGGGGATCAGCTTTGAGAAGGCACAGCCTGCTTTGTGGCCAAGGGGGACAGCAGTGGGAAGGAGGGGAGAGGGCGCTAATTACAGGTCCAGGCAACAGGTTTCTCTTGGGGCACTTGGGATTTGGAATGTGCTTTGGGAAGGGAAGGGGACGCTGGCGGAGCTGAGCTGGGCATCCACTGGGGTGACTCCAGATGGCATGAAATCTAAGGCTGATAAGGCCTGGGGGTTTCAAAGTGATTTTTTTTTCCTTCCTTTTCTTTCTCAGATCCTTTCATTTGAGTATGGGTACTTTTATACATCACAAGTTTTAAAAATCCAGAGTAGAAGGGGGAAGAGTCTCCAGGCAGAGGTCAGAAGGGGAAGGGAAGAAAGAGTGTCTGTATATAACAATACATTTAATGGGAGGGGGAGTGTGCAGTGTTTTATTTAGCCCCTGTGTGGGCTTCCTGCCTCTCCTCCCTTCCCTTTATGTCTACCAGAGTTTCCCCACGGTTTTTATTAATATATATCTGCCCCAAACAGAGGCCTTAAGATGACATTGGGCTGTAGTGCTGGGTTGCATGGAACTTCACTCCTCTGTGATGGGGTAGTGGGACAAGGCCAGAAATGGGGCTCTACTTCCATCCGCCTCTTATGAAAGTGAGCAAGACATTCCCTACCTCTGGGTCTCAATTTCCTCTTCTGTAAAATAAGTGGACCAAGGTGATCTTTCAAGCCCCTTTTGGCTTTAACATTGAATGGAAGAGAAGGAAAGCAAATAAAGAAACCTGGCAACCTTCGGTGCACTTGAATTGATTTTGCAAATTCACCCTCTTTCTCTGATCAAAGAGATCAGGAATGCGTGCCTTCTCCTAAGAAAGAAACCCACCTACACTCTTAGTTGCTTTATTAATTGTCCTGGACTTGTCATAGCTTGCATGCAGCCCAGCCTTTTGTACTTTTAGATAATTTAATTTCAGAAATGATTTGTAGGATGATAACAGATGTCTGAAAAATTTTTCTCTCCTTGATTTCGTGGCTAGCCATTTCAAAAAGCTAGTGAAATTAAAGAGGAAAATCTTTTCAAGGCAAATTTGGGAATTTATCATCCACCCCCTCTTGCTACCTGGGTGGGAGAAACAGTATTTGGTTTCTGTGGTGGCTGGTGGGTCATATTCCTCTGTATCAGGTGCAAAGCCTGCAGTTTCCCTCTCTGATTGTTTATAGACATGTTTTGGTCACTATTATTTAGTGTAACCTAGCTTTTGACTTTGTTTCAACGTTCAGTGCAGGAGGCAGAAGCGGTTGGTTTATTGACATGGAAACGAGGATCTTGTTTACTGTTACCTTAAAAGCTTTGTTTAGGTAACGGCCATTCACATCCAAAATAGTACCCTAGTCTTTTCCTAGAGGACTTGTAGATACAGTAAGTAGAGCTGTACCTAACTAACTAATGTTTTAATTTTTGGTAGTTTTCTTTTTTGTTTGTTTTTTAAAAAATAGTTGACAGGGATGTGCAAAAGGTTGGGATTTGCCATGCTTAACTTGACCCTTCCTCTCCTTCAGAGATCTCAGCGTGTAAACTTTGCACACTGAGGAACTTCGATCATGATATAATGCTCTGATACGGCCACACACCATCCAGGAGTTCTGAATTGGCTTTTTCGTTTTGTGATTTAAATTTTCTTTAGTACTTCACTTTCTTCATTGCACCTTACTTCTTCCAGCTCCTGGCACCTCCCTCAACATACCCCACACCTGTTACCCCATAAACAAGGTGATTTCTGATTGCAATTGTGTGCCGGCCAACTAAAAAAAACACCCTCTGGGGAGTATTTATAAAAAGACACCTCTGTCTTACGTACGTCAACAGAATGGAAAATCCACACCTGTTGTATTTCTCTTGTAGACAAGCGCTAGTCAGTGCTGGACACACCTGTAGATGCAGTAATGTTAATCTTTATGAAAGGGTAGTTTTCTAGATCAGAGATTTTTGTCTATTTTAGTTTTTGAAAAGTAATCTCTCATTTCTCAGGTGATGTTTAAAGGTAGGGAATGCAATGCAGACTTTTATTAGGTCTTTAAGCCCCCGTAATAACAGCAGGAAATCCTCATATGTCTTTCTGGCTGGGACCCTAGGTGATGTAAGTCAGGGAACAAATGAACTATCCTCCGTGCTTCCCACTCCCCACCCCCACCTCCCTACTTTCCTCCACAGCATTACTCTTTTCTCCCCTGCTCCTTCTCATGGCAGAAGTGAAAACAAAGCTCAGATTTACTTTTTAAAAGGAAAACATTTTAATATGAAAGCCAAAGCCTGGAAATAAATAACTGGTAGCATGTTTATACTATCTGTGTTACATTTTTACCCAAAGATTTGTGACATTTAGAAATTCAATGAAAACCGACAACGGGAATATTTTCACATTTCTTTCCTCCTCTTTTTATCTGTGCAGTCACTTTTTTCCTCCCTCACATCAGCCTGTTAGATTCACATGCTTCCAGGAGAACTGTTCTGAGCTGTACAGCTAGACCCTGATTGAGCATCATGCGTTTTGCAAGTGTGTGATTTGGACTGGAGGATGTTTTTCCACTCGGATTGAGGTTGGGGTAGGGGAATTCCCTACTTGTTGCACTAGATTCTGACTACTTCTTGTATTCAGTAACTTTTTTTTTTTTTTGGTGCCCTCCCCATGATGGGATTTCTTTTCTAATTTGGGTTTAGGTTGCTTATAGATTTTTACTCCCTGTTGTTTTTAAAATCCAGGTGGATTTAGCTCACATGCTTCATTTTCTTTACTTCAAAAAATTATTTTTTATCTTTTGAGGTATAGCTACAGAACAGATGATCTTTTTGGTTAATCCTGGGTAACTTTACTTTTGCTAAAATGAATTAATTAACTCAAGCAGAGCACTGTGTTGGATGTCTGTGGGGAGTTTTTGGATGTTGTTGATTTAAAAAATTTTTGGAAGCTCCTTTCCCTCCTGTGTTGTTTAGTTATCATCAGGGAGAAGAAATACCATCCAATTACCTACTGCTAGAGAATACTTACATTTAATTTTCAGGTTATGATTTTTTTCCCAATGATAATGATGCTCCCATCTTTTCTCCCAGCCACGCATAGCAAATTAGATGTAGATACCATTTAATATTCAGTGTCTGGAAGAAGAAGCCCTTGCCTAAATAAGAATTACATGAGATCTGGTTTATTAAGAGCATCACACACTGAAATGCATGGTGGGTCATTTCAGAAAGGCTAGCTAGCTATGTTAGTTACCTGATCTGTTGGAGGGATGGTTAAAGTTGAGATCAAAGTTTAAGAAACTTTTGAGTTGCCTGAGAAGTTACTAAAAGCTGGATTATAAGCCTGAGAAATGAGTGATTAATAATTAGGTGATTAATCATATATTTTTTCCTTAAAGTACTTTATTGACTCCTGCTTTTCTATTTTTTTTCCCAGATTGACCCCAAAGTTGCATTTCCTCGTCGAGCGCAACCCAAGGTAAGTAGGAGAATAAACAGTAGGATTTTAGCACTCAGAGATGATTGCCAAGAATTTCAAATTTCAAACAGCATTGGCCATGAACTGTTGAAGCCTGGTATTCACTGTTCCTTCGGGGTATCAGGACAGGCTGGGCAAGTAGTCCTGTGAGATAACCATGCGTCTCTAAGTTAGCCATCCCAAGGTGGCTTCTGAACATCCACCTGGGGGCAGGGACAAGTCTGATGCTTAGTGGGAGGACGTGTTTCCATCGACTGCAGTATTTTTTGCAAGGATTCTATTTGTTTTTTAAGCATTTCCAATATCATATCAGGAAAAGTCGAACATTTCCTTGTGACTCTTTCGGAGGGTACTCTTTGAGGCTTTACAACTTGGAGTTAATGCAGAGGAGTAGAGTTTGACTAAACAGCTGATCCTTTCTTGGAAAAGACAACTTCTTAGGCCCATAAAGCCTTAAATCTGGGAGGGCAAGCAGTGGATATCTTGGTTTTAGGTTGGTTGGATAAGTCAGGGCATACTTGAAACCAACAGTGCTTCTTATTTGTGCAAGTGCTGGTGCCTGGGTGGAGAAGTCCTGAAAATGTTGTAACCTTGTAGGAGTGGCACTACAAGACTTGCTTAAAGAATTGAGATAGGGCTTCACTTTTTTAGAAGTGTGTCGTTAACATAGTTTTCACTGAGCTTGCCAGGTGTGGCTATGAGAACACAGTTGCTTGAAGCCTAAGGTTAAATTGGAAGGGCTTATGGCTTACATGTTACATTTACACTTTTTAGTTACTATTTTTCTTCCTTATGTAGCACTGGAAGAAATGCTTTTTATGTATCTTCGGGATTTGTCATTCTTTTAGGGAAAGGGGAAAAGTTGAAGCTTCTAAGTCGGAAAAGGTTGTGGCTTTAGCAAATTCAGTTTATTTCTTTATGCACAGTCTCCCAGAAGTGGAACCTTTTAATCGTGTAAAGAGAGGAATGGTTTTGCACATTAGTATAGAAAAAGTTGGTGATTGTGATGGTACTTTGAGAATTTCAGGTCTGGGGCATACCACTTGATTGATTGATTCCTTCCTTCCCTCCTTCTTTCTCTCCCTCCCTCCTTGTTCTCTTCTCCCTTTTTTAAAGATGGAAACACAACTTTTTAAGTAAATACAATGAAATATTTTCTTCAGGCATTTTTTTGTAATGCTTAAGCAAATGATAGGAATTAATGATTAGGTTATTTTTGTACTTAGCACAAACTTTGGAATTGCCCTTATTGTTTTAGTTACTTCCCAAACTGTCTGTGATCCTTCACATTTCAGAGGGCTTCCCAGAGTTAGCAGTATTTCCTGGGTTTGGAGGAATTGCTGTTTCTTCCATAAGTGTGAATCTTCAAATTTCCAGGTTAGTCATTTGATCACTCAGAGCTTGGATCAGATTACCCAAGAGGGAAGCTGGAAAAATCCCTTACTTGGTAAAACCATGGGTTTGACCTGTTTTTCTCTCCCCTTTGTTGTCCCCCTTCCTTAACTTTGTTTTTAAATGAGAAAAGCAATATTTCACTTTAATACACTCTGCAGTGATGCATTCAACTTGAAAACGAGACAGAATGTTTCTCAAACTTGTCAAAGTGTGCATTCCTTTCCCAACCCTCAACTCCACATCTGGAATGTTTGTAGGTGAATTAACATGAAACCACTTGGGGGAGAACATCTTTCCATGAATTCTAGGGATTTAATAATAACACCTTACTGTGTATGACATACTTCACTTTACGGAGGACTTGGCTGTTCATTATCTCCATCTGAATTCCATCTCCTGGGGCATTTGGCTGTTGTCCCTAACCTTCTCTCAGTCTCAGTGTGCTCATCTGTAAAGTAGGAGTGATGACATAGCTCTCCCAGAAGGTTTTTGTGTAGAGTAAAAGAGCATGGTCTGCGACAAAGGTCTTCGTCATTGTCATTATTTTTCTTGTCGGTTTTCTCATCATTGTTCCGGTTGTTGTTTGCAAGTGGGACAGCCTGGGTTCGGATGCTGGTGGTGCCACTCCTTAGCTGTGTGAATTTGAACAGGTCGTTTAACTTCCTTGAACCTTCGTTTTTCCATCTCATAGAGTTTTTCTGCAGATTACGTAAATTAATAAAGGTAAAGGGACTGAAAAAAAAAAGACGTTGCATGGTAATGCCATAGAAGCGTTAACCTGCTATCTTATTTATTTATTTATTTATTTTTGAGATGGGATCTCACTGTGTTGCCCAGGCTGGTCTTAAACTCCTGGGCCAAGCTATCCTCCCACCTCTGCCCCCCAGAGTGCTGGGATTATAGGCGTGAGCCACTGTGCCTGGCCAACCTGCTATTTTTTTCTGCCATTTTTATTAAGTCCTCACATCAATCCTGTGAGAGGTTGAGTAATAATAATGATACTAGTTGAATTTATATGCCAGGCACTATTGCAGAGACTTTATTAATCCATTTAATTCTCATGCAGCCCTATGAGGAGAGTACTAGTATGAGCTCATTTTGTAAATGAGGAAACGGAGGCACAGATGGATGTCCAGGAGCCATACCCAGGCAACCTGGCTGTAGAACTGGGCCCTTCACCACTGTGCCATGCTGTGGGGGTACCTCAGGGGATGGCCCCTCTGCTATGCGACAGGAGATGGGCTCGGAGAGGTCAGCGGGCTGTGCTGAGGGAACCATAGCCAGAGGCCCAGTACTTTGAAGTTCTGCGTTCCTGGGCCTAGGTGATTTGCCTTGCCCCATCATGTTATACCAGTGTGTGACACTGTCTTGTATCTTTTGATCTGACCCCTCAGGCCATCTTTTCAGATGGTTCTGGAGTTACTCAACCCCAGTGAGGCAACAGAGTAAATGCCAAGGTTGTATGGTGGTTGGGAATTGGGACAGGGTGGGGAGAAAGTGTCTTCCCTGTCTACGGTTATTTTCCAATAGAATTTGAGCCTGGCCACCGGGATTTCAGACTGGAGTTAGCGCTGGGGGCCAAAACCCAGGAGCATAGAACTTTAAGTCGACCCTGATTTATTTATCGATTATCTCCCTTCAATAAAACTTCTGTGTTTTTGTGTTCAGGTCACAGTGGCAGAGGGAACCCTGCCCCTCCTCGTGGGATGGGCGAGGAGCTTGTAAATGATATGTCAGTGTGTGTTTCAGTTAAAATGAGTTTCTCTGCTTTCTGGCTGTCCCTCCTTGCTAACGCTCGCCAGAGAAATATTCCGTGGAGGTGTTAAAACAAGACTAGTGGAAAGAAATGGTAACTTAAAAAGAAAGAAAATCCATGGCAGTGAAGAACAGATTTCATATTAGTACTGTCATAATATTCTCTAATGTATCATATAAATAAAAATCTGTTTAGACCAGAATTTTAATAAGTCACCAAAGGAAGGTTTTGAATCCTACAGTTTATGTATCCCCCTTTGCGATGTAAATGTTCACATCTCAAGTGAAGTAGAGTGGGGAGACGCTTCGGAGACTAGAGGCTGTTAATTAGTGAGGTATATTTTGATCAGGGCAAGAAGACTGGTTCATTCTATATCTTCGTATTTCTCTGGATGATTATTTCATTTTGTAAAATATGTAAGAGTTCCCCCCCAGCCCCTTATCTTTTTAAAAATTAAAATGGTCATGCTCTTCTAAAAAGATGACTTAATTTGAAGGCTTTGGAGACATGAGGATGATGGGGATCCATCACTCCCTGTTCTTTGCTCCCTTTGGACTGGAGTGTTGGCTGTCTGGAAGAGTTTTGCTTGAGCTCGTGGGTTATTTTCTTCTATGTGGAGGAACCAAGAGACTCTTTAGCATCTTTCAGCAAGAGCGAGGTCTGGGTGTACTCACCATCTGTCTTAATTATCCTTGTGTATAAGAAAACATTCCCATCTTTTCCCAATTGCCATTTCCTTCCTTAACTTTTAGAGGCCAGAACCTCATCTGTTGATGCAGGGAGATCTCACTTCTTTAACCTATTTCTAGTTGCCTTCAGTCACAGCGGGGTGGCCAGGGGCGAGTCACTTAAGCCTCCCCAAGGCTCAGTTTCCTCCTTTGTAAAAGAGGGAGAATTATAGTACTCACTGCCTGCAGTTAGTTGTTTGGAGGATAAATGCAAAATTCTTCACTGGGAGTCTGGCATAAAACAGCACTCCGCAAATGTCTGTTGATCTTATTATTATAGAATTATTATTTTTATTATTATTATTTTTAAGACGGAGCCTCACTCTGTCGCCCAGGCTGGAGTGCAGTGGTGAGATCTTGGCTCACTGCAACCTCCGCCTCCCGGGTTCAAGCAATTCTCCCGCCTCAGCCTCCCGACTAGCTGGGATTACAGGCACCTGCCATCATGCCTGGCTAATTTTTGTATTTTTGTAGAAATGGGGTTTCACCATGTTGGCCAGGCTGGTCTTGAACTCCTGACCTCAGGTGATCCACCTGCCTTGGCCTCCCAAAGTGCTGGGATTACAGGCATGAGCCACCGTGCCCGACCAGATAATTATTTTAATAGAATAAAAAAAAGTACAATGGTGAAATGACTGAAGGAAAATCTTAATTGGAATGTAAGCTCCCTGAGGGCAGGGAACTGTTGGTGGCTGCTGTTTGGTAACTAAATGAACGAACTGAGTCCAGCCTGCTTTTTTCACCGTGGAGGTAGCTGCTACCCAGTAAAGTTACGTTGGTTGCTTCAGATCCACACTTAGGTTGTAGCAGGGCTGAGCTAGCAGTCAGGTTTTCCTGTTCCTGTCTTGTCCTCTGACGTGGCTTCAGGGCCCTGGAAGGTTCTCTGCTAAGCACGCATCCAGATGGGTGCAATGGCAGCCCGAGCGTGTACACGCACACCTCCTGTTCTGGGGGAGTGGTTTCTTGGCAGCTTCTCAAGGGCGAAGGGTGAGTTTTCGGCATCTGGCCTTCCCTTGCTGCTGTGGGTCGGGTCATTCTAGCATCTTGCCATCTTGGATGATCTGCAGCTGTCATCTCGGCAGCCACCATGAACTGGCCTGCCAGTGGGTTTTCTCGTTCCCAGCGAGGATGTGGTGGTGTGTCTGCAGCCCTTTTCCACAGCAGCGAGGACCTGGGAGGATTAGTGGCTTAGCTTCTTTCTTGTCGGTGAGCACCGCTCCTTCCTATGTTCCAAGTCAGTAGCAGGTGTCAGCTTAAGGAGGAGGGGCACCTTGTCCTACAAATGTCCTTTCCCTGGATTTTGCCGTTCCTCACATGCTTTCGTTTCATTGTTGAGGTCAGTCTCCTAGGACTATGAAGCTCCTGTGTTCTTTGTCAGATGATTTTTGGCAGACAGGTGAGCCTCCTCTGCTGCCCGGGAAGGGAGGAGAAGGCAGTCTCGGAGGAACCAGCTGACCATCTCAGGTGCCGCTTGGGGCAGCGTCCATTCTTTGTGTCCTATTTTGTATTTTTAAACCCGGACAATCTTCGGCCGAAAACCCCGAGAACACACAGGGGAGATGTAGTTCATCATCTCTCTCTTCCCGTTTGATCTAGTGTGTTCATTTAACAAGAGCTGGGTTAATCCTTGTTCATTGCCAACTGTATGCGTGCACCCACTTTTGGAGGGATTCAGGAAATACTCGGTGCTTCCTGATGTGCATGGAACACAGTCTCGACGTCTTAGCTTGGTGCTTAATTAAGGTCCTTCAAAATCTGTACCAGGGTCTTTTCCACCTTATCTCTCAATTCTTCTAGTTTTTGCTGCCTTGAAACTGAATGCTCACCCTTCTTTGAGAAACCTGTCCTTTTGCAGATTTCCCTCTCTGCACTGCCCTTCCCTTCTCTGTACACAACAGACCCTCTTTGAAAGCCCAGCTTCATCATTATCTTTTCCACGAAGCTGTCCCTGCCCCTTTGTGGAAACAGTCATACTTCTTTGGATTTCCACAGCACTTACCTTTTCTTTGGTTAAGCCCCTTCCAACAATAATAAATTAGCAGAAACTTGTGGAGCACATACATCTGTTGCATGTTGTGCTAGACATTCACTCATTCATTTATTCACCAAACAAGCACCGACCGTTTGCCAGATACTGTGCAAAATTCGGGGGATAGTGTGGAGAATATGACAAAGTTCCTGCTGTCACCAAACTTTTGCTCTAGTGGGGCAAATAAGCAGTGAGCAAACAGATAAGTTTATGACATGCTCTCAGGTGTGATCACCAAAGCCAGGGAGGAGCGATGGCGGGAGTGGGGTGGACCATATCTATGGTACAGTCAGTTGCCACTTTCAGTAGTTCAGAAATTATTTACCAAGTTTCTGCTCAGCACCGGGGATTGCGTTAGGTACTTTGTTCTGAGTTTTATGGTATTTAGGTTCATGCCTTATCTTCTCCATTGGACACAAGCATATTTTACTAATAATTAAAAAAAAAAAAAACCCAGCCAGGTGCGGTGGCTCATGCCTGTAATCCCAACACTTTGGGAGGCCGAGGCGGGTGGGTCACGAGGTCAGGAGTTCAAGATCAGCCTGGCCAAGATGGTGAAACCCCGTCTCTACTAAAAATACAAAAATTAGCCAGGCATGGTGGCGGGCACCTGTAATCCCAGCTACTCGGGAGGCTGAGGCAGAGAATTGCTTGAATCTGGGAGGCGGAGGTTGCAGTGAGCCGAGATTGCGCCACTGCACTCCAGCCTAGGTAACAGAGCGAGACTCCATCTCAAACAAACAAACAAACAAACAAACAAAAAACACCCCATCCTTAGCCCTTACTTCTGCACTTTTGTACATCGTGGACTTCCATTTAGGTAGAGCGAATGAAAAATGCCAGAAGAAACACAGTTCTTGTCTTTAAGAACATCATTAGCTCCAGGTTGGGAGGAGGGGGTGACCTGTGATACTGGAAAGGGTGGGATAAGCACAGTAGAAGAGGTAGGAACAGCATTTTGAGGAAGGGCAATCTAAGCTTCTAGGAAGAGGTGGTCTTTGCCCCAGGTCTTGAAGATCAGATAGGAAGGAATAATGGCAGGAATGCTGTTCTTCCTTCCGGCTAGGCACTAGGAAAGGTCAGGGTGTGCAGGTGTTGCAAAGGGTATGTGCTGCAGAGTGGCCTGGCATGAGGCTTGCAAAGTAGGTTGGAGCCAGTTTGTAGAAGGCCTCAAGGGCCCAATAAGGCAAACTGACAGGTGCTGTGGGGAACCTGTTGTGTGTCTGTGCGGGTGTATGGGGATGCCCTGTGGAATGTTCTGAGCTCATTCAGACCCATATAGAAGCTGGGGTCACTGATAGGACCATGGCGGATGCTGTTGCCTGGAGAACTTCCAACCTGGGCTTGTGGCTTAAGCTTAATGCAGGCTATGTTCTCTCTGGCCAGAGTCTCTCTTGCCATAGACTCTTCTTCTTCAGGAGTGATGCTCTTAGCAGATGCCACCTCTACCTTTGGGGTGTGTGGCTGCTTACAAAGAGCTCTCTCATTCTCTTGTTTCTACCTTCTGTTCTCTCCTCTTTTCCTCCTTAACAAGGGACCATGATATAGATACAATTCCAAAGTCCTGTACTTTGTCCTTGTTTAAGCCGTGATCGTGACCTCACCATGTGTAGACAGTGAGATGTCATTTCTCAATGTGGACATCACAGATTGCCTGTATAACCCCAGTGTGTGTCCCGTGGCTCAGAGCAGTCTGACCTGTGACTTCATAGATGGTATCTGCTTGGGGTCGCCTTTGGCTGAGTGTCTGCTTGGTGAAGAATATGCATTTTTGGAATCATGATCTCTGCTTTCCGTGTGGTGTGAAGTGCGCAGGTGTGGTCTTGGGGCTGAGCACCCTGTGGTATGTTGTAGCAGCAGCCTCACTTGGTCGGTCCAGCTGGGACAGTTGTCCCACTGGGTCCAGAGTAGGATAAGATATTTTCCATTCTCCCTTCTTTTGAAGATAGCACCAGGCTTCCAACCATCTGGAATGTTAGCCTTAGGGTGGATGCCTGGCTGCTATCTTGCTTTATTTTAGCTGTGAGATTTTGAATAGTTAAAAAGAAAAATCCTAATTCAGAATAATGACTGTCATTTATTGTGAGTTTATATGTTATAGGCATAGTACCGAGACTATACACTTAGTCTTCTTTAATCCTTACAACAATCCTTTGAAATAGTTGGTATTATCTCCGTTTGACAGTGGGTAAACTGGGGCCTGAGAGGGCAGACAGCTTTCTAGAACCATAGAACTAGTAAGGTTCAGGGTTGGCCTTTGGACCAAAGTCTCTCTGAATCCCAAGGCTTTGTTCTCCTCTCTGCTAAGCCTTGCTGCATCCAACATGAGTGGGCAGAGTTGAGGTTGCCACTTTGCCTGATGGCTATAAAATGCTCAGGCTGAGGAATAGAATTTGTGATAGTCTAGCTGGAAAGCTTCAGGTTAATTTTTGTTACCTGTTTTCTGAGAGCTTGTTTAGCATAGGTAAGTGCCACTTACCAGCTATGGCATTTTAGACAAGTCACTTAGTGGTTTTGCACCTCCACTTGTACCTGTTAAATGGGATAGCAACCGTCCCTCCATTGTAGAATTGCTAAGGGTAAGATGGACTGAGCTACTGCATATGAATGGCCTAGGGTGATAGCTGCATGTTGTGGGTACAGTATAAGCATTCATCATCTGTTACTGTCCCCGAAAAATGTCCCTGCCCCCATCATCAGGGGACCTTATAACCGAGCAGCTCGTGGGTTGATTAGCACTGTTGCTCCTTTCTAGGGTGAGGGATAGAACAGCACATTGAGATTGGAAAATTCTGTGTCAGTGGCTTGGCCTGCTCATGAGGTCCTGGCTCTCGAGGCGAGATAGCATGCAGCCTTTATCTTGGGGATGCTTGATGGGCATTAGGAATTCATTTCCTTTTCCGTATCTGATGCCTGTGTTTTTGCTGCCTCTGAGAGTAAAGTCCCGGGGAGCAGCTAGGGAACAGCTGAGACACTGCTGTGTGAGAGGTCTCCCCATGAGTCTTCTCTCTCCCTGTACTGGTCTTTATCTGCCCGGGGGTAGCTCTACCAATGACTGATCTGAAAGCATCACATTCATTTATTTGTCACTGGCTGTGACAGGCAAGTTAATGCTAATGGATTCTTTTTTTAGCCTGTTGTCTGGGATGAGTTTCTCTCAAACGTCCTGAAATCTAAGGCATTAGGAGAATGTGTAACTTTTATGGCAGGGGAGGATTTATAAAATAAATAGGGTTTTGTGTGCAAGGACCTTAAATTTAGGTTAGGGGTATGAGCAGCCAAGGAGCGGGGGTGTCGGGCAAGCACAGAGTCTTCTTTTTAAGAAATCCATTCAAGAGCTCTAAATTGCTGTTTCTGTTTCAATTATGTGACAATTTCAAGGGTTTAGAAAAATCTAATAAAATGGTCTTGATGATGCATTCTGGGGAGAGAGTGCTTCAGAAGATCTAGGAGAATAAATTCCTTGGGGGTCAAGAGATTCTCGTTCCTGCCACCTTGGGCCTTCCTTCATCTGGGTTTTTACATTTTTATTGTTTTGAAGGGCAGAAAATGGTGTAGGAATGTATTCAGGGCTTCATCCATACCCTCCACCGAAATGAATTATTCTCTTTTGGCAATTGCAAAATAGACGGGCCACTGCAATCTTTTTTTTTTTTTTTTTTTTTTTAAGCTGACATATTGTAAACGACTTTCAGACCATGATTTGTGTGTGTAGTGATGTTGAATAAAGCACCAAAGAAAAGAAACTGAAGGAGGGGAAAGAGTGAGGAGGGAGGCGCTATAAAAGTTTTTTTCTTTTCTGCCATCAAAGCTTTTGATAGTTTCCTAAAGCACAGAAGTTTACAATGGAAGCGGGCTTTTGGGCCGCCTAGGGGAACAGAGTGCAGAAAGACCTAGTGTAGCAAAATGTGATGCTGAGTGACATTAATGAGGTGACCGCTCTGGTGGGAGGGAGGCAAGGAACCAGCCAAGTAGCAGTTCCCATGACTTGCTCTCAGCTGAGTGTTTCCTTCTGCATGCTTGCATGGGCGCCTGTGTGTGTTTGTGCATGCACACGTTGTGTTTCCTAAGTCTTCAGATGGAATTTTTAACAACAAACCCTGTTTGGTTTACTGTGGTGTTCTCCACCCTAAAGAGGCCGTGAATGTTGAGTTTTGTCCTTTATTCCCACCTGCTGAAAAGTAAAGTTTTCAACTTAGCGGCATTTTGTTTTTACTTTCTGGATACCTGCCGGAGCCTGGCTGGGCGGCGTGTCAGGCCAACATCACAGAGCTGGGCACTGTTGGAACACCAAACCAAGAGTGTGAAAAGTCAATATTCTCATTTCTGAAATGAATTCCAGGGAGAGGGGAAAAGAAAACCTGTTGGTGTACAGATCCCGCCCCTCCAAAGGCCCTAGATCGATAACACTTCATATTGGTGGCATAATTAAACATGGCAACAACTGCTTCTTAAATATTTCAGTGTCTTGGAAAGTAATCCGTATTTCCATGTTGCTCTTGTGCAAGAATTTCCACTCACTCAAGAACAAGAAAAGCTGCAACCTTGGGGGTAGAAGAAGGTGAGAAACCTAGGTCTTGCTGATTTCCTGGATAGGAGCTCGAGAGTACCTGGCTCAGTTGCGAACTAGTTTCAGAAAGGAAGCTCGTATTTTCATCCCATTCCTCGCCATGGCATTAGAGTGACCATTCTAAACAGTACTGGGCGAGTGTTCTGAAAAACTGCTGCGACATCTTAAGAAAAATAGCCAGATAGGGCCTGGTGTATAGTGGAGTGGGTGGAAACACAGTGTGTATTTACTGATACACTCTATTTTTTAAATCCCTTTCAACTCAGTTCCCTCTGGGATATCTCTCAAATGTGTCCTTTTTGTAGCTAGAGGCAAACAAGCAAAAAATGTTTCAACTTTCAGATATACTACTTAATAAAAACTAACTAGTGGATTCATCATGTCTTCTACCTGGGGAAAAAGGATCAAATTAGGATGCTTGCACCTAGGAGAGAATTGGGTTGTGAATCTCCACGAGATTGCTACATGTATATGTTTCCTCTTCTGTTTTCCAAAGAAGATAATTGGTTTTAGTAAGAACTTCTGACTTGATTAGGGGGCCCTTAGGAAATTAGAGTGTGTTTGAATTTCACAAGTATAATTTTAATTATACAAATTTTGCATTTTTTCACTAGGGAGCCAGGTTCAGAACTTGTTTTCCTGTACTAATAGGGGTAGTAAAGCTGATTATGGCAGAATGCTTTACTTAAATTGCTTTGAAAATAAAAATCCTTGGATTTGATCATTGTTTTTCCCTGCAGTACACGATGTTCAGGTTAATGTCCATACACGTCCCATATTCTTGTTAAAAATGATTTTTTTTTTTTTTTTTCTTTTACTGGATTCACACAACTGCAGAACAGACTGACATAGTGGGGATGTGGGTGGGGGGGGGGACCTCATTATGAATTTTTCTGCTGCACTTGCTGAAAGAATTCAATTAAAGTTCTTTTGAGCACAAGTCCTGCCTGGGCAGTTTGCGTTTGGCAGGCCATCGCCTTAGCATGTTGTGATTGCCTTTATTGCCACGTCATCCTGTTTGCTCAAAGCCTGTGCATTCACAGCATTAGCCCTCCAAGCGGCCCCTCTGCAGCATGACCCCAGTGGATTAGAGTAGAAGGTGCCGTGGAAACAGTCACCTGGGTCTTTCCCCAAGCTATAAAGAGACGGTGGAGTGAGGATGATCAGACCCCCTGGGCATCCCAAGAGAAGGACTGATTGTGTTCATGGGAAATAACTGTTTTTTTCAGGGCTATCCAGACAAAACCCCCAAGTGTCAGAGCGGGGGAACTGCTCTGAGAGTTTGAACTCAAGCATCCTCAAACATCTACCCCAGTGTGGGGCTCTAAAAAGCTTCCTAGAGACCTGCTCCTGGGGCCTTCTGGGCCTTGTCTCAGATATTGACAGGAGAGATTCAATAGAAGAATTCGTTCACAATAGAGAAATCATGAAACCAGCTTGTGAATGACGTGATGCCACATAGGCCGGGGCCTGAGAATATGGGAAAACAAAACTGCAAATAGAGGCTGGATCCTACTCACCCCCCATCACCCTGCATTTTACACATTGAAGTAAAATGTTATTTTTACTGTCGTTATTTTTATTACTTTCTCTCCAGGTGTTCTAGCTGAGCGTTTAAGAGCATGGACTCTGGAACCAGACTTTGAATCCTTGCTCTGCCACTGCAGCTGTGTGACCTTGAGCAAGCTATCTAAATATTCTGTGCCTTTGTTTTGTCATCTGTACAATGGAGATGATGATGGTATCACCTTCATGGGGTTGTCATAAGGATTATGGGACTTAACATAATAAAGTGTTTAGAATGGTGTCTGCAACATAAGGAAGTGTATGGGTGTGTGAGTTGTGGGGTTGTTAGAAAGGAGCACGTCCTGTGGCAGGTTTGGGTAAGTGCTCCGTGCCTGCCTTACGTAGTAGTTGGAGAACGCTAAGTACTGCTGTCTTCTGCCTTACGTATTTTTCCTTAAGTAATGTTTGAGAAATACAAAAGAAGACACACACACGTGGTTGTGCGTTTATGCATATAAATGTATGTGACACGGGTAGAATTGCAGTGTAATTTGGATTCAGACAAATTCATGTGCCATAACGAAGTGTGTGGTTTGTTGGCAGCACGGGCTTTGGACTCAGAGGGACCTAGTTTGAAACTTGATAACTGCCACTAACTCTGTGACTTTAGGAAGGTGTTCCAGCCTTTCTGGGTTTCAATTCTGTACTTAAAAAAAGGGGAATAGTAGGGTTGTGGGGATTAAATGAGCCAGTATAAATAAGGCACCAGGTGTATGATGAATACTGAGAAAATGTGAATTCTTTTCTCCATAAACAACAAAAGAAAAATTTTAAAGCCATCTCGAACATGGGAAAGATACAAAGTGTTCTGTTCTTGCTGGTGATGAGAGTATCTGAAGTTAGTTGATAAGTCCTTAGAGGTCTGAGTAGAGAAAAGCAGGCCATAAAAGAGGGTGTTGTCATCCTTAATCCACATGCCAAAGGGCTGTTTTAGCAACTTCATTTCACAAAAGCCACATTTTCAAGGGCAGGGAAATCATTTCAGTTAGGAACCTTAGATGGTGTCCCCAGCCTTTGAAGATGCCTTTGTTCCTTTGACACTTGGTAGGAACTGGGAGCACAGGGCTGGATGGTCCAAGAGGAGAGAGTAACTTCAGAGACATGAAAGAGCCCCAGCTAGGAGGGAGCGAGGGAGAACCTTGGGATTGAGGGCAAGGGTTACTTTTTCATAGAAACTTTTGCTTGGGGATATGGAATAGTAGGTTTTGATCTACAAACCCATGAGCCCTGTCCTGTGAGTGGGAAGAAGATTGGTAGAGCTCAGGAAATGAACACAGTTCCCAGCCATTGGCCTGGGAGATGCTGACGCTCAGACCTATTGTCGGGGCTGGGAAAGCCCCCAGACCCCTTGGGGCATCCCCTGTATGTGGGTCCCTTTCACTTCATGTCCACTGGGTGGAATTTACCAGGTATTGCTGGGAACGGGGAACAAGATCATGATTATAAGTGGATCCTGGACAGGGGATGGAGTGCGTGTGAATGTTAGTGTGTAGAGGACGGAAAGGGAAGGAGAGAAGGGGTGGCCAGGAGGAGGGAAATAGCAGTAGATTACATTGACTAATTATAGGGAAAAAGCCATATTTGCTGCTCCATTAAGTGATCACTAGGCTATGAAGCAGTTTATTGTAATTAATGCAGAAACAGCAAGTAAGTGTTTGAGTTTGGAGTGGAGGGTCTTCAGGACCCCCTCCCTCCTTCAGTTCTCTGTGCTCACTGTCTCCCTCCCCTCCCTCAAATTCATTATCCTTGGAGAGAAAGAGTCTTGGGGGAGCATCTCTTTGGGAAGGGCTGTTTAGCACAGTCTTGGACCAGTTTTCTACTGGTTTATTTTGACAAAGAAGGAAGATCTTTTACCTGACCTCCTTCAGAAGATTCTGTAGGGGTTTTTATGTTTTCTAAGGCTGAAGGAGGAGGGACAAACCCATGTCATCATTGCTATTCTTGCCACAATCATTTTAATTTCAGCACATGAAAGTGGCAGGTTACACATCCAAGTCCATCGAGTTATGGGCCGTGTGGAGTTGTGATTGCTTTCCTTGATGATTTCTTGTTCAAATCAGCAGTGCTCTTAATTTTCCAGATGAAGTAAAAAGAAAATTGGAGACTCCCCTCCCGCCTGGCGTCTCTTCATCCAAGGTTTTCTGAGCATGACTCTGATTTGGAGGGTTAATATTAATTAGGAGCCAGTTTAGACCTCAGTTGCTTGATGAGGTAGCTTCAACTGTTGTCACGAATGTGGCTCCTTTTTGCTTGTGCCTGCTTTTGGTGAAAGTTTCTGGGTTTAAAAGCCAAAGGAAGAAATATGCAGAGAAAGATAGAGGAGGGGACAATTACTAAAGAAGTGCAAAGCATTCTCTTAGAACTTGAGGGAGGAACAAGACCAGAGTGCCTGGGTGGGTGTGGGTTCTGAGCTACTGTGTTTCCCGGCGTGCTGCCGCTGCTGTTTGCCTCAGTTTCCTTTTTTGTAAGTAAAGGTCATCTCTCTAGCTTCCTAAAAGGGCCATGACTCATTTCCTTGGTTTCCAAATTGGGTGACGCTAGAATTTCTCTGAGGCAAGTCCCTGGTGAGTGCCAGGTAACGGAGGCGCCTCATTTTTGTGCCGAGGCTCAAGGTTTCCTGGCTCCCAAGTTTTCCCAGGGCTGACTCGGTCTCCTGGGGAACGGTGGCAGAAAGGATGAGACCAGAGACAGTGAGTGAGCCCCACTGCATAGTCAGGGGAAAGGAGACCTGGAGAGGAAGGGACCTGTTCTCCTTGGGTTGTATCATGTTAGGGACCTTTCTTCTACGGACTGGGGGTTTGGGTTGGTTTTCTTTTCTTTTTTTTTTTTTTTTTTTTGAGACAAAATTCTGCTGTCTCGCCCAGGCTGGAGTGCAGTAGCAGGATCTGGGCTCACTGCAGCCTCCGCCTCCTGGGTTCAAGTGATTCTCTTGCCTCAGTCTCCCAAGTAGCTGGGTTTACAGGTACCCGCCACCACACCCAGCTAATTTTTTTGTATTTTTAATAGAGGCGGAGTTACGCCACGTTGGCCAGGCTGGTCTCGAACTCCTGACCTCAAGTGATCTGCCTGCCTCAGCCTCCCAAAGTGCTGGGATTATAGGCATGAGCCACCGCACCCGGGCTGGTTTTCTTTTTGACAGGGTGGTTTGGGTCGTGAGGGAGTATGGCAGACCATGGGTGTGAAAGTTCCAGTCCTAGCAGGAGAGACTTGACTTCTGTCTCTTGGTCTCTTAGCCCAATGCTGATGTGCTGAACATGACCTCAGGCACTTTGCCTTGCAGCTCCATGTTTCGATTTCCCCATCTGTAGACGGGAAGAATGAAGGCATGTGGTGGGAAGCAGTGCTGATTAGGGCTTAAGAGAAGAGGCTTAGGAGGCAGACAGTCTTAGGGTTTCTTTCTGGCATAATAGTTTCCTAGCTGCTTGACCTTGGGGAGTTCACTTAACTTTGTTAGTCCTCAATTTCCTGATATGTAAAATGGGATAATACCATATGAGCATCTACCTGACAGGATTGTTGTAATGTTTACAGGAGACAGTGTTCGTAAAGTACACCGCCTGGGAGGTGGCTAGCACATTATTCCTGGGGGCTACTTTTACTATTAACAGCTCCATAGTGATTTGACCAAAGGTTTCTGAGAGTTGAGCCAAGATGCGGACTAGATGGGACCACATTGAGAAAACATTTGAGGCTGGATGCAGTGGCTCACGCCTACACTCTAGGAGGTAGAGGTGGGAGGACTGATTGAGGCCAGGAGTTGGAGACCAGCCTGGGCAACACAGTGAGAACCCTCTCTACAAAAAATACAAAAATTAGCCAAGTGAGGTGGTATATGCCTGTAGTCCCAGCTACTCAGGAGGTTGAAGTGGGAGGATCTCTCGAGCCAAGGAGGTTGAGGCTGCAGTGAGCTATGATCACACCACTGTACTCCAGCCTGGGCAACAGAGCAAGACCCTGTCTCTCAAAAAGAGAGAAAAAGAAAGAAAACATTTGAGCTCCATAGATTGACATTCTGATTTGAACAGTTTCCCATAGAGGGAGAATTGCGGCGAAAGAGGCAAGGCCTGCCCACAATGCATGGTCTGGGACTTAGCTGATGAAGTGCTCTGCACCACCCAGCTTCGAGGAGATGGGGACTGGGGTTTCCCCTTGCTTGACATCTTAACTACTTCACTGCAGGAAAGGGGAGGAGGGACAAGAGGAGGACCAATCCCCAAGGGACACGGAGACCCACATTAGGTTTTGGAACCCACGCCTGGTACTATCTGAATTTAAAAGCCTTGCTTGACTCAGGCGGGGCTGATCAAAGGCCATTTGCTGTTTTAGAGTGTTCCTATGTGTGCTTGGCAGACAGAGTTGTCTTTTTATTGCTTCCATTCCCACTAAGACCTCCATCCCCCCACTGCCCCCCCAACCCCTTGGTGAGCTTGGTGAGATGTGTTTTTTTTTCTTTTTTTAATTTTAAGTTCCAGGATACATGTGCAGGATGTGCAGGTTTGTTACAAGGTAAATATGTGCCATGGTGGTTTGCTGCACCTATCAACCCATCACCTAGGTATTAAGCCCTGCATGCATTAGCTGTTTATCATGATGCTGTCCCTCCTGATGAGATGGTTTTAAGTTGGCACCAGCACCTGTTTCTCATGCCTTGCGTATGCAGCAGGAACTGTGAACTAGGGACAGGTTCATGCCCTTTGGCCACTGCAGACGTGGAGCTGTGGACGCCAGTACTTGTGTGGAGAGTCGGTGTCTGTTGGCTGTATCTCAGCTTTCTTTTCAGGGCAGACCTGATACAGGTGTTCTAGGTGGGAAAAGCCTTAGCACTTGTTGTGAACTATTATATTGTTACTCTCTGGAAGGGAAGGTGGAAAGGGGAATCTATGCCAGTGAGCACAACACAGGCCGCATATGGACACACATGAGGTCGCTCGGCATGCTCTTAGGCCCAGAGGAGACAGAATCAGATACTAGCCTATCCTCTGGCTGCTCCCAGGCTAGCAGGGAGGTAGGTGTCTAAACCAGGATGTGAGCTAGAGGGGACTATAGCCGTGCACAGGAGGGGCACAGAGGACGGAGCAAGCAGGGCAGGCTTCACGGAGGAGGGCTTGTGAGCTGAATCTTGAGAGAGAGGAGATCCTCCAAGTTGAGGGAACTGTGGGAGCAGTTAGACAGCTTGGATTTTGGGGGGTGTAGCACATTGCTCCTTATGGGCTGGGGTGTAATGTGCAGAGGAGGGCAGAGGGAAGATTGATTTGCTCATTATGCAACAAATGTCTGGAGCTCCAGTCCTGAACCAGGCCCAAAGCTGGGGAATAGCAACTCAGTCCCTGCCCTTGTGGAGTCTGTGGCTGGCAGGGGCATGTTCATTAAACAACTTATTGCATGATTCACTACTTTTCTTTTTCTTTCTTTTTTCTTTTTTTTGTGAGACAAGATCTTGCTCTGTCTCCCAGGCTGGAGTGCAGTGGCACAATCAAAGCTCACTGCAGCCTTGAATTCCTGGGCTCAAGCGGTTCTCCTGCGTCAGCCTCCCAAGTAGCTAGGACCGCAGGCACACATCACTGTGCCTGGCTAGTTTTTTAAATTTTTTGTAGAGGTGGGTATCTCACTTTGTTGCCCAGGCTGGTTGAACTCCCGTGAGCTCAAGTGATCCTCTTGCCTTGGCCTCCCAAAGTATTGGGACTACAGGCGTGAGCCACAGTGCCTGGCCTGATTCATGATTGAAGTACCATTACCATAAATGCTATACATCCATGCATTGGATGTTAAAGGGATCATAACAAAAAAAAAAAAACAGTGTCCTTTGGGTTTTGGGAAGGCTTCCTGGAGAAATAACGTTGAGGCTGAGCTTGATGTAGGGAGGGAAGTAGCAGGGTGCATTTCATGTGCTGAGGGAAGAGAGGGTGGCTGGAATGCAGAGAGTGAGGAGGACAGGGGGACAGGCGAGGTCACACTTGCGTTGGCGGGGATAAAAATTCTTATCTTAGGAGGGTTGGGGAAGCCATCCATTTAAAAGTTTAAGGGATGGGATGGGAAATGATCAGGTTTGCGTTTTGAAAATATCTCTCTGACAGTCTACACGAAAAGTGGCTTGTGGGTACCCCAGGGGGCTGTGGGGGAATCAGTGAGTAAGTTGTTGTGGTGATCCACTTGAGGAAGGATGGCTGCTTAGCTGAGTTCTTGGAGGTAGTGA
The DNA here is from genome assembly GCF_000001405.40 of Homo sapiens. NCBI lineage: Eukaryota > Metazoa > Chordata > Mammalia > Primates > Hominidae > Homo > Homo sapiens. Next base: position 57,280,430 of record NC_000017.11, read on the forward strand.
TGGAGACCAGTGGATGGATTTGAGATGCATCTGAGAATTGGAGCAGCAGCTTGGTGGTTTGGTTAGTTGAGGAGTAGCAAGTGTTAAAGGTGAGAGGCAAATTTGACTTCTCATTGATGTGAGCAGAGCCCCCAACCCCCACCTCCGTGAGATTGAGAGTGTTGGCCCATGCAGGGGACAGGCAGGGCAGGTGTGCCTGGCTCAGGGGGTTGAGTGTAACCCCTTGGCTGGCAATCGGCATACTCTTAGTGACGGACCCCTATTGGTAAACTTGTTTTTGAGCTTGCACTGTATACATATTTATTTATAAATGACATACATATACTTCTGTACTAAAATAGCATGCTCCTAATAAGGCAAATCATTAAAAATAAAATAGGATGAGAAAAAAAGCTAAGCACACATAAACATTTTAATCTTTTTCTTCTAAACCCTACTTCGGAGACCACTGCTTTTGGCCATGGGGAGCACTTAATGAGTTTTAGGGTGGGGGTGGCCAGGTCAGATGGGTGTTGGGGAAAGAGCACTCTGCAATCCAGGGGCTCTCCCGTGAGTTCTGCCCAGGCCAGGGGCCCAAGGAGGAGGTGCTCTTGCAGTCTTGTCGTGTGTGGCCTGGTGAGTCAGGGACATGAAATTGTGGCATAATTGCTATCCCCCGAGAAGTGATGTTGGCAATATCATACCAGGTGTGTGAGGGCTTATTGGTGTTTGATGTTTGCTAGTCTGTGTGTGCTCAACCTATGGGAATATGGCAAGGCCCACTCCCCTGTGGTCCAGCAGGTTCCTGTCTAGAGGGCTGAAGGCCATAGTTAGCCAGGGAGAGCCTGATCTTCTAAAGAGAGCATCACGTGAGGGATATAGTGTCAGTTCTCAGCACCTCTACTACCTGCAACGCCATCACCAGCCAATTCTGAGCTCATGTGGGCCACTCTTCCCCGTCTCTCTGGTGGATTGATAATCATACTTCCCTACTGAACTCCAAAGACTGAAAATGATGCAAAGTGAATTGTTTCTATCTTTGCAATCCAAACGTTCCTCTTCGTTTACTCTCCAGATCCCTTCCAGCAAATTGGTATTGCCACTCTCCCTCCATCCCTGGGTTCTCGGGGCTAATTCTGTTCCAGCTCGCTCTGTTTAGCTCTTTCTTCGAGCAGAACCCAAGCTAGGATCTTGCCTTCCAGAGAATGCTTTAAAAAGCCTTGTTTCCCAATATACTGCGTTTCAGTTTTCCACGAGTGCAGCCATGCTCGGGAGAGGCGTACGAGCTGCTTTTACATGTGAGAGGTGAACAAATCAAAGGTGAGCCCGTTCTGCCTCAGTGAGGCCTTTTGTGTAAAAAGGGCCTTCTGGAGTAAAGCAATCAGGTTGACTGACAACTGCCGAGGCTACCAGTGACAGTCCTGCTCCGTGGGATAACTTGGAGAAAAATCAGGGCCAAAAGCAGACAAAAGGATGTCCAGAAACTGGAGGTGGGGAAGCCTGAGTGAGATCAAACAACCTGAAAATGTGTCTTCCATCCATTTAGGGCTTTATGTGCAGCGAGGTTGGAGTGGCTGGCTGAGGATGTCAACATTTTAAATTTGTCACTGCTTTGACTTCCCTAGCTTTATCTCCCTTCAGATCAAAGCGGGGAGACTAGGAGTTGTCACTACTGGATTTGGTTTCAGACTATGTTGGTGTACCCTTGCTTTATGACCTTGGGGTTTCCTGTCTTTGCTTGGGGTGACGGGTTCATTTCAAACAAGTGAGATGTGTGTTGTGGTCTTTTATTCAGAGTGGGGAGCTCTTAGAAGCACCCACAGAGGCTTTGAAAGGACTGGGAAGCAGCTTGGAGGGCCAGTTGCGTATTTTCCAAGGATTCCTGAATATCAGGAATCCAGAAGTTTCTATTTGTTAGCCTTGCTGCTCCTCCAAGGAGCCATCCTGAAGGCAGTTTAGTCCTGCACTGGGAGACAAGGCACAGGCCTGAAGAATTCCTGCCCCCTGCTGTATAATAAATCTGATACTAAAATTAGTGCTGGCCTCCTGAGCCATATTTCTTGCTGAGATGATAAAGAAGTGTGTGTGTGGCAGGCTCATCTTTCAGGATTGGAGGATGTTGCTTTATGTCAGATAAGTGCCCAGGTCTCGAGATCATTTTTTTATGGCAGCCTCTCCCCCATTTCCCTGCTTCCTCTCCCTGTTCTGTTTTGTTAGGGGTAGGAGTAGGTAGGGGTGGATAGGGGAGAAATATTTTAGCTTGTCTTCTGGTTTTGTGTAAGTCTCTGTCACCGTAGGTAGATGTTCCTTGAGAATCTTTCTGAAGGTTTTATAATTGAGTCTTTTACCTCCGTGACAAGATATTATTCACTTTCTCTAAAGCGTTTACTTTATGCTTGGGCTGGGGTTGGGGGGTGGGGGGCAGACTTTTTTTTTTTTTCAGGGAACTCTGTCTCTAGAAGAGACTTGCCGTCAGGGCAGTTGAATGGCCAGCTTACGACTTTAATAATTGAGGCGGCATCTGGGCCCCTTGCTGAACGGCAGTCCTTCTGGCAGGGCGATTTTGCTTTTAAAATAACCATGTTCACCTTTAACTGCAAACGGCTGTGACGAGAGTTGTATTTAATTTTAAATTGCCCATGTCCAGTAACCCTCTGTACCTCTTTAAATAATAAAATGTTTTTAATCTTCCTGCAGCTGTGTTCTCTGTGTGGGGGCTTGCCATTTTTGGAAGAGGAGGGGGCTTCTGTGCCTCCTCTCCACTCCCTTTCTTTTCCCTTTCAAACTCACCGGGACTTCTAGAAAATGCCATTTCACTAAGGGCGGAATCTGGCCCGTAAAGTCTCTGGAGTGAGTGCTGGGAAGTTTATAAGCAGAGGCCGCACAGGGTCAGTCAGTAATGTCAGCCCCTGGGGCTGAAGTGCTTCCTTTGTGGGCAGAACCCCAGAAGTCCCTTTGTATCGCTGACCCATTAAAGACTTTTTCTCCCCATTCCCCGCCTCCAACTTCAGGGGGGCTTGATTTGTCTGTTATAATCGGAAACAGATTTTGGGCTCCTGATCCATTATAGATGTGTTTGAGATGGATGCCAAACCTGAAGCCACTTAAAGAGCATGTGAAAATGTGTTTAGATATAAAGGAAAGAAAGGAAGAGAGAGGATGAGGAAAGAAACAGCCTCTTCCAAATCCCCCAACTAGAAACAATACTGAAATGATAACACACAACAAAAAACAAACAAACAAAAAAACTCGATTTAGGCCCTAGGAAAGCATGGGAGGAGAAAATTAGGCTCCAGAGTCAGCCAAGTTGGTGCTTAGTCTGGGATGAACAGCCCAGTGAAGGAGGTTAAAGGAGGCAGAAGACCACACGCGCACGCGCACTCCCGGAAGCGTGGTTCAGGTGGGGCCTGCCGGGTCCAGGGGAATGTGTGTCCCAGGCTTGGAGCAGAGGGTGGCAGGTGCGTGGGGACGCATGGGAAGCACTCACGTTGTGCCCAGCAGGTCCATGTTTCTATCCCGGAGACCCTTGGGTTAGGAAATATTGATTGCTCTGTATTTGTAAACAATCTTTAAGGGGATCTAGTGCCAACACAAATAGTCAACTTCAGGCGAATCAAGTGGCCTCCTCTCAACAGGGAAGCCCATTGCTCTGATTTTCTGGATCGACACAGCCCCAGATTTATTTTCCTTTTTAATTCTCAAAAGGGGCCCGCTGAGTTGAGCATTGCCCAAGTATTGGTTTCTTTTCATCCCTGTTGAATTTTTTCCCTTCTTTAATGAAAGAGTTGGATTGGCTGTGCTGGGCCCTCCACCCGGTCATGGTAGTCCTGGTGACGCCTGGCTGCAGGGTTTCGAAGGTGGCCCTCATTTCAGCTGTCCTTGAGGCTCACTCCTGTGTTCCCCCTGCCCCTGCCATCCACCCCGCACCCGCCACCCCGAAACGTTTGTAGTACAGCTGCTGGCCTAGAACTCGAACTGATGTGTCTCTCACTCCAAACAAAAAATAAATCTGTGTGCTTTATGTATGTGTTTTAGAGGTGTGCCTGTGTGTTTTTTCTCTTGACAAGCTCATTCCCTACAGCTGTGCAGTCACAGCCCACTTTGAAATCTGCAGCATATATATATTTTTAAGTGAATAAGTACGAAGAGATGGGAAGATGTGGTTTGACTGTAATCCCACGTAAAACACTCTGACCCCAATTTTTAAAAAAGTATTTCATTAAAATGTTGTAGGAGACTATTACTGAGAAGAAGAAAGTTTCTAAGTTGATGGGACTCTTGTGTCTCCTAGTGTAGAGTTGATTTTGTTTTTTGGGGTCACCATGGAGATGAGAAGCATGGGGCTTCATGGCGTCATCTGCCCCCATTGGGGGAGGGCTTGTTGGCACAGGTCACCTCTGGATCAACCTCAGCCTCATCTGCTGGGGATGGGAGAAGCTCAAGTTGGCCAGGGGTTTACCCTATGCCCTCCTCAACCAGAATTAAAATGACCTTTTTTTTTTTTTTGCCTTCGAAGACAACATTGGTAACAATTTATTGAAACTATGGAGCTTAGCAGTGATCAGTTTTTGGATTTTCTCTTTCTTCAACCCCTCCCCTTTCTGGAAGACTTGTAGGAGGATAGGGGAGGTTTTTCTGTGCATAGATTGGCGTCGGTTTCTTAGAAGTTTCTTCTTTTCACCTTAAAAAAAATTGTTTGCATCCTTCCCCTTAGATAAGGAACCGTCAACATCCTTGTTAGAGCCCAGTGCGGAGGGGACCCTGAGGCACATACTGTTTTCAAGGTTAGATAGCAACAAACTTTCAGAGTAGCCGGAGTTTCAGGGGAGGGAGGGTTCTTTGGGTTCAAGGTTACCCATTTTTCCCCTGCTAGGAAGAAAGCCTTTTTGTTTTCTTTTGCCGACTTCTTCCAATAGCTTAGAGCAAATAGATTAGCAACCCAGCAGAAACCAAACCAAGGAACAAATAAAGGGGAAGTTTGCAGAGGGCCCTTGGCTGGGGGCTGGCTGCTGCTGAGGAGGCCAACTTGCGGTTTTCCATTTTCACGGTGAACCGCATTGTCTCAGCGTTCGCTGGTATTCACAAAATCAGAAAGAAAGGAAGGTGGTGGTGGGAGGGCGCACTTTTCAGGAGAGGCTGGGGTGTGGGGAAAGTATGCCCAGCTGCATGTTATTAGCAGCCTTCAAATAAAGTTTGTGGAAGGTTCCGGCCCCCACAGTCATGCCTGGGAAGCTTCTGTGTTCTTAGTAGGTGTTTTGAATTCTGTGGGATGGAACTGAATGTTTAAAAACAGTTACAGGAACGTCTCCCCAAGTAGGTATTCCTGAGAATTTCTGTGTACATGGAACTCTATTTTCTTAGCAAGCATCATTATATTTTTAGAAATGTTTTCTTTTCTCCTTGCCCGTCAGTTAGCCAAGCCTCCTACCACTCACTTTCTGTTGTGTAGTTCTGATTTTCCGAACAGGTGTTTAGATGATGAGGGGTTATATTAAGAAAGTACTAAAGAATACGTCTTATCACGTGAATCAGTATCTTTTTATTCAACATGGATGGAGTGGGAGTGGAGACCAATCTGTTTTATATTCCTGCAATCTGATGAGGGTAAGAAAAAGTTCATGCTGTTCATATTAGCTAGCCAGCCTCTTTCTGTCTTTCCCTCCCTTCCTTCTTTCTTCTTTATTTTTTCTTTCTTTCTTTTGTCTAATACCTAATTCCTTATCTCATTTTTGGGATTTTGAGAGAATAATTTTCATGTGGGGCGACAGAACTAGTGGTTGTAGTTTCACTTGTTTTTTTGACATTAAGGAAACAACAAATAGTCTTTTTTTTTTTTTCCTCAGACTGAGCACACATTTTAAGTGTTTTAGGGGGAAGCTCTGAAGGCAGTTTGTGGTGATTTTTAAAAAAATGTTTTTAAAGCTTTAGTCTCTCCTGGAAGCTTTGTGTGTCCCTGCATTTTCCTCGACGGTCGCTAATAAGAACTGCTGGTCTAAATCAGTGTCTCTGAGAGTCATTGATTCACTAATTGCTCATCATCGAGTCCTGGCTTCCCCCTCCTGCTGAGAGCACTTTTGTTTTCTGCTATTCTGCAAGGACTTGGACAGATTTCTGGAGTGTTTAAGAGGTAACCAATAAAAGAGTTTGGCGTGCCCCTGTTGGTAATTGTGCTTCTCGGAGGTGACCACGTCATTGGTATCCGGGCTCCATAAACAAGGGGCTGCCTTACCAGTGACCTTTCCCGCCTAAAACCGAAGGCCCCAAGGTCGCTTGTCTGATGGAGAATGTATTTCCCGGCTCACTGTGAGCCTCGACTTAATTTGTTCCTTTCCTAAGGCAAAATGACCTTCCAGTAAACCCACACCCCCTCCCCCGCTTATTATTATTTATTTATTTTTCTGGTGAACAAACAGAATTAGGAAAGGTGTGTTCTTCCAGGAGAGAGCGGGCAGTGTGGGAGGAGATGGCAGTCTGGCTCATTAAAATGCCGAGGTAGGTTTAAGCTGATTGCCAAGTGCGGGTCCTGCAGGTCAGAGTGTGATGCCCAGAAACAAAGCAAGGCCTAGGGAGAGGCTGGCCTGGAGGCAACTGGCTCGCGCCGCAGAGAGTTTTGAAGCCACATTTCTTCATTGGAAATTTAAAAAGAAAGAAAAAAAGCAGCCCCTTTTGCTCCATATTTATCATCTCTATAGTACCCTACAAATAAGTGGTCTCAAAAAGTTGTTTTTTTTTTTTTTTAATTTGCTGAACCTTTATAATAGGACCCTTTCTGAGGGCCCCGTGAGCCCAAGAATGCCTCCTTGCAATGTGAGTGTGGGAAATTAGTGCAGGCCCAAGGAAAGGAAGTGTGAAACTGCTTCCCTCAGTGAACACCCAGCCTGGCGAGGCTGTCCTGTGTGTCTTGGAAGCCCTGCTGGGCCTGAGTTTGGGTGCCATATAATTTGCTGGCCTAGCACCCCTTCCATGGGTCCCTCTCGGCCAGCCTCAAGGAAGGGGTCCTGTGGGGGACAGAATAGTGTGTGTGAGGGGCTGTCTGCGGGTGGAGGACTGCCGGGGCTTACCATCCTAACTTGTTGCTCAGTCGCGGAGTCTTGCATGTTGACTCTCCTGGGCTTGGTTGGCCGCTGCTGCTTTCCTGTGGTTGTTGGTTTGTGTTAGGTGTTTGGTCCTCTGGTTTGCTTTGGGTACTGGGACTTTAGCCCAGGGAAGAGGCCTGTGGTGCTTCTCTGCCTTTCGGCTCCTACGTGGGGCATTGGAAAGCCCTTTCCCTGCCTGGTTGAAACCTTCGCAAACTGCACACCTGGCCGGCCTGGCAGTCAAATGGATTCCATGGCAGCCCCTGCCTAGAGCGGAGCAGGATGTCTGTTTCGGCCGGTTATGAATGAAATCAGAGTCCTGTGCTGGCAATGCCATTGTGCGTAAGGAGTGCAAGGAATGCACTGGGCCATCTTCCCAGAGAGACCCTATAGACGAAACAGATGTGGTCAGATGAGCCCCTGGAGACAGCAGTAGTGGGGAGTGTGGGAGAGCAGGCCAGGGCGGCACCAGGAGGAGCAGGAGGAGCTCCAGGAGGATTCTGAGCCTCCTCCTCCTCCTTTATTCCTCCATCCCTCTGTCTGGGGTGGGATGTTTGGGAGAAGAGAGGCAATGTGGTATGGTAGATAGGCCTGTTCTTTGGAGACAGTTCTGGGATTGAATCCTGGCTATGTGACCTGGCCAAGTGACATAACCTCTCTGAGCCTGATGTGTGTCATCTGTAAAATGGGGATAATAAGACTTGTGTGGCAGCTCTGGGAACAGACAGAACTTTCTGTAGAGCACGTAGCACAATTCCTGGCATCTGTTAGGTGCTTAGTCAGTGTTGATTATGCAGCCAGCCTGGACCCAGCTGTTGTCGCTGGGACAGGGAGGAGGTCGTGCAGTTACCGAACCCTACACCATTGATTTTACTGCTTTGGACCGAGAGGCCCGAGTGTGCTGTTTAGCCTTCCAGGCCCTGAAAGGTTAGTTGTACCCTTCTGACTTTCTCTACAGAATCTTCCCCCTAACCTTCCTGGTGTTTGCTAAACTGAGAGTTAGCCTCACAGAGTCCCAGCTTCTCCTGGGTCATCATCCTTTTCTCTGGCCTCTGCCTGAGAGCAGCGTGCACCGGAGACTGAGGGAGGTTGGCTGTAATCAGCACAGACCCTTGGCTCTCAGCTGAGGGTGGATCCCAGTGTCTAGATGATAGATGGTGCAGTTTGGTTTCTAATTCCTGCTTGATTTAGAGAGGTGCTGGGAGTGAGTGGTGTTACAGGGAACGGAGGCTGTGGGAAGGCTGGGAGTGTGAGCGTTTGATTACCTTCTGTGCTCTAGGCCAGGGGTCCACAACTTTGGCACTGTTGACATTTTGAGCCAGATTATTCTTTGTTGCAAGGGTGGAGGTTGGGGAAGTGGGGGTGCATTGGAGTGCATTGTATCTGTAGTAGGATGTTTAGCGGCATCCCCGGCCTCTACCCACTAGATGCCAGTAGCAATCCCTCCCTGGTTGTGACAGCTAGCAATTGCCACGTGTCTCCTGGGGGACACAGTCACCCTTAGATGAGAGTCATTGGTCTAGCACTATAGGTCACTTCTCTATAAGAAGGGGAAATATTTGTATGTTTTCTGAGGTTCTGTTCTGCATGGATTGGAACCTGGACAATGAAATATTCATGAAATTCAAGAGCAGGAAAGTGCCTGGAGAGATCACCTGGTCCAGGCCCCAGCCTCCCGCAGGTGGCTAGCCACATGCCCTGGGTTTGATTTCCACGGCTCCTGCTGGTCTTCCCTTTTGGTTAAGTGAAAGGGCAGGGAGAGGGGACGTTTCCACCCAGGCCAGCATCTCTATAGAGCTTTTTGGAGTGGGAACTTCTTTTAGCAGAATGACTCTGCACTCCTGGGCTCTTGGCAGTCCTGTGTTTGGGCCTCTAGGAGTTTGGTTGCAAGCTCCACGAGTTTGATTTGCTCTCTCATCCCTGGCACACACAAATTTGTCACTCAGAGGGACTGGCTTTTCTGCATGCACTGAATGGATTTTTATTTGAAATGAATTCATTAAAAAAAAAAAGTTTTGCTTGCCAGGACTCTGCCGTCCTCTCTTCCCTTTTATTTCTCTCTGTCGTCTGTAAGACGAGCCTGGAAGGAGCTGTCTGGTGGGATTGGTTGGCCAGGGATTTTTCTAGGCCCTGATTAAAGGTAAATTATCAGATGAAAGTTGGAGGTTGCTGCTGTGCTTGTAAAAAAGTCACTTGTGTGCCATAAAATCCATCACAGCTCCCTTGGTGAGAAGGAGGAGGCCGTGAAACACTCAGTGATGCTACTTCGGCTTCCAGTGATTTGGCTTCCCTCTGCTGCAGGAGTGCTGCCCGGCAGCCCGGTGCACCCTGCTCTTGTGAGAAGCTCGCTGAATCACGTTGGTGGGAAGCTCAGAGACAGAACTGTGTGTTGCCGGCAAGTTGCCATGAAGTAGTTTTAGATGTTGGACTTAGGAGAACCAGATGGCTTTATGGAGTAGAAGCGGAGCCCATGATGTCTTGGTGACTTTTGCCTCTCTTTTGCTTAGAACCAAAGAAGGTGGTTGTCCAGTTGGAGAGGGTGTGGGGAGTCTGGCCTTGGAGAGGCAGTATAGCCCATGGTTGACAGCATGGATGCAGGGACCAGACTGCCCAGCCAGTTATAGAGGTGGGACTGTGGGCTAGTTATTTAATCTCTCTGTGCTTCAGTTTTCTCATCTATAACATGGGGATGAGAGTAATAGTACCTACTCTGGGGTCATCTTGAGGAATTTGTGCAAGAAAAGGGCTGAGCCTATAGCCTGGCCAGGGGTAAGGAAGTCATCCTTAATTATATTATCATTGGTTACACTATTCTTTTTAATTTATTTTAGTTTTTCTTTTTAGAGACAGAGTCTCCCTCTGTTACCTAGGCTGGAGTGCAGTGGTGTGATCATAACTCACTGTACCCTCCAACTGTTGGACTCAAGCAGTCCTCCCACCTCAGCCTCCCAAGTATTGGCACTACAGGCACATGCCACCATGCCCATTTAATTTTTAAAAATTTTTTGTAGAGATGGGGTCTTGTTATGTTGCCCAGGTGGGGGTCTCTAACTCCTAGCCCCGAGTGATCCTCCTGCCTTGGCCTCTCCAAATGTTGGGATTACAAGTGTGAACTACTGTCCCTGGCCTGGTTATATTATTCTATAATAGATGGTTAGCCTGGCTCCTGAGGCTTTAGGAAAGTGCTTCTCAGACTTTACTATGCAGAAAAATCAGGTGAACCCATTCCTGGGCATGCTGAAATCGGTGTCTCAGTCTTGGGGCCCAGGACTCAGTGTTTAATATCTCAGGTGGTGATATTGCAGGGAGCCCGCATATAACCTGGTGGCTCCTTCAATGGCAGTGTTGGTCAGATTCTTAAAGAATGAAGGGCCCCCGTGTCATCACAAGGAGAAGTGTCTTCCACCTTGGATTATCTGGGAAACAGTTCTGCCCACGCTGGGGGGCCTGATTTGGGCCCTGCGTCAGTGTCCTGGGTGTAAACCTCTGCGAGATGCCCCTGGGTGTCAGGTCCTGGCTGCACCCCATCGTTAGGACTGGGGGCAGCAGCAGATGAGGGAAGACTTGTCTCCTCTGGCCCATGGAGTGTCCCTGTTTTTCAGCTCAGCCAGCATCCCATACTCAATTCTGCCGGCGAGAGCTGTGGGCCTGTTTTGCAGGTTGTGTCGTTTCAGCGGGTAACTGGTATGTGTGTGCATGCGTGCAAAAGAAAACATCAAAATGTTTGGGGAGTGTTTTAGGAAAATAGCAAGGAGCAGATTGCCAAGATTCGCTTATATGTTTCTTTTTCTTTCCTTTTCGCTGTGTACATGTGTGATCAGCATCCCGGAGTGTTCTGAAATACAGCTTTGGCTTTCTTACCCCAACTATTCTTCCGTATAGCAGAGAGGATACAATTCACCACCAATAATACCGAGCAATAAATAACCCAGAGAAGATGAATAGCCTTGTGTGGTGGTAAATTAAAGTTGATTTATTGCACATAATATATACAGGTGCTCCTAATGTAATTAAGCAGCGAGGCTTTTAATGTTGCAGAATCTGAAAGAAGACCCAAGAAAATTGGGTCTTAATAAGGCTTATTGAAATAACAGCTAAACATGCTGCTTAGTACCATTAGGGGATGCTGAAAGATGGATCGACTCTGCTGCTTTTTCTTATGTGTGGAGATGACACACCTGACCTGTTGTCAGCAGGTCCCGCACTTGAATTGTTTTCTCTACGGTAGGACTGGATTGTTTTGAGCTGTCAATATACCCTGGCCTTGTCCTGCTTGTGGCCAGAAGTTTAAGTGGCTGCCTATTGAATAGGTTTTTTTTGAGTGAAGGACGGGGGAGCTGGAACTGAAGACCCCACTGTCTACAGCCATACCACCCTGAATGTGCCCGATCTCATCTGAAGACCCCAGCCTCATTCTCCCCCGCCATTCTAACTAACCAGGCCAGGCAGGAGAGGATTTGTTCATGGAGTGAACTCACTGATTGAGCCTTTACCATGGGCAGAGTGCTGTGCTGGAGATTGGGAGTCAGGGATGGAAACAAAAGCTAGACAGTCCCCCTCCTCAGGAGGGCTAGTGGGCGAGACCTGCGTGAAAATGCAGGATCGTAGAGGAGGGGACGCATTCACCGAGAAGGTCCAGTGGATTGGGGGCTAGGGAGACCCTCGGACAGCTGCCTGGGGGAAGGGGCTAGAGAATGGGAGGGGAGGCTGGACTGGTGATTTAGGGGCAAGAGCAGGAAAAGTTCTGCATTCCGCTCAAGAGATAGAGACTTTGCCTGAAGGCAGTCTGGAATCCTGGCGGCTTAGGAGCCAGGGCATCATCACATTGATATTTTAGAGAGAAAATTCTTGGCAGTGTTATAAGTCATGGACTGGGGGAGACCAGGGAGCTAAGAGAACAGGGCCTGGACCAGAGCAGGGGGCAGAGTGAGTATGAAAGGAGGAGGGGTGAGAGGCAAACTCTCCCATGTGCCTTAGACCTGGTGACTCCAGTGGGGTTGGGGTGGCAGGGTACCTGGAGGAAGGGTGGATTTGTGAGCAGCCAGTACTTCCATCAGAACCCCTCGGGGGTGCTTGTTAGAAATGGAGGTTGGTGGGGGGTCCCTCACCTGTGGATCTCCAGTTGCTAAGGTGCCTGGACATCTGTGACTGAAACCAGGTCCCCAAAGGATGCTGAGGCCTGGAAACCTTGGTCTCACCTGGAGATGTGGCTCCACGATGCCCTTGGGAGCGAGCGAGTCATTTCACAAAGTGTTAGGAGGGAAAGGAGCCTTTCTGGGGCCAGCACGGTTGGAAGAGTTCACAGCCTTTCTGTGAGTTGCTTTAGGGGCCTAAGACTTTGGTTGCTGAAGGAAGTATAAATGTACAGTGACCCTCCAAGAGCCTCCCTCTCACAGGTATGCCCCACTTTAAGAAAACCCGCTAGACGAAAACCCTGACTTTTGGAGTAAGATTTGTCAAGGAGAGAGAGTTCTTCCCAGTACCAAAGGTTTCAGAAAAAGACCCGTTTAAGTAGTAAGCTGACCTTCTGAACCAATAAATAAGACAGTGGTTTCTTTCTTTTGTAGAGGTCACCTGTTGTAAATCTGAGAACATTTGAAGAATTTACTGCATTGGCTCATTAAGGTTAAAAAAAAAAAAAGTCAGTCGACTTGGTCAGCATTACCCAGTGCCCATGGTTTTCAGAGCCACCCCTGGGTGAACTGAGAATGGTGTTTGCTCCAGAGCCTGGGGCCACAGGGGAGGCTGGGGAGAGACTCAGGGCCCTACTGTTGGAATGGCCTTCACATGACTTGTCCTGCTTCCGGCTTGGAGTATGAAACCACCAAGAGGTATGTACAGCTCGCATTCCAGCATGGGAGGCGGGGAGGCTCCTGGACCCACGGGGCTGTCAGGTTGAGGCCTGCTCTGAACGCCTGAGCACTGCGATCCTGATGTGGAGAGCTTCCTTCCACCTCCGCCTCCTCCTCACGCTGCAACAGCGCTTGGCTGTACCTTGCCATTACTTGATTATTTGCAGAATTAGAAAAGGCTCAAGTATCTGATCATAATTTTTTCCTGGATATATAGCACATCCTCTGAATATGTAATCAGTGCTTTATTGTTTTTTTGTTTTTTTTTTTGTTTTTTTTTGTTTTTTTTGAGATGGAGTTTTGCTCTTGTTGCCCAGGCTGGAGTGCAATGGCGCAATCTCGGCTCACTGCAACCTCCGCCTCCTGGGTTCAAGCGATTCTCCTGCCTCAGCTTCCCGAGTAGCTGGGGTTACAGGCATGCGCCACCACACCCGGCTAATTTTGTATTTTTAGTAGAGATGGGGTTTCTCCATGTTGGTCAGGCTGGTCTCGAACTCCTGACCTCAGGTGATCTGCCCGCCTCAGCCTCCCAAAATGCTGGAATTACAGGCATGAGCCACTGTGCCCAGCCTGTTTTTTTTTTTTTTTAAAGGAATATGGGCTGTTAGATGTTGTAAATGGATAGGCAATGCATGTTCACTTTTTCTGAGGCTTGTTCAGGGAAACTGAAAAAAGTTCCTCTGTCACCTTGTGTGCATCTCTGTGGTACTGTCTCTCCAGGGTAGTGTGGGATTTAGAGGAGAGGGGCTGGAGGGGACCCTGCAGATGTCCCTATGTTCTGGAGGCGGACTTGTTTATTTTTGACAGAATGAATCTTGGACATGGGAGGATCTGGCTCTGACCAGCCACAAATTGGATATTTGTTTGACCTTTTTATTCCAGTGAGTGGGAAGAGATCCGGTACCTCCTTTATCATAAATCTTGCCTTGTTGTTTGCTCCAGTATAGCACTTCATCTGGGTGCTGTTTGAGCATCTGGCTTTCATTTTTAAGTGCCGGCAGGTGCAGGGGCAGGCATATCTCAGGGGGCCGTGGCAGATGAACGAGATGTGGCAAAAGCTGGCGTGGCACTGTTGGGGGTGAGTTTCACGGGAGAAAAAGGAGTTGAGCTTATTCTTGGGCAACTCTTTGCCTTCCTGCTAATGTTTCCAAGTATACCATGCAAGAATCAACTCCAAGGGGCTAGCTGAAGCTGGGGAAGGTGAAGAAGTGAGTCTGAGTTGTCTAGAACTTGATTGGTAACATCTCAGGGTACTGCCAGCTGCTGGACCAATGTGGTTCTCCTCCTTCCCTGCCTCTCACCCCTTCAAGATGAGTTGTCTTGTCTCTGACCCATCCTACAACAGCCACAAGTCAGTCGATCCTGTGTTTGTGCTCCCGAAGGACTTGGCGACTTGGCTAACAAGGAGACATTTGTTATTTCATTTCCTCATCCATTATTCATGCAGTGAGAGGTAATTAGCATTTAGTAATGTGGTTTCTGGGGTAGGTGAGTTGGGTTCATTCATTGAGCAAACATTTCTTGATCCCCTGCTCTGGGTTGGGTGCAGGCCAGGGGGCTAGGGTTACAGAGATGAGGGAAGGGCCTAGTTTGCCTTTGAGTGTGTGTCTGTTTGGGGAGGCAGGTGATCAGCGGGCGAAGGATGCTAAAGGTGTTTCAGGACCACCGAGCAGAGAGTCGTTTCTGGGGAGAGCCAGGGAAGGCTTCATAGAGGAAGTGGCATTTGGCTTGGGCCTTGAAGAGTGAACAGGAAAGAATTGGGATGGGGGGAATGTGCCCACCCTCCAGTGCAAACTGGGTCCTGGGGTTTAGCTTCTGATGATGGATGGTCATGGTCATGTGTCTTTCTGTGCAGCGCTGCCCACTTCTTTCCCCAAGCCTCTGTCACTCAGGAGAATTAATACGCCTCCTGCCCAGCATCTGGTGGCCCTGCCGCCCTGCTTGCTTAGGGAGATGGCTGACAGTTGGCAAGGAGGGGAGCTAGAAGGGTGCTGGTGAGTCATCAGGCTCCCCATGGCTAAAAAGAGAGCATACTTCAAAGCCCAGAGCATATCAAAGATGGGTTGTGTCACACCCACTGAGCATTTTACACAAATAAGAACTCAGTTTCTGACTCTGCAGCAAAAAGTTGGTCAGTTTTTGGGGGATTATTATTATTATTATTTTTTATACAGGTGCGGTAGGTTGAGAAATATTATTCATGGAAATAGGCTAAGTTGAAATAGGCTCTATCTGTTAAGGAATAGACTTATTAAGGTGGTGGGTGTGCCCTGTGTCTCTCTTCTTTAAACTCCGTTTTTCTTTGTTCTAGCCAATGTTTTATTGCTGATATGAATCACTGAGGGGCTTGGAGGGAGAAAGGAAAGGGTTTCTGTATAAACAGCTGTCTTGCTGATTCAATCTACAAAGTGGATTTTATAGCTAAAGTATTTGTTCTTGCTTTAAAATGCCAAAACAGCACCGTCATTTCCTCAGCGAAAAGAAGGGTCTTTGAGAATATGGGGCTTTCTGCTCCCGTCACAAATCTTTGCTTGGGGGAGAGGAGGAAGGAATTCCATAGAACTTTTCTTTGAACTGGTCTTTCTAAAAGAATCTCATGCTCAGAGGAGAAGAATTTTCTTTACAAAGTTTGAGTTACCAGTTCACGCAGCCTTCCTTTTTTTTTTTTTTTTTTTTTTTTTTTTTTTTTTGCCTTACTACATGTTCTGGTTTAAAAAACAATAATAATCCTCTCTGGTCATCACAGCTGACTACCTGCTTAATGTTTGCATATAGATATTTCATTTTCTTTTTTTATGCAAGATTTCATCGTTGCATTATCTGAGATAGTTGGTTGCCCTGAGATTATTAATAAATTGAGACAGTTAATGGTGTGTGACTCAGAACATACATTTAAAAACAAGTTGGAATAGAAATAGGTCTTTTACAAAATTAATTTTTTGTTAGGCTCCTCTCTTGAGCCTTTTTGTTTGAAGCCGGCTGGCTTTGTAGTGTTCATATATGGCCGACTGCAATTAACATAAATTACTTTTAAATACCAGTTAGTTGCTGTGGAGAGAGGCCAGGGTGGTGGCTGCTTATGGAAGGTTAAGAGGCTTGGTCATTGTCTGGGTTTTTATCTCACTGTGGATCAAATTCTGTTCCCTTTGGAGGCCAGAAGATCGTGTCAAAGATTGCTTTCTTTGACGATAGGGAGAAGGATTAAGTCTTTGCCCAGAGTACCAGTACTTACCAAGGAAGAATAAATAATCATAAAATGTTTACATATTTAAAAACAAATAATATTAAAATGCAACATGTATCCTGGATTGGATCCTTGAACAGAAAAAAGACATCAGTAAAAAAATTGATGAAATCCAAATAAAACATGTAGTTTAGTTAATAGTATTGAATATTGAATCAGTGTTAATTTCTTAGTTTGATCAATGCATCGTGGTTATGTAAGAGATGAACATTAGGAAAAGCTGAATGAGGGGTATGGGGAACTCTAAGCTATTTTTGCATTTCTTCTGTCATTCAAAAATTATTTTGAAATATTAAGGCTTTTTTGTTTTTTGAGATGGAGTCTCACTCTGTCGCCCAGGCTGGAGTGCAGTGGCGCGATCTCTGCTCACTGCAAGCTCTGCCTCCTGGGTTTACGCCATTCTCCTGCCTCAGCCTCCTGGGTAGCTGGGACTACAGGCCCGCGCCACCACACCTGGCTAATTTTTGTATTTTTAGTAGAGATGGGGTTTCACCATCTTGGCCAGGCTGGTCTTGAACTCCTGACCTTGTGATCCACCCGCCTTGGCCTCCCAAAGTGCTAGGATTACAGGTGTGAGCCACCACCATGCTGGGCCCAGTTTTTTTTTGTTTTTTTTTTTTTTAAGTATATTTGTAATATTGCTTTTGGCTTGGTTGAGATTATACAGGCACACCTTGGAGATATTGCAGATTCAGTTCCAGACCATTGCAATAAAGTGAATATTGCAGTAAAGCTAGTCAGATGATTTTTTGTGTGTCTTAGTGCATATAAATGTTATGTTTACACTATACTGTAGTCAATATTAAGTGTGCAATACATTATGCCTAAAAAACAATGTGCATGCCTCAATTAAAAAATACATTTGATAAAAAAAAATTGACAAAAATCTGAGCCTTTAGCAAGTCATAGTCTTTTTGCTGGTGGAGGGTCTTGCCTCAATGTTGATGGCTGCTGACTGATCAGGGTGGTGGTTGCAGAAGGTTGGGGTGGTTGTGGCAATTTCTTTAAAATAAGACAATGATGAAGTTTGCTACATTGATTGACTCTTCCTTTCACGAAATATTTCTCTGTAGCATGCAATGCTGTTTGATAGCATTTTACCCACAGTAGAACTTCTTTCAAGATTGCAGTCAGTCCTCTCAAACCCTGCAGCTGCTTTTTCACCTACTTTTAGGTAATATTATTAATCCTTTGTTACCTTCCCAACAACGTGCACATCTTCACCAGGAGTAGATTCCGTCTGAAGAAATTACTTTCTTTGCTCATCCATAAGAAGCAACTCCTCATCATTCAAGTTTTATCATGAGATTGCCGCAATTCAGTCACATCTTAGGCTCTGCTTACAGTTCCCTTGCTCTTTCCACCACATCTGCAGTTATTTCCTGCACTGAAATCTTGAACCCCTCAAAATCATGCATGAGGGTTGGAATAAACTTCTTTTAAACTTCTGTTAATGCTGATTTTTTTTTTTTTTTACTTTCTCCATAAGTCACAAATTTTTTAATGGCATCTAGAGTGGTGAATGCTTTCCAGAAGGGCTTCCTTTCACTATGTCCAGATTTATCAGAGGAATCACTCACTATCCATGACAGGCATAGCCTTACAAAATATGTTTCTTAAATTAATTGAAATTACCCCTGATCCACGGTTGCAGAATGGATGTTGGTTAGAAGGCATGAAGACAACATTAATCTTCTTGTATACCTCCATCAGAGCTCTTGGGTGACCAGGTATGTTGTCAGTGAGCTGTAATGTTTTGAAAGGAATCTTTTTTTCTCAGCAGTAGGTCTCAACAGTGGGCTTAAAATATTCAGTAAACCATGCTATAAAGAGATGTGCTGTCAGCCAGGTGTGGTGGCTTGCACCTGTAATCCCAGCACTTTGCGAGGCCAAGGTGGGAGTTTGAGACCAGCCTGGCCAACATGGTGAAACCCCACTGGTGTGGTGGCACATGCTTGTAATCCCAGCTACTCGGGAGGCTGAGGCAGGAGAATTGCCTGAGCCTGGGAGTTGGAGGCTGCAGTGAGCCGAGATTGCACCGTTGCATTCTAGCCTGGGTGACAGAGCAAGACTCTGTCTCAAAAAAAAAGAGATGTGCTATCATCCAGGCTTTGTTGTTCAAATTTATAGAGCACAGGCAGAGTAGATTTAGCATAATTCTTAAGGGCCCTAGGAATTTCAGAGCGGTAAATGAGGATTGCCTTCAACTTAAAGTCACCAGTTGTATTAGCCCCTAACAAGACAGTCAGCCTGTCCTTTAAAGCTTTGAAGCCAGCCATTGGCTTCTCCTCTCTAGCTATCAAAGTCCTAGATGCCATTTTCTTCCAATAAAAGACTTTTGTATACATGAGAATATCTGTTGTTGAATGTAGCCACCTTCATCAGTGATCTCGGCTAGATCTTCTGGATAACTTGCTGTGTAGCTTCTACATCAGCACTTGCTGTATTACTTTGCACTTTTATGTCAAACAAATGGCTTCTTTCCTTAAATCTCATGAACCAACTTTGCTGCTTCCAGTTTTTCTTCTGCACTTCTCAGCCCTCATAGAATTGAAGAGAGCTAGGGTCTTGCCTTGGGTTAGGCTTTGGCTTAAGGGAATGTTGTGGCTGGTTTGATCTTCTATCCAGATAATTAAAACTTTCTCCGTATCAGCAATAAGGCTGTCTTGCTTTCTTATCGTTCATGTGTTCACTGGAGTAGCACTTTTAATTTCCTTCAAGAACTTTTCCTTTGCATTAACATCTTGGCTGTATGGTGTAAGAGGCCTGGCTTTCAGCCTGTCTGGGCTTTTGAAATGCCTTCCTCACTAAGCTTAAGCCTTCCTAGCTTTTGATTTAAAGTGAGAGACACGTAACTCCTCCTTTCACGTGAACACATAGAGGCCATTGTAGGGTTATTAATTGGGCTAATTTCAGTATTGTGTCTACAGGCCTGCGGGAAGGGGAAGGGACGTGGGGGAATGGCCGGTCAGTGGATCAGTTAGAACACACACAATATTTATTGATTAAGTTTGCCATCTTATTTATTTATTTATCTTAATCAATATTTATCTTAATATTTATTAAGTTTGCCAGTTTGTGGCACCCCAAAACAGTTACATCAAAGATCACAGATCACCATTACAAATATTATTATAATAATAATGAAAAAGTTTGAAATATTTTGAAATGTGACACAGAAACATGAAGTTAGCACACGTGGTTGGAAAAATGATGCTGATAGACTTACTCAGCTCTACAATTAGTAAAAAATACAATATTAGCACAGTGCAATAAAGCAAGGCACAATGAAATGAGGTGTGCCTGCCTTTGGTTTATGGGCATTCATAGTGATGACCTCTAGGGAGGGCAGATTATTTCCTTGCTGCCTTGGGGACTGGGAAACTAAGGCCTTCGGGGATGCAGGGAGACCCTGGCTTCTGGCTTGTCGCTTCCTTCACTCTGTTCATCTCTGCCCATCTCTACACAGCACCGTGGACCCACGCACGGCTTTACTGCCCACATACCCTTCTGAAACTGGTATCTAGCTGATCTCTCCTAACTCCATAGGCACTCCTTGCCTGAGATGGGCAGATGGCCTTTGGTGACGTGCTGTCATTCTCCTCTAAGGACCAAGCAGTGGGATTTTTTTTTAATGCTGTCTTGTTTACTCTCATTCCAGGTGTCTTAACTTTTAGCAGCCAGATTGGAAGCTTCCTGAGGGTGGGAATTTTTATCTTGCTTGCTTTCTTTTAAAATCCATTTAAAAAATGTTCCCAATTACATAAATAATGCATGTGTTTAATAAATAAATATTAGAGAATTTATAGCATCAAAAGTAAAGGTTTCCGTAGGGCTGCCTCCTTGCTACCACCACTGTTAATGAATTAGAGTATATTTCTCTATATTTTTTCTGCGTGTACTACAAATATGATTTACAAATGTGAGATCCTATTAAACATACCATTTTGTACTTTCCACTGGGAATGCCTCATTGTCAAAGGAAATGCTGAGTGCCACCTTTAAGATGATGTATTCATGGGTGTATTAGCCCGTTTTCATGCTGCTGATAAAGACATACCCGAGACTCGGTAAGTTATAAAGAAAAAGAGGTTTAATGGACTCACAGTTCCACGTGGCTGGGGGAGCATCACAATCATGGTGGAAGGCGACAGTCATGTCTTACATGGTGGCAGACAAGAGAGAATGCAAGTCAAGCAAAAGGGGTTTCCCCTTATAAAACCGTCAGATCTTGTGAGACTTATTCACTACCACAAGAACAGTACAGGGGAAACTGCCCCTACGATTCAATTATCTTCCACTGGATCCCTCCTACAACATGTGGGAATTATGAGAGCTACAATTCAAGATGAGATTTGGGTGAGGACACAGCCAAACCATATCAGTGAGGCAGGGGACAGAGTGTATCTCTCACTTGTTAGGTCCTAGAAAGTCTTTGTAAGCTCCTGTTTCTTCTCTGGGAGAGGCGGGGCTGTGAGGAGTTCTTAGACACGGAGACCTTCCTTATGTAACAAAACATCCCAGAAGCCTTATCAGTGTTGTTACAACCCCAGTTAGTGAAGTGGTGTGGATACAGGGATTTTTCTAGAATAAATCTTGCTTTGTGGTATGGATGGATTGATTCATTTCCCTTTGATTTTGTGTCTCCTTGATAGAAGTTTGACTTGACACAAGGGAAAAAGGTGGTAGTAAGTACTGAGCACCCTTAAGAAGTAGGTTTCTTTAGAGCGGATGCAAGGTCCCAGAAGGACAGTGATGGTGCTGAGAGGAGAGGAGTGCAACCTGAGTTTAGTTGAATTTTCCTTCCTCACATATAAAATATCGCATACATACAAAAACATGTGAGATCTCCGTGTAAATAGGAATACTCACATAGTCACCATCCGGCTTAGAAGGAGAATATTACCAATACCTTTGATACCCCTGGGTGTTTCTTCCCGGTTTTACCTGCCTGCCTTCCTATCACATTTGGGTTTGCCTGCTTTTCACCCTTGTATTAGAATACTTTTTTCCATTCATGTGGTGTTTGTGGCATTCATTCATGTTGATGCAGGCAACTGCAGCTCATTTGTTTTCATTGCTGTAGCGTGTTCATTGAATGAATGGGCCACCCCTTGTCTTTTCTTCTTTTAAGGGACATTTGAGTTGCCGAGTTTAATTTTTGGCTAGCTCAAACCGTGCTGCAGCGAATATTCTTGGTTTTTTTTTTTTCACCGTGAATATTCTTGTATATATCTTCTGGTGTTTATACATGAGTTTACCAGAATGTGTATCTAGGAGTGGAATTGCTGAGTCTTAGGGTATCTACAACTTCAGGTTAACTAGAAACTGCATTGCAAAGATCCCCTTCTTTCTGCACTTGCACCTTTTGTGATATATTGTAGTTTTCATTGCTCTGCATCCTTATAGACAGTTGTTATTTTCAGACTTAAAACATTTTTTCCAATCTTGTGGAATCTCGTTGTGGTTTTATCTAGCATTTCCCTAATCACTAACAAGATTGAACTTCATGCTTATTATTGATGGACTAACTGATTGGTGCATGATACTTTTACATACTTTTGGGGTACATACGATATTTTGATATGTGTATACAGTCTGTAATGATCAAATCAGGGTCATCGAGACATCTGTCACCTCAAACATTTTTCTTTGTGTTGAGGACATTTCATTTCTTCCAGCGATTTTGAAATACCTTTATTTATTTGTTTTTGAGACAGGGTCTTGCTGTGTTGCCCGGGCTGGACTCGAATTCCTGGGCTCAGTAGGGCCTCCCACTTTAGCCTTCTGAGTAGCTGGGATAACAGGTGTGTGCCACGGTGTGCCCGGCCTAGTTATTTTGAAATGCACAATAAATTAGTGTTAACTATAGTCACTTGACTATTCTGTCGAACACTAAGACCTGTTCCTTCTTCCCAAGTGTATTTTTGTTCTTGCTTATTTTTTAGGGAAAGGAATCCAGGCACACTTAAACACACTTATTAAATGACACAAATGGCTGCTTTGGTAGGACATGTTCTCCCCAGTGCTGTTTTCTTGTCTGGGGATGGAATCAGACAAATCTTTTCACTTACTGTGAGAATTTTGGGAGTGTCTATTAGCTTGCAGCACTTTTCTTGGATTCTGTGTATTACATTTTGAGAACCCAGCTGATGCCTGGTTCTGTTGAAACCCCTAAATCCACATCCTCTTTTGAGGGGAGCATTTTATTACTTTTCATGTAAATAGGCAAATAAATGGGACTTCAGGCAGAGTCCCTGGGTGTTTGGTGGCAGCAGATCGTGGGCAAGGGAGTGGCTTTGGGGAGGAGTTGGGGGACAGCCCCAGGCAAACATCAACACCTAAGATAGAAACCCCAAGGTAGAAACTGGCCGAGTGAGGAGGAGAGAGGGAGAAACAGCAACACACTTTTCATAGGGAGGGATGAGGGAAAAAGGACCACCAGGCTCCAGCTGGTGATCAGAGGCCAGAGCGGGGTTGGGCAGGACTGCTGGAGCACAGGATTCCCTGTCCGGTGTTCACGGGGAAGTCCCCAAATCTCAATGAGGGACCCATTGGCCAGGGAGGGTTCTGCTGTGGCTGTAGCTTTGGCGGGGGCGGTCTGTTTTACTACATGTTCAGCTGAGTGCTTTCCTGTGAAAATAGACCTTTGATGTTCTGGAAAATCTGCTTTAACACTTGGGGGAGAGAAGCTGCCTATGGAAGGGGAAAAAAAAGTTATGTTACGAAAGAATGGAATTGCACAGCTCGACATATGCTGGGTTGGTTGTTCTAGTAACCCCATGAGAAGAATTGCAGGACCAAACACAGGCTTTCATTCCCAAGTGAGAAAGCATGTTTAGAAACGCAGTGTGAAGGGGGAAAAATATCAGAGGCTAACATTGTGTTTCTGTTGTGAATACAACTATATAAATATTACCTGTGCTTATGGACAAGGTCCAGGAGGAACAGGGAAAAATAATAGTTGATTTCATTTGTGTGGTGGGATAGTGGGTGTTTTAAAAATTATTGTATTATTATTATTGTACAGGAAAAAATCTTTACTCAAATAATCCTGGCCTCAGCGGTCTGTTATTTTGCTACATCACTCGGAATACCTGTCAACACATTTATTTATTGAGTTCCTAATATGATGGGCCCTTTGAGGAAGAAGACACTAGTCCCTGCCTCCAAGAAACTTACAAACTATTATGGGATGCTAGACTGTAAATACCCAGGATGTGAATGATAGTTCAGTAGCGTAATGGGCCGTCACACAAGGTGTCGTGTGGTTAATTGTCAAAGGAAGTAGAAAACAGTACAGGCTCTTCCTGGGGTCTTTCAGGAGGATTTCTCAGAAGAGGTGGCCTTGAGAGAGTCCCTCAAGCATGGGAGGACCTGAATTACTAGAGGGAGGAGGGAAGGGAGTCTTGGAGGGAAGGAGCAGGGAGGGAGAGCTTTATCCAAAGGGGAACACCCAGAAAAATAGTTGGGAGCCATATTAAGAGCCCATTGATGGCTGTGCGCCATGGCTCACGCCTGTAATCCCAGCACTTTGGGAGGCCGAGGCGGGTGGATCATGAGGTCAGGAGATTGAGACCATCCTGGCCAACATGGTGAAATGCTATCTCTACTAAAAATACAAAAAATAGCTGGGCGTGGTGGCGTGCGCCTGTAGTCCCAGTTACTTGGGAGGTTGAGGCAGGAGAATCGCTTGAACCCAGGAGGTGGAGGTTGCGGTGAGCCGAGATTGCACCACTGCACTTCAGCCTGGGCGACAGAGTGAGACTCTGTCTCCAAAAAAAAAAAAAAAGAAAAAAGAAAAAAAGAAACCCATTGACTATCAGGATAAAGAGTAATTTTTTTTTTTTTTTTCCTTTTGAGACCGAGTCTCACTCTATCTCCCAGGCTGGAGTGCAGTCGTGTGCTCTCGGCTCACTGCAGCCTCCACCTCCCCGGTTCAAGCGATTCTCCTGCCTCTGCCTCCCGAGTAGCTGGGACTATAGGCGCCTACCAGCACGCCCAGCTAATTTTTGTATTTTGAATAGAGACAGGGTTTCACTATGTTGGGCCAGGCTGATCTCGAACTCCTGACCTCAGGTGATCCTTCTGCCTCGGCCTCCCAAATTGCTGGGATTACAGGTGTGAGCCATCGCACCCAGCCAGGAGAAGCTATTAAGAGTTTACCCAGAATTCCTCCCTGAGATTCACTATTTGTCAGTAGTCTTAAGCTATTTTTGGGTAGGTCCTCTTTCAGCATAGGGTGAAACCTCTGGACCCTCTCCTAAGAAAAATCCCCTTAGAACTACAAGAGGTCTCCCACAGAGGGGTTTTCTTAAGGAAGACTCCCCACAGCCCATCCTTGGCAGTGTAGCAAATATGTATCCAGCATCTACTGAGTGCCAGATGTTTTGTGGGACGGGGGGATACAGTAAAAATAAGACAAGCCAGGTCTTCGCTCTCAGAGAGCTTATAGTCTAAATGGAAGGACAGATGCTGAAGACGTGATTACAGGCAGGAGAGTGTTATTAGGAGGTAGACCAGATGCTTGGGAAGAGTGATAGGTGGCCCCAGCCTTTAGGAAAGGCCCCCTCAGTTGGGATTCAGAATGAGGATATTTAGGGGTACAGAATCCCACGGTGTGAGTTGCAGAAGGGCCCGAGCATCTGTCTGGTGGCACCTTCTCAGGAGGAACCTCACTGACCGGCATGGGTGAACCGTTCAGCTAGGGTCTTGGGGAAAGTCAGGCATCTCTGGAGCCTCCGATGTTGAGGATAGGGTAAGAGCAGCATTGTTCTCTGGGGCCCTTTTTCCTTAGTAACACACACTCACCCGGAGCCAGTTGTGCCTTCTTGCAAACAAACAGCTTTCAAGAAGAGTTAATAAATTAATCTTCTGGGAAAAAGAATCTGCTCTGCGCCAGCAAGACCTCTAGCAGCCAGGGCCAGAGACTTGGGCAATGTAGTCAAAACACACGCTGATCACTGTGTGTTACTGCTGACGAGGTTTTAGGCAGCCAGTTCGGTGCGTTTGATATCGGGCAGTTCAGGCAGGGTGAAGGAAGATAAAGTGTGTTAAATGGAGCTCTCACAACAACCCTGGAGGATCTAGTCCCATTTTACAGATGAGGAGCCTGACACACAGAATAAAATCGACTTAAGGTCAGCTACGAGTCCCTGGAGGCTAGGGTTGCGTATTCTGTTCCTTCTCTGCCATTGAGTTGGCTTTCCCTTTATCCTTTTCTTCCGCTTAATAATAATAGGTAACATGACCCACAAGGTACTGTGAAAAGCTCTATGTAAACCATCACTTCTTACTAGAAAAGCATTTCAAACCATCTGCTCAATCTATATTTAAAGAGGGTGTAATGCCCATACTTTATTAAGGTCTAACTGTATTAAGGTCTGGATATACTGATTCATTCAACACATATTTATTGAATGTCTGTTATGTGCCCCTAGGACATGTCAGTGAATAAAACTGACAAGGATCCTGGACCTGGTGGGGCTTTCCTTCTGCTTGGCCATACAGAGTAGAGAGAAGCCTGGCCTTTGCTTGCTCTGGGGGTTGGGGAAGCAACTGGGAGCCTCTGGGGACGCTGAATCAGGTCCCACTGGCTCCTCTGGCTGATGAGGAAGAGCTTCTCTGGCTGCCTCTTGTGTTTCCTTCTCCTTGTGCCTTACCACCTGCAGACCTTCTGGGGCTTGGAGTTCACTGCCGCCTATAGAGAAGATCCCTTCCTTCCTACTAATGAGAGAGAGAGAAAGAGCTTCCCACTGAGATCTGCTTGTTAAAAAGTTAGACTCATCTGCAATTTCACCAAACAGATGACCTTACAGTGATTAAGTCACAAAACGAAGTCCTGTCCGCCCCTTTATGTTGGCTTCCTTTGTAGACACGTCCTCCCCACATTATCTTCCCTCTCCCCAGTGTAGATTCTGGAGTTCCCATCAGGGTTCTGCAACTTGCTCAAATGAGGATGAGGTTGGAAGATTCAAGGGTGTGACACTGTCATTTGTCCTAAATGGAGGGGCAGGAAAGAGATCCTGTCACCCCTCCTGTTCCCAGGAACTGGGGGTGTACCTGGTGACAGTTAGATGTGTATACATGTCATCGCTGTTCACATGCTCTGCTGCCAATTTTATTTTGTTTTATCTATTTATCTATCTATTTGTTTGTTTGTTTATTTATTTATTTATTTTTGAGTTGGAGTTTCGCTCTTGTCGCCCAGGCTGGAGTGCAATGGCATGAATCTTGGCTCACTGTGATCTGCTGCCAATTTTAATATTCCTTAGTATACACAATGTGTCTGCCCTCATGAAAATGTGGTGTGAGGATACCCATATCATATTCAAAAGCAAAGTGATGGGCTAAGTAATTATTTGGTGTTCAGAAAGATTCACTGGAGCTCCTTTAACTAGGGGGTCCCCAGTTTGTTTACATGAGGACTTGGTCTTTGATACATTTGTGCAGTTTTTGAGGAACATTTTGAGCTTCGGATGCCTGCTTATTCCTTGGGCTGTCCAACATTTCCTAAATCCTTAGGAGTTTTTCCTCTATTTCCTAACACTCTGTGCAACCCCCTGTGATTAATTTCATATGTCCACTTGGTTAGGCCTATGGTGCCCAATTGTTTGGTGAAACCTTAGTCTATGTATTGCTGTGAAAGTATTTGTGGATGTGATTAACATTTCTAATCAGTTGACTTTAAGTAAAGCAGGTTACTCTCCATGGGCAGGAGTCACCCAGTCTGTTGAAGGCCTTAAGAACAAAGGCCAAGGTTTTCCCAGGAAGAAGCAATTCTGCTTCTGGACTGCAACATGGAAACCCTCCCTGAATTTCCAGACTGTTGGCCTGCCCTAGGATTTTTTTTTTTTCTCTTTGAGATGGAGTCTCTCTCTGTTGCCCAGAGTGGAGTGCAGTGGTGCAATCTCAGCCCTCCGCAACCTCCACCTCCTGGGTTCAAGCGATTCTCTTGCCTCAGTTTCCTGAGTAGCTGGGATTACAGGCACCTGCCACCACACCCAGCTAATTTTGTACTTTTTAGTAGAGACAGGGTTGCACCACATTGGCCAGGTTGGTCTCGAACTCCTGACCTCAGGTGATCTACTTGCCTTGGCCTCCCATCCACTGGCCTTGGCCTCCTTGGGATTATAGGCATGAGCCACCGTGCCTGGCCTGCCCTAGGATTTTCAGGCTTGCCAACCCTCCACAATCAAAAGCCAATTCCTTAAGATAAATTTCTCTCCCTCTTTCTCTCTCTCTCCTGTTGATTCGATGTCTCTGGAGAGTCCTGACTAATACATTCCCTATCATAGCAGTTGCTTGTTTCTCTTTTTCTCTCTCTTGGACCATAACCTGTATGAGAACTGGAACAGTGTCTTGTTCTCTGCTCCATTCCAAGTGCCTTCCATAGAGCCTGACAGACAGACGATGCTCAGTCAATGCATGAAGAATGAATGAAGGCATCTGTACTCACTGAGAGGCAGTGGATTTTTGACCCTTTGTGGTCAGACAGACCTGAGTTGGAGTCCTGGCCCCACCATTGATTAGCTGTTGGATCACAAGTTCCTTATTTGTCACAGAGGAGGAGTAATATCTGCCTCCCAATTGGCTGTAAGGATTAAATGAGACGACGTGCCTGGCATGTAGTAAGTCATGCGAGGTAAATCAAATAATGTTAGCTACTCCTGATACCACCACCGCCACCATTTTCCAAGGTTGTTTTGAGGATTAAAGGAGATAATGGATAGAACATTCCTAGCACATAATAGGGGATCATAAGTGCTAGTTCTCTTCTAAATATCAAGCTTTTTCATGTGTATGTTTTTGCTAAGTGTATAATATCTATTTAAATCCCATGAAGCAGTTTTAATTGCCCCATGTTAATGCTGAGAAACGAAAGCATAGAACTTAAGTGGCTTACCCGACATTCAGTAAGCAGAATGTTTTATTGTGTGCCGACTTAACGGTTGGGATTTCCTCTTTGGCATATGATGTTTGACCCTGCTTTTCCCCTGACCTTGTCATTTCATTACCATCAGCTTTTGCTTGGTATGGACAGGTGTATACTTCCCTACCACAGGTGAGCCCTTGGTTCCTTAGCAGGCTCTCCTTTACCTCCTTGGTGTGGTCCCAGGGACCCAGCCTGCTCTCTCTTCCTCTGGCACTGCCACTCCATCCCTGAGAGTCTTCTCAGAGACTGGCTCTTGAGAAGGTACAACCCCCCTCATTTCCACTTCCACGTTGTCCTTGAGGAGGAGCTGTTTTTCCTGGTGAGTTTTATTGTTCATCATTGAAGGCAGAAGTTTCAGTGATGCCACAGGCGAGGGTACAGTTGGGCTATTTTCTTTTGTCCGTGGTACCATGGAGGAAACTGAGTTCAGTTACTCGTGCAAGGCCACAGAGCTGTCACCTGGCAGGCTTCCCAGGTTGAGGGCTGCCTGTATTTTCATCAGCATGAGGGGATATCACCTCCTCAGCTATTAGCTCATGTGATCCTACAGGCTACAACTGAGTCTTCTTTGTAGTCTCAACGCAGGTTTTCTGTGGACTGGAGAAAGCCTTTGGAAAGAAATGTTAATACTCTTTAATAAGTGAAAATGCACTGTAGAAGAATCTTTGAACATAAGTAGTTCTATAGATCATCTATTCTACTGGGCTTAATCATCATAGGGGATTTTTGCCTCAAGTTTGGGGCTAAGGAACTTGTAAGCATTTCTGTCTTACCCATGAGCTGGAAGCTGTGTTCAGAGCAAGCTTCTCTTATACTTGGATCATGCCCCTGGTGCCAGCTTTATTCTGAAATTGCTTTGGGCTTTCTGACAGCTCATATTCCCCCTCTGCCACCAGTTAGCTTCCAGGATGGGCTTGCAGAATAAGTGGCTTTAATCGTCTGTTGGCCACTTGTTATATATCCCTACCATGGGGAAACGTGTGTAATAAAACATGAATATATTGGGGCGGGAGGACTTTGTATGTGTTAAACATATTGTGTAGGTGTATAATGGTGAAAGAAAAGTGCATGCAATAAATATTGGGAAATGTTTGCACAAATGAGCAAGGATTTAGTCTTTGTGACTTGATCATCCTTGAGGGGAATTCCTTCTCAGGAAAGCAGGTGTTAGTGCCAGATGGTCACGTGTCAGTTTCCTGAGATCCTGCTCAGGAAGGAGTCGTTGGGGAAGAGGAGGCAGAGAGGGCCCTACTTGGGGAGTCTCAATGGATGACACAGCCAGAAGAGAGGAGAGAGGGAGGCACGACTCAGTGGCAGAAGGGTTCTCGAGGCCCGAGTGGAGTGCTATTAGTAATCAATAGATTCAGAAGCAGCCTGGGCCTGCCACGAGAAGCTGGCAGTGTTGGTCTCTGTCCGCTGGGCCTCAGCTTCTCTCCTGGCAGACGGTGATGATGGGGGTGCAGGGGCTGGGGAGTATGAAGGGTTTGGGCTTTGATGAGTCAGTGAATTTAGCATTTGTGTGTCAGTTCAGACCCGGCTGGCCTGGAAGTCCAGGTGGCAGAGGGCAAGTCAAGCCCTTTCTGGTACTGTATTCTCCCTCTTTCCGGCCCAGCAGGCCTGCCTGGACCTGTGTTCTGCTTCTGTATCCTGGACTGAGAATCACTGTGCTGCCTCCTGAGGAGCTGCTGCTGGAGTGGACCTTGGGGCAGCTAGCACATTGCCTGTCTTCCTAAAGGCATCGGTGCACAGGGCACCTGGGAATGACAGCGGGCCTGAGAGCAGAGCTCAGTGGAGATGCTGGACCCCTGAAGGTTGTGTTATTTTTTTTTTTTTTCCGAGTTGGAATCTCACTCCGTCACCCAGGCTGGAGTGCAGTGGCGTGATCTTGGCTCACTGCGACCTCTGCCTCTCAGGTTCAAGTGATTCTCCTGCCTCAGCCTCCCAAGTAGCTGGGACTACAGGCACACAACACCGCTCCCAGCTAATTTTTGTATTTTTAGTAGAGACGGGGTTTTACCATGTTGGCCAGGCTGGTCTCGAACTCCTGACTTCAAGTGATCCACCCGCCTCGGCCTCCCAAAGTGCTGGGCATCAGCCACTGTGCTTGGCCGACTGTGTCATTTTGTACTTGCAGCACAGGAAGGAACTTGTCTTTTCCTCGTGAAGGGTTAGAGGCACTTTGGTTCTTCATTGGGCCTCAGTTTACCTACCAGTGCCACGGGGATATTAATGAGTGCCTCACTTGACTCTTTCTCCCACATGGATGCTGTGCAGATAGAGGTTGGTCCTAGAGAGGCCCGAGAGCCTTCACAGATGGTGTGGCAGCACCGCAGAGCGCCTTGGCATCAGATAGACCCACCTTCAAATCCTTTTCTGCCCCTTACTATCTGGGGACCCTTGGCATATTGCCTGTTCTTTCTCGGCCTCAGTTTTCTTGTCAATTTAAAAGGAATAACACCATTTTTTGAACGGAATGGTTATACTCATTTGACAACGTTGTTGTGAGGATCTGATGGGTTTCTCTGCAACATGTGTCAAATTCCTGTAGTGCCCAGGACACAGTAGATGCTCAATATGTGGTGGCTCTGATTACTATTATTGGTGTTGTTTGTAGAAAATTGGGCTTTCGGGTCCATCCCACTGGTGGCTTGTGCCTGGGAGTTTTTGGCACTCAGAGAAACTGTGGGAGACCTTTAGCTGTTGAGACCAGTCATGGATGTGTGTGACACATAGGGTCTATGGTGACTTCTCAGCAGATGATAAAGTGGTGCTGGGTCTTTCTTGGACAGCTCAAGGATGGAGGTGCTTCTTTGCCAGAAGCAGGGTTCCCTGGATTCTGAAATCTCATTTTGCAAAGGATTAAAGATAAAAGAGAGAAACCACAGCAGTTCTACATGCGGTAAAACACTCCCCACTGTTCAAGGAAGTTCCTGGAGAGGTACCTGAAAGAAACCCTATATGCTGGGAGTTGGTGCTGTTAACCTTTGGCTCAGGGGAAGTGGGAAAGCTGAAAGGACAGAATGAAAGCCATAGTATTGGCTATATATATATTTTTAAACAGGCCCTGTTCTCTTGCCCAGGCTGGAGTGCAGTATATACACATTGCTCATTGCAGCCTCCTATTCTTGGGCTTAAGTGATCCTTCCCACCTTAGCTGCCCAAGTAGCTGAGACTACAGGCATGGGCTGGCTGCTATGCCCGGTAATTTTTAAAATTTTTTTGCAGAAATGGGGTCTTGCTATATTGCCCAGGCTGGTCTCAAACTCCTGGCCTCAAGCGATACTCCCACCTTAGCCTCCCAAGTAGCTGGGACTAATGCAACCACACCTGATTAATTTTGTTTGTTTTGTAGAGACTGTGGGGATGGGGAGTGGTTCTCATTATTTTGCCCAGGCTAGTCTGGAACTCCTGGGATCAAGTGATCCTCTCACCTTGGACTCCCAAAGCGCTGGAATTACGGGCGTGAGCTATGGCATCCGGCCAGGTATTGCCTTTTGATACCTGCTTTCTCTGGAGACAAGTCATAGCACTCAAGCCTGGAAGGGTGATCACTGTGTTCAGGTCGGAGACAGAGCACAGTCCCAGCAGCCGAGCCATCAACCAGGATATTGCAGGGAGAGGCCCTTGGCCTTGCTGTCAGAGAGTTATGGAGAGTGCAATGTCAAGAGAACTACATTATTGTATAGTTTCTTTTCGAGAGAACTACATTATTGTATAGTTTCTTGATGCCTGAAGGCAACTTTGCAGGAAGGAAAGGCCTTAAATCTTAAGACTGTGTTGGGTTGTGTAGCAATTCCTGCCTACCTTCTATACTTCCTTCCTAATTTTTCTTTTTCAAAACTGCCAACTGGAGGAAACCTGGTGTGGTGGTGTTTGAGAGGCTCCGGGTGGGTGCTGACCTCTGGCTTCAAGGCTGCAGGCTCCCTGGGGCCCGGGTTGGGATGCCTCCCCTGGGGAGGTGCCTGATGAGAGAGAAAGCACCCTGCTGCAGTTTCAAGGCTGACCAGCCTTGTAACCTTCAAAAGAGCAAACCCTGCAGTCTTCCAGAGTGTAAATTGAAGAGAAAGTGACCCTTTCATATTTCAGGTCCTGTGTGAGAAGGAAAAGAAAATTCTCTGAAGATGCCTGGGCTGTGTTTTTTTACAGGCTTGGAAGCCACCATAACTTTTAACTTGACTCCCTCCTCTCTGCTCTTTGCTTGTGAAGGATTTTAGGATTTTGTATGTGTATGAATTAATGGGCCTGTTTTGGATCTTTCTTCCTTAGAACACAGATGTCCAGGGCACCATTATAGTTCCAAGGGGGGTTAAGATTTCCCCTTTGCAAAGGTCGACATTGGATTTCTTTTTTGGGACAGAGTCTCGCTCTGTTGCCAGGCTGGAGTGCAGTGGTGCTATCTTGGCTCACTGCAGCCTCAGCCTCCTGGGTTCAAGCGATTCTCCTGCCTCAGCCTCCCGAGTAGCTGGAACTACAGGCGTGTGCCACCATGCCCGGCTAATTTTTGTATTTTTAGTAGAGACGGGGTTTCACCTTGTTGACCAGGATGGTCTTGATCTCTGGACCTCGTGATCCACCAGCCTCAGCCTCCCAAAGTGCTGGGATTACAGTCGTGAGCCACTGCACCCGGCCGGCATTCGTTTTCTGATGTCTCATACAGACTTTCTCTGCTTGCCTTAGGGCTGCAGCTAAGTTTAAACCCAGTGGGTTTGTGCAAATGTCTGTCCCTGTAGTATGCATTCAGAATGTGTTGGTCTGACTCTGTTTGGTCTCCTTTTCTAGCATAAAACACGTCCACACTCGGAAGATGGTAAAGCAACAGTCCAAATCTGCTTTCACTCCCTGCCCAGCATTTAGTCACCGCTGCCTTTTGACAAAAGAATTACTTTCCCTTCCTGGTTTTGAATTGAAGACCTTTTGTGTATTTACTGCAAATATGATAAATGCTAGTCTGTAGAAACCAGCTGCCTCTGAGGGCTGGGGGCAGCATTTCTAACACCTGGCAGTTTGCATTTCAATATGGTGGCTTAAAGAAAACTCACACACACCAGAAAAACAAAACCCAGCTCAAAACAATGATTATTCTTGGCTGCCTAGTGGGAAACAAGAGTAGGGGAGGCTCAGTGGGCCCTGGCACAGGCAGGGGAACTTGCTGAGAAGTTACTGCTTGCAAGGTGAGGTCCGCTTTCAGTTCGGTCCGGTTCATGTTTATCAACGCCTTCTGTGTGTACCGTATAAGGTGCTAGGCACAGAGACAGGTGAGACAGGGCTCTACCTTGAGCTCACAAGCTGTTGGTTGTCAGATAAGCAGGTCAGGGAACCTGGAGGCTCCAAGGATGACCAAAGAGGCGGGCCTGCTGGGGTGGGTCCGGGCAGTGTCCCAGAGGAGGCTGTACCTAGGATTGGGTCTTGAAAACTGATGTATTTGTTTGCTAGGGCCAGTGTAACAAAGTACCACGGACTAGGCGGCTTCTACAACAGAATTTTTTTGCTTCACGGTTCTGGAGGCTGGGAAATTCAAGATGGAAGTTTTGATAGGGTTGGCTCGTTCTGAGGGCTGGGAGGGAAGGATCATTGCAGGTCTCCCTCCGTGGCTTCTAGATGGCTGTTTTCTCCCAGTGCCCATATGCCATCCCTTTGTATGAGTGCACATGTATAAATTGTGCCCAGATTTCCTCAAGGACACTGGTCCTATTGGATTAGGGCCCACCCTAATGATCCTATTTTAATTTAATTACCTCTGTCAAGACCGTATCTCTAAATACAGTCATATTTTGAAGTACCAGGGCTTAGGACTTCAACATGATTTTTTCAGGGGACACAGTTTGGCCCATAACAGATGGTAGGAGTTTTTCAAGGAGATGGAGTAATTGTGGAAAGGGGTTTCCCGCCAAAGGGAAAGGTAGGGGTACAGCCACCGGGCAAAGTAGAGCATCATGCATTGGGGAGCCTCATGTATTGTGGGGTGTAAGAGTGGGCAGTGGCAAGAGATGGAAAAGGGAAAATATAGGGTGAGATCATATGTGACCACCTGTTCAGTCAGGCACCTGGATTTTTTTTTTTTTTTTTTTTTTTTTTGAGATGGAGCCTTGCTCTGTTGCCAGGCTGGAGTGCAGTGGCGCGATCTCGGCTCACTGCAACCTCCCACTCCCTGGTTCAAGTGATTCTCCTGCCTCAGCCTCCCGAATAGCTGGGATTACAGGCACGTGCCACCACACCCAGCTAATTTTTGTATTTTTAGTAAAAACGGGGTTTCGCTATGTTGGCCAGGATGGTCTCGATCTCCTGACTTTGTGATCTGCCCGCCTCGGTCTCCCAAAGTGCTGGGATTACAGGTGTGAACTCCTGCGCCCGGCCGCGCCTGCGTTTTTAGAAGATGCCCCAAGTAAATCATGTGCACAGTGAAGTTTGAGAAACATGAGTCCAGAGCTGTGGTTCTCAGCCTTGGCTGCAGGTTAGAATCATCAAGCGGAGGGATGCTGGTCTCTGAAACTCTGATTTACTTGGTTGGGGGTGTGGATTGGGCTTTAGGAGCTTTTGAAAGCTCACCAGGTAATTTTTCTGTGCAGCCAGGATTCAGAACTGCTGTTTGGGCAGTGGGGAGCCAGGAAGAGTTTAAAGCAGGGGTGCGATGTGGGGTGGAAAGTATAGAAACTGTTTTCTGCCCTCTCTTGACCAAGAGCAGGAGCTCATGGTCTTTGGAGCCAAAAGCAGCCCTGCCGGATACCAATGTCTTGTCCTGGTGTCCTTTGCCTGGGGCAGGTCAGGCGAGTAAAGGAGAAACACAGGCCCAGCTGATTTGCCTGTCATTGGGGGTGAGGGCTCTGATTTGAGTGTGTCCTGTCGACTCAAGGACCACAGACGTGGGGCATTTGACTCCATTGCTGGCAGCGTTTCTTGGGGGCTTGGGGGTCGGTGGAGGGGAGCCTGTGTTGGGGGAGGCAGGGCAGATATGCGGGTGGAAGAGGGGAGTTCCCAGCCAGGTTTTCTGGAAATGGTACATTCTTATTTCCCATAGTACCAAAGGTTCTTGAAGGCTGGGCCCACTCCTCAGAAAGGATGCTTTTTGTGGCTGTTGCATGCACCAGATAAGCTCTCCAAAGCCCACTGGTGGTAAAGGTGATCTAGAGCAAACAAACATCAGTGAAAAAGCAAACAAACCCGAACACCCAAACAGCATTTATCCCAGTTTAGCGGCGAGACTTGGATTAGGCAGGTCACATGGCCCACAACTTTCCTTCAATCCTTGGGAGACTTCTTCCGTGGAAACCTTTTTCGGCAGCTTTGCAATTCTGATTTTCAGTTAATTAGATTTGTGCTGTTTGGGAGACTTGGTTAATGCATTTCACCCCACAGAGCTAATTTGCCTCTGTCTAAATTAGGTCCTTGCTGTGGCGGAGGGTGTACACGGGCTGTGTGAATACAGACTCACGTGGGGTATTGAGAGACCATTAGACAGTAAACAGGAGAGGGCTTTGAAATCACATTTGTCATCATCATCATTATTATGGAATATCTGAGGTCCCACCGAGAGAATAGAGGTGTTCTTCAGAGAAAGGCCATCATGTGAGTACACCTGGTCTTGTTACATGTCTCTTGAAATACAACCAGGTGCCCTCTTGTACTGTTAACCCAGGGCCATAGCATGAAGGAGAAGGGAAATCTATCTGGAGGGTACAAAGTAGTAGATACTGCTAAGTAATACATTTACAATCTCTAAATTTTTAGGGCTGAGAGGGACCTTAGGAGCTATCTTAGCCAGTCCCTCACTTTATAAGCCCAGGAATCTGAGGCCTAGGGTTATTGCTACTTTTTTTTTTTTTTTTTGAGGCAAGGTCATCTGTGATCTCTGTCATCCAGGCTGGAGTACAGTGGCATGATCATGGCTCACTGTACCCTTGACCTCCCGGGTTCAAGCAATCCTGCTTCAGCCTCCCAAGTAGCTGGGACCACAGGTGCATGCCATCACACCAGGCTAATTTTTTAATATTTTTGTGTAGACAGGATCTTGCTATGTTGTCCAGGCTGGTCGCAAACTCCTGGCCTCAAGTGATCCTCCTGCCTCAGCCTCCTGAAGTGCTGGGATTACAGGCGTGAGCCGCTGCTCCCAGTCCATTCCTACTTTTGAGTTTGGAAAATCCTGTGCTTTTCTTTCCTTTCCCATGTGTACTTGCCCCCTTCCCCATGGTCTTTGGAGGCATGTGAGGGATGGAGGGAGGTTAATCTAATCGCATGGATATATTTGGGAGGTGACTATGGGAACTGAGTGAAGGCTTGAGGTCCGGTTTTGTGGATTCATCACAAATGCTATCCTTTGTTCCCTTTCTCCTGTGTCAGAAATTACAGACTCTGTTGGTGATGGGACACTAGAAATTATAATTTAATAATTTGCATGCTGATGATCTTCTCAAAAGACTTTGAGGCAGGAAAAAAAAAAAGGCAGGGGGCACCTAGGGAGATAGAATCAGGAATCAGGCTCTTTGTTTCCATTGCCCACAAGAGTGCTCAAAAGCCATTTGTGGAGGTGGGCTGTGTTTTCAGAGGCCCTGTCAATAGTTAAGATCTGTACATGTCAGAGGCCATGCATGCCACCTAGACTAGGGGGCCTTTCACCTCTTTGCCATCTCTGATAGGTTGGAAGAAGCTTGACTGCTGGAGTACTGATCAGTGGGTGGGCATATGCACTCGATTAGCCACGCCTGCCATGGCCAGGGCATGGGGGTGGCAGCATGCTTACTGTCTGTTGCCATCTCTTCAGCTTATACCACCAACTGAGATGATGACGATGCCTGGAGACTCTTATTTCAGGCATTTTGAAAAAAGGAGACATAACTTCTGTCCCTGGGAAAATTTTAACCCCATCAGAAAGGCAGAATATATGCACAAGGAGGCCTTAATGCCTAAAGAATCTCAACAATCTCAATTAGCATTAGCATTATTAGCATAATTTAGTAATAACCACCCATTACACTCTATCCCATGTTATAGTTTTGCTTTTTTTTTTTTTTTTTTTTTTGAGACGGGGTCTCACTTTGTCTCCCAGGCTGGAATGCAGTAGCATGATCTTGGCTCACTGTAGCCTACACCTCCTGGGCTCCAGTGATCCTCCTGCCTCAGCCCCCCATGTAGCTGGGACTCCATGTTATAGTTTTGACACACGGAATAGATAGGACAGAAATGAATATATAAGGCAGAGAAAGAAGTCAGGACACTGAGATAGGGACTTATTTCCTGAGGTTACACAGCCAGCAAACGCAGAGCCCAGGATAATGTGTATTTGGGGTAGTGGTGCCCCAGCCTCAGAATGTGCCTCTTGGGAAGGGTGCTCCAGGGAGTGGTTGAAAGCAGAATGTGGGCCAGGCACAGTGACTCACGCCTGTAATCCCGGCACTTTGGGAGGCCGAGGAGGGAGGATCACTTGAGGCCAGGAGTTTGAGACCAGCCTGGCCAACATGGTGAAACCCCATCTCTACTAAAAATACAAAAATTAGCTGGGAGTGGTAGCACACACTTGTAATCCCAGCTACTCGGGAGGCCGAGGCAGGAGAATCGCTTAAACCCAGGAGGCGGAGGTTACAGTGAGCTGAGATTGCACCACTGCACTCCAACCTGGGTGACAGAGGGAGACTCTGTCTCAAAAATAAAATAAAATGGAAGGTGGAAGGTGAGAAGGTGAGAAGGTGGGAAGGTGGGAAGGTGGGAAGGTGGGCAGGTGTGAGCATGTCCTGGAAGAGGAGGACCATAGAGGTGAGGTGGGAGACCCGGGGAGGTTTTTCACTGTTGATGGACTCTGTGCTCTGAGTGCTCTTTCATCGGAGCCTTTCCCCCATTCCGGATTCTTCACTGGTTGTCTGTGTCTCTCTCATGGGACCGTGTCCTGAATGTCAGTCTGAAGACTCTTTCCTCACTTCTGAGGCTACCCCTGGGCTCTGGCTTTGGGGGAGTGCTCCAGTTTTCATTTTCTTCGCCTGTTTAGAGAGTGTGGCCACCATATCACAGAGGACTGGGAATGGGCCGGAGAAATTGTGGGCTGTGTCAGGGTTGGGGCGTTGGTGCTGCTCATAAGAAGCTTGAAGGCAGAGGGTGCTGGGACCTTCTGTGTGAAACCCGGGTCTGAAAAGGTGCCTGTTGTGGGGGGTGGGGGCGGAGGGTCCCGGGGAGAAAAGGTAGCTGACATAGAAGCA
Organism: Homo sapiens; assembly: GCF_000001405.40. NCBI lineage: Eukaryota > Metazoa > Chordata > Mammalia > Primates > Hominidae > Homo > Homo sapiens. The sequence continues at coordinate 57,318,697 of NC_000017.11, forward strand.
CATACAGCACGTTCCTGAATCCAGGCCTTGGAGTCCGAGGAGTGCCTTTGTGGCAAGTTTCCCCCTTTTTAATTTTCTTGTGTCGTTTCTCCTGTTAAGTGCAAAGAAGATGCCTCGCTGCAGGAACATCTGTGCTCCTTAGGATTCCGTGGCTGATTTGTTACATATAAATTTCCTAATGTAGGTTATGGAGCTGTTGAGGGAGAGAAGCAGGGAAGCAGGCTAGGGAAACATCCTTCTCCACTCAACTTAATATTGGTGCCTGTGGCTCCAGGGCCAGCCCAGGCCCCCTGCCTTTAGGTGTGTGGGCCCTGAAAGGACAACTTTTGTGCCCACTGGAAAGTGTGTGTGGGGAGCTGTGGCCGTAGTCTTGCTCTCTTCTGAGCTGGTGATGGGGAGCAGCCGGTGATTATGCAGAGCAGGGCCTTCTGACTCTGGGCGGGCTGAGACAATTGCTTAGATGGTTGTAAAGGAGGTGTTCAGAAATAGTGCGACAGGGGCGAAGCCTGTGCTGTCACTGGTGACTGGGGATGCTTGTTAGCATTTTCTAGGGCTGAACTGGTTATCATTTCTATCTCTTCATGCCAAGGAAGCTGAGATTCAGAGAAGCGAGGTGACCTTCTCAAGATCACACATGTGTTTCGGTGGCATGGCCAGGACGGGAACATGAATGTCCAGATTCCCCCTGGAAACACCATATTTCCTCAATTCAGAATGCACTTTTGTTCACATTTGCACTTGAAAATCCAGTGCATCTTACAAATGGATGGCATCATGTCAGAATGATGCATCTTATGATCCACCTGTGTTAGATTCAATCAAATATGGTAGAGACTTTTGATCGAGAGCTGCTTTATGGCTGGTATTGGGCTTTGAACACATTTTCTCAATTAATCCTGAACAAAACAAAACCCTCTTGAGTAGGGGTTTGTTTTTGACAGGGTCTCACTCTGTTGCCCAGGCTGGAGTGCAGAGACACGATCATGGCTCACTGTAGCCTCGACTTCTGGGGCTTGAGCGATCCTCTCACCTCAGCCTCCCTAGTAGCTGGGACCATAGGCACATGCCATCATGCCTGGCGAATTTTTGTATTTTTTTGTAGGGATAGGGTCTTCCCATGTCATCCAGGCTGGTCTCGAACTCCTAGGCTCAAGCAATCTGCCCACCACAGCCTCCCAAAGTGCTGGGGTTATAGGCACGAGCTACTGTGCCCAGCCGAGTAGGGGTTTTCTGCTCAGTGGTAAAGTGGAGCGAGAGGGGCGACTGCAGCTCTCAGATCCCTTATTGTTCCTCAAATGAGTGAGCTGTGAGTCCCCCACCCCTCCTACTTGGCCCTTCCCTTTGCATCGTCTCACTCTCAGCTTCTCTGGAATGACAGTGCTTTCTTCCTTTGAGTGGGCACCAGGCTGCTGCCTTGAGTTTTCTGGACACTTGCTGCTGAACTGTGTTCCGATCGAAAGAAATACAATTACTCTCTGAGATTTGAGGGGCGATTGTGAGCTCTTGCAGTCACCTTCTTGTTCAATACTTGCTTGGAGTGTCTCTCTTGAGAGGACTGGAAATGCATCTTTGGGTGGAGGTTGATCTGTATGAGGACTGGCTCTATCACAGGGACAGGGATGGTCTGCTTTTTGCCTCTCTTGGGGAGGGAGGAGAGTTATTTTTATTTAGGTGTGAATGCGGGGGCTTGAATCCAGGGCAGAGGTGATGTCTCACTTCTTTCAGGTGCAAGCCAGTTTGTAGGAAGATAATAGGGAGGATTGTTAGGTATGCTGGGGCTGTTTTGGAGAATCCTCAAGGGAGAAGCCACGAAGAGGAGGCACTGTCAGATGTTCCTCACTAGTTTGCAGAGTGCTTGGAGGTAATATTTTAAGACAGTTGGGAAGGGTCAGAGGTTTCTACCCTTAGAGTCTCATCAAAGCGCTGAGTGATGCCCAAAGGGGATGAATAATTCTTCCAGAATTCGGAGTCCTAAGCTTTCCTCTTGCTTTCTTGTTGAAATAGGCAGGCTGGTTGAGGGATGCCCCTGGCCCCGTCTTAGGGTACATACAGAAAGAAATACTAAGCGGACTCTTGCTGTCTTTGCAACCAAGCAAAGGGGTCCTGCAGAGGGTGTGTCAGGAAGGGAGAAAGAAGAGACATGGGTACAAAGGGCTCTGGCAGCTGTCTCAGCCATATATGTGGTCATTTCCTAGAGATGAGAGTGGACGTCTTGTCCTCCTGCAGCCTGCTCCCTGCCATGCTGCCTTCCCTGCATCTGGGCCCCTTTATCCCTCCTTGTTCCCCTCCTACCTTTCATCCAGCCCTCTAGATTCTGTACCACTCACCTGGAGCTAGGTGAGAAGGATTTAAGGATATCCACTGGCTGTCTTACTCTGGGCTATAATTGGCGGTGGGGGGGATGGATTTGGGGGCCTGGGATGGTCTAGCTTCTTCCCATGGACTCTGAGTACCCCTAAACCCTCCAAACGTGGCTCAGCCAGACAGGCTGGGAAAAGTGACCAGGAGTCTCTTATTCCAGCTTCTGAGACTGCTGTGTTCTTGGTGAGTCTCCCGCCCGCGGCTTCCAGGCCCAATCTCTCCGTTGTTACTGTGCACCACCAAGCAGAGAGGGATGGTAATTATAGATGCTTTAGGAGCCGCCATTTGCTTCACATGGCAAGGTGACTCAGAACATTAGATCAGAATTAGAGAAGGAGAAAAAAGTGATCAAAGAAAGCCCCCCTCCCACGCCAACCTCCCGTGATATCCTAGCACTCTAGCCTTCCGTCCCAAATAATAGTTATGGAAATGCCTCGGCTTCTCTGGAAACAGGAGGACAAGGGAACTCTGTTGCACCAGAATCCATGCTGAGCTTTCTCTTGGACTAGGCCAGAAGAGCTCCCTGCAGCCGATTTGTCTTCTAGCTTGTGCCTGCTCACCTGAGGAGCCATTGAATTTGGGCTAAAGAGGTGCCTGGGGACAAGGGTGAGCTGGAAAGGGAGATTTGGTCAAATTAGGAAGGGCCCTGCTGTTGGATGTTCTTATTTTTTCAGTCTTGGGAAACAGCCTCCAAAGAAATCCTTTTGTGTTGGGCTGGGCAACTTTGCCATGGATTTAAACAAATTTTTTTTTTTTTGAGACTGGGTCTCATTCTGTCACTCAGGCTGGAGTGCCGTGGCGCGATCTTGGCTCACCGCAACCTCTGCCTCCCGGATTCAAGTGATTCTCATGCCCCAGCCTCCCGAGTAGCTGGGATTACAGGCTCCCACCACCATGCCCGGCTAGTTTTTGTATTTTCAATAGTGACGAGGTTTTCCCATGTTGGCCAGGCTAGTCTCGAACTCCTGACCTCAGGTGATCCACCCACCTTGGCCTCCCAAAGTGCTGGGATTACAGGTGTGAGCCACCGCGCCCAGGCCTTGGGTTTAAATTTTAAGCTCCATGAGGGTAGGGGCAGGGTGTGTCATGTTTATAGCTGTCCCCACAGTACTGAGACCAGAGCTCAGGAGAATGTGGTAGCTGAATCAGGGAATGGACCCAGTATGTGGTAGCCATGAAGCAGGGAGCTGAGGCCAACTTCTTTGGTCCTGAGCGCAGGAGGCAGACACACCTTGTCTTGTCTGTTTGGGTGTCCTCTGCACTTTGTGGTCAGGGTTTGGTTCTCAGAGTCTGATTAGGAGAACTTGAATGGAAAAATTTATTCCTGTTTCAGGAAAGGGCAGTAAAAATATTTATTTCCATAATCAAAATGGAAATTTAAGTCAATGACAATGGAAACTATTTTTGGCCATTTGCAGACTAGGGAGGGGAGTGAGAGGGCAGAATAATTCAGTCATTGTAAATTTTAGGGGTGAAATAACAGCATAGAAATAAAAACTCCCCAAGGAAGCATAAATCAACCCTTAATCGAACATAAACAACAAACCACGTACCACTCACTCAAACCAGGAGCTGCATCCCTGGCCGTCAGATTTGTGCTTGGCTGTTGGAGTGACGTGCCGCCCACAAGGTCTTGGCTACTAAGGGACAAGTATTGGGTTTTCTCTCTTCTCCTGAAAGGCTCTTGTTGACAGCAGACAGCTTCTCAGAGCCTCTGGTCACCGACCTGTTCTTCCCTTCCTTTCTCCTGTGCTGTTTTCAAGACAGAAAGCCCAGCTGTGGCAACTGCAGGTCTTTGGATTAGTTTGACACCTGGGGGGTTCCCAGGTGAAAATGAGGGCTGCAGGGCAGGGAGCAAAGCCCACTTGGGAGTTATGTGTTGTGTTGGTGAGAAACAGGTTGAGAAAGAAGCAGCTGCTGAGAATAATCTAGTGTATATTGGGGCGGGGAGCATATTGGTGGGGGGAGAGGGACTGTGTTGGTCGTGAGTGACCCTGAGTGATGGGTACCGGGGGTTCATTCTCTCAATCTCATGACTTTTGTGAAAGTTTGCAAAGGTCAGAAGCCAGAAAGAAAGATCAAAAGCCAAAAAGAAAGGGAGCAGCTGACCCCAAGATTCCCACCCCCAAGGCATTACCCCCTTGAATCAGGTGTAGGTCTGTTTCCTCATCTGTTCCACACAGATTGAGTCTACAAAGACCCAGGTCTCATATCCTGCAGGAAAGTGGAGAAGAAAAAATGTGAGACTGATTTTTTTTCAGAGTTTTGACTGAGAGAGTCCGTTTTCCCATGGACTTCTGGACATCCATGCCTGAGAAGCACCTTGGGTTTTCCCTGCTCCCAAGTCGGACTGAGCTCAGGGAATCTCCAGGGAAATGCGGGGGTCCGCTGGGCACTTGGGCCCTCCCAAAGATCCAGGTTCCCCATTCCAGTGGAAGCCTTTGCCCTCCTGTCCCTGCAGCCTCCTTGGTTGGTGCCGCCTCCCTGGGACAGGTGCTCCTGCGTCCCTGGCAGGGCCAGGATTGGGCTCCAGAGGGCCTGCATCTGCCTGTGCTGCGCTGCCAAGCTCCGTGGAGGAGCAGTTGCCTAGGTCAGCGTCCTGTGGCCTCACCAGGGGAGACTTGTCTTAGTTGCCAGGATGGGCAGAGAAGAGGGGATGGAGCAGACACACTGTCTGCCGCTGTGGGTGTCAACGGGGGCATTTTAGGTGGATCATGGGGTAGCTATGTGTGGCATAGACACCCACTGATTTGAACGGACATCTAGGTCTTAATTTCTTGCACGAACTCATTATTTCCCCATCACCCTCATTTGTTCCTGCTGTATGAGGAGCATTCTTCCCACAGGTTCTGAGATGGTTTTATTTTTGGTGATGGCTGGATTTCCCAGGTTATGCAGCTGTATGTTAGGTGACAGTAAAAGGAAGACTAGGTTGTCCCTGTCCTTAAGGATCACACACACAAAAATAAGGCCAGGTGTGGTGGCCCATGCCTGTAATCCCAGCACTATGGAAACTGAGGTGGGAGGGTCGCTTGAGGCCAAGAGTTTAAGACCAGCCTGGGTAACATAGCAAGGCCATGTCTGTACGAGAAATTAAAACAATTTTTTTCCCTCATTTTGCGGGTGGAGTCTGAGGCCTTGGAGGAGGGGTGGCCGGGAGAGTCTCTGAGCAGCACAACATGGGCTGAGGCAGCGCCCCGCCGGAGCCCACACCCTGGTCCTGCGAGGGATGCAGGAGTGCCTGACCCAAGGAGGGGTACCGCATGAGGTGGCTGCACAGACAGGAGGCAGCTTTTCCTCATCTTACCCGCTGGCTCCCGCGGTCATATACTCCCCGGTCAGTCACAGACACCTCTGACCTCTGATGGGACATTCAGTGACACTTCCCTTGTAGCCCTTGGCTTTTCAGTTCCTGAAGGAGCCAGCAGGTAAGATGGGGAAAAGCTGCCTCTGCTGTCTTCCAAGTGGCTGTGCATGTTGGCCCATGGATACTTATATCTATGTCACCAGCTGACACCTCTCTTCTTCTGCCTGGCTCGGAAGGTGTTTTGTTTTAGTTTGGTTTGTCTTTAATAAGGGAGCAGTGGCCATTTCAGAGATGGGTGGCTGTAGATCCTCCTCCTGAACCAGCAGAGGCCAACTCCATTCCATCCTGGACCTTTCCCTCCTCCTTCACTTTCTTCCAGCCTCTCCTCTTGACCTGTGGCTCAGAAGGGCATGTGACAAGTGCTGTCCCCACCTCACTGACCCACTGATTGCTCTTACCAGATTTGCTTCTTTGAGCCACTGGGGCAGGGACTGACTGGGCCACATGCACCTGACTGCTGAACTTTGCCAACCTGCTTGTGAGCTGGAGGAGAGCAAGGCAGGCATGCAGAAGAGGAGGGTTGAGTTGCCACAGCTCAGAGCCCAGTGCTGCCAAAATCACCACTTTGTCATTTGGTACATCAGAAAGTGGTATCTACCTATGTTTATCACAGCACAGTTCCCAGTTGCAAAGATATGGAGCCAACCTAAGTGCCCATCAACTGATGAATGGATAAAGAAAATGTGGTATATATGCACTGTGGAATACTACCCAGCCATAAAAAAGAACAAAATAATGTCTTTTGCAGCAACTTGGATAGAGCTGGAGGCCATTATTCTAAATGAAGTGACTCAGGAATGGAAAACCAATTATCACATGTTCTCACTTACAAGTGCAAAGGCACACAGAGTGGTTTAATGGACATTAGATGCTCAAAAGGAGGAAAGTGGGGGAGGGTGAAGGATAAAAAAACTACATATTGGATGCAATATATGCTATTCAGCTAACAGGTGCACTGAAATCTCAGACTTCAGTATGCAATTCATCCATGCAACTGAAAACCACTTATACCCCAAAAGCTATTGAAATACAAAAATTATTAAAAACAAAAAAAGAAAGTGGAGTCTAAAAAAGGGACGTGTTTGAGTCCTGAACACAGAGCAAATGAGTGTGGGCTGTCTTCTTGCACCGGTTGCCCCCTCGGCCCTGTTAAGAGGCCAAGCCTGGGCACCACTGGGTGTGCAGCGGCTATTCCTCTTTTTTACCCCCTTTGCTGACCGAGTTGGTGTTGTCATCTCTTCCCTGACCATTTGACCCACCTCCAGCTGGCCACCTCCTTCCTCTGTTCCTCTGCCTGTCCATTTACCAGGCACCTACCCAGGGGGATTTTAGGAAAATGTAGATCAGATCAAATTCTTAAGGGGCTCCCATACGGATGCCTGCCGTACCAAGCGTGATGCTTCAGCATGACTTATGCACAATTTGGGATCTGCCCCGGCCTCATTTTCTGGCGTCTCCTCTTGCTACTCCTGCACACACATCTTAGACTGCGCTCCATGACCTGTTGTGTTTCCTGAACATTCTTCACTGATTGCTACCTCCTGCCTTTGCATCTGCTGGTCCCTCTGCTGGGAATGCCCACCTGCCTAGTTCAGTGGGGCTCCCTTTTTTCCTTCAAGCGGCAGCTTAAACCGTGCCTTTTTAGCAAAACATTTCCCGTCACCCCCATTAGGTTGTTTGCTGCTGCTGCTTTTGTAGCCTCTAATGCTTCGTTGCTGTATGGTGCAGGTTACAGACCCTTAGCTACAATTCTCATATCCCCCAAATTTTGAAAGCCAAACTTTTTTTTTTTGTAATTCATCTGGCTACAAAATCTGAACTGTCTTCAGACACTTGGTAGTATTTCTTGATCCCGCTTAGTGTGGCTATCTGTGGGTTTTGCTTACTCCCAGCGGGTTTGATCACAGGTGCTGTTCCAAGCCCTGGGGGAGAGGAGGTGGGTACTGTAGGCTATGTGATACATGACTTATTACCTGTCTGCAAGCAGAAACACCTACATCCAAACCGATTTGGCCCCAGGGCTTGGGATAAGAGATATAGGTCTGTATTTCTTGGTTCAAGTTGGCCTCTTCCTACTAAACTGTAGGGCCTTGGACTATGTCCTAGTCAATATCTTTGTGTTTCCTTAGAGGCCTCATGATTAACTGGCACTGTGAGAGTAAATACCCAGTGAGACTGTCTTGGTGAATGGATAATAGTAGCTAACATTTATGAAGCTCTCACTGTGTGTCAGGCTGTGTTCTAAATGCTTTACTTATTTCCGCTCATTTGATCTTAACACTAGCCCTATGAGAAGTTACTTATCTTATCCCTGTTTGATAGATGGGAAAACCAAGGCAGCTGCTGCTGAAGTAGCTTGCCTGGGGTCATGTGGCTTGGAAGTGGAGAGGGAGATTTGAATTCAGGAAGCCTGATTTTAAACCACGGACTAGTAGCAATTGGAAGGACTATACCTTGTCCCACTGCAGTGTTTGTGCCTTCTGGCTGTCACAGTTGGAATAGAACTGCTCATCTGAGAGTGTTTTTGATAGGGTGATAAAATGACTAGACATGAGAGTTAAGAAGGGAAAAACCTCCCGTGGTTATTGAGTGTTTTACTGAGTGCCAAATGGAGCTCGGTACTTACAGAAACAGACCATCCACTGGAAGTAATAGCTGTCTTCATGGTCATCTTGTCCAACATCTAAAAAGATGACAAACCACAGGGCTGGGCACGGTAATCCACCGTAATCCAAGCAACTTGGGAAGCTGAGGCAGGAGGATCACTTGAACCTAGGAGTTTGAGGTTGCAGCAACCTATGATTGTGCCACTGCACTCCAGCCTGGGTGACAGAGGGACACCCCATCTCTAAAAAATGAGAAAAAGAAAAAGTGACAAATCTGAGGCCCAGAGAGGTAACGTGACTCATCTGAGGTCACACAGCCAGTGTACATCGCAGGGACCCAGATCTAATACAGTGGGTGCCTTTTCTCTTGCTTCAGCAAGGTACCTGGAATGAGTGCTGAGTCCTGTGGCTTTCAGCCCAGAATTGTGGAAACTCTACCCTTGGTTGGCTATCTTCTTCCAGCTGACCATGTGATTTGTGAATTGGTGTCAGACAAACTTTTAGAACACAAGAAGTGTTCTATTCAACACGTCTCTTCTTTGTGGCATCAAGGGATAATGTGGTGTGTGGGGGCCCCAATCCTTTGCTCCTACTCTCTGAGCTTCGGGTAGACAAAACAGGATTGATTGTGTCTCTTTCACCAGTTAGTGTGATGACTGCTTTCACAATCTTGTCGCAAAAACCAAGCCACTATGGGATGCCTCCAAGGTCATTGGCTGATGGTGTTGTGCTAGGGAGGCCCTAGTTTGTGAGTAAAGCTGGGATATGAGGGACTTGTAGTTCAGGCTCAGCCTTCTGTTCAGGGTGAGACATTTGCCCTTGACTGCTTGTGTGTGTGGGAGCCCATTGTCAGGCAGGCCCGTAAATCTGGTCTGAGTTTGATACTTCTTTCCCCCTCCATCTGGGACAGGTGAGTTGCATTTCCCAGGAGTAGCTCAGATGTTTTTGGCTTCACCCCCTATAATTTAGTATGCAAAGGCACTACTGTTGGGGGGAGTGGGTAGGGGACACAGATTTCTTTCTTTTTATTAATTTCTTTAACTATCTGTTTATCTCAGCAAGGTTCATGTTCTAATAGCAAAATAACCAGACTCAAAGGTAACTACTTCTTTATGGCAAAAATCCCAAAATGTGCCTGTATTGGCTTCTGTCCATCTGTCTCTTTGTCCTTCTGTTCATCCATCCATCCATCCATCCATGCATCTACCTAGCCATCCATCCATGTATTCATCTATCCATCCATCCATCCATCCTTCATGCAGCCATCCATCCATGCATCCATTTATCCATCCATCCATCCATGCATCCATCCATTCATCCATCCTTCATCCATCAATCCATCCATCCTTCATCCATCAATCCATCCATCTTGTCCCCCATCTGGTGAATTCTTTCTTTCCTTGTAGGCTTTCTGATGTAAATGTAGACATAACTTTGTATATATTTCTCCTCTTAAAAAATTAGATCACATTATACATTTAGATCACATTATAAAATTAGACCCCACTACAGAAAACATGTTGTTTTGTAAGTTGCTCCCAGTGCAGTTTTTGCCGGTTACACACATCAACAGCAACATTTTCAATGGCAGCAGAATGCTCCATTGTATAGATATAACCTAATTTAACTAATCCTCTGTGGTTGGACAGCTGTGTGGCTCAGCTTTGCCTGTATAAACAGACAATGAACATCTTTGAAGAGTCTTTTTTTTTTTTTTAAACCCACTTGTTTGATTATTGCCTGAGGAGACATTCCTCTATATGGAATAGGTGGGTTAAAGTTTGTGTGTTTGGTTTGGGTTGGGTTTGGTGGAGGGGGACTTTGAATACATTTTGGTGGTTTATGTGGCTGAATTTTAGTTGTCTTGCTGATTCCTCAGTCATTAGGTTTTGGGGGCCCCGATAGGAATATAAATTCATTTTAATATTTGTGAATGATTAAGAAAGTAGATCTCTTGGGAGGCTGAGGCAGGAGAATCGCTTAAACCTGGGAGGCGGAGGTTGCAGTGAGCCAAGATTGTACTCCAGCCTGGGTGAGGGGAGTGGAGACTCTAGCTGGTGTGTGCCCTGAGATGGTATTTGGACAGTAGTACCCAGTAATGACATAGAAGATGCTGGGATTGTGTGTTGTTTCACTTTGCAAGAATGCATTCCAGGGGTTTATTTGAATTTCTCCCTGCAAAACAGCTCTACATTTTGTAGAAATAGGATTATTAGAGGAGGTTTTTAGCACCTTCAATTACATTTGGAAAACACTGTATTTCTTTTGGCTTGGTTGTTAAAGACAAGTAAATAATTTTTTTAAAAAGGTAAATGGTAATATTTTGCATTCCCAAGAGTGTGTTCTGTCCTTTAAAGTTGCTGTGTTCAACAGTAAATTATTTGATTCCTTCTAACAATACCCCTGTGTGGGAGGCATGTATAAACTTCCATTAATGGCAAACAACATGGTAAACCCAAGCTCAGAAATGTGTAATTTCTTACCCCTCTGGGTGGGCCAGAAACTCATAGTGGGGTTTTACTAGGATGTAACTGTGGGTGTTTGTGTGGGGAGGGTTAGGGGGTGTGTGTCACTGAGGGTATATAGAGGTTTTCTCAAAGACTTATTTACATGAGTTAGTGAAAAAAGGTTTGTCCTTCTTCTCTCCCTCTTTCCCCGGTGTTTGAGTCCCTTGTGAGGAGCTGATGTGCACGATGAATTCATCTCAGCCAGCAGGCTGTTTAAAGTATAATCAAATCAGAACCCCTGTTTTCCGAGTTACGTAATTTTGCAGAACGGACACAGAGGCTCCTGGGAAAAACTGCCTGTCCGCCTGTTAATATTAAGGTCCATTTATAAAATTAGAAGCTATGTTGAACAGATGAATCTGAAATGGAACTTGCCTATTAAAGTTTTTTGTTTTTGTTTTTGTTTTTTTTTTTTGGTCAGATAGCCTTATTTAACCTTTCTGTGTCTCAGAGGTTGGTGGCCTTTGCCTATGGTGCCTTCATGGAAAAAGTTCTAAATATAGCTCCTGTTTGTTGTTGAATAATGACTTGCGAGGGCGGATGGTAGAGTTTCCAACTTCTTTAAGTCAGCAAACTGGACAAGAGGGCATCTAGTCCGAAGGAAAGCCATGTGCCTGAGTGTTCAGCACTGCTGCTGTTTTTACTGTGGTCCTGGGTTTAGTGGATGTTCAGTACACTGTGCCTGTCTCTCTTGATTGTCCTTCTCCTCCCAGTTTTTACCTCCAAAAGCCTGTAACTTTTTCTTTTTTTTCTTTTTTTTTTTTTGAGACAGAGTCTCACTCTGTTGTCCAGGCTGGAGTGCAGTGGCGTGATCTCTGCTCACTGCAACCTCTGCCTCCTGGGCTCCAGCGATTCTCCTGCCTCAGCCTCCCTAGTAACCGGGATTACAGGTGCTTGCCGCCGGCTAATTTTTGTATTTTTAGTAGAGATGGGGTTTCGCCATGTTGTCCAGGCTCGTCTTGAACTCCTGACCTCAGGTTATCTGTCTGCCTCGGCCTCCCAAAGTGCTGGGATTATAGTCGTGAGCCACTGTGTCCGGCCTCCTTTAATTAATTCCTAACTTGTAAAGGGTACCTGCATGATTCAGATCCTGTGAAGACTTTTGTCTCTCAGGCGTTCCGCATCCATAGACCCTTGGCCATTATCCTAACAGAGTGTTGAAGTGGGTGGATGGTTTCAAAAAAAACACTTGGGTTTCATTCTGTCTGTTTCAAGGAAGCATTGTGCAGTGGTAGAACGAGCACCACAGCTGGGGTGGCACCCTGGGGTTCAAGTTTCTAGTGTATGTGACCTTGAACAAGACTTCAGTTTCTGTTCTCGGTAAAATGGGGGATTAGATTATATTCCTGGCCTTGCCCAAAGAGGTTTTATTCTTTTTTTTTGTGTGTGTGACGGAGTCTCACTCTGTACCCCAGGCTGGAGTGCAGTGGCGCCATCTTGGTTCACTGCAACCTCCACCTCCTGGGTCCTAGTTCAAGCAATTCTCCTGCCTCAGCCTCCCGAGTAGCTGGGATTACAGGCACGCACCACCATGCCCAGCTAATTTTTGTATTTTTAGTAGAGACAGGGTTTTACCACGTTGGCCAGGCTGGTCTCGAACTCCTGACCTCAGGTGATCCACCCGCCTCGGCCTCCGAAAGTGCTGGGATTACAGGCGTGAGCCACTGCGCCTGGCCATGTTCTTTGTGTCTCAGAGCAGTTTAAATTAAATAATGAAACTTCTTGAAGAACTGGCCCAGGACACACTGTCCAGTCTTCTGTGTTTCCACGTGGTTCCTCGATGAACCTGGAACCCAACGCAGACCTCTTTTTTGAGGCCTCTGAGCTGGGGAGGGGGCAGGGTGAGGGAGTGGGAGCTTGGGTTTTCAGTAACTTCTCTGGAAACTTAAGTGGAGGAGAGCAGAGATATCAAGAAAGGAAATATGTGAGATGAGTCGGACTGTCACCCTGGTGAGGACCATGGGTGAGCCACGTGAGGGTTGATCATCTGAATAGCTGCTGTTTTCCTTCTGCCCCTCCTGAGCGAGATCTGAAAGCTTTGAAGACTAGGACACATCTATGCAGTATAGACGTGCATGGAAGCCCCAGCGGATTCCTGAAGCTGCATTTCATGTGACCGGCATGTGACTGGAGGTGCTTGGCATGTAACCTTCCTTTGTGTTCACCAGCGTCAGTGTTCTGCGTTTCTAGGGTCTGTCTCAGAACAGTGAAGGCGTATCAGCCACCCCAAGGATCTGCCTGTTTACAGAGAATTTTTTTTAAATATTAAACTTCTCTCTATTTTGTAAGTTTACACCAGTAAAGCTGGAAGTTACACACAATATGACCCTAGCTCTTTATAGAATTGCTACTCTCGAGTTGCTTTTAGTGTTACAACCTTGATCTTTAAAATCGTACTCAAAAATATCAGTGATGACATTCATTCACCACCTCATTGTGGTCTCTTAAACTAAATGAGAAAATGGTATGGAAATTTAATAATAGAAAAGTTTGGTCCTCTCCCAGGCACTGATGAACCTTTCTCCTTTTGATGAAGAAAAGTTTGTAATTGGTCATGTTGCCATTTTTTTTTTTTTTTTTTGAAATGGAGTCTCACTCTGTCACCCAGGCTGGAGTGCAGTGGCATGATCTTGGCTCACTGCAACCTCCACCTCCGCGGTTCAAGCAATTCTCCTGCCTCAGCCTCCCTAGGAGCTGGGATTACAGGCGTGTGCCACCACATCTGGCTAATTTTTGTATTTTTGGTAGAGATGGGGTTTCTCCATGTTAGCCAGGCTGGTCTTGAACTCCTGACCTCAAGTGATCTGCCCGCCTCAGTCTCCCAAAGTGCTGGGGTTACAGGCATGAGCCATTGTGCCCAGCCTATGTTGCCATTTTTATTTGGGCTGCCAGGAAGCTGAGAGTCCAGTGTGAGAGTCACAATCTGTTGGTCCAGTTATTATTGTATTTATAATACATCCTTTCCATGGACATGATTTTCTGTAATTGTAATTTTACTGTTGGTTTTATGCTTCTTGTTGTTAGCCATCTCAGAGCCTTTGTGCAAAGAACTGGGTTAAGAATACTTTAAAAACAAACACACAATGAAAGAGAAAGAGCAAGGATTTCATGCTGTTAGCAAAGCTTTAGAATGTAAAAACTTGCTTCTCTTGAGAGAGAGAAAGAGAGCGAGGCTGATTAGCATGGTATTTAAGAGTATGGATGCAGGCCGGGCATGGTGGCTCAAGCCTGTAATCCCCACACTTTGGGAGGCCAAGGCGGGTGGATCACGAGGTCAAGAGATCAAGACCATCCTAGCCAACATGGTGAAACCTCATCTCTACTAAAAAGTACAAAAATTAGCTGGGCGTGGTGGCACACACCTGTAGTCCCAGCTACTCGGGAGGCTGAGGCAGGAGAATCGCTTGAACCTGGAAGGCAGAGGTTGCAGTGAGCCGAGATCATGCCACTGCACTCCAGCCTGGGCGACAGAGCGAGACTCTGTGTCCAAAAAAAAGAAAAAAAAAAGAGTACGGATGCAAGAGTCAGATGCCAGGGCTCAAATCCTGGCTGTCTCACTTTAGTGGCTGTGTGACCTGGAAAAGTTGCTAAACCTCTTTGTTCCTCAGTTTCCACATCTGTGAAATGGAAATGATATCCCCTCCCTCCTCATAGCGTTGCTGTGAGAATTAGATGGGTTAGTTAATACCAAAGACCCTGGGAAAGGTGTCTAGAACATATAAGCAGCCTGTAAGCTTTATCTATTACTAGCAAATGACTACTTTTTGGAATTATTTTTCCCCCCTGGAAAGTTCCCAGTGGCATTTGAGCTCTTCCTCTTCTCTCCCATTCTCCCAGCTCTGACTTTTTTACAGATTAATTCTTAATCTACCAAGCCAACTTTTCCCTGCTGTGATTTGTACCGTTTTTTTTTTTTTTGAGACAGAGTCTCACTCCATCGCCCAGGCTGGAGTGCAGTGGCACAATCTCCTCTCACTGCAACCTCTGCCTCCTGGGTTCAAGCGATTCTCCTGCATCAGCCTCCTGAGCAGCTTGGATTACAGGTGTGTGCCACCACACCTAGCTAATATTTTTTTGTATTTTTAGTAGAGACAGGGTTTTGCCATGTTGGCCAGCCTGGTCTCGAACTCCTGACCTCAGGTGATCTGCTGGCCTCCGCCTCCCAAAGTGCTGGGATTTATAGGCATGAGCCACTGTGCCTGGCCTGGTTTGTACCTTTTAAACGTATTATTATTATTATTTTAAATAAGAAAGGGAAAAAAAAAACAAAAAGATTTGCCCTCTAGGATCTGCATACTTTTTTTAGAAGATCAAGAAAAAGATGAAGTACTTTCTCTTGTCTCGAGCTACAGTGTGGCATGTCTGGCCCAATCCATCTGTGTGGTTTAGCAATGAGGGCTTTACCCCAGTTTGTCATCTTGGAAGATGACTTTGCTTCTCCATGCCTTAGTTTCCCTATAGTACCTTGGTGATCCGTTTCACTCCATTGTTGTCTCCAGGAAAGCATGGTTTCTGTCTCCTCCTGTCCTTCCCCCATCCCCAACCGGGGGCCATTCAGTAGACATTTGCTGAACACACGGATGCGTGGAGACTGAAGCCTCTGCTTGGCTGCCTTGTGCATTTCTTCGGAGTTTGAAATAAGATAACCAAAGTGAGAGTAGGTTTAGAAAAAGCCCCCTCGAATGGAAGGGTTTTTGATTCCTGTCTTTTCCCTACTCTTTGATGATGGCAAAATGCTGATAAAATCTGAGGGTTGGATGAAATGAAATAGCCCTTCAGGGTCCTCTGCCATCTGGGTAGGTGGTGATTAAAAATGGCAAGCCTCACAGCTTCCCTTGGAGAGCTGTCTGAGGCACTGCTGAAGGTGGATGTGCAAAGGGGCTTGGCATTAGGGGTTGGCTGAGGACTGGCAGGGCAGCTGGGGAACGCCTCTGAAAGCAACACTCCCCAAGATCTCATTAAAATGCTTCCTCTGGCCGGGTGCGATGGCTCATGCCTGTAATCCCAGCACTTTGGGAAGCCGAGGTGGGAGGATCGCCTCAGGTCAGGAGTTCGAGACCAGCCTGGCCAACATGGTAAAACTCCGTCTCTACTAAAAATACAAAAATTAGCCGGGCATGGTGGTGGATGCCTGTGATCCCAGGTACTCGGGAGGCTGAGGCAGGAGAATCACTTGAACCCACGAGGCGGAGGTTGCAGTGAGCCAAGATTGTGCCATTGCACTCCAGCCTGGGCAACAGTACGAGACTCCATCTCAAAAAAAAAAATAAATAAATAAGATAAAAAAATACGTCCTCCAATGGACTGAGATGGAGGAAAAGGGTTTGGGAAGAGAGACAACCTAAGGCTGGTAGGAGACTCTGAACTATGAATTTAATGGCAATTAAAGCAGAAAGACTTGAGCAAGTAGCTTTTTTTTTTTTAACCGTGCCCTGTAGTTATGATTTGTTCTTTGTAGTTAATTTAAAATAAGCATAATCTTTGTCTACTAGCTGGCTGTCCTGCCAGAATTGCATATATTTATTTTCATGACTATTTTTTTGCACTGACCAGGAATCCGTCAGTGCCAGGAGATTTCTCTCTGGACATATTTTGGCTTTGTTGGTGTCTTCCCGAACCCCAGCCCCCACCATCCCTGTCTGCCATTTCTTTGAGAAGCCAGCAAGTATGAATTGTTAGCTTTTCCTCTGAAGTGGATAATATAGTAACTGGTGGATGTTCTAGCAGCTGTGCGATGTGCTAGAATCTTAGACCATACCTGCCTTGCAGTCCTCAAGACTGTGACAGAAGTGAGCTGACCCCCACCTGCCTTTACACCAGCCAGCTCTTAAACGGGCAGGCCAAATCTGGCCCACCACCCATTTTCACAAATAAAGTTTTATTGGAACCCAGCTACACACATTTGTTTACGTATGGCCTATGGCAGATTTTTTGTTACAACAGCAGAGTCAAGTAGTTTTGACAGAGGTTATAAGGGATGCAAAGCCAAGTGTTGATTACCTGGCCATTTATAGCAAAGGATGCTGACTCCTGACATACATAATGAGCCTACTGTGTGCCAGGCGCTGTTGTAGGCACTGGGGATGGAGCAGTGAACTTAACAAAATGCTGAGATGTGTGTATAGTAGTCAATTAGCGATAAGTGCTGTGACTGAATAAAACAGTAAAGGCATGGAGACTGAAACGGGGTGAAACGGGGAGTGTTATTTTAGGTAGGATTGTCAGACAAGGCCCTTGTGAGTGCTCTTCAGGGACAGTGCTCCAGGTTGGGAGCACAGTGATGGCAAAGGCCTAGAGGCAGAAGCTGGCATGTGTGAGGAGTAGCAGGGAGGTCCAGGTAGACTATTTGGGGCTAGTGGAAGGAGCTGAGGCTGGACAGACAGGAAGATCAGATCCTGTAAGACTCTCATAAGGACTTGGGCATTTATTCGGTGTGCAAGGGGAAGCCACAGTGGGGTTCTGAGCAGAGAGGACTTCAGAGCAGAGTTTGACAAGAGAGGACTTCTGTGTAGGAGGCCCACCAGTTACTGCATGGCATAGAAACAGCAGAGGGCACGGGTAACGGTGAAGAGGGCAGGTGGGAGCTGCTGCACTTATCCAAGGGCCAGGGTGGTGGTGAGGACGGTGGTGAGAAGTGGTTAGATTCCAGCTATGTCTTGAAGGTTGAGCTATGGGATCTGCTGAAGACTGGGATGTAGGAAGTTCTGGGAAAGGACTATTAAGAGTAAGGCCAAGGCTTTTGGCCTGAGCAAATAAAAGCCTTTTCCTATGATGGGAGAAGACTGTGAGGAATAGCTTTGGAGGTGAAAGTCAGCGTTTGGAAACCTTTCCACATTCCCAGTTTTCTTCTTCTCTTACTCGTTTTCTTTGGGAAAGAGTTGGAGGAATGACTCCATCTACTTTACTGCTTCTTTTTTCGGGGTAATACAGGACTTGAATAGTAGTTAAATCACCTGTGTTACCAATGGTCTTTAAACCAAAACTGCATTACTCAATCAGGAAATATATACAGGTAACCTGCCTTTCCTTCATTCTGAGACTTATTTCTTGTTCATAATGCTTGTGAAATCTGAATGCATTTAAATAATGTACATATTTAATATGATGGCATTTCATTCTTGAAAAAGGTGTTATTAATTGGTGTTGCATCTTATGGTTGTTATAACATACAGTAATTAAAGAAATATTATAGGCATTATATATTGAGCTCTTGCGTGCGAGGAACTAAAATGTGTGTTATTTGCCTACTGCCGCGTAACAAATTACCCCAGAATTTAGCAACTTAAAATAGCAAACGTTTATCATCTCACGGTGTCTGAGGGTCAGGAATCTGGAGTGGGCTTATTAGCTGGGTGGTTCCACTCAGGGTCTCTCATGTGGTTGAAGTTAAGCAGCTGTTCTGGGCTGCAGTCATCTGAAGACATGGCCAAGCAGGAGCTTCGCCTTCCGGGATCCCTTGCAGGGTTGTTTGCTGGAGGTCTCGGCCACTCTCCATGTGGGGCCCTCCAGAGGCTACCTGTGTCTGCACAGTGTTGTCATTGTCTCCTCCAGAGCTTGGGCACCACCATTTCTTTTGGCTCTTAAAATTCTCTTCTAGGCTTGGGATTTTAACCCAGGTTTCCAGATGAGGAAACTGAAGCTCAAGGAAGTTGATTACCTTCTTCCCAACTTACAGAAGCCAGTATTAGACTAGGGCCCTGACCCTGATCAGCCTGACAAGAAAACCCTTGTTTTCTTTTCCACGGCCCCACAGAGTGGCCCATGTTTCTCAAATGCTGCAATCTAGGATTGACCCCAGGAACCCCTTTGGGGTCATTACATTTTACTTCCACTGTCTGATGGCATTGGTGTGGTCCATGCGAATACTCACAGCTTTAAAACCATCTGATTGTCTCTGAGACTCATTTTCTCTCCACTTTCTCGGCCTCTAGCCTTCACGGCTGGGTGTCTCAGAGGCTGGGCTCTCTCCTCTGGGAAGGCTGTTGTCTCTGTGTCGCTGGCTAGCCTGGGTCTCAGGGGCAGTGAGAATCCCTGGCGGCTGTCCCTGTCGTGTTTACCACCTTGGCAACAAGCGCTGCTCTTGGCACCACGGTCGAGTCCTTAGCTGGACGGTGACTCGGGCTGGGGGCTCCTTCTTCACATCATGAATTGGTCTTTTGCCAAGCCAAAACAGCGGCTGCTTGCTTTTCAGAAGGAAAGGTTGTTCATATTTATTTTTTAATTAGAAAATGAATGCATGCTCCTTACAGAAGATTCAAAACATATAGAAAAGTGCAAATAAATGAATGTTTTGGTATATTATCATTTTTGTGTGCATACGTATTTAAAAACAGAATTGGAAAAGAACCCAGAATTAGAATCACGCTGTGTTGTGTGCATGTGTATGTGCTTTTGCATTTACTAGTACTTAGTAATAATTTTCACGTGTTACTAGATGGTTGTAAAAACATGATTTTTAATTGGTGTGTAACGTTCTCTCATCTCAATGTAAAATACAGATACGTTTTAAATATACCTTACCGCCAAGGACGAGATTTGTATGGGTTTTATTTTGTTTTTTATTTATTTTTGAGACAGAGTCTCTCTCTGTCGCCCAGGTTGGAATGCAGTGGCGTGATCTCGGCTCACTACAACCTCCACCTCCTGGGTTTAGGAAATCCTCCTCCTCAGCCTCCTGAGTAGCTGGGATTACAGGTGTGCGCCACTATGCCCAGCTAAATTTCTGTATTTTTAGTAGAGATGGGGTTTCACCATGTTGGCCAGGCTGGTCCCGAACTCCTGACCTCAAATAACCCACCCACCTTGGCCCCCCGAAGTGCTGGGATTACAGGCATGAACCACTGCACTGGCCTGTTTTATTTTATTTTTTGAGACAGTCTTGCTCTGTCGCCCAAGGCTGGCGTGCAATGGCACGATCTAGGCTCACTGCAGTCTCTGCCTGAGACCATAATCTCTGCGGTCTCTGTCCATGAGACCATAAATAAAGAATAAGGAGCTTGGCAGGCCCCACGCAGACTTGTTGCATCCCAGTTGCTTGGGGACCCTGAAGGCTGCATAACTCGTAGCCGGGTCTCTGCCTGGAGGAGCGGGCTGGTGTTAATTCACTGACCCGGGGAGCTGTGCCTGCCTGTCAGCCTCTCCATCTTGTTGGTGCTGAAAACCTCTCTTCCTCATTTTGGTCCCTGCTATGGCTTTTTATTCAAGGCTGTGGTT
This sequence comes from Homo sapiens, assembly GCF_000001405.40. NCBI lineage: Eukaryota > Metazoa > Chordata > Mammalia > Primates > Hominidae > Homo > Homo sapiens. The sequence continues at coordinate 57,338,751 of NC_000017.11, forward strand.
TGAGTTCTACCACAAAGCAGATAATGTGGCATGAGCAGCTCACGCAGGGACTGCCCTGCCTCCCTGTCTTCACCTACAGGGGCTGCCGAGATGGGGAAGGGCCCCACCCCTGAGTTCCCCTTTGTCTTCCTTGTCTCCTTTGCAAGGAGAGTCCTTTATTTGTTCTTTTAATGCAACTGGCCTCTCTGAAGAGGCTTTCCAGATCAATTTGGCTTGTCAGGGGTGCCAGGCTTAAGTTTTCAGGCATCTAAAGAAGTGGTGGGGGAGAGGGGATCAGACTTTTCTTTCTCTTTGTGGCTTTCAAAAGAAAATCACGGACGTTAAAATAAATGACGCAAATATCTGTATTTTTTGTATCAAAGAGACAAATGGCATAAATGCAGATTATAGGGTATTCCTTAGAACTGTCCATCACACAGGAGCTCCTGGGAAAGGCAAGCAGCCCGCGAGGCACCACCCGGTTTCACTGAGCAGAGGGTGAGTGGTGGCTTCGCGTTTGGGCAGCCTCCAGGGGGTCGGCATATTTAGATCATCGTCTCACGGATTGATTCAGGATTGTCTTAAAAGCCAACTCGGTTTCCAAGTGTTTCATTCTTGCATGCACGCTTAAGAAAGTCAAAGCCATTTCCATTGTCTTCTGTTTGATCTGCACTGACCATCCTTCAGCTCCTGCCTCCACTTGCGTGATGCTTTCTCTTCTGGTTGAAGAACTGGCAGCGTTGGTTTGGGCTGCTCCTCCCTCCCTCGGGCCCCCTCCCTGTGGCACGGACTTGCCCTGCTGTCGTGGATGATGGTCTGTGTGCAAGGGGTTGAGTCCCGTTTGCCATGCTCCTGGTGTTTCTAACTTCTCAGCCTTTCGTTTCACACCCTGCCATGATGACAGTATATCCATTTTTCATTCTTTGGGACATTTTCTCTCCAAGGAAAGATGCTCATGCACGTTTGCAGTGGGTGAACTGTTGCCTTCCTGTGATCAGTCATTGGTAGGGCTGCTTCTGTGTCTCCACCCGTGAGTCTCCATCACCAGTTGAGGACCTTTGGGTCTCCTGACTCCCAGAAACTTTTCCAGCTTCCCATGGTCTGTGCTTAGGGTGTATTCTGGGCCATGGCCTCCTGGAAAACCATTTTCCCAGCTGAGATGGATTCCCCAAGGTCCCTGGCCTCCAGTGTGGCGGTCCCTCAGAAGCTCATCAGTGACCGGGAATGGAACTGACTGCTATAAAGTTGTGAGCCTGCCCAAAACTGGGCAGCAGAGGTGTTGGAATTCAGCCCACCTGGGCTCAAGTGTGGGTTCCAGCCCTTCCTAGCTTGTTGACCTTGAGTGATACTGACTAACATTTCTTGACCATTTGCCCTAGGTTGGCTTACCTTAACTCCATGATGTCTCATTTAGTCCTCACAGTAGCCCTCTGAGAAAGGTATTATTCTTACCTTACTAGGCTTCAAAGAGGCTCAGATCCATGGAGCTAGTAAGTGATGGGCCATTGTGCAAACCCAAGGAGTCGGCCTCCAGACGCACCTCCTCCCAGCCACTACACTGCACTGCCTTAACCCTTGTGCTGTACTTAACCCTTTTGCCAGTACAGCCAAAGGTTCATTTCCCAGAGCCTCCACTTCTGCATCTGCAGAATGGAGGTACAGTGTCAACACTGCAGGGCTCTTTGGAGGCTGAAATGAGATGAAATATAATGGATCAAGCTCTGGCACTAACAAATATTAGTTCCTTCCTTTTGTTGCCCTGGAACAAAGGGTGGGGCATGAGAAATAGAGGGGCATTGATGTTCTGCCTGGCAACCTTGATTGTAAAGAGGGCAGGACAAGGAAGGGAAAATGTAGAGGATCCCCATCATTGTGGCTGAGTCATTTTACCGCAGAAGCCTCCCCAGCAATGGCCTGTGGTTCTGGGGGATGGGAGGGTGGTGTGACACTGGGAAGTGTTGTCAGGTAGACACTTGAGTCTTGATTGGGATAGAGATTGGGTACTTGACCTTCTGACTCTGGGGTAGACATGGGATTGGGCCATGGGGACCACGCAGGTACACTCTCTGCCGATTTCCAGCGTGCCAGACATTCTTATCAGCGCATCTGAGCCCAGCAGCAGGGAAGCCCAGTCCCTGGTCACTGTTTGCATCTTGGCTGCTCCTCCTTGGCTTGAAGCCCTGGCAGTTGCACCTGCAGGGAGCCTCAGCAGGAATACAGGTTCACCTCCGACCTGGGATCTGCATTGCTCCCCCGGTATCCATTCTGTCCTGGGGTGTGCTCAAGTGCAGGTCCATGTAGACAAATTCAGATGCTGCCCCAGGGCTGGTGTGAGAGAGCTGCTGCACCTTTCCCTAGCCCTCTTCTTTTAGAACATGGATGATATGAGAGTAGAGAGGGGCTCCCCAGTCAGAACCAGGGCTGGGGTGGGCCAGGGAAGGAGGTCAAGTCAGGACAGAGCTGGGAAGGATGCTGGCAGCTCAGTGTGGCCCCAGCATCACCTAGGAACGTGTCGGAAATAATCTGCATCTTATCCAGCTCGCAGTGGTGTGTGTGCAGAAGGAGGTCTGAGAAGAACTGGGATGTGCCCTTCTACCTACCCACCTGCATTTAAAAGAAAGGTAATCACGTATTTAGAAGATGGAAGTGAGTTAAGTGTAACTAAAGTGGGGAAAAACCAAACAGTGCCTGAGTGAGAACTGGAGTTGGGTACATCCTGGGTTGGTCCTCACACTGCCGCCTGGCTGGGGACCCTGTACCATCTAAGGCCAGGATGTCCTGTGTACGACCAGGTTCCTATTGTCAGTCTGTTGGCCCCTCTGCCAAGGTGAGCCCTCCTCTTTCACTCCCTGGTACATTGTGCTGAGAACATGACTTTTTGGGAGAGTGTTTGTAGCAAGTGGTAGCACTACGTAAATAGCTTTGTTGGCAGCTTTTGCTTTTCTTGCTTGTATTGTACACCTTAGTGTGTTTTTTCTTTTCTTGCTTTATTTTTTTTGGATAACGGCAAAATCACCGCTTGTGGGCACCGCCACAGATAATACAAAAAAGCCATTTGAAAAGAGCTTTATGTCAGCACAGAGTACTTGGAATTGAAGACCTCCAGGGATTTGCCTTTGTTGCTCAACTTTTCTCTCTCCTCTCCCTCTTTTTTTCCCCCTTTCTTTTCTTCCTCTCCTTCTTCCTCCTTGTTCTCTTTCTCTTTTCTTCCTTCTAACTTGCCATGGAACCAGAGTGAGCTACATATTGCCCTATTTTCAGCTGATTTGCATGTTAGAGCAGAGTAATTGGTGTTTAACCAGAACAAAAGAGGATCTGTTTTCTAAAAGAAAAAAGAATTTTTGAAGTAGATCCTATTGCATCTACTGCCTTTGTCTCTCCTCTCATTAGGAATTGAATAGGATGGCCCCGTAATGAGAATGTGGGAGATACTGCTTTGGTTGTGATGCTTTTTGAGCTAATTGGTTTGAAAATTATATTTGATACAGATCTGAGGGATGTTGGCAAAACACCTCTTTGATACATGGACATCCGGTCCCTCCATCAGCAGGAGGATGGGTAGTGAGAGGCAGGGTTGGAACGCTGTTTACCTTCCTGGTTGAACGCTCTGAGAGGCCACCCCCTGAGATTTTGGTCTTTCTCCAAATCTTCATGTTGGTCTGTGCCTGGATGAAGAAAGCCAGGGAGCACTGGAGGACAAAGTTTAGTAGAAAAGTTTGTAGCTCATGATTTGACTTCTAGTGTGTTTTAGCGAAGACATGAAGTTGAAGAATGACTTTTCCTCTTGTTCAGAGGAAAGTCTAAATCTGGACTAGAAAATTGAGAGGATATTAGTTAAAAACTTCCAGACTGTCCGTTCTTCATTTTATATGCAGAAATCACTTTGTCAGCTCACAGTTGCAGTCTCTTTCTTCTGGAGTTAACTGGCATCTGATGGTATCATGTCTTTTTGTGAAAATTAAGTGAATTTTTGAAGACTTTCAGTAATGTTTCAGTGACCACAAAACCATCTTAAAAAATTAGAAACCAAAATACTACTACATGAACTTCGAATGATAGAAGGGGAAAATGAGTTATAATCACATCATTCTAAATAACAGCTGTTTTAAATTTTAATGTATTAATATTACCCTGTCTTTTGCCATTATAAGTCTTACTTACATACACACACATTTTGAAATAGTCATTGATTACTTTGGGGATTGTGTTTAAGCAAATATTTATTTAATAATACCAGTTAAAGAGTTCTGTGACATTTATTCCTTTTCTGAGGTCACCCAACTTTGCAAAAGTTCAATATTATCTTGCAAAATCTGATAGCAGATTTTAAAAAAAGAGACACGGGTCATGATGACTTCTCTCAGAAAATGTGACTACAATCAATTTTGCTGTCTGTACGTTTGTTTGTTACTTTATCTTTCTGCACAGCCTGTGAGGTAGGGAAGGGTTAAGCCCTCTTGACCCACTTTGCAGATGAAATGGAGCTAAGCTTAGAAGGAGGACAGCAACTGAGATGAGCAAAGTTCGAAGCCAGGAGGTGCAGTCCCCAGCTTTATCTACCAAGTCAACTGTCTTTCCTTCTCTCCCTTTTGCTTTTTTTTTTTTTATTTGGAGGTAATTTAAAACTTACAGGAAAGTTTTTAAGGATAAGTTCAAAGAACATCCTTGTATGCTCCACTCACATATATCCTTTATCAGCATTTTACCCTCTTTGCTCAATCAGTTGCTCTCTTTTTCACTAATAGGGTTTTTTCCTTGAGTCATTAGGGAATAATTGTACGCATTGTGACCCTCCACTCCTAAATACATCAGTGTTCCTAATGGGGATATTCCCTTACCAACTTCAGTCCAGTTATGAACTTCAGAAATCCAGCATTGATACAGTGCTTTTATGTAATCTACCATCTGCATTTCAGTTTTATCAATTGCCCCAATCTGTCCTTTATAGAATTCTTTTTCCCTCAAGTACAGGATACAATGGAGGATCAGGTATAACATTTAGGTTTTTTTGATGACTCTTTCGTCTGCTTTAACCTGGAATATTTCCCTAGCCTTTCTTTGCCTTTTATGACATTGCCATTTATAAAGAATACAATCCTCCCCCACCTTTTCCCAATAGAACATTCTTGTCTAGTATTTCCTCATGACTAGATTCAAGTTATGCTTTCCTGGCCAGAACACGACGTAAGTGTTTTTGTGTCCTTCTCAGGGTATCGCATCTGGAGCACTTGATGTCCATCTGCCTCTCTTTGATCACCTGGTCAAGGTGTTGTTAGATTTCTCCACTGTATAGTTACTATGTTTTGTCTTGCAACGAAGAAGCAGTCTGTGGGGAGATGCTTTAAGATGTTCCTCATGGAAGTTTCCTCTGAAAGCTAGCATTCACTGATGATTCTTGCCTGATCTAGTCTTTACAGCAATGGTTACAAAATAATTTTCTAATTCCTACATCCCCTCTTTATTTACCACTTGGCCCTTGGCATCTGCGGTAAGCAAGATCCCCTCCTTCTTACCCACTAATTTTAAAATCTATTTCTTATAGATATGGACCCATGGAGTCCTAGTATTTCAATGGCTTATAATCATTACTGTACATAACAATTTTGGTGCTCAAATTGGCCCACACTTGGCCAGTGGGAGGCCCTTCATTCTGATTCCCTACAACATGATCCTGCGCCGGAGTTTATTTTTAAGCACTTCTTTACTTTCTGGCATAACAAGGTGTTCCAAGCTCATCTTGTGTCTCCCCTGCTCCAGACCTGGAGTTACTCACTTCTCCAAGGAGCTGGTTTCTTGTAGTGGGGATTGCATTTAGAGACCAAGATAAGAAGGTTACTAGAGCGTCTTTGCTCAATGTTACTGGAGTGTCTTCGTCTCTAGGCCATTTCAGTGGAGAGATATAGGAAACATGAGTGTACACATATACACACAGATACATGGGCATGTCCATGCATCATATACATACATATTTTGGAAATCATGGGTTCACACCACACCTCCAAGTTTGCTCAATCCACACTTACTAGTTTGCTCAATCCTTAATACGTCTAAAATAGAGCCAGAGTGGCTTGCCCATTCCACTACAAAAGACTGGCCTACCCGAGGTGGGTGGATTACGAGGTCAGGAGTTCGAGACCAGCCTGACCAACATGGTGAAACCCCGTCCCTACTAAAAATTCAAAAATTAGCCGGGCATGGTGGCATGTGCCTGTAATCCCAGCTACTCAGGAGGCTGAGGCAGGAAAATCACTTGAACCCGGGAGGTGGAGCTTGCAGTGAGCCGAGATTGTGCCACTGTACTCCAGCCTGGGCGACAGGGCGAGACTCCGTCTCAAAAAAAAAAGGCCTACTAAAAAGGAAGGGTTCAAGGCTTGTTTGCATTTCTCTTGCATCCGACAACCACCCCCATCCCAGCTAAAGACCTAGGGTGCATAGTTCAACCGTGTGTTCCTCAGTCATTTGGATTACCTCTTCCCTCCCTCCCACCTGCACTGTGGTTATGGTTTGCTGTCAGTTTCAGGGTTTTCTTCCTTTTCCCTTCCCATCCTTGTTAATTTAATTTTATTTAATATATGGGACATTCATGTGTGTTTAAAAGTTTACTGAGAGAAGCCCTGCTGCCATATCTAGATCTCTCCTTCCCTGTTTCCCAACCCCTGAGAGGTAACCAACCTCACCCTTTTCTGATTTGTCTTGTGTTTCTTTTTGTAAAGATAAACAGATATATGTATATTTTCTTATTTCCCCTTCTTATATAAGAGGTAGTGTAGCATATACTCTTTAAAGCATCTTATTATTTTTAAAAATTAACTAAAGTCCAGCTGGATGTGGTGGCTCTCGCCTGTATTGGGGACTGAGGCGAGTGGATCACCTGAGGTCAGGAGTTCAAGACCAGCCTGGCCAACATGGTAAAACCCTGTCTGTGCTAAAAATATAAAAATTACCCGGGTGTGGTGGTGCATGCCTGTAATCCCAGCTACTCGGGAGGCTAAGGCAGGAGAATCGCTTCAACTCAGGTGGTGGAGGTTGCAGCGAGCCTAGATCACACCACCGCACTCCAGCCTGGGCGACAGAGTGGGACTCCGTCTCAAAAAAAAAAAAAAAAAATTAACTAATGCCTGACTTTATTCCAATTTCCCTAGTTTTTCCTTACTGTCCTTTTTCTGTTCTAGGACATCATTTACATTTAATAGCCCTGTCTTCGTAGGCTCCTCTTGCTTGTAACAGTCGCATCTTATTTTTTGAAATGTATCAATAGGTAGGTAGCGGTTGAACAAGACGGAGAAAGAGAAGGTGAAAGGTGAGAGATGAAAAATGTTAGGTCCATATCCTGCAAATGTTGTTATTTATCACTTCTGTGATTTTCTCTATATCCACCTGCTACATGTATTATTATTTACTTAATACTTTTCTTTTTGTTGATTTATTTTATCACCATAAAAACATTTTGTAAGAAAACTTTACATCATTACTATAAATGAGAAACCACTTGCTCACTTGTATTTCGTGAGAATTGCATAGAAATTGCAGCATTTTGAAGTTTAAAAAGTTTAACAGCGAAGTAACCCCTTCTCATCCTTATTTTTAACAGGACTTGAGACATGTAAATAACACATTTTGGGGGGGGGGGTCTGATTTTTTTCTTAATGAAGATGTAAACCCATGGAATTCATTGATCTACCCCTTTGCTCTGATAATGTGCAGTAAACTGAGGCTGAGCCTTCCGGGGGTTTGAGAAAGAGCTGAGTCATATGGGGAAATAAAATAAAAATGTGAATAAGTGTAGTCCAAGCTGGGTGAGTTAAATGCTTTGAAGAACAATAAATAATCTTTCTTTTTTTGTTGTTTAAATCATTAGCAGAACATTTTGCAAAGTGTCTTTCTTTCTTTTCTTTTTTTTAGACAGGGTCTCACTGCATTCTGACTGAATGCAGTGGCACGATCATGGCTCATTGTAGCCTCAACCTCCTGGGCTCTGGCGATCCTCCCACCTCAGCCTCTTGTATAGCTGGAACTACAGGCACACGCCACCATGCTTGGCTAATTTTTCTATTTTTTGTAGCGATGGGGTTTTGCCATGTTGTCCAGGCTGGTCTCAAACTCCTGAGCTCAAGCAATCTGCCTGTCCCGGCCTCCCAAAGTGCTGGGATTACAAGTGTGAGCCACTGTGCCCAGCCAAAGTGTCCTATTTTTACAAAACCTAAACAGAATAGGTAATCGAACAGAGTAGGGCTAAACATATATATGTTTGTGTGTGTGCACAGTTTACATTTACTCTGGTTATCTTTAAGATAATGCCTTAAAGATTCAGGGCTGCATCTTAGGCAGATCAAACACATATCAGTTATGCTTATGTCTTTTCATGGAGTTCCAAATAGAAAATTTCCCAGCACTCTACTGTAGTGACTTCTTAATTAAGCAGCTATTAGTTAATACCCTTCCTCACCATTGTTCCTGGAAATGAGTTCTAGAAGCCCTGGCCCTTAGGTTGCCATAGATAATAAGGATGCAGTGTGTTTCAGACTAGCATTGTAGAAAGAAGTGGGAATTATCAGAGCACCCCACAGTGTACCATCTTATCAAGATTTGAATTATGAGACCTGTATTCCAAAATAGCTCTTTTAAAATGATCTTAGCCGTTATTTTAAAATAATGAGTGTGGCATTATAGCACCACTTTTCAAATTTTAAGTGAAGAAAAGAAACACATCTACCCATCATCCTGCCTGTGGGTCTCATTGCTTTCCAGCCCCATCCGCATGTGTTCAGACCCCTTCATGCAGGCATTATTGGAGTACAGATGTACATGCTTCTGTCTTGCGTTTCTCTCTCAGCATCATGTATGTTGAAACCCATGGTACTTATATTGGAGTTGTTCTGTCTTCACGATTGTACATGTGATGTTCAGCGAGGTCACTCCCTGGGATTTCTACCCCCCTGAAAGCAAAGAAGTGGAAATTTTGTCCTGGTTTCTCTCTTGGTAGAGTAGGTTTGTCTCTAGGTTCTCCACAATACCTGCTTCCGTGGAATTGGCTGGAGTCGATGATGTTAGCAACTCCTTCTCAAGTCATTTCAGCGATCCTTCAGTCTTTTTCAGGACATTGGGTTTCCACGTATCTGACCATTTCTTCTTTCTTCTGTTCACTGAACCAACACTCAGAGGCTGTGCCCTTTGCCAGGCCCTGGGCTGACTATGGCGATAGAGCGGTGAGCAAGGTAAGTGCATTTGGTCTCTGCCTGCGGGAGCTCACAGGTCATTTGCACAGTTGTGTGCACGGTGCCCTTGTGCTGCGCTGCGTGTCCAGCCTTTCTCATCTGCTCATGGATGCACACATCGCATTAGAAGGGGAGAGAAGGTGACGTGGCTGTAGGAAGACTCTACTCTGCCTTTCTAAATGCTAAGTTCTGTGCATGCTTTGGCACCTTCCTAGTGGTACAAGTTGCTTGTGATACATCTCACTTGGACATATCTATGGTAGTCCAAGGAGTATGAGGGTGGTTAGACTAGGGGTTGAGTTGGGAGTCACAGGAGGCAGGCAGGGAGTGATGGATGCCTGGGTTGTCCCTTGGGACAAGAGGCCACTGCTCAGTTTCAGGAGTTCTAGTGTTCAGCTCACTTCTGTACCCAGGGAGGATGACTGATGTGGTTCGGATATGTGTCTTCTCCAGATCTCATGTTGAAATGTGATTTGCAATGTTGGAGGTAGGGCCTAGTGGGAGGTATTGGATCAAGGGGGCAGATCCCTCAGGAATGACTTAGTGTCATCCCCTTAGTCATAAGTAAGTTCTCACTCTATGAGTTCTCATGACAGCTGGTTGTTTAAAAAGCCTGGCACCTCTTCCCTCTCCTTCTTGCCCCCTTTCTTGCCATGTGATACATTGGCTCCCCTTCCCCCTCCGCCATGATTAGAAGCTTCCCGAAGCCTTCGCTGGAAGCCGTGCAGATGTGGGCAACATGCTTGTACAGCCTGAAGAACCGCGAGCCAAAAAACTTCCTTTCTTTATAAATTACCCAGCCTCAGGTACTTCCTTATAGCAATGCAAAAATGGACTAACCCAATGACCTATAGGGAGAATGGTGACATTCTTAGGTTGGTGTCCTTCTCTTTCCCAACTCACATCCCCTCTCAGGGTGTTCTGGCTTCTTAGCTTTCTGTTACTTTCTGAATTAGGAAAGATCTGATATTATTTACACTCGTGCCTGTTAACTCTCCCAGGTGCTGTCCAAGCCTTTTATCTCAAATTGTGGACTGAAAAGCTTTATCTCTGGTTTAAGGCTTCAAGTCCTGGCCAGTAGACTAAGGAGATATTTAGGGGCACAGAGAAGCCTTCCTGAAGTTCCTGAAATAAGAGCATTCTCGGGCTGCCCTCCTCCATGGTTCCTGGCTGACCACTTGTCTTCTGCCTCGGGGTTGGAAGCCTGGGATGAGGACTCCAGGCTCTCGTCTCGGAGCCCTTCCTTCTCCTGTTACTGGGATTCTCCTCAGCTCACTGCCTTCTCCCTTTTGGTCACTGCTGCCCGACTCCTGACCCAGCAGCCCGGGGATTTTCAGTGTGTGTCTCCGTGTGTGTGTTTGTGTGTGTGTGCACGTGCGCTTCCATCCCTGAGCTCACTAGAGAGGCATAGGGCAGCATGAACACTCACGGAGAACGAATGCTCATGAGAAGCGTGTGGTAAACTCAAAGTTTTTCCATTTGGCACAGTTGAGGAGTAACGTTTAAATCTTCTTCTTAATTAACATTTATGAGTGATCCTGACAGTGATTAAAGAAATATAGGAAAGCTCTCAACATATGTGTATGTCAATTATATGTACTGGGGGAAGAAGAAAGATGAGGAAAAATGAAATACTTGAATGATCTGCTTTAGAATTGTGTACATTTGTGTCTAAGTACCATGTCATGAATAATAGTGCTAAGAGTACTTAAGAAGATGAACAGATCACCTTTTATCAGTTTTATGACAGGAGTCAAGTTGGTGCACTGCACATGTGTGCTTAGTTCCAGCCTGTCTGCTCACAACCAGGAACCACACAAAAAGAGTTAACATTAGTCATGGTAAGCTTAGCAAGCAGATACACTTCAAAATTTTTTCTCCTTGAAGCTTTTTAAAGCCAATTTCAGGAAGATATATACTGAAAAACTCAAAGGAGAGGTGACGGTTGGGAAGCCAAGAAATAATTTTTTACTCTAAGAATATTCTAGAACCCAGTAGTACCTGAAAAATCTCTCAAATACATCCTCCTTTGCTGCCCTTTTGGAAAGATTAAAGCATATCTGGTGACACCAGTAGGTGTCATCTGATGGGTTCTTGCTGCCTGGCGCTGTGTGAATTATAAATGAACCATATGGAACCACTTTATATTAAGTAACTTACGTGTTCCAGTGATAGTTATTTAGGTTGTAATCTTCTCAGAATCTGTTGTTAATGACTGGTTTGTTTTCACCTGAGGTTGTTAATGCTCCAAAGCCTATTGTTAACAGTGCCAGAGGTAGGGGTGTGTGTGTGTGTGTGTGTGTGTGTGTGTTCATAGAAGGATGTTACTGTGGACCATATGTAATGGGCTGATAGCTTTTATTTTTTTGCCTTAGAGTCCAGACATGGTGCTCTGGAATAGCCGTTGTAGGGATTATGTTTATTTGTCCTGCATGAATGCCAATTTTCGGTTTGTGCAAGGAAGGGATGTGTCTGGAAACACTTGGAGTACTGGATGGCCTCTCCATGTGATTGGCCTTTGGAGACCGCCCATTGCCTCAGGATAAAGTCCAAGTGCTGTTGCATGGCCTGGAGGGTGGCCGTGGTGTGTTCCTCCCTCCTCCCCAGCAGGGTCATTTCTCCCTCTCACACCCCACCACACTGAGCCACTGGCAGTGCCCTGATCACACTGGCTGTTTATGCTTCCCTGCCTTTGCGCAGGGGATCCCTGGCCCGGAAAGTGCTCAACCCCATCTTGTCAATTTGGCTTCAGCATCACTTGGTCTCTGAGCGCCTCCTGATCCCCTCTGCCTCCTCCTCCTGTGCCTGCTAGGCTGTGCTCCTCTCTGTCAATACCATGGCACGTTTTAGACTTTTTGTTCACCCACTGTCATCGTATCAGCTAGGGTCTCTGTAGGAAACAGACACCTCATGGGAGGGGGTACTTGAGAAGATTGAATGAGGGGATTGTTTACAGAGGTGTAGACAGGGTTAAAGGTTCAGCAAGGAAGGATGAAGCTCCTCAGGGTTATCAGCAATGCTAAGCAGGCTAACCACCCCTAGGCCTGAGGGGCAAGAGGAGGGAGCAGGTACTGAAATTCAGCTGTTGTGGAGGTTCCCAACTGGACCTGTGGCCGAGGAGGAGTGAGGCCCAGCAAGCAGGGGCATCACTGCCTCAACTTCTCTCTTCCCACCTTCTCTTGATAGTGTCTTCCATTGGCCAAGCCCAACCGGAAACCAGGAGACCATTCTAGGGAGGTCAGTCTTGCAAGGCACAAGCAGGGAGGAAAAGAGCAGATGATGGTTCTGGAGGGTCAAGCAGAAAGTAACTAGCACACCCACATTCTCTTGTGGGAGTGTAGGCTCAGTAAGGGCACTAGCCATGTCATTCCAGTATTCCCAGGGCCCATCATAGTGGGGTGCTGGGACTAGGGCTTAGTTGCCCTCCCCAGTCCTCATCAACACCTCCTAGCCACCACAAATAAATACACCATCTAAGCCAAAACTGAGTGCTTGTATAGCTTTGAAACAAATCCTCAGCCCCCTGCCTGTTCCCACTTAGAAGGGTGCTGCTCCTAAGCCCCTGTTTTATATAAATTCTGGAGCCCCCACCTACTTAGCTCAATGCCTGATTCAAAGTTTGTGTGTATGGCCAGGTGCAACGGCTCATGCCTGTAATCCCAGCACTTTGGGAGGCCTAGGTGAGTGGATCATCTGAGGTCAGGAGTTTGAAACCAGCCTGGCCAACATGGCGAAACCTCATCTCTACTAAAAATATAAAAATTAGCTGGGTGTGGTGGCGCATGCCTGTAATCCCAGCTAGTTGGGAGGCTGAGGAAGGAGAAGCGTTTGAACCCAGGAGGCAAGTTTGCAATGAGCCGAGATCGTGCCACTGCACTCCAGCCTTGACAACAGAGTGAGACTGTGTCACACACACACAAAACAAAAACAAACAGCCCCAAAAAACCACACACACACAAAGTTTGTGTTCAGTGTATACTTGATGGAATGAATGAATGGATAGATGAGTGAGACAATGAATGAATGAGAACATACATTGTGTGAAGAAACACTGAGAGGAAGGTGTGAGGCAGGTCAGCTTCTCATTCTTTGGTTCCCTTTCATATTCATAAGGTACTGGAGGTACTGGATATAAGTCGCAGGAAAGTCGGCCTTTCCTATCTCTTTGGTTTGCTGTTGACTTCCAGCACAGTGTCTGCACCAAGTAGGCACTCAACAAGTATATGTCACGTAAATGAATCTGGATGTTAAGTCATGAACCTGGATGGTTTCTTCTTTAGTGGTCTACTCTGAGGTTCACCAGTGTGTAAAGTCTTGGGCTACCATCTCTGTTTTGGGACCTAGGACCATTTTGGTATTTTTCCCAAGTAGAGAAATCTGTGGCCGCCCTTCCTATTTATTCTTTTGATTTCTGGAACTTAGATGTCTGAATAGAGGACTCGATGTTTGTTCCTTTTATTTTATAAAGGAAGTAGGGGAGGAAATAGGACTCTAAGACCTTGGCGGAAAAGAGAAGGGAAGCAGATGAAGAGGAGCTCCCAGGTGAAGGAGGGTGGAACCCTGATTCCTAAATGGGAACAGGTTTGTTCGGACTCACACACTGAGCAGCTCTGTGTTTCTTCTTGCTCTTCCATGCTCACAAAGGTCTGTGATTTTAGGAGGAGGTGTTGAGGGACCCTGGAAGAAAGATAAAGGGTAGGGTCAGAGGAATAAATATCAGCCAATCCCTGAATAATTGTCACCTTAAAAGGCTGTACCTAGACAGGGTTTGTGGTCTTGAAGGAGCCAGTTTCTTATGTTCAAGCTTCTTGGTCTCTTCTTGGTCCATGTGGATTTAACTTGGATGGAATCCCTCTGGCTACCAGTTTGCCTTGGCCAGAAGGAGAAGGGCTCCTCCTAGCCTCCTCCTCTGCTGCTTCAGCCCTGCTGGGCACTGAGCAATTTCACAGGGCGGTGTTAAGGATCAGGGTGTGGAGAGTAGGAAATTAGTAATGACTGGACTGGGTGAGGGTGACTCTTGTAATTTTAAAGAAATGTTTAAAAATTAATCGGTTCTCTGCTCTGCAGCTTTAAAAAAGTCAAGATGGAGAATTTCCCACTGTGACGCCTTTTATTTCTGGAAAGTTGAGTCATTTAATGATGATTTGAATATCAACAGTTCATTGGCCCATCTTTCCCCAGATAGCTCCCGAAAATGCGCTCTCCTCCAGAGAAGGACACTTTTCATTCCTTTAGTTTTCTGGCAACTCAAGTATAGCCTGGCCTCCTGTGTTTCCCCAGACCATTATCGGAGTTGTACTGACCAAATGGGAGTGGGTTTTCACTTGTACCCACTGCTCCTGTTTAAGTCTTCCTTGGACCAACTGTGGGTAGGTGTAAAGCAGGCATGGCTGTGACTTCCACATTGGATGGAGGCTTGATTGATTCGATGTGATTCCTTGGGTTTTCTTGGGGTTGTACTAAGGACTTGTGTGCCCAGGAGGACACAAGGCTAAAGATGGACTTGGTGCACTGATACATGGTTCAGTTAGGAACAGATAGTGGAGGAGCTCCTAAGACATTTACCTAAGATATTCTAAGGGAAATCGTAGACTCTTATTTCCTTTGTTATTTAGGGAGTAGTTGGTGGAGATGTAGGTGGTACCAGTGATGCCATTTCTCTTGTAGGAGCATTTGCTGAGTCAAAGTATCTATTTCCTCTGGAGGGTCCTTGAATTTAAGAGCTTCCAGTACCAGTAGATTGAAGATTTAGTCTGATTATAATTTTTTCCTTGGGTCTCAGAACATTAAGAGTATTCGAAGACCTGGTTCTCTTGTTTCCTCATTAATTTTGGTCCTGGATGGTGCAGGGGTTGGACTGACCTATTAAGTCTCCTTTTCCCCCATCCATGAGCAGTAAGTCTGTCATGGGGATCAGCAAACTCTTTTTTTTTATGTGTGTAAAGGGTCCAGATAGTAAATATTTTAGGCTTTCAGGGATCAGGATGCAATATTGAGGATTTTGTGTAGGTATTTAACATAACAAGAGAGAAAACATTTACGGAGAATTTTTACTGATGAAATTCAAAATATAATGACAATTATTGAGTACAGTTTTTTAAAATACACATTTGCTAATGAGAAGAATGGATTTTGTTTCAGGGGGCATAACATTTTGCTGAATTGGAGTACAAAGTTACTGTTTTCTATTATCAAGTCAGTTATAGATGTTTGTCAGTAAAAACCATTCTTAGTTCTCAGGTAAGAGAAAAACAGATGGCAGACCTGATGTGGACTGCATGCTATAGTTTGCCAACCCCTAGTCAGTAGCATAGCTCTGGTGATGTTAGTTTTGGTGTGGAAAGTGTAAGGACGTGGTATGGCCCAGGACCCCATGTTGCTCTTTGAATGGCTGGGAAGGTGTTTGAATGCCACAACACTGGAATTTTGTGTATTTAATAAATAGTGGTAGAGAGGCCAGGCAATAGAAATACAGAAGTGAGCAGGATGGTCAAGGTCAATGCCCTGGGAGAGCTTACATTCTAAGAGAGATGATAAGTGAATATAAAATTTGATTCCAGGTGGGGGAGGGGTGTTTAAAGGATGTCTCTCTGGGAGGTGATATTTGGATAGAGATCTGAACTAAGGGAGGGAATGGTCGCCAGAACTTTAGGTGAGGCAGCAGCAGAGGCAACATCTTGAGATAGGAGAAAGCTTGATAAGTGTGAACCTCCAGGAAGTGCAGGTGAGAGCAGAGAGGGTGTGATGAGGAAGGGGGTGGGAGAGGAGTTTGAGGAGAGAGGCAGGGGCCAGATACAAGGAGCCTGGGAGCTTGTATTAATACAAAGGAGCATGCGATGGGATGTTGTTGGAAGGATTCGAGCAGCCAGAGAATGATGCAGTATGATTAACTGTTGGAGAAGATCTCTCTAGCTGCTGGGCAGAGTAGACTCTAGAAGGCAAGAGTGGAAGTGGTTTTATGGGGCCACAAAACTGAGTGTTGAAAATAAAGATAGTCTGAAAAATGTGGAGTCTGTGACCAGCATATTTTTAAGATTGTCTTCTGTGTCATAAGTCAGGATCCTTCTGGTTTCAAATAACCCAACTCAAAGGAACCCAACCAGAAAGGAGAATACCTTGGCCCACATAACTGTAAAGTCCAGGAGTTTTCCTGGTTTTGTCACAGCTGGTCCCAGGGCTCCGGTGATGTCACCATGGCTCTCTCTGTCCCTCATCTCTCCTCTCTCCTTTTCTCTGTGGGTTGGCCTCATTCACTCCTTTTGCACGTAAATGTTTTCCATGAGTTGGTGAAGTGGCCGTCAGGATTCTGGATGCACATAGGAGCTTGGCAGCTCCCATGGAAATAGTACTGCTTTCTTTCAGCATCTGCATATCACTGTCAGGAAAGTTCCCTGATTGGCCTTGCTTAGGTCACAGGTCCAGCCCTTGGACCAGTCTGTGATGGATAGTCCCTTGGAACTGGGTAGGTTCCCTGAAGACAGGGGTGCTGAACAGACACAACAGTGTATGTCCAGCTTTGGTCTGTCCTCTTTGGTCTCCCTTATTTTTCTCTTCCTTTTCTGCCTCAGACCTTTCTGTTAGGGATGCGTGCCAAAACTCAAGTGGAACTGGTGTCTTTACCCTCAAAACACAGACTCCTGAATTATAATCACATGCTGATTTTCGTGGTTACCACTGATCATGACCACATGATTCTTTTGCTCTGAGGGTTGGGCCAAACCCCCTCCCTTGTTCTGGCAATGCTATTTTGAGAGGCCATGGGGGCAGGCAGGGCCTGGCGGGTTCCAGACTCTGGCTCACCTTTTAATAACTTGCTCTGTGACCCTGGATGTGCCATTTAACCTTTCTGAGACTTAGTTTCTGAGCTGGGTGCATCAACTAAGATATCCATCAAATACTTTGGAAGATGTAAAGTGGCATTTAGATGACATAGGCTATGTTTCCCAGGCTAGGACATGGGCTATGTTTCCCAGGCTAGAGTGCGATGGCACAATCTCAGCTCCCTGCAACCTCTGCCTCCCGGGTTCAAGCAATTCTCCCTGCCCCAGCCTCCCAAGTAACTGGGATTACAGGCACCCACCCCCACGCCCAGCTAATTTTTTCTGTTTTTAGTAGAGTTGGGTTTTCGCCACGTTGGCCAGGCTGGTCCCGAACTCCTGACCTCAGGTGATCTGCCCGCCTCAGCCTCCCAAAGTGCTGGGATTACAGGCTTGAGCCACCGTGCCTGGCCAGTCTTTTTTAATCTTTTGCTTAGGAAAGAGAGTGACGGGGAAAGAAAGGTTTAATTCTGGACCTTACTACCCACACATACCAGATCTCCCCTCTTTGCATAACTTCTTTTTTGGCGGGCATGTTTCTTCATTTTTATCTTCTTGATAACTTTGATGCCCTGGTTGGACTCTTAAGCAGATTATCCTTGGGTGGGGACGTCAGCAGGGAGAACCACCCCAGACTAAGACAAGTTGTGTTTTGTCTGTCAGCCAAAAGCACTCTTAGCAATCCGACATAGACATCATTTTAGATGTACAGAGAAGAAAGAACAACACAGTATTGATAAGATTTCAGCAAGATCCCCCCTCCCCCAAAGACGAAAACACACAAAACTTAATGCATTGCTCTGTAATGCCTTGGTTCCTAGTTTCCTAATTAGGCCTGTGGTTTAGCAGAGTGCACCATCTCAATACACAGATGGTTTTTATGTAAAAAAATTTTTTTCAAATGTTAATTTCCAGTGACTGATGTTTTATGCCTAAATCATTTTCCATTGTTTATATTTGATAAGAACTGTATTTGAACTGCTCCTTTATAAGTTGGAGTCTTTTGTAATGGGATTTAACTTACTGGTTTTACAGGTGTATGAAAATGTTAAGCCGTGTATTGTATTTGAGAGTTTGAAAATTCTTCGTTGCAGCTAATTTAAGAAAAAAAAAATTAAACAGGTGATTAGCAGCTGCTTTCGGTTTTGAATGTCCTCGCTTTGGGGTTTTGTGTTTGCTTATTCGTGTGCAAATTGGTGTGGTTATTTTGGACCGGTTGAGACGCTCCAACATTGCACCTCCCAGGCCAGCTGCCCAGGGCCCATTCAGTAGACCCTTCCCCGCTTCTCGGGGCTGATTTGTTCTCATCTTGTGTGCTCGAGAGCTTGCTCTCTCCTTAATGATTCAGGCCTTCCTGAGAAAACAAAGCAGCTCTGGCCCCGTTTCTCCTTGAGGACAGCCTTGTTCACTGCCACAAAGACCCTGCTTTCTCCCCAAGCAGAGGAACTGCCTCTCGGGGCAGCCAAGAACCACAGACCCAGGCGGCTGCAGCTCCTACTTCTGAACTTCTGGTCTCCCGAGTGACAGCTTCTGCATGGTCTTAAGCTCCAGGACCCCCAAGGCCACCCAGAGTCAGAGTCCACCGCCGGTGGGAAAAACAACATTAGGAAGTGGGTGGTGTGGTGTAGAAGGGGCTGCTTAGAGCTTCTGGCCTTCGGAGCTGGATCCAGCCACTTGAGCTTCATTCGGCAGCACACAGACACCTCCCCTCCCTCCTGCTCTGCCCCAGACCTTGTGCTTTCTTGGCACCGCTGGGTCGTGCCTGCTCAGACCTGGTCAGTGTGCTTGCCAGGGCGAGGAGAGCTTTGCATAGGCCGCTGCTGCTTACTTATTAACGATGACGCTGGTGGGAGCTGCGCCACCAGCTCCCTATCCAGGCCTTTGTGGTTGCATCCTGTTCACATAAAGGTGAAATCATGACCTGCCCGACTTGATTTTTCAGTTGAGGGGCTTTTGTGTATGTGTCGTTCTTGATCCAGTAAGAGGATTGTGCTTTCATTCACAAAGATTTGATCAGTAAATAGGAAGAGAAAATACTCAAGGGAGAAATGCTTAGTGTTCCGATTAATACATTAATCTTTTTTTTTGATGAGCTGAAGGTGCTCTGTTGTTTCTCTTGACTGAGTCTTTGCCCTTACCTTTGACCTTAGTGACTTGATCATCCAGCCAGGATCTCTGTACAGCCCCATCTCCTTTCTGAGGTCTTGTGGTCACACACATGCTTTCCTGCTTCTGTCTTGAATGATACTCAGTGAACCCCACAGCTTTGGGGGCTGCTATTTGAGGCACCACACTTGGCAGGCTTGGCTCCCACGGGGAGTTGCAAAGCTTGCAGTTATAGACCTTGGCAACTATTTGCCCTTAAAGAAAAGCATCAGTGAAAAGTTGAGGGCAGAGGGAAGAAGAGAAAGATCTTCGTGGGTTTTTCTGTGTGTGTGGGGGGGTGTGTGTGTGTGTGTGTGTGTGTTTATGGACAGCATTTGTACCTGTAAAACCAGAATGACTCCTTCAGGCATTTTTTCTCCTGGGTGGTTGCATTCATGGGCTGAAGCTGGCTCTTCTGAAGATTGCAATGATATTTAAGGTTAAGGGCTTGCCAGGTAACACCTTGAATGACTCAAGGCTCTGAGGCCAGGCTGCGTCCATTTGAAGGAAGGAAGCATCTTTTTCTGATTCATGCAAAGGCATCTTATGGACTAATGGTCATCCTAGAAAGTCATCACTAGTACAAGGATCTTTTGGAAAAGTGAGATTGGAGAAGGTTGAGTATGAAAGTGATGTATTAGAAAGGTGAATATGGGATGTGAGATCCTAGTCATTAGCGTTTGGAGGGGGCCTTGGAGGTTTGTTAGATCAAAGCTTTCATTGTGCAAATGAAATGGCCCAGTGAGGTTAAAAGAGGGAAGGTCACACAAATTCCATGAAAACCATAAGTACAAGGTTTGAGGAAAATAATTTTAGGACAAATAAAAGAAGTGCTGATTTTCATTGCACTTCTAACAGTTTTATAGAAGTGTCTGTACCTAAAGTGTTGTACATGTTAAAATGTAAATATGGTCAAGAAGATTGTAGGTGAAATCGAAGATGATATGTTGCTAGGGCCCAGCCCTAGCAACGTATCATCTTTTGAGGAGTGTTCCTCATACTTTGAGATTGGTTTTATAGAGGGCTGTTCCTTATACTTTGCGATTGGTTTTATAGAGGGCAACTCTGTTCACCCACAAAAGTCTCTTGATGCCATTGCTGGCCAGAACTTGGGTGGGAGAATGGGAACTGTTCAGCAGAGCAGGTGAACAGGTGGTCCTGCCATCCCAGTGGCAGGGGCCCCTTCCTTTCTCCCGCCACTCCCGGAGGAATGACCCTGCATCTTATGCACTCTCTCCGATTCCCCAAATCCCCTAGGTCCCACTGCTTGGGTTTGGGGAGTGGGGCACATCTCTGCTGAGAGCCAGCCCATCAAGCTGTCTGGGTCTCATGGTGGCATATCTTTGTTCCAACTCAATATGGGCATTTTAATCTTTATTTATTTTTAAAATTTAATTTTATTGAATTCAGCTTTAATATTATTGAATTCAGCTACAAGGGAGATAGAATAGGGTGATTGATAGTTAAGAGCATGGGTCTTAAAGTCAGAAAGACAAAGGCTCCAAGTCCAGTTACCAACTTCTGTAATTCTGTAATTCTGGGGGGCGGACTTACCTGTCTGAGTCTTAGTTTCTTCAACTATAAAATGGATGTCCCAGTACTGCCTCCCTGCCAAGGTTGTCTGAGTGAGTCCTCAATAAAAGCTGGTAGTGAGATTAATAGCACTTGATGGCAAAGTTTGTACCCAGTCATGGGTAGGGGAATTGCATCTGCCATCCAGTGGCTGAGGTCAAGTGATGACACCCCAAACTATAGGATCCTGGCAGCTACAGCAGGCATTGCTGCTTCCCTTTCGGAAATCCCAATTGTTGAGGCCCTGGCTGAAGCCCTGTCGAGCCCTTGGTGACCCCACTACCATTTCCTTTATGGTTGGCTTACTCTGCTTTCTTTTGCAATGAATATAGTTTAAAATTTCTTTATGAGTGTTCTCCTATTTGCTGCCTTAGCCTGTCACCCACTATGCTGAGCTCCCCACCCCTCGTGATGCCACTCAGCACCTTTATTTGTGATGTGGGGTATTCTGGGAAACTCTTCACAGGCAACTCAGGGAGCCTGGCCCTCCATCTTATCTCTTAGGAAATCCTCAGGTGTCCCAGGGTTTGGCACCAGAGAAGTGCTGTAGACCCTGTTTTCCAGAAAGCTCCGTGCCTTCACGTGTGGTGAGGGAGTGGCTGCCCAGAGCAGGCGAGGAGGCACTGGGGGTTGCACCCATGTTTTATTATGATGGGGGCTTCAGAAGCCAGATGTCTGCAGCTACTTGGAGCAAGCCTGGGTCTTCCTTAGACTGCAGTTTTAGGACTTAAGGAAGGAGCTGGGCTGCTGCCACATGCTCGTGCTTGTGTGTTTAATTTGTTTATTGGTGGATTTTCTACCCTGCCTCACATCAGAAAGGGCTTGAGGCCCAGGGGTATAATAGGTGAAACTTTTTCTCTTGAACAGTTTTGCCTTTTCCTAACTTCTCCGAGCCTCTGATCTCTAGGAGAGGCTAGTCAGCCCTTGGTTTAGGGGCTCTCCCTTGCTGAGTAGGGTTTTGGCTTTGTTGGGGCTGTCCAAGGGCTCCAGGTTCCACTTTTAGCTGCACAGCTGACTTGTCTCTTGTCCCCAGATGCTCTCCTGGCCCGTGAGGGCCATAGCATCTCAACTCATTTAATCTGGTAGCACTGAGGTGGGCAGTGTTTCTGAGTGTTTTGTGTGAACCCATGAAGAGAAAATGTTAGAACTAGGCTTTATGCCCATGGAGTGATTCTTCTACAGTTTCTTAGTTCTATTAAATTTTAAAAATATCTTATTGCTTCCACAGAAGAGAAATTTTTAGAATATGGGAAGAGCGAATATAACATTTTGTTCAATATTAAAAGTTAATTTAAGACAGAACCAGAGGCCAAGACAAGTGTCTTCTCTTTTCTTCATTTGGTGATATAATTGACCCTTTGTACCTGCGTACAACTTAATATTCATTCAGCAGAGGCTAATTATGGGATGCGTAGATGCCACATGGTTAAGGTGAAGATGCAGATTTCTGTGTGAGCTGCTTAATTCTGACGGTTATAACTTGTCCATAAAATTTGCTATGGATTGTAACAAGTGGAATATTAACTCGGAATATGGGGAGGTCAGGAGTATCTCCCATCTGCTTCCTTTCTGAAGGGATCCTAGCTGAACTGAGTGGGGGGTATGTTGTGCACAGTTAATATGTTGTTGACACTTGAACAACTCAAGGGTTACGGCCCCCCTGCACAGTTGAAAATCTGCGTATAACTTTTGAGTACCCCAAAATGTAACTACTTAACCTATCATCAACTAGAGCCTACTGATAACATCAACAGTTGATTACACATGCTTTATATATGTATTATATACTGCATTTTTACAATAAAGTAAGCTAGACAAAAGAAAATGTTAAGAAAATCATGGCTGAGTGCAGTAGCTCATGCTTGTAAACCCAGTACTTTGGAAGGCCAAGGCGGGCAGATGGACTGAGCTCAGAAGTTCGAGACAGCCTGGATAACATGGTGAAACCCTGTCTTTACAAAAAATAAAAAAAAAAAAATTAGCCTGGGCATGGTGGCTCATGCCTGTAGTCCCAGCTACTCAGGATACTGAGGTGGGAGGATGACTTGAACCCAGGATGCAGAGGTTACATTGAGGCAAGATCATGCCACTGCACTCAAGCCTGGGTGACAGAGCAAGACCTTGTCTCAAAAAAAAAAAAAAAAAGGAAAATCATAAGGAAGAGAAAATATATTTACTATTCTTTAAGTGGAAGTGGATCATCATAAAGGACTTCAGACTTGTTATCTTCACATTGAGTGGGCTGATGAGAAGGAAGAAGAGGGATGGTTTTGCTGTCTCAGGGGTGCAGAGGTGGAAGAAAATCCACATATAAGTGGACCCACATGGTTTACACTTGTGTTGTTCAAGGTTTGACTGTACGTTCTGAGCCCAAAATTGGAACACATGCCCTAAGGCCCTGTCCTGGATCATTTTATATATGTGTATGGTCAGGCTTACAAAGATAGAAAAATGGAATTCCATTTTCTTACATATTTCTACAAATTATTTTGGTCAAAATCTAGAAAATACATAAAACTGAGGTCTCCTGGAAAAGCCAGAATTTATCTCTGGGATTGGGATAATTGGCTATTAGGAAAGGGGTCTACCTTGTTGGCCTGTGGTCTTGACTTTTCCTTCTGGAACTGAGAATATGTGAATGGCTCGTGGAACTGCACGGAACCCAGTGGTGGGCAGTATCTTTGTAAACAAAATGAGGTTGGCTTTCAATGGCCAGGGAATGAATGTGGAACCAAATTGCAGTTTGTAGAAACAGAGCTGGGCTCAGACATTTAAATTAAACGTATATTTCTATTTGCACTTCCATTTTGTTCGGTAATAGTGTTGGATATGGGAAATCTTGTCTTTGTTTATATTTGAGGGAACTGCAGCCTTCATTTCCTAAACGGAAGATCCTGTGGCATTCCTGCAATGGAAGCTCACCAGATGATCAGAAAAGGGAGAGATGGCGAAGTAACTTGTCTCTGGTTACCCTCCCATTGTGGAAATTAATATCTGACCCAATTCTGTTTGCCCAGTGAGTTTATGGCTTGCTAAGTGGCTGTTGTAATGATCCGTCAACTGTTGCAACAGCATTTTCTAACAATTTTATTTTACAGTTCTGAAGTTTTAGTCCATAAATTTTTTGAACTTAAGGCTTTGAGTTGGAGGAGCCATGTGGTTCTAGGGGGGAAAAAAGTGCCAGATTTATTCTTTATGTCTGTGAGCTGTGCCTTCCCCCCATTCTTTTCCCTCTTTACATGCCACCCCTCTGATATTTTCTACTTGAAAAAAAAATTCATACTAAAGTGCTTGTCTTTGTATAATGCTACTCATAGAATATTTGTATGAAAAAAGAGTCAGGAGATGCGATGTTCAACCCAAGTGCATGAATTATGATTATAAAGTTTCCATTTAAAAATGAAGGCTGTTGGAACCCTTACGTGTTGCTGATGGAAATATAAAATGGTGTAGCCACTGTACAAAGCACTGTGGTAGTTTCTCAAAAAATTAAACATAGATTTATTGTGTGGTCAGCAGTTCTACTTCTGGTTATATACATGAGAGATTTGGAGGCAGGGACTTGAACAGACATGTGTATACCCACATACATTGCAGCATTATTCACAATAGCCAAAAGGTGGAAACAACCCAAATGTCCATTGATACACGAATGGATAAACAAAATGTGATAGACATATGATTAAATAGTATTCAGCCTTGAAAAGGAAGGCAATTCCGATAGATGCTACAATGTGGATGGACCTTGAAGACGTGCTAAGTGAAATCAGCCTGTTACAAAAGGAGATTATGGCTCCTCCTATATGAGGTTCCTAGAGCAGTCAAATCCATAGAGCTCCCCACCCCTTATGACATCACTCAGCAACTTTATTTATTAGGTCACAAGGGGGTGGGGAGCTCTGTGACAAAAAGAGCTCTGTGACAGAAAGAGTGGCGATTTTATGTTATGGATATTTTACCACTGTAAAAACATAATAGGCTGGGCATGGTAGCTCACGTCTATAATCCCAGCCCTTTGGGAGGCTGAAGTGGGCAGATCACTTGAGGTCAGGAGTTCGAGACCAGCATGGCCAACACGGAGAAACCCTGTCTCTACTAAAAAGTAAAGAAATTAGCTGGGTGTGGTGGCGCACGCCTGTAATCCCAGCTACTCAGGAGGCTGAGGGATGAGAATTGCTTGAGCCTGGGAGGCAGGGGTTGTAGTGAGCCGAATTGGCACCACTGCACTCCAGCCTGGGCAACAGAGTGAGATTCTGTCTGAAACAACAACAGCAGCAGCAACAACAACAACAACAAACAACAACAACAACAACAAACAACAACAACAACAAAACATAATAAATGAAGGCTGATGGGAAGCCTTATGTGGGTGGGGTTAATGTCTCTCTTAAGCCAGACAGGTGAGAACTGCCCTCTAGATGTCCTTTGAAAATATAGCACTGCCCAGGCTGGTCTGTCAATATTAGCCAGCTAACGTGGTCCTTAGGTCCCAGGCCACTTCCCAGGTAAGGGGCTCCATCCCCGTGCTGACCTGCATTTTCCTTCTAGGTGGGGATTTCAGGTCTAGAAGCAGCTCCCACCTGAAACCTATGTTCTTGGTTGCTTTATGTGATAATTATTGTGTTCTATTTTAAGCCACTCCTCTGAGTTTGGTAACCGTCTGGGATTCTGTTTTGTTAGCCCTCTCTGTGAGACACAATAAAAGAACAGCAAGACCTCATGTAGGTGGTGAGGGGCCAGAAGGCTCGGCTGGCTGGGTTTGGAGACACAGTCCCTCCTGTGCAGCAGGAGTTTTCATTCCCTATAGGTGAAGGCTGAGAAAAGACAAGGCTTTGAATAAAATAAAATACATATTTTTCTCCCTGCTCTGGAAATGCGCTTGGCTCCAACACAGCAGGTGGCCGAGGAACTCAATCTGTGGAAGGCATCAGTGCTTTCAGTGCAATCAAAGTTAAGTGCAGAAATTTAATTAAACGGCATCAAGGATGGCAGAAACTTTGTAAAGCTGCAATGCATTGTCAAATTCAACAATTATTTCAAGGAACACAATCCACAGATGGTGTCTAATTGATAAATTAAGGTTCTGCTTCTCTAATGGGCTTGTGTTTAAGCCCGTTTTCCACCCATACAATAACCATCACCTCCAGGATGCCCCCTTTCCCCTCTCCAGCTTGGACATCGCTGCAAGAAGAAAGCAACCCAGCTCCCCCAGATGACATTCGGGAAGCCTAGGGTTGGGTCCTGAATGTTTAGTGGGAAAGACCTCCAGCTCCTTTTCCTGTGATCCCAAGCTCCCTTTTGGGATTGAGTCTTGTCCTAAAAACAGAAACAATAGGATTTCTTCGGGCCTGTGTGTCCTTTTCTGCTCTGCTAACCCGGATGTGTTGCTCAGAGATGGCTGGGTTATTTATTTATTCATTTTTTTTTTCTTTTTCCTTTTTAGCATTGCTGACTTTCTTCCTCCATGGCACAGGATTTTTGCCCAAAACAAAAGTCTCAATTTATTTGTTCTTTAAAAAAATAAAAACCACACTGAACAAAAACCTCTGTTTTTCAGAACTTGCTTCCTGTCTGTTAATAGTAGATACCCAGCTAACTTACTTTTATTTCGTAAGAAAATATTTGCGATCTCCAAACATCCAGTCATGTGCAGAGAAATGTATCCTGTGTTGAGATTTCATTTGAAAGGAAACCTGAAGATCTTGGGTGTTTACCAGAACTTCATTTTGCAGATGAGAAAACTGAGGCACAATGGTTTTTTATATACCTTGCTTTGGGACTAGTTCTGTGAAACATGATGTTTCTAAAGCTGGAGGAGAGGCAGTTGAGCACATCTGGGCTACCTACTTTAAATGGTTATTTCATCCATTCGTTTGTTCTACCAACAAATATGCATTAGGTACCTTAGCTTTTCTAAATGCTAAGGGGAAGTTCAGTGGTGAAGGAAGACACTATTCCTGCCTGCGTGGAGCTCACAGGAAAGTGTGGGGAACAGATACTGCACGGATCCTATGAGTAGCTGTATCAGTACAAGTTGGGATGGGTGTTCTGCAGGCAGGGTAGAGGGTGACCTGGGAGTGTCTACTGGGAGACATTAGGAGGGTTTCTCTGAGAAATGACTTAGCATTAGGAGGGATGGGAGGAGCCTTCTTGGCAGAGGGGATAGTGAGCTCACGGCTCAGTGTACCAGAAGACCCAATAGAAGGCCATGTGGGGGAGGAGATAGTGTGAGAAAGGCTGGCAATGAGCAAACAGAGAATGTTGTCCTGGGAGATGAGCTTCCACATATTGTGCACTTACTGGACAGTATACCTGGTGCTGTTCAGAACCTTATACAGCCCATCTTGTCTAACCCTTACTTTATTCCTAGATGTATCTCAGTATCTTCTACAGATTGTGGCACATAGTAGAGTCTCAGTAAATGAATCTTCCCAATGTTGACTATTTTTTTTGAGACAGAGTCTCGCTCTGTCACCCAGGCTGGATGCAGTGGGTGTGATATCGACTCACTGCAACTTCTGCCTCCCCCGGATCAAGGGAGCCTCCCACCTCAACCTCCCGAATAGCTGGGACCACCGTTGTGTACCATGCCAGGCTATTTTCTTGTATTCTTAGTAGAGACAGGGTCTTGCCGTGTTGCCCAGGCTAGTCTTGAGCTCCTGAGCTCAAGCAGCCCCACCCGTTTCGGCCTCCCAAAGTGCTGGGATTACAAGCATGAGCCACCATGCCCAGCGTTGGCTATTATTATCCCAACTTTTCAGTTGGGGAAGTTGAGGTGGACTGAAGGTAAATCTGCTGGCCCCAGGTCCGAGACCACCGGTGGGGTGGGTTTCTGTGCTGGACAGCATCTGTCTCCCCCAGCCTGGGCCCTTCTCACGCCTCTTCCCTCCCCTGAAGGGATCACACGTTTGAATGACTTGGAGACTTGGAGACACATTCTGTAATTCATAACTCTGACCACATGCTGCTCTTAAATTTCCACCCCGTGAAGGAAAGAAGAAATGAGAGACAACCCCTAACTTTTTATTTTTACACATATAGTAGAGGTGGAGAGGGCCAAGTTTACAACAGAACCTTTGCAAAAGCAGCAGCCAGGGCTCAGGACCTCACTGGGTACCCTTGGCCTTGTCTTTGCTCCCTACGGGTTGTCCTGGAACAGGAAAGCAAAGGGGAGGAGCGAAGAGGTGGGGACAGCCAAGGAACAGATCATATTTACTTATTTGTTTGTTTATTTCTAACGAGTAGCTGTGGGGAATGCCACTGCAGAACCCTTTCTAATTGCCTTTTATTTATTTATTTTTGCCATAGCGTGGGTGGCTTTTGAAATTGCACGTAATTTACGGAGGCGAGGATCCTGTGCCTGGGATACCAGATGATGTGGCTGAATGGCTGTTGGCTGTTTATTTGCTAGTCTGTCGTTACCAACACAGTATTCTTGAGTTCAGAGGCACAACAGTGTTTGATCCCCCTCCTCTCTCCTATCTAAATATATCCAACTAGTCAATCAGACTTGGCAGCCGTCAGGGCTGTGGCTGTCAGATTGAGTTTGCCTTGGCTCCTCTGAACTATTGGCTTGTTTTCCAAGCTCGAAAGTGTATACAAATAGTGATATCTAAATTAGACTTGCAAACACACACCCAGGTAGGGGCCCTGAAGGGGAAGAATGAGGCAGCATTTTGGTATGAAAATGACATTTCCTTCTCCTCCACTATCTGTTGGAGAGCACAGACGAAGCTACACTGAGGGGAATGGCTTCACGCTTGGTGAACAAGATGCGTGGGTGTGTTTTTCTGAATTGTGATTAAAATGTTTTTTTTTCCTTCAAATTTTAAGTTGTATCAGGAGATACAAGTGGAATATTAACTCAGTAGATGGGGGAGGTCTGGAGTGTCTCCCATCTGCTTCCCTTCTGAAGGGATCTCAGCTGAACTGAATGAGGTATATGTTGTGAGCAGTTAATATACGGTTGGTCCTTGTGATGTTGTTGTCTTGGCTGAGGATTCAGGAAGACTCTTGGGCCTTGGAGAGGCCTTTGGTTCCATGGCCTGCCCCATTGGGCCGGAACAGCCCCTTTCCTCAAAGCTGCCTCAGGCTTTTCCTGTAGCTTAGGAACAGCAGACCGAGCTCCTGGGCCCCTCCCTGGAGGCTTATTAAGGGGGATCAGTGGAAAGAAAATCAGAGCATCTTAAATCCCTACCTGCAAGGTACCCTTAATTCTCCAGGGAGAAACCTTTTATAAATAAATGTCATGAGTGCTCATCCCCCGAGTTGAAGCTTATCTGCAGAGATGCTTCACTCCGGGAGAGAGGGTTGGAGTTGCCATTGTGAAGGCCTGTGTGTGTAGAGGTACCATGCTGCCACCAGGCCATCCCTCTTACAGCTGTGTGGCATCCTGGAGGCCTGGGTAGGAGACGGAGGGTGCCGCAAGTTCTCTTCCAGTGATGGGGAGCCACAGGTGGTTTTGTAGGGTTCCTGGGTCTTAGGTGGTTATCAAAAGCATTTCACAGACATATGTAAGATAAAGACCCTGTCCTCAAGCAGCTAAATGAATGAACTAGAACAGTGGTACCCAAATTGTGGTTCGGGACCCCTGGGCATTCCTGATAACCTTTCAAAGAGTCTGTGACGAAGTTTCTTAAATAATAATTTTAAGACTTTGTGTTTTTCATTCTCATCCTTTTATGAATATACAGTAGAATTTTTCATAGGCTACATGACCTCTGTTGACATCATAGTTCTGGTGGCTAATGGAATATGTGTATTTCTGTGTTTAAAAATGTCTCAATTTTGGCTGAGCGTGGTGGCTCATGCACTTTGGGAGGCTCCCAGCACTTTGGGAGGCTGAGGCGGGCGGATTGCTTGGGGTCAGGAGTTTGAGAGCAGCCTGGCCAAAATGGCAAAACACCGTCTCTACTAAAAATACAAAAATTAGCTGGTCATGGTGGTGGGCGCCTGTAATCCCAGCTACTCGGGAGACTGAGGCAGGAGAACCCTTGAACCCAGGAGGCAGAGGTTGTAGTGAGCAGAGATCTCACCACTGTGCTCCCACCTGGGTGACGGAGTGAGACTGTGACTCCAAAAAAACAAAAACAAAAAAGTCTCAATTTTGATTTCTAATATGATAAATATTGAGAGATATAACACACATAATTCTCTTTGGTGGTCCTCATGTTTTAAGAGGGAAAAGGTGTCATGACATCAAAGATTTTCAGAACCGCAGAATTAGAATATCGGCAGATAAGTGGCAAGTTGAAGTTATATGCTAGGTACTAAGGTAGGCAGAGCTCTAGGGGTAGATAACAGGTGCTTGTGAGTGAGCTGGAGAGGAGATTGTCAGGGAAGGCTTTCAAGACAAGTGGTTTTCTTACCTCGGTTTTGAAGGATGAATAGAAGTTTACCAGAGAGACAAGGAAGGAAAAAGCATTCTAGAAGGAAGGAACGGCATGCCTGAAATATCAGTGTGTCAGCTTTTCCTCCCCAGTCTGTGGGGGTCAGAAATAGGGTCACCCTGGCCTCACCATGAGATTTTTTTCTACTGGGAATTTCCAAAATAGGCTGCATCTCAGAGTCATTTGGTGAGGTTTATGGAAATACTGGTGAAGCTAGTTCCCAGGTGTGCTTTGCTCTACTGATGGTTGGTAGCATTGTTTACCTCTGGTGGTGGGAATGACAGGGTGCTGTTTGTACCATTTTCGGTTCTTTTGTTGAGAGTGACGTCACAGTTGTCCTGCAGCAAGCCAGGGTTATGCCACCCTGTCAGCTATGCCAGAATGGCAGCAGGTGTCACTGGACACATACCATTCCTTCTTTACACCATCTATCAACCTACAGTGGGGAAAGGGGCAAGAATACAGCATAATGAGAGGGGCAGCCAGTTGTAGCTCGGGGACCTTGGATTCTAAGCAGCATGACCTTGGGAAGGGTCTTGAGTCTTTGAGCCTGTTTGTCCTCTTAGGAATAAAGCAGGTTGGACAGACCTTACTTAATAGGCATGCTTAAATCTGCCAGGGAAAGGGACCCTCCTGTTGATGAATAATTCATTCTGGTTTTGTTCCTAGAAAGTATTCCATGGGGCACACACTTTCTCAGCTGCTCTTGGTTTTGCAAAGGAAGATACTGACATGTTCAGATTAAGAAATCGTAAAGCTTCTGAACTACTAAGGAAGGGAAAAGAGGGGCCCAGGGCCCACATGTGTGCCAGGTGCTGATCTGAGGGTTTTTTGTGACTCATCTCATTTAATGGTCACGCTGTTCCTGTGAGTAAAAGCTGTCATCCCATTTTATAGATGAAGAAACAGAGGCACAGAGAGGTTACCTTAATTTGCCCAAGGTCACACAGAATCCTGGTGTTCAGGCCTCATGCCTTCTGTTCTTAACTCCATATCCTGTGTCCCTGGGAAAGGAAGGGGCCATAGTCTGGAGTGGTTTCCAGGAGAAAAGAGCCAGAGTAATCTCTGCTCTTCATTTCTTAACAAGAATAGAAGACAGAATAAAGGGCACAGGGATAAAGGATTGTTAACCAGACTGGCAAATCAGTAGACTAATTAAAAATCAAACACCTTAAAACACTGTCGCTGGGTTAATTGTAAACCAACAATGAAACGTTAAAATTTGCCCAGCCCATGAGTTTGAATGATTAACTGAGTGAGTTAATTTCAAGCCATTGGTTTGAGTAGCCGTGAAAGCTGAGGTTAGTGGAAGGGGAATCTGTGTGTTCTTTCCTGCCCAGGCCTGCCCTGGTGCCTAAGGTCTTGTGATTGTTGCTGCTGTTTGCGTTTTTAATCGAAATATCTTAAACATTTAGGCAGAACCTCACAAATGCAGCTAGATTGTGGAAAAGGACAGTGTGAATCAGCAAAGAGTAGGATTACGTATATCTTTCCAAATAGAAGAAATGCCATTCTGTTTTGCAATATCACAGAGTCCTGGTAGCAAGAAAGGGCCCTTTGGAAAGGCCTTTTGCCTTCCAGTGTTTGACCCAAGGCTGCTGTCCCATCTGTGGCCTCTGTTGCTCTCTCATGTTCTTTTCTGCCCAGAGACCAGGTCTGGGGGTGTTATCAGGAGTTAGTCCTAAGACTGGAATGAGACTCCTGGGATTCAATGATGGCCAGTTGACCACAAGATGTTTCTGTTAGGTTTTAAGTTGAGATTCTGCTACGCCTGCTTTGATGGCTAGGTAACACTCCTCAGCACCAGGTGATGGATTTAACCTCTGTGAGCTGTGTTTCTAACCTGACTGGGCCCAGGGATCATGCTGGGAAAGTTATGGACCCTTTACCCAGAGACTTGCGCTACAACACAGCCACATACAGCTTTGCACTGAGGGTCAGGATGCACAGATCCCTGGTGCTCAGACATGAATGGCCTTATTAGAGTGAAGAAACCCTGTGTTGAAGTCACCAAACAGCTGGACTTTAAATGTTAATGTTAATATTTCACTGTGACTTATATAGCATTTTATTTTTTCCAGAGTTCCTTACAAGACAATCTGATTTGATCCGCAGGAGAATCCTGTAAGGTCAATTATATAGTCGCTCTTTTATATATGACGCATGCAGTAGGCTCAGTATCTTCCCTGAGTGTTGCTGTTTTCTTGTTAATTTGCTAAATGGGCTTTTAAAAAGGAGATAAATGTAAATTTCAGCCCCGTAAAATAGATACATCTCAAATGCTCGTGACTCAAATTAATTAATTAAAAAACAGAATAAAACACCACTCCAGCCACAAAACATGGCAAGGTTGTAATGTTTATTCCATTCAGCCAGTTGATGGGGTAAAATTACGAGATTGGTCTGTGATAAAAATGTTTTTAACTCCAACTTAGACGTTTACAGAAAGGAGAGACTTGGGCAGTTTGTTTATTTAGAACATTGATTACTGCTTCTGCCATGTTCCTCCAATCACAAACACTTGGGAAAATTTTGGAAAACTGCAAGAACTAAGTAAAAATCCCCCCAACGCCACTATTTACCATTCAGAGATAACTGCTATGAACATTTCGGTACATTTTTTTCTGTCCTTTTTCATGGCAAAAAAAAAAAAGGGCAAAAAATTATATAGAGACACAGGTATACACACACACACACACACACAAATCATTGGCTAACCTGCCTTTATAACTTTATCATATTTTCCTCATTCACTGTTTTTATGTTGTGGTTTTTATTGTCTATGTGGTGTTGTGACTTACAATTATACTTTATTTGACCAAAGCCTGTTATTGAATAGTTAGCTGGTTAGTGATTTATTATTATTATTATAAGTAACATTGTGGAATATCCTTGTACATAACCCCTTAGCAACATCTCTGATCACTTCCTTAATATGTTTACCTAGAAGTGGAATTTTGGGGTTAAAGGCTATGGATATTTTGAAG
The DNA here is from genome assembly GCF_000001405.40 of Homo sapiens. Taxonomy (NCBI): domain Eukaryota; kingdom Metazoa; phylum Chordata; class Mammalia; order Primates; family Hominidae; genus Homo; species Homo sapiens. The sequence continues at coordinate 57,371,855 of NC_000017.11, forward strand.
GAGATTTTACATATAAATATATATGAAAAATATATAAAGGAGCTTATATATATGAGATATATAATCTCCTTTACAATATCAAAAAATTTGTAATATATATACTTATATATAATCTCTTAAAATTTTTTTTATCTTACATTGGCCCTCCCGATAAGGAGAATGGTACTATTTTCTAACCTCACCAAAAGTTTGAGAGATTAACTTAATTTAAAAAAAATTACTGTTTTTGTAAAAATGATGTGTTTATGGTAAACATTTTTATATGTGCTGAAGGGGAAGGCTTAATTTAAAAAGATTGGGGTTTCTTGGATCAACTTGAATTGCTTATTTTAAACAGCCCTCTTCAGTGTAGTTTGGCAAAGCTCTCTCTTTCGGGTTTATTTGTTTACTTACCTACTTATCTTCAACACACTGACCTACCCACCTGTGTATCTTATTTGGTTAACATTTATCCAAGTTTGAAGATGGAAATAGTTTTCCTCTGAATCAGAACTTTCAGTGTAACTGTTCCAAGAAACCGCCACCACAGATGTGGGAAGAGGGAAGAGAATGAGGAAGATTCCTGCTGTCTTTTTACCGCTTGGGTTTACAAATGTGGCAAATTTGGAAAATGTCAAAAAGTAGGAAAAATAAAATGAAACCTGAGATCTCACCACACAGAAATAATTATAGTCAACATATTGATATGTTTTCTCTTTTTGGAGGAAAAAAGTTACAGATGAACAGAAATTTGAAAACAAGCTGTGCCTATTTTCTGTTTCTTTTATTACACATTTTATTATCAATGAATACTTTCTGCTGTAAAAAATATAAATGATACAGAAACCAATAGTAGTGTTCCCCTTTCTAGAAGAAACTATAAAAGGGTGTACTGTTCATCGCCCCTATTCACGCTTTAAAGGAGATGTCCAGCTCCAGTTGAAAATGAAGTTTTCTTACCTGGCAATCTGGTGTTTCTGAATGTGATTTGAAATCCGCCACCCCAATGAGAATGAGGACAGTTTTGTTTTTTTTTCCTGCCAAGAGGGATCGATCGTATTGATTAATTGACTGCAAAAATAAATTCAGAATTATGAAAATAAAGGGCATCTGGATTTAGAATTACCAAATATGGCTGGGCACAGGGGCTCACGACTGTAATCCCGACACTTTATGAAGCCAAGGCAGGTGGATCACCTTAGGTCAGGAGTTCAAGACCAGCCTGGCCAACATAGTGGTAGAGACATATCTGTCTCTGCCAAAAAATACAAAAATTAGCTGGGCGTGGTGGTGTGTGTCTGTAGTCCCAGCCACTTGGGAGGCTGAGGCACGCTTGAACCCAGGAGACGGAGGTTGCAGTGAGCTGAGATTGCGCCACTGCACTCCAGCCTGTCAAAAAAAAAAAATCACCAAATATTAGGTGTGTTAAGATCCTGGGAGATCAAATTTCACCCTCTCATTTTACAGATAAGAAAACTGAGGCCCAACAAACATTAGTAATTGCCTCACCCCAGGTCAATCAGCCAGTTAGGAACAAAACAGATTTCAGGTTCTAGTTTGTGTCCTTTTTTCTTTTTAAATGAAGATATTGATCTATTTTTTAAAAACAAGAACAAAGGCCGTGTGTTAGTCTAGTTTCAGTTGCAGAGAGCTGAATCCACTCCCATCTGGTTTAAGCAGAAAGGAATTTGTTTGAGGGCATTAAAATGCTTCCAGAAATCATCAGGAGATACACGGAAACCTCTAGGTTGTGCTTTTGGGAACAGCCCTCAGAGCTATGCAGCAGATCTGGGTCTTCAAATACCTACTGTCTCTTCTGTCATCTGGAAGTCCCCACCAAATTGGGAAGATGGTGCTACAGCTGCCAGGTTCAGAACCACAGCCGCACTGTCCCCATCCGAAGGCCTCCATGGCTGCCACTGTCCTGCTGTGATCTCCAGCAAAATAGGTTCTCCATGACTAGTCAGTAGAGACAGAGGATATTGCTGCAGAATAACCTAACACCTCCCTGGCCATGTTGCCAGGGGAAATAGTTAAAGTACAGAATATACTACTTTCCCTTTCATACCTAGCTGCAAGGGAACCTGGAATATTACTCCTTAATTTTCCAGATCCTGCATAACAGAAAGGCTTATGGCGAGGAGGTTGGACTGGATGATGGGGACCGATTTACCATGTCTACTTAGTAAACAGATCAAATGATAAGAAATAGACTTCAGTTCTGTGTTATGGCCATGCAAGGTAGACTGGCAGAGAAGCAAAAAACAAAAACAAAAAAGCAGCCAGACAACTAGAGAATTGTCCAGAATTTAAGACAGACAAAGACAGAAGCTATATGCAGAAACATAGCGTCAATAGGGTGGCAGCACTACATTGTACTGTTTTAGGATATATCATTTGAAGTCCTGTTGCATTTTTGCAACCCTAGGCATAAGTGGTATGTGGTAGTTTATACTTAATGTGACTGAAATTCAATTCAAATCCAATTCCAACTTGAGTATTGAAGTTTCCCTTTCTAGCCCTTGAACTTGTATCCTGATATTTGTCCCTAAAACTTTAACTTCCTCAATATTTTTTTCCTGCCCTTTTCCTGGTTTTATTTACCTTATACTATTGAGGAACCTACATTTTCCCTCAAAATCCAAAATTTAAAAAGATGCTTGACAGGAACAGTGGCTCACGCCTGTAATCCCAGCACTTTGGGAGGCTGAGGCAGGTGGATCACCTGAGGTCAGGAGTTCGAGACCAGCCTGGCCAACATAGTGAAACCCCATCTCTACTAATGATACAAAAAATTAGCTGGGCATGGTGGTGCAGCGCCTGTAATCCCAGCTACTCGGGAGGTTGAGGCAGGAGAATTGCTTGAACCCAGGAGGCAGAGGTTGCAGTAAGTCGAGATTATGCCACTGCACTCCAACCTGGGCGGTAGAGTGAGACTTCATCTCATAAATAAAAATAAATAAATAAATGCTTATCTTTGATCTAGCAAGGAGACCACTTAGCATTTATTCCATGTCCAGTTGACATTTGGGATGTGCTTTAGGCAAGATGGCAGCCAGAGCACTAGTCTTGCCTGCTATGGGAATGATCATCTTGGTTTCCATCTCTTCAGCATCTCTAGTGAGACTTCAGGACATCCCTGAACATTCCCCATACAGATCGAACATCATTATTTGCTCTTCCTGGTCATTGCCAGCTTGTTGGTGTGGCGGCTGAGTGCTTGGTGTTCACACAGCTCTGAGTTTAGATTTGCCTGGGTTAATGCAGCATCTTTACTAAATGGTGAGGCTTATCCACAAACATCCAGCATGACTACATTGAAAATCAGACTTATGGAAGAAGAAGGAAGAGAGCACTAGATAGAGGGTCAAAAATGGAGCGAGAGATGGCACAAAGTGTAGTGATCAGCAAATTTAAGCCTCTGACAAGCGGTGGTCAGCAGCCTTCCCAGGCCTCTAGCTAGTCAAGTAGGTCAGCCGCACTTCCCCCGTGGCTGTTTGTAAAACATTCTGCTTTGTGGTATAGAGCCAGGAGCCGAGGAGAGGAAACTCAAGAGGCAAAGATGCAGTTCTGTCTTCAGAGGCATTTATTTTCCTATTCAGGTGGGTGAAGCCTTGCCAGGAAACAATTTCTGAGCGAGTAGAAATGGTGATGGAATACGGAGGATTGTATGCCAGGCAGCATGGAAGCCATGGGATCACGGCGTGGGGAGTGGGGCTGTGAAGCCAGCCAGAGCTTCTTGGAATAGTTGAGGGAGGAGGAGGAGGAGATGATGATGTAACATTATCACATTCTTCTACTTAAGAATTCAATAATGACTTCAGGCAGTGTTATTAAGGCCTGCCCAGCAAGAATGGAGGCACAGAGGCCACTCTGAGTGAACATATTTGGGGGACTCTGAGATACAGCCATTTCGGGGAATGGGGAGTGGTGTTGAGTGCAAATAGGAGATAAATTTAGAGATAAAGGATGACGAGACTCCCCTGCCCCCATCCTTCTCCTTTCATTCGCGTTGCCCTTACAGGTAGATGTCTGTTCCTGTAGCCAAGGCACCCCAGGCCGCGTTAGCCGATGCTCACTCTGACCGCCCAGGAGCAGCAGGCTGAGTCAGCCTGTCCCGCCTTTGAACTTGTGTGCAGCTGCTTGCTTTAATTAGGTGATATGTGGGTTCCCTTATCTTCCTGAGAGAAGATTTCTCGCTTTAGGTGATCGGCTATTGACGCCAATGTGGGATTAGAGTTCCTTCTCTCCAGTTTCCCCTCAGGCCCTGTTACAGGATGTCTGAGATAGGAAAATCACATGTTTGAACAAGTGGTGGGTGAGTTGCTTGGCAGGTCGTCAAGACTGATACCTCCAGTGCCCTTTCAGGTTGGCAAAGCACATTCACATAGAATCTGATTTGATCCCTGGAGAAAAGGTATACAATACTTTGGAAATGTCCCATTTCATAGATGAGGAAACGAAGGCTCAAAGGGATGAAGAGTCTTGCTCAGGGCCAAGTAGCCAGCAGACAGCAGGTCTGGGAACCCTATCCCGGTCTGGATCCAATTTATTGCCCTCTCCTTCAGTGCAAGCTGGTGTCCACTTGGACTTGGTTTTCATTGCTCAAATCCCTTCTCGCCTAGGTAGGGAGCCCCTGAAGGGCACACAGTCAAATGGGCCAAGCACGGCAGGTGAGACCCTGACTTCTCATGACCCCGTGTTCTGGAGTTGGAGAAACTTCTGCTAGATTGACTGGAGATCTGGGTTTTCGGTTGTGATTTTTCCATTCTCCTAAAGGTAGACAGCAGAAATAAAAATCCTGAGGCCCACCGTTGTCTTCCTTACCCCTTTGAAGAGTTTTCTGTTTATGAGCAGCTGATTGGCTCAAACTTAGCCTTTCAGAAATAGCGTCTTCCTCTTTTGGGAAAATATGGCATCTCAGTTGCTTTCTGGACTTGAGAATATCTGCCCTTTGCCTTTGGGCAACATTTGCTGCCAAGACCTGCATGTCAATAAGATCCCACCTTCCCCTGGGTTCCTCCCACCCCCGACCCAGGAAAGGGGAAGAACATGGTCATTCTGGGTGTCACGTTGACCTGCAAGTGCCTTTTTTTTTTTTTTTTGAGACGGAGTCTCGCTCTGTCCCCCAGGCTGGAGGGCAGTGGCGCGATCTCGGCTCACTGCAAGCTCCGCCTCCTGGGTTCATGCCATTCTCCTGCCTCAGCCTCCCAAGTAGCTGGGACTACAGGCGCCCGCCACCACGCCCAGCTAATTTTTTGTATTTTTAGTAGAGACGAGGTTTCACTGTGTTTACCAGGATGGTCTCGATCTCCTGACCTTGTGATCTGCCCACCTTGGCCTCCCAAAGTGCTGGGACCACAGGCGTGAGCCACCGTGCCCGGCCCACAAATACTTTTTTAACCTACTTGGGATAGTCAGTTCAGAAGGAAGGAATGAGCCAAGCCTGACTTCCCTCAGGTACGAGTCTGCTAATCTTTAACTCTGACTTGAATCAGGGCATCCACTTCTTTCCTTAGATATCCTTCTGCCCTGTTACATCACCTCATGTGTTGCATCACTGTGGCTGGCTCCACAGTTGGAATTCTGTGTCGGGGAAAGGACAGGGAATTTGGGGCTCTGCCCAGGTGAGCAGGGATTCTCCACAGTTCAGTCCAGCAAGTGTTTTTGGAAGGGAGGCCTCCTGTGCTTAGAGCTTCATGCCCCTTCACCTTCTCAGTGACCTGCCCTATGGAAGTCATCATCTTTACAACAAGGACTTCTGATATATTTGACTATATTTCCCTGGATTCTGCAAATGGCAGAATTTGGAAAGACATGCATTCATTTGTTCCCCCTTGCTCTTCATTACTTTAAAAAAAAAAGCTAATTTGTTTTGATGAGTAGTAGAGGAGAAGGAGGATAGAACTAGATAGAACCTGTCTTCCACTCGCTCCATCCCACTTCAGAAGTGAAGGCATGGCCAGGCACAGTGGCTCACGCCTGTAATCCCAGCATTTTGGGAAGCCAAGGCGGGTGGATCACGAGGTCAGGAGATCAAGACCATCCTGGCCAACATGGTGAAACCCCGTCTCTACTAAAAATACAAAAAATTAGCCAGGCGTGGTGGTGTGCACCTGTAGTCCCAGCTACTCGGGAGGCTGAGGCAGGAGAACGGCGTGAACCTGGGAGGCAGAGCTTGCAGTGAACCGAGATTGCACCACTGCACTCCAGCCTGGGTGACAGAGCGAGACATCATCTCAAAAAAAAAAAAAAGAAAAAAAAAGTGAAGGCATTATGGACATTCTTTTTTTTGAGGCGGAGTTTTGCTCTGTCGTGTCCCGGGCTGGAGTGCAATGGCGCACACAATCTTGGTTCACTGTAGCCTCAGCCTCCTGAGTATCTGGGATTACAGGCATGTACCTCCATGTCCGGCTAAATTTTGTTTTTTGTTTTTATTATTTTTTTTGAGATAGAGTCTCACTCTGTTGCCCAGGTTGGAGTGCAGTGATGTAATCTCGGCTCACTGCAACCTCCGCCTCCCGGGTTGAAGCAATTCTCCTGCCTCAGCCTCCCGAGTAGCTGGGATTACAGGCGAACGCCACCACACCCAGCTAATTTTTCTATTTTTAGTAGAGGTGGAGCTTCACCATGTTGGCCAGGCTGGTGTCGATCTCCTGACCTAGTGATCTGCCTGCCTTGGCCTCCCAAAGTGCTGGGATTACAGGCGTTAGCCACTGTGCCCGGCCAATTTTTGTATTTTTAGTAGAGGCAGGGTTTCTCCGTATTAGCCAGGCTGGTCTCAAACTCCTGGCCTCAAGCCATCCGCCTGCCTCAGCCTCCTAAAGTGCTAGGATTACAGGAGTGAGCCACCATGCCCGGCCCATTTCTTGTTTATCTTCTTAATTTCTTAGTTTGCCCAAGTTTAGGGGTGTTGGCATACCAGGCTTTGAGTGTGGTCCACTGGGGAGAAGGTTCCAGAGTGAACCAGCCACCCATGAGGAAGGACTTGCCCCAAACTGAATTATCCCTCTGTGACTCTGCACCCAATGTGGAATGACTGGGACAGTAAATGAGTGGAAGCTGCATTCTTCTCACAGCGACATGGGCCCAAAATGCTACCTGTGCTAAGTGGCTGAGTTTGTGTTATATGTGAGCCATCAGCCTGCGTGTGGGGTCTGCAGTCCTCTGACAGGGTTCAGTTGCCTACCTGGGTCTATCTCGCTTTTGCTCTTTTGCGTGTGTTCTGCAGACCGACCAGAGGTTGTTATTTCACTCTCCATCCCCTCATCAAACTCACCCACCCCAGACCCTTCAGGAACAAAACCCTGACATCCTCCCTCATGCATTTGTTGTGATCTCGTGTGGCCCTGCTCTCAGCTCACCCCACTTCTCTTGGCTGCCAGGTTTCCGTGTTTTGAGAAAAACCTAAAAAAACTACCACCTGCCTCTACTACTCGATCTACTTTCCCCAAACCCTTCTCTGAGTCAGGGTTGAGTTTTCCCTCCCGCCCACCCTGGGCTGGGGGAGATGTGGTCTCTCACTGGTACTTTATGGAAGGGTGTCTTTATTCAATTTGACTGTTGCTATTATGTGGCGAAGCCTTCAATAAAAGTCGTGATTTATGAGATGTGTGTGGCTGTGGTTGTTTTTTCGTTTTCTTTCTTCTTTTTTTTTTTTTTTGCTTTGTCATCTATCAGGGAGAGAAAAGCCAGGCCTGATACTTTCTTGGCATATCCTGTGTTCAGTTAAGAATGTCAGCTGTCGGCCATCAGGAAGTTACTTCTCGGATTGGCTTCTCCTCCCTTTTACCTCTCACCACAGTCCCCTCTTGAAACAGGCAGAGGCCCCTGCTGTCCTGCAGGCTGGCGATAAGGGGCCTGCTGGATGCTGTGGGGAGAGAAGTGGGGCCCCTGGAGTGGCCCCTCGCCCTCTTAACCCTCCTCAGTGGCTATGCGTTCAGCACCCGGTCAGCTCTTGATTGTTTAATAGGAAGAGGCAGGCAGTGCTCTTCCAGGGGTTTCCAGAGTTTTCTTTGTTCTCGAATACGGTGACTCCCCACCCCTCCCAACTTCTCTTTGTTTTTTGGCCTGGCCACTTTAGAAATCCTTTCTTTTCTTTCTTTTTTTTGTTTTCCTTTTCCTTTTTCTTTTCTGCAAAGTATGTGCATGTTAGATAAAGGCTCTTGAATAGAAGGCCTAGCATATTGGGTATTGGCTGCTGAAAATAGGCTAATTGGAGATAGAAGCAAGTTGTCACAGAGGTGCCGTGCTAGGGGGTGGGAGGAGGATGAACCCCAGCCAATGCCAGGATGACTGTTTCCACCTCTCCCCTCTTCCCGCTCTTATTATTAGCTGTTTGCTGAAACGCACCCATGTCTTTGTGGAGCCACCCACAATAGCATTAACCACGTTGTGCCCTGCATCTTAAGCACCTGGTTAAGGCCCTGTTCTACGTCTGGAATTGGTCCATGCTGAGCCCCCAGAGCGTGCGTAAATCAAGTCTTTAACCCACAGCGGGCGGCCTGGGCAGGACCGTGGAAGGTAGGCCTGCTGAACTTGAGTGGAGTGTGTGCCCCTGGGTTTCTAAGCGGCGGCTTCTGAGGCAGAGCCACCCAGACTTTCATTTTGGTTAGTAGCGGTGCTTGTCAGCAAGTTAGAAACTTGGAAGGCCCCCATCGTTCTGGCCTCCTAACAGGGAGAGTGAAGCGGGGGCAAGCTGGGGGACCTGTAAGTGCCCACTGGGATTTATTCAAAGTGAGGTCTTTAGACAGTCCTTGGTGAAATGTGCTGGACTAAAGGGTTAGTCCTTCAGCCCCCTACCCCCAAACAACCAAGTGGATGTGGGTTTTGCCTTCTAGATACCAACAGTCTAAGAGGGCAGGGGGATTCTGCTTTTGTGAGCACCTGGGTGCTTTGAATTTGGACATCTGTTACTCTTCCAGCACCAAGGGTAAAGTAGTTGGCTAGTCCTATACCTGACACCACCAGGTGTGTACCTTCTCTCACTTCTGTGTGTGCTGATGTCCCTGTTACCCATGGAGATCTTGGCATCGAGTTATCCTTCTGGCTTTCTCTCTGGTGGTCTGTCTGTGCTCCCCCATCCAGGTTCTCAGGGGGTCTTCAGCAGTCCTGGCCTGGAATTCTGGCTCCCCTGACCCCCATCTTACACATACCCCCAGCTCCCACACCAGTGGCTCTTCCTTGGCCTGACCTCCCTTTCTTTTGCCTGGAAAACCCTACCCATTTACTTCTCAATTTTATTTTTATTTTGAGACTGGGTCTTACTCTGTTGCCCAGGCTGGAGGGCAGTGGCATGATCATGGCTCACTGCAGCCTCAACCTCCTGAACTCAAATGATCCTCCCACCTCAGCCTCCCTAGTAGCTGGGACTACAGGTGTACCACCACACCTGGCTAATTTTTGTATTTTTTTTAGAGACAGGGTTTCACCATGTTGCCCAGGCTGGTCTTGAACTCCTGGATTCAAGCGATCTGCCTGTCTCGGCCTCCCAGAGTGCGGGGATTATAGGCGTGAGCCACCGTGCCTGGCCAAACCCACCCATTTTTAAATGGCTCATCTCAAATATCTCCCCTTCCTTGAAGCCTCTTCTGCTTTCTTCCCTCCCCAAGGCAGTGACCCTCCCTCCTCCTAGCCCTATGGCCTCTGCTGGTTCTTTTAGAACCTGTTACCTTATTGTTCCCCCTGGTCCTTCTTGTTCCTGTCCTGTATGCCCCAGTAGCAGGTTACATATTGAGGACAAGACTGTCGGTGTCACTGCTGTCCTATAGAACTTTCTGTGATGGAGGAAATGCTCATCTTAATGCACGTGGGCATGGAGCACTTGAAATGTGGCTAGGGTGACCATGAACTGAATTGCTAATGGCACTTCATTTTAATTAATTTACAATTTAACTTCAGTAGCCATGTGTGGCTGGTGCTATTCTGTGTGCATCTTGCTTATCTTTGTATTTTCAGAGGCCCTGGCACTGTATTCTGCTCACAAGAAAAGGCTTGAGAAATCACTTAGGTGTAGAGTCGTGTGAGCTTATGCATTCTTTGCCTATTTTCCACGCAATTTGATTTTTAAGTTAAATTCAATAGACTATATACTTGAGCACCACCAGTGCTTTGGGGGATGCAAAGATGAAAAGACATGGTCTCTGCCTTCAAGGAACTTAAACCTAACGGGTAAATACTTAGTGATAATAGGAAGCAGAATGAAATGAAATGCTACTCTTCAGGAATAGTTTACATCCTGTGCAGGTGTAGAGAAAACAATAGTGTATGTGACTGAGGGGTGTTGGGGAGATGCTTTAGGATGGTCATTCATTCATTCAGTAAATATTTATTGCATGTCACTGAATGGCCCAGGTACTGGGAATACATCTGTGGACAAAACAGACAAAATTCCTGACCAGAAAGCTTACTTTCTGGTAGGAGGGGGACAGGTGAGAAATAAAACAAGCAAATTATAGAATGTGCTAGAAGATGAGAGGCTGGGAGAAGGTCTAGGGAGTGCTGAGGTGTGGGCGGAATTGAAGTTTTCAATGGAGTAGTTAAGGAAGGCCTAGTGGAGATGGTGACATTTGAGCACAGACATTTGGACCAAGACTTGAGGGTCTGAGAATCGTGATAGGAGGTAAAGACAGGTGGGAGGATATTCCTGGGTGAGGGAACAGCTTGAATGAAGATCTGGGGTGTGGAAATGTGAGCAGTGGTCAGAGACATGTGGTTGGAGCATAGAGGGTAGACAGAACAGGAAGATGAAGCTTCAATGTTAGTTGGGAAACTGATAACAAAGGGCTAGAAAACCCTGCTGGCAATTTTTGATGGCTCTGCAGATACCCTGCCTCCCTGATTAACATATTACCCCCTCCACCCACGAGGACAGTGGTCCCAGTTATTACTTCTGTTCTTCCCATAGGGATTTATTCCAAGTAGCTGCTCAGAAATTGTGTTTATTAAAGGACAGTTAAAACTAAGCCAAATGTCTTACGATGAAATTTTGAGAAAGCAAAAGTCTAATAAGATCAGGTCTCTCCTTTGGGTAATTGTACCATTGGCTCTTATGCTATTTCTAGGCATCTCTTTGTGCAGACTGAGTACTCTGCTATGTCCCAGGTGTCTCAGTCCCTGTGTTTGAACATGTTCATTTGCCCTGGATTCACTTTGGGACACAGAGAAGGTTTGAGGAAGAAAGGGCCTGTGAACAGCAGGAACAGGGTGGAGGACCAAGGAGGCTTGTAGAACAGGGTCTGTGTCCAGGGAGAGGAATGCTTCATTTCCCAGCAAGGACAGAGACCCAGAGACTTAATGGCTGGACAGGAAATGAGTTGTTCTGAGCCACAGATGCCACTTGGAGAACAACTATACAAGATTATCATAGTTTTAGATGTACCCTGAGTTTTAAGAATTCAGATTTTGCCTAGGAAGAGGAGGAGGGCCTTTGGCAAGGGCAAGAAAGGCCTCTTAAAAATACATCGCCCATCAGCCTGTTTTAAGGTGGCTGTTTGGAACTACTGACATTTACAATGATAATAGATATAAAAACCATTTCTAGGCTGGGTGCGGTGGCTCATGCCTGTAATCCCAGCACTTTGGGAGGCCAAGGCGGGTGGATCACCTGAGGTCAGGAGTTCGAGACCAGCCTGGCCAACATGGTGAAACCCTGTCTCTACTAAAAATACAAAAAAGAATTAGTGAGGCATGGCAGTGCATGCCTGTCATCCCAGCTACTTGGGAGGCTGAGGCAGGAGAATCGCTTGAACCCAGGAGGCGGAGGTTGCAGTGACCCAAGATTGCATCATTGCACTCCAGCTTGGGCAACAGAGCAAGACTCCGTCTAAAAAAAATAAAATAATAAAATAGAAATCATTTCTACCCAGAAAAAACTGACATTTTAGACTCCTGCCTTTCTAAAGGCAGAGTTGACCACTACAAGCATATGGTGGTGTGCCTTGGGGGTGGTTATCATATTTATGGATAAATCTTTCAATGCCATCAGCAGCGAGGTTTACCCCCAATGAATACAACTAACCAGAGACTGCCAGGTCACTCCACGGCTTGGTGCACCCATGGGCCTGTCTGGGAGACTTGCTCACGTGGCAGCTCAGAGTTTGCTGATAGCTGCGTGTAGACTGCTGGCCCAGCAAGCACCCAGATCCATCATGGGAAGTGTGTGGCTGAGATCTGGATCCAGTGAAACTGAAAACTGACTCTTCATCCTACTAAACATCTTTGTGATATTGAACACTGTTGACCCTTCCTTTCTATTTGAAATGGCCTGACTTCTGTGTTATAGTTATTGTTGCTGTGGAACAAATTACCCTCAAATTTAGCAGCTTCAGGTAACAATTTTATTATGCTCATGGAGTCTCAGGTCAGAAATTTGGATGGGGCATAGCAGGGACAGCTGGTTTCTTTTTCACCTGGTGTAGGACCTCAGCTGGGAAGACTTGAAATCAAGGGGAGACATGATGGCAAGGGGCTGGAATTATCTGAAGGCTTGTTCACTCATATGTCTGGCTCCTGAACTGGGATGATTCAAAGAATGGAGCTCCTACATGTGGTCTGTCTATATGGTTGGGCTTCCTTACAATATGGTGGCTTCAGAGGAGTGGGACTTCTTGCTTGGTGGCTCAGGGCTCCAAGTGTAAGTGTTCTAGTGAACAAGCTGGAAGCTGCAGCACCTTTTTATGACTCAGCATTGAAATTCATGTTCATCCCTTCTTCTGTCCTCTGTTGGTTGAAGTAGTCAGAAGCTCCCTCAGACTCGAGGGGAGGGACAGAGACCAAGGAACCATGTGCTGCAATTGGCAAAGCAGTTTTTCTTCCTCCTCCCCTAGTTCAGTGAGTGGTGCTTTGGGTTTCCAAAAGATGCTGGCTAACTCCTGAAACTGTTCTTGTCCTTGCTTTTACTCTACCCCATCATCACATCCACTCCCATGATTTCAGTGGCCACTAGATGTTGGTGAATTTAGTCTGATCTTTCTCTTGAGTTCCAGAGCAGATACACAGATTGTCCTACAGACACTGAAAATTTAACATACTCAAAGTGAACACATTTATCTTTCCTCTGCAAACCTGCTGCTTCTGCATCCCCTATCTCAATTGGTGACACCACCATCAGCCACCCAGTAAACTCAAGACCCTTCCCTCTCCCTCCTTTCTGCCTTTGGCCATTTACCCAGTCCTGATAATTTTGTCTCCTACTCTCTCTTAAATCTTTTCCCTCTTTGTTATGCAAATGATCCTTGCTTTAGTTCAGGGTCCCTTCATCTTGAACTATTATGATAAGCTCCTAACCGTTCTTACAGGCTCTATTTTCAACCTCTCAGATCCATCCTCTACAGAATAACCTATCTAAAACACAAAGCTGGTCATGTTATTCCCCAGCTTAAAATGGTTACCCTTTGTCTACAGGATGAAGTCCAGTCTTCTTTGTTATGGTCTGCAAGACTTCTTGTGATATAACCCTTGTTCATGTCTCCATCCTCATCTCCCCTCAGACCCTCCTTTTCACTTGACTTCTAGCAATCCAAAAGTTTAGTGCCTGAAACAAGCAATGATATTCCATGCTGCTGTGACTCTGTCTGCCCTTCTCTCTTGTCTTCCTGAAAAACTTCTGCTCATTCGAGACGAGCCTGGCCAACATGGTGAAACCCCATCTACTAAAAATACAAAAAACTAGTCAGGCATGGTGGCACATGCCTGTAATCCCAGCTACTCACAAGGCTGAGGCAGGAGGATCGCTTGAACCTGGGAGTTGAAGGTTGCAGTGAGCTGAGATAGTGCCGTTGCACCCCACCCTGGGCAACAAGAGCAAAACTCTGTCTCAAAAAACAAAAAACAAAACAAAAAAACTCCTGCTGCTCATCATTTCAAACCCTAGCCAAGCATCTCCTCTTTCAAGCCTGCCCTGACTCTACTGACATAGTTCATCATATTTCCCTGACTGGTCTGACTTCTGTGTTATAGTTGTTGTTGCTGTGGAACAAATTACCCTCAAATTTAGCAGCTTCAGGTAACCATTTTATTACACCTGTCTCTTTTGCATACCATACCATGGTGTGTGTTAGGTGTCTGGGAGATCTTCAAGGGCACAGAACGAAATCTTGTAGTCTGGGATCCCAGTTCCTGTTAGGTGCTCATTAATGGTTGATGTCGATTGGAATGAATCAGGAGTAGGTAATACAGACAATGGCAGTTGTCCTAGAATCTATGAATGCCAGTGGTTTCTGGCCCTTCCCTATTTTACTTGACCTTTTGACTGATTTCTTATCAAGAGTCACCAATGGTCTTTTTTAGATATAAAGATACCCCTATCGAATCACCAGCTGTGCGTGTCCAAGTAGCCTGGAAGGGTTTGTCTGACTTCATCTAACTTCATCTTCTGATGTTCTAACTTTATCTTCTAACATCATCCTCTGATTGTGGCACTTTCTGCTTGGGTCCTCAGTGGCTGCTGAACAGAACTTTGGCCAGCTGTTCTTCGTAGGAACAAAGCCTTTTATCTTCTTAGTGCTTGTGCCCAGTGTAGCAGTGAGGAGTGTTTGGGATTACCTGAGGGGAAAGAGAGAAAACAAGTAGGGTGTCCAGGAACCTAGAATAATCCACAGAGTAATTCAGAACAGGGAACATTCATCCAGCATTTGTCCAACCCATATTTATTGAATGCCTACCATGTGCTAGGCATTCTTTTAGGTGCTAGGAATACAGGGGTGCACCAAACAGATGCAAGTCCTTAACTTCCATTCTAGAGGGTGCATTGACCACAACCCTTCTGAAGCTTCCATTCTGGAGGGTGCATTGACCATGGTCCTCCCTTCTGAAGCCTCCATGCTGGAGGGGACATTGACCACGACCCTCCCTTCTGAAGCCTCCATGCTGGAGGGTGCATTGACCATGGCCCTCCCTTATGAAGCACACCTTCTGTGGGGCATCCTGATGGCAGCTGATTTGACTATGAGTCCCTAGCCCAGTACCTTGTACGTAGCAGACACTCAACAAATGTTTGTGGAGGGAATGATTAAGTGTTGTTGGACAAATGAGGTTTAACTGTACAGATTTTTCTTTCTTGAGGGAAGGGAACCAGATTTTGTTAAGTGCTTGCCAGGTGCAGGGCAACTTCCCCTTAGAAGACCCTGGGCTTCCAGGCAGAAGTGCCCTTCAGAGAGAGCCACACGCCATTTGCTGGGCCATGTGTCTGATTTGACAGCCCTCCAGGGTGAACTACAAAATGAGCCCTCCATGTTCCGGCTGACAGCTACAGGTCCCCAGTTGCCTCTTTGCCTCAATAAACAGCCAGCCCAGACCAGTTAGCTGGGTTGGGCGCATTGGGGAATATATCTTTTCCTTTTTTCTTTTTCATTGTTTGGTTGGCCTAGTGCAAGTGTTTTAAATAGAACAGACATCATGGCTATAAAACATCTGTAACACTACACATTTAGTAAAGTTCCTGGCGGACTGAGTTCTGTTTGATTGGTGATATTTTTGCTGCGACTGTTGTTTCCTTTTCTCTTCTGTTTATCCCTCTGGAAAATAAGTTTTCTTTTATGTGAGGATTTATAGAAATATGTTCCTGGCATGTGGAGAGCATGGATGTATTAGGATATTGGTGTAGCAGAGAAATATTACCTCCGAGGCATGGCCAGCTTTATCTCATAGAGAGTGATCTTCCTAATGTGCAACAGTCTGTTACTCTTTACAGGGTCAGGAGCTACCTAGGTTAAGGCAGATAAAGACACTGCCTTGTGTTGAGGTAGCATATCATTTTTGCTAGAGCATCTCTAACCATTGGAAGTTGATGGGCTGGCGATGGATTGATTCAGGGTGGTGTCTGAGAAATCAAGGGTAGTAGAATTCATAATAATTAGTATTTAATTTATAGAGTGTGTGTCATGCCTTTTCCAAGTACTTTTCCTTCTGTTGTTTAGCCTATAAAACAGGCAGGGAAGGTTTGATCCCCATTCACAGATGAGCAGACAGAGGTGAAGTCACTAGTGGGGAAGGGAAGGTGGTGGGGAGGGGGAAGAGGGACTTAATTGTGTGCCTGTCATTGCAGTCCATTCCAAATAAGCATGTTTCATGTGTTATCTCTTTTAATACTATTTTGTAGAAGAAGGAACAAGTTTAGAGAAGCTCAGTCACTTGCAGTGATCACCTAGTAAAATGCATTACAGGATCGGGTTGCCTGAGTTTGTCCTCTTTCCACTCCTTCAGCCTGCTCAGGGCACTGGGATTGGAACCTGGCCTTCCAATCTCCAAAATCTTCAAATCTGATGCTCTTTTCAGCCTCTATGGCCCTCTTAGGTTTAGAAAAATCATCTTCCGTCCTTAGAGGGTTGAGACATTCAATAAAAGGCAGAGAGACTTGCTCATGATGATTTTGGCCTCTCTCTTTTACTACAAGCCTTTCTTTGGGTTTCCCCCTTTTCCCTCAAAGGAAGTTACTTGTGGAGGTTGGAAGAGGCCAGATCAGCATATCTGGGCTGGGGGGAATTTGACTTTTTTTCTTGATAGGTAAAATTTATGACTTAACAGATGGCTGAGTGTATTTCCAAAGACCACTGCGCTCAGGGTGCAATGTGCTTATCGCTTCTTATGCCTTCCCCACCTGCCCCCACTTGCTCTCTTGCTCCTGGGGTGTTTCTGGAACAGTAGAATAGCTGGGCAAGAAGGGACCTGCTGGTGGGGGAGCTAATCCTAGCCCGCATGCGGGTTGCTTAGGACTGCTGTCCAGGTGTCTTGCTCCTGGTTCATGCCTTTTTCTCTACTTCCTTGTCAACATCTAAGTGTTAAGATCACCCAGCCTCCCCACCCAATGGCCCTACTCTTCTTTTTTCTTTTTCTTTTTTTTGGAGACTTCTTGCTTTGTCACCCAGGCTGGAGTGCAGTGGTGCCAACTTGGCTCACTGCAACCTCTGCCTCCTGGGTTCAAGTGATTCTCATGCCTCAGCCTCCCAAGTAGCTGGGATTACAGATGTGTACCACCACACCTGGCTAATTTTTGTATTTTTAGTAGAAGTGGAGTTTTGCCATGTTGGCCAGTCTGGTCTCAAACTCCTGACCTCAAGTGATCCACCTGCCTCTGCCTCCCAGAGTGCTGAGATGACAGGCGTGAGCTACAGCACCTAGCCCCTGCTCTTCTTCTTCTTCTTCTTCTTCTTTTTTTTTTTTTTTGATACGGAGTCTCACTCTGTCACCCAGGCTGGAGTGCAGTGGTACCATCTCAGCTCACTGCAACCTCCGCCTCCCAGATTCAAGCAATTCTTCTGCCTCAGCCTCCCAAGTAGCTGGGACCACGGGCATGTGCCACCACACCCAACCAATTTTTGAATTTTTAGTACAGACGGGGTTTCACCATATTGGCCAGGCTGGTCTCAAACTCCTGACCTCATGATCCGCCTGCCTCGGCCTCCCAAAGTACTGGGATTACAGGTGTGAGCCACTGCGCCCGAGCCCCCTGCTCTTCTTTTTAATAGCTGGATTGAAAAGTCACTCTCCCGTTTAAACCCCACAGAGATTCAGCCTTCCCGTTGGGCCTGGCCTATCCTCCTTGCATCCCACAATGTCTTATGCTGCAGTCTTTTGGGACCACTAACAGTCCTTCTGCCAGACAGGCTGCAAAGGCCCTTCTCCCCTTTCTTCCTGGCTCTCCCCTGCTAACCTTTAAGCTGCAGGTCATGCCCAGCCCTGTGCTCTCACAGCTCTACCATACTAGAACTAACACAGGCTCTTACTTGAATGTAAGCATCTTTGGAGCAGAGATGAGGTCTCATGCAGTGCTTGGCACATAGTGGGTCCTCACAACAGGTTTGATGAGAGAGTGGATTAATGAACATGGCTTGCCACTGGAGACACTCAGCTGCCATTTCTTTTCTTACCCTCTTGGTCTTTCTCAGGACTCAGCAAACCTTTTTTCAACACCTACTACGTGCCAGGTGCATTAAAATAATTTGATGCTTACAGCAGCTCTGTGACATATAGGTATTGCCCCCACTTTATGCGTAGTTTGCCTAAAATTACCCAGCTAGGACTCAAGTCCAGCAGTTTCTTGTTGAAATCCCAGGCTCCTTCTGCTCTTCTGTGGCTCTTCACCCCTCATGCTCAGGAAGGGTTTTAATGAACAAGAATCTGAAGGCCAGGCATGGTGGTTCACTCCTGTAATCCCAGCCCTTTGGGAAGCTGAGGCAGGAGGATCACTTGAAGCCAGGAGCTTGAGACCAGCCTGCGTAACATAGCCAGACCCTGTCTTTACCAAAAAAAAAAAAAAAGAAAGAAAAGAAAAAGCCAGATGTGGTCGTGTGTGCATGCTTGTAGTCTCTTCTACTCAGGAGGCTGAGATGGGAGGATTACTGGAGCTCAGGAGTTAAGGCTGCAGTGAGCTATAGTCATGCCACTGGCCTCTGGCCTGGGTGACAGAGCAAGACCCTGTCTCAAAAAACTTGGCTTTTGTTGAGGCCTCTATCCTTGCCATTTTTCCCGTTAGATGGCAGAAGTAGCTTCTTACAGAGCCCTGGCTGCATATTAGAATGTTCTGGGGAGTGTTTAAAAATACTGATGCCCAGGTCTCACCTTGAACCAATGAGATCCCTGAGGGTGGGGCCCAGGTATCAGTAAGTTTTAACGACCCCCACCCCGCAGGCCATGCGAATGTGCAGCCAGAATTGAGAACCTCTGCACTACAGGAGTGTCAGTGTGTGGATTAGGTAAAACTTGCTCATCAGAAACTGATTGCCACGTACATCTAAAATATGGTAATGAAGGTAATCAAGGCTAAGGGTTGAGGCTGCCATTTGTTCTTTTCGTGAAATCAACTGGAGGGTTTGGGGGATGGGGTAACTTGGCTTTAGAACCTGCCTACCAGCAAAGTTTTTATACACTCGCTCCTAAGAAGAGCAGGCCAGATTGTTGCTGATGAGAACAGGCCTCGTTCTGGCAGGTGGCTCCCAGTTTACTGGAGAGATGGGCTCTGGAAATCCTCTCTTGGTCTGGCTTCTCTCTGAAGCTTGGTTTTCCTTAAGTTGTGGTGTATCCGAGGGTCTGTAGTCTCGGCCATTCCTTCTAACATGGTTTCTCAGCCTGTCTGTGATGTTTCCCAAATGTCATAGTGAAGGACTCAGAGGTTCCCCAAGATGATAGATCGGGGGTGGCTATTTACTTCTGTTTACAGGGAACTTTGACATGCTCAACTTTTGTGTAGAAACCATTTTCCCTGGTAGTTGCTACCCAGATAAATGGAAATGTTTTGGGAAAAGAGCAATTTGGGAGCTCTGAGCTTGTCACCAAGGTTGTGTGTTCCTAAATCCTGCAGCCTGTACTTGGGCTGGTTTCTTTTACCCTGAGCACAGCCGGTGTGAAGAGCCTCAGGCATTTCTCAGCGTGGGAATAGGCACTGAGGAGATTCCAGCCAGGAGGAGAAGCTGGGAGAAAGGTTGCGCTGGAGGAGACAGAACCCTTGTGTGGATGGTGTTCTCAGGGTTACGATTTCACATTTGTTGTTTCAGCTTGTGTTATTTCAGCCAGTGTCCTAGGCCTGTTTTATAGAACGGAGAACGTGAGGCTCGGAACTGTTAGGAGACTTGACCCAACCTCATCTGAGAAACCAGGGTCAGTTATTTAGCATGTCTCAGTTTACATAGGTGTGCTTGAAAATGGGAACTTCCTATTATTGTTGTATTTGCATCATTTCTGTAGGCAGAATGACCTTGGGCCTGTGCTTTAGTCATGGGACCCTGAGACCATCGTGCCACCATTTCTAGGGCCCTACCCCTCACCGTGAGTCATCTGTGCATCTTCAGAAGAATTCCACCCTGGGTGGGCAACTCGGGCTCCCACTGCTGGAGTGACAGGCACAGATGGAAAGACTGAGTTCATACCAACCCCACCATCCTGTCTGGCTCTTTCTTTCCCACCTCTTTCTGAGGTTTATTAAGAATCTGCTTTGGCTGCCTTTCTCATGCTGGGGCTTTAGAGGGGCCTCTTTTGTATGCAGAAATGCACGACTTCCTCGCAGATTCAAAAACAGTGAAGGTTTCTTACTTAATTTTGCTTAATACCACTGTTGTAAAAGATTATGGGTTTTAATTGCATCAGTGTATTGGTAATCATTCAAACACTTGAGAAAGTCTTTGGGGTCTTCCCCATAGTGGGTCTGAATCACCGTGTGGTGAGCACTGGGGGGCAGCGGCTCCCAGAGGGATGGAGTGATGGAGAAACCGCCTGCAGATGCAGAGCAGCCTGGGTGCCTGTGATCGGAATGACGGCTAGCCAGCCACCTCGCTCTGCAGCGCTTGATGCAGGGATCATGATCCTTAATTTCCTGTGCTTTCCAAGGCAGCCCTCATCTCTCTACCTTTGTCGGTTACCTCCCCCAGCCCCCAATAGGAGTCAGTGCTACTGTTTAGGATATTACTCTCTGATAGTAATCTGTGGACAGGTCACCCCTGTGGCTGCGGCTTTTTCCCTAGGGTAAGAGGAAGTAGTATTTTTTAAATTAGCCTAGGAGGGAGCCAGGTAGAGAGCTCTGAGATGAGGGTGGGGAGCTTCAGCTCCCAGCCGAAGCATCCTGATCATTTCATTACAAGATCACCTTCTCCTGTAGGTGAGTTTCTGTTGTTTTAATCAGAGGTAACGTTGTGCCCTGACTATGTTGTATAATTGTGTGTGAATTATATTCCAGCTCCATATAGGCGAGGGCTATTTTTTTCCTTCCAATTTTAAAGCTATTTAGAGGGAAGGCCAAATTGTAGCTTGAACCCTGGTGCTCTCTGGCTAATAGCTATATACAGGGAGGGAGAACTTGGAGGAACATTTGGGGTTATATTTGTAATTAGTTTCCTTTGAAGTTAAATTAATTTTAGCAATCGGCAACGTAAAATATTGTTATACCTTTTTCCAGTGGTCACCTGTGGGTGACCTGAGGCCTGTGGAATTGATGAGAGACGAAGCGGTGGGAATGGTGGGCAGGCACACTTTCTTGGACATGTGGGCTTATTTTAAGTCATTTTTGCATTCAGACTCTTGGCTTAGGGATCTCTCTGGCCTGTCATTTTTTTTTGACAGCTTTATTGAGATATAATTCAAATACCATATAATTCACTCATTTAAAATGGTGCAATTCAATGGATTTTAGTATATTCACAGATATGTGCACCCATCACCACAGTCAATTTTAGAGCATTTTTATCACCTCAAAAAGAAACCGCATACCCTTTAGCCATCACTCCCTCCCTCTCCCCTGGCTCTATGCAACTACTAATTTACCTGCTGTCTCTACAGATTTCCCTATTATGGACTTTCATTTGGATGGAATCAAATACAGGTTGAAGATCCCTAATCTGAAAATCCAAAATCCAGAATGCTCAAAAATCTGAAACTTTTTGAGTGCTGTCATGGTGCTCAAGGGAAATGCTCGTTGGAGCATTTCAGATTTTTGATTTTTGAATTAGAGATGCTGAACTATTGAGTATAATGCAAATATCCCAAAATCCAAAAACATTTGAAATCTGAAACACTTCCGGTTCCACACATTTCAGATAAGGGATACCCAAACTGTAATACGTGATGTTCTGTGTCTTGCTTGTTTCACTTGGCATAACGCTTTCAAGGTTCATCCATGTTGCAGCATGTGTCAGTACCTCGTTCCTTTTTACAGTTGAATAATATTCTATTTATGGATGTACCACATTTTGTTTATCCATTCGTCTGTTGATGGATATTTGGGTTGTTCTATTTTTTGGCTGTTGCTGCCATGAACACTTGTGTAAAAGTTTTTGGGTGGACATAGGTTTTAATTTCTCTTGGGCATATACTAAGGAGCGGAATTGCTGGATCATATGGTAACACTATGTTTGTTTATTTATTTATTTATTTATTTATTTTTGAGATGTTTCACTCTTGTCACCCAGGCTGGAGTGCAATGGCACGATCTTGGCTCACTGTAACCTCCGCCTCCCGGGTTCAAGTGATTCTCCTGCCTCAGCCTCCCAAGTAGCTGGGATTACAGACGTGCACCACCATGCCCAGCTAATTTTCGTATTTTTAGTAGAGATGGGGTTTTGCCATGTTGGCCAGGCTAGTCTCAAACTACTGACCTCAGGTGATCCACCTGCCTTGGCCTCCCAAGGTGCTGGGATTACAGGTGTGAGCCACCATGCCCAGCCTGGTAACACTATGTTTAATCATTTGTGGAGTTGACAGACAACGCTGTGTTTAATCATTTGTGGAGTTGCCAGACTGTTCCCAAAGCAGCTGCACTATTTTAAATTTCCACCAGGAAGATCTGGCTTGTCATTTTTGCATCTTTGCTGCAAAATTAGAAAAGGTGAAGACATACCTGCTCCTTATGGTGCCCTCAATCCTCCCCTTTTTCCAATTGTTTTTTTTCTTATGGAAAGAAAGAAGATGACACAGTAGCAAATGAAGGTGTTAGAGCAGTGAATAGGAAGGGCAAGATTTGGCTTCTCCATTTGTCACTCCATACGCTGTTTGATTTTGGATGCTTAACATTTCTGAGTCTTGGTTTCCTTATCTGTGGAAGAGTGGCTGGGACCTGCCATAAGATTGACATGAGGACTAAGTCAGGCAACTCATGGGAAGTGCATACCTCAGGCCTGGCCCACAGATGATCTACAGTGAGGGCAGAGAATTCTAGGCAGGGAAGCAGACACACCAGTAAAAGGGCTTTTCCATAGGGGAAAAGTATATCTCAACAGCTCAGATTTTATTAGGCAGGAGCCTGCCCTTGCGTAAACTCTGGCCTTACTTTCATCATGTGTTTTTATCAGAGGAACTTGAATCCTTGTGTCACCTTTGGGTTGCTTCTCCTTACAGGTGGCTTTGTCCTTCCCATTCTTCACCTCAAGACAGGTGTCATTTGACCATTTAAAGCAGAGATGTCCTCCCTGTGGCCTCTGCCAGTGGGCGTGACTTGCCTTGCTTGGGTGGGTGTGATGCCCTCTTCCCCCATAATTGATAGAGTTTCCATGTGGACTGTGGCTCTGCTGTCACCAAAAAAAGGTGAGGTCAAGGCAGTGGTGTCCTTGCGCTTCTCCCGAATAGATCTCTGTATTAGTTTTGTGGGACAGCTGTAACAAATTACCACACACTGAGTGGTTTAAGAAATAGAAATATAGTCTTTCATAGTTCAAGAGTTCAGAAGTCTGAAATCAAAGTGTCAGCAGGACTGGTTCCCTCTGGAGGCTCCATGGGAAAAACTGTCCCATACCTCTCTCCTAGCTTCTGGTGGTTGCCCGCAATTCTTGGTGTTCCTTGGTTTGCAGGCACATCACTCAAGGCCCTGCCTTCATCTGCACATGGCCACCTTCTTTCTGTGTCTGTTTGTCCTCTTCTTAGAAGGACACCCGTTACTGGATTTAGGGCTTACCCTATGTCCAGGATAACTTCATCTCAAGATTCTTAACTAATTACATCTGTAAAGACCCTGTTTCCAAATAAGGTCACTTTCTGAAATTCTAGATGGACACGAATTTTGGAGGAACTCTTTTTGATCCAACCCAGTCTCTTTTCCACATGTGATCCTAGAAACAGTTGGAGAAGATGCCCAATACCTGACCTGTGTTCTGACTTTGCAAGCTAAGTAAGTTTGCCACTGGATTCAGATGTGATGGTGATAGTAGTTATGGTAGTGATGAAGGTGGCAGGAGGGTGGCTCCGAGGGTGATGGTGGTAGAGTTGGTGGTGGCAAGAATGGTAGTATTGGCAGTTGTGAGGGTGAGGGAGGATGGGAAAAATATGGGGAGAAGTAGGGATTTTAGAGGGGAGGTACCTTGAATGAAACACCTTGGGGAATGGAGTCTTGGTGTTCGGGAGTTCTGTGATCTCAGGCAGCCCTGCTCGTGGGTCTGGCATACAAAGATTGGACTTAATTCTCAAATGCAGACTGATAGGAGAAGACTGCCACATTGGCAGATACATAGGATTTCATCCTGGATTCTGAATTTGGTGAGCACTTTTGTTCTTCAGTGTCACTGGACAGGATGGGGTAATAGACAGAGCCCTTGTCTGAGCCTGGGAAAGCTGTCCTCCTAACTACCTGCCTTGCCTTTAACTAGCATGCGAGTCATCTCATTGACTTGACTTTTCCATCCGCACAATGGGGAGGATGAACTAGAAGGTTTGCAGCATCCTACCCAGTGCTAGCATTTTAACATCTTTCCTGGGCTTTCTCCACCTTGGGGTTCCCACAGATGAGGCATCATCTGCAAACAAGCCTGTGTTCTTGGGGAGTGAAGATGGCTTACATTTTTTCATCATGGGGAATTTGAACTCTTTTAAGGAACATGATAATAGCCAGAGCTGATTTAATTCCTGTGGGCCTTTCTCATACTCATTTAAGGCTCTCCAGAGCCATTTCCTGCCTTTTCATGTATTTGTTCTGATTAAGAAATATTTGGTTTTTTTGGTGTTTGTTTTGTTTTTGTTTTCCTTGTGTGATAATGAATATCTTTAGGCCAGTGCTGTTGGAATTAAGTTTTCCCTTTAATCTCATTTTTAAAAGTAGTTTCTCTTTTCTAACCTCCCCTTACCCCACTCTGCCTTCAACACACACACAAAACACACACAGCACACACACCACACACACACACACACACACATCCCATTTGCTTTATCCTATTTTATAAAAATACAAACAGTGGTCCCATTCCTAGTGACCGTTTCTGATGCAAACACATTTTTTAAAAGGGAATTTTTTTTAACTCAAAAAGCCAGCTCTCTGTTTAGAGGCAGGGAGGTGGAGTGCTCTTTGCAGCTCTGGTTAGTACTGGCTTTGGCCAGTTCTTACGTGTAAACAGCAATTTTCCAAACGGGAATGGGTGCTGGGGTTTTCTTTATGGAGCCAAGGGGTATGTGGAGAGCAGCGGTGTTTAGTTAAATTACAGGTCTAGATGCAGAACTTTCCAGCAATGATTTGTGAGAGCCTGAACACTCCCCACTGCCCTTTGTGCACACAGGCAAGAGCGCACACACGCACACATGCACACGGACACCTCCTGCTTCCCAGAGTGACACCTTAAACCATAAAAGGAGGGGCGCCTGCTGGGAGAGGGGGCTGTCCCCACATGGTGCAAGGCTGTCGGGTAGGTATCTGGTGTCTCTAATGGTGGGAAGCACTCACATACCAAAATGTTATCCGCAACCTCTCCACTAAAACTCCAAGCAAAGGAAATTTAAGATCAATTTCCTAATGGATTTTGGACTGAGCTCCCTGAAACAGATGGGTAGCTCTCCATCTCAGTTCACTGTGGAGCTGAGTGGGGCCATCTGAGCATTTTGGGATGCAGTGGCTGCTTCCCTGTACCCTGTATGGGTACTCTACTGGTATTAAGGCTGCAGGTTAGGAAACAGTTACCTGAAGGGCCTATCCTAGGAGGAAAACAGGTGGCTCTCTCTTCACTGGGTAAAGAGGATTTTTGTTTTTTTATAACCCAAAAGGAGTATAGAACCCGGGGGCCTGCCTTGTCCAGCCTTCTCACTGTATCCAGGTTTAAAGTTCCAGGGATACTGAATGGTTCCTTAGGTAAATGGAAGCCAAGACTCAAGGAGTGGGACTGGAGTTGACCCAAACACACACCCATGCATGTGCATATACATGTGTGTGCACCCTCACGTGTCCATAGAAACCTTGCATAGTATTGATGGGAATTCGAGGACCTCCATTTAGTCCCACTGAAAGTCAGGACACAACATCCCAGCCCCATCCCCTTCCTGCCCTCCTCAGTAGCCATGGAGATGGCAAGGAAACCGAGAGAAGAATGTGTGACTCTAGGGTTCTCTGCCTCTCGTGTCCCTCACCAGAATGCAAATTGTGGAGCAGGCCACAGTCCATTTGGCAGTCATGCTGGCAGCATTCTCAAAGTAAATCACTTCCATTTCCCCCAGCATGCCCCTGGCGGGAGAGGTCACTGTGCACAGCCCTGTCGCCCCCATAGCTGTGCCCCCTTCTCCTAAAGCCGAGACACTGGTGAGCAGCTAACCAAGGGTTGCCCATGTTTCCACTGGCCTTTTCACGTTTGGAAGGTTTTGATTAAAACAGTTTCTTTCAGTGTTTGCTGAGGAGTGGGATCCATCACTGTATCTGAGCTGGTCCCTGGAGAGGATGTTTTAGTAACTTGGACACTTTGGTGCATTGTCTGGGACCTGGAATTTCTCATCCTTTTTTAAAAAAAGGTGTTTTAAAGGCCTTTTGGGGACTGTGTAGATTTATAGCTGAATGGCTGCCTCTGTGTTTAGGGCTCTGGCTAGGCAGGTTTATGGCTATAAGGCAACGGTGGAGGGTGTATGAAGAGATATTTTCATTTCACCAGTTATTGGGGAATGAACAATCTGTTGACTTCTGTTATTTGGAATGAAGACATGTTGTTTGTTGAATTCTCTGGGACCACATGAACGTTTGGAATATAGACAGGGCTGCTGTATACCCGCCCGACTCTAAACAGTGTATAAATGAGACCATGGGGTTCAGATTATAGTATGGCTCTCCAGAGTTTCTTCAAATTGAGAACTCTACTAGTGTATGTTGGTAGATCACGTTAGTGTTTCTTTACAGACATTTAATTACTTGGCTGGGGTAAGGGAAAAAAAGGAATGAAAAATCTAAAATTAAACTATTGGGAATCTCTGCCCATCTGAAAGCATGTAGAGATGCAGGAAAGTGTTTTTGAAATTATAGTGGAAGACAATAGGACAGTAAGAGATGCCTTTTCAAAGACACGTTTTTGTGTAATGTGTCTTTTCGCTGCGTGTTTGGTTCTGAGCTTGAAAGATGAGTCTAGTAACTGACTTTGGTCAGTTACAGTGACCATTTATTTAGCGACTACACAGTGCCCTGCTAGACACTTGGCATACATTACTTAATTTACTCCTGATAGGAACCTTGTATGGTAGGCTAATCATTATATCTTCATTTTATAGTGGATTACATTCCACATTCTATTAGAATATAAGCTCCGGCACCTCGCACTTAATGTATCTGTTGAATGAATACATTAGCAAAGTTAGATTAGTAAAATTTGGTGATTCATGAGTGTAGGGACAGATGTAAATCTGGAAAGGGCTAATCATTATATCTTCATTTTATAGTGGATTACATTCCACATTCTATTAGAATGTAAGCTCCAGCACCTCGCACTTAATGTATCTGTTGAATGAATACATTAGCAAAGTTAGATTAGTAAAATTTGGTGATTCATGAGTGTAGGGACAGATTTAAATCTGGAAAGGGCTTGATGGAATTTTGCCATTCAAGTGACCTCGATTTACCAGGGAGACTTAAGGAATGGGTGAGAAGGGAGATGGACAATAATGAGTGAGCATAAGAGGCCAACCAGGTCATGAGAGGTACTTGGAGCTCAGTGCTGTGCACAGTGGTGGGATCTTCATAGAATTTTTCACATGCACTATCTCATCTAATCCCCCATTCATCTGAAAAGAGGTGAAAAAACAGTCAATCCCAGCTTTAAACACATGAGCAAGCCACTGCTTGGTTCTAATGGGCAGAAGGAAGTAGGGAGTAGGTGGTATACTGAGTTGTTAGAATAATGTCCTCTTAAAACACTGTGGAACGTCCATGACAAGGATATTCAAGTTTGGGGTTAACCAGCAGGTTGTGGTGGCATGTGTCTTCTGTGGGAGCTACTAAGCTAAACAAGAGCTCCCTGGAGTCTACGAGCTCCAAGTTTGGGGTCAACCAGCAGGCTATGGTGGCATGTGTCTTCTGTGGGAGCTACTAAGCTAAAGCAAGAGCTCCCTGGAGTCTACGAGCTCCAAGTTTGGGGTCAACCAGCAGGCTATGGTGGCATGTGTCTTCTGTGGGAGCTACTAAGCTAAAGCAAGAGCTCCCTGGAGTCTGCAAGCCTCTCTGCATCATGGCTATGATGCTCATGGATTCATGGGAATCGGGCATTAGGTGGGACCTTGGAGCCCTGACCCAGCATCTCGTGCTGCAGAAAACTCATACCTAGGAGGAAGTGAGTCCTGCCCAGGGTCACACCCAGAGTTAGACCCAGGAGCTGGATTTCCAGTGCCCTACAGCACAGCCTGCCAGTAACCACTGTGCCCCCTGGTGTCACTCACCTCAGGCTCCTGTTGAGGTGGGTCGGTTCACTCATTCACTCAGCAGATACGCCGGGAGCCTCTGTGATGACTGACCCGGGCAGCCATGGCTCCTATGCTTCAGCATCCTACATCACATCGAGTTGCAGTAGAAACAGATGACATTGTGTGTTGATTATATGCCAACAAACTGGTCAGACCCTCACCCATCAAATTCTACAATTTTGTATTGTGACAGTAAAACTAAAATGGCACATAGCCTAAACTCAGTCTTTAGAACGAAATTTATTTTCTTGATTTTGGCTCCTACGTGTAAGATTTTGGTTCCCACTCTGAACAGTTAATGTCATTCTCCTTTTTTTTTTTTATTGTGACAGTAAAACTAAAATGGCACATAGCCTAAACTCAGTCTTTAGAAAGAAATTTTTCTTGATTTTTGGCTCCTACATGTAAGATTTTGGTCTCCACTCTGAGCAGTTAATGTCATTGAGCTTCCTACTCCTTTGGCTTTGGAGCTGGTAGGATTTGGAAATGTGGCCACATTTTTTCACACGTACATCTACAAAACATTCAGTGTTGGTTTCTATGTGCCTGACGCTGTGCCTGGCCTGGTGGAGGATTTGTAGAGGAGTCAAGAGCTTATTGTCTGGAGGAGGAAGTAACTTCACACAAGGTGGAGAGCAGTGAGTGTTAAGACAGGGATATGGAGACACTGTTAGGGGGTTTCAGAAAAGGGTGGACTAACTCCTGGCTGGATTGATAAATAACTATTTTGAATTTTGGAGAAAGGTGCTGGATCCTGGAGGAAGGTTACAACTTGCCGTAGTTAGGTTCAGGAGTGGAGAGGCACCCCAAGGAGAAGGACCTGCAGGAACGAAAGTGTAGGGATCTGGGGATTAGCTGGGCTTGACTGGGTGCAGGGTGAATCAAGATGAATCACAGGAAATCAGGAGGAGGAATCCTGGACAAAGCTTGCAGGGTGGTCTCCAGGTGCGAGGTCAGCGTCTGTGTTGCTTGCAGACGTATACCAGCACCAAGCACAAACAGCTCAGCGTAGACAGCCTGTGCGTACTTTTGAATCGTGTGCATTTCTTATTGACAGGTTTTGTGGATGGTTTCTGGGCAGCAGTTTTTATGCATTTGGGTCTGTTTTGTTCACGTCTCTTAGCTTTAAAATAGCTTGACATGTGATTTTTCTCTTTTTGCTAGTCCATCAGAATGAAGTTGCGTGTTGTGGCTAATGAGGTTCTGAAGTCTCTGTGTCTGTATGAAACTCAAGCTTTTAGGTTGCCATCTGAATGCCTGAGATATGCAGAGTGACTGTCTCTAGCATCCTTAGACATCTAAACGCCCGCGCCATGCAGCTTGAATATATCTAAAATTGCCTTCCTAGAGAAATGTGGAGAGCAGATTGTTTCAGCAGCCTCTTGAGCCCTGCTTTAGATAACCTGGTTAACCCATGCCTTTCTCTTGTCATTTCTTGCAGATGGTCACAAGAACAAAGAAAATATTTGTAGGCGGGTTATCTGCGAACACAGTAGTGGAAGATGTAAAGCAATATTTCGAGCAGTTTGGCAAGGTAAGCGCTGGATGGGGTTGGATGGCACATGCCAGAAGTAGCCTCATCAGTCCTAAGAAGAGGCTACCGTGGCCCCCGCCCCTGCTACAGCTGTGTCCTCAAGAACCTTGTCCTTGAACCTGGCCATCATGATTTAAGTGAAATTCAGCAGAAGCTGAGATGGAAGAGTCTGGCTTGCATTTGGTGTGATGTCCCACGTGCTGGCAGGAGCAGACAGAGTGGCCTTTTAGTGCAGTTTTGCGGGCATTTGCTGGCCACACGGGGCCTGGGCTGGGAGCTGGTGGTGACGGCAGCTGGGGAGGGATGTGGGGCTGTGACTCGCAGGGCAGGAGCTCCCATGGAAGCTGCTAGAGGCCTGCAGGTTGGTGCTGGGCTTCTCCCTTCTGTGCCTGTTTGGAAAATGCATTGAGAGCTGAGTCTCCCTGGGGCCCTTTGCAGCTGAACCCTCCCCTGTCAAATGCCCAAGGAGACTCGGAAACCATGCGAGGCCTGTACCTGTCAGCATTCTCTGACCTGAATGTCTGTGAGACAGCAGTAAAATTACCCCCTGGGCTCTGCTTCTGGAACAGGCTGGGACCAACCCAAGAGCCCCACAGCAGCCAGGAAACAGAGTGTGAGAAGGTGTGTGTATGATAGAGAGTCAGACCGACTGATAGGACATGTCACCGTGGGTGAGGTGTTTAATTCGGCCTCTTTCTAGTGGGTGAAGGGAGATGGTGCCTTGAGAGTGGGTTCTTGCTGAGGATGACACATTCCTCAGATGGCCCTGTTGCCTTAGGAGGGCTGACCCTTGTTGGCTTTTGTGTATACCACCCTCCTCTGGCCCCTGTGGAAATGGCAGGTTCAAGGAGGCTGCGTCCTGCATCTTTGAGTAATTGTGGACATCGCGTGGGAGCCCAGGTCTGGGACAGTCTCCTCCTGACAGGTTTGGGTCTTCCCTGCTGAAGGGCTGACATGGGAGAGAGCTGCTGAGGCGTCCTGAGAAGACACAGTGCCCGTGCTAAGCTCCATCACTTGTTTCCTCCCACGATGGGTGTCGTGCTTGCCATGGGTACAAAGGCACAGCCACCCACTGGCCAGGCTGAAGGTTCTGTGCTGTTGGTTTGCCCAGGGTGATAGGCAGCTATGACCCTGTCCCCAGGTGTGTCTGTTTGTGAACTACTGTCTGGGATGAGGGCCATGACCTTTATTCAGCCTCAAAATGGAGATGTTCTTGTCTCTGGTATTAATTTCTGCCTGGATAGGAGACCGTGCAACAAAGAGAAGCCAGCCTCCTCCAGCCCAGCCTTGCATTCTGAGTGGCTCTGAGCTGCCCTTCCAGGTTGGTTTTGAAAAGGCCTCCCCCATGGCCCTTTCTGGTATTGTCAGCTGGGGATGGATTCATTCTGGCTGGGTCTAAAGAATAGCCAAGTGTGTTGATGACTGTGTACGTTATAGCACTTCTCTCTTCCAGACTGATGTAAAGCAGTAAGGGGGATTTGTCCATCACCCAGCCCCACCCTGCCTAGGGAGAGGGATTGGAAATAATTAAATGAGACAGGTCCGGCTTGCATAATGGAAAGCTCTGGAGGGTGAGCCCTCTTTGCTATCTTTCTGCTTTTAAAACAAGTCCAGGGGTAGTGTTTGCAAACATGAAGTGGGATTTCTTTTTCGAGCCATAACCTGCCTTGGAATCTCATGGGCCTATTTGTGTCAGAAAAGTCGGTGCTGCCCAGATGGGCTTTTAGAGTATTCCAGACAGGCTTCTACTTGCCAACACATAGCACATCTCTGCACGTCCCCAACCCTTGGTTTCTTTCTGTCTCTCTCTCTCTCTTTCTTCCTTTCTGTATTTCTGTTTCTCTCTCTGTTGTTTTTCATTAACACTTATCATTGTGACCCAGTATGCCTCCAGTAAGACACACTGCAAGCTTTGGCCATGCCCACAGTGGCCACCATTGCTGCCCTTAGAACAGTTGTCCTTTTGTCTGAGAAGCAGTCACAAACCATCTTCCCTGGCATGGCACTCGCTGGGTCTGAAGCTGCCCAGTTAATTTTGCAGTAATGTTTGTGGACTCTGGCAGGATGTGCAGACTTATCAAGTGTTTTATTAAAAGACCAAAGAGGCTTTTGAATGTATCAAAGCCATAATGCTCTTCAATGCTCATATTTTAGTAGCTTTTTTTTCATACATAGGTTCTGTGCATTATTTGTGTCTGTCTGCAGAATGGCTTATTTCTCATTTGGCTGGTGGCTTGTGTTACTGTGTGTGTCCCCTTGGGCAGGACTCACCACCTCTCAGGATTCTGGCATAACTTATTTGAATCCAGAATGATCAAAGTCAGGGAGACTCTGCTGCTGGGCCTTGGGAGCACTACAATGATTAAATCCAGTGGTTGTGAAAGGAGGTAACAGGTAAATTGACAGACTGCCTCTCCCCTTCGGTACTTTATACTCTGGTTGAAGGAAACAGAATGAATGTGCACACACACACACACACACACACACACACACTTGCATGAAGTATATTCACACACATGTGTACACCCCCTGTGCACACACATTTCTAACTGTATGAAATTGTTTTTGACTCTCTTTAACCAACTGCAATTTAATGAGGTGTATGCGAGTGCAAAGTGTGGGATACTAGGCCAGGCCATTTACTCACATTATCTCATTTAATTTTTCTCTGGGGGGCTGGTAGTGGTATTCTCCATGTTGTAGACTGTTAAGTGGGGTCTTGATGGGATTGTCTCTTGGACTCAAGGTCACAGCTCTCCAGGAGGTAGAGCTGGGTGTGGACTCCCCCTCCAGGCTTGTCTGATAACAGCATCTGAACTCTGCACCCTGTGCCAACTGCTGATCAGTCCCCAAGATGGACTGACGATGGGCAAGATGCAAAGGACAGGAAGATATTGTGCCCTTCAGTGTGCCCCGGAGTGCTGGGGACCTGGACATTCATCACCTCATTTTACCTGTGCAGCAGATATTGGTATCCTCCAGTCTATTTGGCGAAGGTAGACAGTCAGGGCCAGGGAGGCTGAGTGTCAGCAGAGGTCACCCAGGTAAGACAGTGTAAGAGCCAGAATTCATACCCTACTTCCTTTTCCTCCAAGTCTAGAACTTTCCTTTCACAGCTTCCATGCAAGGTGTACCACTCTCTTTTTAGGTCTCCTTGCCGTCATTCCTCTCTCCTCTCCCTCATCCCATCCTGCCCGAGGTGGCAGCTTCTCCAACTGTTTATTTCAGGTGGCAATCAAGATGGGTAAGACTGCTATCAAGGGGCTGAGCTAAGGGAGTTTAAATATGTCATTACTGTAAGTGGAGTGGGTACAGAGTGACACACCGGGAGCTTTAAATAACTTAAATTGGAGGCTTGTAAACCCTTTTGTGTTTTTCTTCCACCTTCCTCCCAGAAAACACACCCCCTCTCCCCAAGGTTAGAGATGTTGTTACTTGTTTATATTTAAGATCAGGTCACGAAGCGTGGCCACTGGCATAAGGACTCTGCCAACTGAGGTTAACAGCTAACAGGTTGGCAGAATCCACACGTCACCATGAGCTACCCAGGGGTGAAGATGGCATTCCCACCCCTGGGTAGCTGTTCCGGGGTTGTCTGTCCTTGGAGAAGGGTAAGGCAGCAGATACTCCAGGGCTTCATGCTGGGCCTAACAGTGGACTGACCTCCCTGGGACAGCCTGATGGGTTGTTCCTTTGCTGGCCTCGGCTTCTCTTCTCAGGGAAGGGGTTGGAAAACTTAAAAAGGGCCAGATATTAAATATTTGCAGCTTTGCAATCCATGTAGTCCTTGTTGCAGCTACTCACTTCTGCTCTTGTAGGATGAAAGCAGCCATCACCAGCAGGTAAACAGATGCATGTAGTTGTGTGCCAATAAAACTTTATTTACAAAAACAGGTGATGAACCAGATTTGGTCTGTGGACCATAGTTTGCTGACCCCTGGACTGAATTATTCCTGAGGTTAGTTTTAAGCTTGAAAAGTCAGTAATGTAGAAAGTATTCAAACATTAATAGGATGGATAGATTATAATCTAAGGTATCTATAGGCTATAACCAAAATAATACGTTGTCAGTAGTAATAAGCATGGTATATAATCAGCAGTCTAAACCATGTTAGAGTTTATTTTGGGACTTCATGACGCAGGGACAGTGAAGGGATTCTTTATTTGGAAAAAGCCACTATTTATAAACTGGAACTTCATCCTATGAGTAAGAGCCAGAAAAACTGTTATAGTATTTCCATCTCCCTATTTCACCAGCTAGATGTAATTAATGACACTCGGAATTTTTGAGGTCCAGGTTTTACTATGAAGATCCTTTTACTGTGCGCTGTTTCTGAATTGGAGTTACTGGTGCTAAGCTTTCTAATGCATTTTACAATGTGCTTCTCAAGGGTGTCAAGTGAGATGGTTGGCAGATCTATTATGTAGGTGGTGAGGCTGATGTTGAGAAAGGTGAGGAAGTTCTCCAAGATCACTCAGCCCATGCTGAGGAGAGCCTGGATAGTCACTTGTTTGTGCACAACCTACCCTTCGCCTCTTTTTACTTTTATAAAGCCCCACCTCCCACTTTACCACCAAGCAGCATCTTTCTCAGAAGGAGCAGGTTTTGTTCATTTGTCAAAAACGTTGATATACAGTAATTTGTTTTACTGCCCTGGGTTTCTTAGTGGACGTTATCTGTGTTCCTGATTCCATACACACAGGAATGATGTATATAGGCCATTCCAAAAAATGGCAGGTAAATGATGCTCCAGATATGCCCGTGTAGACCCTGGCGACGAGGCGGCCTGTTCTGCACTGTTCTCCCGGCAGAGCCACCCGGAAGAGCCCAGCCTGGTAATTAAAATGCACTGGATCAAAGAAACTCCACACACACGGGCTTCCTCCTTCTCCCCTTCAGGCCCCTCCTTCAAGTACCGGTTTCTTAAATTCTCACTTATAGGATTTTGGAGATCAAAAAGAGGCCTTTAAACTTAATGAATTCTCCGCTTCGTCCCGGATGGAGCCGTTCCGCACCTTTCAGCTGTTCCCGGGAATGATAGGGCAGCTCAGTGCCGAGCTCGCTAGGTAATTCTCGCTTTCTAGAACTCCTGTGAAAGCAAAGCAGCCCGCATTTGGAGGCTTCCAATTATACTTCACATGGTGAACTGTGTAATTAGTTTGGAAGACTTATGCTTAGTCATTGGTTTATCCTAATCGGCTTTGGCTTTCCCCAACAACAAAGTGAGCTTATTTTGCTAAGCTGAAACGACTCTGCACCCTTTGTTCCTGCCTTTTATTGTCTCATTCCTTTCATTCTGTGTTACTGCCAAAGTTCTGTTTCATTAGGCCTACAAGTCATTTCCAATTCAGTGGGCTGCTACAATCCGGCCTTTATCACGGGCTGCTCTGGTTCCCATGTCCCTTCTGGGCCAGTGCCTGAGTTTGTGGTTTGACATGAGGGCTTTAACCCCTTCCTGTGCCAGCCCCTCACTGTGGTGGCCGGGAAGAAAAGGCCTTCCAGGAACCGGCGTGGAAAGTTACAGCTCTTGAGGTCTCGTCAAAGTGGGAGATCGCTGTGGAAACCAGGTGAAAGGGTCCTTGGAGCCCTTTGTGTCGGATTGGGGTTGTGTGGGGGCCCATAAAAGTTAACTTGAGCTCTGGAGAATGGTGTGTGAAAGCTTTTTAGGGGAAGAAAAAAAGAAAACAAGAGTGAATTGTTTTTTTTAATGTAATGAGACCTTCCCGTTTATCCGGCCAGCGTGGGCGATTGTGGGTGAGTGAGGCCCGAGGAAGCGCTGGGTGCCTGCGATCTCCCAGCTCCGGGGTTTTCTGTGCAGGTGCGAAGCTGCATTCATGGCCCCCACTCAGACACCCCTTTTGATACTGTATGTGTGAGGAGAGTCATACCTGGAATAAAAGTCTCATAAAGCCCTTTGAAATTTAAAAGGCATGAGATCTGTGAGAAGATAAATAAGCCTGAGAGTGGACTGTGATCCTCAGGTAGTGTTTTCTTGCTTTAAATGTGTGTCGTAGATAAACAGAGCTCTGTGCAGTGTGGTTCTCTCAGAGGAGGCTTGGAAAACAAAAGTCTTGTGTGTCCTTTGTGGACATCTGAGCTCCCGTGAGGCTTTGTCCTCTGAAGTGGTTCATGTAGGTGGGTTGCCCGGGGAGTGGTCAGCCTCCCGGGCCTCACCCTGTCCTCTGCTCCACCTTTTTCTGGAGAGCCTGGGTGTTGCCCTTCAGACCTTCTTCAACGACAATTGTAGGCTGGACCAGGAAGGACCATGCGCACGCTCTTCCCTGGCTGAAGGCTACTTTTGTGTTTAAATTTTCTTCCTCTAATAGCCCAGAACAAAGCCAACACTGTCCCCATGTTTTATTAATCTTCTGCCTGGTTTGTGTCAGCATCTCCCTCTGGAAGTGTGTCATAAGGGGAGGGGACTTTATTTGCCCCCTGACCCCTGGCCAAGCTGCTCAGTGGGAAACAGCACAGCGAGTAGACAGGAGAATCCTGCTTCCTCTGCCTCCTCCACCTTCTAGGCCAGGTGGCAGAGGCAAACAAACCTTACCCATGAGTAATATGATCCTGGGGCTTTGCAGGTAAACCCTCCTGCTAAACAACTTTGTGTTTTCCTGGTGAACTTTTCCTCCATAGACTGATTTCGGCTGAAGCCAGTAAGGTTGTCGAGTTCTAAAGATTGAGCACCCTAACGTTACTTCTCTTAAATTTTCGTATTTTTGCTTCAAAAAGGAGATTCTGAAATACTGGGTTTCTAGGAAAACTTCCCATTTCCCTCTTAGTATATAAAATATAGCCAGCTGTTGTTAGGCAAAGGCATCAGACATTATTATTGCTCGTTAACAGTGTTTTAAAATATACAAATAGAAAACTAGGATGCCTTCTGGGTAGCAAGCTGGGAAAACTTTGAGATTGTGCTAATCAAATGCCATGTGCATTTGCATAGTAGGTAGAGGAACAAGGCCGAATAGAAGAACAAGGCTCAAACTTCAGCTTTGCTGTTTGACCGCATTTCCTGGTATGATTTAGCTGTATTTACTTTTTCTGCTGCGGCAAGGAGAGGAGAGCCAGCGGTAGGGGAGCCCTTGGGCACAAAGGAGTTAATGAGCCCTGGGTGGGTAGGGGCGGGGGGGCGGTATGAAGTACTTCCACCAGCTCACCTTCCCAGAGTCCTCCTGGGCCCTCTGAAGACGTCACTTAACAATGGAGTTGTTAGTAGGAGAAAATAAAGCCTTTTTCTCCCTAGATGTAGTTCAGTGGGAACTGAAAGTGTACCAGAAATCATGGTTCAAGCTTGTGCCAGTGGGTGCAAGGGGTGGTTCTTATGGAGGAGAAAGCGCAGTTCATTTAGACTTGGCATTGAAATCGAACTCTGTTGTTCGGTGGAGTGAACATTGATATGGAGATTCCCACCCGCCCCCCACCTCCGTAGGATACCCCCTTACACAGGTCCTGTATGCTTTTCTTTTTCTTCCATTTTCTTTCTTTATTTTCTTCTTTTGTCCTCTTAGAAATAGTCTCTCTGTAGACCGGCCAGATTTGTCAAGTTACCACCCTCTAAATTTTTACAGCTCCGTATATTCAGACTTGGTATTTGTGAATTAGCTAAAAGTGGGCTGCCAATCTGTACTTTATTTACATTCGAAGCCATATTAGTGAGAGCCCCAGAAAAAAATGTTAATATGCAGGAAGAGGCAAAAGGGTTGAGTTTCTGACTGTTGCTAACCTCACCACTGCCTTTAAAACCAATCATGAGGCACACGGCTGATATTTAATAGCTTTTAGCTGATTATTTTTCTTCTCCTCCTCTTTCTTTTCTATCCAAGTTGACCTGGGTGTACTTGAGTGGAAATGAAGTCATCCAAATGCTGAATTAGAATAATCACAGGCCTCTAAGAATGAAATGGAAGCAGAGATTAAATGGCGGAGGGAAAGCCGGCATTAATAAGGACCAGGAAAACTTTGCATAAAATAAATAGGAGATGGAATAGATTGAATTTGTATATGCTGCTTCCATTTCTTCCTCCATTTTGTGTTGTCTTCCTAAGTCGAGTTACTGGCAAAGTGGGATTTGATTTGCCACAAGGACTCATACCTTCTGCAGCCTAGGTGATGGGCCTTTCTTCTTTGTGGGACGTTTGTGTGACCATTGATGTTTCCAGGAAGGAAGAATCTGATGGAGGGGCTGTTACCATGAAATGTTGATGATTACTTGGTACAAGTAGTGCGTGGGAGACAGATGAAAGAGTGTGGGGCACAGGCACAGTGGCTCACGCCTGTAATCCCAGCACTTTGGGGGGCCAAGGCGGGCGAATCATGAGGTCAGGAGTTCGAGACCAGCCTGGCCAACATGGTGAAACCCTGTCTCTACTAAAAATACAAAAAATTAACTGAGCGTGGTGGTGGGCACCTGTAATCCCAGCTACTCGGGAGGTTGAGGCAGGAGAATCTCTTGAACCCAGGAGGTGGAGGTTGCAGTGAGCCGAGATCGTGCCACTGCACTCTAGCCCGGGTGACAGTGTGAGACTCTGTCTCCAAAAAAAAAAAAAAAAATGGGGAGTATGGGAGCCAGTGCACCACAGGCCAACTTAATATTATGATGATTCCTCCTCGTAGGGAGAAGACCTGGGCAGGATGCAGGTAGGGTGACTGGTTGTCTGGGTTTGCCTGTGACTAAGGGGGTTTCTAGGAACTTGGGCCTTGCAAACTAGAATGAATTGGTCACCTTCAAGCGGAGTCTGGAGAAGTCAAGACACTTGGCCTGACACTCTAAAAGGGTCAGCATCTTCCTTGACCACCTCCAAGGAGATTTAAATACTCCTTCCTGCGTGCTCCAGAACACTAACTTCATACCTGTTTACATTCTGCCTTCTTCATTTAATCCAGCTGCTGGGTAAACAGCCAGCATGGGGCCTTGCGTGAGCACAGGCCGGCAAGTGTTAGATGAGCAAGTGGCTGCTGAAGGCAGGTCAGACAGACCCACAGTCTGTCTGTCTGTGCACCCCTCTGGGCTTCTATTTGGCGATTATTTCTGTGTCTCTTGAAAAAAAAAATTCTGCCCCAATGTAGCGAAAAGTGAGCTTCTTGTAGTTAAAGAGCAAAATAAGGATTTAATTAAATTAAAAAAAAAAGAAAAGAAAACCCAGCAGAGTGGTTTGTTTACAGGAAGTCGTTTTTAGGTGGTCTGTTATAGAAGATGTAATTTGTGAAAGTAGATTAGTTGTAAATTAGAGATTTTGGGTTGTCGAGGTCGCTAACCATCTTTTATAATTGGCGGCAGAGGTAAATATTTTCAGATTTGCTTATAGAGTGTTAGTATTGACAAAACAATTTAAGGTGTTTTTCACTTAAGGAAAAATAAGTGAGAGTATGGAATGATCAGAGACGGGCTTCCTGATCTTATTCCCAGCTTTCTTATGGAATGACAAGGGTATGGAAAGCAACAGGGAGATGAAATGCTGGAGTAGTTTGCAAGGGAGCTTGCAGATTCTCTGATAGGGAAACAGTTTTATTTATTTGTTTATTTATTTTATTTTACTTATTTATTTAGAGACAGGGTCTCACTATGGTTTCCCAGGCTGGAGTGCAGCAGCACGATTTCAGCTCACTGCAGCCTCAGTCTCTGGGGCTCAGGTGATTCCCCAACCTCAGCCTCCCAAGTAGCTAGGACTACAGGCATGCACCACCATGCCTGGCTAATTTTTTTGTATTTTTAGTAGAGACAGGGTTTCACCGTGTTGCCGAGGCTGGTCTCAAACTCCTGGACTCAAGTGATCTGCCTGCCTCAGCCTCCCAAAGTGTTGGGATTACAGGCGTGAGCCACCACACTCAGCCGATTTTTATTCTTTAATAAGAGCAACCCATTTCTTTTATCAACAGACTTGTTTTCTTAGCAAAAAGGGAGGACGTATTGATGTCACTGCTTTCCATTCAACTAAGTTGGTATTTGTGTTCAGATTTAGGGATTCCTGTTTGCCCGAACCGTTCATGTATCTTTTACCTTGTAATTGTCCCAACAGCCCTGTGAGGTAGGATAATTATCCCTATTTTAAAATTAGGTAAGGAAGACTAGGAGAGCATAAATGACTATGTAAGACCCCTTAGCCCAACAGCAGTGGGGCCCAAGGTTCAAATCTAGACTTCCTGGGTGAGGACTCTGGGTTTGTTGTTAAACTTAAGCTGTTTATCCTGAGGTGATCTTCTTTGGGGTGGCCCTGACCAGTTGTTTGTAGTGCCATAGAGTTACTATGGTATGGCCAGGCGCAGTGGTTCACACCTGTAATCCCAGCACTTTGGGAGGCTGAGGCGGGTGGATCATGAGGTTAGGAGTTTGAGACCAGCCTGGCCAACATGGTGAAACCCTGTCTCTACTAAAAATACAAAAATTAGCAGGGTGTGGTGGCGGGCGCTTGTAATCCCAGCTACTCAGAAGGCTGAGGCAGGAGAATTGCTTGAACCTGGGAGGCAGAGGTTGCAGTGAGCCAAGATCACACCATTGCACTCCAGCCTGGGCGACAAACCAAGACTCCGTCTGGGGGCGGGGCCGGGGGAAGAATTACTATGGTACCTCTTTGAGGAAAGTCACTCTGACCTTCCTCTCTGTCACCCAGGCTAGAGTATAGTGGCGCGACCTCAGCTCACTGCAACCTCTGCCTCCCAAGTTCAAGCAATTCTCCTGCCTCAGCTTCCTAAGTAGCTGGGTTTACAGGCGTGTGCCACCACGCCTGAATAATTTTTGTATTTTTAGTAGAGACAGGGTTTCGCCATGTTAGCCAGGCTGGTCTCGGACTCCAGACCTCAAGTGATCTGCCTACCTCAGCCTCCCAAAGTGCTGGGATTACAGGTGTGAGCTACCGCACCTGGCCAGTTTGTCTAAAATATTTTATATTAGAACAAATATTATGGCACAGAATGCAATATTTGCATAATTCTTTTTTGAAACACTGTGATACTTGCAGACACTTCAGGATCGCTTCTGGCTGCATCAGTTCCTGGTCATTCTGGGCTGTCCCTTAACGTACTTTGCCTTTAGGAGGAGTACATAGGTAGAAAAGTTGAGAATCTCTATTGTTTACTCCTTAGTATAGGGGCTGGCAAACTTTTTCTGCAAAAGGCCAGATAATAACTATTTTTAGTTTTGTGGCCCAGATGGTCTCCTAGAACCATTCAGTTCTGCCATGCTATCACGATGACAGCCAAAGACAATATGAAAATGAATGGTTGTGGCTATATTCCAATAAAACTTTATTTACAAAAGTCAGGAGGCTGCTGGTTTTGGCCCTCAGACTGTATAGTTTTCATACCCCCTTGGCTGAGCATATTGCCTGCTAATAAGAGCATAGGTTGTTTACACTCAGTCTGTCTGGTATTAGACCCAGCTCATCTGTTTACTAGCTTGGTAACCTTGGGCAGGTCATTTAACTTCTTCCCACCTCACTTTCTTTATCTGTAAAATGGGGATAATGATGGTCTTTAACCCATAGGGTTGTCATGAGGATTAAATGAGCTAATGCACACATAGTTGTTAGCATCCTGCTAAGAAACAGAGTGAGCACTTAACAAATGTTAGAAACATGAGCTGGTGGTGTTATTTTCAACGTTGGAGACTCAGGTCCTCTGAGACTCTGGAGTTTCCACTTTAGTCCTGTCTAGCAGTAGGCTTGCTAGTGCAACAGCCTTTATATACACACACACACACACTCTCTCTCTCTCTGTCTGTCTCGTTCTCTCATTCATCTTTTCCATCTATCCTGTGGGGGAGCTTACCACTCAATTC
Source organism: Homo sapiens (assembly GCF_000001405.40). NCBI lineage: Eukaryota > Metazoa > Chordata > Mammalia > Primates > Hominidae > Homo > Homo sapiens. Next base: position 57,413,249 of record NC_000017.11, read on the forward strand.
TTCTACCCACCCTGGCAATGATGCAAACTAAAAAGCCCTTCCTGCATCTTCTGAGCATAAAGACGACGATTCAGTTTTATGCAATTTTGGTGGGATGTACCTCGAGTTCCATCCGGCTACCCCGCTGCTTCCAGTTTGTGGAACTGACTTGCCGGTTGCCCTGGCTTTGATGAAAGAGTTGAACCGATGTAGGCCCAAAGAGAGTTCTTCTGGGTGGATCCTTCTGATGAACACTCTTTACATTTCTTTCTCGAATAATTAAACTTTTTTTGGTAACGGATACTGCCTGGAAATTGTCCCAGTATCATTTGGCTGATGTTTGTTAAAATATCTTTATATATATTGATCCACTAATCTGTTTATTGCATTTATTTTGCCTCCTGGGAGAGCTTTTCAGATCCTCATTTAAGTTTTTCTTTCCTTTTCCTTTACATATGATTCTAATAAGCTTGGTTTTCTGGCTTCTTTTAAATTTATAGCAAATATTAAGGGGTGGAAAGATGTTAATAAACTCAGTGTAAAGCGAGAGGGAGAAAACCTATAAAAACAAAGAGGCTTCGATCTTGAAAAGCTCCGCAATGTAGGACTGTTTAGTGCAGGGAAACAGTCATCCTTCCTCATTAGGCCCACAAGGCATTGCATCTACAGCCTCACGCATCATTCATTTGTTCATTGATTCATTCAGCAGACCTTGATTACCTTGAATGCCAGGTACCGAGCTAGGAGCCAGGAGCACCTTGGTGAGTGGAACAGACAAGATCCTTGCTTACTTGGAGCTTAACAAGCATGGGGTGTGGGTGGCGGAGGACCAGCCAAAAGCAAGCAAGGAAATAATAAAAATAATTACAGATTGTGTCATCAAGGAAAGAAACCAGGAGCTGAGAGAATCCATAATGGGAATACGGAAGAGGGAATCTTGGCTTATCAAGAAGTCAGATATGTGTAGTCTCTTTGCCTTGACCTGACTGTAAATTCCACCAAGTGGGGCTGGGTCTGTTTACTCACCCTGTAGCACCAGGACTGGCCTATGGCCTGGGCAGTAGTTGGTGCTCAGTAAACAGTGGTGGAATGAATGGATCCTCTGTATCGGAGGGCAGGGAAGTTCCAGTCATTGGAGAAGGAGTTTCAAAGGGTAAAATTAGGATTTTTTTTTTTTTTGAGACAGAGTTTCACTCTTGTTGCCCAAGCTGGAGTGCAGTGGTGCAATCTTGGCTCACTGCAGCCTCTGCCTCCTGGGTTCAAGCAACTCTCCTGCCTCAGCCTCCCAAGTAGCTGGGATTATAGGCGCCTGTCACCACGCTTGGCTAATTTTTTGTATTTTTTGTAGAGATGATGTTTCGCCATGTTGGCCAGGCTGGTCTCAAACTCCTGGCCTTAAAAGGAGGTGAGCATCTGCCCGTGTTGGCCTCCCAAAATGCTGGGATTACAGGCATGAGCCACCCTGCCCAGCCAGGATTTTTCTTTTTAAAATGGGGCATTAAGAGAGTATATTCCATTATCTGGAGCATTTCCTTATGTGAAACCCATTATTTCCCTGCATCCTAGGATCCCTTAGCTATTTCCAACCCGCAGCAAAAGCTTAATAGAACTAAGGGAATATCTGGGCAGGGTGAGCTGGTCAGTAATGCCCTTTTCAGAGTCGGTAGATTCTCAGGCAGGTTTCGGCATAGAGGGTAGACACAGAGAAGGGAAGGATGTCAGGAGGGTAAAAATTGGGATATGCAACTCTGTTTCATCTTCTCTCCTTCTCTTCTTTCTGTCTTTGGTCTAAGAAAAGCAGTAGACTTGCTGCTTGGGAGGTACCAGGGTAGGTCAGTGACTTTGAAAAGCTGGTGAGACGGTGAGAGCGTTGACTCATCTAGGCTCATAGATGTTATGGATCCTCTGGGCACCAGGGATGGGGGTACTTGGATGGGCATCGGGCAGTTTCTCTCCCAGACTTGCCGTCTTGTGATCAGCCAGGGTGGGGAATGAAAATGGGTCCAACAACATTAAGCCACAGCACAATCCTCCCTGATGTTGAGAAATCTGGCTGTGGACATGGAGAATGTGTTTGTGGGTACATTTTTGCCTCTCGAATGAACCGAATTTGCCATTGGCATTTACTGCCAGACTGTCGGGAATTATGTGGGGTTGTGGGGGGATTATGTGGGGTGAAGTTGAACAATTCTCAACTTTGGAATTGGGCAGACCTGAGTTTGAATCCAGATCATTTGCTGTTAGCATTGTGACCCTGGGCTATTGATTCAACTGTCTCCTGAGCCTGGTTTCTCATCCGTTAAGTGGGCATACAATTTCATTTACAATGGGGTTGTAAGAATGAAAAGATACACATTTGCCCAGGGTCTGGCACATGGGTATTTAATGATAGTCTCCCCTGCCTGCATTCCCTTTCTGCTCCCCATTCCCCCCAACATCCCGTGTTTCTGAACCCCCAAATTGCTGACTTTCACCAGGTTCACTCCCTCTGATAAACTCCCTCCCTTAATCTGCACAAAGCCCTCTCTGTGTGCCAAATGGACGGTTTTTGGACCAGTTTCTTAGTTGCTCCCAGCCTCTGCCCCCACCCCTCCACAGCTATCCCTCTGACAAATCCGGAACCATGGAAGTCCTCATTCTGAGATCCTCCTAGATTTAACCCAGCTGGAGTTAGTGTTGGGGGAGGCTAAGTGGAGGATTTGGCTTTTTTTCCTCTTATGCTAATGAAGTGAATATGGCAAGGAGTCACAATATTTTCTTTCCAGGCAAAGAAATGTTGTAGTAGGAGAAACAGCATGCAGGGGAAGCAAATGTGATCTCACTGGATTCTCTCAAGGGAGGAATAGGACAAATTGTCAGCTTCTGTTGAGAAGATAATACTCTCACTATGATAAATGCCAAGTTTCTATTGAAAACCACCATCTTAATGGTGGTGTCCCCAAGCACTCAGTGCTTGCCTGGCAGCCGAGACCAGAGGAGAAGCAGAGGAAAGCAGATATTTGTAGGGGGTTGTTTGTTTGCAATGAGAAATCAGTTCAAAGCAAAGGAGATGGTGCATTAAAAATGTTCTTTTAAGGCAGCTTTAAAAAGCTAACTGGAGTGCTCCAGTGTGGCCTGATCTTAAAACACACCTATGGGGAGACTTCCACCCTCAATAAATATTTCTTGCATATGACTTGAATTAAAGGAGGCACATGGGGCTGGAAGCCGCCCGAAATAATTTTCCCTCCCATAGGAAGCAGCCGCTGTAATTCACTTGCAAGTTATTTCAAAAGGCCTGTTCTGATAGAAATTGCTGCCTTCTCGTGGACTGGGATTTTTCTCGTACTGTCTGTGACATCCCTTCTTGACAAGGGTGTGTCCGCCCATATTTTACAATGCACCACTCCCTCAAAGAGCGTCTCAGTTTGTTGTTGCCCTTTTTGGGGGTGCTTATGCTGGTTTCTCTTAGACACCTGAGTGTGGCTGATCTGCCTCACAGCCTACACTCAGGGAGACCTTCAGGTTAGTTAAGGGAGTTCCTGGGGTTGGGGGGCTGGACGACAGTACATTCAGGAGCTCTAAGAATGCTGGTGATCATGGGAACAACTGGAGGGGGAGGAAGAAGGTCTCTTATCAGCTGCTGTTGAAAGGTCCTAAGGTGGTTGTGCTTGTCCAACCATCCTTGCATTCAGGAACCCAAGCTAGGTATTAAGCACCATGATGGGGCCACAGAGATGGGTGAGGTGGGGTGCCCACCCATGTGGGGCTTGTGGTCAAGGAGCAGAGATGGTGGTAAGCAGAATCGCAGTGTGGTATAGCAAATGGAGAGCCTGCCAGTGTCACTGCGAGGTGGGGACGGTGGTTGCTGCTGTGGAGCTCCTCTCCCAGGCCTCCCATCCTTTCCCTCAGCTGACTCGGCTGTTCCCTATGGTGGCCGCTGAAGGCAGATCATGTCTTCATGTGCCTCAATGCCAGCCTGAGCATTGACCTGGAAAAGGTGCTTGACAGACATTTATTCTGGGCTCCATAAAGGACCAGTGTTGCCATGGTAGGTGGAGGAGAGGAGGAAGCCCAGAGTGTGACTTGCCCCACACACCCCTGGATATCACAGTCCTGCCCCTGCCCATTTTGGAAAGAACCACATGGAGAGGGCTCACTTCCATGGACCTGAAATCGTGAGTTTGACTTTGTCATCAGCTGCAGAGCAAGGAGGGAGGCAGTTTACATCTGGATGCCTGCATTCACCTTGCCCAGAGATGCTGACTGCTGAGGATGCACCTCAGGGCTTTACAGATGCTCCCCTTCTTGCCATGTTCAGTCTCCTCCCTGAGATCTTACCCCTCAACCCCCAAGAAGCCACAAGGCAGGTCTGCTTGTTTGACCCATGAGTGGAACGGTAGATGTGATCTTTTCAATGTGAAAGAACCTCAGCGAACATTAGTCAGGGTGTCTCAGTTATAATTCAGTCTCATTATTGCCTCCCGGATGTGATTAACCTGGGATCTGCTCATGAAGGGATTTGGCCGCCCAAGGAAATGGACAAAGATGATGGATCAGGTGCACCTGGGACAGAATGACAGCTGAAGTCAGTGGTTTTCTGCTAAACCCATAACTTAACCACTGGTTGAAAGTCTGTATCAGGTGTCCCAAATCAAATGTATTGATTCTAGATGCCTTTTTGTAAAGAGGCAATAAAAAGAAATACCATTTATTTTCACAATTGTTCCTTCCTCCCTGTGTCTAGGAATTACAGAGTCATTGTTATTATTCCTCCTCTCATTCGTAGCTCCAAGTACATAGAGAGCAGGGCTTGACACACTTTGTCTGTAAAGGGTCAGATACCAAATATTTTAGACTCTGTGGGCCATACGGTCTCTGTCCCTGCTACTCGGTTCTGCTGTTGTAGCACAAAAGCAGCCATAGACAATATGTAAATGAATGAGTGTGGCTGTGTTCCAATTCCACTTTTATTTACAAAAACAGGCAGCAGGCCTGTGGGCCGTAAGTTGCTATCCCCTGTTATAGACAGTCCTAGTCGTCAACTTGACGTCTCAAAGAAAGCAGCGATTTCATAGAACTGAGGATATTTTCAGGATCAGTAATAAACTTTAGGGGCATGGCTATGCTCATTTGAAATAGTCATCCTTTTAATGTAGGCACATGTCAGAAAGGTACATTGTATTGTCTGATGCCATCCCTCCAAGATATTTGGAAAAATCTTTTGGAGTAAGTAGCTGCAAATAATAAGGACTAGGGAGAGTTAAGAGCAGGCATAAGCCCCTGTCAGTCACATAAGGTTTGTTATAGTGAATAGGCAAGGAATGATCATTTTGGGGTCTTGCTTTTTTCTTGGGCTGTGGGGTGCTCTTGCTCAAGGACAGGTGCTCTGTGTGGACGTGGTAGCCACAAGCTAGAGGATTGTACCCACAAACGTGTGCAAAGGCTTGCTCGTCATGCAACACTTATCTGGCCACATTCCTGAAAGTGGAAGGCCAAAGTGGGAACTTTTATGCAGCTTTATGCGACGGGTCCTTGACTCTGCTCACTCACATCTATAAGCTGAGAATTTGGTGGTAATCACTTTTCTAAAAGAGGAAAAAATGGATCCACATGGATTAATCTGCACTGTTTAGGTCTGTAAAAAACCAGTGACATTGACATGTCAATGAAAATGGTGGAAATTAACACTTGGAAATTTTTATATAAAACCTTTATTGAAAATTCAGTTAAACATTCACACACTAAAAAGAGCTCTATATTTATAACTGAAAAACTCAATTTGATGCAAGCTGCTTATTTCTCCATTGTGGTCACGTGGGCTGAGGTTCTTAGTATGAAATGTAATTTACACAAATTAGTCCAAGGCAGGTAGAGTGTGAAATTAAATTGATGCCTTGATTTCTGTATTCTCTAGTTAAGTGTTTCTCTGAAAATTCGTCATTTCTGTCCTAGGAACTTTAAAGTATGGAGGTTTTCTTTTTTTTTTTTTTTAAATAGAGCAAAGAAGTTCTTACTGGTTAAGGACATGAAACAACCTTAATTACAGGCTAAAAAGGCACGTTCCATTTTGTTTTGTGGCTAAATATTAGAGTGACCCCCAAATTGGGCTGCCAGTAGAGGTAGAAAACTTGGGCTTTAACGCAATTATTACATTTTTCTTTTTTTTTTTTTGAGATGGAGTCTCACTCTGTCACCCAGGCTGGAGTGCAGTGGCTCAGTCTCAGCTCACTGCAACCTCCGCCTCCCAGGTTCAAGCGATTCTCCTGCCTCAGCCTCCCGAGTAGCTGGGATTACAGGTGCTCATCAGCATGCCTGGCTAATTTTTTTTTTTTTTTTGTATTTTTAGTAGAGAAGGGATTTCACCATGTTGGCCAGGCTGGTCTCGAACTCCTGACCTCAGGTGATCCACCCACCTCAGCCTCCCAAAGTGCAGGGATTACAGGCATGAGCCACTGTGCCAGCCAGCTAGTACATTTCTCAACTAGCTGCACCAAGCCATCTAATTTCTTTGGTTGTGATGAGAACAGGTTAGGGCTGTTAGCTGTGTAGACCTAGAAGGGGCTTTGCAGACCCTTTTACAGATGAGAAAACTGAGGCTCATGAATAACATTCTGACCTTGGTCTCTTCGGTCAGGACGCCGTGGACCCTGGCTGGGCCTGCTTCTGCCCCTGAGTCCGCACTGCTGCCTCTCACTGAGGACAGTTGTCGGTGTTGGTGTCAGATTGTGTCAGTAATCGTAGTAAGAATGAATCAAGTATGGGGTATCCTGGTTCAAATTTGATAATCCAAGAGGAAGGAGAATCACTACTTGCCCAGAAATAATGGAAGGCCAAGATGATCTGACGACCTTGTAAGGAGATCACCAGTGCTCTGGGACTGAACCCATCTGCTGGGTCCTGGGGTAGCTCTGTTGACTGCCCTCTGCTGAAAAGGAGTCAGGTTGCACCTCTAGGGTCCAGGACGCAGGTGATTGCATTTTATCAGCATCTTTCTCACAGGCCACCCTCCAGCAAGGTAGACATGGGTCAGCCCTGCCAACTTTGGAATGAATCATTTCTTTCAAATAACTAGCGACTGACGTTCGGGGCAGTCTGAAAAATGAATTATGGGCTCTCACGATTTTTATTTGTCCATGGTGGCATAGGTGGTATTTATCTCTCTTGTCCTTGCTCTCCCCCACTTTTGGAGCCTTTGTCTCTGTCTGAGTCAGCATGACATGGTTTGAAAATTGCCTGTTTGGCTTTTAATGATGATTAATGTCCATAGCCATGTTTCAAATTTAGGATCTCTTGAAGAGTCTCCGAGACCGTTACCAAGAGCAACCTGCCGAGGGAGTCGGCGCAGAGCTCCGTACTTTCCCAGCCTGAATTAGATTCCTCCCAAACTTCTCCATCTTTCCACCAGCACCCCGTGGGCCCTTCTTGGGTCTTTGACACCAGGAGCTGAGCTGGCCTGCCCATCTGGCAAGCTCCAACCACCCTCTTGGGTTAGTGCCTGTCCCATGGGCTATCTGGAAGGGTCACTTTTTCTTGCTTCTTCCTCCCCACCCCCAAATCAGAGAGGCCAATGAGGAGCTTAATTTCCTCAACAGCAGGTGTCTGTCATCTATCTGAAGATAGTTGCCAACATCTGGTACAATTGCCTCCGCAAACGCAGTAACAAGGCGGCCTGCAGTTCAGGCGCAGAGCGAGCATCGCCGCTTTAATGATAACAAGCTGTTGGCCTCCCCTCTGAGATGAATCCATCTCACAGATGTTTGTCTAGTTTTGGCAATCGTATTGCACTATAGCTTTGGTGATTATGCTCGACTGGAGACTATTACAATAAAAGAAGTTTGAACTTGTTCCATTTTTATACCCCACCCCCTTCTCCCCTGTTCTGAGGTATAATTTATATCAATGGCTGTAATATTGGTTCCCTTACTGAGGCCTCTTTACTTTTTATGATGTCGGTGGAGCTGCAGCTGATAGCCTGGCTTCCTCCACAGGTTAATGTGTTTTGGCTCCATCAGCGCTTTTAATGTCCACGCTTAATGGCCCCGTGGCAGTCCCCTCACCCTCTGTCAAAGCGCATGTTGACACTGAGAGGTCATGTGATTACTTTGACGGAGTATCTCCAGCTGTAGATAGTTACAGCTTGTGTGTGTATGTAGGGCGTGAACATGGGGCGTGTGGAAGGCCTGATGCTTGCACAGGACGGAGTAGATCAGAAGGAGAGGTTTTTCCTGAAGGTGGCAACAGTAAGAGACAAGGCCTGGGAATGTAGAACCTTCTAGACTACTGGTGGACTTCCTCTCTGCCTCTCTCCCTCTGTCCCTCCTCCCCATTCATTCTCCTCCTCCTCCTCCTTCTCCTCAGGCACAGTATACTTTTACTGAGACAAAATAAATAGTCCTGGTGCAGTGGCTCAAGCCTATAATCCCAAGACTTTGGAAGGCCGAGGTGGGGAGGATCGCTTGAGGCCAGAAGTTTGAGACCAGTGTGGGTCACATAGTGAGACCCTATCTGTACAAAAAATGTGCCTGTACTCCTAGCTACATGGGAGGCTAAAGCAGGAGGGTCGCTTGAGCCCAGGAGTTCGAGGCTGCAGTGAGCTATGATTGTACCACTGCACTCCAGCCTGGGCAACAGAGTGAGGCTTCATCTCAAAACCACAAAAATAACAACAAAGCAAAATAAATAGAAATCACACCTTGGTGAAAGGGCATTTGGAGGCCTGTCAGGTAGTTTATGCTGCAGTGTTTGACATTTTGGGCTTTAATTACACAGTGGTTTAATATTTAATACTATCAAATGTTACACAGCTTTACAATTATAGTTCTACATATGAAAATTGAAAGGAACTATCAATCCACTCAAATCGTATTTAGTGATAGTAAATACCAGGTATTTTAAATAATAACTCTCATTAATTGCATCTCCACTGTGTACTAGGTACTACACGAACTGCTTTTATTAGTAGATAAATGGGGCCAGGTGCGGTGGCTCACGCCTGTAATCCTAGCACTTTGGGAGGCTGAGGAGGGCGGATCATGAGATCACGAATTCGAGACCAGCCTGGCCAATATGGTGAAACCCCATCTCTACTAAAAATACAAAAATTATCCGAGCATGATGGCAGGTGCCCGTAGTCTCAGCTACTCAGGAGGCTGAGGCAGAAGAATCACTTGAACCCAGGAGACGGAGGTTGCAGTGAGCTGAGATCGCACCACTGCACTCCAGCCTGGGTGACAGAGTGAGACTCAGCCTCAAAAAAAAAGATAAATGGGTAATTCTTACAGTCTCCCTGTGAGGTAGGTATTCTTTTGTCTTGTCACAGGTGAGGAAAATGAGGGTCCGGGACAGGAAAGTACATGCCCAATGGCACAAAGCTGCCAAGGGACAGAGAGAGCGCTCAGTCCAGGGCTAGCAAACTCCAGACCCATGCTCATTCTCCAGCCATCATTGTCACCGCTAACCCTGCTCGTGGTCTGCTTTGATGTCATGGAAAAATTGGCCCATCTGAGATGTGGCGCATTATATAAATCAGTACAGCGTAAATCACCATCATCACTTGACATTTAAGCCTTTTTTTCATTTTAATTTGGATATTACTTTGTCAAAGATTAGGCAACGTAATTTTGGCAAGGTGTTATTTTTGGCAGTGCACTTACGAATGGGTGAGTCAGCCTGGCTGTGGATGCATCATTGGTGGCAGGGCACCATGGGTTTCTTTCTTTGTCCAGAAATAGACACTGGTCTCTGGACTGGTGACACTTCAGGAGGCTCCAGATGACTGTACTGGGTGCGTGTATAGCAGCCTTCTATGAGGAACTAAAGGGGCCACCTCATCTTGGCCTCTAGATAGGACTCTATTCTTTAATGAGTCCTTCAGATATGTGGGTTCGAGTCCCATAGGGAGAGAAAAAACTTTTCCCAAAAAGTTAAAATAGAGTGATCTTTTGTGATGCATATCAAAATAAAAACCATGGGATGGCTTATGAAAATTAATGGAATTAAATTTCCCAGAAATGGCTAAAAATGTGCAGCTTGCAACCCAGCAGTTTATTAAAGACTTGAGAACATTATCTTCGCCATTCGAGTTAGATTTAAGTATATGCTTTTAACCTGGGCCACACACAGTAATAGAAGAAGCCCGACAGAAATGTAAAGACCTGCTAATTTCCTTTGTGATCTTGGGCCTCGTCTTACTTCTCTGGGCCTTGGCTATCTTTTCTACAAATTTCGGCTTTGTAGACATTGGATGAGATTTCAGATCTCTTCCAGCCCTGTAGCTGCATTCTATTCTGTTGGCCAGCGCCTGCTCATGCCTTTCCACAATTGAAGTGTCTGTTGCGTGGATCACCATCACCATCCTCCTTCTGTTCTGAGCTACATCCCAAGTTGCCCAAAGTCAGGTTAAGTCCAGCATAATTTGCCATTTGTTAAAGTATGCCTGTTGATTTGTCATCTTTCCTTCTTGACTTCCCTCCCTCAGCACAGATCTCTCATGCCAGTAGTCAAATATAAAATTTTTCATACCCACCCAGCGTTTTGCATGGGTTCTTCACTCTCTCCTGCCCGCCCCTCCTCACCAAATGAGTTCTTTCTTTGCGAAGCTGGAGCCAAACCACCAAAATGCCACAAAGACATGTGGCGCAGCTTTTTCCAGTTTTTCTCTTGCGGTAGTTACAATATTATTAAAAATCCATTAAATTTTAATGTACCCTATAAAATATGTGCTCTTGTGAAAGCAAGCACAGATAATTATTTCTGATGAATAAACCAAGAGGACAAGTATGTATGAAGTTCATGCTGCAGCATTCAATTTTTATTATATACATCTCCTGCAGGGGCAATCACTGTGATGTTCCAGCTGGTTGTGTGGAGGGCTGGTTCTTCTCAGAGATCCTTTGGGGCAGCATGAACCCTGAACTCTCCGAATGTTCTCAGAGCTTGTTATTACCTGGAAAGAGAGAGCCCTGTGTAGGAGCTGTCTTCTGTTAAGCTCTTCAAACAAAAGAATGAAGGACTAAATGAATCAGGATGAGAAAAATGCAGTCTCTCTAATACTCCAAGGTATCCTTCTGGGATGAGGAGGGAAAAATCAGACATACATTTGAAGATCTTCTACCTAGTAGCTCTGTTCCCTTGAGCCAGTCTCTTAGCTTCTCTGAGTATTTGTTTCCTAAATGGGAGATGAGCGTTCTCTCTGCCTTGGGGCTTAACAGAGGCACAGAAGAGCCTGTGTCTGGCTCAGAGTGGGAATTCTGACTTGCGGTTTCCCTCTTTCAGTCTTTTTCTTCTTCTTCTGGAGATCCTTTGAAAGTTTTCTCATAGCTCCAGAAGTTGGAAAACAGAGCTGCTGCCTGGCCTCCTGGAGTCTGTGTGGTGTGAGGCTTGGGAGCCATTAACACATGACTATCTAGTGTCACAGCTGCTGGCTCTGGACATCTCCTGATGCTTCAGGGGTGGCTTCCATATTGGTTTCCAGAGGCTGCATGCACCTGCCAGGTGGATGGAAGTGTTTCCCATGGGAGTTGCTGGGCCCCTGTCTGCCTTCTCGGGGTGCCTGTGGCCTCTGTGCCTGATGACTCTAGGGCAGGGGTCTGATGACTCCAGGACAGCCAGTGTCATCCCTTTGCTTGCAGATGAGGTGGCTTAGAACCAAGAGGGAGGAGCTTAGCCCAGCAGACCCTCCTGGGATTTGTTGGAGGCTGTGCTTGGGAGTCGGACACCTGATCTGCTTTGCAATTTTATGAGGTCCAACTTCTGATCCTCAGCGAGGCCCCATTTCCTTCCTGGGGCAGGGTTAGTCATCCGGCCCTGCAGGAGGTGGGGCAGGACTCAGGAAGCACTTGGAATGGCCTGGAAATCATGGGCTATAAAAGCCTTTCTTCCCAGGGTGGCGGAGTGCACTACTCTCACATTTAATCCTGCCCGGTATCCTGAAGAGGGGAGGGCCAGGGTTGTAGGTGAGTTGCATGGAGTTATTCTGGAATATTCCACAACTACAGTTGGGACTCAGCTGCTGGGATCAGTGGTGAAGAAAGTCCCACATTTTGCACAGAATTGGGTGATCTGTAAATGAAGGAAGTTTATTTTTAACAGCATTATGATTTTGTTTAAAAACGAAAAGACATACTAGAAAAAATTAAATACATAAGTAAACAGAGAACTAACAAATCCTCTCATCTCATCACCATGAGATAACCCACAGTAACATTTTGGTGTAGGCTTCCAGAGGTCTGTCTGCACATATATAAACTACGGTTGTGTACACTTTTATATAAATGAGATCATATGTGGTGTTTGCCAGATGGCCTTTTCTGGTCAGTAGTATGTCAGAGGCATTTTTCCATGTGATTGTACCCTACATGGTCATATTTGTTGCCTTCATTGTTTCTGTGATATCGATGCACTATGATTGACTTACGCAAACCCTTAGTTAGGATCATTTAGGTTGTTTGCAGTATCATTATGATCATTGTTTGGTATTATAGCCAGTTCTGGCAGGACCGCCCTTGTGCATGCATTTCTCTCCTGCTCCTGCAATACTTTTGACCTAGCAATTCCACTTCTAGGAATTTACAATAAGGAGATAATAATACGTTTTACAATTTGCTATTTATTGCCAAACTGCCCCACAGGGAGGTTGTACTAATTTACATTTCTACCAGTTAAGGCAGCATAAGAGTGAGCTTGAGCTTTTGGTCTTAGGATTTTTGTGCCCAAGTCTTTCTAAAATTTACATTCCTCTGAAATTTGTCATATGGAACATTTTTTTTTAATATTGAAGAGTGAGGAATCTGTTATACCTTGACTTTTAAATACTTGTTACATTGCCTCTCTGTTCTCTGATAATCCATGAAGTTGTAAATGGTTTTGACTGAGTGAGATACATGCAGGAGAGTTTCAGGATAGACCGGGGGTTGTGTTTCTGTTTCAGATTGTCATCTTGAAACAAAAATGGTGGCAAATAAAATGTTTTCAAGTGGATGTGTTTAGTCGTGATTTTTAATGGGTTTTTGATCATTGTTCCTAGCTGCATACCGGTTTTGTCCTAGACAGGATATAGCTGAAGACAAATACTGACTTTTTCCTTCATCTAATACATTTGGCAATTACGTCTTGCCTTGTGAAAGCATTACCATTGTTATTTAAATTTTGCATTGCTCTTTTAAGATAACGTTCAGCTTGTTGCCTGTTTATCTCTTCCCTCCTGCTGCTCTTGTGTGCGTCCTCACGGCACATGGGGCAGTGCCCTACACTCAGTAGTCACCCAGTACCCATTTTGGGATTTTTCTCCAATTATAAAGTTTTAGCATTAGGAGGTCTCTGAGAGTCAACTTTTCCCCAATTGTAGACATGTTTTTGATCTTACATACATTTTAATTTATTTTTTTCATTCAGTAGTAAATGGTTGTTGAGTGCTTTTGATGTACCAGGTGCTGAGGTGACTGTGCCGTGACAGTGTCCCCATCCTCGTGCAGGTGATGAATGGGTGTCCATACAGCCTTGGAAATGCACAGGCCTGGGGCACAGGCCTTTTTCCTCTCCTGTTGTTACCTTTTACATCTGCATTTGATAAAAACCTTCTCCAGAGAAAGGCTTAGAGTTCACAGAACCTTTATTTCAATGGAGGTCTGCAGTGTTCAGCGTTAGAGTGAAGATTTTCATGAAGCATGGCCTGACAGAGAAGTGTTTGAGGAAGAGATTAAATGGAAGCAAACTCTTTCCATCTCTTGGGGAAATGGGAGATGCGGGTGTCCACTGGAGCCAGGGCTTCTAAATTTTAAAATCACTTCTTCACCAGGCTGAAGCCGGGGTGCCCCCACGGAAGGTACTGTTGAATTGCTTCGAAGGTTTCTCATTGAGAGAAGCTCTCTGTTTCTCCTAGTTGGGACTGGCATGAATAAAAGCAGAGGCCAGGCGTGGTGGCTCACATCTGTAATCCCAGCACTTTGGGAGGCAGAGGTGGGTGGGTCAGCTGAGGTCTGGTGTTCAAGACCAGCCTGGCCAACATGGTGAAACCCTGTCTCTAATAAAAATACAAAAATTAGCTGAGTTGTGGTGATGCATGCCTGTAATCCCAGCTACTTGGGAGGCTGAGGCAGGAGAATTGCTTGAACCTAGGAGGTGGAGGTTGCAGTGAGCGGAGATCGCACCACTGCACTCCAGCCTGGGTGACAGAGTAAGACTCTGTCTCCAAAAAAAAAAAATAAATAAAAGAAAATAAAAGAAAAAATGTAAAGGCAGGAATGTGTACAGGACCTCACGGGATGTGGGGAAACCAGCCTGGTTGCAGTTGAGGGTATGAGTGGGACCCTACTTCTCTCCCGCTGATGAATGAAATGTATAAAACCACCTTCCTCATTATGTGGTCCTAAGGCTGAAATGAGGCCACGTACGTAAAGTGTCAGACACACTTTACATATGGGGGTTAGTAAATGTTGCCATGTCATTAATTATTAATACATTGAATTACAAAGTTATTTAATCCAGCCTCTCCATCCAATCCATATGGGAATCTCATCCGCAGTATTCCTGACAAATTTGATTTGTTAGGAATCTCTTTTAATCTTTCATATTTGATCGGCTTTTAATGGTTTAAGGAAGAACATTTCAGGAGTAAAAATCTGCTTCCCTGCTTAAAGAGCACATAGTTCCTTATTTTGGCTTTGTGAGCTCTGCAGTGGGACAACTCTTTCCCTTTCCCACATATTTTGAATAATTCTTTAATATATATTGACATAGATATTACTATATATTATATAGATTAGCTATATAGACATATAAAAGATATTTTCACTGTCTCAGCAAGGGGAATGCAGCAGGAAAACAGGGTGATAGTGGGGAGAAAGTCAGCAAGAAAACGTGAGCAAAGGAATGTTTGTATATCAGTGCTTTGATATACATGTTAGTGGTTCTCAAATTTGGCTATATATTATAATGATCTAAAGAGCTTTTCAAAAATACAAATTCATGGACCCATCTTTGGAGATTAGATGGTAGGACTGTGGTAAAATCTGAACATCTTTGTTTGTTTTTATGAGACAAGGTCTTACTCTGTCACCCAGGCTGGTGTGCAGTGGCATGATCGTGGCTCACTGAAGCCTCCATCTCTGGGCTCAAGCAATCCTCCCACCTCAGCCTCCCTAAGTGTTGGGATTACAGGCATGAGCCACCCCACCTGGCCTTTATTTTATTTTATTTTTTAAAAGAGATGTGGCCTTGCCCTGTCACCCAGGCTGGACCCATGCTGGAGTGTAGTGGCCTGATCATGGTTCACTGCAGCCTCAAACTCCTGGGCACAAGTGATGCCCCCACCTCAGCCTCCTAAGAACCCAGGATTATAGGTGTGTGCCACTGCTTCTGGCTGGGCATCTTTTTTTAAAAGTCCTAATGTACAGCTGCAATTGTGAAACATTCATTACCTGTTTTCATATTTAGAATGAGGGTAATCCTTCTAGAGGCACACAAAGTTAGCTGAGTAGCAAAAAGCTGGGTCTCAAACCAAGGTCTTCTAATTTCAAATATCATGTTTTATCTACTTTACCATGAAGCTGAATTGTGTGAGCACAATTATGAGGTCTCCTTTGCCTCCCACCCTCGCTGTATTGTCCATTTTCCAAGGTAAACACACCCAGTTCTTTCAGTTCTTTTTACTCTGTGATTTCAGTGCCTTCTGCTCTCCTAGTAATAATATATTTACCAGCCAGCATATATTTATGATCAGTATACATTTGTGATGCATTCTATGGGCCAGGTACAGGGCTAGGCATTGGGACTCCAGAGTGCCTGGAGGAGAAGATCCCCCACGCTTAAATATAGTACATTTGACATAGTCCTTATCCTTAGTGCCCTCAAGACCTTTCCCAGCATATCTGGCTCTTCATAACATGGAGAGCTAGTGGTCCTTCCTGGATCTGCGTGTCCTCAGTCTAACCCCTGCAGATCTCCCTTCATGTGGGGAGGGCCTTCTAGATGGCACCTGGGCTATGCCGACTTAACCCTGCATTTCAGGCTGATCCCACACAGCCTCCAAATAGGCACTATTGCTCTAAGGTGTCTGGGAGAGAAAAGGTTGGCCCCGGTTTTGGAAACTTTGGGGTTTTGCGTGTGTCTAAAAAGATTATCTTCAGTAGTTTTGCTCTCCCAGTGAGAAAAGGAGAGGCTGATCATGTGCTGCCAGACACTGGGCAAAGGGTGATGTTTGTAATGACCATCCAGTGACTCCTGCTGCCGCTGTCCTTCCTGCCTGGATGTTTTTGGAGCTTCCGTCTACTCATTCAGCATCCAGGGAGGCTGTGATGAAGTAAGGACCATCTGTTAGGGACCAGATAGCAAGGACATTTGCAGCGCATTGAAGGTTGGCCTGGATGACCAGCAAGGGTTTTTCCTGCCCTGCATGCCTGGACTCCCACCTCCCCACCCCTGGTTAGGCTTCCTGGTTGTGGGGAGTCATAGCCAGTGGAGCTCTAGTCTGTAACAAACACACCATCGGAACAACAAACCCTCAGGTCTTTCACATTGATTAGATAATTAAAAAAAAAAAAAAACAATTAAAATAGCTAAGCAAAAGGGAGAATTTCCGGTCTCATCCTGGAGAACCAGCATTCTGGTGTGTGTCCTTCCACACTTTGAGCGCATTCACTCTGCAGTTGTCACACTGGTGATGAACGTGGACACTGGGAGCAGGCAGGCCTGGCTGCCATTCTTGCCCCCATCACTTCCCAAGTGTGTGACCTTGGGCAAATTCATCTGTAAAATGGTGATTCAGTAGAAAGTATTTGATAGGATTGGGAGTCTTAAGGGAAACAGATGCATGGAAGTCCTCAGCAGAGGACCTCACACACAGTGAATTCTCAATCCGATGTTTATTTAAATCATATGTGCCTTGTTATTTGTAAGGATGGAACTCCCTGCAATGTCTTGAGGTTGTTAGCGTGTGACCATGAGTACTAGTACACAGTGCCCATTCATTGGAAATTCTGTAGCCACCGAAGAAAACTCACCTCAAAGTGAAGTGATGCTCTTTTGATGGTAAACACCATTGTTTTGCTGCACAGTAATTAGGCATGAATGGCAAACAGTTCACATCAGTGATTGTAATTAATTAGTATAAACATTTTTTTTTTCCAGCCAAATCTCAGTCCGCCTTCTTTCTCTTATCATGTGGTTGTCTGGTGTTGGTAATCAGTGTCCACACTGCCCCTGGGGCAAGTTCCTTGAAGGCAGGAATGGCAGTTTCTTCTTTGTACCCCCTGCCCCACTCCTGGTCTGGCAAATGGGGGCTCAGGAAGTGCTGGTGCTGCAGGACAGCTGTTCCTTCATTCACTCAAAAGTTCTCGTTAATATGCATGCCTCTAAAGCAATGGCCTTATTTTCATTGGATTTATTTTTCTTGTTCTTGCTCTTCACCTCTCATTTTCCCATATGAGAGACTCCGGGGCTGCACTCAACAGATTCTGTCTGTCTGTCTTCTTCTCAAGGCTGGAGATCTCTAAGCACCCACTTTTCCCTGGCCCATGTGCTGGTGGCCCTGAGTTTCTAGACTTAGCTTGCCCTCTGACCCAAGGATGGTGGCCCAAGTTGGCAGAGGTGGTGGGAGGAAGCAAGGCTGTGGTGGTGGTTGGGTGGAGGAATCAGAGCATAGGGGGTCCTCTGACCATGAAGATGAAGGAGTTTTCACTGTTTATAGAATCTGCATTGGCTGTCCTGCCCGCCTCTTCTTCCTGAATTTGGCACTGGTTATGATTTTAGGAGCACGGAGAAGACTCCTCCAAGAATTAGAAACAAACAAATTCCATTTCCTCTCTCTTTGGCTGTAAAGCCTTTAACTGAGGACCACGTGTTTTATTCCACAATTGGGTGAAATGCCCTCAGTTGCTGAAACCCATTCCATGTCAGATGGTATCTCCTGCCCATTCATTGTGACCCTCCCGTTTTGAAGAATTTATCCCTCCAGGCCCAGTTTTTCTGTAACTGGCACAGATTCACAGGTGGGAGCCCAGGCAGGCTGCACTCTAGGCATCGGCCCTCTCTCCTCCCCTGATGCTCAGAGCCAGGCTCCTCCTGAGCACAAAAATCAGAGCCCTGTGGTTCAGAACGGCCACCATGTAGGATGTGGGTGGCACCAGCTCCTTGGGCCCGAACTGGCAGCACAGCCAGGGAATGTCCTTAGATGTTAAATGGGTCGCAGGTGAAATGAGCTGTTTGTGTCCTTGCATTGTGAGTGTCCATGCTTTCCTTTGAATTTACAGGGAGAGGCAGGTGGTAGGTTTGGGGGTCCCAAGGCCAGCTGTGTTGTAGCATGGTCGGTGCGGCATGTCTTTTATATAACCTGCATGTGGGTTACTGGAGGCCAGAGGCACCTGTGGTCTTGGAATGAGGATCTCTTTGACGTGAGAAGACAGATGTCAAAACAACTTCCTGCCACCCCTGGAGCTGTTTGTCCAAGATCAGCCATTGCATCTTCCTGTCTGGCAGATTGCATTCCTCCCCTTACCTGTTTGCCTTCTGGAAGACTTGATTGTGGTGGCAAGAAGATAGGCCCCATCAGGGTGGGCCTCATTCCAGCTTTGCAGCAAACAAGCTCTGATTTGTTGGGGAGGCTGGGAGGGACCCCACTTCACTCTCTGCCCCCAGTGTCCACCTGCACTTGGGCAAGTCAGCCAGTTGGTTCTGTAGACAGAACACCCCCTTGCAGCACAGACTCCACCGGGCATTTGGCGGCGGTGTGGAATATGAAGAGAAGGCTTCCCCCAGTCTGTAGGTACAACTTGCTCTGTCCCTTTGCAGCACAAATGTGTTCCCAGTAATCTGTGCCTCTCTCCCCTCAACACGTTCAGCCTTTAATTGTAACTATTAATCACGCCGAGTTGTGTCGCACTTCATAACCCTTCCATTAAATATTAAGCTTGAAAAAAATTGAGCTGTCTTAATTGAATTATTGAATTACCAGGCACTTAATGTGGCTCTGGTGGATGAGAATCACGGAATTTCGGCTTTGGAAGGGATTTTAGTTTCCTTGTCTGTGACGTAGAGGGTGTGTGAGGCCCCGAGGAGCCAGGAGACTTGCTCAGGGTCGGTGGCCCAGAAGAAACTGGAGCTGGTGTCCCTCTTTCCGTGCCTTGTCCCACTGCCTCCTTATGGAGGAGGCTGTATTCCTGGGCTCATAGCCATTCTCAGGTTTCTGCGGTGTGCATTTCTCTAGTGGTTCCCAGCATTGGGGTTGGGTTTTTAGGTGGACGCAGTCACATGTGGGCATTTGAAGGGCTGCCCTCTCTGGAATCAGGCAGTCTGTCCTTGGGATGAGATGCTAGCTGGCCCTTTGGCTTCTTCCTTAGAGATGTTTATGCTCATGGCCTCGGCCACTCTCCCTCTTCCTCCAGGTTTCCGCCGGCAGCCCAGGCCTCTCCCTGTCTGACTCCCCCACTCCCTTTCTGCTGGGCATTTCCATTTGAATGTTCCAGGCTCATCTCACCTTCGCCCTCCTCACACTGACCTCACTGACTCCAGTCTGGTCTCCTGCCCTGAGTCCCTGTCTAGGAGAAGAATGGCGTTTCTGACAGCTCTTCCTGACTCACTCGTTGAGACCGATGCTTATCTGCTAAGCGATTCCTGTGTTCACTCCTTCTCTCTTCTGTCTGCTGTCCCCATCACAAGCAAGACTGAACCCCTTCTGCTTCCTGATGTGATTCCTTGTCACGGTCCCTCTTGCTCCAACCTGTGTTGCCCTTTGCTACCAGACGCGACTTCCTGAAATCCTGTTTTCAGCAGACGATCCTCTGTTCCCAACTTGCAGTGGCTCCCTACTTCCTGCCACAGTGAATCTACAGTCCTCTCAACTCAGTTCACGTCCGTGGGCCCTTCCAGAGTGACAGGCACCATGATCAGTGCTGCCACCTCCCTTTCGAGAAAGGATTTGAGACCTGTGTGGAACAACTCGGAAAGGGAGGCTCAGACACTGCAGGCGGCTTCTCTAAGGTGACACGCCAAGTTGTTGGGTGTACTGGGTTGAATGGTGTTCTCTCCCAAATTCGTGTTCACCTGGAACCTCAGAATGTGACCTTATTTGTAAATAGGGTCTTTGCAGATATAATTAGGTAACATGCTGTTGGGAGGAGGGTGCTAATGCAGTGACTGGTATCCTTATAAGAAGATCTGAAGTCGAACCCAGGACACACATGGGGAGAAGACCCCGTGAACATAGAGACAGGGATCAGAGTGATGCATCCACAAGCCATGGGACACCAAGGATTGCTAGGAGCCCCCAGAAGGCAGGAGCAAGGCATGGGACAGACTCTCCCCAGAGCTTTAGAAGGACAGCTTCTAGAACTGCGAGACGTAAATTCCTGGTGGTTTAAGCCACCTGGTTGCAGGACTTTGTTACAGCAGCCCTAGAAAACCAAGACAATAGGGAAGCTGTGTTTTGAAGCCACGAATTCTGAGTGCAGGAATGTTCTCACTGTACACAGCTGCCACCCATGCCTGGCCTCCCAGACTTCCCTAATGCGGACCCTCGCTTTGTTAATGGGTGATTGCCCGCTGTCTTCAGAGTTGATCAGCCCCAGAGATGCTCCCCTTCCTTAAGCGCCGCTCATGCGGATTGTGGTTGTACTGTTGCGTGTTCCTCTGGCCCCCTCCTTCTCTGTTCCTAACCAGTGTTTTTTGTATGATGTGAATATTTTAAATTTTAATTTAATTTTTGGTGGGGAAATACAATGTGATGTTTAAATTTTTAAAAATGTTATTTTTAATTGATGAATAGTAATGGTTTATATTTATGGGGTACAATGTGATGTTTGTTTCGATACATGTATACATTGTGGAGTGATTAAGGCACGTGAGTTAATACATCCATCACTTCACATACTTATCATTTCTTTGTAGTAAGAACATTTTAACGATTTATTTTTTTCTGGAGACGGAGTCTTGCTCTGTCGCCCAGGCTGGAGTGCAGTGGTGTGATCTTGGCTCACTGTAACCTCCGCCTCCTGGGTCCAAGCAATTCTTCTGCCTCAGCCTCACAAGTAGCTGGCACTACAGGCACCTGCCACCACACCCAGCTAATTTTTTGTATTTTGGTAGAGACAGGGTTTCACCGTGTTGCCTAGGCTGATCTCGAACTCCTGAACTCAGGCAATCTGCCCGCCTCGGCCTCCCAAAGTGCCAGGATTACAGGCATGAGCCACCGTACCTGGCCCATTTTAACAATTTTGAAATATACATTACCTTATGATTAACTATAGCCACTATGCTGTTCTGTAGATCACTGGAACTTACTACTCCTGTCTAACTGAAACTTTGTCCAGCATCTCCCTTTGACCAGCAAACCCTTTGACCAACATCTCCCTCCTTCCCCATGCACCCCCATCCTCTGGTAACCCCCATTCTATTAATACTCTCTGTTTCTATGAGTTAGACTTTTTAAGATTCCACATGTAAGTGAGATCATGTAATATTTGTCTTTCTGTACCTGCCTTATTTCACTTAGGATAATGTCCTCTAGGTTCATCCATGTTGTTTCAAAGGATGTAATTTCATTGTTTTAAGTCTGAGTAGTGCATATATATATATACACCACATTTTTTTTTTATCCATTTACCCATCGATGGGCACTTAATTTGTTTCCATGTCTTGGCTATTGTGAACAGTGCTGCAGTGAACATAAGGCCAGCCAATTTTGATTGAGTGTCTTCAACATGTCAGGTGCTGTGTTAGGCACTGGGGGATATAAGATGGACAAGACTCTCACTTTCATGAAACATACATTTCAGTGGAGGGTTGAGGGGAAAACACTCAGATGGCAAGCAAATAACAAACATAGCAGAGAGTTCTCTTTGCTATGAAGAAAATTTCCACTAATGTAAGAGAGACTGCTTGGGGCTACTTTCTTTTTTATTATTTTATTATTTTTGTTTTTTGTTGATCTTCCCTTGAGTTGCAACTTGGGGCTACTTTTGATGGGGGTGGTAAGGCAAGTCTCTCTCAGAAGCTGGTTTTGAAGCTAAGCCCTGAATGAAGGAAGAGGCCAGCTGTGTGCAGATATGGGAGGTAGTCATTCCCGAGAGGGAGCAGGCAGTGCAAAGGCCCTGTGACGGGACAGAATTTGGTAGTTCAAGACTCAGAAGGAAGACAGGTGTGATGGCACCTGGTGTGTTGGGGAAGAGGCAGATGGGCCACGCAGAGCCTTGTGAACCAGGGGAAGAAGTTTGAATTTTCTTCCAAGTGCCGTGGAAAGCCTTTGGAAGGTTTTAAGCAGACAAGTGACAAGATCAGTGTTTTTAAAGGTCACTCAGATTTTTCTGTAGAGACTGGATAGTGGGGAGCTAGGAGCACCAAAGGTGATCTGGCTTTAATGCCCAGCTCAATTCTTCTGTCGTACACCTCTAATCCACTGTCTTCCTCCCCTGAGCTACTCGTGCACTTAAAGTCAATACAGCATGCTCACCACTTAATTAGAAAATCGTTTCTGCACACTAAAGAGACCTCCCCAGCCAGGGAGGGCCTCAGGGCTATGCTGTCTCACGTAAGTCTCCTTTGGAATGCCCCTCGGTCCTTGGGGATGGATTCATTGCCCTTCCAATGGGACTGAGTGATGGATTCATGTTTTATGTGAAATTGTCGGAGGGGTAGGGGGTAAGCCCATCCCTCCTAGAAAAAATTTTATCCATCCAGGAACTGCCACACTCTTAATAGGAGACTTGGGGGATTTGCTCTACTATACACATGGGAAACTGAAGCTCTGAGAGGTTGTGGGGCCTTGAATAAGGGTCAGAGCCCAGGTCTGCTGGACCACAAAACCCAAAACTTCCATGCTGGAGGTGGAGGGTTAGCTCTTGGAATGAATGCATGCCTGAAAAATCTATAACTGAGTGATGAAGCAATTAAAAGCAGAAGGTTCCTAATGGATTGTGGAAGCGGGTATCACTGTATAGTGTAGTGGTTCCGAGCTTTGGAATGAGATGAACCTGGGGATGAATACAGGCGTGGCCGTGGGCAAGCGACTTGACCTCACTGAGTCTCTCAATATGTTGATCTGTAAGATGGGAAGAATAAGAAAGTAACTACCTCACATGGGGGCAGTGAGGGTTAAATGAGAAAATTCACAAAAGGGGCTTAGTAGAGCCTGTGGCACAGAATATGCACTCAGTAAATATCTTCTATTGAAAATAGACTGGGACTGGGAACAGATTATGGAAGGAGGAATGTGTGTTCACAAATGTGTGGGAAAACCTTTTGTACTTGTGTTCTGGCTATTGGGTTCTCCAAAAAGTATGGACTAAAGAAAACTGATGCTCTGCTGGGTGGATGTGGGGAGAGAGATCCAGCGTGGGCCTTGCTTTGCTAAGCTGAGTGTTAGAAGGCATGGGAAATGAAAGTTGAGAGGTTCAAGAGCCTGGGGCAGAGGAGCCCCTGGGTCTGGGCAGCCCATGCTCGCCGAGGAGGCAGGGGGGTGAGAGCAGGCAGAATTGGAGACTTGGGTGGAAGTGAAAGATGCCGCTTGCTGTGGGCATTCCAATGAAACCACTCCCTTGAATATGACAGCGGTTAATCATTAATATCATAAAAGTTTTAGAATTGGAGGGACTGAGGAGAGCATCTAGTTCTGCCCAAGGTCAGACAGGGTTATTCTGCAAGCAGAGATGAGTACTGACAGTACTCTGGTTTTAGAGAAAACATTTTCCCCACCCTTCCTGTCCCTTCTCCTGGGTTGACTCCAGCAACTCACCTCTCCCAGCTGAGAAGTACTTGACATTGGATTCAAGGACATCAGAGACACTTACAGCCTGGAGCCTGGTGTGTGCATTGTTGATGAATCCCCAAGGTTGAGCCGAGACTTGGATGGTAGGTCAAGTGTCTGTTGAATATCAGCAGAAATATTTTCCATCTTCCTGATGAGGAGGGAATTTCAGGAAGAACATTTTTGGTGTCTCATTTCTTGGGATTGCCTTTATCAATCGTGATGCATATTTTTGGGCAGTAACCTTACTTTTGGATTTATTTTATTCCCCATCCTAACTCATTTCTTCGTCTATTTTTATCGTGTTGTAGCTATTTTTGTAAGACACCTCCAATCCCTTTGGAACAAAATGAAGTGGAAATAAAGAAATGAAGTCTCTTGGCTTTTGCTCCCAGATCATCAGAAAGATGACTCAATGAGCCAGAGCTCTTTGATGCCAATAATGAACTTGGGTCAGGTCAGAACTCGAATTCCAATTGAAGGAGGGACTTGACAGTGGGACTGTCATTCCTGGGGATGATGGTTGGCAATAGGATGGATTGGGGGTTGAATTATTGGGGACATGCCTGGAGGGACTGGGGAGAGGAGGGAAAGAATGTTTTCAGCGGGTTGCCAGGTAGAATTCCAATGTTCACTGCAATGAACTTTTCTTCAAACTTTTGTCCTTGGCTCTCTTTTCTTCCGTATGGGACAGGGATGCATTTTTGGTGGCTTGTTAACAAGACAAAAATAAGGAGAGGGATGAGAAAAGGTAAACAGAGAACCCTACAAGTTCATGTATTCTATGCCCTGCATTCTGTGTGGACCAAACAATTCCCAAAGAGGCCTAACCCAAAATAAGTTAGTATCCTGCTTCTAGTAGCCTGTGATAAAGTGCATCTTTTTTCTACTTAACTTAATCAATAAATATGAAGTGCTTAATACCATGGAGAAGAAGGCAACAATGGTCTCACCTTCATGGGGCCTAATGTGGTGTGACTGACCAACATTAGAGACGCACGCAGAAAGCCGTGCACATGCACCCGTGTAATTACAAAGTGCCACAGGTGCTGTGAAAAGAAAGCACAGTGTGTCCTACAAGAGAGAAGGGGACCTTATTTGGATTGGGTGGTTATGGAGGGCCCCTTCTGAACATGTTTGGCCTTCTTTGCAGCAGCCTCCACCTCCCAGCGCCTGGGAGACAGTGCACCAGTAGAGGTGGGGTGGGGCAGGTGGTTTAGCCCGAGCTGGGGTGCCTGGCTGGGGACGTGCCCAGAGGAGTAGGGTGTGCGGAAGGCAGGATGGGGTCCCCACAGCAAGCTTTCCTCTCCCTGACTGGGCCACCTGTTGCAAACAGTCAGGCCCCGAGGAATAGCCTCCCCCCAGGGGGAGTTCAGTAACGGGTACCATTTCTCAGAAGGGGCTGGCCGCAGAGATAAGACCACAGTGCCAAGGGGGCCATAAATTGTTACCTGTGCCCTTCAGTTACCCCTTCTTCCTCCATCCCCTCCTTCCTGAGCCAGTGGGGTTAGATTTAGCAGCAGGGCTTCTGTTCATGAGATGGAGCAGAAAGCAGACTTTCTGGAGGCTGGGCATGATCACTGAGATGCAGAGCACTGATAGGGAAAATCAATTTAATTTCTGTGGCTCCGTGACAAGGAGGGGTGGCAAGCAGGAAGGTCAGGCCTGTTTTGAAAGCCACAGTTCAGTTAAGAAAATAAAACACTCCCTCTAAGGAATTTTTAAAAATACAGTATTTTAGGAGGGGGAAAATGGAAGTGGGTCAAGATGAGGGATTTAGTCGGAGGAGCAGAGCAGACCCATGGCAATCCCAGTCTGACCGGAGCCTAGGGCCTGAGGGTTGCAGGTCTCCCATAGGAATTTTTTTTTTTTTTGAGACTGCGTTTGTTTCATTCTTGTTGCCCAGGCTGGAGTGCAATGGCGCAGGTTGCTCACTGCAACCCCCGCCTCCTGGATTCAAGCAATTGTCCTGCCTCAGCCTCCCAAGTAGCTAGGATTACAGGCACCTGCCACCACGCCCGGCTATTTGTTTTGCATTTTTAGTAGAAATGGAGTTTCACCATGTTGGCCAGGCTGGTCTCAAACTCCTGACCTCAGGTGATCCGCAGAGGCATAAGCCACCATGCCCGGCCTAGGAATTTTGTTGTATGTCTGTTGAGTTGAGTTGCTCAGGACTTGTTGCAGTAGGGGACACTTTCATTAGGTTTCTGTTTCCCGAGGCATGATTTAAGGCACATTTCTCCGTCCCTCTGGTTGATGCTGGGGAAGGCTTGGCTTCTGGCAGTTTTTGATTGCTCAGATCAAGCCTATGTGATTCATGGGATTTTACAGGTTGGAGGCTGAGAGGTATTTGTAGGTCTGGATGAGGATTTGCACTCAACCTGGTTGTGGCATGTCGTAGTCAAACTATGGCCTCACCTGATTTAGAGGACGAGGAGGACTCTGCAGAAAGCACTTCCTTGGCTGTTGGTAGAGATTAGATATTTGCGGGCAGAGAGTTGGGTCAACCCAAGCCTTCATCAACATCCCACAGGGACCTCCCTTGAGGTGACTTTCATTCATTAGATGGAGGATGGCATTGCAGGTCCTGTGCCAGGCACTGGGGAGATAGGCTTTGTCTTTTTTTTTTTTTTTTTGGTGGCATCTCTCGCTCTGTCGCTCAGGCTGGAGTGCAGTGGCACGATCTTGGCTCACTGCAACCTCTGCCTCCCGGGTTCAAGTGATTCTCCTGCCTCAGCCTCCTGAGTAGCTGGGATTACAGGCGTGCGCCACCTTGCCCAACTAATTTTTTGTATTTTTAGTAGAGAAGGAGCTCACAGCATAGTAGAAGGCTCAGACTTTGGACTATTTCCTAAGAATCTGATAAGTGAATACATTTCCAGGATTCTTAGCGGATGGCCCGAAGTCTTGGGATAGTGTGTGAGGGCCAGAGGGGAAAATTGAAACAATGAAGAGAATTGAGAAATTCCTCATTGGAAACTTCTGTCTGTGATGCTTGGGGTGGGATAAGAGGGGGGGTCTGTTCTAGCTAAGATTCAATACCAATGGTTATCTCTTTGATTATAGCTTAGGGTGAGGCTGAGTGATCTATCTCCACTGTTTGGTCTCCCCAGAGTTAGCTGTTTATTTCAAACCACCAGTCACTTGTGGTGTTTTGACCTAGAAGCCATGCAAGGCAGTTTGAACTGTGCTTGAAAGGGTGGGGAGGCAGGGCTTGTTCTGAACTGTGAGCTGAGGAGGCAGCGATGGGTGCCCTGTGCTCTAATAGAGGTCTGAGAAGTGAACTGGGTGGCCAGCTGGGTCTGCCTGCTGAGAGCTTGCTGGGGCACAGGAAGCCGTGCCCCTCATTCCCTTTGAAATAGCTTTGTGTTTGTCATTCTTGTGACTTGGATACCCTTTTGGACCCCGTATCTGTGGGCTTAGCATCAGTCAGATGCTGTTTATCAGACAGTCTTACCTGGGGTTTGTTATCCGTGTGTGTGTGTGTGTGTGTGTGTGTGTGTGTGTGTGTGTGTGTGTGTGTGTGTAGCGTGGCTGGGTCAGACTGGATTCCTTGTTGAGCATCTAGCTAAAAGAGGTTAAGAGGAGGCTCATATACTGCTGAAGGCCAGAGGGCTTTGCTGAACGCTGGTCATCTTAAAAACGAGCTGGGCTATTTATAATTTGGCAGGCTGCCATGGGACTTGAATGAATGGCAGTCTGTGCAGGCTCACATACTCTGTGTACTGAGTCTGAGCGTGGGTTTGTTCATTTATGTGCCCCTGTGCATGGGTGTGGATGTGATTTCCTGGCGTGCAGGGTAAGGACTGAGGAGGTGGGGAAGCAGGTTTTGCCCTGGTCCTCTGGTCCGCCAAGAGGCCACAGGTACCCTTATTTATGCCTGGGATGTTGGTGTTTCTGGTATTTTAAGCCACAGAAACGTTTGAGGGAGTAGACCTGGACTATCTCTTTTTACTCCTGAGGAAACTAGGCCAGAGGGGTTCCCTTGGGCTCAGAGGAGGCCTCGGGTCAGGGGCCATCCCGGGTGGGAGCTGTAGCTCTGGCCAGCTTGCTCCTGTCAACACTGCCCCCTGCCGCTCTCCCAGGGCTGCAGGGACCTGGTCGTGCTGGAGACGGATGTTTTCAGGCAGCGCTTTGTAGGAGGCAGTGACGCTGGTAACCCACTAATGTGAGGATGAAGTCTTTGTATTCTGTTTCCATTGACGGGGACGGGTTTGCAGAACCACCCACACCCTTGCCTGGGCCTGGTGACTCATGAGGACAAGATGGCTGACCAAGGAGAGGGAGAGGTTCCACTCCCTCCAAGGCCCAGGGCTGACTCTTTTTCATGCATTTGGTGCTAAATTGCTGCCCTGAGGCTCTTGAATAGCTTGTATGAACTCTGGTCCACCCCTCTTGCCTCTCCTAAATCCCTTGGGAGGTGTCCCCATGCCCTACACACTGCCTGCTCTGTCACCTCACCACCCTGCAACCAGCTGGGCTGGCTGGTTTTCACTGCTGGGAGGTAGATTTTTTTTCAAGAAGTATGAAAGTATCATTGGCATATAGACAGACCTCTGCACTCAGCTGGAACTGGGTTTTGAATCGCAGCTTCAGGACTCAATAATGTTGTAAATCTCTGAACTTCTTGGAGACTTTGTTTTAGGAAGACAGGACCCTATAAGACAAAGTCCCTCTGTGAGGTCCAGCACAGAAGGCATCTCTCACCAGGGTCCCTTTCTTTTCCCTTTTCTCTCAGCCTGATTCTGTGCTTTCTTTCTTCCTTTTCGTTGTTATTTAAACTTATGCATGTAATTTCAGCCTCATAAGGGACATTATGTAGATTAATTGCCATATGGGAAGTACTTAAAGCATGTTGCCTGGCACACAGTAGGTGTGTAGCAATAGTAGTCATTGTTTTAGGCAAAGATGATGCCTGCAGGGGTTTCTTTCATTATTATTTCACTATTTATTTCATAATTGTAGCTTCATGGGGAGGACAGAAGGGTGAAGGGATCTCAGGGAGGCATTCTTCCCTTCACCCTGGAGACCTCCCTTGCTTGGCTGTACATTTAAACTGGCCTCCGCGTGGGTTCATGGTCCTGTACATCAACACAGCTGATTTTTTTTTTTTTTGAGACAGAGTCTTGCTCTGTCTCCAGGCTGGAGTGCAGTGGTGCGATCTCGGCTCACTGGGTCCTCCACCTCCCGGGTTCAAGCGATTCTCCTGCCTCAGCCTCCCAAGTAGCTGGGACTACAGGCGCGTGCCACCACGCCCGGCTAATTTTTGTATTTTTAGTTGAGACGGGGTTTCACCGTGTTGGCCAGGATGGTCTCTATCTCTTGACCTTGTGATCTGCCCGCCTCAGCCTCCCAAAGTGCTGGGATTACAGGCGTGAGCCACTGCGCCTGGCCAACACAGCTGATTTTTATAAACCTTCTAGAGACATTTGCCTTCTTGGTTTTTAAGCATAAACAACCTCACTTTTGTAAAGGGGAGTTGCTGTAAGATTCAGAACTTGGAGAGGTTTTTGTGTGGGCGTTTATTTTTCTTAAACAGCACGAGGTTTGTGGGATTCTATAGGGTTTTGTACAGCCTGACCAGCAGTTAGCCATCTCCCCTCCCCTTCTCCCGGAAGAAATGGGTGTTTTGTTCTCCACTGGCCTCTCCTCGTGTGTTTCTTCTTCTGGGAAAAAACCCACAACCCCAGGTTCTGTTGCCCAAGATGAGACTGGATGAAAATCAAGAGGGGTTGCTGACGAGACCCTGGAATGCCCAGAGAACAGAGGGGTGGGAGCGAGGGAGGCGGTGCTGGCCTGGGGCCATCTTACTCTTCCTTTCTTCCTGACAGGTGTGTAGAATGGCATCTCCTGCCGGCACGCTGGGGGCCTGGGATACCTCTGGCAGACAGTGCTGGAAATTTAATGCTCCTTGAAACAGGAGAGCCTGAGAATGCTTACAAAAATCATCCTTATTAAAGTTTGAAGGGATGAAGAAAAGCGCTAATGGGAGAGACCCTATACTTACAAACCCACCTTGAAGGGGTTAGGGGTTACTTCCCACCTGCCAGCACCTTCCCTGCTCTGAGGAAACAGGAAACCTGATGGCTGGGGGCTTCAGGGCTCTGGGGACAGCTACCGTTTGCGGCCTGTCTGCCTGGCTGATGTCTGTGCCTGTCTGCAGCTGAAGGCCCACTTAGGACAACAAAATCCAGCCAAGCCGGCTGGCTGGGGCTGAGTGGGGCCTTTTGGCTTCAGGTGACTTTGTGGCTTCGGCCTTGGGTAAAGGGAGTGGGGGGCCATGTGTGGAGCCCTCTGGAAGGTCTGGACTCCTGCTTTTCCTTGGCTCTTCTCGTTCTCCAACCACCCCCAAGGTTCAGCAGAGTCTTGGGCGCGTCTCCTCCGTTTGTGCCGCGTGTTTGTGGCAGCAGCTGTTGGTGCTGACTAATAGGACTTCCTGGCAGCTGTGCCGGGCACACGTGGCACCGGCAGGAACTGCCTCTCCTCGGCTGCCCAATCTGTACCCCAACCACCAAAGAAAGGCCTGGAAAAGGGGCTGAGAGAGGCTGCTTGAGTGGGAAAGCCCTAGAACTTGGTGACTCACAGATCCATAGAACACGGTTGGAAGAACCAACTCCCATCTGCAGAGGGGAGCACTGGGTGCCTAGGAGGGGTCTCTCAGGTCGAAGAGCAAGTTAGGGGCTGAGCTGACACGTAAAACCCCATCTCCTCCCTGCCCCCTGAATGTGTTTGCTCTGCCCGTGTGAGACAGGCTTGTCAGGGGGTCAGCCTGAACCGTGTCACTCACTAGCTGTGTCCTTGGGCAAAGCTTTTCACCTCTCTGTACCTCAGTTCCTCCAGAGACAAAAGGGGATCATCATTGTCCCTACCTTAGGGGCTTTTGAGGACAGGGTGAGCACCCAGGGCAACGTGCCTGGGACAGTAAACCTCAGCAGATGCCACTTTGCTTTCTTCCTTACCAAAAACTGGGCAGATGCCTCTCTCCTCCTGAGTCCAGTGGTGTCTGTGTCAGATGCCCTAACGGATTCTCAGGAATTGCAGCTGACATCCGGTCATCATCTTTGGTTTGGGGTGGATGGGGGCAGAGCCAGGGAAGAAGACAAGAAACGGGAGAACCTAAGTGCTTGCTGACTTCTGCCCCATTCCCCTCACCCCAAACCCTTTTTTAGAAAGGACTCGAGAGGCCTTTTAGGGTCAAGATTACCAAGGCCTGAGTGACCCTGCAGAATTCCTGCACATGGCTAGGCATCCTTTGTCTGATAATGACAGCCACTGCTCACACAGCGTCTACAGTGCACCGTCAGCAGCCTTAGGAGGCAGATTCTATTATCTGCTCTAGTTTACAGGCAAGAACACAGCACGGGCCAGGCACAGTAGCTCACGCCTATAATCCCAGCACTTTGGGAGGCCGAGGCAGGTGGATCATGAGGTCAGGAGTTCGAGAGCAGCCTGACCAACATGGTGAAACCCCCGTCTGTACTAAAAATACAAAAATTAGTCGGGCGTGGCGGCGGGCACCTGTAATCCCAGCAACTCGGGAGGCTGAGGCAGAATTGCTTGAACCCGGGAGACAGATGTTGCAGTGAGCTGAGATCGTGCCACTGCACTCCAGACTGGGTGACAGAGCAAGACTCCGTCTCAAAAGAAAAAAAAAAAAGAACACAGCACGGAGAAGATGCCCAGAGCCCTTCACTGTGGGCCCATGAGATGACACAGATCTTTCCACTAGGCCATCCTGTTTTGTTGCTGGAGAACTTTGTCCCTGGAAGGGCAGAAATGATTATTCTGGTTGCCCAAGGCCTGGTGGCCCAGGTAGGAGAAGGAACCTTCCAAGGCACATCCAGAGGAAAGCCCGGGGTTGGCGGGGGGTGGGGAGGTGTCCGCTCTGTGGCTATAATTAAGCCTCTCTGCCTGCTCTTCCTTTTCAACCACCAGCTTTTCAGGGGTTTAGATAACATGGCTTTGTGCTGATGGCCCTTTCAGCACTCAAACAGGAGGACCCATCTCAGCTCCTGGCATTCACGGGGCATAGTTCCCCTTTTCTCCTCACAATGCTGAATTTTTAAAAAGTGGAGTGTTAGCATAGGAAGAGTAGCTGATATCTGGGCGTTTTTCATAGAAATTCCATGATGGATGTTTTCCCCAGGATGCACTGCCAGTGTCCCAAAGAGAGACTTATCAGTTAAACCTGCCTGGCTCCAGAGGAGTCGCCGCAGACTTCCTGGTAAATACCCCCGAGCCAGGAATGCGTTTGTGAAATTTTTAGGAGATGATCCCAGAAAAGCTTCCTTCGGTCACCAAGCCGCGTGTTTGTGTCTGGAGATGAAGTGTGTGAAGGAAGATGTTTGCTCCTGAAATGAGACATTTTGTACATACAAGCCTTTTATGTGACATTGAAGTCAGATGCTGAGCTGTCCGATGCTGGGGTTTGAAGGTGAAAGTTGACTTTACCTCCTGTAGTGACAAAGTTCTGTGTCAGCCTGAATTTCAATTTCCTGGGACTTTTGTCTGTCTACAGCTCAACATGGTATCCTCAGCACCTTTGGGGTCTTTTGTTGTGTTGTTTGTTTTTTTGGTGGTTAGGGGAGGGATGGGTTAGTGACAGGGCGGTGGGGGGGGGTGCATTTAATCATTTATTCTTTTTAGTAGGTTTAATTGTATAAAGATTATAATGCATACAAACGTCTGTAATTAGGGGAGTTGGTTCTATTAGACAATGTTTTAGTGAGGAAAATTACAGTGTTTATAAGCCGTTTAAGGAGGGGGCAGCATATATTAACATGCAACTAGTTTTTGTGAATTCATACCGAGTACTTACCAGTGTTCCCCGGAGGTGTCTCCCCGAATTCCAAAGTGTGCCCCGTTCTATGTGCTTCCTGGGCTTCCTTCAGCAGAACCAGGCCATTTTTCAGAATATGGAACGCTATTCTAGGGGCTTAGGAGAGCAAACCTTGTTCTGTGACGGAATGAGTTTCGTTGATTCACGAGACAAATGTTTAGGAATGCCCTGTCTCTGCCAGGCACTGTTCCGGGTATTGGGGATACAGAGGTGAGTAAGACGGCAAGCTCTTTGCTCTCATGAAGTTTGTAATCTAATGGGGAGTCAGACTGGAAATGAGAAGACAAATACACGAACACACTCCTTACTGATACCGATCGGTGCAGAGGAAATGGAAGAAAGTGTTAGGCTGCAGAGGGACTGGGGAGTGGGGTGGGGTGTGTGTGAGGGTGTCGATTTAGGCATAGCCTTCAGAGAGGCATCTCTGGGGCAAGTGATCATCCAAGGACAGGGAGAACGCACAGCCCATGCAGTTGCCAAGGCAAGAAGGAGCTTTGTGACTTCAGGGAACAGAAGGAAGGAGGGGGAGCTGGCGACAGTGAGCAAATGAGGGGAGATGAGGTTAGCGAGGTGGCAGGACCAGATCATGGGGCTCTGCCAGGGGATGGTCGGAAGGAAGAATTCGCAGTGCCCTAAGAAGCTAAAAGTGAAGGACCTACTGCAAGCAAAACAGTGGGATGTTCTGTCCCTGCACAGCTGGCCCCCTTTGGGGCTCTCTGCCACTTGGTCTCAATGTTAAAGGTGCCAAGCACGTAGAATAGGGCCTTTCCCTGTTTAGGCACCCACAGAAGTGCTTGACTGTCGATACCTTGAGGGACACCAGTTGGAGAAAAGGTCAAGCATCCGTTCAACTCTGGGAATGTTCTTAACAGTGCCACTAAGCTGTCAAAGAGATGCACTCACATGCTGTAGGAACATCATTGACTCTGAATGGCTCCATCTGGGAATAAAAAGCAGGGGCTCTGAAGGATGAGTGGGAGTTTGATAGAATGGATGAAAATGAGAAGAACTTTGCAGCAGAAGGAACCCACACGGACAAAAGGCACAGTGTGTTAGACGAACACCAAATCATCTGGTGTGGCAAGAAATGAACCTTTTGGGAAGAAAAGCTGGGGTCAGGTTGGGGCACGCCTTGAAGCTTTGGACTTTATTGTGTAGCTACACTCACATATGCTTTGATGCAAGGTTGCTATGTAAAAGTTGCCTCCAAAAATCCATGCGCTGCAAAGAGATTGACCGTCACCCTTAACAACAAAGCTGAAGCATCTCAGCTGCCACAGTACAAGTTTAGAAAATTGTTTAAAGTATCATTTATTTATGTATTTAGAGATAGGGTCTCTCTGTATCACCCAGGCTGGAGTGCAGTGACGCGATCATAACTCACTGCAGCCTCAACTCCTGGGCTCAAGTGATCCTCCCACCTCAGCCTCCCAAGTAGCTAGGGCTATAGGTGTGTGCTGCCATGCTCAGCTGGTTTGTTTTGTTTCGTTATTTATTTATTTTTTGTAGGTATGATACCTCCCTATGTTGCCTGGGCTGGTCTTGAACTCCTGGTCTCAAGAAATCCTCCTGCCTCAGCCTCCCGAGTAACTGGGTTTACAGGCGCAAGCCACTGTGCCCAGCTTAAGTTTTACATTTTAAATCACGCTTCTCTGGAAGGGCGGCCCCTGGATAGGGGGGACCAGTTGTGGAGGACCTGTTCCATGTTTTATCTGAGTCCTGATCCTCCTGTCACATGAGTACGGCCCAGCTGACACAGCTGTGCAGTCAAGCCCTGGGTTGGATGATAAGTATGTGGAGTGGCATGGGTGGGGGGGGTGTCTCAGGTTTTATAGCCAAACTCCCAGAAGCCCCTTTTCCCTCTTTGACAACTGGAAGTCCAGATGATCCAACCCTCAGAGGATGGATCATCCCCTGAGGAGTGCACGACCCAGTGCCTGCGTTCTATGCCATTGTCACTCTGGAACCACCTGCTTGGCTTCTGGAATGACACGTTTGATCATCGCTGTCTTCCTCTTATCTTTCCCCAGCCCCCACTGACACTGACAATTTACTTCTGTCTTTGGGGCTATGAACCATGACAGGGGTGGAGAAGGAGTGGGGATAGAGATGAGACCAAGATACTTCTTGATATCTGTGGAAGCCTCAGATACCAAGAAGCCCTTCATCTGAAATATCACTGACGTGTCTCTCCTAGTTGGTTTGGAGCAAGTTGTGAGCACTGAGGACTATCAGTTTAGGTTTGAGCTGAAGGAGTGGAGATACATTTACAAGTTACTGAACGGGAGGCAGGCAGGCATCTGTGTGCCGCTTCCACACTGGGCAGCTGCAGGGCTCTCTGGTGGGCATCCTCCTTCTAGCCTTGCTGAAAGATGATTTGCTGGCATGAAATAAAGACGTCCCTAATTGTTTGGGGTGTGGGAAAGCAATCCCATGAGCATTAATTTGCCCAAGCCCAGAGTGTGTGAGAAAGTGCCTGCCTGACATGTTTTTCTTTTCCATTAACACTTCTGTGATAAACAGCTTAGATGCTCAGAGAAAAATTAATGAAACTATTGTAACAATCATGCACATGTAGGTAATTTATTAAGGACAATTAAAAAGCTTTAAAAATCATCCGTGAGGCAAAATGAACAGGAAGATGGTGTGTGGCGGGTTTTGGCAGGGAGCCTGCCCGTGGGTGTACGGAACAGGTTTCTCTTCCCATCGCCCTCACCCCCATCAGAGCAACACAGCAGTGGAAAGCGTGGATTCCTGCTGTCCAGGCTGTTAGTAACAAACATTCTATGCTGGTTGCCTGTTGGGTGAAGCCAGGGAGATGTGTGACTGTGTGGTCTGGCTGTTCTGCTCTACCTTCCTTGGGACCCAGGTATGCTGGTTCCTGGGCCTCCCTTCCAGGAGCAGGAGCATGTTGGGTGACAACTTGGTTATTGGACTTTTGTTGTTTGTGTTGGCTCTAGGAGCCTCGAAACCAGGTGAGGGGCAGCAAGGGAAGCCTAGAGAGGTTAAGGTGGCACTGTCATGACGACACCAGCCACTTACTAGCTTGGACCTTGGCCTCTCTGTGTAACGAGCCTGAGCCTCAGCTTCCTCATCTGCAAAATGGGGAGAATCGTTAGGAAGGAGTGGAGGATTGGAGCGAGGATCACACAAGATCATGCATGCTGAGGGCCTAGCGTGATGCCTGGCAGGTATGTAGTAAATGTTCAAATGTTTAATATTCTTTGTTATCATGAGCGGCATCATGATTGTGTTGTTGGCTGAAAGCCAAGCTAGGGTTGACACCCACATATCAAACTCCAAGGCCAGTGCACTTTTCATGATGTGCCAGTACCCACCCACTCACCCTTGGATCCTCCCTCCACCGCCACTGTTTTACAGGAATGCCAATACTGTGTCCTGTGTGAATGCTAGGATGTACTCACTGAGCCTCCTTGAGGCTTGGGTGAGGCCCCTCTTTGGAAGGATGGAGCTGCCTAGCTTCCTCCTGGTCTCATCTCTATCCCCACTCCTTCTCCAACCCTGTCATGGTTCATAGCCCCAAAGTGACAGATCTTCCACACTCTGGAATTTTTTTCACACGTGTGGAGGACTGGGATTGCTAGAATTTGTTTCTTTTTATTGGTTGGTGACCCAAGAAATCTTTGACCTTGTGGACCAGTGGTTTCTCAAATGCAGATATATTTAATAAAGTCAGGGTCTGTTAGCGGATGGTATTGGTCCCTCTCTGGGTATTTATCTTTATTTTATTGTTTTTCCCCAAGGCTTGATCGTAGACACATAGGTTATGTGTCCATTATAGACATATGCATCTATTTTCAAGAAGTAAATTTTAGTTCACTTACTGACTAGAAAGGAAAAGAAAGTGTTTTAGAGTAGACACGTCAGACACGACAGATTTTTTTCCCTTTCCGTGCTATAAATGAGCAGTGAAAAATGACTTTTGCTATTAAAAGCTGTAGCACCAGCCAGGCGCAGTGGTTCGTGCCTGTAATCCCAGCACTTTGTGAGGCCCAGGCAGGCAGATCATGAGGTCAGGAGATCAAGACCATTCTGGCCAACACGGTGAAACCCCGTCTCTACTAAAAGTACAAAAATTAGCTGGGTGTGGTGGCACGTGCCTGTAATCCCAGCTACTCGGGAGGCTGAGGCAGGAGAATCGCCTGAACCAGGAAGTCGGAGGTTGCAGTGAGCCTAGATAACACCACTGCACTCTAGCCTGGCAACAGAGTGAGACTCCATCTCAAAAAACAAACAAACAAACAAACAAACAAAAAACTGTAGCACCTGTAAAAAATAGTAAATTATAGGACATTATCAAAGTTTATAGGCACTAGAATTTGACCTTCAGTAAATTCAACATTGGAGGGTAACAGGGTTTTCTTTCCTTTCTTCAAAATGAAAAATGAGAGGGAGGAAAAAGATTTATTTCCTTCTGGGGCTGGAGTAACAACTGGAAATGGTATTCCCCAGCTTAAAGAAAGAAAGAAAGAAAGAAAGAAAGAAAGAAAGAAAGAAAGAAAGAAAGAAAGAAAGAAAGAAAACCTTTGTTAAATTACATAAAGTAATATAAGAAGTCACTTTCCTTAGAAAAAAATTTAAACCTCATAGAAAAGGCAAAAGTTGTGCGGTGGCTCATGCCTGCCCAGCACTTTGGGAGGCCACAGCGGGCTGATCACTTGAGGCCAGGAGTTTGAGACCAGCCTGGCTAACATGGTGAAACCCTGTAAAAATATAAAAATTATCCAGGCGTGGTGGTGCATGCCTGTTATCCCAATTACTCGGGAGGCTGAGGCAGGAAAATTCGCTTGAACTCGGGAGGTAGAGGCTACAGTGAGCCAAGATCACACCACTGCACTCCAGCCTGGGTGACAGAGCAAGACTGCATCTCAAAAAAAAAAAAAAAAAAAAAAAAAAAGGTGAGTAAAGGCAAAAGTCCCCTTGTACAATTCCGTCCCCCCTCCCCCCACCTGCTGGCCACCACCCTTGATCTTATTTTCATATGTATAACAGAGCTTTTTCTGTGCATTTATACACTCTTCTGTATACTCAGAGAAAATAATATAGTCTTGTTTTCTCAGGCTGTCCACCCTCCTCCCAAAACTTTTTGCCTTTTCCTCCATCCTTTCCTGAGACTTAGCTGGAGGAAGAGGGGAAGTTTGATGGACAAGTTTTTTTTAACATGGGGTTGGATGGTCCAGTGGGTGGTAGTGGTGTTTCCACCTTCTTCTCTAGGTTCTCCTTGGGCTTTGTGAAGCTTCCTCGATTGCTCATAATCCAGGTTAAGATTGAGTAGATGGATAGTTGGAGGGTACAGGTAAGTATCCAGAGGAGCAAAGTGTTGGGGGTTGAGTACCAGATACTGTGGCTGACTTGAGCTTCCCGTGCCTTTAGCTGGACCCTGACACCTCTCTGAACTAGGAATGTAGAATGAACTCTCTGCGAGACATCTGTGCCCATTGCCGGATTTTGAGCATGTGAATTGTGTGACGATGTGGGTGCGTGCATGTGTGTGGGTGCACATTTAAGGAGGATTTCTCGGAGAAGCCACCCCCTCCTTTGTCCTGAAATGCACAATAGAGATCCTTCGCTAAATAAGTCAGCAGATGTTAAGTGATGGTGTTGGAGGAAGGCACCTTCAAAGAACTGGTTGTTGTTTCAGAAGCAACATGCTGATCAGCCCATCGTGGGCTCCCAGCTGTCCTGTGACATTTCTGCAGCTTCAGGTGCCAGCCTGGGCATGGCATCTCTGAACAGTGAGACTCTCCATCCTTTTTCTGAGAGCAGAGGCCTCGTAGCTGTTGCTGGATCTTCACAGAAAATGGGTCCCTAATCTCATTCTCACCTGCTTCTACTTCTGCTCTGAGGCCAGCTGAGAAAATTGCTCCAGTGCTTTGCTGCTGTCTGAGATTTAAGGTGGGAAGTTGGAGCTGCAGATTTTGAGAAAGCCACACTGCGATTCAGGAATAGTAGCGAGACCGGCACAGCTGCCCTGACCAGCCTTCCTCCTCACATCCTTGTGAAGCTGTAGTCTTTAAAACTCTTCACAACTGCTGCCCAGTAGAGGCAGTTTGGTCTTTTCAGAAAGAGGGAAGGGACAGGGTACAATCTGTCACCCTCATCAGCTGGCTAGCCGGTTCCAAAATGAAGCCTTGGGGAAGAGGAGTATCAGGGCGTGAGGAAGTTGTGCAGACAGGAAGCCGTGACCCCTCCAAGCTTTGCTGACCGTTCTCAGGGGGGATGTCCTCTTCTCTTTCTTTAGTGAGGAGTAGCTCTCCCATGTCCTCAAATCCAGCTTTCCCAGTGTGGGCACCTGTGACCACACCCTCATCCCTCAGGCTCCAGTGAGAAGACATGGTAAGGGTTAACCAGTTTGGCCGGCTTCCCTAGACGGGAAATGGAGGTTCACCCAGCTGGTGTCTGGGAGGCAGGTTCTAGTCTTCTTTCCGGTGGCTCTCTGGGCAATGCATCTTGCAGCCCTCTTCTCTTCTCCACCAGGAGAGCAGGGAGCCTCCTCCAGAGGGGGAGCAGGTGACCCGCAGTCAGCCAGAAGTGGCCACAGGAACCCCTGTCCATCCTCACAGAGGGGAAGCAACTTCCCCAGGCCACCTTGCCTGCAAGCATGCCAGTGGCAGAGCCAGGACTAGAAGTCAGGCCTTTTGCCTGCTGGTTGGTGTGCCCCATGCCAGGCCAGAGGCCTGTTAGTGGGTCCTGGACTCGTGAGGGGCAGCCGAACTGTTGCAGCAGTCTTAACAATCCATCTGCTTGCTTCCACTCTGTACATTAGGATCATTAAATGTGGACTGTATTTTCTGGACTTACAAACAAAAGTGGGAGGGAAGACCTTGTACTTGAAAAGATTGCTCTCTAA
The DNA here is from genome assembly GCF_000001405.40 of Homo sapiens. Classification (NCBI taxonomy): domain Eukaryota; kingdom Metazoa; phylum Chordata; class Mammalia; order Primates; family Hominidae; genus Homo; species Homo sapiens. The sequence goes on from NC_000017.11 coordinate 57,452,651, forward strand.
GATGGTTCGGATTTGAAGAGAGAAGGCCTGAATTCTCTCATTTTTGCAGTTATAATAATAAATACTTTTCTTTAATACCTAGAACATGCCAGGAGCTGAGCAAAGTGTATTTTGTACTTCATCTTACGTGTTCCTCTTACCAGCCCATGAGGGTGGTTCTGTCATCACCCTCGTCTTACAGGTGAGGACTTGGAGAGGTTCAGGTTCTGCCTTCAGTGCCACAGCTGAGAGGTGGGGAACTGGGATTTGGATGCAGGCTCTAACCTCAGACTGGGGAAGGATTCTGCATGGTAGATAGGGAACAGAACTGCCAGGCCAGTGCTGGCTGAGGGCTTGTTTCTGGTTGAGGGACTTTTTTTTTTTTTTTTTTTTTAAGATGGAGTCTTGCTTTGTCACCCAGATGAGTACAGTGGTGCAGTCTTGGCTCACTGCAACCTCCACCTCCTGGGTTCAAGTGATTCTGCCGCAGCCTCCCGAGTAACTGGGATTATGGGTGTGCACCACCACACCTGGCTAATTTTTGTATTTTTAGTGGAGACGGGGTTTCATTAGGTTGGTCAGGCTGATCTCAAACTCCTGACCTCAAGCAATCTGCCCACCTCAGCCTCCCAAAGTGCTAGGACTACAGGCATGAGCCACCAAGCCTGGCCTGAGGGGCTTCTTGCTTTTGCTTGTGGTCACTTCCCTGCAATGCTGCTGTCTTGATTTTCAGGGCATCTTGTGACAGTGACTGAGGCTTGCTCTCCCTTCTCTTGCTGCCCAGGTGATGAGCACTACAGGCCTTATAACCTGATGATTTGGGGTTGAGCCATATCCCTAGAACTTCCTATGTGGTGAGAAGTCAACAGTATCACGGAACACTTGGTTTTGTGTCTCATTTCAGCCTAGTAGAGGGACAAAGCAAGAAGTTTAATGCCAACATCAGAAGAGCCACTTGAGCAGACACAAGCATTTGCCTGTGTACAGCATATACCTTGTGCCGGGCACGCTTTTCTATTACTTCATTTAACCTATCTATGCCTAGTGTTCCATTATCGGAACGCCAAGCTTGTGGGGAGTTATTTATATCCTACTGCTCAAGGTCATCACCAAGGTCTGATTTTTCACAAAAATTTGCAACCTCCGGCATAAATGGGTTAATTCTCAACACCATCCTCAGGATAGGTACTGTCATCATTCCCACTCTACAGGTGAGGGATTGGGCTATAGTAACTTGTTTGAGATCAAAAAGCCAGGAATTGGCAGAGCCAGGATCCAAACTGCCTGACCCCAGAGCTCATACCTTTATCTTTCTCATCAAAAACCACTGGTTGGATGAGTACCTCTCTGGGAAGAAAGGGCTGCATGACCCTGTGTGCTATTACCCACCTGTTGGCCGCCAAGGCTGATACCTGGCAGGAAGCCCTCATTCACAGGGCAGAAGGCTCAGTGAAATAAACAGGCACCCAAGGGCTAAGTGGAGAGGACTGGCTCGCTCCAGGAGCTCTGTGCAGATCTTGAGCACATTGGCTCAGTATGTTATTGAAATGATGGAGCTCGGGGCGGAGTGATGATTAATAGTGCCTTTGGCAGCCCCCAAAACCACCAGGAACTGTGGATAGTGAGAGGCCCACCATCCGGTGTCACCACAATGGTGCTGGTGTCCAATGAACGTGTGCTTCCATATACTGTTCTGAAGGGCAGTAGTGAGTGGTTCCAGCCCGCCTCATCTTCCCTGTAGCTGCTGAAGGTATGTCTGTCCTCCTTCCTTCCTTCTTTCCTCTCTCTCTCTTTTTCTTTTTCTCTTTCTTTTTTTTTTTTTTTTTGAGATGGATTCTCGCTCTGTCTCCAAGCTGGAGTGCAGTGGCACGATCTTGGCTCACTGCAACCTCCAACTCCCTGGTCCAGGCGATTCTCCTGCCTCAGCCTCCTAAGTAGCTGGGATTACAGGCACCCGCCACCACGCCTGGCAAATTTTTTGTATTTTTAGTAGAGATGGGTTTCACTATGTTGGCCAGCATGGTCTCGATCTCCTGACCTGGTGATCTACCCACCTCGGCCTCCCAAAGTGCTGGGATTGCAGGCGTGTGCCATGGCATGTGTTTTCAAGATCTCCTTTGACCCAGGTCTGTGGCTTTGGTCCTTTGCCATGGACTAGAGTTCTTCATAGGCAAGTAGTCCATGTGGCGCTTGAGCTCTTCACTAGATTAAAGCCAGTAGAGGTAACAGCGCAGCCCCTCTGGCTAGGGAAGAGGGGTGCCGCTAGCATCATTCCATCTGGGGCTTCACCTCATCTTTGCATACCAGCCCTGCCTGCTGCTGCTCCTGTCGCAGGCGTGGAAGACCTGGCTGGAACCCTATTCCTGCCATGACCTTGAGGCTGTTCAGTAACCTCTGAGAGCCTGATTTTCCCACCCACCTTATGAAGTTCTTACAGAGCGCCTAGCTCTCATTCAGGTGCGTGGGAGATGCTCAGTGACTTCGAGTTCCCTCCTCATGCCTCTTCATGTGGCTCTGGGGCTTGTATTAGAGCTTCCCTTTCTTTTAGAGTACAGCCAGCTGTCTATTGCAGCTTGTATATGAAACGGTCTCTCTCTGTGGTAACTTTGCACAAAAGATGGTTTTGTGGTCAGCCTCTGAATAATGCAGTGAAGCCCCTGCCCCCCAACTCACACACAGGGAGCTGTGGTCACAGTCGGACCACTTGGCAGCCATCATAAGACTTGAAATGGGGGGTTTGAAGCCATTGCTTGTGAATTAGCATGTTTTTCTCTCTTTTGCCTTTGTGAAAACCAACTTCCTGTGCAGCCGCTTGTGTTTTAAAACCCTGAAAAAGGGGGGCCAGCTCTCAGCCCTTGTCCACCGCTGGTTCCTAGGACCGTTATGAATTAAAGATTACAGCCGTTAAAAAGAGATCGTCTTTAAACAAGCGCAGTTCTCTCTCCTCATGCCCCCTGAGTGGAGAAGTTTTTGTGTATAGCGAGTCCAAAACAAACAGAGATGTTCTTGAGAGATGTGGGGAGCAGGGGCCGAGACAGCAGGAGAGCGAGGGCAGCAGAGGGACAGTGGGGGAGAGCCGGGGAACTGTAGTTTTGAATTGTTGGCCTCCTGTCTGCATGCTCAGAGAAGCAGGGCCGCGTGGAGTGCCCAGCGGAACCTGCTCATGCTGATTTGCTGCGTCACCTTGGGAAAACGTTGGCTTTGCTCCTCCGCAGCACGCACACAGGCACAGGCACACACACGTTCCCATCCCAGCTGGTGCCCGCGTGTGGGTGTTAGGCACAGACTCTTTGGACAAAGCTCTGGAGATGAATTGGGAAAGAAGTGTGGTAGAAACATCACCAGGAAGCTTTGTGTTACGGGCCTTGTCACTGCATGTGAAGATAGACCAGACGCCCCGCAGAGACAGCCCTCTTGAAACTCTCACCTAAAGGAGATGCTACCAAGGTGAGGGACCTCCGGGCAGCAGAACAAGAACATCGAACAACCACTACGGTTTAACAGGAGCAAGAAACGATCTTTCCGAACTTTCCTCTGTGGATGCAAAGATGTTGAAGAGCAGTTCCTGCCTTTGGCAGGGAACTCGGGGTGCACACGGGGAGACAGACAAGAAGGGATGAGTCCAGGGCACTTGTATGTCTGTACCTTCTCTTAGCCTCATAACATCTCTATGAGGGAGCGAAGAACATCACAGCTTTGGCCGGGCGCAGTGGCTCACGCCTATAATCCCAGCACTTTGGGAGGCCAAGGCGGGTGGATCACGAGATCAGGAGTTCAAGACCAGCCTGGCCAAGATGGTGAAACCCTGTCTCTACTATTAGTGGGGCGTGGTGGCAGGCACCTGTAATCCCAGCTACTCAGGAGGCGGAGGCAGAGAATTGCTTGAACCTGGGAGGCAGAAGTTGCAGTGAGCTGAGATCGCACCACTGCACTCCAGCCTGGGCGACAGAGCGATCGAGACTCCATCTCCAAAAAAAAAAAAGGAACACCACAACTGACTTGCCCTGTGTTGGAGATGGCTGTGCAGATTTAGTCTTGCTCAAGGGCTTTACCAAGGGTTGTGCTCAGGGCACAACTGGGGCTAAATTCCAAGGCCTGCTGCCTTTGGGTCCGTAAATCTTCATTGCAGATGTTGATGTAGTTTCCAGGACTGCATCATCTTGGAGTTTATTTTAGGCAGATGATTGCCTTCTAGGTCATTCTCAACCATTTAAGTATCCTTGGCAGGAGAACTTATCTGAATGGGCCAAGGCTCTTTGAGTTGGGAGCAAGGCGTATTTTCCCACCCAATCTCCATGCACCCGGGTCCTGTGGTTTCATTGGCACTTCATTTGGAAAGTTGTTGGCTTTTGGGAGGAGAAAGGAAGGAGAAGTTTGGCAGCATCCTGTTCCAAGGCCTAGAGTTTTAATGTGTGGTCAGACTGTTTATTGATTAATTGGTTTTCAAGAGGGAAACATGTTCTTTCAGGACATAGGGTCTCTAGGACAAAAATAACTTTAAAAGAAGAGGTGGAGATGTTAGAGAACACTCTAATAACTCCTATCACTTCACAGCTGGGAAACCTGAACCCCCAAAGGGGTAAGAGATTTTAGAAAGTTTCACCAAATTCCCCATTTCTCTGGACAGAATTGGACTCTAGATGGAGGACTAGACATTTTCCCCTAGAGCCGTGTTTCCCCAGGGCATTGAGAGGTGTTAGGAGATGCAAGGGCTCCATGGCCGTACATGTGGCAACTCCTAAATTAAACATTCCCTAAATGCAGGACTTCTCAGAGCATTTACTCTGCTAACAAGTGGTCTGCTTTTCTAAGAGCTGGTTAAGGTAGGTAATGATTCCTTATTTGGCCAATGAACTTATTTTAAGGAGACTAAATTATCTTTAGTCTTTAAATTATTTTAAAATTATTTTTCTCCTAGAAGACCCTATGTCTTGAAAAATATGTTTCCCTCTTAGAAACCAATTAATAAATATTGGGAAGTCAGGCCAGGCACGATAATTCATGACTATAATCCCAGCAGCTGGGGAGGCTGAGGCAGGAGGATCACTTGAGTCCAGGAGTTTGAGACCAGCCTGGGCAACATAGCAAAACTCTATCTCTACAAATAAAATAAAATCAAATAAAATAAAATTAACTAGGCATGGTACTGTATGCCGGTAGTCTTAGCTACTCAGGTGGCTGAAGTGGGAGGATCACTTGAGTCCAGGAGTTCAAGAATGCAGTGAGTTATGATTGGGCTCCTGCACTCCAGCCTAGGAGACAACGTGAGACCTCGTCTTTAAAAGAAGAAATAAAATAAAATAAAATAAAACTAAGAAGTCAGATGAATTCTGACTCAATAAATTGAAGTCAGATAGATATATTTTTATCAACTGGGCATATACATATATAAAAATAGATATCAGATACCATATTGCATATATATAAGTACATATTTTAATAAACTATATTAGCCTGACATATATATACCTTTTTTTTTTTTTTTTTTGGAGATGGAGTCTCGCTCTGTCGCCCAGGCTGGAGTGCAGTGGCGCGATCTTGGCTCATTGCAAGCTCCGCCTCCCGGGATCACGCCATTCTCTTGCCTCAGCCTCCCGAGTAGCTGGGACTACGGGCGCCCACCACCACGCCTGGCTAATTTTTTGTATTTTTAGTAGAGACGGGGTTTCACTGTGTTAGCCAGGATGGTCTCGATCTCTTGACCTCGTGATCCACCCGCCTTGGCCTCCCAAAGTGCTGGGATTATAGGCGTGAGCCACCGTGCCCGGCCACATATTTTTAATATATGTGTGTGTATACATATTTTAATCTCTCAATGGCCATCAGAGATTTAGGTCACAGTGTTACCATGCTTTAGTCAGAAGGAAAGAACTCTGGGTCACTGTGCAATTTCTGGTTGGCTTTTGGAAGCTGACAGCCTCATTGCTGATATCTTCTTCAGGAGCACAAAGTCTCTGACTGGGAACTGCTGGCTACATGGATGGAGAGCCCCTCTCCAGCTCTAATACTCTCTGTGTTCCATGCCTCTGGGTTATCAGCAAGAAGCCCAGCTGCTCGGCCCATAACTCAGATCAGTTAGCATATAAACTCCAGAAAATAATTGCCCTCTTAATTGCTACTGATACCATGTCTTGAACCAGGCTTTGTTCAAGGTGGGATACAGGTGGGACACAGGCTTGGTTCACAGGTGGGAGGGTGCCCTGTGCAGGCCGTGGGAGGATAATTTGAGAATTCCCTTGCCTGTCCCTGCTCCGCGGTTGCTGGGCACCTGGCGAGAGCGTTGGGTTGTTTGCTTTGGGTAACTATGGCAGATCCTTTTAATTGCCACCAAATAACTTCAGCTCAACCTCGTCAGTGGTTGTTTTGCTGCGTCGCTCGGAAGAATGCCTCCCTCTTTGTAAGAGCTGGATGGATGGGAGCTTGGCAGAGGCAGGCCAATGCTCTTTAATGTTTTCCTTCCCATTTAATAAGTGTTGAGTAAAACTTGAGTTTAGGGTGTTTATGTGGCACAAAAGGTAAACCATTTGTGGTGTTTTGGAACCTGGGCTAAGTGTTTCTCACACACATCCTCATGACATGGTAATGACTACCTTTGTGTTAAACTTGGGTCACTGTCAACTTTCTTCTGAAGTGCTCCCTGCTTTGTTTTGGGGGCAGGGGTGGGAAAGGAATGAGGTGAGAGAAGGTGAGGTGAACATGGGATGCCGCACGGGGGCATTGTCCTCAGTCGGACTTTCTAGAAAAAGGCATCACGCGGCCTGGAGACAGGAAGGGAGAGATTTTAATCATCTGCTGTGGCTTTTGCTCTTCTGACATCAGAATGGTAGGAGGCCCTGAACTTTTGACCTCTGGCTCCAGGTCCATAAATGTCCCGAGGTTCCCAGGAAAAGGAAGACTTGTTAGATGGGAACCCTGATGTTTGATTAGAGCAGCTTTTAGTCACTACTGTCATGTGTTTGTTTATTCAGGCACCAGTTGCATCTGAGTAGTGGTAGGTCCTGGAGACAGGAGGCACAGCCTTTACTCATGGCCTCATGGTAAGGTAGAGTCATGCAGAACATTTAACGAAAGTATGGCTTGGCCGGGTGTGGTGGTGACTCACGCCTCTAATCCTAGCACTTTAGGAGGCTGAGGCAGGAGGATTGTTTGAGCCCAGGAATTCAAGACCAGCCTGGGCAACATAGCAAGACTTCATCTCTACAAAAAATTAAAAAATTAGCCGGGCACGGTGGCTCACACCTGTAATCTCAGCACTTTGGAAGGCTGAGGCGGGCAGATCACCTGAGGTCAGGAGTTCGAGACCAGCCTGGCCGACATTGTGAAACCCCGTCTCTACTAAAAATGTAAAAATTAGCTGGGCGTGATGACAGGCACCTGTAATCTCAGCTACTCGGGAGGCTGAGACAGGAGAATTGCCTGAACCCGGGGGGTGGAGGTTGCAGTGAGCCAAGATCATGCCACTGCACTCCAGCCTGGGCAACAGAACGGAACTCTGTCTCAAATAAATAAATAAATAAATAAATAAATAAATAAATAAATAAATAATCAGTTGGGCGTGGTGACACATGCCTGTAGTCCCAGCTACTTGGGAAGCTGAGGCAGGAGGATCACTTGAGCTTGGGAGGATGAGGCTGCAGTGAGCTGTGGTTGCACCATTGCACTCCAGCCCGGGTGACAGAGCCAAACCCTGTCTTGGGAAGGAAAGAAGGCAGGAAGTTAGGGAGGGAAAGAGAAAAAGGAAAGGAAAGGAAAAAGAGAGAAAGAGAAGAAAAGAAAAAGATTTGATGGGCAAAATCCTGTCTTTGGAAGGAAAGAGGGGAGGAAGGTAGGGAGGGAAAGTGGAAAAGAAAAGGAAAAAGAAAGAGAAGAAAAGAAAAAGATTTGATGTACGCCACCATGAAAGCAGGTAGAAGGCAGAGGAATCATGAGGAGCTGGATGGGTTCACCTGGGGAGAGTACTAATGGGACATGAGGCACCCCGCCTGTGTGTTTGGAGAACTACAGCAGTTTGCAATGCCAGAAGGAACAAAGGGAGGCGAGGAACCATGGCAGTAGGGTGGAGGTGGGCAGGGGCAGGTCCCAGTGGTGCTAGGAAACTTGTACTTTATCCATAGGCAGGGGAGCTGTGGCTTCTATAGCCTTCAAGGGGAGGTCACCATTGAGCCGAGAAGGGAGAGGAGCTTTCTAGGCAGAAAGCGTGGTTGACTGAAATGGCAGAGTGTGTTCTGAGGAGGGTGGCAGGCTCTGGGTGGTGCATTTCTTCCGGCCAAAGGAGAGACGTGAGGCAGGAGCTGTGTGTCTTCCATACTGTGCTCACTCACCATGCTCAATGCTCAGAATCCCTCCTTGCAGAGGCTGCAGCCCTCTTTGTAGGTGCTTTGGTGGAAAGTTAAATTTGATTGTCCTATGGGCCTGTGGCAGGGGCTGCAGTCTCCCCTTGTCTCAGTGCCCCATTTCCTCTGAAGAGTGGGCATTGGCAACACCCTTCATGACACTTGAGCTTGTGCCCATGGGGTCTGCCGGCTTCTCCCTGCCCTTGACCCGGCCGCAGAGTGGACTGCACAGATCACATGGGTGCAGTGTTGTCACCCACTCTTCTCTGGGCTCCACACACAGACAGCATTTGGCCTGCTCCCCGAGGGCCACACGGTCATCCTAGGCAGCTGTTCAGTGGTAATTAGTCAACCCAAGTCTCACAGGTTCAATGACTCATTGTCTTAAATTTAATAAGTACAGAAAAACAGAGTGCTGATGTATTAAAAAATTAATCCTCCTAAGAGGTAGCCTCGGCAGAGGGGCTTGGAATGAAGGGAAGCAGAGGGAATGTGCAGGGAAGTAGGAAATTTCTCCTTCTGGGGCCCGGGCTGCTGTCGGGAACAGTAGGGCAGAGCCCCAACTCTTGGATTTTTTTTTTTTTTTTTTGAGACATAGTCTCTTGCCCTGTCACCTAGGCTGGAGTGCAGTGGAGCGATCTCAGCTGACAGCAACCTCCACCTCCTGGGTTCAAGCGATTCTCCTGCCTCAGCCTCCCGAGTAGCTGGGATTACAGGCGTGAGCCACCACACCGGCTAATTTTTGTATTTTTAGTAGAGACAGGTTTCACCATGTTGGCCAGACTGGTCTCAAACTCCTGACCTCAAGAGATCTGCTACCTCGGCCTCCCAAAGTACTGGGATTACAGACGTGAGCTAGAACCCTTGGGTTTTGAGAAGGAGATGGCAGCTCTGCATAAACTTTCTTCTCTTACTCTTCCTTTTCCATTACCCCATTTCCTTCCTCTTGTCCTTCTCTCTTTCTGTATTAGTTTCCTAGGGCTGCCATAACAAAGTACCACAAACTGGGTGCCTCAGCTACAGAAATGCCTTGTCCCACAGTTTGGGAGGCCAGAAGTCCAAGATAAGGGTGCGGGCAGGGTTGGTTCCTGCTGAGGGCTCTGAGGGACAGTCTGTCCCAGGCCTCTCCCCTTGCCTCTGGTGGCTTGCGGGCAGTCTTTGGCATTACTTGGCTTGTAGACACATCACTCCAATCTCTGCCTTCATCTTTATGTAACCCTCTCCCTGTGCTCATGCCTGGGCCTAAATGTCCCCTGTTTGTAAGAACACCAGTCACATTGGATTAGGGTTCTCTCCGACTTTCTCTTGCTCTGTGTCTCTCTGGTGCCACCTCACCTGCCTGGCCCTTCATGGTTCACCTTACTGTGTGGGTCCCAGCCATCCACCAGAGATGGACAGGTGCCTCCTGGGCTGCCAGCCCCTGCCAGGACTCCTTTCTTTGCCTTTCCAGAGGTGGGTGTTGTGCCCACGTGACCCCAGACATCTCACCTTGCAGCTTCTAGATTCCCCTGCCCTTCTCTGACAAAACTTTTCTTCTGGAACATTGACTAACTCCTCTGTGTAGGCTGCAGTTCCCAGCAGGGGTTTATGAGTGTGGACAAGAAAAAGGGTATATCTATGTGAGTCTGCATACTTGGAGAATTTCCTTCTATCGATCAAAAAATATTCCAGCACAGAGCAGGACATTCTCCTGAATAAGCCTTATCACTTAAAGCATTTCCTCCTCAAAGGCAATCCATTTAGGTGAAGTGCAGAGACAACTGAGTTGAAATTCATCAAGAGGGGAATGTTGGCCCCCAAAGCATTATGGGCCATTAAGTCTGTAATGTGGCAGAGGCCTCTGGATAGCCAGAGTTCCTTCCTTCCTGGTGAATTGCAAGGGCTGCTGTGCCGGCACCTTCCTGTTATAGTCTCTGTCATACACACAAGCACTCAGACATTCTCCTGGTGTTTCCCTCTTCCTTGGGCACCTGTGTCCATAACGGAGGATGGTGATAGCTGGGAGACTCCCGCTTGGATGTCAGTGGAGGCCATGGGGCCCCTTCCACCACAGGTCTCAGGATTAAGGAGCTGCAGTTTTCATCGCAACGAGTGCCCCTTTCCCTGCTTATAGCTTGGAGGACGCTAGTCCTGGGCTCTGGGAGGGATATAGATAGATACCTGTGTCCCTCTGCCCTCTCCCTTCTGCTAGGACCCCGGCCTGCTCAGTTTGCCAAGGGTGGCTTGTTTTCCGTCTGGAGTGTCAAGCCTGCATTGAGAGGGAAGGCGTGGGGCTGGACCTTCCAGCATTGTGTATGTAGGAGTGGGGGTGGTGGGCAGGGTGAGTAGGACCTTTGTCTGACTAGGACCAATAGTTTTGAAATGACTTGAAAAAAATTTGATCTTGGGGAATTTCCAGCATGAGTAAAACCTAGAGACTTCTCAGAGTTTTGAGAAAGCCACCCCCTGTCAAGCCAGTCACCGCTTCTGTCTCTACAGCCTCCCTCCCCATGGCCCCACTGAGACTGCCTCCTGTCCAGGCCCTAGTCACCCACCCACTAAGGCTTTGCCCCGCCCTCCCAGCTGGCTGGGTCTCCTCCCCAACAGCCCGGGGCTTCTTCTGCCTCCCCATGAGCACTGCCTTCACATGGGGGTGCCTCCATCAGAATCTCCGGGGTGTTCTCATACCTGGCCTTCCAGACCCTTCCCTGTCCAGTCCAATCACAACCTCAGCTTCATCCATTCAGCAGTGTGAACCCACTGCTCCAGCCCCCTGCTCTGCCCCTGGCCCTGGACAGCACATCTGCTGTGCCCAGTCCAGAGCACTCCCCCTCTCTAAATAGTTGAGACCTACCCTCCAACACCAGTTCTGTGCATTCATTCTCTATATTATCCAACCAGCATCGCCCTCTTCTTTGTCATTTGTTCGACACTTTCTGGATCCTTAGACTGGAACACTTCAGACTGAAGAGTTTACCTGAATTTTGTCACCCCTAAAGTGTCTCCACCTTGTCTACTTTCACATGTAGTTTGGTTCAGTTTAATGAACGTGTGTGTGTGTGTGTGTGTGTGTGTGTGTATGTGTGTGTGTGTGTGTGTTTTCAAGAATATTTTCTGGACTCACAGTGGTTCTGTCTCCTTGGTTGATATTTTGGGAGATGAGGTGGGGAGTTGAGGAAGGAAGGAAGGAAAGAAGTGACCTGGAGGTAGAAAAAGAGTTGGCCAGGGCAGTGGCTCACGCTTGTAATTCCGGCACTTCGGGAGGCTGAGGCAGATGGATCACTTGAGCCCAGGAGTTTGGGGCCAGCCTGAGCAACATGGCAAAACCCTATCTCTACAGAAAAAAACAAAAATTAGTCAGGCGTGGTGGCACGTGCCTATAGTCCCAGCTACTCAGGAGGCTGAGGCAGGAGGATCACTTGAGCCTGGGAGGTCAAGGCTGCAGTGAGCCATGATTGTGCCACTGCACTCCAGCCTGGGCAACGGAGCAAGACCCTATTTCAAAAAACAAAAAGGAAAAGCAGAGGTGTCTTAGAAGCAGAAGTGGATAGGCCACCTTTCTGGAAGGGTCTGGACAGATCTCAAGTAGGGGGTCAGATTGGGGAGAACATGGTTAGATCCATTTCTCTGAGGATGGCTGCAAGCAAGAAGACTGCTGCCTCGTTACGGGGTGTGGGTGTGGGCCAGCCTCTTCAGCTGGAAGGAGGAGATGGGGAGAGGCAGGGCATCCTCCCACGCTGCTGCCCCTTGGGACACTCTTTGGAAGCCTGAGAGTTCCTGGTAGGCCACTCTGTTCCTGTCCCTTCCTCTTTTCTCTGAGATTGGTCCAGTAGGCAGCCTGCAGAGCCTCTGGCTTCAGCTTGGCCAGAAGACGTCTGACCTTACCAAAAAGTCCTTGGTTCTGAGTTGAAAACGGTCCGTCTCCATCGTCAGATATGACAGAGCCCCATGAGCGGTGCCCACCTGGCATGAGATACTGTCGTGAAAGCCTGCACTAGCCTCCCTGTTAAGTGGTGCGGCTTCCTTGCTTCCTGCTGACAGCACTCATCTTATACCTGCCCTGGGAAATGCCCTCGTGTTGGGCCACATGAATGATTCTCAAAGGCAGAAAAACAATTTTTTTTGATGGAACCATCAAGAATAGTTTAAGCATGTGATATTATTATCCTTTTCATTACTGTTGTATTTCTATTTAACATGATTAGATGACTAGTTCTGAAAACCTAAATTAAAGCACAGGCCGGGTGCGGTGGCTCAGGCCTATAATCCCAGTACTTTGAGAAGCCAAGGCGGGTGGATCACTTGAGTCTAGGAGTTCGAGAACAGCCTGAGCAACATGGCAAAACCCCATCTCTACTTAAAGAAAAAAAAACACACAGAGGAGGCATTTTGTTGAGATGAGAGTCAGCTCACATCACATTGCAGACACCTCTCTCAAAGGCAAAGGTCTTCCTGGGCCCCTTTCCCTAACCAGGGAAAATGAGGTAGATCCCTGCCTGGGTTTTTTCAGAAGCTGCTTTGTGTTTTTGTGTTTGTTTTTTCGCCATGAAATAAGTTGCCCTTGGTGTCAAACTGTTGATCTTAGGGGTTGTGGAGTGGAGTGGAGGATGAGGAAGGGGAGAAAGGAGCCCGTTGTATGCCAGGCATTATGCTAATAGTTCTATGTCCTTAATTCAGGCCTTACCCAAAGCCCATGGGAGGGTGGGTGCTGGCCTTCCCTTTTCAGAGGCCACTAGTCTCTGTTGCTGGTAATGTTCTGTGCTCTTAGCCTGAGTGGCCATGCTCTCCTGAATTCCACCCTTCTCTCCACCCACCTTGGTGGGATTGGAACAGCCCAGAAACCCAAACTCTACTTGGCAGCACATCAGGTTTTTATAGGCCCGAGAATGCTGAAGAACATGAAGCTTTATTGCGATGCTTTTAGAGAACGTTAGCTCAGCTCTGAGCCCCGTAGAAGGGTTTCCAAAGTCTATTAGGCGGCAAATGCTTTCATGGCTTTGGAATCATAAGGTTGATTTGAAAAATTGGCACCTAATGGCTTACAACTGTAATAAATTTCCTGAAATTGGACCTCAGAGGGAGACTCGGGTGCACACTCCCCCTGAGGAGTGTGGGCAGCCCTCTCCCCAGCTCGGTGCACACCAGGCTCTGTGAAGGGTGTTGCTCACCGCAGCCTTCAGGAACCAGAGTCCCCCGTAATTAGGGGAGAGGCCCTGTCACTCTTCATTTCTCAATTTGGACCCAACGTTTAGTGGCAATGACTGTGGGGAGGCTTCTGACTGGAATTTCTCCCCACTGGCCTTTAAAAGGCCAGGGCCTGAGAATTCCTGAAAAATTAATGGGGTCTCTGTGGGTTCTTTACACTTGCTGGTAACCTGGCCTCTCCCAGGCCCGCTGTGGCTCCCTGGCATAATAGCTGCTCAGCAGCCGGTCTTTTGTATGCAAATATGACCTAAAGCTGTATGGGAGGCGGCAGTCCATTGTTGCCCAAGACTGTGCGATTTCAAACAGACACGGGCTTTTAAAATATTCCAGACAGATATTGAAAATGTCAGCAGCAGGTTTTTCCCACTTACTTCTTGCCCAGCTCTTTTTTCCTCTCTCCCTCCCCCTGCCACCCACCCCACCATAAAATATAATCAAAAAGCTGGTAAATAATTTAAAGAATTGCCTCAAAGGATTTGCAGACTAGAAAGAGACTCCCTTCTCTGGTTTAAGTTGGGAGAAACTGTTTTCATTTTTTTTCCCCCAAGATATTTAAAATATTCAGGAGTGTCCCACAGGGTCTTGAACTTATAAGTGTCTGCATTTTTCTCACTATACTCTCATCCCCTCTTTTCTTTATTGATTTTTTTAAGGTTGCTGTCGGCAACATTTAGGTCCAACTTTCAAATGAAAATCATATTTCAGTTACTGGTCTTAAGTCAGACCAACTTAAGGTCTGTTTCATTCATCTCAGTTCTGTGCCCCCTGCTCTTTAGTTTAATGAGAGAGTGGAGGGAATCTTGGCTGCTGTGATTTTTCATCCTATTAGCTCTTTCCAAAGGGATCCTTATCTTGTGAGCAGAAGGGAGTGATGTCTTATATGTGGAGTCACTGTGTATCTTTTTAGAGAAACTTAATCATCCCTCCCTACTCACCTTGAGAAGGTCTCTGGGTAGCCAGAAGCTTAGACTAAGATGAGGGTGCACAGATTGGGAAAAAATAAACAAACCTCTTATTGACCAAGCCTCTGTCCCTGAAGACAGGCATTGCTCCTCCTGGGAGAACTGTCAGGTGGGTATGCATTTCTGGATCTCCCAGCAGTCCTGAGGCCAGGAGTCTGGCTGGCCATGTAGAGATGATTGTACCTGGGATATGGTGCATTCTTGAAAAGCATTGGATGGATGGAAAAAAGGAAGAAGTGTGAATGGATGAATAAAGGGAAGAGAAAAGAGGAAGGACAGATGCACGGATAGAAAGATGTAGGCTGGATGTGTAGATAGACGAATGAAAGGAATGGCAGATGGACGGATAGATGATAGATGGATGCATGGATAGACAGAAGGGCAGATGAAGGATGGATGGGCAGATGGATCGATGAAAGGAAGGAAGAACTGATGAAAGATGGCTAGATGGGTGGATGGATGGACAGATGGATAGATGGAAGGAAGGAAAGAGGGATGGTGAGCACCTGGTTTCCCCTTTAGTATTCATTCCCTCCTGCTGTATCCAACCAGAGGGCATTCCCTGGGCCTGCCCCTAGAAGGTGGAGAGGGTGATCCAGGACCTCTAGGACACTGGTCCTAGGGAATCCCGACAGTCTTCCGTGAACATTTACGGATGTCTGTACTGACTGACCCTCCAGGAAGGCCATTCTCATAGCACCCTTTCTCTTTAAAAGCATAGGGTTGCACGTATATGGCCCACCCCCCACCCCTTCTGTCATTCCCCCTCTCCTCTGTGAGGGACCTGCACACTGACAGTCTCTGGCCCATTTTTAGGTATCTGGCAGTCCCCTGCCAGAGCCAGATGTGTCCTCTCTGGGTCCAGCCAACAAAGGTCACCTCCTTGGCTGTGTGGTCTGTCAACTAAAGTCGTTGCCTCAAACCCAGCAATGTCAAGTGTAGTGGATAAGAGCTCAGGCTCTAGAGGCAGATGGGGCTGCGTTTGAATCTCTGGTGCCACCATTTACTGTCTGTTACGTAACCTCTTAGAGCCTTAGTTCCCGCATCTGTAAAATGGAGGAAAGAGTCTCTACTTAAGGGTATTGTGAGAATTCAACGAGACAATGCACACAGAGTCCTTAGAAACAAGCAGTGGCGGCCCAGTACGATGGCTCACACCTGTAATCCCAGCACTTTGGGAGGCCGAGACGGGCAGATCACGAGGTCAGGAGATCAAGTGGCTAACACGGTGAAACCCCGTCTCTACTAAAAATACAAAAAAAATTAGCCGGGTGTGGTGGCGGGCGCCTGTAGTCCCAGCTGCTCAGGAGGCTGAGGCCGGAGAATGGCGTGAAACTGGGAGGCGGAGCTTGCAGTGAGCCAAGATTGCGCCACTGCACTCCAGCCTGGGCAACAGAGCGAGACTCTATCTCAAAAAAAAAAAAAAAAAACAAGCAGTGGCTGGCACATTGTACTCAAACGCAATACATGTAGCATTTATTGTTGTTACTACTGAAAGTTGTGGGACTGACATCTCTTGAAGAAGAGATAGCAAGAATCCTGGCTTCTGAGAGGATCCTCAGGCACACAGCACACTGCTTGCTGAGGTCTTGAGCTGTCATCAGTGCCGGGGGATGCAGTCGGTGTGGTAGAGTGGCTGCCCAGAACGCGGGTCTCTTGGGCCTCATCCGGGCATCCTGTGAGCTCTGTTGTAAAGAGCAGCTGAGGATGGCGAGCGCTGGGGAGATGCTGTAGGGGGCCCGAGAGGAGTCATTAGCTGACCTCTCTCTCCTTGAGACAGAATCTTTTCCCTTCTGCTTTTGTTCTTATAACTGACCCTCTGACAGTTTTTCCTCCCTTGAAAGCAGAGGCCTTGAGTCTCCTCCAGCTGTCAGTTTGCGTGTTCCCCTGGGCATAAACTCCAACACAGGCTGCCCGATACCAGCTCTCACCTTCGTTTCTGCCCTGGAGAAAGGCTGCTTTCAAGTTGGTAAAAGCCTCAGGAGACCATGGCTGGCTCCAAGAGCCTCTTTGTGCTCTGAAATCCAGAACAGCCCTGGCCTTGTTGGCTCAGAGGAGCCTTCCAGAAAAACAGAAGTCCTCGACTTCTGCCTCATCTTCTAGCTCCTGTTCTTTTCTATTTTAAAGCCCTTAAGAAAGGAGGTGCGAAGTCCATGGTCTGTAAGCATAAAGGATTTTTAAACTAAACAAGAAAACCAATTATTTTTCTTAACTGCTTTAGTCCTTCAAATCTTTCACTGTAATGGAGATTTAGAACCCATCACAGTTGGGCTATTATTTCTGTGTAAACAGTGTCATGCCCTATTGCACCAAGCAAACAGTCAATTTTTTCCATTACACTTAGACACAGATGATGAGGGTGCCGAGTCAATGGTCTCCCGAGCAGGTTTTAGTTGATGGGGAGCGCGTGACTGTGGTTGGAGGTGAGGAAAGGGTTAAGGCTTACAGGGGATTTTGGTTCTTACCCAGGGGTCACCTTTTGGCTTCAAAGCTCTGTTAATCTTCAGGCCCTGGCTTGTGAACCTCCTCTATCCAGAGCATGGAGACTGGGGGAGAGAGAAGGGTTGGTGAGAGACTAGAGCTAAAGTGAGAAGGGCAGGAACTGAAAGTTTCTTTCAACTGGTGAGAGAGGGCACATCTCCAGTGTCCCCATCTCCAGAGTCTCCCTTCTTCCAGATGGTTCTGCTTTTGGATCTTCTGAAGTGCACATCTGATTTTGCATTCCACTGCTTGTAGCCCTGGGATAAAATCCAGACAGCTGCATGGCCCACGGGCCCCTGTCCTGTGGTGCCCACCTGGACTTCTTTGCTTCTCCAGCACTAACCCTCTTGTGGACCCCTGATGATGCCATGATGCCTCACGCTCTTTTCCCAGAATATTCTTCCCACCTCTCCCCTTTCTCTGGCTTAATGCCTTTTCATCCTCCAGGACCCAGCTCAGATGCTGCCTCCCCCAGGAAGCCCTTCCCCCACCCCAAGGCTGACTGCGGGCCTGTCAGGTGCTGTCCTGCAGTTCCCCTCTTCTAGCCCATACCCCTCTGTATTGTAACCCTGATCTGTCTTCTCCAGTAAAGTATAAGCTCCTTGAGGGCAGCCTCTCTATCCTCACCAGCTTAGTACTCCCTATGCCTTGCACAGCTTTGACATACAATACCTTCATATTGAAATTTTTATTTATTTATTTTTTTGAGATGGAGTCTTGCTCTGCCACCCAGGCTGGAGTGCAATGGTGTGATCTCAGCTTACTGCAGCCTCCACCTCCTGGGTTCAAGTGATTCTCCTGCCTCAGCTTCCCAAGTAGCTGGGACTACAGGCATGCACCACCATGCCTGGCTAATTTTTGTATTTTTAGTAGAGATGGGGTTTCACTATGTTGGCCAAGCTGGTCTCGAACTCCTGACCTCAGGCGATCTGCCCTCCTGGGCCTCCCAAAGTGCTGGGGTTACAGGCATAAGCCACCTTGCCTGGCCCACACTGAATATAAAATGAATAGATGAGTCCCCCAAAAGCTTCGCCCAGACCTAGCTGGCAGAGTAGGGTAAAAGAATAGTTGACTGTGTGCACTGGGGCGGCATCAGCCTTGCTGTCCACAGCAGGGATGGAGACAGCAGTGCTCCTGGCAGCCAGCAGCTCCTGCGGGTGGAAGGTGGTAAAGCAGTAAAGTGAAGAAGGCGGACCCTGAAGCCAGACTGCCTGGGTTCAAATCCTGGCCCCACCACTGTCACTTGGGCAAGTCGCTTAAACTCTCTGTGCCTCAGTTCCCTTATCTGCAAAATGAGGTTAACAACAGTAGGGCCCTTATGGAGGTTAAGTGACTTGCTAGTAAAGCGAGCAGTTCCTGCTCTGGAGTGGCCACCCCAGGAGGGATGGCTGTTGGCATTCTCTTTATGATGCTTCTGCTCTCTTGGCTCTGCCCAAGGTTGCTTCTGGCCCATCTGAAGACCTTGCTTAGAGCAGAGGTTGGGGACCCCATGTGGCATGTAACCCTGGGGGTGGTGGCTGCCCACCTCACACCCTACCCCCTACTCTTTTGTTTATGCCCCCTGCCTGGCCTCTGAGGCACTTGAGTTTGTGCCTTCTGTATTGACCTTTAGCTCCATCCAAGGTTTCTCGAATCAAGCTGGCTCTGCTAACAGACTCAGCCATCAACCTGCGGCATTTATGGAGCACTTTTTTTTTTTTTTTTTTTTTTTTTTTTTTTCAGATGGAGTCTTGGTCTGTCGCCCAGGCTGGAGTGCAGTGGTACAATCTCGGCTCACTGCAACCTCCGCCTCCTGGGTTCAAGCCATTCTCCTGCCTCAGCCGCCTGAGTAGCTGGGATTACAGGCGGCTGCCACCATGCCCGGCTAATTTTTGTATTTTTAGTAGAGATGGGGCTGGCCAGGCTGGTCTTGAACTTTATGGAGCACTTTCTGTGTACAAGCATCGTACTCACAGGTGACCTGTTGATCATAAATGCCTTAAAGAGTACATTTGAGCTGCTCCCTAATCCCATGAGGTAGGCTGGTATTACTCTTCGTGTTTTCTCCAGATGAAGAAGTCGAGCCAGAGAGTAGCTGAAGGCGTGCAGCTGCAGGAGACCATGCAGCTGTAAGCCCCCACCCCGCCTGCGTGCTGCCCCCAGCCTGGGGCCCTGCTGTTGAGCATTTTTGTTTTCCTCCTCCAGACAAGTACCCTCTCAGCCCTTGACTCTGCAGTAGGCTTCAAGGTCCACTTCTGCCCCAGAGCATCAGCTTTCTGGAAAGCCATCAGCATCTGGAGGAGAGGAGAGGAGAGGGGAGGGGAGGGGAAGAGAGGGGAAATGTCTTCAGCTACAAAATGCCTGGCTCCTTTCTCACTCAGAGGCTTCCTGCCTGAGGAGCTTGTCCTCTAGATTTTGAGGAGCAGAGGGGCTGAGGACGGCAGAGCTGAGATGCAGCTTCTCTCTTGCTGTGGGTGGGCGTGCCCTTGCTGACACAGGGGGCGAGGGTGAGAGGCTCAGCAGGGTGTTGGAGTTGCTGCCGGTTCCTGCCTGTGAGTGGGCCTTGCTTTAAGCAAGGTTGAGAGCCGAAATAATGGATGCCTATGAAAGACAAATTAGGAGGGGATTATCATCTCACAAAAGAAGGCTTCTAAAGTCAACTCACGAACACTCAGAGTGAGAGCTGGTTCATGGACTGCCTGGCAGGCACACCTATGCTCAGTCCAGGGACCGGCCTCCTTGTGGCAGGGGGCAGGGCGAGCTCAGGGGCTGTGGCCCTGCCTGCTTTCCCTAAGGGCTCTTCTGGGGAGGAGCCCTGCAGATCAGATCCCCTTAGTGAAGGAGTAGTGACTGGGGGGTCCCAGAAGACAAAAAACCTAGCCATAGTAGGCAGGGGGAGGGGCAATGCCTTCTGACCCCTAATTGAAGGTGATGGGAAGGGAGGGGGCCAGTGTCCTAGAGACTGGGGACTTCCTTTGGGGCCAACCCCATCTGGGCTCGAATCCTAGCTCTGCTGCCAACTGGCCTCATGACCTTGAGCAAGCCCCTTAATGTTTCTGAGCTTTATTTTGCTCATCTGTAATATGGGGATGATACTAGTGGTAATAATAATAGCTGTTGTTATTGCGTTGCTGTGCGCTGTGTGAAACACTCAGCGTGGATCCTGGTACGTCGTAAACACTATGTGGTGGTGGCTGTTGTTATTTGTCCCGTCACACGGAGCTACCTTCTACCCTGCAGCAAGTTCTGCTTTCCTGAACCTTTTCCCTACTCACAGGGCACACTATCCATCATTGAGTTTTCCCAACAAGCCACTTTTCTTTTCTTTCTTTTTTTTTTTTTGGATGGAGCCTTGCTCTTGTCGCCCAGGCTGGAGTGCAATGGTGTCATCTCGGCTCACTGCAACCTCTGCCTCCCGGGTTCAAGTGATTCCCCTGCCTCAGCCTCCTGAGTAGCTGGGATTACAGGCGCCTGACACCATGTCTAGCTAATTTTTGTACTTTTAGTAGAGACGGGGTTTCACCATGTTGGCCAGGCTGGTCTTGAACTTCTGACCTCAGGTGATCTGCCCGCCTCAGCCTCCCAAAGTGGGATTGCTGGCGTGAGCCACCGCGCCTGGCCTTCCACTTTTCTTTAAATGTCCTTTGAAGCTAACAGGCGGATCACCTTCCCTCCCAGAAGCTCGGGGCTGCCTGCTTGGGGATTTGCCCATGTATTTTGTCTGTAATGCATAATATATATGCGTGTGTGAGTATGTGTGCATAGGTCCCCCCACACGGATGTATATATAACTCATTCCCCAAAGAGAGATTTATTTCAAGGCACAAATGCTTCTAGTTAGCTTCTGTGTGGATCTGATCCAGCCCAGAGCCTTTGCCATGAGTAGAATTCATTGACGGCAAAAAGAAATGAAAACAAACATTCCCTGACATGGGGCATTTCCGTCGGGGGGCCTCTGGGAATTCTCCTCCTCTATTAAAATATCTACCAAATTGGACAGAGAAACTTGGCAGCCACAGCCTGAGCTACTTAATTGTTTCTGTGGGGAGGGTATGGGCAGAAGCTATGCACTGGCCTCTCTTCCGGAACCTTCCTCTCACCACTGAAGTGCAGGAGGATGGGGCTCTTCGAGAACAGAGGATGTTTGGTTGCCCCTGGAATCCAGCTACTACCCACCTTGTCTGGACAGGTGCCGAGGGATGGTGAGGGGAGAGTGCCTGCTCCCTGACCCTCTGCAAGCAGCTCTTTGTAAAGTTTGCAGGGGAAGGTGGCCAGTGGCTGGGAACTCACATTCCTGAGATGGTCTGCAGCCTTCCGCTTAGCCCCAGCAGACTGAATATGAATGTGGTTTTGATCACAACCAGCTGATGGGAGCTGACCCAGACTTATTATGATTTTGCTGTTTTTTTCGGTTTTGTTTTTCCTTCTCCCTCCTCTTCTTTATGGGGAAGATGTTTCTTGAATGAATTTGCTTCAGGGGACAGAGTTCAGGACGGAGGCAGATGAGGGGATATAGGAACTCTCACGCGAAGTTGGGGGTATTTGCTGATCTGCAGCACCCAGGGCTTTTTCCTCCCTCTCTCCTCTTAAAAATGGGCCACCGGTACTGTTTCCTGGGGCCTCTAGATGTGCACTGGTATTCATAGCAGTTGGGTCTAGACGTGCTCATTTATTCAGCATCTCATTTAATCCTTCTGCAAGGTAGTTATAATAATTTTCATTGTACCCATCTGGAAGCTGAGTCCCGGTGAAGTCGAACATCCCCCACAAAATGACAGAGCTTGTAAGTGGCAGAGCTGTTCAACTCATGCAGACCAGGCTCCAAGCCAGGGCTCCTCCACCTCAGCACTACTGACGTTGGGGGCCAGATGATTCTTTGTCGTGGGCACTGTCCTGTGCATTGTAGGAAGTTGCGCAGCATCTCTGGCCTTTACTCACTACCTGCCAATAGCATCCCCCACCCCCAGTCATGACAATCAAAAATGTCTTCAGACATTGCCAAGGTCCCCTGGAAAGCAAAATTGCCCCTGGTTGAGAATCACTACCTGAAACCTAAGTCCTTTCTTCTGCCCAGTGCCTGCCCCATGCTGTTACTCTTTGTGGGAATATGACTTTGTGTACTGTTTTTTTGTTGTTTTTTTGTTTTTGTTTTTGTTTTTGTTTTTGTTTGGAGACAGTCTTGCTCTGTCTTCCAGGCTGAAGTGCAGTGGCACAATCTCAGCTCATTGCAACCTCCACCTCCTAAGTTCAAGTGATTCTTCTGCCTCAGCATCCTGAGTAGCTGGGATTACAGGCGTGCACCACCACCCCTGGCTAATTTTCTTGTATTTTTAGTAGAGATGGGGTTTTACCATGTTGGTCAGGCTCATCTCCAAATGCCTGACCTCAAGTGATCTGCCTGCCTCGGCATCCCAAAGTGCTGGGATTACAGGGATGAGCCACCGCACGCACCCAGCCTCTCTGTACTTTTGAATACTAAGGTGATCAGTGGACATCTGAGGTGCTTGATCCAGTGTTGCCAACACATATTCAACAGATATGCAGTAACTGTGTATTGAGCATCTGTGGTATGCAAGGCACTGTAAGGTGTGGGCACTAAGTGAAACCCAGGCAGGAGTTTATTGCTGTGCCCAGGAGCTGAAGGATTTACCAAAACGCCTAGGGAGGGCTCCCTGTTCTCACAGAGGTCCCAGTTGAGTGGGACACTCACAGTCTTGCTGAGTAACAGATGCTCACTTTTGGTTTTTGGATGGACAGATGGTGGGAACGTGGGTGAGTGTCCAGGTGTGCCCCAAGGACACATGCGTGCACACAAGAGAGGAGAGAATAAAGCCCAAGTGGCATCTTTGGGGCTTCTGGTCATTCCTCATCAGGACCTGATAGGTAGTGTACTGTCCTGTCATCTAAAATAAACCTCCCTCTTGCTTTATCTGAGGGTCTGCATGCATTTCTCATTTCTGAAAACCTGAAGACATTTTTTTTCAAATCTCTTACTGTTTTTGAAAATTTACCTTTAAAACAAACATATGAGGAAAGGCTTCCAGGCCTTTGCTCTTCTAGTTTCAATTAATTGGTACCAAAAATGTCTGCTAGTGCCACCCGTAACCCCATGTCTCAGGGTGTCAGAACCCTAGAGAGACTAGGATTCCTTGGGAGTCCTTTCTGAGGAGCCCCAGATAGGAGCTAGTGAGAAAAGAGTGTTGTCTGTGTGTGTATGTGTGGATGCATGCTTGTGTACACACACACACACACACGAAAAGAACATCAGTTGTTCCTTTTCTCCTTTAAAAACTCCAAGAATGCATTTCAAACTCCTGTCTGCCAATCTCTCGTCCTCCCCCAGAAATCCTTGGTTAAGTCTTTAGACTCAACAACAACAACAAAGAACAAAGCCACAGACAATCTCTCCCTCCCGACAATGTCAGCTGTGAACTGAAGATCTGAATAGCCTTTAAAATTGTTTTATTGTTGTCAGCGCTGCAGAATGGTGTGTAATCTTTGTATTCTGGAGAATTTTTAATTGGCACAAAAGGGCAGTTTAGCCGGCATCTTGTAGGAGGTTTGTCATGCAAACGGTTAGTGCCTGCCACTCACAACATATAGGGCTATCCAAGCTGATTTACATCAGCAGCTCCCTCTGGTTAATAGCCTTGTATATTTCCTGGGGGTCTCTGAGCAGAAGTCAAGGGAAGATGAGGCTTCCCTCCCCTCCTCTGCATCCACACTGCATTGCAACGCATTAGGAACCTCCTGGCACCTTCCCCTGAGCCTGGATGGAGGTTGGGGGTGAGCAGAATGGGTCCCTCACATAGGTGGGAGCCTTCAACTAGACAACTGTTTCGTCTAGAGTGGCCTACTGGGGTGCAATCCCAAACAAGAAGCTGTCCTTCTTGCTACCTGTATTAGTTGGGTAGTGCTAGCTGCTGGTATAACTGAACTCCAAAATTTCAGTGCTTAACACAATAGAAGTCTGTTTCTTGCCCACTTAACAGTTCAGTACAGAGGTTTCTGGTTGCCTTTTCTTCTGTGCAGTGATTCAAGGATACCGGTTGATTCAGGGATCCAGGTTCCTTCCATCTTAGAGCTTTGCTGTCCCTTAGGACCTCAGCGTGGCTGAGGGTTGGGCACCAAACTAAACACTTTGGATATATTACCTCATTTAACCCTTAAAACAGCTCTTAGAAGATGATAGTGTTTTCATTTGACAGGTGAGAACATTGAGATTCACAGAGGCTCCGTCATTTGTTGAGGATCACATGGGAATGTCATGGGTTTTCCAGAGCCAAGTAAGGAAATACCTGGTTCTCCTCCCAGTCCCCATGCCCCAACCCATCTAGACCTGTCTGTTCTCACTCTCTTCCCCATTTAAAGCTTGTAAAACAAGATTCTTCTTTTTCCAAGGCCTCACCCCCGTCTGGCCAGCTGTCTCATGCTTAGCAAGTCTTTGAGACAGGGACTTTCTCATAGTGGGGACAGAAAAATTCTACCAAATTGAGCCTGGCCTTAACTGTGGAAAGGCAGGGTAGGGTCAAAAGATGAATTCTAGACCATTCACTTCTGTTGGTCCATAAGGCCTGGTGTGTGTGTGTGTGTGTGTGTGTGTGTGTGTGTGTGTGTGTGTGTGTGTGTGTGTCGGAGGGTGAGGAAGCAGGAGCTGTTTATCTGTACTCTGGAGAGGTAAACACAGCAGGTGGGCCCCACCGAAGGAATCTCTTGACAAGCTGGGCTTTCTCGTGACACAATTGCCTGTTAATGGATTCAGCATCTGGCAGTTTCACCAAAAGCCGACTGCCAATGAGCCTGGCTGCTCGAAACCCTTGACACTGCTGATCACAAATGGGTTTCCTTTTGACGCCCTGCGCTGCTCCTGAAATGGTCTTGATCAAACAACAGAGTAGTAGTTAACCGAAACCCATGTCCTAGAATTCTCCTCCTTCCCCACCTCCCGCAAGCAAAGTGATGTCGATGTCTGCAGGGGAAAATGAGAATGGGCCCTCACCCCCTAGCCCTGCAAAGACTGTACACATTTGTACAAAGCCTACTGAGTGCTCTGAAAGTAGCTTTTGCTTATGCATTGATGCAAAATGCACCCAAGGGGACTAGACTAAGCCAGGGAGGGCCCCAAGAGAAGGCAGTGTGCTAGGTGCTGGGGGTGGAGAGGTTGGCAAAAGGAACAGCTTCTGAAGCTTTGAGGGC
This sequence comes from Homo sapiens, assembly GCF_000001405.40. Classification (NCBI taxonomy): domain Eukaryota; kingdom Metazoa; phylum Chordata; class Mammalia; order Primates; family Hominidae; genus Homo; species Homo sapiens. The sequence goes on from NC_000017.11 coordinate 57,477,765, forward strand.
TCTGAGAGAAAGCTTTCTCTTCTTAGATGTTGGGGACTTGACATCCCTGTCCCTCCTGGGTGATTTCCTGGCAGAAAGGTCAGGAACAAGTGGCAGTCATGAGTGGAAGGCATTTGAAGCAAGAGACTATCGCAGCCTTGGTTTAATCCATGTAACCAGCCCCTTCTGCACCTCCAGGAGTGGAGAGAGAGCCACAGCTATTCTCTCTTCTCCCCACTGCTAGGATGCTGGCTGCAGCTCAGAGGGTAAATTAAGCATGTAGAGAGCACAGAGCCTCTGCCCGGCCTGCTCCTGAGAAGACTCGCCCACCCAGAGAAGCTCTCGGGTCATCTCCTCACGTGCTCTGTAGTCTCTTAGCAGACGGTATGCCACACTGGGCACATTGATGGCGGGCCCACTGGCTGCAGGCCAAAAGCCAATAGACAGTTCATCCAGAGGCCCCCTCTTTAGCTCTGGGGGAGTTTGACCTCTGCTGATGAGAAGAAGCCATTTGGCAGAATCTGCAAGGCAGAATCGATGGCACCTAGTGGGCCCCAGATTCAAGAATCCTGGGTGCCCTGCTGGCTCTGATGTACATCTTTAAAGCTACTTTTCCAGCACAAAAGCACTAGAGAAGCCTTTATTTGTTACTTAATGCTTGTGTTTTGTTTCAAATTACAGAACTTGAAGCCTTTAGGATGCACTGCCAGATATCTTAGTTTCTTTTCTCAAGAAAGGAAAGTCCACAGGCCCCTGAAGCACGCATTGTACTACTATCTCCCCGACAAAACCAAGTGACATAGACAGATTACCACTGACGTCTCCATGTTACATCCAAGGCCAGCACTGATGTCATTGGGTTTCTGAATTCTCATGTTGAGCCAGAGATATGACGAAGGCCACCGTGAGGTCTCAGACTGCCCTGGGAGAATCACACAGTGGTTCTCAGAGTCGGAAGGAATTCAGGGATCCTGTTCTAGATTTTAGTGCAAAGCAGCCTTGGTTTTGGCCATGGGCAAGAGGCCAAGCCATTCATTCATTGCTTTTGTTCCCCCACCATTGCTGAAATACTGATTTCTTTTCTCTAGGAAACAAGCAAGACTTAACTGTTTAACCTGTGAGAGAGTCGCTACTTTGTCTCTTTGCTGCTGCATTTGTTCATTCGTTCATTCATTTAAATAGTCAGTGAGTGTGTGCTGTGTGCTAATGCCTTCCTATGCACTGGGGTGGAAAACAGAACTCCAGCCTTCATGGAGCTTAATTCTGGCAAAGGGCTGCCAGCCAAACAAGTAGAAGACTGTGTGTGCCCCAGGGGGATAACAGATAAGGAACAGGACTAGAGGGAAGGGGTGGGAGTGCTTTGGCAGAGTGGCACCTTCCAGCCAATAGAGCCCTACAAAATGATGGAGACCCTTGGGCTGCTGGGGGATTGGGAGGACTGACAGCAATCAGGATGAAGGACACTCTGAGACCAGCCCCACAGTTTCAAGCCATTTTTTGGGAATGGGGCTTTGAGTGTTGGGGTTGAGGGAGAGGCAGCCCCTTTTGCCTTGCGTACTGGGGCATGCAGGATTTGGAGATGGGAAAGGTTAGTTTGACCTGGAGCATAGGTTCCTTCTTATGTCATCATATTCCTGGACAATAAACCTGGCCTTTGGGTCTTAACTGTCTTCTCTGGACTCAGTGTTCCTGATTGCTTCTTTCTCAGAATGGGTTGTTTTCCCAACCCTGCTGTGGGTAAAACATCCCAGATACTCCATTTTTATATTTAAGGTTTAATCGTAAATGATAATTATATTTAATTATGGGAAATTCAACATTTCTTTCAATGAAGAGCAGGAAGGACACATCAAAAGAATCAGGATTAGAAATTCTGGTTCTCAAGTAAAGCAAAGCAGCGGTGAAAGACTCAGACACATCTGCACTAATTGGAGCCACTGAACTTTGTATTTTTGTTTGTTCTTCATGGTGGGCTGTCACCTGGACAGCAAGGTTCTCATGGCCACATCTGAGCTGCCATCCCTGAGACCTACTGTGGGCTAGACAGGCACCTTCCCACATGATCCATTTGATCCTCATTGATAGGTATGAGAAGTGGGAATTTAATTTTTACACATTGGGAGACTGCAGCTTGTGGAGATTGAGTAATATATCCAACGTTCTGCCAGCATTCAAACCCAGGTCAGAACAACTGAAATGTGTTATCTTTCTACTTCACATTACCAACTCATGAAGGTCCATTTATTTTTTTTGAGTCGGAGTCTTGCTCTGTCACCCAAGCTGGAGTGCAGTGGCGCAGTCTCAGCTCACTCTGCCTCCCCAGGTTCAAACGATTCTTCTGCCTCAGCCTCCTGAGTAGCTAGGATTGCAGGTGCCCACCACCATGCTCGTTTAATTTTTGTAGAGATGGGGTTTCACCATGTTGGCCGGGCTGCTATCGAATTCCTGACCCCAAGTTATCCACCTGCCTCAGCCTCCCAAAGTGCTGGGGTTACACATGTGAGCCACCACGCCCAGCCACGAAGGCTCTTTTGTCAGGAGAAAAAGCTGTTTCAAATATCAGCCTAGCAAAGTTAAAATATGAAGAATTAATGTTGGCATGTTAGATATCAATGTAACCATTAAAAACAAACCCAAAATAAAACCCCCCAAAAGCTATAACTTTCTTAATATTTCTTAGGCCAATAAACAGGACTCATGTTGACATTAACTGAAGTTCAGGCTCCAACCAGCAGCAGGAGAGTTTTGAAGCTGCAGAAGAGATTTCTTGTCACCTTCATCAGAGTATCTGCCTTACCCTAAGCCCTTCAGTAATATATTCAGAATTTCAAGATTGGATCATGTGAGCAGGACTTAACAGGCCTACCTCTGCCTGAGCTTGGCTGGGTTTCAGACCTCAGCCGCAGAGACGAGGCACTATAAATAGACGAGGGAAAGAGATTTAGCTCAAAAATCCTGTGTTCTCAGAATTGCCACCTTCTACCTTTTGGGCCAAGCTGTCCTAGCGTTGAAGCCATGATGTTTGCCTAGGTAACTTGGCATGAGTTAGTTTTCATGCCAGCCCACACCCCAGTCACAGAACCATGGTTCCTTGATATTAGGTGAGCATTGACAAGAAGGTGACTTTAGCCTTGGCCCTAAATATGAGGAATACAGTCAGAGAACTTCTTCCTTAGTGGCATGCAGTGAAAGGAGTGGGTTTGTATTGCCAGTGACCATTAGGATGTGAAGACTGGAGATGGCATTGATAAGGGAGACTCATAGGATTTCAGTGACTCATAGTACAGGATGGTATACACAAGGCACTGGAGAAAGACCCATTTCCTCTGGGTTCATGGTAATTACAAATGCCTTTAGTAATCTCCCCAGGCTGTTAACCATTGTGGGTGCAAGGAAATCTGGGTTTTCAGTGACAAGGTATTAAAGCCTGCATTTCCCTGTTGTTAGTAGTTGCTGCTTCTTAGCTTGATTTCCTTGAAGAGACTGAAGAGTAGCAGCCGGCAAGTAATGTCTTTCAAAAGGATATATCCATTCTGCTGAAAAGCATGGAACCAAAATAATCTGTAACCTATTCCACCCAAATAAATAAGTCAGCAAATAAGTCTGCTTTCATTGTATTGTCTTCTCCATAAATATCCTTTAAATTGAGGCTGAGTGACAAGATATGCTTCTGCCACTAAAATGGTATCACTGATGATATTGAAAGAGCCTTTAAAATACCACAATTGTCACTGAAACTATACTTTGCTTTTTTTCCCCCTTCTCCTTTGCTAGTAACTAGGTCTCTTTGGGAATTTTTAAAGTGACAATTGGTAGATTGTAGTCGATGATATTTCTTCCACATAATACTTCTGAATGCCACTCAACTCTGCCTTGATTGGCTCCAAATATCCCAAAGAAGAAAAATGTTTCATTTGAAAATGTAAAGCTTATTGGAGGTCATTTGCTCCCTAACTTTTACCCCTTTGCAGAAGGGGCAAGGAAAAGGCAACAGTGGTAAGACTCGGCCTCAAAGGAACATAACTGCTGTCAAAATCAATCCATAGCTATCGGCTTGAGTACAGGGTGGTATATGCTTATTAGATTCTCAAATGTTATTCAGCTTGATTGCAGCTTTTATACAAAGGAGTTAAGACACGGGTAGGAAAGATAATAGAACTATAAATTGCAAGACAGCTTCTTATGAAATCAGTAAATTATTCATTTAACAGTTCACTCTTTGTTGATTTCATGTTGCTATGGCACCTCAAGATGGAGGCGAGTCAGTCCACCGGCCCAACCAGGGGCCTTACACAGATGCACAAATCCTGGTGGAAGGCAGATAATGCATTACGTACAACCTTCGGCCACATGATAAATTGCCTGTTTATCTGGCAAATTCCAAGGAGATCTGCTGGAGAGAACTGAAAGAGATATCTCACAGTGGCTAACATTTCTTGGAAGAGACCCAGCCATCTCAGGGTTTGAGTCAGAATCTGTTTAAGAAGGCATTAAGAATGCATTGTCTTGGAGTGTCTTGCCTGTCTCCCGAGATTGTTGGAAACACCATCGGCTCACAGTTGCTTTGGCGTTCACGCTACAGTAAATGCCTGACTTCATTTATTATTTTGATGGGCAAAGAAAACTGCCTGCCGACAGCCATGCTCCTTCCTAAGCTCTTCCCAGACTTACTTTTGTAGTCCTTCTCTACCCGTGTACAATTTGATTTCTTGCTGCTTGTTAAATTATTGTACTTACGAAATATATTGCCATGGCCAAGTCTGTCATTCGTGTACATGGCGTGGAAGGGAGTTTGGGTGCCAGAGGAGTTAGGAAGCTTGATGCTGTTGTTGGCCGTGACTTTGGTGACAGTGTGACCTTGGACAAGTTCCTTTATCTCTAGGGTCTCAGCATCTTCATCTGAAGCATGAGAAGTTTGGGGTGGTCCCTTCCTTCTTTAACCTCCCGAGACTCTGTGCCTCTCACATGTATAGATTCCCTGTTTGTAGACAGCAGTGCTGTTATGGGGACCTCTGAAGGCTATCTGAATGTGCCTGCATTTAGCAAGTCAAGGCCAGACCCTCCAGATGCACTGGACTGTGGGGACATTTTGTGTGAGTGAGACTATTAAGAATTTAGCAGTTCATTCTGACAGCTTGATAGATGGAGTGGTTTTGCATGGCATCCATGTAGGAATTGACTAAAAAGGAAACATTTTCTGAGAGTCCGGCTGTGTGTGCATGCTGGGAGGTTTTTCTCAAATCAGATTTTAAAACTTTGCTCTGAAAGACCAACAACAATAACCTAATCCAATATCCTTGTATATTTGATTCTACTGACCATAACATTTCTTAATTTCTGCTTTTGGCTTCTGTAGCCTAATATACTAATGATAATAAGTATTAGTGTTGTATTAGGAGGTAGATGCTATTATCCCTCTTGCATTGGTTGGAGTCTAGTTAGGGGATAGAAACCATGCTAGTTGAGCTGTTCTGCTTATAGAGTAGCCATTCTTTATTCCTTTACTTTTTTAATAAACTTGCCTTAAAAAAAAAAAAAGAAAACATGCTAGTTGTTTGTACACAGAGAGTTAAGCTAAGGAAGTGTTCATGGGGATGTAAAATTAACTAACTGAAAGAGTAAAAAGAAAACTAAGGAATTGGTTCTTCAATATTAGGGTGCATCCGAATCACCTCTGGGGCTTATTCAAACACAAATGACTGGCGCCCCCCAAATTCACATTTCTAATACGTTTTCGAGTGATGCTGATGTGGCTGTTTTGCGGGGCCACGCTTTGAGAACCACTGCTGCCAGGTACTGCGGAGGTAGCAACTGCAGGAAGCCACCACCCTTACCCTACCTAGGGCTGATGAGGGAAAGACTAAAACTTAGATGTTTGGAGGAGGAACCCAAGGCCTCTGAGGAGGGATCTGGGCCACTGGTGCTCATGTCTCTGAGGGGGTGGATGCTGTGTTGCTGGTTCTGCAAGTGTTGGGAGAAACTACACGCTGGATTCAGCTGCTGGTACAGGAAGGCACCTTTACTGCCAGGATGAAGAAGCATTGCTGGGGTGATGCTCACAGGAACCACAAGCCAATAGGAAGCCCCCAGGCAGCAGATGGGAGGGAGCAAGACCCTCTTCCTCCTCCAGCCTTAGGGTCTCCCTCTAGCACACGCTGTTGGCAGAGCCTACCAGGGAGCTAGGGGCAAATCAAAAATGTAAGTGGTTTGTAGGGTCCCAGGTCTAGTGGAGAATAAGTATAAAAGGGTGGGTTTGGAACCGAGAGCTGGTTTTACAAATGGAGAAACGGAGGCACTTTCCCAAGGTCTCTCATACTGGGTGGCAGGGATGGAATTTGAACCCAGGTAGTTTGGCTGCAGAGCCCTTGTTTAACCCCACCTCAGGCTGTTGGCTGAGAGGCCATTCTCTCTGGCTCACCTTCCTCCCTGTGACTGTTCTTGGCCTCCGTTAGCAGTCGCTTCTCTTTCCCTGCTCCTCAGGCAGATGCCCGTAGGACTTCATTCCCTGCATCTTCTCCCTCCACCTCTACCCCTAGCATCACCTTTAGGTGAGTGGGTCCATGTCTGTACCTCCACCCTTGGCTCCTTCGGGGGAAATGCCAAGCTTGGAAGGCCAGTGATTTCCTGGACGTTTCACCTGGAATGTTCTGTAGATTCCTCAAATATTTCTTCCCCCTCGGAACTCAGTACTGTCAGCCTCAACAGCTTCCTTTCTTCTGATTATTTCAGATTCTAAATCTGTTTTTCATTAGACTGGCTTAGTAGTTACCACAGCCTTCTTTGTACACTTCTCTACCCAGTTTATCCAGTAAACTGTGATTAGAGAAGTGTGCCTTAAAAACAACTGTGTTCATGTCATTCCTCTTCTTCCCTGTGGCCTCTGAAGAAAGCTGAGGCTTCTCAGAAAGCAGTTGTCTTCATTGCTGAGTGCTTGGACCCTCTGTGGAGCATGCCCTGTGTCCTTTCCCTAGGTAGTTCCAGCTTCTCCAGCCCTGCTGGGCTACTCATGGCCTTGGCTTCCGTCCTCTCTCAGACCACCCATGGTTGTTTTTGTCACTCTCATGTCAGCAATGCCACCATTTCCACCCCATCAGAACTCTTACCTGTGCTCGAAGACCCAATTCCACTGCCACCTGCTCCATGAGGCCTTCCCTGCTTCTCTCTCGGGGAAACATGGTCTCACCTTTCTGTAAACTCCCCTGGGTTTTATCTGTGTCACTCCTGCACAGGCAAGGCCCTCTGCCCACTGGAGGCTGAGTCTTTGTCTGAGCAGATTCATATCTTTTCTGTTTCTGAATTTCCCAGGGTGCCTCGTGTAGAGCCCTTAGTGCCGGCTCACTGCAGAGCTGAGTGTTTCCAGTTCAAATGGGTGTTCCCAGAGTGGGTTTTGTTTCCCATTTAAGAACAGCCTTCCTGTCATCCAGCCTCAAACAGGTTGGCCTGGACTATTCTAGTCTTAGGAAAGGTGGCCCAGGTGTGAAGCCACAGGCCACACTGTTGCTTTTAGCACAAGTTTCACAGCGAGGAACAGGGACTCTGCCCTCAGTTTTCTCTGTTGGGTTACTTTCATGTCTACTCAATTGAGAGTTTTAAATCCTTTTATTTCTAAAGATCGCCTGGTTAACGTATGAAGCTTTCTTGGGTCCATGTTGGCCTGTTGTTTAATGTTTCTCATTTGCCTGCGTATCTGGAAAAAAACAGACTCATTTGCACAGATAGAAACAAAAGATTGTGCAGATGGGAGCCACGCATGGAAGGGAAGGAATACTGATCTCCCTAATGCATCTTCCTTGCGAAACATGGAGCTGCTCAGGAAAGAAAGGGCCCGTGATTCAACAGTTGGGGAAATGTGGGTTCAACGGGCTCCCTTCCTGCAGACCTTCACGGAGCCTTTGATATGTAGTGATGAGCTTCCTGAATCTTGATCTGCATGCTGAGTTCCTCAGATGAGGTTAATTTGACCACAGGAGTGTGGTTCCATGGAACTAGTATTCCTTGGAATGTGCTTTGAGAAAAGTTGCCATAAAGACTATGAGTGTCAAAGGGATGAAGGAAGCAGGAGTTCAGGCTGAGGATGAGCCAGTGACCCCCTGCTCTGGCCGTGGAGGGGAGGGCATCACTAGGTGAAGCAAGCCCTCAGGAACAAATCTGCACCTGTGTTCTGAGCCCACTCCACTCTTGCAGGCCAAGACTGCCCACACCACACCAATGCAATAGACCCAGCTTCTCTGCCTCTCCAGGGAAAGCCGTTAGGGTACTGCAGGGAGGGGGTCGGTTTCGCCAACCAGGCTCATTCCCTCAGTCACCTCCCAAGGATACAGTGTCAGAATAACAGCTTCTGAAATGAGTTTTCTCCACTCATGCAAATTGCTCTCTGACTTTGAACACCCACGTGAGTAGAAGCAGTGTTTTGGCTGCCTGGTTGGTGGAGGAGGAACATCACAGGGTTATTTTTTCCCCTAGCAAATGCAGACAATACCCTCCCTCTAATCAACAGGTTCATAAGCGTTTGTCTGAGAACCAGAAATGAATTTACAAGGGGCTCTCTCCTAGCCTTGTGGAATTAGAGCAGAGATATTGCTTTCTTTTCACTTCAGTTAATCCAAATGAGCTGAGTCTCCTTTCTATAGGGAAGGGCAAAACAAAACAAAAACCTAACCCAGCAAAAACAAGGCTTTCTTACTGCCAAACTGGGGCTCCGAAAATAGTTTGGGTCATTGGAATCATGAAAGAAATAGTGTTTATATAACCTCTCTCTTGCAGAGAACTTGAAAGTGATTTCCTTTCGTTTTATGCAAATAATATATGGGATTTATATTACCCACTTTGTCAAACTCATCTTCCTTGTATGTGTTTGGAAAGCTTATTCACTGGTGGTCAGGCTTCTTGTTTTTCTTCTGGGTAGACTGCCTTTTAGACAATAAATTCTGAAGTCTTTGTTAATTCCGAGCTGGGAGGATACAAATGGCGGTCCATCCTGAGTGTGGGAAGGAGAATCAGTTTGAAAGAGCTCTTTTATCTGCACTCCTTAGACTTTTTAGTGTTGTTTCGGTTATTTTAGTGTATTGCCAGACTCACGGAGAACTTCGTTTGTCCAAAGCTCCACGAAGGCTGCAAAGATAAACCAAGCTGTCCATGTCCTTACTGGCAGGGATCACAGAGTCTAGTGGGTGAGAGAGTGACAGATACCATAATACAAGGCAAGTAAGTACTGGGTGCATGCAAAGTGCTTTGGGATTGTAAAAGAGAAAGAGAAAAAACCCAGCCAAGTAGGGAGGGGAAAAGCTGCCATCTGAGCTTCACTTGCAGGCTAGGTTACATTTCAGCAGGCAGAGGCAGGCAATATGGCCCTGAGCAAGGGAAGTACAGAAGTGGGAAGTGCAGGGGACTTCAGATCACGGGGTGAGGGAGGAGGCTCACTGAGAGAGAAGACCAGTACTGTGCTCTGTGGGGCCAGCTCATGAGACCGCAAAGATAGTAGCAGCTTTGATGCCAGGCTGGGAATTCTGCCTGCGCTGTTGGGAGCCAGTCACGTGTTCCACACAGGTGAGTGGCCTGTTCAGATTCTGTCCCTGTGTGCTCCATCCTAGTGGTACCTGGGAGTTGTCATCTCCGTGCCTCTCTTTTTTCTGTCCCCACATCTCCAGTTATCAGTCTTTCTATTGCACCCAAAAAAACTGCTTGCCTCTCTCCCTAGTTGTATGTGGTCCCTGTGTCCTCATCACTCATCCATCAAGTGACAAAACTCTTCTCTTAACCTTCAGCCTTGGCCTCCTCTGGTCTACCCTTTCCATGCTGCCAGAGGGATGGTTTTAAGCTGCACTGGCCATGTTCTTCCCCTGCTCAATACCTGGCAGCAGCCCTGTCATCTCCCCAGGAAAGCCTGAGCTCCTTGGTGAGGCTGATGAGGTCCTCCCAGGTGCAGGTGCACTCTCCATGCCTCTGCCTTCTCACGCACTCAGCTTTAACCACACCAAACTGGATGCACTTCCTCTCTCTTGTCTCTTTAAAGGGACTGTGTCTTCTGCTTGGAACTTTCCCTTTGTGAACTCCCATAGCCATCCCTCAGCCAACAGACATCTGCACGCATGCCAGCTCCCTCCCTCCCCTACCCGGTCTATTGGGTTGCGTCTCCCTCCCTCTATTCTCATAGTACTTGGTGCCCCCTCTGTGCACACAGCCCGGTGCTTTATGGTTACTTTTTGCCTGCCTGTCCATCATGTCACTAGATGGTGAGTTCCTCCCAGTGCCTAGCTCTGTGCCAGGCCAATGATAGGACCCCAGGAAATGTGTGTGGGAGAGATTAGAAGGAGAGAGCTGGAAGGAGGAAGACCCATTTGGAGCCCAGGGCAGCAGCCAAGCCACCTTCATTTGTCCCGACGATCATGCTGGTCCCAGAGTTGGCCTCATTCCTCCAGAGGGTGGTACTAAGATTACTGGAGAAAACAACCAGGGGGAAGCTCACTGGTATATAACAACATCAGCTCCCTTCTCCTCGTCCCAGGAGGAAATGATATTTCCATACATCCTAAACATCCGCCTCCTTGCAGCATCTGCGGAAGCTTGCTTGAATAATGAAAGATAATCAGCAATAGTTGAAATTTCCTATCCTTGGGCAGGTCTTTTTTTCCTACTATATTATGTATTTAAATACATAGACATATTTAACCCCACCTACCTTTTGGGCCAAGTGTTTATGGACTAGACTTGTTCTTCCCCTTAGTTTTGGAGGTCCAGTGGTGAGTACCTCTCACTTTTCAGAGCCAGAAGTGCTGCTTAAAAATGTGTTCAGATCCTGGCCGGGCGCAGTGGCTCACGCCTGTAATCCCAGCACTTTGGGAGGCCAAGGTGGGCGTATCACCTGCCGTCAGGAGTTTGAGACCAGCCTGGCTAATATGGTGAAACCCCATTTCTACAAAAAATACAAAAAATTATCTGGGTATGGTGGTGTGTGCCTGTAATCCCAGCTACTTGGGAGGCTGAGGCAGGAGAATCGCTTGAACCCAGGAGGCAGAGGTTGCAGCGAGCCGAGATCGCGCCATTGCACTCCAGCTTGGGCAACAAGAGTGAAACTCCGTCTAAAAAAAAAAAAAATGTGTTCAGATCCTGCAAAGTGACAGCACATTAGAGCTGGCGGTGTGCAGACACGATAAGAGGGAAGATCAGATGTGCTGGCAGAGAGCTCCAAAGTGCCCTTCCCATGAGTGTCTCTCGGTTGGAGAGGGAACACACTGCCAGGAGCCAGGCAGTGTCCCGAGGCCTTCACTCTCAGTCCGTGCCCAGAGATGCAGCCCCCTTATGCTAATTTATGTGTCATCAGAGTCATTAAGGGTCATGAAGAGCCTTGGGTTCTGGTCGCAGCTCTGTTGCCAACTGGCTGAGTAGACTTCCGCAAGCCACGTGCTTTCTGGGGCCCAGGCAGCCCTCATCTGCCAAAGAAGGGAGTCGGATGAAATCTCCAAGAGTCTCTCCTGCTTCCCACTTCCATGAGTTTATGAAAGATGCAGGGATGTGGTGTTGGCATTGGGGTCTGATGGAGCTTCTCAAGGGAGAACATGCCCCTAAAGAGGCATGTAGCAGCTGGGGAGGGATGGAAGGGGAGTGAGGGCTGGAGACTTTGGGGGTCCAGGAGCAGGTGCTCCCAGCTGCTTGTGGCAAGAGAGGAAGGGAGGGAGACACTGAAGAGAAGAGCAGGTCTGCAGGCAAGGAAGAAGCAGCCAAATGGCCCTGGGGTTCTGACCATGAGCTTTGGAATTCCAGAGTGGCCAGGGAGGCTCCTGGCACGGCCAGTCCCTCAGTGGACAGAGGCCGGCGGGGCCAGCTGGTACAGCCCAGCAGCTTTCCCAGAACCTCTGTGGGTTGCGTGCCTGGGAGGACTCAGCCAGCACTGGCTCCTCTTCTGTCCTCAGAACCATCTCCACCTTAACTCCTCCCTGGCACATGCAGCTCTTTCTCAATTATTTATCAGTAGCAGCATCCATATTAGCCCACTGTGTGCTGGGCACAGTGCCGGACACTGGTGACTGAGACACTGGTGACCCAACCTTTGCTAAGAAACAGGACTTGGGGAGAAAGAAGAAAAGCAACAAAGTGGGTTATCTCTAAGTCCAAGTATCTCTTGGTGTTGTAGCTCCTGTGGGCACTGCAAACTCATGTTTTTATTATTTGAAGGAAGAGGAATTAGGGTGAGCAGGAGGGTGACGAGAGGGTGATTGGAAAGTCCAGATGTTGGGCTCTATGAACAACTTATGTCTGCTTTAAATTCTCATAGGAGACTGAAAACCAAGAATATACCTAATGGTAACAGGCAGTAGACCAAAGATCATGGACTGTGGCTCTCTCCCAGGGCAAGCTCTTTAGTCTCCCTGATCCTGAATTTCCTCATCTATAAAATGGGGATCATCAAGCCTATCTGGAAGGGTTGCACTAGAGATGCAGGTGAAATCGTGGATGTATGATGCCTGCCACTCAGTAGATGCTAGTTCTTCTTTCTCTTGCTGATTTAGCAACAGGCTTCCTTTTAGGCCCCACAGAGATCTCTCCTTTGTTCTCTTAAGTCTAATATGTTTAGATCTATTGCTGACACCTGATGAAATTTGCCAAGTGTCTTGAAGTGGCTACAGTGCCAAAAGGCTTGTTCTTGGCAGGTACCATATTTCAGTTTCTCAGATCTCCTCTGGCAAGAGTTCTGCAGACATTCTCTAATCGGAGTTTGGGGGCTACTTAAATGATTAGTCCCACTGAAGGTAGACCTCTGCTTTGAAAACAGCCCTCTGTTGTCCAGGAAGGGCTTGTGCATGCCTTTATAAGAGGTCATGTAAAGCATGGTTGGGACAGAAGTTGTATTGGGTTCACTTGTGTGTCCTGGCTCCTAAAGCAAAGGGATTATCCTTGCCAAAGGAGAAATATTTGGAATAAAATACCATGGCTCATGTTTCAAGATATCACAGGCCGAGAAGCGACCATGATCTTGGTGAGATGCCCTGATGTTTTTTTCTGTGGGGCACATCATAAAAGAACTTTGGTTAAACATTTTGGCCTGCTCCTCATTTCCCAGCTCCAATCTTCCAGATTTTCTGAGTAGCTGACATGCCTTCTAGGGGAAATTTTGCATTCTTCACTTCCTCTACCTCTCTTTCTTCCCCTCTGTTTTTTTCTTTTCTAGCCAGGGGCAGCAGCTTAGTACTTGGAACCTGCCACTTAGAATGGCTCAGACTCCTTGGAGCCAAGGGGCACGCTGGCGGTTTCTGCCAAGCACCTGGCCAGGGTTCCGGGGTGGGGAGGACGGATGGGAGGTGTCACACTGCCCCTCGTGGGCCATTGCCTCACAGCTTGCAGGTGTCCTGGCGCTGGGATAAAAGGGCTTATCCTTGAGACCTCAGGAGCGTTTCTGCCAAGCGCTCGCATTGGTCAGTTTATTCGGATTCTCCTGTAGAGGGGAGTTACCTGCTTCTTCCTATTTCTGTTTTCTGTTACAAGACCTGGCTAGAGGCCTCTCTGAGAGCGCAGTCAGGCACAAAGCCCGGCAGAGGCATTGGAGAAGACAGGTCATGGAGTGAATGAGCGAAGGAACTCTGAGATTCTAGGGTGTTAACTCTTAGAATACCCAGATCCTACATAGCTGCAATTCAGCAGAACATTGACCCTGGCAGCCAGAGTACTTTTCAGACTAGCTGAGGTGCTGGAAAGCAGCCCAGGAGGACACTTGGGGCAGAGGCAGCCAGCCTGGGGTTCAACATTTGTGGCTGATAATAGAGACCTCGGATAAATGGAATATAGACATGTTACATCTCCTGATGCAGAGCTCCTGCAGCCAGAGGGTCTTGGCCTTTGGGGGACCTCTTTGGGAGGGCCTGGGGTCAGATGGGGGTGGACTTGGGCCTGAGTCCATCAGAGAAAATGTGGGGAGTTGGGGTAGAGACCAATGGCTGCCAATGCTCACTTCCAATTCAGGAATCATTGCGCCTTCCTGCAGGAGGATGGCCAACGCCTAATGATGATGATGATTTTTTCAAAGCCTTCACGACTGCTCTAATGATAGGCATATGAAGCCACAGTTTTCCTCCTTCCTGCTGTTCATTCAACCTTTCTAGCCTGGCAGCTTTGCCTCAGTTTTCCTCCCTGGATGATGAATCCACAAGTCTGGCCAGAAGGAAGATGAGCATTACTCTGAAAGTCATTTTGTACTTTTAAAACTTATTTTCTTTCTCTGAGTTCTGTATTAGTGTTGTAATTTGCTCCTGATACCACCTAAATCAGTTGCGATTAAAGCTTTTCTATCTTTCTTTTTTTGTTTAAAAGAAAAAAACAGATTTGCTGCCTGGAGTTCACGTATTAACAAAGATGAAAAAGATAGTGTCTGATTTATAATGTACTGAATTGCCTAAGTCTTTCATTTGTAATTCTTGACAGTGTTCCTCTAGTAAAGCGAGGCATCGTTCTGTTGTCAGGGGCTCAGTAATCGCCATGAAAAACGGGGGAAGGATTTGTGAGACATTCTATATGAGTACCGAAGGTGATGGACAAGTAAAAATCAGGACGGCATAAATTACTCAGTATCTTTCTTCTCCACAATTATTTTCACTGTGGCATTACTATATTGGTATGTCCTCCGGGTCCCTTTAAGGTCAAGAAATCAGGAGATAAAAACCTTGTAGCATTTGACCAGATCAATACTGAGGGTTCTCAAATAGATATCTAAGTCTTTGGCAGCTGATGCTGGATGGGCAAGGGAAAAACATAGTTTTTGATAGGTATTGAAGAAGCTTCAGCAGCCGCTGAGTACATGGGGCCTCTTTCCCATGCGTCTGATGTGCTGTGTGCCAGTCTGGGGAGGGGTGAGGGAACTCCATTTGGGTTCTCAGTTTTGTTTTGTTTTTTTTTGAGACAGAGTTTTGCTCTTGTTGCCCAGGCTGTAGTGCAATGGCACGATCTCAACCTCTGCCTCCCGGGTTCAAGCAATTCTCCTGCCTCAGCCTCCCAAACTGGGATTACAAGCACCTACCACCACACCCAGTTAATTTTTGTATTTTTAGTAGAGACGGTGTTTTACCATGTTGGCTAGACTGGTCTCAAACTCCTGACCTCAGGTGATCCACCTGGCTTTGCCTCCCAAAGTGTTGGGATTACAGGCGTGAGCCACCATGTCCAGCCTGGGTTCTCAGTCTTTTGTGGAATATCTTTGTTCTTCCTCCATTTTCCATCAGTTTTCCACTCTGGGGAGATGAGAATTCGTTAAAACAGAGTGAGCCAGCGTAGGATGGGGTAGGGAAATGAAGCCCACTGTAAACTCTGTGGGTGCTGAGAAACCTCAGGCTCCTAGGTAAAAGGAGGAAATCCAAGGTGGCTGTCCAGACACTGCCCAACTGTGCCACCAGAATTCTGAGCTCCGGCCAGCAGGCTCTAAAGGACAGGTGGGCACCTTGGAGACGTGAGGAGCAATCATCTTTGCTTCATATTCTACCTGTGGTTGCCTTTCAGCAGTTTTGGGAATGGGAGCTTTGGGGCATTTTATGTCCTTTGCATTGTCCGAAGAAAGGTAAAAGGAGCGATTGCTGTTACACTGGGGATTTCTGATCTGTCTCTGATAAAATCTGGTTGCATAGTTGATCTTCAGCAAAAGAGGAAGCGATGAATGAAATTGCTGTCCTCACTTGCCACCTCCCCTTCCTTTTATTCTTTGGTTTTTAAGTGTGGTGAAAATATCAATAAAGAGGCTGGCCATTTTGGTCCCAGTCAATGAACACTTGCCATGGGGTAGTCCTTGCCCAGTGGAGATCCAGCCCATATGGGCACCGTTGCATTGCCTGTGGGTCATAATGTTTTAAGGATATTCTGTTCAGTTGCCCTCTGGGTCCCTCCAACTAGATGAAGGCATTCTAGATTGCAGGGGAGGCGGGAAACAGTCTTGAGCTGCGGGATGATCTTGTCTCCTAGTCACGAGAAGGAGTATTGGAGATCCCATCATCTCATCTGCCTGTGGTCATTATTACTAAAACCTTCTTCAGCTGCCCAAACCACAGTAGGAGGTAGCCTTGCTCTTCCTCCCCTTGGAGCCATTTTCATGTGGGCATGAAAGTGATTGACAGGCTGTGAAGTACCTCTCCCACCATCACCCAACACTGTGAGGTAGGCGGAGCAGGGAAAGTTTTAATTACCATTATACAGATGAAAAAACTGGCCCTCTGCAGAAGTTAAGTGGTTTGCATGAGCCTGGGAGCTGGCACTGCAAGACAAGTCTACCTGCTACGGACAGAGTGCTCTTGTACCCTCGGGGTTCTGCCTCTGGTCACTCTCTACATAGCAGAAGCTCCACTGGCACTTTTGTATTCACAACTACCGGGTGCGATAAGGCAGTGAGGGTTATTATGATACCCCTTTTCACAGGTAAGGAAACAAGGCTCAGAGAGGTTCAACAACAGAGTCATAATTCTTCTTGTTGGAGAATTCATTTTGTTACATTTCATTCCCACCATCTGCAGTAAGGGAGACCCATTAAAATATAGTATCCTGATTTTTAAAGAGAAGGTAACATTAAGGCCAGGAGGTTTGGGATTTGCCCAAGTTCACTGTGGGCTTCTGGACTCCCATGCCCAACAGCCTCCATGATGCAGAAGCGTCCCGCAAGAGCCTAGTGTTTTGATTCTTTTTTGGTGCCAGGAGACAGACTGTGGACCTGGAGTGGGTTTGGGGGCTGGAGAAGTAGAGGAGGTGGAGTTTCTAGAAGAGGGGTATATTGTGGGGGTAATAAGACCAATAACTACATAAGGACCTGCGTTTGGTCTTAGCAGTGAAAATTGCATCTTTAGCCTTATAGAGAATGTTGTTTTCCTCCATAAAATAACCTGCTTTGAGCACCGCTGTTGTGCTGGGCACCATTCCAGTTGCTTTTGCATCTGCTCTTTAATTTAATCCTCTCAGCAATGCTATGAAGTAGGTACCTGCCTCTTTTTTCCTCAGTTGAGGAACTGAGGCTCAGTGAGTTGAAGAAACTTGTCCCGGACCACACACCTGGTCTATGGCCATGGCACGTGGTCATTCAGCAAACGCTGAACACATGCTGTGTGTCAGGTACCATGCTGGACACCAGGGATAAATCAGTGAACAGAACAGAAACGAATCCCGGTCATGACAGAACTCAACTCAAGCGGAGGGAGGTATAGGATAAACAGCAAAAATATACCAAAAAAGAAAATTACATTGCACAATTAGAAAACGGTAGGAGCCACTTAAAAAAAACAACAGTGGAACACAGGGTAAAGGAGATTAGGAAGTACCTGGAGTGGGTTGCAATTTTACATCAGCTGACCAGGCTGGGCTGCAGGGAGAGGGCTTGGAGGAGGTGAGGGAGTGAGCCCTACAAGATGTCTGAACTGACGCTCTCTCTTCAGAAAGAAAGGGAGGCCCAGCAAGTGGGAATGACTTGGCCAAGGTTACCCACTGAGTTAATGTCCAAACCGGGTCAAGAACCTGGGGATCCTCACAGCTGCCTTTGAAAGCTTCATATGGGCCGGGCACGGTGGCTCACGCCCATAATCCCAGCACTTTGGGAGGCCGAGGCAGGCGGATCACCTGAAGTCAGGAGTTCCAGACCAGCCTGACCAACATAGTGAAACCCCGTCTCTACTAAAAATACAAAAATCAGCCGGGCATGGTGGTGCACGCCTGTAATCCCAGCTACTCAGGAGGCTGAGGCAGGAGAATCACTTGAACCCAGGAGGCGGAGGTTGCAGTGAGCCAAGATTGCGCCACCACACTCCAGCCTGGGTGACAGAGCGAGACTCTGTCTCAAAAAAAAAAAAAAAAAAAAGAAAGCTTTACTTGGCTTCTCTATATCCCCTGAACATCTCTGACCTGGCTCTCTTGATATCAGTCTCCATGTCCAATTCTCCATGTCTGCCTTCCAGCCTCTTCCACAGCCTTCAACCTTTGTGGCATTGATTCCTGGTGGTCCCATCCTAGCCCCCAAACCTTCTCTGTCCTCAAAAGTCCCATCTCTCTTCTCTCTTCAGATAAACGTACATCTCTTCACCCCAGCATCCCAGCGCCCTGAGTGAGGAATTAATGCTTTTATATTTGAAGAGATCGGCTGCTGTCATTTTTGATATCTTCTGTTTTTGTATGTGGGAACGCAGAGCACAATTAGAATACAGTTATATATCCTCATAGTTATTGAAGCTTGGATTAACATGACATAAAGTTTTGTCTAGGGAGTCTTTTGCTATGGCTCAGGGAGCATTTTTTGTGACAGTAATAGGCTACAGTTAATATACTTGAATGATACTAGAATCTGTGTTATAAGGCAGAACAAAAGGGGTTTATCTGAAGCTGAATTACAAAGGTGGAATTATCACTGCGAATGATCCACAGAGATCTGGGGCTTAATTATTGTCGCTTGTGTCATTTCGGCATAATATGGGTAGTTACTGGAGCAGAGTAGAAGTGCGGGAGGGCCAGCCTGTCAATCACCCGGTGGATGCCAGGATTCCCACCCCTTACACTTAGCGCCACGCCAGCCGTGTGCCCTACAGAGCCACAGGAATGGATCCCTTTGGCCATCTGTGGCTATGTGGTACTTTCAGTTTTCTTAATGTTTTAATGACTCCCCTGTCCTACCTCCAGCCCAATCCCCCTCTCCCCACTTAGGTCCTTTGCCCTCTTGGCCCTGTCGAACCTTCCAGGAGGCTGATGAACGGTCTCATACACTGATGGCATTTTCTCAGCCCGGTGAGGCCGCCACCACCTTCCAGAGCCTAATTGTTTTGACAAGCGAAGGAGGCAAGCTAATGTGCTCTGTCAGCCATTTGGTCACATTTGGTCAAAGCCAGGTGTCTGGCTGCAAATAGGTGCACTCAGGTAAACCACATCCCCGTGTGCTCCGGGAGGACAGAGCACGCAGGAGGCGGGAGTGTTGCGGGCAGCCCTTCCCCATCCCTGGCTCCAGCGCATTCATTCTCCTCCCAGGCTCCAGTCAAGTCTGAGGGTGAAGGGTGGGAACAAGACAGTTCAGCACCTGAACAGGGCAGGGCACCCAAGGGCTTTTAGAAATGCTGTTAGATTTATAGGGACCATCATCCTCTTCTTACTATTTTTATTATCATTTTTCATTATCCACCTGCTAGGTGTACAATTACAACTTGTTTTGTTGGTGGCTAAATTCAGCTGTCCTCCTCACCTTACTGTTAACCAAGAGAGGTATGGCCATTTTAAATGGCCAAAGTGTTTCTATTGGACCCTTTAATTTTTTTATTTGAGATGGAGTTTCGCTCTCGTTGCCCAGGCTGGAGTGCGATGGTGCAATCTCAGCTCACTGCAACCTCTGCCTCCCGAGTTCAAGCGATTCTCCTGCCTCGCCTCCCAAGTAGCTAGGATTAAAGGTGCCTGCTACCATGCCCAGCTAATTTTTGTATTTTTAGTAGAGTCAGGGTTTCACCATGTTGGCCAGGCTAGTCTCGAACCCCTGACGTCTGGTGATCCACCTGCCTTGGCCTCCCAAAGTGCTGGGATTACAGGCATGAGCCACTGCACCCAGCCTATTGGACCCCTTTAAATGTGACTTTTTCTGCCAGACTTGTTTTCTGAGAGGTCATTGCACTGGTGCTTTTTGAAAAGCTACTCTGAGTGACCCCACGTATAAAGCGAGGAAAGGGAACAGGACTTTGGCAGGCAGCTGTGTGTGGCAGGAAGTGAACCAGGAAGGTGCTGGGTGTAGTCTTCTCCCACCCTCCAGCAGTGCTGGGGAGCTGCGCTTGTTTGGGAACAGAGAGGTTCAGGAATGTCGGGTCTTTGTCAAGGTTACATGGCTGGAAAATCAAAAAGACAGCTACGTCTCTCTATGTCTGAAGGCCATGTTTTTCAGCTAGTCCTGTACTTTTTTTAAAGTATGGTCTTCTAAATACCTCATCAGAGATGTCTTTGGGCCCCTTATCCAAAATGAAGATTCCTGGGCGCCACCCCAAGACAACTGAAACATGCTTTCTGAAGGAGCAAGCAGCTTGGGCTGTGCATGTAACAAGTCACCAGGTGTGACTGATGCACACGCAGGTAGTTGGGGGCCGCTGCACTGTCCGGACAAGCTGATGACAGCGTCAGCCCTGGTGTTCCCATAGATGCCTAGGTATTAGTTTGAACACCACATGTCCTCAGATATTCTTCATACCAAGAGAGCTGGTCCTTGGTACATTATACCCTACTGGGCTGGGGTAACAGAAAGTGGGAGCCATGACCTCAAATTAAATTAGAGCCAAAAAGGGAACATGTGGGATTTTCTTCACATCTCCCATTTAATAAATGAGAGAACTGATCCTGCAAGTAAGAGAATTCCATGAAGGACATACATTCACAGCAGATCTGGTCCTAGTAGCTGTTACCCCCGCTACCCTTAAAAAGTAAATATCTATCACCACTTGCCTTCCTATTGCTACGATGATTTAAAAGAAGAGTTGGTTTTAATTAGAATAAACATGGTATTTTTCTTGCTGCAACAAGGCCTTCAAAGGGGAAAAAAATCTCAATACCCCAATTATGCCAAAGCGTTCCCAGTCCTATCCAGGAGTAATTAAAAAATACAGCTGACGCTTGTTCTCTTGCTTGTTTTTAAATGAGTAGCTAAGTATCTGTCAAGATGATGAGCACCTAGGCCGCTGACGGCCTTACCATCTCAATTTGCTCCCAGGAACTGCAGAGATGAGAACACGAAAGCTGTTGTTTTGAACTGTGAGGTACCTGGCTACCCCAGGCACATGCATTTTGTGGTTGGTGGAGATCATCTCTCCGACCCCAGTACCAAAATGTGGGATGGAAGGCCAGGCCTCATGTCCACATTCTTATGCCTGGAACACATCTCTTCTTTCCCTATGGGCAGCTGAAGTGGCTTCTTCCTGTGCCGCGCGGGGAGCTCAGCTTCTCTGCAGTACACAGCATGTTTTGAGGATCGTTGGGTAGAATTAGGTTGGCTTTGTTGGGGGAAATCCCCTAGTTGCAATTCACTTTTTAATTAGTTCATGGAACCTTTCTTTCTTTTTTTTTCTTTTTTTAAATTATACTTTAAGTTCTAGGGTACACGTGCACAATGTGCAGATTTGTTATATATGTATACGTGCACCATGTTGGTGTGCTGCACCCATTAACTCGTCATTTACATTAGGTATATCTCCTAATGCTGTCCCTCCCCCCTCCCCCCACCCCACAACAGGCCCCGGTGTGTGATGTCCCCCTTCCTGTGTCCAAGTGTTCTCATTGTGGAACTTTTATTTCTAAAATATGCCCCCAGGTGAATTGAGAAGTCATTTTGCATATTAACACCATCCATTTGGTGACAATTGGGCTTTTTTTCCTCAAGCTAAGGGCAAGGCCAGACGCGGTGGCTCATGCCTGTAATCCCAGCACTTTGGGAGGCTGAGGCGGATGGATCACCTGAGGTCAGGAGTTCAAGACTAGCCTGGCCAACATGGCACAACCCCCTCTATACTAAAAATACAAAAATTAGCCAGGTGTGGTGGTGCATGCCTGTAATCCCAGCAACTCAGGAGGCTGAGGCAGGAGAATTGCTTGAACCCTGGAGGTGGTGGTTGCAGTGAGCCGAGATTGTGCCACGGCACTCCAGCCTGGGCAACAGAGTAAGATTCTGTCTTAAAAAAAAAAAAAAAAAAGGGCAGCTAAGGGCAATTCTGTATGCATTCTTCTCACCCCACCCACAACACACATGTTTTTCTAAAGACAAAATCAAGGGCAGACTTGAAAAGGAAATAATCATAAAAGTTTCTATAGCATTTGGAGTTCTTAATATTTACCCATCAGTTTACAGCATGTTTTTATATATGTGGTGTTCCGGTTATCTATTGATGCATAACAAATCACCCAAAAACTTGTTGGCTTAAAACAACAGCAATCGTTATATTATTTCTCGTGGTTTCTGTGGAGCGGGAATTTGGGCGGGACTCAACTGAGTGGTTCAGGCTGGGAGCATCTCATGAGGTTGCAGTCAGACATGAGGTTGTAGTTCTAGTGGCTGCCACTGGCACAACAGGGGCTGACGAAGCATCTGTCCAAGGGATCTCAGGACTTCTCCCCATGGTCTCTCTGCATGAGCTGGTTTGAGCTTCTTTATATCATGGCTGCCTCAGGCAGTCAAACTCCTTGTACAGAAGCTTAGGGCTGGAGCACAAATGTTTCCACAGACAAGGCAGAAGCGTGTTCACTTTTTTTTTTTTAACCTAACCTCAAAGGTCAAACAACACAAGTGAGTCTCAAACTCTCAACTGGAATGAAGGGGAGGGGACATAGAGCTCACCTCGGGATTGGAGGCGTATTGAGGTCCTATCGTAGATCGCATGTGGCACGGGGGAGATATTGTGGCCATCTTAGGAGAATACAGTCTGCCACATGTGGTCACTCTCAGACACGCTCAGGACGGGTAGGAGGTCTTATTATCACCATTTTACAAACTGGAAACTCAAAGCCAGAGAGGTAAAGTAGTTTGCCTGCAGTCACTCAGATCTTAAGTGGATATTAGAACTCATATCCTGAGGGATGTGAGAAAAGGGGAAAGAAGGCAGCACCAAGTAGCTTGTCCAGGTGACCTTTGGGGGCAGGTGGGACTTGGTGGCTCTATACCTCAGATCTCTCTTCGCCACCATATGAAATGAGTTGCGTCTTTTTTTTTTTTTTCTCTTTCTCTCTCATATAGACTCTTGGGTGCAGGGAGGGAAGAGCCAGGTGGGGTGGGCTAGCAAGAGGAGGAGCGAGCTCTGGAGGAGGAGGTTGGACAGTTGCCCGCTTGGTAGAGCAGCTAGTTTTTTACAACCACTGTCAGGAGAGGAAGGGCCATCCGGGTCTGTAGGGTGTGTGTGTTGACCAGGCTTTACCCAGAGCACTGTCCTGTCTCTTCTGAAGGTCAGGGCACTCAATGAAGGACAAGTCCAGCTGTGGCCTTTAAATTAGAAGACTAGCCAGGTGTGGTGGCTCACACCTGTTATCTCAGTGTTTTGGGAGGCTGAGCCAGGCAAATTGCTTGAGCTCAGGAGTTCGAGGCCACCCTGTCTCTACCAAAAAAAAAAAAAAAAAAAGGATTAGCAGGGGCATGGTGGCATGTGCATGTAGTCCCAGCTACTTGGGAGGCTGAGGTGGGAGGATCACTTGAGTCCAGGAGGTCAAGGCTGCAGTGAGTTATGATTGTACCACTGCAGTACAGCCTGGGTGACAAAGTGAGACCCTGTCTTGAAAAAAAAAAAAATGAACCAATATGATTAATAATAATGGCAGCATCAAGAGCCTGTACTTCCTATGTGTTTCCATGTGTGTAAATGCTCTGTCACACCGTCTCATTTCACCTCATTTCCCCATAAAGAACATTCTATTAACTGGGGTTCAGAGAGTAACTTGTTCTGTCGCTCACCCAAGATCGCCGTGTGGTTCCTGAGTGTAAGGTGTGAAGCCAAGTCTCTGTGGCCCTGGGGCCCGAGCCCTCAACTGCCCTGCTAGGGTCCAAGCTGACCACTGCAGGGCCTTAGTCTGGAGGAACGGCTTGACTCCGGACATCTGCAGGAGTGTTTGCTGTGTTGAGTTGAGCCCCTCTGCCAGACGTGTCAAAACAAATGCTTTTGTGTGTTTACTGCCTCACACGCTCAGCCAGAAGCTCCTGTTTTATCATCTAGTTTAGATTGAGGGGAAGAGGCTTCATCAGTAAGGACCTGTCTCACTCTTCATCCCACGGCCCTGGGCCAGGCCCTGTTAGCTTTCAAGAAGGCAGTTTATCCCTCAAGGGTGGTCCTGCCTCCAGGCTGCCCCCACCCCATCCCTGTGGTTCTGCGCACAGAATATTGTTAGATTTGATTTTTCCAAGTCGTCTCTCTCAGTGCCTAAAAGAGATTCTGGCGTGCTCAGGGAAGTTTTTTGAAGTGACCAAATGAACAGTATGTGTGCTGATTCATCTCCCCTCACTACTGTCAGGGTGAACCAAGTTCAGCCGTTGGCAACGAGACGGACCTAGAATAGCCCCTGCTCCTGGAGATTTTATTCATAGACCCTTCAACACAGCCTGCTCTTATAGACACAGTCATTACATGTCTTGGGTTTTTCAGGAAGATTTAGATTTTCTGTGTCAGATGATGTATTTAAGATAACTTCAGTCACTGCGTAGCTCTGCAGGACAACCATTTATTACAGGTCTATTTCAATTTTTGAAACTTATAGTAGAGACAGTTGCTAAGTTCAAGCTCTCAGAGCTCACCTCCAGGTTGCATAGCCAGTTTCTAGGAGGGTCCTGGGTTTCAAGAGCAAGAGATTCCCCTCATCCTCCACTCCTGGGCTATAGGCAGGTACAGAGTACAAGGCTCAGAAGGGCCCACCAGCGATGTGGGGCTCTCCAAGGGTCCTCTAGGAAGGAGACCCCAGGGGAGAGAGAATGAGTTGGGGCAACCAATAGGAAAAGGGCTAAGAATCACGTTAACATTTATGGAATAGGCCACGTGCACCTGGCATTTCACACTTGGCACCTGGTTCTTTACCACATTAAAAGATGAGTTTAACTTTTCTCATCTTACAGGTGACGTGGTACAGAGTTTAAGAGCATGGGCTCTGGGGTCCACTGTTGGGTTTAAATCCAGGTTCTTCTCCTCATAAGCAGGATGAACTTAGCCAAATTTCTCAGCCCTCTGGATTTCAGTTTCCTCATTGATAACATGGAGACGATGATAATAGTGCATCCTTTGAAGGTGTAATGTGTGAATTGAACTAGATAACTTTGTGAAATGGCCGGCATAGTGTCAGATCTACAGTAATTGTGTAATAAGAATTAGCTGCTATTATTATTGTTGTTGTTTGAGGGATATGGACAGGGAATGGAGAAGATGACTCTGAGATATATATATATATATATATATATATATATATATAGTCATCATTCTGTCATGCAGGAAGGTCTGGGCTCTAGATTTAAGCCTTCTAGCATCTAATGCTGGGTCACTACTGTGATCAGAGGTCCTGATGAGGCTGTTTGCGTGTTTGTGCACAGAGGCGCATGTGTTGGGAACCGACCACCTACCCTTCCCCAGCACCATTACATACCCAGGCTCTGCTCTGACCTTACAGCCCACCCTCCATGGCCCCCAAGTGGTCTTGGGAGCAGATGCACAGCTGGTGGATTGGGCCTGGGCCCTGGCTTGCTCACCAAGCCCTGAGCTTCTGTTTATGACTAATTGCTTTGTTTGTTCTGTATGAGACACTTAATTTTTTTTTTCAGTGATTTACTCCTCTTTGTAATTAGGTGTGGTGATTAGAATCTTGTTCCTATTACAATGGAGTTTTCCTTTTAATTCATGCACATTCACCAGGCCTATCTCCGTCTGTTCCATTGATTGTCCCCAGTTGGCTTTTCCCAAGCTGTCATATAAATCACAGTTCAGGGGTGGCTTAGAGACTGATACGAGTCCAAGGAATGAAAGAGAGCTGATGGGGAGTTTTGTTATATTCAGCTACCCAATAGTGATACATATTTAAGGATGAAGTCTCAATAAATCAGGGCACAAGGAGTTGGCAAATTACTTTAATAAGTGTTCTTTACTATATCTTCTGCATGTGATTTATTTTTTTATTAAAAATGTCATTACACACACATATACGTTTTGCTAGGAAAAGGTCTGAAAATAAACACTGAAGTGTTAACAGTGGGTGATTTGTATTTTCTTCTCTTTGCTCATAGGCAGTTTCTGCCATGTATATATGACACATGTATTAAAAAATAAGAGGTTTTGCAGGCCCTCCTTTATAACAGATTAGAAACAGCACATTTGTCAACTAGCCCAAGGTCACTTCACACATCAGCAAAAGACTCCAGGTCTTTAAAGTTCCAGAGCAATTGCTCAGTCCCCAGAGCTGACGTTCATCCGTCAGTCAGTCAGCAAGTAGTCATTGAGTCCTGGGTCTGGGGTGAGGGGCAGAGAAGGCATAAGATGTGGTTCCTGTTCACAGGTGCTTATGGTTTAGGGAGAGAGTTGTTTTTGTTTGTTTGTTTGTTTGTTTTTGAGACAGAGTCTTGCTGTTGTCCAGGCTGGAGTGCAGTCGCGCAATCGCGGCTCACGACAACCTCCGCCTCCCAGGTTCAAGCGATTCTCCTGCCTCAGCGTCTCGAGTAGCTGGGACTACAGGCGTGCACCACGATGCCCAGCTAATTTTTGTATTTTAAGTAGAGATGCATGTTGGTCACGCTGGTCTCGAACTCCTGACCTCATGATCTGCCCGCCTCAGCCTCCCAGAGTGCTGGGATTACAGGCCATGAGCCACCGCGCCCGGCCGGGAGAGAGGTTTTTGACAGAAACTTTCTCTTCCCCTGACCATGGCTCTGACCTCTCAAATTCCCCAGACTTTGGTTTCTCCTCCACGGATCCTCCTCCTTCATGATGCTGTGAAGGTGGCCGATGCCAGGGCATTGCCCTCTCGGTTCCGCCTCTTCCTGCAGGGCACCCTCCCTTCCCGTGGTCTCCCATCCAGCCTCCTTGTTGCTAGCTCTTGAGGCTGTGTGCCCTCCCGTTATGACCTCACAAGGCAGCCCCCCGGGATTCTCCTCATGCCTTTCCTTCAGTTTTCCCTTCTGTGGAACACAGACAAAGTCATGTTCCTCCTAAGTAAAGGGCTGGAGAGAATTCAGTGGAATGACAGACCAGTGGACTTGACTGGGGGTGTGCGTCCGAGGGGACCTAGATGTGATGCTGGAAGGCAGGGTAGCTTGCCTCGGGCCATGAGTGCTTGGATATTTCCCTGTGGGCAGTCGGAGACATGGAAGGTTTTCAGTGATCCTTCAGGAAAAGTAACCGGGTCACAGTCAGTGATGCCAGGAAGGTGGCCATCTTGTGTTAGGTCACAACTTACAGTGACAAGGTTCTGAAGCAAAGAGAGTTGTAGAAAAAGTGGCTGGGCGCAGTGGCTCACGCCTGTGATCCCTGCACTTTGGGAGGCCGAGGCGGGTGGATCAGCTGAGGTCGGGAGTTCGAGACCAGCCTGACCAACACGGTGAAACCCCGAATCTACTAAAAATACGAAAAATTAGCCGGGCAGGTGGCAGGCGCCTGGAATCCCAGCTACTCAGGAAGCTGAGGCAGGAGAGTTGCTTGAATCTGGGAGGCGGAGGTTGTGGTGAGCCGAGATCACACCATTGCACTCCAGCCTGGGCAACAAAAGCGAAACTCCATTTAAAAAAAAAAAAAAAGAAGAAAAAGTAAGGAAAGGGGAGAATGGGGGGTCCCATCAAAGGAAGAAATAATAGAATGGGATGGGGTAGCTTGGAAGACAGAGGACCGGGCAAGAGTGTAAAGCTTTCAACTGCAGGAGGTTGGGGTCACTAGTTGAAATGGAGTCTGGGGGAAGGTGTGTTTGTCATTGTTAAGATGTGCTGGGGTTGGAGGTCCCAGAATATCCATGTCACGGGAAACCAACAGCAAAGAAGTGAGCCTGCTGCTCTGGGGACAGGCCTGGCAACAGAGCACAGAGAGGCAATGGCTCTTCTTGCCACCTTCTTGCATAGGGGAGAGAGCTCAGATGGCGAGGGTGGGGGCCATGGATCAGGTAGGATGGATGACGCCCTGGAGTTTTATGGGGTGAGAGAAGAAAAGGGAGCCTGGGAGAGTTACAGAGAGGGGGTAGAGCACCTGGGGCCTAGAAAACCCCAGAGAAAGCATGGACATAAGGGAAGGTTGGGAGTTTAGGTATATTCTTACATTTTCCTTGACGTGTTTTCCTATTTAATAAAAAGGGGTGGGGTCTTCCAGACTTACTGAACAAATTAACAAGGAAAAAGCTCATCCCCTAACATATGCAGGTATTCCTTGCTTTTAGAAAGAATGCCTCACCAGAGTTGCTTAAGCAGAAATGTGTACAACTTGGTAGGCTATTCACTCTTTTGCCAGGGGAGTAAAAACCAAGAGAGAATGAAATTTCAGGTTAAAGCTATGCCAGTGGTTATTTGGTATGGCCGAGTGCCATCTTGGTTTGGGGGTGCGGCGGGGGGTTGTGTATATATTCAAGTTAGTATGTAAGTCAGGGTGGAGTCGGGGGACAAGGTGAAAAGCATATGGGAAATAAAAGCAGTTTCTCTGAAATTCTGTGGCTGTAGATTTCTTTCTCTGGAACCAAAGAGAAACTTTAATGAGTTTTCCTTTGCAGGTAAAGCAGTTTTATTCTGTAGCTGAGACTTCTCTAAATAAAGCAGCCTTCCTTCTACCTCCACTGCTCAGGCTCTCCCTTCCTGATGGCCCCCTCCAGACTCTCTTTAAAACAGAGTTTCATGCATGAGGAAGCATCATAATGTAATACTCATCTTATCTCCACACTTACCCAGCAGGCACTTACAAAAGGACAGTGGGCAAACCTTAGAAATCTCTGTGGCAAGCGGAGGTGGGACGTTTTCTTTAAAGACGCCCTCACCTAGGTCTGTCCAGGGCAGGACCCTGATGGGCCAATTAGCCACGATCAGGGTTTCCCTGCTCCGGCTCTTTCTCTTTGAAAGGCGTGGGCTCATCTTCCTTTACATTTCCAAGGTTCTCCACTTGTCTCCCTCGTGATAAACAGTGTAAGGCGGAGTGTCTAAAGGACTCGGGGAAAACCTGCGGGGTTATTATGGCTCATTTGGTAGATGAGAGGGATCTGTAATTTTCCGTGGTGTATTTGTATGCACAGAGATGTGATAAAGATGGCTTGTAGCCTCTTTCATTTTCCAGATGTCTCACAAGTGGATAAACATCGCTTCTTTCTCTGGCTGTGGGTCTGCTCTTTCTGGTGTGCTCCTGATGCCATGTTCCCTGGGAACGTTCGCAGTCATCTCACCGTCCCCGAGAACAGCCATTTTGTCTTGGCAGGTCTTCCCCTGGCCTTCCGAGGGAGTAGGGAGAAGGCTGCTGTCGGGGGAGGCCATGGGAGTGGAGGGGGCTCTGCCTCGTCTTCCAGAACCGTTCAAACATCTGGATGTGTTTAGCCCTTTTGATTCGAGTTGAGCAAATCTGGAGCTTGCTTTTTGTGCCTGTTGAAGGGCAAACCTTCCTGTGTCTTCCTCCATGTACAGACTGTGGGGACAGCCAGGGTTAGACAGGGCGTCTTGGGAGGGGAAGGACTTAAATCTCATGAAGACAGATTTCTGACAGCTAGGAAATGCCTGGAAATGGTGTGTATGTTGGGGTCAGGGAGGATCTGTAGGGTGATTTTCAAGCCAGTGCAGGCCCAGCCCAGACTCACAAACCTCCCTGCTGCTTGGTTAAACACATCTTAAAGATGCTAATTTTGTTGTACATTGACATGGTGAATGTTTTCCTAGTGTTGAATCCATAATGTATTTGGTATGAAGCTATAAAAAACCCTTTCTTATTTCCCTCCCTTTTATTTTACCTCCAAGATTTGTTAAATGAAGAATTTGTCTTTCTCAATCTATCTGTTTCTCTGTGTGTGTTGGGGGGGGGGGGTGTAAATCTCTTCCCATTGGTTTTTGTCTTTGTCTCTCTGTGTGTGTGTGTGTGTGTGTGTGTGTGTGTGTGTGTGTGTGTGTGTGTGTGTGTCTCCCCCACCCCCGACAATGACTAAGAAGCATTGAGAACTGGGCTTTTTCCTACAGATGCAGTGTGTCTTCTTCAAAGTGGGAGTCTGTGTACTTCTTCCAAAGATCCTGCCTTTGCTCTGCGCAGTTTCAAAGTGTTCACTGTGAACTCATATTCAGACTCTAGCATTTTCTTCTGAATATCCTCACTGGTGATAAATCTTTGGCCTTTGAAAGTGGATGTGATTTTTGGAAACCATTGCCAGTCTTGGTTCCAAATGACTTGTGGCCAAGATTGATTATGCTGTTTTTGGACCAAAATGCAATAGGACTATAAAATAATGACTAGTTGTTTTGCATGAGTTGGGAACTGACTAGAAGGGAATTCCCCACCCCCCTGACCCCCGCCTCACCAAAGTTTCAAGAAAATATTTCAAGTCTTAGTGAATAAAGACAGGGCCTTCCATGGTGACTTCTTTGAAGGGGATGATGACCATATGACGTCCACTCCGGTGTATTTGTCTATCAAACAACAAGACAGAGGGTGTATTTTTTTCTGCTTTTAAATTTGTAGGACGGGTCTTGTTGTATTGCCCAGACTGGTGTCGATCTCCTGGCCTCAAGCGATCCTCCCACCTCAGCCTCCCAAAGTCCTGAGATGATAGGTGTGAGCCGCCATGCCTGGCTTGCTGCATTTTCTTTTTAATCCTTGCTGTGCATTAGATGTGGCACCAAGCCAGCTGATGCTAGATAAAGGGCCAGGGTCGTTTATGAGTTAGTGTTTAGTGAAGACCTACTTCAGAGCGCAGCAGCAGCAGGCATTGCCCTTTTAAAACTCCTGCTGCAGGTCAGCAGCAGCTGTGTCTGGGAGCTCATGGCCAGGACAGAGGAAAGCCATCCTGAGTGCTTCGTCACCCATTCCCTTGCCTGTGGCCCGCTATTGGCTGGCAGCTCTGGACAGGCCATTCTGCATTGATATGAGACCCCCACCTCAATGCCACACACTGCAACCACACCACCCCTTCCTCTGCTGCCCGTATCCAGCGCAGACTTCCCGGACCTCCAGCCCCTACCATGTACAGAATTTGAGGCATCTACACTGACAGCCCTTTCTTTCCCTGTCCTGCCCACAGGAAAATCAACACATTTTCTTCACTAATAAAGTGAAGATTCAAATGACAGGAACCTTAAATCTCATTTTAAAGTGATGAATACAAAATGCATTTGAAGGCTAAAGTTTAGGGTGCTCCAAATAGCTTAAAAGATTTGATGCTGGCTGGGAAGAAGTCTGGAAGTGTTTCTTTCAGGGAGCAAAGAAAAGCCATACCATGGGACATAAGCCCCTCTTTGGAAGGCCTCTTCCAAAGCCTATAGTTTGCCCCCAGAAAGTGATGTTTTGGTTCAGATGCCATCAGATGTGTGGGATTGGCAAGACATGGGAAACAGAGTGCAGCTCACAGATACGCGCGTGAGCCCGGCAGGCCTGGCCAAGGGGAGATAGGAACTGGGAGATGTAGGGCACCTGCTGATGGCAGACAGTGGGCTGTGCTGGGAGGCTTGCACCTGGCTGGATAAAGTGCTGAAGGAGCGTGTTCTTGCACGTGTTCATGCACCCATGGTCAGAGGCCACAAGGCTGTTCCGGGACCCATTCATTAGAATAGAGTCCTCAAGTCCTAAAGTACAGTGTCATCTTCGATGAAAAATGGTTTCTGTGGTCCAAGTGAGAGGACCCCTGAGTCAGATCAGCATCGAGTCATTGCAGAAATCCACAGGGATCCTCGGGCAGCCCTGCCTCCATCTTCCCAGTCTGAGAGATGGGGCAAAGTGCTGCTTCTCAAGGGTTTTGAGGATTAATGAGCTGACATTTGAAAACTGCTTGGGAGACGAATTGGAAGTGCTAAGTATTACTATTTCATGTGGAAGTCTGAAAATAACTGCACCGAAGTGTTCTGATAAATAACTAAATTGAGCTAGTGAGGGGGAAATTTCAGCCGTCTAGAGAGTGTTTCTCTTAAATATTTTTTCTCTCAAGTGGAAAGGAGTGAGGGGGAGAGTGAGGAAGAATTTATCCAGGGAGAATTTGTGTGCGTTATGCCGCCCACAAATGGAAGAATATTGAGTCGGCCTCACCAGTCTGGCGTCATCTTGGTTGCTTGCTTTTTGTTTTGTTTTGTTTTTGAGACAGAGTTTCACTCTTGTCGCCCAGGCTGGAGTGCAATGGTGTGATCTTGGCTCACTGCAACCTCCGCCTCCCGGGTTCAAGTGACTCTCCTGCCTCAGCCTCCTGAGTAGCTGGGATTACACACATCTGCCACCATGCCCGGCTAATTTTTGTATTTTTAGTAGAGATGGTGTTTCACCATGTTGGCCAGGCTGGTCTCGAACACCTGACCTCAGGTGATGCACCCACCTCGGCCTCCCAAAGTGCTGGGATTACAGGCGTGAGCCACCATGCCCAGCTGGTTGCTTGCTTTTTGCTCCTTCTTCAACTCCAAACCCAAGGCATTGCCAAGCAAATGCAGTCCCCCCATGATTAATTCAGTTGTCTCTACCACATGACACCTTCACAAGGTCTTTTCTGCTTTTTCAAAACTTTCCCATCCTTTACGATTAGTGTCATTCCTGAAGATTTTTGGCCAAATGGCAGTTTCTCCATTCCTTCTGTTGTAGCACCTGATTGTGCCACAATCAGTCACTGCATTTGCCCATTGGTTTAAATGTCTGTTTCAGCTTGCCTCTTCACCTGGGGCATGGGAGGCAGAAAGGGTGCATTTTTCATGTGTGCTGGGCCTGCCACGTATTTGTTGTCAGTTTGTTCTTAATTGCGCTGTTTGTCACACCACCGTTCTGCCCCACGAGGTTTCCCCATCTACTCCTTCCTCTGTCTTGGTCCCATAGGACTTTCAGCCTTTTGTGTGGCTGGGTTTTCT
This sequence comes from Homo sapiens, assembly GCF_000001405.40. Taxonomy (NCBI): domain Eukaryota; kingdom Metazoa; phylum Chordata; class Mammalia; order Primates; family Hominidae; genus Homo; species Homo sapiens. Next base: position 57,510,190 of record NC_000017.11, read on the forward strand.
GCAGGCCTCTTTGGGGGCTGGTATGGATGGCCTTGGGTGGGGAGGGTGCCTGGGCCCCTGAGGCCCTCTTGATGAGGTGGGATGTTGTGAATGGTGGCCCCATCCCCAGGGAGCCCTCTCGTTTCTTCCTACCCTGATATTTTATAACAAGATGCTCATAAGCCTTTGGTTCCACTGGCGTGAGCTCCTAAATAATGTTGCACTCCTCTTGTTTTTTTTTTTGTTTGTTTGTTTGTTTTGTCTTTTGTTTTTCTGGAGACAGAGTTTTGCTCTTGTCGCCCAAGCTGGAGTGCAATGGCACGATCTCGGCTCACTGCAACCTCCGCCTCCCGGGTTCAAGTGATTCTCCTGCCTCAGCCTCCCAAGTAGCTGGGATTACAGGTGTGTGCCACCACGCCCGGCTAATTTCTGTATTATTAGTAGAGACAGGGTTTCACCATGTTGGCCAGGCTGGTCTCAAACTCCTGACCTCAGGTGATCCACCCACCTCTGCCTCCCAAAGTGCTGGGATTACAGGCGTGAGCCACCACACCCGGCCTCCTCTTGGTTTTAAAAGCCATGCGAGTTCTAAAGTCTGCTGGAGCTGGCCAAGGCAGAACACTCATCTGGAAACACCTTTTAGAAAATAGGCTTATGGCACATTTTTGTGTTTCTCTGGCTTTAGTCCATGGCACATAAACTGGGGTTGGGAGCAGGCATTTAAATCCCCAGGGCTAGCTCTTGTCCTGTCTCTGCCTCGCTGTATCCCGCTCTCTGGAGGTGGGAGGGAGCTGTGCCTGCCATGCATCCACCAAGCAGATGCTTCTGTCCCTGGAATCCCAGCTTTGCTTGGTGATCAGAAACTCCAGGGGTATCAGTCAGTCTTGACCCTTTGGAGGAGGTCACCACCACATCCAGGCAGGGACAGCGATTTATGCTTTTCCACTGATACCTGTTCTAGAACCAGAGGGGGTCAGCCAGCATGGTGCACTGAGTCCCCAGAGCAGGGTCCCAGGTGCAGCCTGAAGGATGGAAAAGACATGGGCCCTGCCCTCAGGGAGCGGATGCTCTGGCAGGAACTTACCATGGTCATGCAGACGTCAGGGTGGAACAAAGGAAGGCGCATTAATAAACCGCAAATGTGAAGTGAGTAGAATAAAAGGTAGAGTGGCGACCCACCCGCTCAAATATATTGAGTAGCCTCTCCTTCCCCTTACCGCCACCCACCCCACACTTACCCAGAGACACAGAGAAGGTTCATTAAGCTGGAATAGTCATCTTTCCTTCCTGCGTGCCTTGAGACTGGGGCTCCTCGGCTTTCGAGACCATCTGGGCTCAAGTCCTGCTGGCTCAGAACGCCTCTCATTTGCTCCTGGAGCGGGGTGTTGCCCTGGGGAGGCAGGTTTCTCTCGTGCGTACGGATGTTGTTTCCCGGGGTTGATGCAGCGTACTAACCCCAGCTCTGCCTCTGGCCTGCTGTGTCACCGTGCACAGCAGGGTTGATTAAGCCCCTGACCCCTTGACCTCAGTTGGCACTGTTGGATGTCCCCCAGGCTATTTGGCAATGGGGTATTGGTTTCAGCAGAGACTGAAGGTGGTCTCTCTGACATCATTTTGTTCCCCCAGGTTTCTTTCTGAAAAGCCAGAACCTCACCTTCAGGGTGGAGGCCCAGCCATTCCGCAGCTCACACAGGCCAGGCCCACACAGACAGCTGTGCTTTCTGCAGTTTCCCTGCCCTGCTCCCGTGGCTTACATTCCACTCCAGACACACACACCTGCTGCTCCATTACCAGGTCCCTGGTGCCCCTTTGCTTAGAAACCACCTCCTGCCATTTTTGTGATGAACCGTCTCCCCCAGCTAAGTTAGTGTCATTTTTACCCTGAGTATTCAGAGCCCTTGAGTGCATGAATGAATGACTAAAAACTGGGCCTTGACAGAGTGCCTGTATGTGCGCTGCATGGGGCCTGCACAGCCTAGAGCACTTATCACGTATCCTGCACTGATGGCGCCTCTGTCCCCATGAACTCAAGGACAGGAATCAAGTCTTCCTCATTTAAAAAGTCTTTGGGCCTAATATGGTAAATATGAGTTGATTAATTTTTTTTTTCAAATGAATGAATGGATTCTAAAGGTAGCACCACTGCCTCTGACAAACTTCTTTTTAAGTTAAGGGCTGCCCATTTGCTGAACAGAAGGAGCTCATTCAGCCCAGTTGTTAGGGCATTAAGTGGGCTTAGGGTAATAGCTCTGAAGCTGCTGTCACCTGTTGCCATCTGGCCAGAGTAGCCTCCTCAGGTAAGGGCTGAATCTCTTTGCTATGCAGGATGACACAGGGGGTCCTCACTGGAATAGAGGTTGGCCTCAGTGAGTTAATTTCCTCGTTGAACAGAACTCAGAGGCCGCAGAGTCTTAGTTAAGACTTGGCTGTAAATCACAGAAACCATCTCATGTCGGCACAAGCCTGTCTGTCCCTCTCTGTTGCCTGGTTTTCCATGCTTCTGCAGCCTTGTGGCAGGACACGGCTGCCTCCCATGTGGGCAGCATGGGCTGGACAGATAGATGTTAGAGAAAGTGGCCATTGTGTCTCATCCTGGGTACTCCTTGCTCAGGTGAAGCCAGCCTTGCCACTAATTTTAACTTCACTTAGCATCAACATCCTAACTGTAGAAAGAGGGAGGTCCTCAGACATGAACAATACTAGATCTTCTGACCAGCTCGCTGAGGATGTAATAATAATGGATGGCAGCTGTTTAGTTCTTCTTATGTGCCAGAATATTGCACATGAATTAGCTTCTTCCTTTTTTTTTTTTTTTTTCCTTCTGAGACAGAGTCTCACTCTGTCTCCCAGGCTGGAGTGAAGTGGCATGATCTTGGCTTACTGCAACCTCCACCTCCCGGGTTCAAGCGATTCTCCTACCTAAGCCTCCTGAGTAGCCGGAATTACAGGTGCCCGCCACCACTGCTGGCTAATTTTTGTATTTTTAGTAGAGATGGGGTTTCACCGTGTTGGTTAGGCTGGTCTCAAACTCCTGACCTCTGGTGATCCACCCACCTCAGCCTCCCAAAGTGCTGGGATTACAGGCATGAGCCACCACGCTCGGCTGAATTAGCATCTCTTAATGCTCATAACAGCACTATGAGATAGGTACCAACTTGAAGTGAAGTAACAGAGGCACAGAAAGGTTGAGTAATCTGCCCAATGTCACACAGCTAATAAATACTAGAGCCAGCATCCAAGCCCAGGGAGTCTAGCTCTAGAGTTTCTGGCCTCTCCCATTAGTCTGTACTGGTGAGCTGGGACCTGGGTCTAGGTGCCCTAGCAGGCACTGTTTGTGGACACATGGGTCATTGGCAGAAGAACTGCAATGCCTTTTATAAATCTAGAATTCGACAGTGTCACCAAGCAGATGGGATTCTGCAAAAGACAGGACTATATGCCCATGACCACATTTGCCATCATTTGATTTTAAATTGACAGCAGTTAGGGCGGAGGGGCTCCTTCACTGCAGTCCCTCAGGGAGCCTCACCCCCCTCCCGGGCTCTCAAACCCTCTGGCCAGCTCCTTGTGCTTCTCCTGTGGTGATGAAGGGCAGTTTCTTGAGTGCCACATAGTTCCTGAGATCTACAGAGACATCTTGACCTTGGAAATTCCTATCGTTCTTAGAAAATCCCTAGTTCTGGAGCTAAAGTAGGAAAAATTATAGAGCTGAGTAGTTGAGGAGCAGTTTAATTAAAAACGACAAAAAAAGAAATGTAAATGAATTAGGCAAAAATCTTCATGGGGCATCATTATTGGTAGAGGAGGACCCTGAGAGGAGATTAAGATTTCCTTTTATTTATTTTTAAGTTCCATTGTAATTGAACCCTTAGGCTTGAGAGGGTAAGGATTCCTCACACAGTCTGATTTCAACAAGAATTTGTCTTTGTTAATTTATATAGGGAAGTGTAGTAAATCTACCAGGAACAGGACGTTGGCCCCTGTACTATTTCAAGGGGGTCTTGAGAGTAATAGCGCCTGACAGTTTTCCAGCAGCTAAGGGATTTTTTTTTCTGCTTCAGAAAGCAAAATGTTGTATGAGTTGTGCAAAATGTAGAAATGATTTGAAGAATTAGGGTGCAGCAAATAGTACAGTTTTCAGCAAAGCACTGAAGACTTCATCAAGTTATAAAGTTAGCAAGTGGAGGGAAGACAGGGGTGGACCAGTGGGGTACAGCACAGGTGTGCTGTGGGCCTGTCATTCTTGTTTAATTTCCTTTTTCCCTGGTCCCAATTTGAATTGCCAAAATATGTTAGATTGCAGTGCATTATTTCATTTGCCTGCTTTGTAATTCCTCTTTACCTCAAACAGATGAAAACATGGCACTAAAGCAAATTGACAGCTCTTGAAATGAGAAAGATCTTTATCCTTCAGAGTGTTGATGTAGAAATAAATGAAAGAAAAACATACTTGTTGGGTCTTGAAGCAGCTTGAATTGATACTTTTTTTTTTTTTTTTTTTTTTAAGGGAAGATATGGGTTTTTCCCTCTCCGTTCTTTTTTCCCCCTTAGGGTGTTGTGTGGCTCAGGGATTAAGTAGGAGGGTTGGTTATTCTGTCAATACTCATTTACAAAGATCTGAGTCATGATTTGGGTGTAAGGAGTAGACCAAAAATTTCCAACCTCTCAGGGTCAACAGAAGGAATGCCGAGTCCTCAAGTTGACTTCCTTACCTCAAAAAATCTATCAGGCACCATGGGTACCCCACCCCAAACCACATATGGGCCAACTGAAATGTCAGGCCTGCTTGCCTTACACAGAGCACCCCGACACACCCCATCCCAGCCACTTCACGCTGCCAAAAAGCTCCAGTGATGATCAGGATGAATATTGATAAATGATTTTCCATACTTCAAAAGTAAGTAGTTTGGTGTATGAAAGATCTCAAAACATTTAAGGTCTGTGTTTCAAAAATTAAATGAAAGACAGGCCTAATGGCTCAAAATAGAAAGATTGGAAACCACTGGGTTTGATGCTCTTTTTTATCTGAGTCTATTTTGTTTTGTTTTGTTTTGAGACGGAGTCTCGCTCTGTTGCCCAGACTGGAGTGCAATGGCATGATCTCGGCTCGCCGCAACCTCCGCCTCCCGGGTTTAAGCAATTCTCCTGCCTCAACATCCCGAGTAGCTGGGATTACAGGCGCCTGTCACCATGCTGGGCTAATTTTTGTATTTTTTAGTGGAGATGGAGTTTTGCCATGTTGGCCAGGCTGGTCGTGAACTCCTGACCTCAGGTGATCCATTTGCCTCGGCCTCCCAAAGTGCTGGGATTACAGGTGTGAGCCACTGCACCTGGCCTTATCTGAATTCTTTTCTTTATCCTCCAAAATCTTCCTGAAACTCAACAGTACGCACTTATTGGACGCTTATTTTTGTATTAATCCCTCTAGTGGGCGCTAGGTAGGGAATGCAGAGCTGTATATGAAATTTCCTGAGGACTAGGGAGAGGAAGCGATGGGGGAGTGTGGACCACCAATTCATGTATTCATGTGACAGAATAAGATTTCAGAGTTGTGTATGCCAGCGCCAAATACAAGAAACAGATAAGGGATAGATATTTCTACTGTATGCCTACCTTATTTATGCCTACTTTATCCAAATCAACAGAAATGAGGGCATAGTTGTTTGTATTATAAACAGATCTGCCATGGGGTTTCTTGAAATCATGAGCCCCCTTGTGGTTTCTTTTTATTATTATTATACATTTTTATTTTAAAATAGTGTAGGACTCACAAGAAGTTGTAAAAATAGGACAAAGAGCTCTTGTGAACCCTTCATCCAGCTTCCCACAATGATAGTACTCCCATAACCACAGTACTTTGTTAAAGCCAGGAAACCAGTGTTGGTACCTTATCAGTTTTCATGTGTATTTGTGTGTAATTCTTTAAAATTGTACTACCTGGAGATTTGAGTAACTATCACTACAATCAGGATATATAATAGAACTGTTCCATCACCCCAACAAACTCCTTGTGTTTCTCCTTAATAGTTACACCCTGGCCCCACTCCTAACTCCTGGCAACCACTGATCTGTTCCTCATCACAATAATGTTGTCGTTTTGAGAATGTCACAGAAATGGAGTCATACAGTATGTAATACAGCCTTGATACTGACTTTTTCACTTGGTATGATCCCTCTGGTCAGTTGTGCACCAGTTGTGTACCAGCTGTATTCCATTGTAGGAATGGAATGGAATGGTTTGTTTGTCCATTCCCCCTGTGTTTCCAAAAGATGGTTTATTTGCATGCGACCCATTGCATCACAGTACATCAAGCCGGGTACACTTACAAAGTTAAACCTCACTCATCCGTACTGATTTCACAACTTTGTAGTTATCAATACAAAGTCTGTTATCCCATTATGCAGTCCTCATCCAACAGATATTTGTTGAGCATCTGTGCATGCCGGGGCTGGAATGCATTCTGGTAATAGCATAGGGTAGTCATTTGCCACAGGCCAAATGCTTTCCTGCGTGTTGTATCAATAGTTTCTACTTTTCAATGCTGGGGTGAAGGTTAACAGTGATCACGTGTTCCTTTTACACACAAGGAAGCTGAGCTGCTTTGGAAAGCCATGCCCAAGATCATGCGTAAGTGGAAATGGAGTGGGATTTGAACCCAGGATGTGTGATGGCATGCCAAGTTTCTTTTATTCTGTAACTGTGGCTTCAACTGTACCCGCTGAATTGCTTACAGCCAGTTTGCTCCTCTAGAAAATGAGTGGACTGGACTCATATCCTTTTTATCCTCTCTGCCTTGAAGAGTTTATGATCCTCCCTGAACAAGAAGTAACTTTGCCCAGTGACTGCATCTCTCAGCCTGTTGCTGCACTTGAAGTTTGTTCTCAGCAGCATTTTCTTAGCCATTATTTGAAGACAGTTTCGGAATTCAAAAGTAGCAAATTAGAATTCCTCTAAAAACAGTCGGTAGTTCAGACCTTCCCTCATTTTGCTAATTTTTGACAGGGTCTTTGGGTCAGGACCAGGACTGGGAAACCCATGGGACTCTAGGGATGACTTTAGGGATAAGGGGATTGGGGAGATTGGCTGCCAGGCAGCCCAAAGGGGAAGGAGCAGGAACTTCCTTGGATGTCATCAAAGCCCCATGAAGAAACTCTGGGGCTGAGTGGTGCTGAGTGCGCTGATTCGGGTGCCTGATGCTATACAGTTCGCAGAATTCTGCCTTGTGCCAGAATTGCTGGGGATCAGAGGAGGCTGCTATTTCAGGCATCTAAGTGCTACTGCTGCTGAATTCAGGCCTGAGCAGCTTGTCCGAGAGGGCGGGGCAGAGATGCTCCTCCAAGCTTTTGAAGCTCCACGAAGGGTTCAAAGGAGTCTTGGAGAAGGGATTCCTGTACTGGGCGGGAAGTGGAAAGGTGACCTTTGGGTCACTTCTAACTCCTGAGTCTGTGATTCTGAGGCAAATGGAACTTCCTCTCTCCCTCGGTTACCAACATGCACTCCAAGATCTGGCTGAGTTCATTGGAATCAAAGGCTGGTACCTTCAAAGGGCTGGTGGAGAGAAAAGGGCCTGGGGCTTGGGAAACCTGCAGCTACTCCGTGACCTCTGGCTTATCCCCTTGCCCCTCCTCTGTTGTGGCCAAGAAAAGTGGTGGGGCTCTGGGACCCAACAGACCAGAGTCCACCTCCCATCAGAGTGGCAGAAAGAGATGGTGGGGGATGGGGAGGCACCGTAGTACAGGGGTGTCAGAGAGCCCAAAGGTCATTCTAAACACACATTTTTTCATCTGTGCTCTGCAACCAACTCTGCGTGTTTGTCAGACAAAAGAGCTTTAATAAATATTAGTTTAATGAATAAATGTGTCACCTTGGCAGAGCTCTCCCTCTCCCTCAGTCTTCTTTTTTCATCAGCCAGTCTTAAAGAGAGCAGGGTGGAAGATGTCTGAAGCCCTGTCCTGAAAGCTGATGCCCTCAGAAGTTCCCTGCACTGGGGCCCCTGGCCTTTCTGAAATGTAGGCAAGCCCTTCATCCCATTATCAAGCCATGTTATTTACCCTCCCTGTTTTCCAGACAGAAAGAAGGTGCAGATGGCCCATGGGATTAAAATTGGGATTGGAACCAAGATTTTCCAAGCCTACAAAACTCCTTTCTCCTCTCCCCCTCCCCTCCCCAGGCGTATGGCTGCAGCTACGCTTGTCACCATCCGAGACTGCATTGGCCACAGGAGATGTGGATGATTTTTCCATTTGTCCTGATGTTTATTTCATGCCCATCAATATCAGCCCGTATTAGGACAGATGAGGTGGCTATTTACAGGCTGTGCATTTTCACACTTGGTAATTATAAACCCTTCCCTGGTTCGGTCAGAGTCGTGGAGATCCATTTTGGCAATTAGCAGTTTAGTATTTGTTTAATGGGAATGTGAGAGAGTGTTCCGGCACATCAGTGCTCCCCTAAATGATTTGCCTCTCTCCTCTGGAGCTGGCAGGCTTGGGCCTTTTTCATGGTAGGTGAGGCCTGATGGGGAGAGGCTGGAGAGGGGGAGAAGGGAGCATTCAGCAGTTCAGCAGCCTGCCTGCCACTCCCCTCCCCCAGCACATGCACGCACGCACTCACAATCAGTGCTGAACACGGGCCTGGATTTCCAGAGCACAGCAGCCGCCACTTGAAGGAGCCTCACACGAGAGGCCGTTAGGCCAGATGCCATTTCCATGTGACAGCTGTCAAGCCTGCCGGATCCAACTGCTGCTCCTCAAACAGCTCTCTCTCTCAGTGTCTCTCTCCCCTTCCCTCATCGCCTCCTCTCTACACCCCATCTCAGATATCCCCAGTGACAGCCTGCTGCCCCACTCTCCAGGGTGGTGCTTGGGCCCACGGCTTTGCAAGCTCAGCCAGAATGGAGCTCCCACCCAGTCCTACCTCTCACCGGGAGACTCTGCCTTCCCTGGCTTAGTCTTGAGATAGGGCCTCCTGGGACTGCTCCCCCAAGGGCACACTGGTTCTGTTAGTGGCCTTCCCTTGGCATAGTCCATTCACAATAAGAAAACCCACAGCATTGGGTGTGGCTCCCGGCTTAACTGCATGGACCATGTATGGGTGTGTGCATGCAGGCGAGGGGATTGCCAGGATGGGGCAGTGAATTGAGCCAGTGTCTGTTATGATGAGCATTTTCTGTGTGGTAGGCGCTCACTGGCTACCACATGAGCCTTCCTAACAACTCCAGGAAGCAAGACACACTGAGTATCCTTAGAGTCACTGCACGGGGCGGGGAGACTCGCATGGCTGAGCCTGGACTGCGTTCCAGAGCCCTCTGGCAGTTCCAGCTCTGCTAGAGGCTTGCTCCATGACTATGGAGGAGCCCGGTGATCTCGAGCTTTTGGAATTCACTTATCTAAAAGGAAGAGACCCAATATCCTCCTCTTTCCTTTACCTTTCCAATCATTCCTCCTCTCCCGAGCCTACCGGGGCAATATACCTCCATTTCCTTGAGGTTACCTAATCACCTCTATTCACTTTTTGGTAGAGTTTTAAAGCAGTGTTTGTTGGTTCATCCAGCAGACAGGGGCACTGCACAAAGCTCTTAGGGATTCAAAAAACAGAACACAAGTAAGGGAGAACAGAAGACTTAGGGACTCATCTGATTTTAACTACTGGCTCCACCATTTACTTACCTGTGTGATCCTAGGCAAGTCACTTACTGTCGGTGAACCACAATTTCCTCACCTGTAAAATGGGTGTATGATGCCACGTGTGTGGGCACGTGCCTGTAATCCCAAGCTACTCAGGAGGCTGAGTCGGGAGGATCGCTGGAGCCCAGGAGTTTGATACCAGCCTGGGCAGACAAATCGAGACCCCATCCCTACAAAAAATAAAAAATAAAAATTTTTAAATTTTAAAAAGAGAAAAAAAATGGGTGCCTGAAATGGGTATGATAGTATCTACCTCCAAGCTATTGCAGTAATTAAATGAGCTTTGCAAATTGCCTATTACGCTCCAGTAAATGGTAGTTATTATAACAATCATTATTTCAGGAGGATAGACATTTTATAACTTAGAGTCTGATACAGACTTGTGGAATCAGAATCTCTGAGCAGGAGGTTTTGCCTTAGGTAGATAAAATGTCTACGTCTCCAGGATTAAGTTGTCTGAAGACCCCACATCTTTCAGTTCCCATGGGCAGGTGTCCCTTTGTTGAATTCATAACTGCTATCTGATAAACATTGTGCGTTTTTTCTTGTAAGCTAAATGGGAAAATAGAATGATCCCACAAGAATAAAAGAAGTAAATGTAGGAAAAAATTAAGGGCTGTAAAGGTCTTGCTAATGGGGACAAAATACTCTGGCCATTGTAAGGTGTGGGAGCCTTCTGTGAAGAGTTCGAGAAATGTTCTTAATGCCACTGAACTGTAGACCCCAAAAATGGTTAAAATGATAAATTTTATTTTATATATTTTTTGCCACAATTAAGAACAATTTTTTTCATTTAGGAGATATTTTATTTTATTTTTGAGGCAGTCTTGCTCTGTCGCCCAGGCTGGAGTGCAGTACCATGATCTCAGCTCACTGCAGCCTCCGCCTCCTGGGTTCAAGCAATTCTCCTGCCTCAGCCTCCAGAGTAGCTGGGATTACAGTTGTGCACCACGACACCCAACTAAATTTTTTTTTTTTCTTGTATTTTTAGTAGAGATGGAGTTTCACCATGTTAGCCAGGCTGGTCTTGAACTCGGGACCTCAAGTGATCTGCCCACCTCGGCCTCCCAAAGTGCTGGAATTACAGACGTGAGCCACTGCCCCCAGCCCTAGTTGAGGAGAAATTATGTAGACTTTTTCTCTTGTTAGTCAGTAAAGGCCTGGGTTCAAATTAAAATAAACAGGCTTTCAGATGGATGCAAACTAGCATTTTTTGACATTTGGAATGAAGGAAAAACGTGCCTGGCAGCAGCAGCTGGGATAGAAACTCCAAGCGCACCTTCATCACTGCAGTCTTCCAGGGGTAAACACACAGGGACAGAAAGGCTGGCTGTAGCAGGAGGAGGCCAAGAACCTGAGATGGGCAGGAAGGCAGCGGCTGGCAGGCTGAGGCTTGGACTCAAAAGCCCAGCATCTGAACCCCAGGCCCAGCCCCTGCCGGCTCTAGGACAAACCAGTAGGAAAACTGAGTCTCAGAGAATTTGTAATACTCCCTTTCTCGTGGGGTTATTGTGACCACGAAAGTAGTAATAATACCTGTGAAAATATTGGTGGTGATGGGAAAAAAAACAATGGTTTTGTTAGGTTTTCTTAAAGCCCTCTGTTCATTTTTGGCTCTTCCGAGCTGCTTCTCATATAGAACTTTGGCTTTCTTGTACTAAGACTGAGTTAAGCTTAAGGAGAGCCCTAAGAAAGTAGGATGAGGCAAGGAGTGCCTGCTCCTGACTTCTGGCAGGGAATGAACTTCTAATCTTTAGGCAGCAGAAGGCCCATTAATACTCATTTACTTAGGGCCTGTCTACACACACATATGCTGTGTTACGGCTCAACTCAGCTCTATTTAGCCATTTAGAACGGTGGGTCTCGGCCTTGGCTGTACCCTGGATCACTGGGGAGCTTTAAAAAATCCTCTTTCGGGCTGCCCACTCCAGAGTACTGATTTAATAGGTTGGGGTGTGGCCTTGGTGAGCAGTCACGGCTGAAAAATCACTGATGTAGATTTCAGAATGAACCAATGGGATTTTCCAGTCTGCTCCTTCTTCTCCGTCCTTCCTCTTTGGAGAATGGTTAAAGACAGACCAACCCCACCCTTTTCAAGGCCAGAGCACACGGAAAAGTCTTATTTCAATAAACTACACATTATTCCTGAGCTTTACGGAAGGAACCGATTTGGGTTTTGCCTAAGCTGGCAGGGAGAGAGGTGGAGACAGTGCCTTCCCATGTTCTGCGTAATCCTGGACCCAGGCAGCGGCTGTCTCCACCACAGGCCCCAGGCACCTGTGGCCTGGGCAGTCCTGCCACCTCAGCCGAGTCTCACTCTTGTGGCCTTAGCTCCTTGAGTTTACAGAGCATAATGCCTGTTAAGCCTGACACACTATAGTATCATGGTATTGCATTTGAGGGTGTTTATTTATACTAACACTTGGAGCGTTTGAGTGGGAGCAGGAAGAGAAATTCAAGGGCATTTGTTCTGGGGGAGTTTGGAGAGCTGGGTTTCTTCTCTTCCCTTTCCCCTCCCTCCTTGCATTTGACCAGATAATTTAAGGATCATCTGAAGTGCCGTTTCCTGCTTTGTTCTTGATATGTGTGGCTTGCGGGTGTGTATATTTATATCCCCAGAGGAGTAGGACATTTCTCAGGGCATGCATCGGCCACAGCAAAGCTCTGGAGCAGCCTCACAGCACAGAGAGTTTGCAAAAGCCCAGTGGCCAAGTCAATGCTTCCAGAGCATCGTCCCAGCTGCCTCTGGAGTCCATGTTAGCATTCCAGGCAGAGAGTCTTTATGCATGGATCTTAGGGGCCATCTCATAGAATTTCCTCCTTTCACAGAAGAAAAACTGAGGATAGAGGAGGGAGGTGACTGGTCCTCAGTGAGATCCTGGTGGGGCTGGGATTAGAACCTGGACTCCCTCCATGCTTGGTGCGGCACTCCCCACCACACCCAGCTGCCTCCCAACACCTGCTGAGTTACGTACCAGCAACACTGCTCTTTAGCTGTCTCCTGGGAACAAGTTTTTTGTGTCCTCAGATCAGTTCAGCTTCACTCACCTACTATGTATTTGGGGAGCCAAAACTGTAAAACCTTCAGCAGAAGAGGCAGTGGTCCAGGGGACATACTGTAGGTTCCCACCCATTAGCCAGCTAACTGGACAATAGCATTTTTGACCTCCCTCCATGTACCTTTGCATTGTGTCCTTTTTTTTTTTTTTTGAGGTGGAGTCTCACTCTGTCATCCAGGCTGGAGTGCAATGGCGTAATCTCAGCTCACTGCAACCTCCACCTCCCAGGTTCAAGCAATTCTCCTGCCTCAGCCTCCCGCGCAGCTGGGATTACAAGCACACACCACAACGCCCACCTAATTTTTTGTATTTTTAGTAGAGACGGGATTTCACTATGTTGGCCAGGCTGGTCTCGAACTCCTGACCTCAGTGACCTGCCCACCTCTGCCTCCCAAAGTGTTGGGATTACAGGCGTGAGCCACCACGCCCGGCCTGCATTGCGTCTTTAAAGTTTTCCTATTCAGCCAGCACGTGAGCTGGGCTGTCTCAAGTCTAACCCCTGGATGTGGTCAGTACCATCTGGCTACTTCTAAAATCACCCAGCAAGAATGCCTGGCTCACAATAAATCTTTTGACTCATTAGAAAGAGGGTTCACTCATTCACTAAATGAATTAGGATTAGAGAGGCATCACCCACTGACTTGAGTGGTAATTATTGCTGATTTTCACGGTGCTCATTTAGTGAGGAACATGTTGCCAGTTTCTCTTGGCGCTTCTAGGATCTCTGTCTCCAACCTTGCTGATGGGGTGAGATTTAGAAGAGGTCCGTCCACACCTTAATGCCTGTGTTCCATGTGGAATGTTCCATGAAGAGCGTGCTCCATGTGGAATGTGGAACCTGATAGTTTAATTCTCTGCCACATTTAGCACTTTCCCTTATTCTGCCCCTTTTCTTTCCTTTGCTTTCTAGTATTATTTTAGACTGTCTATCTTCTGATTACAAGCTTTCTTTGTTGTTTTGGGGGATTTTTTTAGAATGAGGACCACGTATGAGTTACCTATGGCCACAAGAATGCTGTGTAACTAACCCCAAAACTTCAGGGGCAGGCAGTAACTGTTTATCTCACGTGTTTGGAGTAAACTTGGAGTGGTTCTGCTGATCCTGGCTGGCCTCACTTGCATGCTTTGAGGGTGACTGGCTGTCCACCCATCTAGGCTGGCCTCGGCACAGGGAAGTTGGCCCTGCTCCATGTGCCACCCATCCTGCATCAGGCTAGCCTGGGCATGCCCTTGTCATGGTGATGGCAGAGGTGCAAGAGAGAACAAGCAGGAACTTGCAAATCCTCTTAAGGCTAGGCCCAAAACAGGCATACTCTTCCCCCCACCGCATTTTATTAGCCCTAACAAATTAAGCCCAGATTCAAGGGATGAAAGTAGACTCCACCTCTTTGGGGGAGAAGGACCGCAAACTCACAGAGGAACGGGTGTGAGACCATTCATATCATCAGTCCACCATAGACCTGTGTGAGTTGTCTTTTATTTGTACTTAGGCTGATGTTTTGCAAATAGCGAATGCCTCATACATGCATGTTGCATAAAAGTAAATAAAGTTACCATTTGCTAAGTTTTCTATTCAAGATTGGATTGGCTGCATAATCTAGACATGAGTTTATCTGTTAGATAGATCTAGACATGAGTTTATCTGTGAATAAGAGTTTATCTGTTAGAAGGAAAGTTTATGTCATCCTAGTAGAATCTGGATTTTTCTTTCATCGGGTGCAGGGCAAGTTGGTTGCCACTAAGAAATCCCTCTTCTTATCATCTTTTCCATCGTGGGGTCTACCATCATCATTTTTAGGATTTTAGAATATAAACATCTGAGAGAAGGGGAACAAAGAGAGGGAGAACTTGCCACACTGAAGTGTGGAACTTGCTCCTAGATGGGAAATTTTGTTTCATGTATTGACCACTGAGTGTATGTTAAAGAGGAAGAAGCAACCTCTGCCCAGTGTCTTTAACCTTTGCTCTTGCTTCTTACCCTTAGAGTAGCTCATGGAAAGAGGGGTCTCTGGGCCAGCAGCTGCATCAGCATCACCTGGGAGCTTGTTAGAAATGCAAATACTACTGAATCAGTCACTCTGGCTCTGAGGCCCCCGGGAGATCTGTGGCTTAACAGTCCCTCTGATGATGATTCTGATGTGGATGATATTTGAGAATCCCTGCCCCAACTCCAGCAGCCATAGAAACTAACAGATTAGGTCCCCTTTGTTGACTCTCACATACTTCTGAGGATATTACAGCATAGTCTGAACCGTGCAGTAGTCAGAAATATGTTCAATACCTTCTGGTGTCAGGACAAAGACAGAGGCATCCCATTCCCCACCAGCTTACCTAAATGTTACTTTACTTTGCTTTTTTGGGGGGGGCAGGTGGGGGAGGTTGTGTTTTGAGACAGGGTCTCGCTCTGTAGCTCAGGCTGGAGTGCAGTGGTGCAGTCATGGTTCACTACAGCCTCAACCTCCCAGGCTCAAGCAATCTTACCATCTCAGCCATCTGAGTAGTTGGAACCACTGGTGTGTGCCACAATGCCTGGCTAAGTTTTTAGTATTTTTTTGTAGAGATGAGGTCTTGCTATGTTGCCCAGGCTGGTCTCAAACTCCTGGCCTCAAGCGATTTTCCCACCTCAGCCTCCTAAAGTGCTGGGATTACTAGACATGAGCCAGCATATCCGGCCTATTTTGCTTTTTCATTCACAAAGATACACCACTAAAGATGTCAGGGCCATATCTCAAACCTGCCCCAAGTTATTACAAGGTACATCTCAAGGTTGGAATAAGCTCCTTTTCCCAAAACAGACCAGGGTTCTGCCAGGACATGGGACAAATCATGCTGAGGATCAGACACCTCTTGTCCTTCTGTCTCCCTCAGGGGAGCCACTAGGCCTGCAGGTGCCCATTTCAGGTACAAAGAATTTTGTAAGGCAGGTGAGCGCGTTGTCAACATGAAGTAAGTACCAGAGTTAATCATAAGGATGAGGGTGGTGTCCCTAGAAGGGGTATTTCATAAGGGGTTAGAGAAACTCCTGTTCCTGGCCGGGCACAGTGGCTCACACCTGTAATCCCAGCACTTTGGGAGGCCAAGGTAGGTGGATCACAAGGTCAGGAGTTCAAGACCAGCCTGACCAATGTGGTGAAACCCCGTCTCTACTAAAAATACAAAAATTAGCCAGGCATGGTGGTGCATGCCTGTAATCCCAGCTACTCAGGAGGCTGAGGCAGGAGAATCACTTGAACCCAGGAGGCGGGGGTAGCAGTGAGCCAAGATCATGCCATTGCACTCCAGCCTGGGTGACAGAATGAGACTGTCTCAAAGGAAAAAAAAGAAAAAAGAAAAACTCCTGTTCCCAGCTTCCCCTAAGCTTTTGGGCTCTCCTAGCATCTTGAATGAGGCCTGGCCTGTGTGTTCATGTTGATGAGTCTTCATAGCCCCCTGATATACCTGGGTGTGTGTGTGTGTGTGTGTGTGTGTGTGTGTGTGTGTGTGTGTGTGTGTGTGACAGAGAGAGAGAGAGAGAGACAAAGACAGAGACCGAGAGAGTTATCAGCTGGCTGGCTCCAGGATTGAATACCAGTTACCTTAACTGTGCCCCTTATTTTCCCTTGACTCACACAAGCCGCTTCTGTTTGATTCACATAGAACCGTGAGAAACAGTCTCGTATGTGAGACTGTGTTTTTCATTCTATTCAGTCTTTGTATATTCAAATTCTTCTAGTTTCAGCTCTTGCTGTTCTGCCAGATTTCCATCGCATTGATGGCTTCTCTGAATTAATAAGTATTTTGCAATTGCTGAAAAGTTTTCTACCCCCAAGCACTGGGACTTATCCATATTGATTTTTCTCCCGTTTCTCTTTCCTCTCTAGCTCCTTCTTAGATGTTGTATTTTGTAACGTGTTAATAGAATTTTTCTTTCGTCCTGACACTTTATCTATTCAGGAGGTCTTTGCGAGCCCCATTGTACAGCCGGACTACAGAGGAAAGAGCTGTATTCTTTATGACAATGGTTGCCCTAAAAACATATACAGATCCTCCCCCACGCTCACCAGGGTGGAGCGAATGTTGAGAGGGCGCTATTAGAAAACGTCCAAACTTAGGAAGGAAAAGGAGAGCCAATTATGCACTGTTGAAAGGAGGTTTTGAAAATACGTTTTAAAAAAAATCCAAAACATTTATTTCCTAAGGGAATCTGAGTCCCAGTACCAAAACATGGCCAGCACAGAAGGGCAGCTGTTTTCCTTACTGTTAGGCATTTTCAGTTCAAAATAAGGATTTGGCAAAAGTCTTAGAAAATATGGAGATGGGTGCAAAACAGATGTCACATTTACCTGCGTGATACCTGGCAGGACTCATCCCCCACCCACCCACCCACACCCCAGGCATTCGAATTCCTATTGAGTCCCAGGGTCTGAGTCTGAGATATGCTCATATCACCATATGCTCGAGTGTGACTGCTCTGTGTACAAACACACCAGTTGATCTTATGGTGATTTTGCCTGTGTGGTGCACGGGAGGTGGAACGGCTGTTGTGTGTGTGGCCCCAGCAGGTTACCGTCGGCGGGGGCTCTTGAAGCCTGCCCAAAAGGAGTTTGTCCTGCCTGGGATGGGCATGGGGATCTCCAAACTAGCATTGCCCACTCCCATCATCCTGGTGCCTGGGAGAGAGGGGGCAGCTGCCTGCTGGAGGAGCCACCATGCCAGGCCATTTTCCTCCCAGTAACTGACTTCAGAAATGGGGAGCAGAAGGGGAAGGCCCCAGGAGCCTGTTTGTTCAGGCTTGGTTGCTTAGCAACAAAAGGGGGCCCTGACTTGAGAAGAGATTTTTAAGCCAGGCCAGTCCCTTTGAGGTTTATGACCGGCTTGCCTACCCCCATCTTCCATTCTTACCTTGACTTTGCTCTTCCCCCTATTACATTTGATCGCATCTAGAAAAATACGTTTGATTTGTCTGCAGGCACCATTTTAAACCTTGGTTTATTGCTTTGCCCAGCGTCTTCCCCTCCATTGGAGATTGTAGTCTGGGAGGAGTGAGGCATGAATAGCCCACGATTCCTTTTCTCAAAGGGATTAGCGCCAGCCCCCAAGCTCATTTGTGAGCCTTTGAGTGCACATCAACGGTGCTCAGTCCTTCTTAGCCACAGGCACACAGTGAAATTGCTCTGAGGACAGGGCCCCCCGCTAACAGTTTTACCCCCCCTACAGCCACACGGACTGGGTTGTATTTTTACCATCAACCTTGAGCACAAAGTAAATGAAGAGAGTAGGCTGCACACTGGTCAGACCAGGTGCCCTCCCCCGGTGCGTAGCTGAAGGGTGAGGACAAACACCTGTGCTAAAGATGTGTGCTCTGTGGGATAAAGGAGTGGGTCATAAATACTCATAAAAGGAGTGCATTCCAGAGCGGAATCTGGTTCATTAAGTGTGAGTTCCTTGAGCTCTACGTGGGAGTTGAGTGTGGACCCTGAAATCTTATTGCCAGAAACATGCAGAAGGGGTTACAGGATGCGTGGGAGGGGTCTGGAAGGGATTAGCAAGAGAGACAGAGGACGCCTTTGCTATTTTATTATGTTCTTCTCTTTGATGTTTTTAAAAAGGTCCTAGCATCAGTGTATTTGTTTGCTAGTACTGCCATAATAAAGTAACGCAGATTGGAGGGCTAAAACAACAGAAATGTATTTTCTCACAATTCTGGAGGCTAGAAGTTCAAGATCAAGGTGTGGCAGGGTTGGTTTCTTCTGAGGCCTCTCTCCTTGGCTTGCAGTCTTCTCCCTGTGTTGGCACATGGTCTTCCCTGTTTGTGTTTGTGTCCTAATCTCTTCTGATAAGGACACCAGTCATATTGGATTAGGGCCCACCCTAATGATCTCATTTTAAATTAATTACTTCTTTGAAGAACCTCTCTCCAAATACGGTCACATTTTGAGGTCCTGGGGGTTAGGACTTCAACTATGAATTTTGGGAGACACAGTTGAGCCCATAACAATCAGGATGTTCAAGCTTCACTGTTTATCACTAAAAACAATTCACATGTCTATTAGAAGGGCAATAATTAAGTAAGCTATGGCTTCTTACACTGGGAAATATGCATCGGTCAAGATAGTAGTATACATGATATACTAACCTGGAAATTGTTTGCCATATTGTAATGTTACAGGTTAACAAAAGGACAAATTCCATATACTATATGATTTAAACTATATTGAAATAGTCATAGTTTTTTCTTTCTTTAGAAAAAAAATACTCCAGGCCTGGAGCAGTGGCTCACACCTATAATCTCAGCGCTTTGAAAGGCTGCTGCAGGAGGATCACTTGAGCCCAGGAGTTCAAGACCAGTCTGAGCAACATAGTGGGACCCTGTCTCTAAAAAAATAAAATAAAATAACTGGGCATGATGGTACATGCCTGTAGTCCCAGCTACTCAGGAAGCTGAGGCAGGAGGATTGCTTGAGCTCAGGAGGTCGAGACTGCAGTGAGCCGTGATGGTGCCACTGCACTCTAGCCTGGGTGACAGAGTGAGACCCTGTCTCAAAAAATAAAAAGCAGACACTAAAGGGAACTATATAAAATGTTAACTGTATACAACGGTGTGGAGTGGAAAGACCACTGTTTTTTTTTCTTTCTACTTTTTTGCATTTTCAAATATTTTTTGATAAGCAACTATTACTTCTGTAATGGAAACTACCCCCTCACCCCCCGACATGCATATAATGTTTTGTGTACTTTCTTAAAATTCCTAAGGCAGCCTGTATTCTATATTTGTTTTGCAGGTGGAAGATGCAATGCTGATGTTTGATAAAACTACCAACAGGCACAGAGGTAAGATTACCCCAGTGTAAGAGGGTTGCGTTCACCCTCTCCTGGCCTCTCTGTCTGTCATCCCCAGTCCCACTGACAAAAGATACAGTGAAGAGTCCAGAGTCAAGCAGGTAGAGGTGACCATCCATTGAAGATCTTTATTCACGGAGAGTCCCAGTAGCACAAAGAGTTCCAGTACTGGATAGCTGAAAAACCATTTCCTTCTGGCCTAGGAACTCCTGTTTAGTTATGCAGCCATCCCTGACACACATATTCAGATGTACCTCTCTAATCCTGCCTTTCTGGGTCCCTTGCTAACCTCGGCACTAAGCGATCCAAGTGGAAATTATTCACAGCAGTGACTCAATTGAGTTATCAATTTGTATTGAAGGAGGTTCTTTAGGAGCAGACTGTCAATCTAAAGAGCCAAAAAATCAAAATAAAACATTGTAGGTTCGTTGGGTGTGTAGTGATTACAGCCTTGGGAATGCTCCGTGGGGCCTCTGGAATGTGTAGAGGGCATCTGTACTTAATTGTGTTTTTCCCTGTGCTGCTTCTGTCCCATCCACTTTACAAAAAATGGGTCTTAACCTGGAGTCTATGAACCTCTGCAATGACATGCAAAATGTCATATGTTTATACTTTTCTTGGGTGAAGATCCCTAGGTTTGGACAAATTCTCAAAAGGGTCTCTGGCCCTGCCCTTAGTCTCTTCCTTCCCCAAAAAGAACACATTAAATTTATTGCTTTAAACAGAAAAATTGGAGGCATCTAGAAAAGTCCTCCCTGGAGGTAGCAGAGTCAAAGGAGGTGATGACTTAGTGTTCTGTTCTCCGGAAGCTCAGGTTTCTGGGGTTCCTATTAACAGGGTGTTAATGAGCAGAGCTTCCTAAGGGGGTGGCAGGAAATGGTGTGCTGGTGCCCTCAAGGGAGGGAGCCTGTGAGTGAGCAGCATTTCCTTGCCACTTGGATCGCATTTAGATGTTTCCTGTGTTGTTTACATTCCTGCTGTCACCTGTGATTAGAAACAGTTACCCAGCACTGACTGTATGTCTTTCCTGTTTGGAGAAGGCAGAGTGAGTGAAAGGCAAGAAGGAGTGGAGTGGGAATCATTGCTGGCGGGGCTGGGAGAAGGAGGGGGATATCCTGAGTGCGTCTGGTAATCTGGCTTCAAATGCATCCCTCTACAGCATCCTCAGAATGGGAGAATGGAGCATTGGGTGCACAACAGTGGTGTCAAGTGGTATTTATGGAGGGAAGAGATGGCAGGGGGTGGAGGGTGGGGAGCAGTGGAGAAGCAGGGAGAGAAAGGAGGGGCATGCAGGTGTGGAATGATCGATTTTGTCCACTGCATTGCTGGGGAGTGAGAGCCCAGTGAGTGAGATGAAGGTGGTGCCCGTGGTGGGCAATTGAGGATTATCCTCCATCATCATCCACATTCTGTCAATCTAGCTTTATGGTTTCCAAGCCGGACTTCCAGATGCATCTCCTAATGTGACCTTCACAGCAGCCCCTGGAGGGTTGTTGTGACATTGGGAAAAATCACTTAACTTCTTTATGCCTCAGTTTATTCATCTGTAGGATGGGGGTAATCATAGAACCTCCTCACAGGATTGCTCGGAGAGTGTAATGCCAAGCATCTAGTCAATTGTGCGTAAATGTTAGCTCTTATTATTAGCGTTATCATCACCTCCGTCCGGTTGGAAAAATAACCAAGGCTCAGAGGAGGCAACTGAGAGACCCATGGCTGAGCAGGGTCTCAGGACTATTGATTTCAAATTCTGCTGTTTCTCTGCTGTGTCCAGATGGGAATGCATTTGTTAAAAAGAGCACTGCCAGCTATTTATTTTCAGGGTGGGTGATGCCCATTTGAGTTTGGCACCTGGTGTTCAGTGTTAGAATTCATAGTCCTGGGAGATTCCAGAGTTGCCCCCAGGTGATACTGTTGTCCTTTTATTTTGAAAATCAGTGAAAGTATTTTTTGATCTGCTGTGTGTCAAGCCCTGTGCTGGGGGCTCACACTGGTATCGTCTCATTAACTCTCAGAGCCGGGCAGGGAGAGGGCTGGTCATGGCAGAGGTGGGGTTGAAACACCGGACTTTGGACTTCTGGGTGAAGGCCCAGAGGATGTGCCGGGAAAAGTCCTCTCTTATTTTTAACCAGATCCCTGTTGCTGTGGGTGAAGCCTCTTCCCTTTTTCCAAAAGGGAGAAAGGAAAGTGCTGGGCCGCAGAGATGGGGTGGCGGTTCGTCTGGGACGGGCGTGGGAAGAGTTTTTTGCCCGTTGTGAGGTGGAGGATGGTCTGTTGGAAGGCCCGCTGCTCAGAATGGCTTCGGGACATCATTGCTGGCTCTCCAGGAGTCCTGGTGGGCACTGGCAGGAAGGAGCGTGGGCAGGGCCTTGGTGCATGCACACTCCTGCCCCCAGCCAAGCCAGAACCTCTGCTAGCACCCTCGGACCTGCCAGAGCTGAAGATGCCTGCAGTGGGGGCAGGACCAACTCTAAAATGTGTGGAGCCCAGAACTAGAGGAAAGGCAGGGCCTCCTATTCAAAGATGATTGAGAAGCTGGCCTGAGGGGCTGCAGCCTGTGGAGGGCAGAGACATGCCAGGAAGCCTCAGCAGGGAAGAGCCGCCATCCCACTGCCCTCCCTCTCATCCAGGGCCCTCCCACTCTGCAATGTCGTTTCTGTGTGGGTGGGAGCAGCGGCCCATACACACGTTCCAACCCCTCAAGATACCGGAGGAGGCATTTCTCTTTGAACTGGGTGCTAAAGTTGGTGTAATACTTCACTGCATTTAGAACATTGAAGAGAGTGAAAAAAAATTTTTGTTTTTCAAAAAGAAGAACATATCACAGCAGAGGCACAGATCATATATATGGAGCGAGCCGGCCCCACATCTGTGGCCTGATGGAGTGCACATTTGGAGTCAGGTGATAAGCACAAGGAAGTAAAATCCTCATGCAGCCACCTTGCCCCAAACTTACCTTCACCTCCTCGGTTCCTGCTGTCCATGATCTTATCAAGAGGAAAGTGCTGCAGTGGCAGAAGTTGAGGACATCTCCCTGGCTGGCGCCGCCTCCAGCTCTCTTCTTAAAGAGGCCCAGACCATCGACCCAGAGGTGTTGTCACAGCACATGCTCAGCACTTGTCCTCAGACTCCTAGCCCAGCCCTGTGGGGCAGCCTGGGGCCTCAACTCATCCTTACCCCAGGAATTTTGACAGCTACCTGTGTGTCCTTGGAGCTGTGTGACATGAGCTGTGTGACATTTGCTGCTCGGGGATAACCACAGGGAACTGGGCTTAACATCTGATGAGCGTCAGGTGGGCCAGGCTCCCAGGGCCCATTCAGTCTCCACTTGCTGTTAGGAGCCACAGGTCAGGGCAGAATTTCCACTCCTTGACCCCACTGGTCACCTCCTGTCCCTGCTCCCTGTTGGTCTCTGTTGGGGCAGGGATGCCCTCAGTTCCATCTGCATGGCGGCAGCTTGTATCTCCCATCCACAGGAGCACCAGCCTGGGGCTCACTAGTGCCATGGGAGAGAACCCAGGACCTAGGAGAGAATGAGCCTCCCGCAATGTATGTCTTCCACCCTGCAAGCAGGAAGAGGGTCCCACGTTCAGTCTTTGACTCACAGTGGGTGGAGCCCTGGAGATGTGGGGGCTCTCACCTTTCTCCTTGCAGATGGGCCTTCCTCCAGCTTCTGCTGCTCCCATGACATTTTTCCTGGGGGCACATTCCCTGACCTCTGAGCATCTCAGGTTCTTCCTCTAAAAAATAAGAGACCTGGGATTGATGAGCCCCAGGACCTGAAGTATGTTTCTGGCCTTTAGCTTTTTAACTGTGAGAATGTTCAAGATGAATTCCTTTGCTGTTTTTGTGACTAGGGGAGGGAATGGGCAGTTGTTGCAGGTTGGGTTCCCTGGGAAGCAACTCTAGGAAGGGATTAGCAAGTGGGAGGTTTATCCAGAAGTGCTCTTGATCAGGAGAGGGCAGAGGGAGAAGCTGACTTGCGATGCCCTTCTGTAATGGGGTGGTTCTTCAGGGGTCCCCAGCTGGGGTGGGAGTGCCATCCTTGATGCCTGCACGCTGGCCTGTCATTGGGTGCAGCCCACCCTGTGAGGCTGATGTGACCTGGGCTTCCCCTGGGGAAATCCTGGAGGGGACTTCCAGCTGGGGACTATCTTCCAGCAGCACTCCCAGCCACTGGGAAGGAGGTCCTTCATTCCTGAAGGGGATCTAAGCATCCTGACACAGCACCCACTGTGATGGTGTGTGGAGTTCTGTTGCTGTCTAAGCAGGCCATGTTAGCAATCTTGATAGAAACAGCCAACACTTTCTGAGCACTTACAACACCAAGTGCTTAGCACAGTGCTGGCACCTACCATTGAACCTTGATGACAGACAGCCATAGGTGAACCGAGCTGCCCAGAGTCTCACACTGGTGAAAGCAGAGCTGGGACGTAAACCCAGCCTGTCTGACCTGGAGCTCAGGCTCTTACACTCTGCAAGCATTGTGCAAGGTAACTGGTTAAAGCGGAGGAGCTGGTCATTTTAAGGGTTTGGTATTTCCTCATTTTCTGTCCTTCTCCACAACAGCCTTCTTGCTGGATGACCGTGCTCCTCCATTTCCACTTGGAGAAATTAAGGCACATAAGTTTGGAATATTGCATAGCAGATTCCTGCAGCCAGACAAGGAGCAGAGCTGTTGTTAAAACCTGGATGCCAGTCGGCACGATGGCTCACACCTGTAATCCCAGCACTTTGGGAGGCCGAGGCGGGTGGATCACCAGAGGTCAGGAGTTCAAGACCAGCCTGGCCAACATGGTGATACCCTGTCTCTACTAAAAATACAAAAATTAGCCGGGTGTGGTGGTGGGTGCCTCCTGAAATCCCAGCCACCCGGGAGGCTGAGGCAGGAGAATCGCTTGAACCCAGGAGGCGGAGGTTGCAGTGAGCCGAGATGGCGCCATTGCACTCCAGCCTGGGCAACAAGAGTGAAACTCCGTCTCACAAAAATATAAAACAAAAACCTGGATGCCTCCCTTGGCCCTGTCCCTCACTTCATTTCCTGGCCTTCCATACGATGATTTGTGCCCAGGGGGAGCGGAGAATGGTGGCTTTCCAATCTTCTCAGAGTCACTTCATTTGCTGTCTAAAAGTTGTTAGAGATGGTCTGGAAAACACTGGGCTGATCGTCAATGGATTTAATCATTAGGAGGGGGAAGTTTGTTGCTTTATCCTTGTAAAAGTCAGATAAGATCTGGGACTTGGCATTAAGTATTGATCCCAAGTGGGGCTGGAGGGGAGGGACAGGGAGGGAAGAGGCAACAAGGTGCTGTCCTTCCAGTTTGCTCTGTTGTTGGCAGGAGGCCGGGGAGTAGACAGCCAGCGGGAGGGAGGAAGGGTGCACTGGCCAGCTCTCTCTCCAGTGTCCCCACAACCTCAGCCCTGATGGAGAAAGTGGAATGCGGGCATGTTGCTTGCTGAAATAATCTCACACTCACCTCCTTATGGGGGAAGGGAACCCTCCCCATTGTGAGGGTCACTGTAGAGGATCCTCAGCTGTCCTTCCCTCCAATTTCAGAGCCCTGGGTTCCTGAGCCCTGCACAGCTGGGTTCCTCCAGGGAAGATCTGGATGGTTGAGGCCTAGTTGAAAGGAGGTGAGGAGTCTCTGAAGCTAATCCCATAGCCTGGTGAGGGAGTGGTTTCTGGCAGAGGACATCCCTGTGGCCTTCATTACCCAGCAGGCCTGCTTGCCCTGGAACATTGCCAGAGGCAAAGGAACAGGAGACACGGGGAGAGAAATAAAGATTAGTGTGATGGATGACTCTTCTGCCAGCAGTTAGCAGTTGCTTATTAAATGCAATGCTAATGGCTTTGGAGAGGAATAACAGCCCTGAGACCCACTGGAAGGGGGTGGGATGGTTTTGTGAGCCCCAGCGAGCACCATCAGTGGCAGGCCTCTTGAACTAAGAGGGTCCTTTCCCAGAGTGGCTGTGGTTTATCCCAGTTCCTGGGCTGGAAAGGTGCAGTGGTTGGGGATCCAGCCAGAGGGAGGAGCATCCAGGCAGGTGGCCGGAGAGCTTGGGTTCTTCCTGGAGCTTGCTCAGTCTCTGTCCCGAAAAGCAGCTGGCCAAAGTTTAAGGTCTTTGTAATTTGCG
Source organism: Homo sapiens (assembly GCF_000001405.40). Lineage (NCBI taxonomy): Eukaryota > Metazoa > Chordata > Mammalia > Primates > Hominidae > Homo > Homo sapiens. Next base: position 57,535,869 of record NC_000017.11, read on the forward strand.
TAATCGGTTTATTTATTAAAATGGTGCCAGTAAGATGTAACTTAAGCTGTGATAGAAGATAATGCTTTTCTAAGGAGGAAGAACAGCCCTTAATGTTTTGAATACCTGCCAGACACTCACTTTTGAAATTGACCTCTGAAGTCCAGATTGACTCTTTTATGTACGATGTATAAAGATGCCTAAGAATTGCACTGTCATTATTTGTTTATTGGTGTCTATTACTCAAAAAAAAAAAGAGGGCATAGAAAAAAGTTTCACAAAGGTGTAGGTTACATTTTAAAATAATTTAAAGCATTGCTTCACTTGTAGGTGTGGGATGTCAGACATAATGTATGCATGTCCTTCCTAATGAGAGTCTAACATTCTGACTTTATTTACCTAGGGAAGAACGTTGGGACTGTATAAGCTGTACATGTGACTTTGTAGGATGGAGGAATAAGTGTATTTGACAAAAACGATCAGACCCTCTGGCCAGAAAGGGCACAGTCCAAGAAGAAGGGTTGTTGGAGGGAGTAGAAAGTATGATAAGGATGTGTAGAATCACAGCTGGTGATGACACTTTTGCTGATGTGACAGGAGGGCAGCCTGCAAAAGATTGGCTCCCACGCTGCCCTCGTTTGGGGTCTGGAGCAGGATTTGCTGCCTGTCTTCCCTGCTGGCATTTTACCGGTAGTATTTTCCCCACCTCTCAAATCTGCTCTTATCTTTTCACTAATTGTTGATGGTGTTAAGTATCCATCAAATCCTCTCCCAAGTCTGAGATGTGTTAAGGGGTTTATTGGAAGCCTGTAAACCAACAGTTGGTCACTATTGGTATTGATCCTAATTCTGCACCAGGATTAGAAACCACTTGACAAGAAAGCGGACAGTCTGTCATAGACCACCACCAACAGCCAGGGTTCCTGGCCTCCCAGAGCTTTCAGTTTAGTCCGTAGTGTGATGTAACATGCCAGCTGGGTTCTCTTAGGTAAGTTCAGGGTCCTAGATGGGGTTAGGTGAAAATCCAGTTCTCTTTCCAGAGTGGACCATTGTTGGGTGGCAGAGGGTGGGGCGGTGGGCAACTGTTTAAGAAAGACATTGACCAACAGGAATCTGGGAGAGAATGGTGAGAATGGGGTAGAAACTCAATATGATTGAGTCCAAGAGGTCTTGAGGGGAGTGGAGAGCTGTGATGTGGTCATTCATTGCAGCCTTTGGGTACTTGAAGAGTTTCCATTGGAAAAGAGTTCTGTGTAGCCTCAATGTTGGGCACACTTGAGTTAGAACAAGGAAGAATCGCCTAGTCCAACAGTGGCAATAAGAGGACAGCCATTGCCCCTCTGCCAGATTCTCAGAACCCAAGGTTCTGTGCCTCCAGTGGGCTCATTCTAAAGCTGGGACTGTGTGAGGGGGTGGGCATGCTGCGTGCCCACCGTGAGGGGCACACCCGCCTCTTCACTGCCTTGCAGGGCTGTATCCCCAGGCCCTGTAACCTTGCAGCGATGGAGGGCAAAGGAGGGGGTGGGATAAAGAGTCAGCCCACCCTTTGCCATCTTTCAGAGACCAGCCCCGGAGCTGTCTGCACATTTTATTTTCTCGTTAAATAAACACCATTAGCCTTCCTGAGAAATTGGTGCAAACATGACCTCGCAAATAACCAATTAAAAGGGTAGGGTTGAAGGGGAATGTGAATTTGAAAACATGTAGAGGAGGCCATTAAGGATTCCTGTAGAATCTGGCAACATCGATCCAAGACCTTAATTTTATTTCTGACAGGAAAGCAAGGAGTGTGCTTTCATTTTTTTCCCCCGAGTTAACTCAATTCCGGAAGCGCCCATTCCGGCGCTGTCTCTTGAGATATTAATCAACACAGTAGCTTGGTTTCTGTTCACCTGCTCTTCTTTGGAGACACGGAGTAATACAAAGCCCTCAACTTCCTAGCAACAGGGCTGGGGGACAGGGTGCCCGGGGCAAGAGGGAGCTTGCAAAGCCAGGGGGAGTTTGGTACCCAGGATGAGCTGCACTTTTTTAGCCAAAATACAAATCTTAAACTTCTTTCCTTTGGAATAAAAGCCCTGGCACCAAAAGGGTGGTGACCTAATAGGTCTTCCTGCCTCCCCCTGCTGTGGCCCACGGAAGCAGAAAGGGAGTGGGCTCAGGGTCAGCAACTTCACTGACCCAGAAGTGGTTTTTTTGTAGAGAGGGACAATGAATCTTTTGTTTGGTCCTGTTCCCATAGAGGCCCAGGCTCTGACTCTCACAACATGGTTTAAGATCTCGGTGAGGGCAGAGTGTGGAGATCTGAAGAGAAAGGAGCTTTTAGCATGGCAGCTTGATTAAAAGCACCCCCTTTCTTAGCATCACGGCACTGCCAGTGGCCGGAGAGGGCTGGGCCAGGGGTCGCCGCAAGCCCTGGGTGGCTGCCTCCCCGTTGGGACTTAAGGTTCCTAGAGGGGTCCCGGTTATTATGCACCTCTGGACTTCAGCCTCTGTTTTCAGTTTGTGGATCAGAGGGTGTACGCTATCCCATCTGTATCTGTATATCAGCATGGTATGCTGCAAAGAGCTTGAGTTTTAGAGTTGGTCATACTCGGTTTCAGATCCCAGCTTTCCCTTGGGCGTGATCTCAGGCAAGTTACAAGATGTTTTACTCCCTTGTGAAGGTAACACACCCGCTCTGTAAGAGTTAAATGATTCCGCTTGCGAGGTGCCCACTCCCCACTCCCCGCAAGTGGAGAGTGCGGGGCAGCCTGGTTTCTTCCCCCTTCCTCCTTAAGTGAAACCACCTGCTTAACTTCTTTAGGCAAACAAACTAAAATCTGTGTTTGAGTTTTGGGGACCCTAGTCTTGAAAAATAAAACCCTTTCGTGGTTGTTTTTTCCTCTGCTTTGCACACACACATATGCTTGCATGTGCATGGAATATCTTTGAAAGGATGCCTGCAAAATCGGTAACAAGGAGTTAGAACTGCATATTGGTTAAGATCACATGCTCTGAAGTGAGACAAATCTAAGCTCTGGGACTTAATAGCTGTGTGACCTTGGGCAACTTACTTATCTTCTCTGCAACTCAGATTCCTTATCTGTAAAATAGGACATTGGGTTAGCCTGAAGCTTACGTCATTTAATGAGTATAAAGGGTTTGGAACAGTCTCTGCCCATACTAAACACTCAAATATGTTTTATGCACACGTGCATATCATATGCAGATGTACATACATTAAAAACATACATACATAAAAAAGTGTTTGCTCCTTTTTTATGGGGAAGAGAATTAAGCAACCTGAGATACAGAGACGGAGGGAATCTTTTTATTATATACTCATTTACTTTTTGAATTTTTTTTTTTTTTTTGAGACGGAGTCTGGCTCTGTTGCCCAGGCTGGAGTGCAGTGGCGCAATCTTGGCTCGCTGCAATACTTTTTGAATTTTTGTACCTTATGCACTTATTACCTATTCATTTACTTCTTTAGTGTGAGCTTTTAAAATTTATTCCAATTTGAATTGTCAATGCAGTGATAGAACAACGTGAAAGAGACTTTTTGAAAGAAAGAAAATTTACCAGCCGGGCACAGTGGCTCACGGCTGTAATCCCAGCACTTTCGGAGGCCAAGGTGGGCAGATCACTTGAGGTCAGGAGTTCAAGACCAGCCTAGCCAACAGGGTGAAACCCCATCTCTACTGAAAATACAAAAATTAGCCAGGAACGGTGGCACGTGCCTGTAATCCCAGCTACTCAGGAGGCTGAGGCAGGAAAATTGCTTGAACCTGGAGACAGAGGTTGCTTTTTGTTTCCATAAACAGATGATCTGATGGATAGATGAGGATTTTCTTAGTAGTTTCTGCTCTTCCCAGACAACGTGCTATTATTAGAATAGCCAGACTGGCCCTGGTCTGAAAAGAAGCCTGGTTTGCGCCAGTTCATCCAAGACCAGAGGGGAGGAGGGCCAGAACAGGGAGGTCCTCCATCCCAGGAGCTCAAAGTGCTTCGTAATTCAAGTTTAAAAAAAGTTAAAAGCATTTTTCTACCCCAAGTTATGACTAGTAAACACGTGGGGACCTTACACAGCGTGGCAAATGCAGAATCTTCCTCTGCATTCCCATTGTTTATGGCTTAGGAGTCAAGGCAACACCCGGTTAATGATGCTTGTGAAGTGTCTGGGCCATGTGGCAAAGGGATAAGAGCTTAGGTCCAGATTCCCACTGCAGGACTCACTTTCCAGAGCAACCACTAATCAATTGCTGTGTGACCCTGGACAAGTTACTAAATCTCTCTGAACCTCAGTTTTCTCATCTATTAAATGGTGTTAATGTTATTAACTCATGGACTTGGGAAGTTTAAGTGAGATAGTTTATCTGTGTGAAACATCTGATGCTTGGAAGGCTATCTGTAAATGTTAACTTTGTCATTATCATATTAATTATTGTTATTTTACTACTAAGAATACTGTGACTGTCATTACTTCGGGAATGGAGGCTCAGGCTTGCTGATTGGAGAGAATGTTAACACCCTAGATGGCTGCTGGCAGATGCTGTCAAGTTTTCCACCTTGAAGGGTGTTGTGGGCTGAATTTTGTCCTCCAAAAGCATAAGTTGAAGTCCTGACCCCTAAAAGATACCCCCAAAAGAAGTCCTAACCCCAAAAAGATAAGTTGAAATACCTCAGAATGTGACCTTATTTAGAAAGAGGGTCTTTGGAGGTGTAATCGGGTTAAGAGGAGGTCTTAGTGGAGTGAACTGATCTCACCATAGTCCTTATAAGAAGGAACATGTGAAGAGAGAGACACAGGGAGATGGCCACATGACCTCAGAGGCAGGGACAGGGGCAGTGCGGCTGCAAGCCAAGGATTGCTGACCACACCAGAAGCTAAGAGAAGAGCCTGAAACAGATTTTCCCCTGAGCCTTCAAGAGGGCATGGCCTTGCCAACACCTGGATTTCAGATTTCTAGCTTTCAAAACTGAGACAGAATAAGTTTCTGTTGTTTTAAGCTCCCCCCTCCCATTTGTGGTAGCTTGTTATGGCAGCCCTAGGAAAATAATAGGGCAAAGCAGAGTTTCCTGCCCAGTATGTCCCCTTGCTCACTACTGGCCTGCAGTCCTGGTGGTCAGACTTATCCTTCTCGCTCTGTGCCTTGCTAGTCACAACCCCCCTAAGCAAAATGATGTGCAAGAGAAGTTAGAGAAAAGACCTTTCATGCAACTGAGAACACAGCCCCCGAAGCCTGACTTGGTTCACACCTTGCCCAAGTCTAATTTGCCAAAGACCTTGAAAGTGACCTTAGGATGTTAAAGATACATTTTGGTAGAGAGAGAGAGAGAGAGAGAGAGAGACACTTCAAGAAGTCTGAAGTTTACATTTTAATTTAGTGGCCTGCAGGGCTCAGTCATTTCTTTATAAGCCAAGGAATAACCAGTACAGTTATGAGTTGTCAGAATTCCCAACTCCAGCGACACAAACCATACTCATTAGAGTGGCGTTTCTAGCTGGTTCATTCAACTTGGCAATTCAGGGAAATAATCCAGAAAAAGAACGAAAGGAAGAAAAGGAAGGAATTCAGGAGAGCTCATGTGTATGACAACATGCACCCTGGCATCCCTATATACCTGCCTCCTTTCTATCCTGAAAAAAAATAAGAAAACAGCAAGACAACACTGAACTTCAAAAGCTGCCAAACAGACTTCTTTATTTCTTTATGTTGTCCCAGAAGCTCTTTCAGGCAGGAACATTTGCCAATTCAATCCTGGAGTGAATTTTTAAGCTAAATTAATGCAGTTGGGGGTCAAAATGGCAACACCTACAGGTCTTCAGTTGTAAGGACACCGGTGGGCACAGCAGTAATTGATCATTATAGCACTCATGTGGATGTGCTTCTCTTAATCCCCTGGTTTGGTTGGCAAACCAAGTAGTGTATAAAAATCACTGCCATGATTTTAAAGTGATCAAAGTTGTACACCTTTGAGCACTCCTTACGCATTTGAAATTTCTCCCTCAACTTGCCACCCATCTTGGTATCAGGAAATAACTGAAAGTGCCTTCTTCCCCCTGAATGTGTCCAGCGTTGGTGCCTGCGTTCTAGCACCCTAGGCAAAGCTGGCGCCTCTGCACCAGATCTGCAATGTGCGTACGCAATGCTGACATCCGATTTATTATCTCGGAGGGCTGGGCTGGTTCATGGATGATTCATGACTCTGCTTTCCACTGCCGCTGGAGGTGACATCATCTATTCGGGACCCAGAATAGACACAGGAGCAACAGTGGGCCGTGTTTTGTGTGTCTCTCACCAGCCCTGGGCTCCCTCCCACTTGCCACCCCGCTGCTGGGTGTTCATTGAGTGAGAATGGTGGTGACCCAAGGAGTCCGTCGGAAATGTCTTCTTAGTGGAAGGTCATAAATGTGTTTCAACACTGTTGCACAATAAAGCAGAGAAGGGACCTTTCCCAAAGTTCATCTCTTCCCTTACGTTCTTCTAGTTGGAATTTAGATTTCACTGGCAACCCAAGAGCTGCTTCACTCTGTGGCCGACTTTGATTTTCTCATGTAGAGACAGGGTTGGTTAGGAAAGTCTGGCTGAGATAATTTATCCCACAGCCTTAGCATTGGTCACCCTGCATGATGACTGATTAATGTCATGTTAGATGTTGGAATTGGATCGATGGTTTCCAACCTGGTTGTACACTAAAATCCCCTGGGGAGTTTTTAAGATGTCCTGATGCCTGAGTCCCACCCCAGACCAATTAAGTGAGACTGAAAGATGGAGCCCTGGCATTGGTTATTTTTAACATTTTTCCAGCTGATGCTAATATGCAGTCAGGGCTGGGCACCCCCTGGGTCACATGACCTTCAAGGAGCCTTCCAGCTTTCAAACCCTTTAAAAAGGCAGCACTGCTGACTTGGACCAGGTCTTTGAGCCTGGTCTGTGTCTGGGCAGTCTGGCACGTGTCCTGCTGTTAAGCCCTGGGAGGTGGGGATGCCTCCTTCATGTGGGGCCCTTCGTGGGTGACTAGGTCAGCTCCATCCGTCGTCTGTGCCCATGACTTCTTGTAATTTTCCTTTGTGGCACTTCTCAGTTCTTAATGATTGCTATTTGCTTGATTATTTGATTTGTATCTGTGTCTTCCACTCTCCTCCATGTCCCCTTTGCCCAGCAAATACCATTAATCTATGACAAGAGGGTGGGCACTCACCTTGGTCTCTGTCCTAATTTGCCTGAAAACTGAGAATGGTTCCTACTCAATGCTTCCCATCTCAACTTCCTTTGCTCTAACAAAACGGAGGTGCAGGAGCCCTGTCTGGAGAGGCGTGTAGGAGCTACACCTGTCTTCTGAAGAGGGCCTTGGAGACCTAAAGAAATGATCTGGGAACACTTTTTCCAGCACCCAAGGAAAGAACCCAGCAAACTAATGAGAATTTTTTCTTGCTGGCTTAAGAGGGGGGGAAAATGCCTTTAGTGTTGTTGTAGCTGTTCTTAACAGCTGATTTAGAAGAAACACTGAAAGTATTGGTTTGAATCAAAAACATCAGTCCTGCCTGTAGTTCCGCCTTGGACCCATGCTGCCTGGTTGCAGCCCTGGAAGGCTGGGGGGACGGCACGCTTTAGCCAGGGGTCTGTTGCAGTATTTAAAGTGCCTATGCATTTCTACCCCAGAGGCCAGGTAGAGAGAGGTGTGTGCTTACAGATCGAGTTCTAAATTTCCTCCCCACTTCCAAAATCACTAGTTTTGGCATCTTAAGTCTTCTTTTAATTAAGTTGATTCATTTGCTCTGGAAAGAGTTTTCCTGATTCAGCTAGTATATTTATGTATAAACTACTCTGGAAACACCTGGCAATTTTTCTGAGTGACAATGAGGAGACGTCGTTTGAAAATTATGGTTTAATTTGCTCCCTCCCCCATGCTGTCTTACCTTTTCAAAAATGGGTAAGATTTACAAAAGAAGCTTTGTATTTTGCCCATATGTTTTACAGCAGAGATATGTGTATCAACAATACCTAATAATTTCCCTTCATGTTATTTTTAGAACTCTAGCTTTTAATGGACAATTGAATCATTCCTTGGCAAAGAGGAAATCATCTAATTACATGTTTTTATTTATTATGAATTTGCAGGTAGGCCCCAGAGAGATTGGTGAGCATATATAAAAAGTTAGAATAAACAGCATCTTAATGACTATTTTCAGGAGTGAAAAACTATGTTGTCTCTTTAGGGTTGCATCCCAGCTCTGTGTGTTGTGTGTATGTGCGTGTGAGTGTTGCTTGCAGAGTGTGTGTGCCTGTGAGTGTGTTTGTGTGTAGGTAGGAGGGTGCAAGGCACATTTGAATTGGACGTGGCCCTCGGTTGGTTTCAGAAAGTAAACTGGAATCAAAAACGCTATAAAGGATCAAAATAGGAGAGAAGACACCTGCCCCTGTTTTATTTTGCTTTATTTTAGGTTTATGGCCTCTTTAGTGTGGGACTAATTAAAATCCCCTGATAAGGCCTAGTACCCTGGCCTGGTCATTAGCAGCGTTGTTCACTTTTCCTGGGTAGGATAAGTGGCTTCCAGAAACAAAGTGGTTTGAATCAGAAATGGCACCTCCTGGGTTCATCCCCTCTTTTCTTTTCTTTATAAGGTTCTTTCAAAATGCACGGGGTAGGGCGCTGCAGGTAGCCCAGCGAATCTTGCTGCTGCCAGGGCAGTAGCAGCTGGGGTGGGAAGAGGAGAGCAGCTGGGGTTGTGTTATTAGTCATTCCATGAAGAGATTGATTTGATAAATAATAAAGCAGCGATATTAGCAACACATGCTTGCAGGTCAGATGACTTCGATGAAAACCCCCAGTTAAGTGTGTGTAATGGTTTGACAATATATATGCCTTCTAAAAACATCCTATTTTAAAATGGAAATTGGACTGTTCTTGCAATTCTTAGCAAATATGCCAAGACCATTACCAAAGGGAGCTTGGAAATCTGAAGGGTGATGTTTCTATTTAATTTGGCCTCTACCCTCCCCCTTTCAAAGGATGCTTAAACTCACTTTGTTTTCCTGTCCTTGCCTTTTCATTTTGTTAACTGTTTTGATTTGTAAAATACTATGCCTCATACTACACTCCTTTATGATGATTTACTGTGCTGTTCTTATCTTTCACCTTAAATCCTTGATAAGAGCATTTTAAAAATGAGATTGCTACCTGACACTATTATAAAATCTTGGCTGGCAGCCAGTGGAGAAACAAGCACGTTTGGTGGGGGAGGTGGGGGCAGAGAAGGAGACTGAGTTTAGAGAAAGGAAAGATTTTCAAAGGAACTGTATAGCAGATTTTCCCCCCTCTGAATTCTGGAGGCCCCCCCGTTTTTTAAGTAGAGCGTTAATGCAACCTCATAAGTGCCTCCTCACTATTGCCTAGTGGACCGTGGGGTGGGCGGTGAGTGAATTGAACAGACAAAGATTCTTTGGGCAAAGGTTATCTGCGCTGAAGATGAAACTCCCATATGTCCTTTGCTATGAATTGGAACTGGGTGGATGGATGGACCAGACAGATGGATAGCAGTGAACCAGCTACCATATTTATAGCTAGGAGCACGTGCCCTTCTCAACTCCAGACATCCCCACCCCTGTATCCCACCTTGTTCTGTTCCAGACACATCAGAGCAGAGCCCCCTTTAGTTGCAGCAGCTATGGCAGCCGACTGCCCAAAGATGGAAACTTCTGTGTGTGTGTTTTGTCTAGAGATCTCCTTTTATCCACAAAGGGCATCACCGATGGGGGGACCAGTAAATAGAGCTGTCTGAAGTAGCAGGCCGTTGAAATTCTAGTATTGTGACTTAATGAACTCTTGTCTTTAATTCCTATGACTTGGAGAAGACAGCCATTCTCTCCCCATAATGGAGCTCGTTAACCCATCTCTGTACTGACTGGTGCTTTTATTATTATTATGACGACTGGAGAACATAAGTCTGAATGTTAGAATAACAGGTTTCCCAAGTGCCTGGCAGAGAAGGGGGTGTATAATGATGATGATCTTTCGTGGGAATAACAGCGGCCACCGGCTTATCTGGCGCAGGCATTATTACATCTGAGTCGCCTGAAGTGCCATTTGTGAAGACCTGGTATTTATTGTCCTAGATTATTGGGGTGGGGGAGGGTGAGGCAGCAGAGGGGACACTTATCATCCCGTCAGGGCTCGACAGCCGAGGGGCAGCTGCTGGGTGCGAAGGCCACAGTCAGCGGGAGGCCCCTGTGTGTAACTGGAGATTCCGGGGCGATTATGCCCAATTTATCACGCACCTCATGAAAATACAATCCACCACCAAAATGACTGCTTTTGGAAACTGTCTTGTCTCTTTTGAGCCGAGACTGGAGACAACCAGACAAGGTTCGGTGGTAATGAATAAAGAAACATTACTTTCTGAACACAATCTTCTGTCACCAGTCACTTTTCAACAGACATTCAATCAAAATGCTAATAGCAGCGGCAACAAGGGACCGCGGTTATTGTAATACTAATTGATTGGTTGGAGGGTGGGTTTTGATAAGTGCAGCCGAAGATTTCTGAAATATGATTCTCCTTAATTACTGTGATGCTAATAAAAACGAACAAATGATTTAATGATGATTTCCTGGGTAATGGCTTAAAGATTTTGTTTGAGTTTAAAATGAGATAGGGTAAAAAATACACCAGAAAAATAGGGCTCTGGTGGGTGGCCTTGCCTTTATCAAACCTAGGCATGGGGATTCAAATCCAAGAATGCCCTTGGAAGGCTGTGTGGCATGGTGATAAAGGCCTCTCCTGGGCAGCCAGGGACGACCAGGCTGTGGGTGGATTCCAGCTTGAAGTCATTGGCACTTCTGAGAGTGGATGCTGATCTGTCCATGTGTTCCCTTTGGGTTTCCCCAGGATGGCCAGGCTGTAGCCTCCCGCTGTGGGGCAGAGTGAAACCCCCTGCCCCAGGAGAGGTACATCTGTGCTTGAGGCTCTGGGGCTTCATGCTCTTGTCCCACGGCCACTGTGTCCTGGGCCCTTCCATGTTCCAGGTGCAATGCTAGTTCTGGCAGTACTGCAGGGAACAAGGCAGGCCAAATCCCAGCCCTCCTGAGCTCATGTTCTGCGGGGAGAAGGAACATACATCACACGATTTCAGGTACTGCTGAGGGCTAAGAAGAAGAGAAAATAGGGAGCTGTTGGCGAGGGGGCCTGGGCCTACTCTGTTTAGGTGGGTAGCTGGGAGTGGCCTCCCTGAGGAATAGGCCTTGGACTTGGGAGGCAGAGAACTGTGAGAAAGGCATTCCAAGGAGCAGATAACAGCAAGTGTGCAGGACCTGGCATGGGAAGGAACTGATTGATGTGTTGGTAGGACAGGTGGAGGGCTGGGGCCTCCAAGAGGGACAGTGGTAGAGATGACTGAGAGAGGCAGACAAGCGCTGGATGGTAAATGACTTGTGAGCCAGGCAAGGCAGATGGGAACCCTCAGGAGGAGGTCAGAAGGGCAGAGGCATATGGCTGGTGCTCTAGAAAGATCCCAGTGGCTCCCTGAATTAAGGAAGGACGGGGATGCATGTTTGGAAGCAGGGTGGCCAGTGGAAGTTTATTGGAGAAGTGCAGTGGAGAGCTGATGGCGTCTTGGGTGAGGGTTGTACAGTGGAGGTGGGGAGAGGCAGTGGGATTTAAAATTTATATTTGGAGACAAGTTATGGTAGATTCTGATGGATTGGAAATGGGTTATGAGGTGAGGGGAGAGAGAAAAATTAGAGTGAACTCTAGGTTCTTGGGTTGAGCTCTTGAGGGATGGTAGTGCTATTCAATAGTATGGGGACTGCTTTGGTGGAAGGAACACATTTTAAGAAGAAAATCAGTTGTTCTGTTTGAAATTCCCATTGGGATCCATTTGGTGATGTTTAGTAGTTGCATAGACAAAAAGTACACACACACACACACACACACACACACACACACACACACACACACACGTCTCTGGAGAATTAACATAACCTACCCAATTGTTTTTGCATAAACCTCTCTAAGGAAAGGATTGTTTCAGGGGAACTCTGAGTAGATTTTATCATCAGTGTGGTAGACAGTGAAACTTGGAGAAAGGGTGGTTGTTTGGTCCCTAAACACTCCAGTTTTTCTAGCATTCAGGGTCCCCTGTGCTTTTCTGTTGCAGTTCATCCAGAGTGTTTTGTGAATGATGTTGCATTCAAGAATCAAAGCATCATTGCATCCACCCCAACAGGGAAGAGAGATCCCATAGATGTGGACGCTCTTTAGTACGCATCGTGGCATCCTCCTCCCAGTGTGTGTAGAGGGGTTTGGGCTCACTGTGAATGTCCTAGGAAAACCAACTCTGGGGTCCAAAGCCCTGACCACTCCCTTCTTCTTAACAGCTCCCTGGGTCTCTCAGATTTCAAGGGCTTAACCTGTACAGAGGGGCTTACCCTTTGTATCCCTGTCCATGCAGATCATAGGTGGGCCTCCCTGGGGTGGGTGCAGCTCTGACATATTAATTCGTTTAAAAAAAAAATCAGATTTGTGTTATTGGGGTGGGAGTGGGGGCTTAATTGGGGCGGAGAGGCAGTGATAGCCTTCCTTTCAATTTGTCAAGCTTTCTTTCAAAAGATCTGCCAAAGAAGAAAGGGTAATTAATAGGCTTGAAGTCATTTCCGATGTGTCAGGATTTCTGCCTTGCTTCCAAGTGATAATGTTCGCAGGCTCCGGGCCTCTAGGGAGCCTTCCGTCTTATTAACTTGTCTGGGAGAAACAGGGAGTAGGGACAGCTCGGGCCAGTGGGTGACAGGAAATAAAGATTTGTGGTGTAGTGAGCTGTAAACACTAGGGCTGGAGAAGTTTGGTGTGGGGGGCTGGGAGCGGGTGGGGGTGGTGCAGAGGGAGAGGGTTTGCTCTCAAACTCCACTTCATGAAGCAAAGTCCTAGAGTTTCCTGGGTCAGATGGCCATTCGGAGTCAGCCCGGATAACCCCAGGGAAGAAGTGCTTTTTAATGAGCAGTGTTTAGACACTCGGCAATTTTTGTGTGTGTTCACCTCTTCACCCCTTACTTCTCACTGTTTGTTTACCCTTCCCCCCCCCACCCCCCCGCCAAAAAAAATCATCTCCCACTGAAAAGATCTTTGGACTTTACAGTGGTTATTCTCACAAGCCCTGGACATTGTCTGCACACATAGACACCAAACTTTTGACTTTTCCAAAGACAGAATTATTTTATTTGTTTGTTTTTTAAAAGGCTTGGTCTCACTATGTTGCCCAGGCTGGTCTTGAACACCTGGGCTTAAGTGATTCTCCCACCTGGGCCTTCCAAAGTGCTAGGATTACAGGCGTGAGCCGCCGGGCGCCGGCCGACAGAATTGTTAATGAGTATATATTAAGCATCTAATTGTGCATGCTGCCATCTAAGACTTGGCCAGTTATGTGGGCTTGGTGCCTAGCCTGCAGGGGTTTATGCTTTGCGAAAACAAGCCCACCTCCCCACTGCCCTTTTTTTTTTTTTTTTTTTGCAACAAATGGGTTTAGTTGCACAGTGCCCAGCATGGGCTGCTGTCCGGCAACTAAAGTCGTGGTTGAGAGTATGGAGAAGGGATACTGTTTTCCTTCCATTTCCGGTAGTTGCTCACTACCATGACCCTGTTGTTGTGATAGCTCTTTGCTGTCCTTTCTACCTCACCTTCACCCTATCCTCAGCTATAATACCGTTTAGCTTTGCAGATTAGGAGCTGGGTGAATATAATGGTTCGAGTGAATGGATGAATGAGAATAGTCATTGTAGGCACTGCTGAGGCTTTTTCATACATCCCCACATTTAATGTTTACAGTCTAGCCCCTCCATTTACCTAATGGGTGACTGATACTCAGAGAGGTTAAGTAACTTGACCAAGGTCACACAGCCAGTAGGAGGTGGAGATTGGGATTTGAACCCAGGAATCCTGTTTGACGATAGCTCCTTGACCCCTAGGTGGGCTCCTGCATTTGTACTCAGGGGCAAGGCATCAGTAGTTGGCAGAGATCTTAGCTTGATGCCCAAGGCCTTGCTGAGTAGAGAAGGGAGTTCAAGAGAGGCTTGGAGATGGTCCCTTTTTGGAGCAACCTCTGACTGCAGGGAGGTCAGTTGAGACCCTGGACAGGCATCCAAGCATTTGGAGGAGGGTTGATGCTGGAGCAGGAGCAGCATCTTCACAGGCTGTGGTCACTCCTGAGCTGGGGGAAGCCACCCTGCCTGTCTCCTCTCCCTACCCCATCCCCGCCTTAGTTGTCAGTGAATGCGGTCTTTTCTGAGCTAATTAGAAATCTCAATAGGATCGAGAATAGCTGCCGAAGACAAACGCCCCTTTTAAGTGCTATCAGTGCATGGGAGAGGGGGCTTGCAGAACTGTTCTTAGAGCTTGGGTTTGGTGGCTCCGGCTGGCAGCAGGAAGCAGTGGTTGTCAAGGCCTTACGGCAGCTAGCCTGGGGAGGACAGCATCCCAGGCGACCTTCAGGATCAGTGCAAGCACAGATCTCCTTGACGGACACCCCCGTTTGGGACTTGTTCTTCTCCTTTGTTAACAAAAGTGCTTAAGAAGTAAAAATTGAGTTAGTATAGGAAACCTGAAGTAAATAATGCTGGCTTCAGCTATATGCAAGCTGTTCCTCACACACTGTGCTTTTCATTGTTTAAAATAGCAAGGTTTGGATTTGGGGGGGTCACAGGGAAAGAACACGATGTCTCTTTTACTTTTGTTTTTGTTTTGCCTCTTTTTACCTTTTCTTTTCCAAAAGTAATTTTTGGGACAGAATCAGAAGTGAAGCAAAAATCCAAACGAGCTCTCCGTTTTCTTAATACCTGTCTCCCCTTGTCTTTTTCTGTCAGGTTTGAAGCCGGGCTGGAAAATGTTGGAGATTTTCAGCCTGGGGAAGAGTCGAGGTTCAGGACATTTTTCCTTTTCCTAGGAAAACTCAGAGCAGGGTTAGACAGTTCGCACATCCAAGACCAACACGCATAGGCACACACGTAGCCCTCTGTCTAGGGCCTGATTCAGTCTGCATTCGAGAGTGTTCTGAATGAGAGCACTGTGTTGGCGTCTTCCACACCAGCCTCACTTCACAGGAGAATTTTTCAGGAGCCATTTTTCTATTAAACTCAAGAGCAGAAATTGATGGGGGGATGGGTGCTCTCTGGAGATGTAATTTGAATTTATTTATTTTAATGATTAAAGAGAAAGAATGGTTATTATTCACATGAATGACCTTCTCCCGGTGCTTTTTTGAAAGGAGTTGTGTTGGTTTATTCAAAGTGGCTTAGAACTCACATAATGGCTTACTTCTGTGGAGCTTTCTGAATGAAGCCATGAACTGGGAGGGAATCAAAGTCCCCTTATTTCAGTGCCGGGAGGTAAATGGATAGGGGACAAAAGGAGCAATATTATGTCTCAGACTAAATAAGGTCTCCAGATCAGGGGCTGAACCTGCCCCGGCTCCATCCTGAATTCTTCCTGTGCGGGTAGGTCCTCACTGGACTCACCTGGGCTGGAGAATCAGCTTGGCCACAGACTCCTGGCTTGGTGTGAGCCTCGGGGATTGCTGCCGGAGGGAGGGCGGAGGTCTGTAGGTGGAGAGGTAGGTTCAGGTGGGTGGAGAAGGCACACAGACCGCCGTCTGGGATGAGGTTGCTATTGGATTGGAAATTGCTGTTCAGCCGAGGGTAGAAATCAGGTGCCTGATGTGTGCCAGTTGCTGCATGACGTCTGCCGAGCCCCAGGTGCACCCATGGGGTCATGCATGTACACACACTGGTGTTCCCACACCCCCCTCTTCCTGCACTGCCATGCCCCACCGCCCTTCCCCCACCCACTGCTGAAGTCTTAGCTTTCAAGTGCAGGTGTTGAGGTTAATAACAAGAAGTATCCCAGTTGGCCATTTGCATATGAGACTTCTCACTGGGTTCTAAAGGTGGGAAGGAAGGGATTTAAAAAGATCACGGGCGTGAAAGCTGGAAACAGTGGCGTCCATTGCTTGGGGCAAGGATTGACTAGAGGTGATTTTATGTGCTGACCGCTCCTGTAGAAAGAGAAGCTTAGGCAGATGTCATGCCCTGCCTGTGCCCACCCAACCTTTCTCCCCCTGGCTGGAGCACTCACTCCAAGCCAATAGCCCAGCTTCCCTGGATCCCTCAGCTCCAAAGGGTTGCCTCCTACTCCACTTGCTGCATAGAGGGGTTTTCTGGAACAGAGAATGTGCTGGACCTAGAGCCCCTCGTCCTGGGGCTCAAGGACCCAGCTCATGTGACCTTCAGCAGGTCTCTCCTGCTGCTGCCCCAGGACTGGCCACACACCAGGGCTCTGTCCCCCGACTTCCTCACTAGACCCTCAGGCCATCTGGTCGTGAGGTTTTTACTGCTAACGGGACAGAGTAACGCACATAACCCATGGGGGAGTTGCAGCGGTCTAATTGAAGTTCAGAGTGATGTTCACTGGTCTGTAATTCCTGACTCCCTTCCTGAGAGAGTCCTGGGAACTGAGCTTGGCTTTCTGCCTGCTGCTTGTCTCTGATTATGGAGACCAGCCAGCACCCCCCAACCCAGCCCCCCACTCACTGCCCTGCTGCATCCAGCCCCTGGGTCTTCCACCTCCTGGCACGCTCTAGCCTAGGCCTGAAGTAGCAGGGCCAGACGCTAGGTGTCGCCGTCCTGGACCTGCCTCCATCCCCGGAGGTCTTGGCTCATGGGCTTTCTTGATCTCTGAGTGTCTTTTTTAATCCCTATTGCCCAGCAACGGCTTCCTTGGTTAGAGACAGTCTGGCAAGTTTCCTCTGGTTCAAACTTACGTTTGAAGTTTTTCTACAACCAGAAGGTGATTCTCTGGCTTCTGAGCTTCACCCAACCCTCTCTGAGCCCCAACATGGGGGAACACTGGTCTCTTCTTTCTGTGACTGGTCATCTTTTACAGCTTTGATTCATGCTCTTAGTTTCCAGTTTTATATGTGCTTAAGCATTATAAGACACCTCAGTATTTTTAGGAAATAAGTGGGGACATAAATATAAACAACCCGGAAATCACTGCCCCTAGAATTCACAGAGTGGAAGAACCAAGCTTTTTAGGGCTGATGTGGCGTGGGCTGGGAGACTTCTCTTTTGAGAGGCTGATACTGGTCTTTGAATGAACTCTTTACCCCACCAAAAGTAGAAAAAGGATTCCAGTGACTTCAGAAATTTTTGTTGTTGTTTTGAGAATGTTGGCACCACTGGGAATAATGAGAGACGCCTGGCCTATTCAAAAGTGGCATCAGAAACCTCAGTGTTGGAAATGCAGCCTTTGGTTGTCCATCCCCGCAGCTAGAGCATGAGCCCCCCAAGGCCAGACTCGAGGGCTCAGCGCTTCAGTTGAGTAGTCCTGATTGAACTAGGCTCATGGGCACAGAGCACTGGACTGGGGACCATAGTGGATGCCAAGGCTCGACCAGTGCAAAATCAGCCCAAACTGAAAGCTGTTTGGGAAGGCAGAATGAATGTATCATCTTTCACTCGGCAATTTTTCAAAATTCAGCCACAGGTCTTCCTGGACCCCTAGCCAGGTTTTGATTTTCTAGGCTGGGATGAAAGATGAAAGAGACGTTTATTTGGTGGGAGGGGGATTGGGACATTGAGCTGCTTTTAAATGATGTTAAGAATCCCATTCTTCTCCCTGCTTTCCCACTTCTGCCCTGGTGTTGACTTTGAAAAACCTTCCAAGACAGGCTGAGGCTAAGGAGATGGGGGAGCTTTCCTGAGCAGCTTTCTGAGGTCCGTTTTTTTCTTTTGAAATAGACTGGAAATCTATCTCGGCTCTGAATCATCCTTCGATTCTCATCGCGGAGGGGCAGAGAGGAGGGTGCACGGGCAGCCCAGCTCATGTGCCTTTGTGGCCATCCCTCCTCCTGGCCAAGAGATAACCGGTTGTTTTTGAAAGTCCTGTGTTTATCGCGAGAGAGCAGTGTGGTCAGAGAGGCGGTGAGGAAAGAGCCGGCAGCCCTTCTGTGATGGATGGGTAGCCGACTTTTCTTGTGAAGCAAAGGCAGCCCACAAGTTTGTCTCTTTCAAGAGAAGAAATTTAAAGCAAAGCTCCAGAGAGAGAAGTTTTTTCAGTCTGGTCCTTCATGTAGGCTTAACAATTCTAGGAGGGCCCTGAAAATGGCAGAGACCTCAATTCTCCCCTCCCTCCCTGCCCCTTTATGGGCTCCCTAACTAGAGAGGTTTGCAAAGCTTAAGGGGATTAATGCTCTTTAAACCTCTGCACTCCTTCCTGCTCCTCATGGGATCCGGGTGCTAATAAAGATGTACTAGCTTGGAAAGGCTGGTAAACGCTGCTTTGTTGCCACGGCAACAGGCGAAACAAGAACGACACCAAGTATTGCTAAGAAGAGTCCTTAGGATCAAGAGTTTGGGGCGGGGGAGGGGGGGGATGGTTCTTAAAAATGCAGAGAGTCTTGGCAAGGTAATTAGACTTGGTGCTCTCAAAGTAAATTCATAGTTTTATGGAGCATTACTAGAGAGCCTTGTTACTTGCAAAGTCACCCTCCATCAAGTAGAAGGAACAGCTGAGAGCCGCCAGCATCTGCCGCCAGTTGCTCCAGTGAGGCTGGGGTGTTGCGTCCTGAGACACCATCCCCCCTCTCCTCCTCAGCAAGTAGTCAATGTGTGCACACGCGCTTGTTTGGGAAGCGTTAAAAAGCTCTATTTCCTGCCTCCTTGGTGTTGAAAGATATGAGGGAATGTTCTACACCTGCCTTCTATCCGGGATGATGTTATTGTTTTTAACAAGGATGATAAGACAGTAGCTAAGCACTCCGTAAGCCTGTGTACTGGGCTGAGCAATTCTTTTGCTTTATCTCATTTCACCTTCAGGCTGACCCTGTGTGGTGTAGCTGTTATTATGCCTGTTTTTTCTGATGAAGAAACAGAAGGGTTAAGGAACTTGCCCATGGACACACAGCCAATGACAGAGCTAGGGTCTGAACAGGTGTGGCTATAAAGCCTGGGCTTTGGCCCGTGGGCCATATCTTTACAGACTCACAACCATCCCTTCCTGCTGCTCGAATTTTCATTCTTGAGGCATGAGCAGCGCCTGCAGCCCCTGCTGGGATGTTTTGCTCAAACCTGCTGAGACTTCCAAGGGAGCCTGGGACTCTGCTCTCCTACTCCTTTCCTCCCTTGTGTTTGGGCACTCGGCTGAGCTCCTTGGAAAGATTTCTGCTTCCTGTGGGTGAGAAGTAGGGCAGTGTGAGGAGGCAGGGCTGCTAGGCTAAGATCCCAGGCTGCCCCACTGACCCATGTCCCTTCCTGGGTAATGGTGCCCAGTTGCTCAAGCCATACCTGAGGCTTCAGCCCGGGCCCCATCTCCCACACATCTAGCCAGCGTCCGCACCGCCAGCTCTGGGTCGCCCTGTCCTCTGCACCCACCGCCATGCTCTGTTTCAGACACCTATCCCATCTGTCCCTGGCAGAGCAGCAACTCTCCGGGGACTCCTGCCTCCAGGCCTGTGACCCATTTAGAGGGATCTTTCTGAAATGTGATTCTGGTCGTGCCAAGTTTAGTGGCTGCCTGCTCAGGCGCCTCAGTGTGGCCTCCAGGGTAGGCGTGATGGAGCCTACCTCTCCATTCCCTGTCCGCTGGGGTTCCCTGCTCAGCGCAGCAGGGACCCCAGCAGCTCCTCAACCAGCCAGGTTCCCTGTCAACTTTTGCACATATTAACCCCTACCCACCTTTCCTTTGATAAACTCCTGAGGGTCCTCAGATGGGTGCCCCTTCCTCCCTCCTGAACCCCCTGAGCATGCCTCCATCATTATTTCCCTACACTGACTCCCCCAGTTACTATGAGGATCTTAACTGCAGGAGACCATATTCTGTTCCTCTTGGTGTCCCCAGTACCTGGGACATAATAGGTACTTGGTATATGCTTATTAACCAGAAGAGTGATGGTGTTTATCCTCACCAGGTTGCTATGGCAACAGATGCTGCAGCCCCTCGAGGCCAAGTGACTTGAGACCTTGGAGGTCCAAAGGTCACACAACTACCTTCCTGGGGCCCCACCTGGCATCCTCCTCTCCCTACAGCCAGGACAGGCTGCCCAGCCTCAGAACCACCACTTGTTGTGACTATTAAACCCCATGTCCCAATGATGCCTGGAGACCATGCCTCAGGCACTTTACACTGTTAGTGGTAATGGTGACACATTATCTGAGTTTTGTTGCTTGTAAATTTCTTTTATGCTGATAAGCTTGGAACTGGATTGGAATTGAGTGGGGGACATTGTCCAGTGTCCATCAAGAATGTAATGGTAAACATTTAATGTTTTTTTCTCCTTCTTCCCCACAGTATCAGTTTTCTTATTGAATTTGGGAAGCAATAGCAATTGATTAAGTTGCAGTGGAGCTTGCCCTAAAAGGAAATGATTGATAATCCGTTTAGGTCTGGCTTGCTCGCTTTTCCCCTCCTGATTTCCTTGGCCACTTTTTCAATTACCAACTGTATTTAGCTTGGTTTGCTTGTTGTAACTCATTTCCCCTTCCTCCAGGATCTGCAGGGAAGTTGTAATGTAATGTTAGAGTAGTGACATCTAATTATTTCCCTGAGACATCAGTTAGAAATGTAAGAATACTTCTTCCTTGAGGTGGGCAGACGAGGGATGTGAGTCTGTGAGGCAGAACGTGTCTGTGCTGCCATCAGTCTTTGGGGTGGGAGGGAGGTCAGGGCGTCCAGTGACATCACAGCCTCCTGTCACTGGACTCAGAGCCCATGTGGGCTCCTGAGGCAAGCTCATAGGATTGTTTTGCAAGTGGACTGATTGGCTGGTTGGGTCTTTGCCATTAAGTGAGTTTATGAGGCCCTCACTACTGGGAGAGAGGCTTTGCAGAGGCTTGCGGCACTATGACGAGGGTCACACCTGATGTTCAGAGCTTTTTGTTTCTTTAGCTAATATCTTTAAGGTAAAACCATCTACAAAGTACTTTTACCCACTCAGTGACAGCTTGAGATCCTCCCAACAGTACTAATAAAAGAAAGGAGAAATTGAATTAGCAGCTATGTTTACCCTCCCAAATTAATATATGTATAATGTCTGGCCTTATTTGGTGTTTAGTAATGCATGCTGTCATGGCCACCTTCTCAGTGGAAGCACCGGGTGTGGGATCTCCCTGTTTCACAGGTGGATTGGCTGAGGCCTGAAATGGAGAAGGGACTTGTCCAAGATGGTTCAGGGCATGGAGTATGGAGCCCACTGTTGGGATCGCCAAGATGCCCGATAATAGCGTTCCTCATCCCTGCCTGAGGAGTGAACAGACTGAGGGGTAAGCCAAAGGCATGGCAGATGGTACACGGAAATATCACCTTCTTAAGAAACGTTAACGATGAGGGGCAGGCCGCCTGCATGAGAATTCCTCAGTCATAGGCAACCAGATGGGAGGTGGGCTGACTTACATGGGACAGCCAGGGCAGCATCTTGCTACCTCTTTTTACGCAAGATGAGTCCAGGAATATTCCACACAAAAAAAGCACAGGAGTCACTCAGGACCTGGAGGCTTTTCCCAAGACATCATGATGGAGTCTTCAGGGTCTGCCCCAGGGGCCAAAGCCCCCTTTCCCGCTCCTGCCAGACTCTCATGCATAACAAGTTTGGAATGAATTTGGCAATGCCATCACCACCCAGCTCACTTCTCAGTTACTTTCTGTTTGCTGTGTACTCTGGAAGGTGTGGATTACCCAGGGAGAACCCTGCCTTGAAGGGTGTGTGGCCAGGGACAGGTTCTCTGGGCTGTTGGCTGGTACCCCACAGCCCTGGGCTGGGGTGTTCCCCCTTGTGCCCATGCCAAGGCAAGGCTTTCTGCGTGGAAGTCTGGCAGGTGTACATTCGCTCCCCAGTGGGAATGGGGAGCAGAGGTTTCGTTGAGGCATCTCTTGGGAGTGCACAGTCCCTAATTTCTGAAATACCATTGATGAGAAGCAGCCCCAGTTTGGGTCTGAGTTAATGGGTTAAAAGAGCAGAACTGTTTTCTTGGGCGCTGAATATTTCTTCTAGATGTTCAGGTCCATAACCAAGGCAGCTAAGTCAGCGAATTGTCAGCATTCCAGAAAGAAGCGTCATCTCCTTGGGTGCTGAGGACCTCCGGGGCTGCAGCTGACTCTGCCCTCACACACCCTCCTTCTTGGCTTTCATGATTTATTTTGTCAAGAAGAATGAGGGAGTTAGGAGTGGCATCTCTCATAACAGCCTCCTCCCATCTTCTGAGAGTGCTCAAGACGGAGCTTGCCTGCTGCTGGCGTGGGGAGCTGACAAAATATTTAAATAAAGGCTCTGGGGGAAAAGGACATGCTTAGATTACAAAGAGAAATTCCACGCCGTTATGGTCTCAGCGTATTAGGCGCCTCTGTAATTGCACCTATTCAGCACTGCCATTTCTAGTCACCACGCAGCCATCCGAGGGAAGACGGATGCTCTAAAAATGGCCCCGAGAACAGTCTTTTTAAAAAGGCAGTTAACGATCTGGAGCTATAAATAGTGTCTTTCCAACAAATAACAAAGAGGGTCGGTTCCCCTTTCGCCTCTGCTGTTGAGGCCCCGCATCCTGGAGTAAGTGAGTGGGGTCAGGAGGGTTTGCACCTCCCCTAGAGTTTGAGTTCTTGGAGGCCTGATGACACCCAGCGTGTTGCCTAGAGGTGGGGATGAGACCCTGGCTGGCTGAACTGCCGCTCACCGTGTGTTTTTGGAGACACATCCCTCCTGGTGGCACAACAGAAAACCACGACTCTAAGTCACTTGCCCCAGCCCTCTGACCTCTCTTCAGCCCAGACCAGCCCTTCTGCCAGTTATAAAGCACCAGCCCTGCCAAGAGCAAAGAGAGGCTTGCTGGATCCCGCTGTCTCTTCATGGAGTTCCTGAATCACAGAACCTCCCAGTTTGTCTGTTTGCCTCCCATGTATCAAGAACTCAGAGGTTCAGCCAAGCGCGGTGGCTCACGCCTGTAATTCCAGCACTTTGGGAGGCCAAGGCGGGCAGATCACCTGAGGTCAGGAGTTCGAGACCAGCCTGGCCAACATGGTGGAACCCCATCTCTACTAAAAATACAAAAAAAACAGCGAGGTGTGGTGGCGGGAGCCTGTAACCCCACTACTCGGGAGGCTGAGGCGGGAGAATCACTTGAACCCAGGAGGCGGAGGTTGCAGTGAGCCGAGATGGCACCACTGCACTCCAGCCTGGATGACAAGAGCGAGACTCCATCTAAAAAAAAAGAAAGAAAGAAATCAGAAGTTCTTTGACATCATTTTAATTCATACCTTCTCCAAATCAGAACCACAAAAGCAGCATTACCTACACCCAGAATAGACACAGACATCAACAGAAGCACAAAGTGAGATGGAACCCTGTCTCCCAACCTGAGAGGGAGAGTTTGGGCTAAAACACGCCCATGTGAGGACAGCATTTGGAAAGTTAATGCTAAGGAAATAAGAAGGATGGGAGTAAAAAGAGGACAAGCCCCGATGTCCTGTTTATCAGCTCCCCCTCTCTCCTCTCCTGTCTCATCCGCTCCCGCCTTGAGGATAGCGTGGTTTCCCTGGACTCCTTTCCAGACCAGCTGCAGCCCCATTGGCAATACCAACTTCCCTAGCTGGGGTTGGCTGGACGGTGTGGTTCTTGGCAGAAGATGACACATGGGTAGCAGAGTGACTTTGGCTCCTGCATCGAGTGCTTGTCTCAGCCCCATCCATAGCCATATAGAATCCTAGTGGTGAACATGCAACACCCCTGAGAGCCACTGACCAGGCAGGCACTGGGGTGAGGGAAAGTGAGGGGACTGTGTGGGACCAGCTGTGCTGACGACAGCCTGCCACCCAAGGGATGCCTGTCCCTGCACCCTGGCTTTGTTCCTGCACCTGGTCCCCAGGAAGCCAAATCCAGTGCATTTTTCCAGCTTCTGCTCAGAGACAGCCAGTGTCTGCAGAAGGGCCAAGGCCACTGGACGTCTGGAGAGAGTCTGGCCACAATGGCCAAGTGGTGGACGTCTCCACAGGCTGCCCCGTGCCCCTGCAGAGGCAGGGCTTCATGAAGCAGGAGCAGGCAGCTCAGACCTGGGCCGGGCCACCTGTGCAGGTAACTCCTTCACTGCTATTGGTCGGTGGAATTGTAAGATCAGTTCTTCAGCAGGATGCTGCGGGTTTTCTGAGGCCCGTGGCCATCTGGATTTGTGCTCCGAACATATTATACCATGTTAACAGCTTTTAAAGTAGAAACACATGTGATTCTGGAAGGCTGGGATGGGGCAATGGAGGAGACTGTTTAAAATTGCTGTTTGGTATCTCTCGTAGTACAGTAGCAAAGGTAAAAACCTATTATGGTCCACGGAAGCAGTTCATTGCGTAATGACATCTTCATAACTTGCCCTGCTAGCTGGCTTTTCTCACAGTCTCTGCGGGGAAGTTTTGTTCTTTTAAAATATTTTCTGGGGTGGTGGAGGGGGAGAGTTTGGAGGCGCTAAGCCCCTCCACTGAAACTCCTGGGATGGGGGACTTGCAGTAACCCGTGCCCCTCCGAGGAGCCCTGGAGCGGGGTTGGTGGGGACACTTCCACCCACTTCCATGGGGATTTACAAGGTCTGCTTCATGGACATTTTCAAAACTCTTCTCTCTGCTACTTCCTCCCACCACCCCCAGATCACCACGTTTTGGGAGAAGAGTGGTTGGGAAACAAAGACTCAGATATCAGCCTGCCTTTTAGAAATCCCAGATTTTAACCACCTACCAGCTGAGCAACCTTAGGCCAGTTATATAATCCTCAGAGCCTCTGACTCCTTATCTGCAAGATGGGGTAACAGTAACACATGCCTGCTATTATTTATTACTGATGTTGCTGTTTCTGAGCAGTATAATAATGCTGCTATTATTAACAATTACTGCCGGTATGGAGAGGAGTCATTAGGGCAATGCCTGTACGGTTCCTCGCAGCTCAGTAAAGGCGGTGGTTGCCACCAGCACAAGCATGCCTTGCAGGTTGGTTTTGGTTATTTAATCTTTGCCAAGTAATGCATTGTGGGTTTCTGTTCTGTGAGCATCCCAGGAAAGGAGGCAAGCCAGTTTCGCCCCAGTGGAACTGGGGCAGGAATAGAGGTGGAAAGATGGAAAGCCCACCATCCTCCCAGCTCCAAAGGAGCTGCTCCCTGCTTCAGGGGAAATGGTGACTTTCCAGAGCCCATCTAGCTGATGAAGCAAATGGCGGTGAGGTCGGTGCCCTCTGCACAGGCTGATGTGCACATTTAGGGAGTCAAGTATGGAAACCTCTTGTTCTTGCACTGTCTGTTCTTGAGCAATCATGAAGAGACCTCACAATCCAGAAGAAACCAAGCGAAGTGATGAAACCACAGCCCTGAGATGGAGAGATGGCGGTGTGGGTGGGCCTGGGAGCTTTGCACAGGGTTCTGTCTAGGTGGAGGGTGGGAACATTTGATATTTTTGCCCACCTGCCTGGAACACACTGTATGTGCAGTTGCGTCACCCATGTCTCAGTCCCTGAGGCCTGTCAGCCCCAAGCAGGCCCCAGATATCACAAAAATCCCCGCTCTTGCTCTCCCGTCTTGCTGTTTTCTGACCCCAGCATATCCATTTCTGTGCGGTTTATTCTGAGAAATCCTGTGTGAATTGTGCTTGAACTAGCGGGTCAGAGACTGTCTCCCACCTCCACCCCCACCTGACCTTTCATCCAGACTGCAAACAGGAAGCAATAAGAATTGTTTGCCCAGTTGCTGCTTTGATCTTCTGGGCCCCTTTTGGGGTAGGAGGCTGTGCTAATGAGGAAACATGGGCCAGAAGTCCACAGGCAGGGGAGCTGTGAGGACGACAGAAAGGTAGGAAACCCGCAGCCAGGTGCTCCAAGAAATGGTAGCGTGTGCCCAAGAGCAGTCTCTGCCGCCCCTCTTGAAGCAGCACCCCTTTATCCAGAGGGGATCGGCTGCATGTTTAATGAGAACTTTAGAGGCCTGGAAGGTGCCTACCTAAGCAATAGCAGGTGGCAGTGGCCCCATTTTAAAGATGAGGAAACTGGCACCCAGAGAGGATTGGTTCAGACGTTATTCGAATTTGCAGCTTTGGAGCCCAACAGGCCTGGATTCAAATTCCGGTTCTTTCTACTTATTATATATATAAGCTACTTAACCTCTCTGACCCTCTCTGATTTTCCTCATCTGTAAAACAGGGATAAGAACACTTCTTCAGATGTGATTGCTATAGATTAAATGAGGGAACATATATAAAGAGCCTGATATATAGAAGTGTCCAATAAATAGCAGCTGTTGTTTTCCATTTATCTATCCATCTGCCCGTTCATCCATCCATCCCCATCCATCTGCCCATCCATCCATCCTTATATCCCTTCACCCATCCGCACATCCAGTAAACAGTGATTGGTAAGCCAAGTGCTGTGGCATCTCAAGATGTTCAGAAATGGATCCTGGCCAAGAAGCTTATGTGTCTAGAGACATTTCTAAGACCGTACTTCCCAGGCCTCTTCTCATGGTGCTTTCATACACAGAGGAAGCATTCTTCTCTTAGCAAAGGCATTGCCTGCTGGTCCCAAGCAACTCCTACCCTGGGCACTGGTGTTGCCTGTGGCCTGAAACCAGGGATCTCCCTCTCCTAGGCGACTGGAAGTGCAGAGCTGCGTAACACAGCCCTTCTTAGATCTGTGCTGTCGTAGCACGCGACAGTGGGTCCCAGCTCTCCAGCAGAATGCACCCACTGCTGCACATGCTGTTGGCCAGCTTTCTGGAGGGTGGAGGAGAGCCATCTTTTAAAAATACTATGTTGGGAAAAAAAATACTTCTGTTTTCATTTCACCAACATAAAAAAATGTAGTCACTGCAAACACTGACAGGCAAACTGGTGGCTAACAAATCAGATCCTCAGGGACTGCACGAATGGAGAGATAAGTCTTGGTGTGTGAATTGCACACGGACTATTTTTTTTTCCTTTTTTAAAAATGCGTACAGGCCGGGTGCGATGGCTCATGCCTGTAATCCCAGCACTTTGGAATGCCGAGGCAGGCGGATCACCTGAGGTCAGGAGTTCGAGACCAGCCTGACCAACATGACGAAACCCTGTCTCTACTAAAAATACAAAAGTTAGCCAGGTGTGGTGGCGCATGCCTGTAATCCCAGCTACTCAGGAGGCTGAGACAGGAGAATCGCTTGAATCCAGGAGGTGGAGAATGCAGTGAGCAGAGATCGCACCACTGCACGCCAGCCTGGGTGACAGAGCAAAACTTCGTCTCCAAAAAAAAAAAAAAAAAAAAAAACAGTGCATAGATTTGTGGGGTCCATGTGCAGTTTTGTTATGTGTATAGGCTGCATAGTGGTCTAGCAGGATTTTTTTTATATCCGTCACCCGAACAACATACATTGTACCCATTAAGTCATTTCTCATCACCTACCCCATCCACGTGGACCATTTTTCATACCAATGGCTGCACACCTTAGAGGCTTGCTCTCTTTAGTGATTTAATTGTTTCTCCTGTTGGTTCCTGTGGAAAGTTCTGTTTCTCTCCAGCCCTACACTTGGGGACCATTTATACTCACTCAGGCTTTCCCACAGCCCTGTGAGATAAGGACCCTTGTACACATGGAAAAACTTGAGAGCAGGTAGGCCACTGCCCAAGATCCCAGGCAAGCTAGAACCAAGCTGGGAAGCGGGCTCTGGGCCCAGGATCAGAACCCCAAGGCCCATTTCCATTCTATCCCCAAAATAGTGAATGACATTGGATAAAGCACAATCCATGTCAGTAATCTCCAGTCCTTCCTAATGTGGACTCTCGCCTTCCAGCATTTAACATACCCATAATGGCCCCATTTTAGTGGCTGACTGTCTGTCTGTCTGTCTGTCTGTCTCTCTCTCTCTTTCCCTCTCACACACACACAGGCGCGCACACACACACACACACACACACACACACACACACACATAGGCCTCTGTACAGATGGACCCTGCTTCCAAAATGGAGAGTTTGCATTTTCCTTTCATCCCTCACCTCCTAGTCCCCAGGCCCTCCGCCCTCCCTAAAGATGCTGTGGTGAAGGGGTTCTGGAAGATCCCATTGTCTGGCCTGTTACACGCTCTGCTGAACAGCCCACCTGAGCCAGAATGGGCCTGGGCACCTCCTCTGAGGCGTGTCACATTTCCCAAGCGCAGCCTGATGAATAGGACGTCCTTTATGGCCAGCCCCCTGCACGTGTTTCTCTCTGTGCAGCTGATACTGTTGTGCTCAAGACACAAAGGCCCCCATGTCCCTGGCTGCCCATCCTCTCTGCCTGTGTGAAGGGCGTGCCATGTGTTTGTGGATTTCTTGCTGGAACAGGGCACAGATGGCTGGGTTTGAGTGCAGCAGTAATTAAGAATTGCCCAGGAGCTAACATATTTATGGGCACTGGCCCAGGACAGCCCAGAAGGTCGCCTTGTAATCAGGCATCACGTGACTCCTAGGAGCCAGTTAACAATGGTATGGCCGTGGCTTGCATCCTCTGCCCTGTGCCCTTAGAGGGTTTTCTTTTTAATTGGGGACATTTCTGAATGCATTTGGGTCCTTCCTCTGCTTTGGGGGAAGCTCTGATGTTTCTGGGCCTCAGTGGGTCCAAGTGAGGTGGCCTGGAAACCACCAGTAAGCACACGAGGTTGGGGTGATGATGATGGTGAGGCCATTCTACCCATCTCATGGCTACTCAAAGTCAGTATTGCAGTCTGAGTCCTGGGCAGGGTTCTGGAGACAGTGCTGCTGTCAGGGGAGCTCCAGCCCTAATAGGAGACTATTTAGGGCATTTATGGAGCTTGCAGCCTGTGTCCAGCACAGTGCACAGATGTATAAAGTGTCTCCCTGACCTTTGGAATTGGGAGTCTCATCAAGTATGTGGTTAATGCTAAATTGTATGGTATTTCCTTTGCTTGTTCATTCAATAAATGATGCGAGCACACAGTAGGTACTGAGTAATGCAGTTATGAACCCCTGCTGCACTCTTTTGTCTACTCACTGGCACTTACATACAGCCTTTTATCCATTGGACAGTACCTCTTGGCGCAATCGTGACGCCTTGGGTTGTTGGTTACCATTCTGTGCGTTTATCTGTTTCACCACCTTCATTAACAACAGCCGTTTATGGGGCACCTAACAGTGCTAGATGCTGTCCTGAGTACCTTACATATGTTGCCTTATTTAATCCTCACAGAGTTCCTCTTTGACAGATGAGGAAACTGAGACTCAGAGACATGGTTACTTGCTGAAGACACAGAATATGCATCAAAGGTGGTCTGACTTGAGAGCCAGGGTGCCTGGTATTCGGCTGTGCCACCCCATCTGCATCTAAGGATTTTTTTGTACAATCCACAGTGCCTGGCACTGTGCCTAGATAGCACTGATGCTTCCAGAGAAGGAAGAGATCATGCTGGATTTCCCATTTTTCTGTAGGATAAGCACAGCATCTGAATTCGGTTCCAGCCGGCCTTCCCAGCCTCACGCTGTACCATTCCCTGATCTTGAGTCACCTGATCCTGCCTGTAGTTTCTCAGTGCACTCAGTGCTCCCGGAGGCTTCCCTGACTTTGCACCTGCCCTTGTCTCCACCTGGAATGTCCGTCCCTGCCCCTTTGTGCCTGGAGGCCTCGTCTTCTGTCTAGAATAGGTGGATGCCACCTGCCTGAAAGCCTTCCTGCATTCTTGCAGACAGTCATCCTTCCTTTTGTCCTGCTCCATCACAGCCTTACCAGTTTTGTGTTGGGATTGCTTGCCTGTCCCTCTCCTGCTAAGGACAGGGCACTCTCTGAAGACAAAGACATGTTTTATTTTATACCCCCTCGACTAACACCCATGCCTGGCACATCAGCCAGGCTCAGCAGACAGTTACTGAGTGAATGCATTCATTGGAGCAGCTCTGTGGAGCAGTTGAAGCTGTATCCACCTAGGCTTTGAAAGCAGAGGAAGGGAAGGCATTTCAGGCAGATGCCCCCTTCTTGCTATTCTCCTCTTTCTCGGGCTCCCTGGGTTGGGTGAAAATTGGCTGTAGACATGAGACACCCCTGTTGCCTCCTAAGTAACATCTGTTTACTTTCCCAGGGAGAGTAGCGATTTACGAAGAGCAAATGGAAGCGAAAACCCCTTTTCTTCTTTGGGCCGGCTGTGTATTGCTGGGGCACTTGGGCAGACCCCCAAAGACATCCTTAAAGACAAGAGAAATCGGGGGCTGTGTGAAGATGTCACATCTGCAGATAGGGTTCGAGGTAGAGCGGCCTTTTGGGTTTTCTCCTCATTTGGAGAAATCGAGAAGTAGCACGGAAGACCTTCAGACCCAGAGCTTGTGTACGGCACAGTCCTTGAAGGATTTGCTCCCATTCTCAGGGAGCAAGACCCATCTTAAACGTGGAAACAAATACAGCAGAGTAATACATACTTGAGGCTTAATGTAAGTTAATTCCTCTTGGCACAGCCCCAGATATCTTGATTAAATGGTCTGCGAAGTGCTGAGATATCTTGATAATGTACGTTTTACATTTGATTATATAATCAATTATGTTTCTCCTAATAAAATTTAAAATGAGCTAAAAAAGCCATGAGAAGACAGTACCACATATCAAAAGAAGGTCTCCAGATGAATGGAAGGAAGCCCTGGCCCCCTGGGTCACATGTTGGTGTTCTCAGGCATTGGGGCCCGGTATTTCCTGCGTTTACCTGTGCAGAAGTCATCATAGCTTACTAGATTTGTGTTGGTAGAGGGCATGTGCAGAGTGAGGTATCATTTCAAGACACAGAATATAGCGCAGCATTGCTTTCTGGGATGAACGTGGTTTTATTCACTCAGTAACTGAGAGATTGAGGATTTGGCTCATCTCAGGAAGCTCAAGGCAGAGCTGAGAAAAGAACTCAACGAAGCTGGGCTTGCCCGAGAGACTGCCACCGATCTGGTTGGGGCCACCAGTCAATTTATGAAACAATGTAAGGAGGAGTGTTCAGAGGCGCACCAAGGGCCTCGTACAGCCAATTAGGAGAGTTGCTGGTGGCTTTCTCTGCCTGCCTGTGAAGCAGCAGTGCCCGCTGGGGAGGTGGCAGGATTTAATAGAAGGGGCATGTTCAAACCCATTCTTCCAGGGAGTGTAGGAGAAGGACCTGATGAGTCTTCCTATCCGTGCCCTGGAGGGTGATGTTTCTCCAAGGATGCTTCCATGTAGCAGGGAGCTTGGGAGGTTTGGGGGACAAATGCTCGTTCTTATTAATGGATGGAAGGGTCTATTCCAGACAATCCATTCTGTCCCGCAGACAGGCTGCTGCACCATTTTTGTTTCCGTTTAAAACATTGCTATCAACCAGTTGGAATATAGGCCCGGAGTATCGCAGGGAGTAATCTAATTAGTATGAAGTCAATTCAGTCGCTCCTTTTGTATCTCGTGATTAAATAAGTGGGGAAAATGGCTTGAAAATTAGGTGCTAGAACGACCCAATTACATTTCTGTAGCTTTTTGTATTCAATTTCATAAACAATTTTGCTCTTCGCTGGTTAATCAGTGAATGCCTTTTTCCAGTTTGAAAAGCACTTTTGAAATTATAATGCAATTAAATTGTGTGTGGATGTTCTGGCATAGCGAGTGTGAAAGCCAGGGGCTTGGCAGGCCGCCATGTTGTACCTTGACTGTAATGAGTCCCTGGGCTGGCAGCTTGCGAGTGTCATTCATAATATTGTCCATGCTGGGTTACTGTAAAGTGCAGCTGCCTTAACCGGCAGTTAACCGGCGACTGCCAGTCTCTCTCTGCAGTGGGCTGTGCGTGCCTCTTCCAACAGGGCTGTACCCCAAAGACGGCAGAGTGGCCAGGCTCCTCTCAGTACTTGCCCAGGCATTGGGAAGTCGGGGGTCTTCCTGGTGGATGGGGCCACTGCCTCAGAGATGATCTGATTACCTGTCCCCAGGGAAGGGTGGAATGTATTTATCCTTCTTCATCTCCTTGGCCTAGCAGGCTTCTCTGTCTACAGTTACAACAGATTATGGGAAGGGGAAGGGAGGAGACAGAAGTCTTAAGCACCTTGCTCTGCACCTAGCTTACAATAAATACCTTTACTGAATCCTTCCAATAACCTTTGCAAGAGTAGTATTACTGTCTCCATTTGATAGATGGAGATATTGAGGCACAGCGGGATTTGATGACATCCCATAAGTGGTGGCTCTGAGATTGGGACCTGAATTGATCTAACTCCAAGACCTATGTTCTTTCAGCATTTCTGCAACTGGGAAACAAACTGAAATAAAGGCTGGGGGAGCTGGGTGCAGGAGAGTGGCATGAAGTCACTGCTCTCCGAGAGGGGACGTGAGGACATGAACCTTCTTCCTTAGGCTGGGAGAATGCCTCTTGGTCCACACAAGGATGCCATATAGAAAATGAAAGATGCTTTAGTTTTTCACCAAATTATATTTAACCATATTTCCACTCCTTTGGACATTTCGATGTGAGTTGGGATGATCTATAAGGTGGGCACAAGACACAAGACAGTGACTCAAGGCTGGGATCATGAGAAGCCCCTAGGGAAAATACTGGCCATGGCATAATCCAGTGGCACAATCCTGTCTCAGTCCCCAGATCTTGCCCCAATCAAGAACAAAGACTCTCGTGCCTCTAGTGCCTTAGGATATGAGGCCTGTAGAAGGTGGTCGACCCCCAAAGGGCCTCACAGCAGGAGGTGGTGAGATCACTCTGATTCTAGAACTTTCTTGCTGATTAATGGCTCAAGTCCTAACAGTTAACACCTAGCCTCCACCTCTAATCCCCTTCTTCCCTATTGATTCTTTTTCCTGATAGAGGCCTTCACACTAAACCCGGTTTACTGCAAATGAGTGTTATTAAACTCCTAGAGGGTGCTTTTCAGCACATTCCTTCATGTTAAAATTGCCATAGACTTTCAACCAAAGGAGGGGAGTACCTGTGGCCTGGTTATCGTAATGCTTGCTGAGTGGAAATGACAAGCTTTACACCAAGGTGGGCCTCCAGGGGGCTGGAGCACTGTGGTGGTGTTTATTGGTGAGAGAGGAAAGGTTAGCAGGTAGAAGTGAACACACCTGGGCCTGGCTGGTACCGGGGAGAAGGAGGGACAGAGGGAGAAATGTCCTGACCTACCTTGGACTTGGGGAGATTGTTTCCTGTTGTAGCCTCTTTTAAAAATTTTTTTGACTGTGTCTGGGAGATCATGGGTCAGGTGCAACATCTCTTTTGCAGTAAAGCTTGGCAAGGCTAGGGTGGGGAGGTGAATGGGGTGGGACGGTGGATTAGAGAGAGGAGGGGAGATAGGGCCCCTGGGACTAAGCTTAGATTTAGCTGGGAAGCATGTTAGTAGCTGCCAGCATGTGCTTCTAATCATCTATTCGCCAGATGTTCCCGGAATGGGAAATAGAGGGGCCTTGCCTGATAGTTCCCTGATGGAAACTGGTAGCTTCAAATTGGAAATGGGCTCCAGTTTGCTGCCAGGTGTTTGCTCCTTCCTAGAACATCTGGAAGGAGGACAGTAGAAAAGGCATCTCTGCCCCAGCCTGGAGTTTTGCGGGCAGCTGTCTTGCTGATGGATCTCTGAAAGCTGGACATTGTGGTCATGAGGAGAGTCATGAGAATCTTCTGAAATGAGCCCTCCATTTGCAGGAGTTCACCTCAGAGTTTAAACTTCCAGGATTGAGCCTGAGGCTCCAAAACAGGGCACCTTGCAAGCCTGGGCTAATAAGGCACCTATTTCTGGAGAGATGCAGATTTTTCAAGATGTTAGAGGAAGAAGCAAGAGGAAGATGAAGAATCAGCTCCTGACCTAATTTCTGGTCCAAAGTGAAAAGATTGAAAAATACTTTTTAAGGTGGTGACTATCCTAAACCAGTGAGCCTTGTGGAAATTCCATGAGGATCTCACAGGGAAAACTGGACCCCGAATGAATTAACATGGAACCCACCTAACCACACAAGTCTTTGCTCTGGGTATGTGGAACCAAAATTATCTTCCTGGCTGAAATGACCAGTTTCTCAAGAATTTTAGGGTGCAGTGCAGGATCCTAAGATGGTGTAGCAGGAGGCCACTCCCTGGGCCTCTGAGTGCATCTGCCATCAGTGGGAAAGGGTGTGAAATCTGCCTTGGGAGTTACAGGGAGGTCCTCAGCGTAGACACGAGCCACGGCTGACACACACTCAGGAGAACACTTACAAAGCAAACTGAAAGGAAATTATGGGACGCTCATATGATGGATGATTACACATCCATTAAAATGGTGTTTACAGAGAGTTTTTAAATGACGTGGAAATGCCGATGACATAGTATTGCACAAAAAAGCTATAAAATTTATATACGCTGTGAATCATATTAGAATTAGAATCACCTGGGGAGCTCTTAGAGAAGACCAACTCCCAGGCCCCACCTCAGACCAAGTAAATCAGAGGCTCTGAGGGTGGCGCCTGGACATCCCTGTCTTTTAAAACCCCCCAGGTGATTATGATATGCAGGTTGGGTTGAGAGTGATTGCAGTAAAGCAGTATTCATGGAAGGAAAGAAATTCTCCACACTTTCACCAGTGGTTTTCTCTGGTAGAGGAGTTATGGGGTGGGTTGAAATCTGTGCCTTAATTATTTGTGAGTTATCCACGGTTTTGCAGGGAGCATAGGAGCTATGATGAGAACAGGGGTCTCTTCCAGCAGGTAAAAATGGACAGTGCTGGAGACCCAAGTCGAATCTCTTCTCTGCAACACTCTTCCCTGCCTGCCTTCTTGTCCCCAGTCCTTGGGATTCTGTTAATTTGGGGATTTATTTCATGCTCTTGGTGATGAGGCCATTATGCCTATTCAGATTGTTTATCAGAAAAGCCAACAACCAAAAACAACCTATTTGAGACAAAGTGGGAGGCCCAGCATGGCGCCCACTGCAATTGCTCATATGGGTGTGACCTGAGTTCACAGGGTCGCCAGAGTCTGGCAGCTTGGGATGCATGGTATGCAGAAGGCTGCTGGATCCTCTCTTATATGGGGGTTCCTGGCAGGCCGATCTGGCAGGCAGGTGTGTGAGTCCTGGCTGGGTTGGCTTTCCTCCCAGGACATCTGGGAGAAAGACCAGCATGGGAAGAAGGCAGTCAGGGCAGCAGTGACGGCCTCTGGGGCCCCTCCCCCTGCAGATTTGAGCAAAGCCTGAGCCACAGGTGGGCTCAGGGTAAAGACCAGGGTAGGAGTGTGCACTCAGCCATAATTGGCCGCCTTGTTGATGTATTGGGTCCAGTGAAGAGCCTCTGAGCAGAGGGATGCTGTGCCAAGTTTCATTTCTGGAGCTGTGGTGGCTCTAACTAGGAATCGAGCTTTTGCCCAGTCCTGACATCATTTGATCATTTAGCTCCGAGGAACCAGAGGCAGGAAGCATGCCACTAACCTTTTACTGCCTGTCACTGTTGAAGAGGAGGGGCAGGCCGCCCTGGGAAGGGGAGAATCAATCCACAACTTGCTTTTGTCGTTTGTTAAGTCTTCTCTCCCCGCATTTCAGGCTGAGGGGCCTGACCTTGCCACCTCAGAACCATGAGACAGGAGGATGCAGGAAGGGGAGATGCTCTGAGGGAATGTGGCAGCCCCCACCAGGCCCCGCTCCTCCCAGGAGATGGGTTTCTGGTGGACCTGGTAGTGTTTTACCTTGCCTTTACCTCACGTACCTCTGGATTCTGAATATTCTCCTCTGGTTCTTGTGCTCTCTGAATATTCTCCTCTTGGATTCGTGGTGTGGTCAACGACAAGGGTCACCTAGTCTATACTCCAGTTTCCTCTTGGGTTAAAATGGATAATCCTTTTTGAGATACTTCATCGAATGATAGTAAGGATAAAGTGAAATAACCTACAGGAATGGGTTTGGAAAGACAGTGGGAAAGTAATAGTAATGATAATAATGTCACTTTGAGAGCACATCCAGACACTCCTCTGTTCTTTTCCTCTCTGTTCCCAGCTGGGCAGGTGAGCAGCTTACACCAAATGGGAAAGCCAATACTTTCTACAGCCGACTGCGTGCCTCTGCCTTCCCCGCCCACATCAGGAGAGGGTCCCAAACCCTCCCTCTCTGCAAATGCCCACTTCCCTCATGTCCTCTCAATCCCACCTACACCCACCCTAGTTCTCCAGACCCCTAAGGAAGGGTACTTTATCATTAGGCCAACTAATTGTTCATCTGTGCTTCAGTGGGTGTGGTGGGGGAGCTAGAAAGCTGATCAGCCGTGCCAAAGAGTAAATCAATGGATCGTAGCCAAGTCAGGACAGGTGACCCTGACAGGTGTGTGCAGCAGAATCGGATCCTCAAGCCAGAGCCTGCTGGGAAGCATGAAGGATTTGGCATCACCAAGGAGGAATGTCGCAGGTTTGAATAAGGATTCAGAGGTTTAATCAGCAAAGCTATTTAGGTCCCAGTGAGTCTAACTGTGAGAATTATTTTGAGCTTCACCCTGTTCCAGAAATTTTGGGTTCGCTAAGCAAGATGGTATTTGGCAGCAGCAACCTGGAAAAGAGTGAGGACTTGCCATAGAAGCCTCTGGGATTAGAGGAATTTGCAGAGCCTCAGAGCCCAAGGCTGGCGCCCAGTAATTTTTGTGGGACATGGTCTCAGAACTCTAGCTTCTGACGATTTGCTTTTAAAAGTCCAATCTGTCTGCCTTTCTCCTTAAGGCAATCTGTCCTGAATTCAAGATATTCTGTGTCTGCTTGTCTTTGTCCATTTTGTCACCTTGAGACATGGCTGCAGCCTCAGGTACCTCCTGGCACATAAGCAGGTGCTAAA
This sequence comes from Homo sapiens, assembly GCF_000001405.40. Classification (NCBI taxonomy): domain Eukaryota; kingdom Metazoa; phylum Chordata; class Mammalia; order Primates; family Hominidae; genus Homo; species Homo sapiens. Next base: position 57,572,616 of record NC_000017.11, read on the forward strand.
CCAATATTGATTGAATCGAAGGAGGCTAGCACGTTGGAGGGAATGTGTTGCCTTCTGTGTAAAGAGCCCTCCTTTCCCCAGAGCTGGCATCTCTGCTATGGAGGCTGCCACCCACCAGCTCAGGGCAGAGAGCTGAGCTCGGCCGACCTCCATTCGTCAGCACGGCGCCACATTTGGGTAGCACCTGCTTCCCCGCCGTCCTGATTTAGAGGAGCCTGGATTCAGGTTTCTGTTGTAAACTCTATTTTTAACTAAACCGAGTGGAGATCAGGCTGAGATGGCTGTAACTTATGGGCATGAGGTGACCAATGCAAAGGTAACAGGATGCATTCTCACTGGAACTGCTGTGCAAGTGTGGACGTGCCCGACAACTCCGTCTGAGGATCCCACATGGGCACAGTGACCTGGGATGGAGCAGGAGTGCCCCCTCGTAGAGTCCAGATGCACATGTCCAATGGGAAGGCGAGGGCAGTCTCCTAGAATGCCTCTGTGGTGGGCGGTACGGTGTTCATGGGGACCACTTGTCAGTGTCTGCCCTTATTTGTCAGCATTGGTTACTAGTTATTGTAAAGATATTGCCTTACATTTATATTTCCCAAATGCATTGATCCCTATAATGACCTTGAAAAGCAATAATAGCGTTATAATAATATGTAATAATAGTATTAATGACCAGCAACTTCTGCTTATTGATCCCTTAGGATGTGTCGTGCTCTGTGCCAAGTGCCCTCCTACATTATCACTCATTAATAAACCAGGTGGGGAGGCTGTTACTGGGATTTCCATTTTTCAGATTCATTCATTCATTTGACAAATTTTTATTGAGAATAAGTTCTAGGCACAGGGAATTCAGCAGTGAACCACCCAGGCTGAAATCTCTGCCCTCAATGAGGAAGCTGAGCCTGTTGAGGTCACCTGAGTTGCTCAGGGTGATAGAGCCCATAGAGTGAGGCTGGGGATCAACCCCCATCACTCCAGACCTGCTGAGTTCCTGGGCCACCACATTTATCAGCAAGGATAACCGACCAGCCATTGGCCTCTATTATATGGCAGCTTATCCAGGGCTGTGTTAACACTAAGCCTTCCATTTATTTTGGTTGATCTTCCAGGGGCTGATGGAGGAGTGACAGGCTTTAGGGACAGACAGACCTGGGCTTACATCCCAGCTCAGCGACTCCCTGATGGAAGGAGGGCATGGACAGTGACTTGACTTTGCTGAGCATCTGATTCCTCATTTGTCTAACTGGGATAACATTACTTGCCTTGAGGGCGAGGGCAGGCTAGAAGGATTAGATATCATCATATGAAGGGGTTGAGTAGGACTTATAAGCCAAGTACGTGGTGGTGGTTGTGACGATAATGATGACAACCTAATAAGAAGGAAAAGCCAGGCGGGGAAAGGAATATGGCTCATCCTAGAGGAGAACAAGTCAGGAGGTAGCTCTACCCCTCCCTCCCTGGGCTAGGATTTGTCAGTCCCAGGTTGGGAAAGGAACTCCAGCCCCTGCACATCTGTGTCTCCCCAGCCCCACCCCTCATATCCTCCATCCTAGCCCCAGCAATGCCGCTGCTCCTCTGGGGAAAGCTAATGGCCAAGGCATTACTTAACTCCTGGCTTTTCTCCAGCCTTTGCTGAGGCCTCCACCACTGCCAGCTTCTCTCTCGTCACTATTTGGTTATGTTCCTTTACAAGCCAATGAAATAAAATAAGAAAGTCCATTATACCTCTGGTTGGCAGAAAACCAGGAGCTAAGAACCAGAGTGCAAAGGCCCTCATGAGTCTGTAGCACAGGCCATTGGATGGGGATGTCTTCCTTCAGAAGGATGGTGCATGGGCGGGGCAGGGCGGAGAAGCCAGCCCATGGGCCAGTCCACAGAGCCCAGGTCAAGGATGCAATTCTGGGTCCTGTGTCCCCATGGTTGAGCCTCTGGTGGCCACCCCCAGTCTCTCCTAGAAGGTTTCCAGCCTGGATGTGTCAGGCTGGCATGTGTGCCAGGCTGGATGTGTCATATGGGGCACAGCCTTTAGGCGCAGCAGTAGGTGACCCTTTGTAGGGCAAGGGTCTCTCTCTGAGTGTGGGTTCTGTCCTAGCTTTTGCCATCTATCTTCTACCAACTACTGTGGAGCTTCGGTTTCATCAGTCTTAAGAGATGAGCAGGACAGATGGCTCTGCCAGCCTTCAAAGACACAAATTCTGCATTCTCTCTCTCTCTTTTTTTTTTTTTTTTTTTTGAGACGGAGTCTCGCTCTGTCGCCCAGGCTGGAGTGCAGTGGCACGATCTCAGCTCACTGCAAGCTCCGCCTCCCGGGTTCACGCCATTCTGCTGCCTCAGCCTCCCAAGCAGCTGGGACTGCAGGTGCCCACCACCACGCCCGGCTAATTTTTTGTGTTTTTAGTAGAGATGGGGTTTCACTGTGTTAGCCAGGATGGTCTCAATCTCCTGACCTCGTGATCCGCCCACCTTGGCCTCCCAAAGTGCTGGAATTACAGGCGTGAGCCACTGTGCCCGGCCGCATTCTCTTTTTTAACTCCCTCCCCCCGCCACCCCCCGGCTGGAGCAGATCCCTGTTCTGGCTGGTCCCATCCCCTCCACAAGCAGCCCATGGACACTGAAGCTTATTCCTGGAGAGAAAGTGATTGGGAGATCCAGGGTTTTGCCTGGCTTATAGTTTCTGTGGCATCATTTGCCCTAGATGCTCAAACGTCCTATCTTGTCGGTGGAAGTGGCAAAACCACATTTGACACCGCTCTAGGTGGCGGCTCAATGGGAGTGGAGTGCTGCGCATCTCCTGTTTGACCTTTCAGTCGCTGCATGGCTCTTCCAAGCTGCCGCAGCCTGGAGAAATGTGAACTTTCACCAAAGCCTTTGCAAATGAGCTTTTCCAGACAAGGCAGATGGCTTTGTTTGGCCAGGCCTGAGGACCCCGGGATTGACTTCCTTTCTGCTCTTTCTTCTCACTGTCCTCTTACTCCCCTGCACCTCAGACCTTCAGCTAAGCAGATTCCACTCCCCCTGGCCCAGGCTCTGGGTAGAAATTGGAAAAGGAGCCGGGCGCGGTGGCTCAGGCCTGTAATCCCAGCACTTTGGGAGGCTGAGGCGGGTGGATCACGAGGTCAGGAGATCGAGACCATCCTGGCTAACACGGTGAAACCCCGCCTCTATTAAAAATACAAAAAATTAGCCGGGCCTGGTGGCAGGCGCCTGTAGTCCCAGCTACTCGGGAGGCTGAGGCAGGAGAATGGCGTGAATCCAGGAGGCGGAGCTTGCAGTGAGCCAAGATTGTGCCACTGCACTCCAGCCTGGGCGACAGAGCGAGACTCCGTCTCAAAAAAAAAAAAAAAAAAAAAAAAAAATTGGAAAAGGAGGCTCTGGTGGATTGAAGAAGCAGCCCTGGCGTATTTTTCTTACTTAAAACTTGGTCTGGGACTAACTGCCTCTGGTCAGAACTGATTTAGTTTTTAGGAATCATTTGTAAGACAGACACTGTGGGAAGGCCATCCTTTAAAGCCATTGATTCCTGTAATAATTATTTGCTGAACACTGGCTCTGTGCTGGGCACTTATCAGGGGCTGAGGATATGGTGGTGAACAAAACCAACAGCAGTCCTGGAGCTCAGGCTCAACAACTCTATTCCTTGCACACATTCTAGCCGTGGAGAATGTGGGTTGTGTGCTTCTCACAGCCTTGAAGGCAAGGGCTGGATCCTACTCTCCATTGTATCCTAAAGGCCCAGCTGAGATTCTTTCATATAGAAGGTATCCAATGAATGTTTGTTGTAGGAATAGATGTTTTCTGTATTTCCTAAGACTCTAAAATGAATGTTACTTTTATAATCAGAAGACCATAATCCATGTTGGCTGGGTGCAGTGGCCCACACTTGTAATCCCAGCACTTTGGGAGGCCGAGGCAGGTGGATCACCTGAGGTCAGGCGTTTGAGACCACCCTGGCCAATATGGTAAAACCCTGTCTCTACTAAAAATACAAACATTAGTGGCACGGTGGTGCATGCCTGTAATCCCAGCTACTTGGGAGTCTGAGGCACAAGAATCGCTTGAAACTTGGAGGTGGAGGTTACAGTGAGCTGAGATGCGCCACTGCCCTCCAGCCTGGGTGACAGAGCGAGAATCTGTCTTTAAAAAAAAAAAAAAAAAAATGACTATAATCGATGTCTAATTTTAAAGAAAAAAAAAAAGGAAGGTTGGGCAGGGCGAGATTTTGACATGGTTTATAGGAAGCCTGGGGTTTTTTTAGTTGACTGTTAAGTTTTCTTTGAGGCAACAGGTGATGGAGCTGCTAAGGACGCCACCACAAAGGGAAGTCCAGTCCGGTATTTGGTTGCACTGCTCAGACCCCATGTGGAATATTCCATTCCAGGCATTTATTTTAAGAGGGGCATTGACAAGATAGACCACATCAGAGGAGGTCGTCTGATGGGGACCAGGACAGTATTACGGGAAAAATTCCAGAGGAACCAAGGAGACTCGAATAAGGAGAAATGAGGTGGCTACGTTAGATCTTGAAGGACTACCCCTGGGAGGGGGGCCAGGCTGCTTCCCCAACCATGAGTGGCCGTTTGTGAAGTTACCAAGAGAAAGGCTGATCCTTGGGCTGAAGAATTTAGCAACACCTCAAGATGCCCAACTCAAACAAGCTGTGTTTATGAAGTACCGAGGGGTGATGCCCCTTTCCCCAGAAATATTCAGAGACTAGAATTGATGAGGCAGCAAGATGGGGCCAGGGACCACTTTGCAAACCACTGGTGGGTCCTGCATTATGAAAGTCCAGCCTGGTCCAAACCGTCCCATTTCCAGACCCATAGAGCCCAACTGGTAATATTTCAGGAGGATTCTGTATAAAATTATATCTTTAAGCCCTGGTCTCCAGTAGATATTGGTTTAATTACCAGTTATTTACTGCCATGCTCAGTAGATGATAGACAAGCAAGAGAAAAGGATAAAATGAAAAAAATTAAAAAGAAAATTCCAAACCCTTTGAGGTAGTAGGAAGAGCCCCCTACTTGCTGAAGATGATTAAGAAATAAAGAGAAAGCTTTTCTTGGAGTCATGATGTAAGCCCAAAGGGAAAGTAGGTTCTTATTTATGAAAAAAGGTTATAACTTAAGCTGTTCAGAAGCACAGCAATTACTTGGAGTAAGATGCCTCTTAATTCATTTGGCCTCCTTTGTAGGTGGCTGAGTAAGTGTTTCTGCGTCCTCGGACTCCAGCCCTTCTTTGGTCGCCACTTGCTTTTGTTCACGGCAGGTCACTGGGTACTCCAGAGGCATTGTTGATAATAACATCTCTTTCCTCCCCCACACCACCCGCAAGCAAAGCTTTGGAAAAACAGCCAAGTGTTCAGCAAAGTGAAGGCTTCGCTTTTCTTCCTCCCCGCTCCTCCCCTTGTTGAGAAATCCCATTATCCGGGAGAATGATTGTGAAACTCCAATCTGTCTGCCGCTGAGCTGTGGGCCGTTCTTCTTGCCTCCTCCGCCCCTGCCCTGGTCCCCTTGTCTATCTGCAGGGGGAAGACAAATATCTATATATTAAAGCTTTAAGAATCTATAAATCTGAGTTGATTCTCTGCTGGTGACAGCCCAAGCTCTTTCCCACCACGTTTGACATGATCTAATGGGTTTACAGTTGTTTGAGTGCTTCTCTGAAGCAAATGAAAGTGCTTAGTTAGGGGACGTATGAAATGGCATTGTTTGTTCTGGGCACTACAGCAAAGCTAGGGGATCATCTTTAAATTATCCACCCTTTCTCTTCAGCCACCCCGCAGAACAAGGGGCTCTGCCGCTGAAGGAGCTGCAAAGACAGTTCCTACTGGCCTTGCCTTTCTGCTTGAGAGGTGCCAGGACTGGGGGGGTAGGATGCATCCCCAGCTGTATTCATTTCGCCAGGAAGCTTGGGGCTAATTGGGAACAGAAGAATGCCCAGGGGATGAGGGGAAGGGGACGGGAGAAGGATGGTCTCACCAAGGTAGAGGAGTGACAAATACTTGCTTCTAGCAAAACAGGAGTAAAAACAAGAGAGACTCCTAATGAGAGCTTTGGGGCAGTTTGTGCTTTCCATTCTCAGGGGCCAGCAGTGTGGGTTGGTGTGATTAGTTGCCTTGCTACTTGGCGCAAAACCAATTCCTCTTTTCAATATCAAGTTTCATAAGCGTGGAACAGTAACAAATCATTATAAACCCTCTGGGACTGGTGGGTGTGTGATGATGCGGGGTTGTTTTTCTTTTTCCCCCTCCTCTTTGATAAGCCCATCTTTTCAGCCCAGGTACATTTTTCCCATTGTAAACAGAAAATGGCATGGGAGGGAGTGTGTCTCGGAAACTTGCTGTATTGTTAATCTGTTATTAGGCAAAAGTCTTAACACCAGGCTGGGTGCTCAGATGCCTCATTGTGAGCTGGGGATGGAATTATGCATCATGAATAAAAACCGCTGTCAACATGCATTGGTTTCAAAACATTAGAGCATATGGTATGTGATTATCTGTATTGTCAAGTGCAATAAAGTGAATTTGGATATAATAAAGGATGTAATATTTTAGAAATTTGGTAATAAACTAAGGAAAGGATGACAGCTGAGGTTCCTTAAGGCCCCAGACACAAATAAATTGAAGTTACTGGTCTCTGTGGCCAAGTGGCAGAATGGCCGTAACATGGCTATCTGTGCTCGGTGATTTTCAAGTTGGGGAAAGCTCTGCTGTCGCTCGGTTGCCTTCTCTGGAGGACGCAGGGATGATCTGGCCCCCATGCTGGGTGGTGGGAGAGGCGGTGGCTCCCGTTGGAGACCCAGGTCTTGCCTCCTTGCCTGGCCTCAAGGTGTGCCCTGTGGCCTGCTCTGAGTGGCAGACGCATCTGCCTCCAGTCAAGGGCCGCCTTGTGCCAGCCATCAGGACATCTGAGGACCCCTCTCCCCTAGACAGTCACCTCTCAGTTAATCTCCAGCCCTCTTTGTCCCCATTTGGTCAATGGGAAGATGTTGCTGTAAACGCAAGGACCCTGAGCAGCCGCCCCTTGGAGGCAGCCGTCTTCTGGAACCCACATCCTACAGGGCCAAATTATTAAGTCATGACAGCAAGTCAATATAAGTAATGAGAATGGTCCTCTAGAGAGGCGTGAGTGCTTCAGCATCTGATGGGGGCTAGGAACTGTGCCAGGCTTCGGTGTACTCTCTCCTTAAATCCTCTATAACCCTATAATGCTGCTGTCCCTATTTGAAGGATGAGAAAGCTGAGACACAGCCAATCAGTTGTGGAACAGAGATTACAACCCATGTCTGAACCCAAAGCCCAGGCTCCTTCCACTTACAACCTTTTCTACAAATCCAGAGGCTCTTTCCATTCATAGTCCACAAATAATAACCCACATGTTCAGAAGGCCTCACCACAGGAAACTGGAAACCTTTACATTACTGGGTACCTAGGGCCTTGAAAGAATGTTCCAGAAAAAAAAAAAAAATAGAACCAGGTGACCAGCTGTCTCCTCTCTGTTCCCACTTGGGCCTAGCAGGGGCTGATCTGCCTTCATTATTCCTGGGGTTTTCCCTTAGCACTGATTTTTCTGTCCAGCTCTAGCAGGGTGAACCCATTTATCATCATATCCTAACAGTTTGCCTTGGTTCAGAACTCATCTTCCTCCTCTGGGAAGGGCTCCTGCCCCCACCAAACCAAAGTTTATCGATGAAGGCTGAGGCAGCATCTGTTTGCATCTCCTGACTGACTGCTTTTGTGTTTCTGACCCTGGCTTTACCTTGACCCCTGGCATTTGACTTCAGGGCTTGCCTTGGCCCCCAGCCTACAGGAAACCCCGGGTGAGGCCTGCCCCCCACACCCTCCACTTAGGCCTGGCCCCTTCCTTCCACCCCGGCATTCTGTGGCTCTTCCAGTCCTGGCTTCCAGTGCTGGTCTTGCTAGCTGCCCTGCCAGGTGGACGGCTTCATTAGTAAGCGTGAAAAATTGGGAGTGCCACCATCAGGCCAGGCTAAAGCAATTTGGATGGCTGGGAAAAGAGAAGACATTTAGTCCATTTCATGCCTGGATACCCCTGTAATTCCTGGGACAGGCTGGGAAGAGGCTTCAATAAACCCCTCTGGCCTAGGAATCTTGTGACCAGTTTGCACTGGAGACGACAACTAGGTGAGTTCAAATACACTTCCAAATCGCTCAGCTTTGGTACCTCAGAGGTGGCTCTGCTAAAGCTCTTATCACCGCAGTCAACATTTATTGATAGCTAAAGTATTTTCAAGTCTCAGCTGGTAGCCCACTCATTCCAAGCAATATTGGGTATAAAATCTTTATATAAAAACAACAGACTTGTGCAGGCATAACCAGAACTAGCATTATCTCATTTAATCCCCATGCCAGCCCCATGAGGTCAGCATCTTTTTTTTTTTTTTTTTTTTTTTTTTGAGACACAGTCTCGCTTTGTCACCCAGGCTGGAGTGCAGTGGCACGATCTCTGCTCACTGCAACCTCCACCTCCCAGGTTCAAGCGATTCTCCTGCCTCAGCCTCCCAAGTAGCTGGAACTACAGGCGTGTGCCACCACGCCTGGCTAATTTTTGTATTTTTAGTAGAGATGGGGTTTCACCATGTTGGCCAGGCTGGTCTTGAACTCCTGGCCTCAGGTGATTCCCCAGCCTCCACTTCCCAAAGTTCTGGGATTACAGGTGTGAGCCACTGCACCCAGCTGAAGTCAGCATCTTTATTCCTACTTTATAGGTGGGGACATAGGATCAGGGAGGTTGATGGCTTGCCCCACATCACACAGCTAGTAAACAACCAGGATTTCTACGATGTCCTCGGATCCAAGATTCAAATCCTCCCAGTCCATGGAATTTCACTCATCTGTCTTAAAAGAGTGTGTTGCTTTCTCCTCCTCCCCACCCAAACCCTTCCATGTAGGTTCTTTTGAGTAGGCTACACTGAGTGACATCTGAGAACAATTTTCTTTAGGAAAAAGAGACCTTGAGTCGCTGTCTCGTGAGTTTCTCCCAGACACAGTCTTAGAACATGTAGAGGGGCTGAGGGTGAACCCCGAAGAACACTTGTGTTCTTGCTCCAGATCCCCAGGGCTGCCCACTGACAACTGTCCCCACCCTGCTGAAGAGCTGGTGAAATTGAACCAAATGCTCCTAATGATCTGTGAATGTATTAATCCTACTTTCTGTTAATTAACAATATGATAAAACCAGCATTTCGTAAGTCGTCGCTTAACACATGTTTTAGCAATTATATACTTAGTGGTTTGTATTCAGAATGCTAATAGAATAAAATTTTAATGAAGATACGATGCTATGAAAAATTTATTGAGACGAGTTCAGGTATGGCTGCCGTTAACATGCAGGAGACAAGCATCTCAGTTTGAAGAGTGAACCTCCCCAATGCCTCTCAGCACTGTGTGCTGCTCAGTCAGGAGGACCCAGGAGATCCTGAAATTGGCTGATTCTTGACTCCCGTGAATTTCTCATGCAAAGATCCCTTCTTGGTGTGGGGAGGGGTCCACACCCGCTGGCAGTCACTGAAGGTCCCTGTTCCCACCCTACCTCCAGACTTCTAGCAATCTCTGTGAATAAGAGGCAACTTCAGAACCAGAGTCCATGATGTACCATCTCACCTTCTCCTAGAGAGTCTCCAAAATTTTTTAATTGTGCAGAAAAAAAAATTAGCATGCCGCCCCCCAATATATCTTACCTGATTTTTAATTTATATGCATGTACCGCTATGTTAATATTCATGTATATTATAAAACCTATACAAATAGGACTATAATAGGATACATTAAGAATTTTATTTATTAATAATTAAAGTAATATTTTTATTACTTTAGAGAGCAATATGATTGAATATGCTGGTTTTAAAAAAGAATTCTTGATTTAACACTTCATGATCCAACTCTAAAGGTTGGATTCTAAGTTTAGTTTATTTTGATACTTGGTTTTAATGCCTGGCATAACTGAAAAATACACCTCACAAGATAAACAGATCCCAGCGGAGGAAGCACGATTCACTGTGCTGGCTAAATCATGATACTAATTTTTCAACCCCATCCTCCAATTATGCAAAGGATTTTGTTGAAATTCAGCTTGTAAATTTCCATCTTCCCTGATGTCAATCAGTTTTTCATGCAAACTAATCAAGTGTTGCATTTTTATATTTTTAACAAATGGGTTCAAAATCCACTGAAATGTTCATGTTTTTTTTCAAATGAATCTTTACAGTTCTGTTTCCGGATTTTAAAAGTCTGCAGATATGAGAGCTTTTGTAGATGACCTAGTTACATCATTTTTAGCAACAAAAACACTAAACAATAGAAATATTTTCCAAACATTTGTTTTCAAAGCACTTTCTCTACGGTACCAGTTTCTGTTGAAAATCAGGTTCTTCCTCATTCACTTGGCTGCAACTTGTCCCATCTGATCAAGATATGTTTTTGGGGGTGTGATGTGGCTGGTTAGGTGTCTTGCCTAAGGGTATGGAAAGGGTTGGCTGACCATTTACTTTTGTGGCATGTGCTTGTATCATTAGTATTATCTCCAATCCATGTTTTCTTTGCAGTTACCTACTTTGTAAGGGTTGGTTTTCTTAAAGCCAGATCGCATAATCTATACCTCCATTTACTGGTTACCTGTAAACAGCACAAGGTACCAGCTGTGCTCAGGTGAGTAAATGAGGAGCCCCACCCTCATGGAAACATTTCCTCTTTTCCTTTAGTGGCTTATAAGGACAAGTGTCTTGCTGACATAAGGACATGTGAAGGCACTGGGATTATTCAGTCATATGATAAATGTTAGTGAAGCTGGAATTATTTCCAGGTGACAAAAATTAGGCATTAGGCATTATACTTTTTTCCTTCTCCCAATGTTTCTTTTTTTTTTTTTTTTTTTGAGACAGGGTCTCACTCTGTTGTCCAGGCCGCAGTGGCATGATCTTAGCTTACTGCAGCCTTGACCTCCTGAGCTCAAGCTTCCCAAGTAGCTGAGACCACAGGCACGTGCCACGACGTCAGGCTAATTTATTTTATTTCATTTTTTGTAGAGATGTGGTTTCACTGTGTTCCCCAGGCTGGTCTCAAACTTCTGAGCTAGAGCAATCTGCCTGCCTTGGCCTCCCAAAGTGCTGGGATCACAGACATGAGCCACCAAACCCAACCTCCCAAAGTTTCTTAACCCTAACTGAATCACTTGGGAGATTTTAAAACATACAGATGCTGGGGTGCTACCCCTAACTCAATTCTGAGGATGGGACCTGGACATCAGCATTTTGAAATTTTTCCCTGAGTGGCTCTGATGTAAGACTCACTACTGAGAAGCAGTGTTCTAGACTGATGCATCTTACATTTTAATTTGCATAAAATCACCTGTTAAAATGCAGATTCAGGTTCAGTGGGTCCAGGGTGGGGCCTGAGACTGCATTTCCAACCAGCTCCCTGGTGGTGTGGATGTGCTGATTGGTAGAACACCCTAAATAATGAGCTCCAGACTGTGCTGCCCCCTGTCCGCAGTAGCCTCCTCACCTCATTCCTCCCTGTCACTATCCCAGGCCTTTGCTGAAGAGTCAGGGAGCAGTCTCCGCTCCCTCCTGGCAGAGCCGCCACGCCAATCCAGCTGCCTGGGCTGCTGGTCACAGCTTCTCAGAGAAATCTGGCTTCCAGATGTTAAGAACAGTTCCTTAACAGCTGGAAGAATATAATAAAATAGGCCAGACCCCACCCCCTGGTGAATTTAAGTATGTGTGTCTCTTGCAAACCACTCATCAGAGGCACCCGATGGTCATCTGCCTGCCCGCAGACTCCAGGCAGGTTTGCTGGCAGTGTAGCCGGGTGGGGTCATGGAGATGCTGGCAGGAATGACCCCCCTGTGGGGGGCGCGGAGGGAGCAGTGGGCACCCAGCCAGGGCTCTGTCAGTGGGACTGGTCTGAAACCATACCTCATAATAAAAGTCATATAATTTGTGGCAGCGCTGAAAACCTGCTCCAAGTAGTGGTTTCTTGATGGAGTTTTGGAACCTTATCTGCGGCTGGTAACCATTCCTTGAGAACTTGTTGGAGAAAGGCGAGTGAGCATCTTAAGAAGGCTGCTGGGGAAGCTGAGTGCACCAGGGCGGGGGGCCAGCATGCCCGCACCCTGCACAGCCAGGTGCGACACTCAAAGATTAATGGATGATTTGGGTTTTTTTTTTTTTTTAACCTAAATGGATGCACCTTAGGGTCTTTTTTTGAGTTGGGGTCTCGCTCTGTCACCCAGGCTAGAATGCATTGGCATGATCGCGGCTCACTGCAACCTTCGCCTCCCAGGTTAAAGTGATTCTACTCAGCCTCCTGAGTAGCTGGGATTACAGTCATGCGCCACCACTCCTGGCTCGTTTTTGTATTTTTAGTAGAGACGGGGTTTCACCATGTTGGCCAGGCTGGTCTTGAACTCCTGACCTCAAGTGATCCACCTGTCTTGGCCTCCCAAAGTGCTAGGATTACAAGCATGAGCCACCACCACGCCCAGCCCTCTTAGGGTCTTTTAAAAGTAACAAGGTGACCTAGGAATTCACTGCATGACTTGTTTTACCTCTCCCTGTCCTGAATCTTATCCCATCATGATAGTTGGTAAAGCACCATGAACATCTGCCTTACAGACATGTCAAGTGGATTTTAACAAGTGAGGCTATATACAGAGACAAAAGTAAGCATGTGTGGAGATAGAGATTGGGCTAGGGGAGAAATAACAAGGCTAGTTTGACTGATAGGAGGGGCTAGCTATCTTCTCAGAAGTGCAGGTGTTTTTAAGCAATCCTGACTGGTGAGGTGGATCATTTGTCTCACAGAGGAGGATACCAAGGGTCAGAGTGGTTGAATAACCTGCTCAGAGTCATGCAGCCAGTTGTGCTAGAGCCAGGATTTAAGCCCAGATCTACCCAGCTCCAAAGTCTAAGCCCTTTTCCACCCACCTCAGTGGGGACATTAAGTAGATTGAAACTCCCTCTTAGCTTGTGTGTTGCTCGCTGCATGGATGAGGCTGGAGGATGAACGTGAGAGAAGGTGACAAATTTGAAACCCACTCTTCAGTGGAGTAGCTGGGGGTACCAACCCAAAAACCCACCTCCAGAGGGAAGAACTTCCAGCTGATACCCCATCTCCCCTGAGCTCAGAAAGCCCTGAGTTGAGAATCCTTGAAGGCCATGCTCCCGCAGTTGGAGCTCGCCAAAGCCGCCCCGGGCTCTGTGGTTTCCAGAGCAGATGCGGAGGCGGCACGTCCTCGTGCCCTTGCTCCAGCTGCGCACACGACCTCAGCCTCCTCTGCCCCGCTGGGCGCGAGCTGCAGTCCTGGCACCTTCTGCTGGGGTCCTGATCTGAGCCAGTTGTCTAGCGATTTAATTTGGTGAATTTACCACTGCGTCCCAGAGTTTATATTGGCACTTAACAGCAGTAATATGTTTCTCTCTCGCCAAGAACTATTTTCCCGACCAAGATGGAACACCACGCACAAAAAATAGGTTTGTGAACTAATCTGCTGCCCTGACAAGTGTCATTCACAGAATCACTGCTATAGAGCGCACTCGGAATTAAATGAGGCTGGGGTTGTCTGGCCTGGATCACAGGTGCTTTTTCCCACTCAGTTAACAGGAGTCTGGGATGAGACACCCTTTCCCTGCAGCCGCAGGCACTTTCAAATCACACTATCAGTATTCATGACAGATTTCTCTCTTAGAAAAATGGTTTGAGGATGGTTAGAGGTCTCTCTCTCTCTCTCTCTTTTCCCTTCTAACCTCCCTTTCTTCCCTCCTGGGTGGTTCTTTTTAGGATGCCCCCACCCTGTCTGTCCTTATAAAATGCAGCTCTGTAAACATTTGTCTAATTTCACAAGCTCAGGGAGGTGCCCCCATCAGTTAAAAAAAAAAAAATCTCCTAGTGCCTGATGCCTGTTTGAAATTCTAAAGTGGAACTTAATTGCTTTCGCGTAAGGATTTGATTCGGGCAAACTGCCCATACCTCTGGGAGTAGAAGCAGGATCTGTCATTTACACTTTAGTCTGAATGGGTGCCTGAACCTGGGAGAAAACAGCTTTGTCTTTCCCTGGTCTGCCTTGGATGTCAGAGGCTTCTTAAAGACAGCGTTATTGAGGGGCATGGTGGCTCATACCTGTGATCCCACCCCTTGGGGAGGCCAAAATGGGAGGATCACTTGAGGCCAGGAGTTCGAGAGCAGCCTGGCCAACGTGGCAAAACCCCATCTCCTTAAAAAAAAAAAAAAAAAGTTTCCCACTTCATGTAAGAGAGTTCCTCAAAATTCTCTTTCCTGTGGAGAGTTCTAGATTCTCTTTTACCATATGGTCTCCACTTAGCTTGTCTTGAATTGGGAAGCATAGGGCAGAGTCAGGCTTGCGTCAGCATCAGAATTACCAGAGACCTGGGTAAAAACGCAGTTCCTGGGCAACACCCACTGAGACCATGTTAGGAGCTGGCAGAGCCCAGGGATCTGCATTTTTGACAAGCCCTTCCCCCATGAGAGATTCTGCTGCAGGACCATACCCAGAAGCATTGGTCTAGGAGCACACTTGGCCCTCAGCCCCACCTTGATATATTGTCTAGGAGCATCCATAAATAAATGGTCGCCAGGTTATGGTGGCCAATTGGAAAAACTCTTTGTAACTAAAGCCTGATGAAACACTTGCTGGTTCATGGTTGGCGCCTGACTTTTAGAAGGTTTCTCCTCACATTTCAAGGTCAAGGGTTGGCCAGCGCATCCCTGAGCTGAAAAGGAAAGAAGAGCACCTTTCCAGTTGAGAAATTGGCTCCCCTCTGGCAAATGCCGCCAACGTAGCTTAATATTAATTTAGGGAATGCAGTCTTGTGCAGTTCCATGGAACTAGATTGGAAATCTGATAGTGCCATTTCTGTTATCTGATTCCTCACACACCTGAGATCACTCCCCGCCCCCCACCCAACTCCCCCCAGCCCCAAAGGTGGCTGCAGAGGCGCAGGTGTGAGCTGGCTCACTAAGTCGCTTTCCCCCTCCTGATTAAGCGTGTGGGGGAATAAAGAAGACCCGTGTCGACTCACGCCGATCTCTGCCTTGCCTGTGCTTGAGCCACTTGTAATTCCCCACAGCCCCAGCCAGGTCTGCAAGGCAGGAAGAAATATGACCAGGCAAGTTGAGAAAATAAATTAAACTAAGTGTCAACTTTTCTTGTTTCTCTCCTCATTATTAAGAGATGGAATGGGGCTCGTTTATCAAGCAGGGGGAGAAATTAATTGACACGGCTTTAATATCATGATGTCTGGCGTGTCTGGTCACATTCCTTCATTTTCTGGAAAGGCATTTTATTATAGTTTACAGCAACCAGCTGCCAAACTACTGGTGTAAACGAGGAAGCAGGTGCATGAAGGATGCCACAGTGGAGGGGCTGCGATGCCACCCTAGAGGGGACGGAGACATGGCAGAGAAGGAGGGCCAGTTCAGAAGGGACCCCAAAGAGAGGCTGCTTATTTTGGGGGGAGGGAGGAAGAAGGATATCAGGGAGGAGGGAGGGCTGTGCTAAGAGGGCATGCCAGCAGACCCCTCGCATCCATCGCGGGCTTGTTTACTGGCCCACCAGGAGGGCAGTCTCAAGTATCTGCCTCTGATGGCCTCCTGACCTGGAAGTCTTTGTTCTTAACCATCCCTGAGGCTGGGTGCTGTGTACAGCTCAGGTCAGCGTGCCTGCCCCTTTTCTTTCTTCTTAATAAGGCCAGGGAAGTGAGCACTTCTCTGTCCCTCCCTCCAGGGCAGCTGACTCATTTGAGAGCCAGTTTGCTGCAAAGAAACTTCTAGCATCAAGTCTGGCATCCCAGTCCTACTTCAGGTACATCTGCGGTTGGGGGTCTGGAAAGGTTCGGAGAAGTCACTCTGCTGTGCTCATCCTGGTTAGACTGGCTTAGGAGATACTCTAGCTGTTTTTCTGTGTGAAGGTCTTCTTTGCTGTGTATCTCTGAAAATCCTCAGTGCCTCCTTCCCTGCTCTTATATTTAAGAAATCACATACTTCAGGGTGCAGGGGAAGCCAACATAGAGCTGGAGTGGATGACCATATCTTTCCCCACTCTCTCCTTGCCCTCTGTCTGCCGGATTGTAAGAACTGAGGGCTCTTGCCTATTTCATAGATGTTCTTACAGGGAAACATGACAGAGACAGGGTTCAGGGGTGCAGTTGTTGGACAAGGTAGGAATTGATGAGTATGGAACAGTCTGCCTTCATATGAAGAAGGTGGGCTGCAGGGGAGAGAACACAGGGTCCCACTGGGGCCTCAGTTCTTCGTCTGTGAAGTGGGAACAATCATTTCTATTCATACTCCCCAGGGTGGGGCTGGGGGTGAAGATTGAGTTACAGAGTGGCTGCTCAGTGACGGCAGATGAGCTTTCTCTTTTTAACATTATTATTAGAATGTGGACTGATCCTCAATAACCACCTTTGGGAAGCAGATGCGAGTTGTAATGGAAGGAATCCTAGCCCTTCCCACCTTACAAAGTCCACATTGGCACCCGGATGTAAAAGCACACACAGCCTGATCATCACCCACCCTTTCCCAATCCCTAGTGTCTGAAAACGCCCAGGAACCTCTAATGGCGACTCCAATTGGCTCTCACTGAAGCCAAAGTATTGTGCAGTGATTTCCCAACATGGCAGCCAGTAATCAGAAACATGCTGCTGCTTTTGAAAAGGTAGCTTGTTTTTTTTCTTGGAACATACTGATCTTCTGAGTTATATTTTTCTTAGAGCAAAGCCAAGGCATGTGATGCCACCTCCCCATGCCTGCCATGCATCTGTGCACACTACTCATCGCTTCTGCACTTCCAGGTGGGGCCTCAGACCTTCCAAGTTTAGGGTTGCAGGACAGCTGACTTGCCAAACCTGCCATAGCTCATGGAGGTGACCTAGAAACGTTCCGCGTTGGGGCTGGGGACAGCCCGAGGTGTGGGGTTGCCAATGGACGCACAGCCAACTGGGGCTCGACTTGTGACGATGCAAGCACACCACCATGCCTCCTTGCCAGGCCGGTCCCTCTCATGCTCTCTGAGCCATATGGCCACCAAATCCATCCCTGAACACTTACTGATCCAAAGAAGACCCTGACAGTCTTCTCCAGAAAAGTAGGGGGGAGTGTGAAAGTAACTTGGGGTACCACTCCTGGGTTCAGTTCCTGCCTCTGGTTTAGCGGCCATGTCACGATGGATGAGTCACTGAACTGTGCAGAGCACTTGAGCACAATGACAGTAGCAGAGCCTGCCCTGCCTCTCGCAGAGTTGCCTTGGGGACCAGGTAGGACGATGGATGAAAAGGATTTTCAAACCAGAAAGTGCTCCCCACACCCACACCCAAGGGATTCATTTGTGCTGGAAGCAACCCATGAATATTGCTTTCCCCAAATACTAGGTTATTAGCAAGAGAGGGAAGCTGCATGAGTTATAAATATTCTTAAGTACACATACCTTAAATTTCTCATGGGATACCCAGAATAAATTTGACAATCTGGGGTTTTTTCCTCCCTCATTTTTTTTTCTCCATTAACCAAGTATGTTAACTCATGACTTGCATTGATTTTCACTGAAGATGCATTAGATACTACATGATTGCCCATTAGTGTTCATTGACCTATATGATAAGAGAAGAAAATTATTTTTGAGGCTAGGAGGAGGCTGTTCCCATCTTTCTCTCTCTGACCTAAAAAAAAATTCTCTTGTAAGTTAACTGTCGATGTTCCTCAGTGACTGCGTTTGGAGCAGGTCATTTTAATTTTGAGGTATCTCGTTTTCAGATTTCGATCTTCTTCTTCTGTGTATGTGGTCTTTTGTAGCTTTTATTATTCAGATGAATATTTAGTTTTGTTCATTTGGATAAAAGAGGGGGAAAAGGTTTGACTGTTAAATGCTTATCTCTTAAATAGTGCTTACTTGTTAGTTTCTAATAATAGCTTCATTCAAGAGAATGCCAGAATTTCATTTTTAAATGCTCCCTGTCAACTGCTACCCTATTAATATCCATTTTTAAACCACTGGTGTTTAGGGTTAACCTTCCCACCACCTTCTTTGTCCCCGCTTTGCTGACTACTGGAGCCCCTTGGAAGTGTGGGGTGCAGTTAAGGTGGGGGCTTTAGGAGAGGCGGGGCAGGTGCCACTTTGCTGATGCCAGGTGAGAAGGGTTTCTTTGGTGAACTAGTCTCTTGTTGCCCAAGTTCTGGCCCTTTGTTTCTCCCACCTCCCCTAGTTGTCAGTCCCTGGGTCTCCTCTCCATCCTGGGTGGTGGCTTGAGTGAGTTTAAATACCCAGGGAGGAGTTCTCTGGTTCTTAGGACCAAGGGAGATGAGCAGTGGATGTTCACAGGGGTAACCCAGAGGGCCCCGATGGAGTGCCAGCCCTCACAGACTCGCCATAGACTAGAATCCTCACTCTGTCAGGGCCTGGAGCAGGATCCCTGCTTCTGCCTGCATCTCTTACAGGTCCAGAGAGGCAAAGGGAGTCTCTGGGGCACATAGCTTGTTATCTGGCCCCTTGCTGAGTGAGGATAATTGTGTGTCTCTTTTACCTGGCTGCTACACCTCAGTTTGATGGGCCTTCATGAGGCTCCATTTCTGATTCTCTGTGGGGCCCTCTTCTAGGGCAATGAGAAGGAAATAATCATGACTCCCTGTCCTCCATCTCTCCCAAATCTCTTGTACATCCAGTAGATTGTTCAAAAGACTATGATGCCTTAAAAACATATGTCAAATAAAACAAGCCAGGCACAACAGTACAGGACATAGAGTGTATGATGCCACTTATATGAGAAAATTCATAGTCATAACAAGTAAAATATAAGCCGGTGTGGTGGCTCATGCCTGTAATCCCAACACTTTGGGAGGCTGAGGCAGGAGGATCGCTTGAGCCCAGGAGTTTCGAGACCAGCCTGGGTAACATGGTGAAACCCCATCTCTACAAAAAAATTACAAAAAATTAGCCAGGCATGGTGGCACACACCTGTAGTCTCAGCTACCTGACAGCCTGAGATAAGAGGATTGCTTAAGCTTGGGAGATCAAGACTGCAATGAGCCAAGATTGTTCTACTTTACTCTAGCCTGAGTGACAAGGGACTGAAACCCTGTCTCAAAAAAAAAAAAAAAAAGGAAAATAGAGGTTACTAGGGCTGGGGGAGGGGGAAATGGGGAGTTATTTAACGGGTACAGAAAAGGTCAGGAGGTGGATACTGGTGATGGCTGCACAGCATTTTAAGTGTACTTAATGCCACTGAATTGTGTGATTAAAAATGGCTACAATGGCCGAGCACATTGGCTCAATCCCAGCACTTTGGGAGGCTGAGGCAGGCGGATCACCTGAGGTCAGGAGCTCGAGACCAGCCTGGCCAACATGGTGAAACCCTGTCTCTACTAAAAATACAAAATTAGCCGGGTGCGGTGGCGTGTACCTGTAGTCCCAGCTACTTGGGAGGCTGAGGCAGGAGAATCGCATGAGCCTGGGAAGTGGAGGTTGCAGTGAGCCGAGATCGCGCCACTGCACTCCAACCTGGGTGACAGAGCGAGACTCTGTCTCCAAAAAAAAAAAAAAGGCTAAGATGGTTAATTTTATGTTACGTATATTTTACCAAAATAAAATACTTATTTCAGAAAAGAAGACTGTGATGCCAAAAGGATTTTTCCCACCCATCACTCTATCCCAAATTTCTGACCCCATTGTTTTTGTCCTCCTCTGCTCATTTTAATTCATTTTGGGGGTTATTCAGCACTAAGTTACTAATTCATTGTAAATGCTAATGCATCTGTGAAGTAAAAATGATTATATGTTAAGGAATAACACTTATTGATAATTAAGTGTTCTGTTGCTTCTTTGCTTTCCCCAAATGGAATAAATAAATATTTTAGACATAATCAAGTTTGTTTTCTCTGCTCGGGCCAAACAGACAGAGATGTTGAAATGATATAGGTCTTTAAAACACTGCAAATGAGTCTTGACATTGCTGAATTGTTATGCATCCAGGGTACATAGGCTTGAAATCCGGGCTATCTCCTTTAATCAGGAAAATCATTTTTGTGATACTTGAATTTTGAGTCCTGTGGGGTTAGGAAAAGGACCAGCGGGGAGAATATCAGAGTCAGAATTTGAGATGATGCCCTGAGTCTTGCCCCGACCCTTCCTGGTGCAACAGTCTGCATTTTAATTCCTGTCTCCTACCTCAGTTGCCTTTCTTCCCATCTCAGAGTGGGAAACTGGGGCATCAGAGAGTCCTGAATTACCATTCAGGGTATGGAGGTGATTTGTGCAGTGGACCAGGAAGGAGTTGGTTTGCAGCAGGAAAGCAGCTTCCATGGCCGGGAACTCAGCCATGGCCTGCCATGGTGACTTGACTTTACTCTGGCCTGTATTCTAGGATCAAGTGTGGATCTTTGCTTAGCTGCAAGGTGGCTTTAAACTAGGCTGTCCTCTGGCTCATGGGGCAGTGCCCTTCAGTGGTGGCACTGACTTCATGTTCTTTCCCCATAGCCAGGATGGGTTTTTCTCATTCATCCACTCTCTCCTGCCTTCAGTCCAGAGCAGCATGATTGGCCAAGTCAGCAGGCCTGGCGGGAGGAGGTTGCGTGCAGCCCCCCTGTGTGGGATATGGAGGCAGCTGAAACCTAGAACCTTGCTGTATTAGTTTTCTGTGGCTGCCGTAACAAATTACCACAAACTTCGTGGCTTAAAACAACAGAAACTTCTTGTCTCACAGTTCTGGAAGCCAGCGCTGCACTCCCCCAAGAGGTTCTGGGGGACAGTCGTTCCTTGCCTTCTGGAAAACCAGCTTCTTAAGACTCCAGGTGTTCCTGGTTTGTGGCAGTACCACTCCATTCTCTGCCTACCTCTGTCTTCACATGGCCTTCTTCTCTTTCTCTGTGTCTCAAATATCCCCTGTTTGTCTTTTAAGGACACCTGTCGTTGGATTTAGGGCCCACCCTAAATCCAGGATAATCTCTTCTCAAGATTCTTAATTAAATTACATTTGCAAAAGCTCTTTTTCCAAATAAGGTCACATTCATAAATTCCAGGGATTAGGACATGGATGTATGTTTGGAGGGCCACTATTCAACCTGCTACACTTGTCCTAATTAGCAGTGAGGTTCCCTAAAAACTGGCCTATCCTGGCTTGTTTTATTTGCAAGGTGCCTGGGCGTGGGGGCTGGGGCAGAGGGGTGACCTTCAAAGACAGATGAGACCCAGAGTGCCCCACAGGCTGGAAGTGAGGGGTGAGAGGGAGACGCTGTCCCTGCATGGGATCCTCTGACTCGTGCCTGTTCGTGAATTGTGCAAGCAGAGGGCCATTGCCTTGTTGATCTCCACGTCCTTCACAGTGCCTAGCACAGGTGGCAGCTGGTAAACGCAGAAGGAAGAGCGGAATCAGTCTTGAGGCAAAGCAGTGACTCAAGTGGATTAGCAAGATGCTCAGACCCTGGAGGAGCAGAAATGGCTCATTCAGTCACTCACTTAGCACTTGGTGTGTGTTAGGGGCCCTGTTCCGTCCTGAGGACCCTTAGAGGACAAGACCCCAGCATCACCCTCTTGCAGGGCGCTCTGGCTTGAAGGCACGCTGGCCAATTTCCGCGGCCTCCGCAGTGCCACCCCTCCCTCCCTGTGGGATTGCGGGAGGGTGCTGGCTCTTAATCCATTCTACTGGGGCCAGTTAGGATCTGGGCCCTAGGAGGGTGGGGCTGGGGGAAGGGGATTAACCAAAAAGATTAAGTTCCTGGCTGAGTGCTCCAGGGGTCCTTGACTGGGTGGGAGTTTTAACCTGATGTTTTTAAGGCTCCTCCCAACCCAGGATTCCTGAGACATACCCCAGTAGGGTGAGCTGAATGCCCTCAGGAAACTGAAAGTGCTTAAAGGAGCGCTTGAGGAACAAATACCCCAAAGCCCAAAGAGAAGTGGCTTGGGGAAGTGTCGGTGTGGCTCTTCTCCAGCTCTGCAATGATCAGTGGGACCAAGGGCCAAGGAGAAGGAGATGCCCAAAGAGAGGGAATAGGATAGCGTTCCCAGCAGCTTTCTCTCAAAGGACCTGGTTTAGGGGGTAGGGGGTATAAACCTGGTGAAAGGTTTTTTTGTTGGACAGCATTTCAAACCACGTATCCTGTCGGATGTCTGCTTCAGGCCTCTGAGGTAACTGAGAACCTAGCTTTTACTGGGTGACACTGGGAGAAACTCGGCATCTTTGAGCCCCTCCAGCAGACACTCATGTCCACTTTATGGTACATCTGATGCTGCCTTATGTATCTACAACAGGCTGGACTGTGTATGCTGGGAGCACTGGCCCAGTATTTGGCGGGTGGTGGTAGCAAATGACATGATAAAGATCACGATTGCTGTGTTTCGTGGTCCTAGCCCTCTGTTTTACTGGAAATGGTTTGAGAGCAGATAGTAGCCTTTTTTATTCTCATACCGAAGAATCTGCTAGTCCCTGCAGGAGCTATGCTAAAGGAGCTCCACATATCAGCTCCCTGTTTCCTGGTGTTCCTTGGAAGATGGTGATGTTAGAGTTGGATGCATGAGAGTCAGAAGGGACCTGAGAAATTCCCTCTCCGTCTTGTGTTGCAGGGACCCAAAATAGACACAGAGTTTGAAAAGGAAGCATCTGTATTTTGCTCATTGACTGGAAACACAATTATCATAATATAATTGTGATAGAACAGCCATTCAGTTTTTGTCTTCCTGCTTGGTGTGTCTGGCCATTCAGTTTTTGTCTTCCTGCTTGGTGTGTCTGGCTTAGTGTTCAGCCAGGTTCATACCTTTGGGGAGAAGAGTGTCTTAGCTGGGGCGGCTATAATGAAGTACCATGGTCTAAGAAAAACGGTTTATTTCTCACAGTTCTGGAAGCTGGCAGTTAAGAGCAGGGTGCCAGCATGGTCATTTCTGGGAGGGCCCCCCTTCCTGTGTACAGACAGCTGCCTTCCTGTTGCATCCTCGCATGGTAGAGAGAAAAAACAAGCTTTCTAATGTCTTTCTGTAAGGGCACTAATTCCATTTATGAGGGCCCCATCCTCACGAACTCATCACCTCCCAGAGGCCTGAACTCTTAATACCATCACATTGGGAGTTTGGATTTCAACATGAATCTGGGTGGGGGGTCGGGGGGCAGCAAGGGGCAGCCACAAACATTCAGATGGCAGCAGACAGCCTTGTGAATCCTGATTTGGGCTGTGACAGGAGGTGTGAAACCCAGGGTCCAGTTCTACCACCTTCATTTGCAGATGCAAAAGTTGAGGCTCAGAGAGGGCAAGGGGCTCCCCCAGATTAAACATAAAGTAGATGCACAGTGAGAAGTGGAAGCCAGGTCTCAGTCTCCCCATCAGTGTGTCTGCCCCCATGGCCTGTGCTCCCTCGCCATGTTAACGCTACCATGTGGCAGCTGCATCCCATCCAAGGAGGGTGCAACCCTGCATGGGGCCATGTGGTAAAGCAGCACTTACTGAGTGGGGTCACAGATGGGGCCACATGCTGGAAACGCTGTCGGAGGCGGGAGGAGAAGAAAGAAAGGGGCAGGAGGGTAGGAGAGGAACTGAGGATACTGAGCAGCAGTCGCCTGCCAAAATTCTTCAGTGCAGCTTGTCTAGCAAAGCCGGTCTCCAGCAGAGTACATACAGTGGATAGCTGACGGGCTGACAGCAGGCATCAAACAGTCTTAAACTGCCCCAAATCCAGAGCGCTTTTGAAGCAGCAGTATAAAAAGGATGCCTGCGCGGAACAGAGGCCTGAAACTTTTAATAGTTTCTTCCAGGCCTCAGGATGTCCTGATGAGGTATTAGAGGAAGTAATTCAGGAAGAAAAGGACAAATAACCACCTCCGTCTGGAGGCCGACCCGAGGGCTGGCCAGGGCTGCTCGCGGAAAGGGCAAGCGTGGCCCCGCAGTGATCCACGAGGCTCTGGTTAGCCCACCCGCCTGCTGCCGTGCACAGAGCCGCGGGGCTCTGACCCTTGTAAATAACAGACAAGTAAATTTCTTGTTTGCTTCGGGGCAAATGTAAACCACACAGTGCCCGCTGCATGTGGGTGAAATCATTAACTTTTCCTCGCTGTCGGAAGGGTGCTCAGTACAAATTAGAAATCATTGCCTCCAACCTCAAGGTCCTCCCAAGGATCCGCCTACCTACCCCCAGACCAGGAGGCTGTCAAGACCTCAGGACGTCAGAGAAAAACCTGGGCCTGCCAGAACTGAACTCACCCCGCCTCTCTTTGTTTTTTCTTCTCTCTCTTTTCCTTTAGGGTTTGGCTTTGTCACTTTTGAGAATGAAGATGTTGTGGAGAAAGTCTGTGAGATTCATTTCCATGAAATCAATAATAAAATGGTAAGTGTGTAGGGGTTGCGCTGAAATGGAATGCCCCCTTTCTCTACGTACACACCCAGTCTTGCAGACTGGTCCAGCCCATCATCAGGCTGGAGTGGGCAGGGGTGGGGAGGGGGCTAGATGCTCGGGGTCCAGGCCTGTGAACAGTAGCAGTTGTTTCATACTGAGGTGGACAAACTCTGTAAAGGGCCAAGTCGTGAATATTTTCATCTTTGCAGGCCATAAAGCTGACTGCAGCTACCCAGTTCTGCTGGGTAGCGTCCATAGGCAATGCATACATAAAGCAGTGGGGCTGTGTTTCAATAAAGCTTTGTTTATGGACACCAAAATTTGAACCTTATGTAATTTTCACAGATCACAAAATATTAATTTTTTAACCACTTAAAATGTAAAAACCAGGCCAAGCATGATGGCTCACGCCTATAACCTCTGCACTTTAGAAGGCCAAGGCAGGAAAATCACTTGAGGCCAGGAGTTCGAGACGAGCCTGGGAAACATAGCCAGACCTCATCTCTTAAAAAAAAAAAAAAAAAAAAAAAATTAGCTGGGTGCAGTGCACCTGTACCCCACCTACTCGAGGTGAGAGGATCACCTGACCCCAGGAGGTTGAGGCTGCAGTGAGCCATGATCACACCACTGTACTCCAGCCTGGGCAACAAAGTGAAACCCTGTCTCAAAAAAAATAAAAATAAAATAAAATGTAAAAGCCGTTCTCAATTCTTGGACTTTACATAAACAGGCAGAAGGGCGGGATTTGACCTATGAGTCGTAACTTGCTGGCACCTGGCTTAGGATATTCTTTTGCTGTGCAGCTTTTGAGAGGTATATCCTAGATAGGAAGTTTACTGCACCAAACTATTTTTCTCTTTGGGTCCTGCTGGAAAATTAACATTCCCTCCCTTGCCATCAATTAATTTCTGCCCTCTTGATCAGCTGCTTCCTTCCCTCTCTTTGGCTCTTTAAAGTTCCTTTTTCTGCCACAGCAGCCTCAAGAGGAAGGGAGGTTGGATTACTGGAAGTTTGGGAAGTCGTGTAGGCCTCCCAGATCAGTGGCCACCAGAGGGTGCCATATCATGCATAGCATTTGCACACTCACAAACTCCTTTCTTCGGATTGAGTAGGAGGGTGAGAATTCCCTTCTTTGTTGGTTCCAGAAAAATAGAAGCTCAGCAGGTGTTTCTGGAACCAGTCCTTTGGAGCAAAAACATTTTGGTTGGCCACGAGAGCCTCCAGCCTCAAGAGAAGAGGGAGGGCAAATCTGTGTTTCAATTGCAGCTGTAACTTTAATATTTTCTTCCTTTTGTCAAAACATTTCTTGCTTCTAAAACATGCGTTCAGACATGCATTGTATATTGGTCTGATATGTGTTCACCAACTTTAAATTCAATAATAGAGCTTTTAGTGTGGATAAGATCAAAGCAATCTGCTTAGCATGTGGCGCTACAGGCCTGATTCAATATTTGACTTGCTAATTTTTTCCCAGGGCACTAAAATAATATTGTTCGTATTGTTCCTTGCCATCATATGCATCTGAAATGAAAATACTCTTTTTTTGCGTACTGTATGTTGGAGGCATCAACTCAGACATTAAAATGGTAGGAGGGAGATAAGTGTGACAGAATAACACAGGTCCCCTCATAGGCTTTCTCAGCTCCCCAGATGTCCGTGCAAGTTTACAGTTGGTACTTTTCTCTTGGTAGGTTACTACTTGCTATTTTTTTTTTTTAATTGAGACAGAGTCTTGCTTTGTTGCCCTGGCTGGAATGCAGTGGCACGATCTCGGCTCACTGCAACCTCCGCCTCCCGGGCTCAAGCAATTCTCCTGCCTCAGCCTCCCAAGTAGCTGGGACTACAGGCATGTGCCAGCACACCCAGCTAATTTTTGTATTTTTAGTAGAGACGGGGTTTCACCATGTTGGCCAGGCTGATCTCAAACTCCTGACGTCAAGTGATCCACCTGCCTCGGCCTCCCAAAGTGCTGGGATTACAGGCATGAGCCACTGTGCCCGACCAGTACTAGCTATTTTTAAAAAGAGAGAGAGAGGACTTAAATGAAACTTGCATCCACTGCCCAGATGCCTTGTTTATCCTAGCCAGAGCACGCCATTGACAGGCTCCACTAAGGCTGCTGGGCAGTGGGGAATAGAAGAGAGTACTGGCAGATGCCATTCCTGTCTTGCCAAGCCTTAAGGGTTCATCAGGAAAGGCCAGATGTAGACCGGAAGGACATTGCTCCATTTGTCACCTTGAATGCATATGTGTAGCCCTTCCCTGTTGACAGGCTTTGAAACAAACCCGAGACACAGATGGGGAAAGGCTTTATCCTGGGAAACTGAGGCTCAGGGGATAGGTCCCAGGCTATCCAGAGAGCGAAGGAGCATAGGTCTTGAGCTTACTGGTGCCAAAGGAACTATATAGACAGTTGTTGGAGCTTGGGGGTGGGAGGGTGAATCCCCAGATAACCCGGGCAGCAATCAGGAAGTAGAGCTTCTGCCCCAGAAGAAGAACCCATGGGGCTGGCTTGAAGCCAGAGAGATTTGCAGCCATTTTCCTGTTTCATATTTATCGCCTTCTCTCCCACCCAGGTGGAGGGTGACTATGTCAGGTGCACGTAACCGGGTTTTTAGTGTAAGGGTTTGTGTTTGCCTTTGAATCTGGGGCTAGTACTTGTTCTTCAAGAGAATGAGCAAAGATGGAAGTAGACAAGAGGAAGAAGTGGGGGCAGATTGATTCGGATGACAGGCTTTGGAGGTGTTGGTCCACGTTCCCAGCACAGCCCAACAGTTATGAGCTCCAAGGTGGGGAGTTTAGAGGCCCTGGGAGAGGACTTTGGAGAAGAACACTGGGCCTTGCTGAGCTCCAGTAAGACAGGGCTGGTAATGATACTGCCTCATTGGGTTGTTAGAGACTGGGTGACATACCAGGAGCAAAGGGCTTACTTAGCACAGTGTCTGCACAGGGTGCAAGCTTGATCTGTGTTATCTCTTGCCATTATCCTTGCCATCATCCACGAGTTGTCATTGAGAGAGATTTCTCCAGCCAATTCCCCTCCTCTGAAGAAGGGTGGAATTTAAAGGGTGTTGGTAGAGAAGCCTGCATCCTGAATTGTTTTGGTTTTTGTGATACTGGTTTCTACTTCTGAGGCCCAAAGAAAAGGAAATGAGTTTAAACTGGGCTATGGACAGAATTCAAATGAGATATCTGGAAAAACTGAAAACTCAGAGACTGCCAAACAAGAACATGGATGATTGTTAGAATGTGCATAGGAGTGTTTCATAAACAGGACTGTGCTGTGAAACCACAGACCCATCTCCTCAAACCCTCGCAATCTTTCTGGGTATTTGGCAGGAAGTGGCAGATAGCTGCACCCCCTGGTACATACTGGAGCCATGATTTTTTTATATTCACAGATGGGAAAGGTCTTACTGCAGATTAGTCACAGACATAGTACTTGAATCTAGGTCTTCTGGTTCAATCTCATGTGCCTGGCACTTAGGAGACCCTGTATAAATAATTGTGGACTAAATAAAGGATTCACTGAAGGACCACATGTCTGTGAGGCACATTATAATTCCTAAAGCCATTGCCCATCTAATTGGGTCGGGGAGTCTCTTCCTGGGCATTTTTTAAAATGGAGTTCCTTCTCTACCATGCAGAAGGGCCAGGAGAAGGCGTGAGTCATTCTACTCACAGGGGACCAGGATAGCTGTCTTTGGGAAGTGGGGATCACAGGAATCCTTCCTTCATTCTCCATGTAGGCCCTGCCTTAAGGAGGTTATCTCCAGGCAGGAGGATGCCCAGAAAGACCCCACATGACACCCTTTCACACATAAAGATCCCACTAATAGCTGACATTGGGTGGTACAAACTACATACTCTACTAAACACTTTATGCATCATGCATCTTATTTCATTTGATTTTCACTTACTCTTTAATCATTATCCCCACTTACAGATTGGCAAGGCAAGGCAGAGAGAGGTTAAGCAGTTTGCCCAAGGTCACATGGTCAGCAAATGGCAGCCCCAGAATTCGAGCCCAGAAAGCTATACTCCAGAGCTCACATCTGTACCCATCAGACTGTGTGTCCCCTTCAGGCCAAAAGGGGCTTTCAGGGTTATGTAGCTGGGCTGCAGGCCCTCCATCACTGACCACCCTTTCCCAGTCAGCTATGTCGTGGCCCATGTGGTTCCATGTTCTCCTAGGAGAAGAGCAGAGGAGACAGGCCAGATTCCCAGCTAGGGAGAAGGACCACGCTTGGGTTTAACAGGTCCCAGATCTCCATGCCTCTTCCTCCACTGCCACAGACACAGATAAGTGACGAGCATGGGTCAGGAGCTGACTGCCACCCAAGCTCAGGGCCAAACCCACAAGCTCTCCAAGCCAGAGCAAAATGCAAATGTGGCTCTTTATCAATAAACACACACAAATGCATGCACAGAGCTGCCTCGTGACCCACCAGAGAGGGGATCCTCCCTGGCCACTCTGTGTGCCCCAGTGCGGGTGCAGCTAATAATGCCTCCCGTGGCGTCCCCCTGATTGAAGCAGCCCCTGAGCAGCAGGGACACTTGCTTGATGAGTCACCACAGCCCAGCCTTCAAGCGGCCTCCTGACGAGCCGGGCAGCAGCAGGAAGGGAGGTGAGAATTGACAAGAGCCACCTCCAGGCATCCGCAGAGGCCTAGTACAGCCTAGAGCTTGAAATGATGTTGGGGAGCCATCACCACCCTCATTGGGTGAGAGCGTGGGTACAGCCTGAAAGGTGCCTGGGACGAGGGCATCTCGGGTAGAGCCTTTCCTCACGCCTGATTCACCAGAAAGGAATCGGTGCTTATAGGCACTGGGACTGTGCTTTACGTGCGTGCTGTCTCCTTTTGTCCTCACAACATCCTGAGCAGGAGTCCTCATCTCATTTTACAGAGGGGTTCACTAGAGCTCAGCAGCAGTGGATCTTCCTTGGTGGGACAGTTCTAAGGGATAGAGCTGGGATTTGAACCTGTGTCATTCTGGTTCCGAACCCTCTGTTCTTCTCATTATACCTTGCTGCCCATTTAGGCAAACCTAGTATTTGAAAAATATGGATTTATATGATGAGTGAATATCAAGAAGAGTTTTTATTTGCTTCATACAATACTACTGCAGGATTACTTTAAATCAACTTTGTCCAACCCATGACCCACGGGCCATATGCGGCCCAGGATGGCTTTGAATGTAGCCCAATGCAAATTCATAAACTTTCTTAGAACATTATGAGATTTTTTTTTTAATTTTTTTTTTTAAAGCTCATCAGCTATCTTTAGTGTTAGTGTATTTTATGTGCGGCTGAAGACAGTTCTTCCGGTGTGGCCCAAGGAAGCCAAAAGATTGGACACCCCTGCTTTCTGTTTTTTGTTTTTTGTTTGTTTTGTTTTGTTTTGTTTTTGGAGACAGGGTCTCATTCTGTCACCCAGGCTGGAGTGCAGTGGCACGATCTCGGCTTACCACAACCTCTGCCTCCCAGGTCTGAGTGATTCTCGTGCCTCGGCCTCCCGAGTAGCTGGGATTATAGGCATGCGCCACCACGCCCAGCTAATTTTTTGTGTGTTTTTAGTAGAGAGAGTGTTTCACCATGTTGGCCAGGTGGTCTAGAACTCCTGGTCTCAAGTGATCCCCTTGCCTCTGCCTCCAAAAGTGCTGGGATTACAGGCATCAGCCACTACACCTGGCTACACCCCTGCTTTAAATAGTCCTTTTTCTTACTCCTTTAAGGTGATAGGATTTACAGAAATTTGCTAAGTAACTCATGGGTACAGCTACTTTGGTTGTCCCTTGTCTTGGAATGAGAGGTCTGGATGCTGGTAATCAAAGTGTGGTCCATGTACCAGCAGCCTTGGCAGCCCCTAGGAGCTGGTTAGGAATGCAGAGTCCCAGGACCCACCCTAGACCTACAGAGTCAGAATCTGCATGCTGACAAATCCCCAGTGATTGGCGTGCACATTAAAGTCTGAGAAGCACCAGGCAAGGGCCACTGCTAATGACAGATAATGTGGGACTTGTGGGTCATAAATTGCCCAGCCATCATCATCAGAAGGAAGGGACTTGGGAATGAAGGGAGCACGGAGCCAGGCCAAATGGGGCCAAACCAGGCCTGGCACCTGGACCTCCAGGCCAGTCTGGTGCTCTTGGCACCACTCCATACTCCCTCTATGGTCAAACAGAGACCAGATTTCCGAAGATCTCCCAGAGGAAGCTCTCAGTGCCAGAGACTGCTCCCGCCCCTCACCATGCCCTACCCCTCTGGGTGCAGGCCTTGGAGCATTGCTTGCAGAAGACACGTGAGGCATGCATCTCTTGGGGTAAAGGGCTCGATTCTCCTGAGTGAGGTGCACGTGTCCTTGTCCCCAAGTCGGGACCTGCTGGGTCACTTAGAGGCACCAAGAGAGCCTTGGAACCTGAGCCTGAATCCCAGGTCCACCGCTGGTGATTCTGTAACCACAGGCGAGTGCCCTACCTGTCTGCACCAGTTTGCTCCTGTGGGAAATCAGAAGGTTGAGGATGGCTGCCTTTTGCAGCTTATATAAAGCTCTGCTTTGATACCTGGAGGTCTCGGCCTGTTCTGTTGTAGGGTATGTAATTGGGTAGCCTTGAAGGAATCAGCCCTTGATAACTTCACGTTTCCCCCACTGGGCCTAAGCCAGGGGCCAGCAAATTTTCTGTAACGGGCCAGAGAGTCTCTGTCACATCTACTCAGCCCTGCCATTGTAGCACAAACACAGTCCAGGCAATATATAAATGAAGGGGCGTGGCTGTGTTCAAATAAAGCTTATTTGCAAAAACTCATGGCAGCTGGGTTTGGCCTGCTGGCCACAGTTTGTTGACTCCTGGACTAAACTAATCTAGCTCAGAGCAGGCCCAGTCAGGGTGCTCCTTGTCTACAGGGGTCCAATGAAAGGCATTTAGCCAAATGGTCAGCCAGTTTCACTATTGAGCACACATTATTAGGGGCAGAGTAGAAAGGGGGTGCCCCAAACAGGCACACGAGTTTGGGGATAGCAGCCTGTGGAAAGTATCAGTGCCTTCATTCTTTGGGGGAGCCCCCAGGTGGGGAGTGACACAATGGTCAGAACAGGGTGCTGTCAACCAGGGCGGCCTTCCTGGTAGAGGGTGCCTCAAGTCCTCAGTGCTGAACCCCCTTCCACTTCCCAGCTTTGTGGCCTTGGGCAAGTTACTTCTGTGTTTCGGCTCTGTGGTTCCCCTTTCTATAAAACAGGTTGTGGTAGTGCCTACCTCGGAGAGTGCTGTGACTTAAGACTTGTAAGGGGTTTGGAACAGAGCCAGGCCATGGCACGCTCTCTATCAGAGTGATAGATTTTTTCACCACTGTCGTCATTGTCATCATTCTTAGAATTATTTTACTGAGCAAATAAAGAGTTAGCAGGTAAGGAGGTCCTCAGCAGATTATAAGTCAGTAAAATGCAAGTGGTGCGGGACCTGGGCAGGACTGGGTCCCGAGCCTGCGGGGCAGGGATGGAGAGTATGAGGTGGGCACTCTCAGTGCCTCTGGGGATGGTCCTAGGAAAGGAGGTGGTGCACCTCCCAAAGCAGGAGGAACCAAGAGATGTGATTGTCTAGGTCCTGGAAAAGCTGAGTCCCACTCTTCACCTGACTCATTCTTTAAGAAGGTTCCAGAAAAATCCACTTCTAAGAGCAAAGCCTACTGAGATCTTAGGCCTGCTACCCTTCAGCCCAGGGCATACCTGGGGGATTGACTCGGAACAGGGGATTCTGGGGAAGGAAGGGCAGAAGGATAAGAAGGGAGGAGGGTCCTGAGCTGTCCTCTTGGACTCAGGGCTGCGGTGCTGTGACCAGCCCATCCATGGAGGCCAGCCGCAGGCTAGGGTCGGCTTCTGGGCCCTGCCACCTGGCAAGGTGCCCAGTGATTGGCTCACCCCCCCACTCCTTCCAGCTGCTCCTCCTCAGCCCTGAAGACAACTCAGTCGGGAACCAGCCCAAAAGTGGTGGGTGTATTTGTGTGTGGGGAGGGGGGCGGGTAATGTGGGTGGAATTAACTAGGCTTCTGTATTCACAATCCTATTTGTAGCATCATTCTCACTCGTAAGCTAATTTTAGCCATCCATTCTGCTTCTGTTGCCATTTATAAAATGAGAATGTCAAATGCAATATTAAACAAGCAGGATGAAGGCAAAAAAGGAAATGCCAGAGAGGCATTTAATAAATGAATCTGGTGTTTACGTGGGAGAGGGAGAGATCCTGCCCCCCACGCATCACACACGCAAGCGCGTGCACATGCTGTTTGTGTACAGGCTGTGTTAATGAGAGCAGAGTGATTAGTGTGTTGGGGGAGGCCGGGTGGTTCGGTGGTAAATGTTTGTTGCTCTTTAGGCAGAAGTAATTTGGCCTGCAGGGAGTGGCCTCCCAGTTGCCTGAGTGGTTCGCTTGCCCTTCATCTGTCCTCTGGCGATGTCAGTGTAGGCAGGGCCAGGGAGGGCAGTGGTCTGTCTCCTCAGTATCTCAGCACCCAGTGCCTCTGGGCTTTTCTGAACGTGCTGCCACCAGCGTCCCCGTACTCCACCCCCAGGGCGCAGGGTCATGAGAGGGGAGCATGGAGACCACTAGGAGGGGCTGCCCCCCCTTCTCTTCTGCCTCTTCCCCGCGCAGAAGGCAGGGCATGAACAGTCTGCGCCCGTATGCAGCTGCAGAGACCAAGCCCAGAGTAGCGTGGCTCTTGCCTGGACTCTTGCCAATTTCTCTTCTAGTTTCACTCTAGTTTCCCCAGGGCCTGGGAGTTCTGTCCCTGGTTCTTCCTTTGCCCTCTTCTTTCAGCTGCCTCTGCCTAGAAAAGAAGGCTCAAGCCATACCTTTTATTTTCTCCCTCTTTTAAATAAATGAAGTTAGGCCCCACGCAGGGCCTCTGGCCCAGCCCACCGTGCCCTGGGGTAAGCACTCCTCCAGCCTTGTGGCGGAACCTGAGCACCTGCTGGAGGCTGAGGTTTCTTTCCACTTTGAAATGCCCTTGCAGGTTCCCAGAAATGAAAAGGAGGACAGCTG
The DNA here is from genome assembly GCF_000001405.40 of Homo sapiens. Taxonomy (NCBI): domain Eukaryota; kingdom Metazoa; phylum Chordata; class Mammalia; order Primates; family Hominidae; genus Homo; species Homo sapiens. The sequence continues at coordinate 57,605,996 of NC_000017.11, forward strand.
CTGCTGCCACCATCAGCTTTTTCCCCAAATAGTGCGGCCTGGGAAGCTCTCTTTGCACATCCTGCTGATGAAAGCAGGGAGATGGGACCTACCTGGCCGACAGGTGCAGGGAGGGTTAGGGAGAAAGGCAATGACTGTGTGCTAAGAATCTGCTGTGCTGGGGAGGCTGCTGCTCTCTCTCTTCCTCTTCACTCCCCATTCTGGGATTTCAGTGAACACAGATGTGACCTGACTTCATCACCTTCAAAGGCACTCACCTAGGCTCCATGTGGAGAGGGCAAGGTGTGACTCAACCAACTTTATCCAGTGCAAGCACTTTGTAGGATTAGCTCCGAGAGCCCTATGGGGTAGGCACAGCTGTCACTGTTTTAGAGATGAGAAAATTGAGGTGCAAAGAAGTTAGTCAGCTGGTCTCAGCTCAGAGAGCCGGCAAGTGGAACAGAGATTTAAAGCCAGGAGCCTTAGCCCTAGGCTAGACTGCCGTATAACAGACTAGGAGGCACCCACTCTCAGATCTGGGCAGGGTGGGGGCTGCAGTTATTGGGGTACATCTCAGGTGATATTGGGGACCAGCTCCTCTCTACCCATTGCCCAGATTCTGAGGACCTCTGAGGGAAGAGCCACATCTCAGCCACATTCATTTCTGTGTCCACACCCAGCCGCTGCTTGGTAAATAGTAGATGCTTAATGTTTATTTTTGGTTTATGACCTATTTTACTTTGCCATCACTGATTGTAATAAAACACTGAGCAGAGGAAACAATGGATGAAATTAATTCTGGAAGTGGTAAGGAGATCAGTTGTGGAAGCTAGCATCGGGAAAGGCTTTGTGAACTAGACGCAGATAGGCCTTGAGGGTTGGGTGGAGAGTGTGGGGAAGGGCTGTGTGAGGTGGGGTGATGGGGGGGGGTGGCTGGCAGCCAGAGACCCAGAGGAGGGAGCAGGGGTTTTGAAGCTGGGGGTCTATGATTGGATTCTGACTGTGCTTTGTGACCTTGGGCAAGTCATTCCTTAGAACTTCTGTGTCCTTTTCTGCTGTAACTACGAGGCGGGTAAGGCCATCGCACAGAGGAAATGAGGCTCCATGCAATGAGGGAGTTGACAACCATGGACATTCTTTGAGGACTTCTGTGTGCCAGGCACTGTGCTTTATATCCATTATGTGTATATGTTATGTAATATATGAAAATTACAAGGATGTTGTGGCTGTGCCTAGTTATGGATAGCACTCAATAAACAGTGCGTGCCTTCCTCCCCAGAGTAACCCTCCTGAGTCAAGATTATAAATCTAACAGGTCTCTCAATGCCTTTTGCAAACAGGTCTGGGCCATTTATAACATGCATGTGTCCTGGAAGGTAGACATTCCTGCTGCCTGCCTTTCCCTATGGAAGCTGGCAGCTCCATTTCTGTTTGCACAGTAACCCCTTCCTCTGTAGACTGCATGGGCAGGTCCCACATCCATGAGGACCTTTTTGCAGTAGAACAAGGAAAGTTATCATTTACAAGTAGGTCCCCTGGTGCTTGGCCACACGCTGGTCCCTGTCCACAAGGACAGTGCCTGATTATGATGTCTGAGAAGGGAGGAGGGAGGGTCTCTTCCGCTCACTTTCCAGTATCCACAGTGACCAGCTGGGAAGCCTGTCTGTGTTAGGCCGTTCTCGCGTTGCTATAAAGAAATACCTGAGACTGGGTAATTTATTTAAAAAAGAAGTTTAGTTGGCTTACAGTTCAGCGGGTTGTACAGGCATGGTGCCAACATCGCTAGGCTTCTGGGGTGGGGCCTCAGGGAGCTTTTACTCACGGAGGAAGGCAAAGTAGGAACAGGCACGTCGCTTGGTGAAAGCAGGTGCAAGCAAGCGAGAGAGTGCAGGGAGGTGCCACACATTTTTAAGCAACTCCGAGTAAGAGCTCACTCATCACCAAGCAGGTGGCCCAAACCATTCACAAGGGATCCACCCCCATGAATCAGAGGCTTCCCACCAGGCCCCACCTCCAACACTGGGGAGTACATTTCAACATGAGATTTGGGCGGAGACAAATATCCAAACTATATGACTACCTGAGTTTGCAAAGGAGCAGAAGGGCTTGTACCAGTGAGGGAAAAGGACTGCAGAGTGGTTAGGGACCCTTCCCCTGCCAGATTGAAGGACCAGGGCTTCCCAGCACAGCTGCCAGGATTTACAGGGGTGCAATTGCTGCCTCACCAACCCCCTAGCCCCTTACTGGCTTCTTAAGGCCTTGCCCTCACCTGGCCACATACTCACGCTAGTCAGGAATCCATCTTGGCCTCTGGCCCTGGGCAAGAAGAGCAACAGGATGGAATTGAAACCCTGGAGCAGATGTTAGAACTGAGTAGAGGTGACCTGGCTCTCTGAAGCTCACGCAGGAGTGATGGTGACATGCCCATCTCAAGTGGGAGCTGCACATGGAGGGCAGCCGAGGTTCCTGCGTTTCCCTCCCCGGGCCACTTCACCTCCCCTAGGTGGGTTCCACCCCCTCTCCTTGTTACATCATAGCCTCTTTCTCCAACACATTCAACAGCTCTCTCTCAGCAGTGCCAGCTTCCTGGGTGTAAGGCCTGAGCCGTCGCTTGGCCCTGTCCTCAGAGGCCCCCCACGCTGGTCTAATGCTCTGCTCTTTGTTGCCGTCTTGCAAATCCTAGTCATTGTTGGTCAAAGGACCCCTTGTCGTCTTTTTGTCATGGGCCCTGTTCGTTCTGCTGTGAGGCTGACTCAGGGCCAGGTGCCGTGCAGGTACACAGTAGGAGTTGAACTCTGATCAAGGGCTTGTTTTGTGTTTATCTTCCTTGCTTTGCAAGTTCCTTGAGGGTGGGTCTCCCCGAATCTTGATTATAAACCTGCAAGAGCCTTACAAAATGTCCTGCTTTTTGTGGGGTCTCCAGAAAGGCTTGTGATTGGCAGAGGGGGCAGGAGAGCAGTGACCAGGAAGAAAAAAGGCTGTGGCCACTGGATGGCAAAGGAGGGCTGTGCAGGGAGGTATGTGTGACATGTGGTCTCTGGAGGCCAAGCTCACCCCTCCTGCCTCAGTAGCAAGATGTGTGTAGCTGTCAGGCTCTAGGCAAGACACTTTACACTTGAGTAGCATCTCCCCTCCTCTTCACCATCTCCCTGGGCAGGGCTCAGGGCCTAATGTCCGGAGGTGAGGATCTTCAGAGAAACAATGTTGGCCTCAAACCCACCAGAACCTGGCTGGGGAAGAGGTCAAGCTGATCAGGCGCAAGACCAGGTCAGGCCTCTTATGTCTGTTAGGAAACGCCACAGAAGGACAGATACCCACCCTAGAAGCTGCAGGACCTCCTCTCCTCCTGAGCCCTTTCCTCCCTCTGCTCCCCTCCCCTTTCTGTTAGCCAGACAGTCAGACGGTCAAGGTTGATACCTGAGCACTGGGGAATTTTATCCATCGAAATAGGCCTCTCCCTCTGGAGGACTAAACAGTCTCAGACACGACCTGTTTGGAGTGAGAAATGAAACTGCAAACACTGGCCTCTTCAGGCCAAACAGGCTTTCCTTGTCCTGGATGGTACATCAAGGCCACAGGTCCAGGGCTTGGATTTCCCTCTGGGCCCCAAGGCCGCGTGCTGACTGGGTTCTTTTGTACAGAGACCAGGGAAAAACAAAAGCCCTTTACTTCCCAAAGCTTGGCATACTCCTCAGACTGCCAGCCACCATCCCCAAAGATGCCAGGGCAGTGAGCTTACCTTTGCAAGGGCTTCGGATCCACTGGGGAGGAGTGGCCACTCATAGTAGCTGCAGGGAAGCTGTTCTTGCAGAAGCTCCAGCACCTCCTCTGAAAGCCAGTGCTAAGCATTCCCCGCTAGGGAGAGGGTGTAACGCAGGGCCACAGCACCCACTCTCCTGGCTTGGGCTGGGGCTATAGGCAGATCGGGATTAACATCCCAGCCCTGCACACAGGTACTGGGTCTGGACCACAGGTTAGATGTCTGAGTCTGAGCCTCAGTTTCCTGCTCCGTGGGATGGATATATAGCTATAAAGGTCATTATCGGGTCCGCTGGCAAAACAAGCGTATGGAAGGTAAAGTATTGCATTAATGTTAAACGTACTGAGACTGATAACTGTGCTATGATTACGTAAGAAAATGCCCTCATGTTTATGAAACGCATACCAACTTACTCTCAAATGGAAAAAAAAATCCTGGCCAGGTGCAGTGGCTCACGTCTGTAATCCCAGCACTTCGGGAGGCTGAGGCGGGAAGATCACGAGGTCAGGAGTTCGAGACCAGCCTGGCCAATGTGGTGAAACCCCTGTCTCTACTAAAAATACAAAAATTAGCAGGGCGTGGTGGCGTGCACCTATAGTCCCAGCTACTCGGGAGACTGAGGCAGGAGAATCACTTGAACCCGGGAGGCGGAGGTTGCAGTGAGCTGAGGTCACGCCACTGCACTCCAGCCTGAGCGACACAGCAAGACTCCGTCTAAAAAAAAAAAAAATTCTACATATAGAGGGCTCAGGAGTGTGTGCAAATGATAAGGCAAAAGTAACAAAATGTTAGCAGTAGGTGAATTCTGGTAAAGGATACTCTCCTTGCAACTTTTCTGTAAATTTGAAATGATTCCTGAGTAAGGAGTTAGAAACTGCAAACCTCCTTGCTGAGTTGCTGTGGATGCTGATGGGAGGAGGCACCCAACCCAGTGGGCAGCAAGGACAAGAGTGTTAGCGACCACAGGGGCCACACTCCCATCAGGCCTTCGTTTTGTTCTCTAAAGGAACATGCTGCTGCCCTAGGTGTCCAGGGGCTAGGTGTCCAGGGGCTAGGTCATTATTCTGAACCCATTACCATGGGGACTATGAGGAAGCCACACCCTCTCTTCTAAGGCCAGTTTGTCGAACAAAGCAGCATATTGGGAGAAGAAAATTTCAGAACAAATCCCATCAATTTTGTTGGGGTGGGGGGTGTTGGCACATCCCTGGTATTGGGAGTGTTTTGTGGCATTGCCAGCTGTGCACCTTGAAAACAGAGACCTGGTCCTTCTGGTATAAGCAGTTGGTCATCAGTGGCCTCTGAGGCTTCTTACAAGTGCTCAGTCAGATGGAACATCTCACTGCATTTCTTGCCCCTTGAATAGACTGCTCTGGTCAGTTGCTATTTGAAACAGTAGCAGCAGTAGCAGCAGCCACTGTGAGAAGCCGTTGGTGCAGGAGACTCAAGGACTGAGACTGGGAGGTGGGCCTTCCTCAAGGGGAAGTCTTAGGAGGTGGGGCCAAAATACCTGCAGCAAGAGGCCTGGTCCCCATGAGCACCACATTTGTTTTGTTTTAGAGGACCATGGGGAGCCAGGCAGGCCTGTGTGGGGCTACAGTGGGAAGGGAGCCCCCGTGCCCTGCCCTCTGCCCTGTGGTGAGAGCAGCCCTAGGTGCCCACTGCTCCAAGGACCCAGCCAGCCAAAAGCCAGAGTGTGAGGAGTGCCTCCTGCTGCCCTGTCAGCTCACTGCCCTTCACCGACCACATGTGGTTGTTGGTCTCCAAAGATTATCCCTAGAGCCCCCTCCCACACGGACTCTAGGCTGGCCCAGTGTCACCAGTAGAATGTGTGGGAGGGAACACTGTGAGTCCCAAGGCTAGGTTAGAAGAAGCCTTGCAGCTTCTGCCTGAGTCTGTTGGAATGCTTGTGCTTGGGACACTTCCTCTTGGGACTTAGCCACCATATTGTGACAAGACCAGGCGCCATGGAGAAGCCATGGTGGACGCCCCATCAGCAGGCCCAGCCAAACCAGTGTGGCTGCCTGCCATGTGAGCGAGGAGCCATCTTGGGCCTCCAGCCTCGTTGAGGCCTCCTCTGGCCTCAGCCCCAGTCACCACCTGACCACAGCGCCATGAGACCACCAGCAAGAGCCCAGCTGAGCCGGTCACCCCACAGAACCCTGAGGAAGGATGATTAAATTGTTGCTCAAAGCCACTAAGTTTGGGGGCAGTTTGTTGCTCAGCAGTAGATACCTGGAACAGAGCATGTGACCAGATAGCCTAAGTACATGACTAGAACCGAAAAGATAGACCACTTTTTACCCTTTTTGGGTTCTGACTGTCACCCGGGTTGTTCATGCCAAGCTCTCTGGCTTATGCAGGGCCTGGGGGAGGACAGCAGGGGAAGGTGACCCGATGTGGGCTAACTCAAGACGCTCGAGAGGCTAACAAGTGCAGAAGCAGCGAGGGGCAGGTTGATGTGTGAGTACTTGCATTCATCTTAGGAGAACAAGACAGTCAGAGCCTCTTCTTTTTCAATACAATGAGAGCTCTCAGAGAGGTGGAGGCTTTCCTTATTTATCTTTGGGTCCCCAAAGCCTAGCACTTGCCTGGCGTGTTGAGTTCCTCCGCATCTGCGTCATTGAATTAAGTGGCTGAGTCTCGGGGGTGGAGGGGACTGGACAGGCTTCCTGGTCCTGAGAAGTCTTTCAAGAGGCCTTCAGGGCAGGCAGGCCAGGTTCCCTGCTGTTAACTGTTACCTGCTGCCTTCCCCTGTCATTCAGATGCCCAGGACAGGCCAGGGTCCCCTGGAGAGTGTATGCGCCATGGCCCCTGGCCTTGGGGAACACTCACCGTTGACCCAGCAGGTGGTTGGCACTCAGACAGTCATTGCTGCCCAAACCACCAGCAGCAAAGACAGAGCAGAATTAAACAGAGCTGTCAGCCCTGTTCAGTGAGAGGAAGAGTAGGTGGGTTTGTTTAAAACACTCCCATTACAGTCAGTTAACCTTTATGTTCCCTAAATGAAAATTGTATAAACCTGAGATTTCCGTTGATCGGGTTGCCTAGGAACAGGCAGCAGGTTTTCATAAGACAATGCAGTAGATTGTCACCGATAGGGCTATTAGGAAGTGAGCTGGTTAGCGGTATTATTCCCCTTGCTGGTGTTGGCTTTGGGTAATTATCTGTCTGCCTGTGCGAGACACGCCCATCTTCCTAGGCTTGGGGCAGGTTCATGCAAATGAGATTTCTCAGCCTGCTCCTCTGGAGTCCTGAAGCCAGTTTTCACCCCTGGGCTTAGGAGAGAAACCTAAAAGAGCCAATTTGGATGAGTTTGTTGTTTTCAATCACCTTTCCCCCCTACCTGCAATGACAATATTCTAATAGCCCTATCAGTGACAGTCTATTGCATTATCTTACAAAAACCTGCTCCCTGTTGCTTAGCAGAAAGCTTAGAAAATAACTAGCAAAATGCCCAATTAAAATTTAAAAACAGAGTGATTCTAAGACAACTTTAGTATGTCTTTTCAGTATTTTTCCCTATATGATATATGCACTTGTTTATTTTTCAAAAAGTCAGTGACATTTGCTGTTTTCCCGCTTGCAGTTAAAGAAACCCATCATCCTGGTTTGCCTGGGACTGAGGGGTTTCCCAGTACCAGTGCATGATTATTATCAACACACTTTTTCATAGCTGCATAGCATTCAATCAGTGTGGATAATCCAAACTCAGCTAATTCCCTGTTCTTCTATATTTTAGGTATTTCCTTTTATTAAAAAAAAAAATTCTAATTCCGGTAGGGCAAATTCCTAGAGGTAAGATTACTAGGTGTATGTATAAATTTATGGCTTTTGATGTAGTGTCTGGTTGCCCTCCAGAAAAATACGTGCCAATTTCCACCCCTCCACACTATACCGTCAGAAACCCTTACATCAAACAATGCTTTCATCACTGTCAATCTGTGGGCAAAAAATATGCTTCATCTTGGGGAATGTGTTCTTTATTAGCCGTCTGTGAATTGTCTACTCCTGTCTTTTACCCATGTCTGTTTTGGGATGCTCATCTCTTTTAATCTATAGAACTCTGTATTAAGCATATTAGTCATGAATGTTGAACCATTTTGTCCACTTTTTAAGGCATTTGTGGTTATTCTTGAAAGAGCAAGAGTAATACCTGTTGTCCGGTGTCTTTGAAGAAAGGTGACTTATATCTTAGGTAATTATAGCATCCCCCTAACCTTGAGCACTAAAATATTTTTTGATTGAAGTATTTGGGATGTGAGTATCTCCAAAATGGATAACCCATAGAGGTTCCTTTTTTATTTTCGTTTTATTTATTTTTTTTATTTTTTGAGATAGAGTCTCGCTCTGTCGCCCAGGCTGGAGTACAGTGGTGCGATCTCGGCTCACTACACCCTCCACCTCCCGGGTTCAAGCGATTCTTCTGCCTTAGCCTCCCAAGTAGCTGGGATTACAGGAGCATGCCACCACACCTGGCTAATTTTTTTGTATTTTTAGTAGAGACAGGGTTTTGCCACGATAGCCAGGCTGGTCTCGAACTCCTGGACTCAAGCAGTCTGCCTGCCTTAGCCTCCCAAAGTGTTGGGATTACAGGTGTGAGCCACCACGTCCGGCCTAGAGGTCTCTGTTTAAACAATGTATATTGCACACAGTTTAACTTTTTCTTGCTATCTCAGGCACACCTGTGAACAATAGCAATTTTCTGTGTTACAGTGATACCTCAGCAGCTGTTGAACTATGTAGAGCTTTTGTTCCTATACCATATGGCCCAGACTGCTCTTTAAATAAGATACCTGTTTCTTGTCTTTTCTCCGTCATTTAAATAAGATACCTGTTTCTTGTCTTTTCTCCGTCACTATCAGGCGGCCATGCTGTTTCTTTTGGCTGTTAAAAGCATCCGTGCCTTACCCTGCAACATCCCATCTTCATCAGCAGTGGGATTGATGACTGGCTAACAATGCTTGTTAAATTTCTCTGTAAACAAAAAGCAAATAAGTGCTAATAAGCACAGGCCTAAGGCGCTCTGGTAAAACAGTGAAGGAGCTTCCGAGGGCCACAGTTTTACTTATTCCCTGAGGTTTATAGTTCGCATAGTTAAGGTTATTAAATAAGTGACCTCTGGGTATACAAGCAGATTAGCATGAAGAAATTTGAGAGTCAGAAGGGAAACAGAAAGGGGAGATTAGCAACCACTTGAAAATGTAGCTGCAAATGAGAAACTAGTAATCCAGATGAACAGAATCAGTGTTTAATCTTATTACTTCCCTCAGGAGTGTGGTGGTGGTGTAGGTTTTGTGGAAATGTGGCATTGCTGACCTAGAAATTCTAAAGATCTGGTTTGTAGGCCTGAACCTGTTGGGGAGGGCTTTCAGCATGTTGCACAAGAATTTTTTTTTTTTTTTTTTTTTAAGACAGGGTCTCGCTGTGTCACCCAGGCTGGAGTGCAGTGGCGTGATCATGGCTCACTGCAGCCTTGACCTCCCAGACTCAGGTGATCCCCCTACCTCAGCCTCCCAGGTAGCTGGGACTACAGGTGTGTGCCACCACACCTGCCTAGTTTTTTGTATTTTTTTAGTACAGACGGGGTTTCACCATGTTGCCAGGCTGATCTGAAACGCCTGGGCTCAAGCTGATTCACCTGCCTCCACCTCCCACAGTGCTGGGATTACAAACATGATCCCCCACGCCCAGCCAACACAAAACTTCTGATGCTCTGTTTTCTCATCTGTGAACTGGAGCTAAGGCTAAGTGGTCTGTCTGTTTAATAAGAGTTTGAATCAGATGGCCTGGCATGAAGAGTCACTGGCCTGAGAGAATGTCAGGGGCATTTGTAAATGTGTAAAGGGCTGAAAAATCCTGAGGGATTATTATTATTGCTATTGTTGTTATTATTCACAGACACATCCAACAGCCATTGTCTGCCTCCTTATCTGTCATGCTTTCTGCACGAGCGTCAGCCTGAGCTTCAATCTGTGTGTATATCTGCAGCTTACGTCCTTGCCACCCCTCCAGAACCCAGTTTCATCCTTGTAGGTTTTTCCGAAGCAGGATTTGCACAAGTGGCGTGTTTTCTTAAGTATTTATTTTGCAGGCCATTTACTCGGCATGGCTATTTTTACAGTGGGTAAGGAGCAAGGCTAAAAATAACTTAGCTCATAACCAGACAGGTTCTGCATTTGACATTTACGTGGAATTCATTTGCATCTCATTTGTTCGCCTTTCTGTTTAACAGGTAGAATGTAAGAAAGCTCAGCCGAAAGAAGTCATGTTCCCACCTGGGACAAGAGGCCGGGCCCGGGGACTGCCTTACACCATGGACGCGTTCATGCTTGGCATGGGGATGCTGGGTGAGTCTGGACAGGACCGCAGGTCACCATGGACTGGGAGGGCTATGGAGGCCTCTACTCCCAACTGGGTCACCTACCAGTGGGGCAAACTGCTTCACCTTTCTAAGCCTCAGTTTCCTTGTCTGTAGATGAGGATGATAATTCCCCGTTCCAAGACAGTTGTGATGATTAAGTGTGGGTGTGTGTGTGTGCATGCATGTGTGTGTGTGTGTGTGTGTGTTTGTATTTATAATATTGCCCCATGCCTGGCTTATAGGATATGTTAGACTATTTTCTCTCTTTTCCATCTCCTTCCTCAAAAGAAGGAAAAGTCCCCCTCTATCTGCCTCAGCCCTCTCATCTGAGTGGGAGTTCTTAAGATGTAAGGACTCCTGGCTGACTTGACTTGTGTGGGCTAAGGCTACGTTTTCTAAAACTTGGGAGAGGAGGGAAGTGGTAAGGGTGGGCGATAATCCTGTCTATTTAAATGATTAACATTTTTCTCTTGGGATATCAAAATTTGCATTTAAATGGATGTTTTAAATAGCCTGTTTTACTCTTTATTTGCCAAAAAAAAAAAAAAGATGAAAGACAAAGTGTGTTTGTTCTGACTAAAAATGATTTCTCCTGGCTTTTAGAGAAATTGAGTTGCATATTATGTCCCTTTCCTTAAAAGTATCTCTGTCCGTCCTGCGTAGATAATTGAAAATCTTACCGCTTAAATGGCATGAAAGATGGAGAAAGCAGTGGAGATGCGTAATGGTGTAGGTCGCAACAATAATTAGAAATTTAAAGGCGAGAGAATGGTATTTTAGTGCAAGTTATTGTGTGTCAGGAAAATACTAATTAAGTGGGATAAATGGTAGTTAATGGTAAAATTCCATTCAGGCACATGAGCTGTCTAGTGTTAATGGATTTTCATTTGGTTTGGCTAAGAGTCCCACTTCTACATTGTTTGATAAGCCCTTTCTATATTTTCAGATTTGCTGCTGTTTAAATCACTTCTGGCTTAATTTTAAATTTATAAAACATCTTGTGGTCTGACAAAGAATTGTATCTACTTGTCTGAGGAAATAACAAGGGCAGGTAAAACTATTTTGAGGAACTTTATGAAATAGAAAAAGATGCCAGGAGAATATTAAAAATGGCCATGATGTTAATTCTCCTCATATGAATTTTTTAGGCTTAACAGAGTTTCAAAGAGAAATCCTATTGTAATTTTTTTAAATTGGCCAGATGTTTCTAAAACTTATCCCTGGAAGAAGAAACAAGTGAGAATAAATGAGAAAATGTTTTTAAAAAGAGGAATGAGAAAAGACCAACAGTGAGAATGTAACACAAAGCTACAGTAACTAAAACAGTATGGTATATGGGAATGCACCAGTTGATAGAAAAGGGTAGAGTCTAAACTAAATATACCTATATTTAAGAGTGTGATTTTAAAAATCAGTGATAATTATTTCCTGGTTCACTACAAGATAATTCCTTAGCTCCTCCTTTAAAAAATAATTTTTATTAGGTCTTTATGTTTTATATCAAAAGAAACTCTAAGCTGGTAGTTTTAAATGGTGAAATCAACCTGAAAGAAGGAGAGTTGAGCTGAGTGCAGTGGTGCTCGCCTGTAATCGGGAGGCTTAAGCAGGAGGATCACTTGAGGCCAGGAGTTTATGAGCCAGCCTGGGCAACATAGCAAGACCCCCTCTCTACAAAAAATAATAAACATTAGGCTGGGCATGGTGGCTCATGCCTGTAATCCCAGCAATTTGGGAGGCCGAGGCAGATGGATCACCTGAGGTCAGGAGTTCAAGACCAGTGCGGGCAACATGGTGAAACCCTGTCTCTACTAAAAATACAGAAATCAGCTGGGCACTGCAGCACGTGCCCGTAATCCCAGCTACTTGGGAAGCTGAAGCAGGAGAATCGCTTGAACCCAGGAGGCAGAGGTTGCAGTGAGCCAAGATTGTGCCACTGCACTCCAGCCTGGGTGACAGAGTGAGACTCTGTCTCAAAATAATAATAATAATAATAATAATAATAAACATTAGCGGGGTGTGGTGGCGTGCACCTATGGCCTCAGCTACCCAGGAGGCTGGTGCGGGAGGAAAGCTTGAGCCCAGGAACTCTGGGCTGTGCAGATTTGGTGTCCCCACTAAATTTGGCATCAATATGGTGACCTCCTAGGAGTGGAGGAACATCAGGTTGCCTAAGGAGGGTGAACAGGACCAAGTTGGAAATGAAGCAGCACAAAACTCTGTGCTGATCAGAGTGGGATCGTGCCTGTGAGTACCCACTGCACCACAGCCGGGGCAGCATAGAGCATAGCAAGACCTGTTTCTGAAAAAATATAAAATAAGAAAGAGTTGGGGGCCAGGCCGGTGGCTCATGCCCATAATCCTAGCACTTTGGGAAGCCGAGGCAGGAGGATTGCCTGAGCCCAGGAATTCAAGACCAGCCTGAGCAAAATGGTAAGACCCTGTCTCTCTCTTTCTTTTTTTTCTTGAGATGGAGTCTCGCTCTGTCGCCAGGCTGGAGTGCCGTGGCGCGATCTCAGCTCACTGCAACCTCCGCCTCCTGGGTTCAAGCAATTCTCCTGCCTCAGCCTCCCGAGTAGCTGGGATTACAGGCGCGCGCCACCACACCCAGCTAATTTTTGTATTTTTAGTAGAGACGGGATTTCACCATGTTGGCCAGGATGGTCTCGATCTCTTGACCTTGTGATCCACCCGCCTCAGCCTCCCAAAGTGCTGGGATTACAGGCGTGAGCCACTGCGCCCAGCAACGCTGTCTCTTAAAAAAATAAATAAATAAAAGCAAAATAAAAATAAGAAAGAGTTGAGCCTATTACCACCTACTGGGTTTTAGAGTCTTGAATTTAAAATGAGCATAAAGGCCCTACAGCATAAAATGGAAGACCTTCAGGATCCAACTTCAGGAAATTTCCCACCTTTCTGAGTCTAACTTGGTACCCTCTGCATGCTGGGAAGAAGGAACTGGTTTTCATCTGGGAGAAGCAAAGGTGTGAAGCGGAGCCAGCTCAGGTCCTGTCAGTTGACAAAGAGCAAAGAGTGCTCAGCCTCCCAGACTCCGAGCAAAGGCTCAGGCCCACATCTCCATAATCACCCAAGCAGGGATCCCTGAACAGAAGGGTACCTAACATTTCATCATGGGAACACAGGTAGGGAGGCGGGGCAGGAGGCAAGGGGCAAGAGCACCTGCTGCGTGACCAGCCCTGGGTAGCCTTGGGACACAGTGCTTCACAAGCAGATGTGCTTCCTGCCCTCCGCGAGCTTGTGGTCTATACAGAGAGCCTGATGCGTAACATGAATTGCACAGATGCCTGATGATCATCATAGAGTCTGGGGGTGGTTGGAGAGCACGTCATGAGGAGTGGAAGCCAGTCTTAGGAATCAGGGAAGTGGCATTTCAGCAGAAATGAGAAGGATGAGTAAGGCAGGGGCCTTCCATTCGGAATAAACAGGCTTGGAACACGAGGACCCTACTGTGGGACCTTGAGAGCCAACGAGCCTGGCCACGTGTGTGTGGGAAGGTGGGGAGAGGCAGGCCCAGGGGCTCCAGGGTTGGCTTTGCCTGCAGCTCGTGGGCAGACCCGAGTGGCCCCTTCCTGAGAGCACCTACTGAGGTGGTAGGAGACAGCACTGGTCCCTGCGCTTATCTGGACAGCATCTGAACAGCGCCTGCTCGCTGGGGGATGGATATGTGATGCCTGCCAGGAGCTTACTCATCTGCCCAGCTCTTCCCCCGTCTACTCACAGTTCAAGTTATGACTTCCCCAAGCCACAGTAAAGAAGGGGCTGTTAGGTAAAGATATTGTTGCAGTTCAGAGCCTATTGTTCTTGAGTTATAACCTCCGCAGCCCCACCCTGCTGCTGAAGGCCTTTGCCTTTTGCCTGCTGTAGCTGTGGTTGTGCCTAACCCCAGACCCTATCCAGCCCAACCCCAGGTCACAGAGGCACTAGTCTTCTTCTAACCAAGTAGAGAACCCTTTGGATGGAATGGATGGGGTCAGCCCTAGCCAGAGCAGGGCTCCAGCAAGGGAGGCCGTGTGGTCCAGAGGCAAGAGCTTGGGACTTCAGAATCAGCAGACCTGGACTCTTCACTCTATCAGCTGTGTGATTTGGGGCAAGTGGCTTAGCCTCTCTATTCTTCATTTATCCTACCCATGGGGTAATAATCTTACTTCATGGGGTTGTTCAGGGATAAATGCAACTGTATCTTGCCTGGTAAATGCTGTATTTAGTCTAATCTGAGATGCCATGGCTAGTAAGATGTATGTTCATGTACTCTTCAGAAAGAAAAAATATGCTATTAATTAAACCGCATAATGCTTTCTTATCACATTGGCTGCAAGATAGATCCCACTTTCAGAGAAGTTAAAGTGTGGAAAAGATGTGTGTCTTCAAATCAGCAAGGTATCGTAGCATGTACTCAAGCTGGGAGTTGTTATTAACAAGGCACTAGGAAGCCCTACCACTTGGACTTCCTTACCACCCAAGGCTGAGAACCTAGCTAGACTCACGAATGTGACCTGTGCTGTGGCAACTGCGGCCTCTTTCTCCTTGTGGACTCCCAGCCCAAGGAGTTTGGATTATTCTTGAGTAGCCACCTTCTGACAAAGATCTGTGTGCTGGATTCCAGGCCTCATCAGCCCTGGGCCCTCCTGAATTTCCCAGTGACTGTGGTGAGGCCATCCATATGCACTGAGCAGGGTCTCCTAAGATGTCCCAAAATGTGTCCTTCAGCCAGGAACCAGCTCAGCCAGAGGTCCAGGCAGAAGGGATGAATCAGATGCAGTGTCAAGTTGTATCTGAGGAGATACAGGCCTCCCCAGCCATCACAGAGCCTCCTCCTGAGCCCTCTGTAAAGCATCCACTGGGAACTCCCTGGGCTGCCCTCTGTTTTGCCCATTGGCCCAGCTTGGCCCTCTGGGTCTATGGACTCTCTAAGCGAGGAGACTGCCATTTGCTGTGCTATGATGGAAGCCCTTGACTCTGTCATCAAAGACTGTTTCTCTTTCTTCTTGCTTCTTCCCTCGAAAGTGGTAGTGTAGCATCAGGCAGAGTCAAATCTTTTGGTAGCATGGCCTGACATGACCCCATCAGTTACATGGGTCACCATCTCCACCGAGCACTATGCCTGCATATTAGTCCTGGAAGCACTACCATCCTCACCAACAGCAATCTGGCTGATGAACTTGACTCATGCAGAAAAACATTTTCTTAAAGTTAACTAACCAATGAAATTAGACGAGGTTTCCATGATTTAAACTTTTATTATTGAAAGAGTGGAAAAATAAATAGCACTTCTAGGGATTTTTTAGAAGTGAGACTATAAACCATTAAAACATTAAAATTCATTCATTCAACAAATATTTATTAAATGAGTACCTACTAAGTGCCAGGCACTGTTCTAGATGCTGAAAATGCAGCAGAAAACTAAGTCTCTGACTTCAGGGAGCTGACATTCTAGTGAGGAGTCTGAGACAACCAGCACACTGGTCTGCAAATGACTCGAACACTGTGGAACTAATTTTTAAATATCATTTAAGATTTTCTCCATACTCTGGGTGGTCTCTTCAGAGGGAGGCTGATAAGCATATAGTTGCACAGTTATTCTATCTTGATCTCTGTTGATATGGCTGCAGACATCCTTGGGGAAAACCTACACCTGTTTTGGTTTTAGCTTTTACAGCGTTTGACAGAATCACAGAATAATCAACCCAATGGGAATTCCTTAAAAGGAATGTAGAAGAGAAGAGGAGGGGTTATCCTTAGGCCAGGTCTCCCACCTTTGAGCCGGACAAAACCAGAGTCACCTAAGACTCTTAGGAAAGGTCTTTTGCAGGTCAGTGCAGTGGCTCATGCCTCTACTCCCAGGAGGCCGAGGCGGGCAGATCACCTGAGGTCAGGAGTTAGAGACTAGCCTGGCCAACATAGTGAAAACTCCATCTCTACTAAAAATACAAAAATTAACAGGACATGGTGGCGCATGCCTGTAGTCCTAGCTACTCGGGAGGCTGAGGCAGAAGAATCTTGAACCCGGGAGGCTGAGGTTGCAGTGAGCCAAGATCACACCACTGCACTCCAGCCTGGGTGACAGTGCAAGATTCCATCTCAAAAACAAACAAACAAAAAAACAGAAATGGTCTCGTGCAGCCCCTCAGACTTTGCGGCACCGCACCAAGAGGTGCCCACAGTTATCCAGCTCAATGTGATAGAATCTCTTTCATTTTTCTTAATGAAGGTGAACTTAATAAAAGCAAACACATGATGATTGTTGATATATTTTATTTCTCTGAGCCTTCTCTGCCACATAATCCCACTGCCTTTAACTTTCTTGGCCTCGTTGGGCACATGCTGTTTATTTAACATGCTGATACGAGTGTTAGAGAAATAGCACATTGCTGAGCCCTCAAAGAAAAGCTTCACCCTAGCAGGCCCAGAAACGAAGAGAGGCTGATGATCAGCTAAAGCACGTTAGCCAAAAGCATTCTTAGGTGCAGTCGTACTGAGAAGCCCCGCGTGAAGTCCTGACTCAGTGTTCCCTGACATTAAGCCCCCTGAAATGTGAGCAAAAAAAAAAAGTATCGTTAAGAACAGGCACTAGGAAGCTGTAATCTGCTGGCGTTCACTAACAGATCAAAAGATTGGAGATTGGCTGGAACTTAAAACCACATATCTACACTCAATTTCGACGGGGATCTGGCTTTCCCAAAAATATCTGTTTAGGTTATTCTCAAGGAAGTGTTCCTTTGTTTAGCCGCTTCCTGGTGGACAGAGGAAACTCAGAATTCAGCTCTTCATTGTCCCTGTAGAGCAGTGCAGTCCAATAGAACTTCCTGCAAGGGAGGGAAGGTCCTGTCTGCACTAGCCAATATCACTAGCCGCCTGTGCACGGTAGCTGCTGAGCCCTTGAGTTGTGGCTTTTGCGAATGAGGAACTGGAGCTTTCATTTTAGATAATTTGAATTAAATTTAAATTGGACGGCGCAGGTCTGGAGGAGCCCCTGCAACTCAGGGTGATTCTGGGGGCAAAGCATCTTTGTAGACTTTAGCCTTCGCGTCCTTGCCTAGGAAGGACTCTTGGCACTTGGTGTTTAGTCTGTTTGCAGACCTCATGGAGCCGATGAGGTGCCCCAGGCAGTGCTCTAAACATCACGCAGCAGATATGTCACACTCTGGCAGTTCCCTGGATAAACAGCCCTGTCTCTTGTCTCTTTCAAGTCTGGGGCCTGGTGGGAGCCGTTTTCCATGACTCTGAGTAGCTGAGTAACAGAGCCCGGGAGAAGATGAGTCATGGACCCGTCTAGAAGGGAAACATCTCTAGGGTTGCAGCAAAGATCTAGAACCAGAACCACAGTTTTGACAACTTTGTCAGCATCCCCAAAATGGGGACTCAAAATGAGCTCAGTGGCAAATCCAAATTCTATTGTTGATTTCTGTATTTTTGCTTCTGCAATGGAAAGCCGATCTGCAAGAGAGGTGGTCACCCTGGCAGAAGCCTTGATTTTTTTTTACTTTAGTGACAAGAGATAATTACTGTGGGATTGATCAGGCGTCCAGAGTATTGGAGCAGATAAATTGTGCAGTGGCCAGTGTGGGAGGGGCCAGGCTGCTAATGGAAGTGGTGGCTGGGTCATCCCACCGTAATGTGGCTTGACGGAGCGTCTGCACGGGTCTGCTGTAATGTGCTATTGATATGCAGCCAGCCAATTTCCCCCGTGTGGCTGGGGCTGTGAACCATTCGAGCAGAGCTGGGCTGCACAGCAGTAAATGAAGAGGAAAATTGAAGTAATGTTGTATTATAAATTTATGATTTCATCTGCCTGACCTAGAGGATGTTCGGCGATTGGGGGTGGAGATAAGATCCCCCGCTCTGGCAGATGCCGAATTCTCATCTTTGTGGTTTGGGAGACTATAGTATTGATGTGTCCAGGAAGAGTGGGGTGAGACCCAAAGTTGGGGTGAACTTGACCATGCTTTTCTTCTTTCTCGTTGAAGCCTTGTAGGAAAGCCAGGAAGAAAGCAGGTATAATTGCATTGTATTTGTCACCTAAGTGCAGGGAGAAACTGGCTGCTCTGCCACTTCCCACCCTCCCTGAGGGAAGGTGACACATAGGCTTATGCTTTTGCTGTCAGATTAACACTAAAATATTTAAGACCCCCAGCTCTGAAGTTAGAAGCAAAGGAGCCATTTTTCATCTGGAAAGCCCCTAGGCAGCCATGACTTGGCTGTTTGCATATAATCCATTTATCAATATTGTTGAAATCATGGTATAAGAAATCTAGTACAAGATCTGATTTGCTAGCAGGTGATTAATTTGGAGGAGAACTGAGCTGCCTAGCCACGAAATAAATACGAAGGAAGGCGCCAGTATGCATGTGTCCATTTAAGGCATCTGAGCCCTGGCCTTTGCTGTTCTTCCTTCCTTCTTTCTCCGTCGGGTTGCTGAGCTCAACATCCCACCGGGCTCCTGCTCCTTAGCTAGCAGTCAGTGCAGAGCTGCTGGGTCCTTCTGCCTCGCTTGGGCAGGCTTCTGTCAATGAGTCACCAAGCACCGGGAAATAAGTGCACAGGAAGGAGCAGGTGGCAAGACCCTGTGGAGGTAGAGACAGTTCCATTCAGTGAGTGAGCTGTGACTGCAAATTTGGGAAGGTTCTGGGGGAAGCAAGGGAAAGGAGCCACAGCTGGTCTCACTCAAGAATTTGGGCACGTCACTGTTGCAAGGGACCCACAAGGCTTTCTACAGGTGACAAGACTAAGCTCCAAGAGAAAAAGGAAGACTCCTATCTTAAGTCGGGTTGCTGTCACAGATTACCATAGACGAGGTGGCTTATGAACAACAAACATTTATTTCTCACAGTTCTGGAGGCTGGGAAGTAAAGATCAAGGTGCTGGCTGATTCTGTGTCTGGTGAGGGCCCGCTTCCTCATAGATGGCCCCTTCTAACCGTGTCCTCACGTGTTGGAAGGGGTGAGGGTCTCTCTGTGACCTCTTTGTTAAGGGCACATTCATGAGGGCTCCACCTCATGGCCTCATCACACCCCAAAGGCCCCATCTCCTAAGGCCATCACCTTGGGGGTTAAGATTTCAACATAGAAATTTGGGGGAAACACATACATCAAATCATAACAACCCCCAAGGGCATGGTTGGGGGCCAGAGGCAGGACTGGAACCCAGGTCTCCTGACTTCAGACCCGTGAGTTTCTGCTCTAGGTCTGGTGGCAGATCCACTGATCCTAGGCAGAGGCTACAACACCAACATCCACCAGGAAGTGAGGGACGGTGGAGCCCACCTCCAAGGCACAAAAGCTCTGAGTAGGCAGCAGGATGACAAGCAAACTCTGACTCCTGTTGCCGAGTGCAGGCAAAGTGGAATTTAGTAAGGGATCCTTTTCCATTAGCCCTCACTTGCAGGGTCAGAAAGTGGTCAGTGTGATGTATGAGAAGCCACTGAGCAGGTGGGTGATAAGACCCCAGAGCTGTGTGTAGGGATGTTTTTAAAGGGTTTGTGTAGAAGGGCAGAGACACCCGTGGAAAGTGTCACTGTTGCCCTCAATTGCTGGAGAGCCTGGAGGCTGTCATAAGTCCACTCATCAAAGTAATTGTTTGCCAGTGTTTTGATAACAAGCAACAGAAACAACCCTGGCTGCTGTAAGCAGCAAAGGAGATTATTAGAAGGAGCTTGGGCAGTGCTGGAGAATTGACAGGATGGCTGGAGAACAGGACTCAGAAAACAGGCAGGAACTGGGGGAGCTGGGTGGTCAGAGCCCCAGCCCTAGCCAAGGGGACAACTCAGGAATGACCTGGTCAGGGGGCCACTGTTGCCAACACTGGATGCCAGATTCTGCTACTGACACCAGAATAAATTCGGAGCCAGTCCCTCCTCCTCTGCCCTACCAGCTCCAGAGGCAGATCCTAAGGAGGGCTTCCGTCTGTCGAGCCCAGGTTCACAGGCCTGCCTCCCAGCCTCCAGCCCCAGGAAGAGCCCTGAGGCCTTCTCAGCTTCTGTGATGGCCGGGGGGGTGGGCCTCTCTCCAAGACTTACACACAGGGAGAGGCTCAGGGGCTGGGCAGCCAAAAAATGACCACAGACATTCACCTCCAAAGTCAAAGCGAAAGTCACGTTCTCGGTGGTTGGGTGGCCGTGGTGGCATCTTAAGAGCAAGAATGTACTGAGGTTACATATACACTGAGTGGAGGGAGGCAGAGTGAGCCTGACCCATACGGCCTTCATTTAGCCTGAATCAGGCAGGGACTTGAAGAACGAAGTGGCCTGAGCAGCCACAATGACTCCCTGAGAGCTGAATGACACCTCACATCACTGGGGGTTAGTGACAGATCTGAGATGGTCACACCAGCCCCTGGACTTGCCAGCTGAGTTTCTTGTGTGCCCAGTGGCCAGCCCAGTGGCAGTTTCTACAAGTGTCTTTCAGTGAACCACTCACCCCCTAGCTTGCCTGCTGAGACAGGGGTCTAGAAACAATACGCTTGTGGTGAAACGCCCATCCAGTCACACGGCACGGGGCTCCTGAGTCGGAGCTACACTTTGTGGTATGCATCTTAACACATCCAGCCTCTCACCATTCTCCAAAGATCTTGGCACCTCCGTGGAGTGTCAAAACTGCAGTGTGGGCCATGGCTCATCAGGCCCAGCGTTTTCCAGAGGCCCAGGGTGAGCCCTGAGTTTGGCCGCTAAACTGTGACTCCTGAGTTCGCATGCTCTGTCTGGTGCTGGCTCTGTTGTCCACTGCCTTGGGAGGATGCATCACGAGGACTTTAATCTCCTACTGTCAATAGCTTTAAGGTAAAGTACATGCAGGGTAAGCTCTCCAAATGTCAGAGCCAGGCGCAGGCTTTGTGTTTGGTGCTGATGCATGGCATTTACTCTGAAGGTTCAGGAAAGTACATGGGCTTTGCGGGGTCTGGCTGCCCAAATATGGGTTAATTAGCAACAGCTGACAGCAGCGCCCCCGGCCACAGGAGAGAGGTGACCCAGACCCTTAATAAAAAAACCCTCATGAGAGACAAATTATTCTGTGAAGGAAAATAACTCAGGCTTTCCTCATTGCCACCCTCCGTGAGATTTTACCCCAGACCTGAGGCGGCTGTACTAACAGGACTCTGATCTTTCTCTTTGTGTTCAAGGATATCCCAACTTCGTGGCGACCTATGGCCGTGGCTACCCCGGATTTGCTCCAAGCTATGGCTATCAGTTCCCAGGTGAGTGGCTTGGTCTCCCAGGGCTTTGGAAGCACAAGAGGTGGGCTGCATTTGCGGGGAGGTGAGAGGACCCCTAAAGAGAATGCATTTCTTACATGCATCCACTTGAAAATGACCTATACATGATAAATTTCAAATCCACTGAAGTTCAAGGCCAGGATGCAGCTCAGAGTTTTTGATTAACTCAGGTATAACTCACTGGTGCCGGGTATTTGAGAACGGCAGCTTTTAAAGGGAAAGCAGAACGGAGGCAGGAGGCCTCCCTGTGCTCACCTCCTTTTTCTGAAGCCTCTTCCGGGTTTTTTCTCACTGGGGACTGAACTCTAGGCCCAGGGCTTTCTTTCACCCTCTACCACCCCTTGCCCGCCTCCCCGCTCCCTGTGTCCACCTGCCCAATGTTTGATGTCTCCCCGCCCTTGCTTCCTTTCCTCCACCCCTCCTCCTCCTGCTCCGTCCTGACTGCTGTGGCTTCGGCGTCCTTCTGGGCTGTGTTGATGTTGAGCTGCTAGGGGTTGGGACTGCTGTCCATCCTGGGTGAGCTGTTTAGATTATCCTTTCCCTCTGCGTGGGTATCAAGACTTGAGGCAGAGCCCATGGTGATGCCCGCCACATGCCAGGGCTGCTCCAGCTCCAACTCCAGGTAGCTGGCAGGCCTGGGACCTCACCTGGGAGAAGCAGCGAGGGGAAACATGGTCTTGTAGGGATGGGGTAGGGACAATGAAGGAAGCGATGTTTTACAGGGTATGCTTTTCCCCAGCCTTTCTCAAATCTGGAGTACAGATAAGAATATATTGGGGTGTTTGGGGGTCTCCATGTGCAAAGGACAGCCGAGATTCCAGAGGAGGTGTAGGGACAGAGTCTTGTCCCCTGTGGGTTTTCTGCTGAGGGAGGAGGCTCCCTGGGGAGCTGGGCTGCAGGCGGAGTTTCACCCCTGCCTTGTCGTCATGCCTAGACCTGGAGGTCTGGGAGTGTCAGGGTCTGAGATGAATTAGGAAGCAAAGGGAGTGAAGACGCGTCGCTGGAAGATGGCGCCCTGACACTGATGACAGGAGGGCAGAGTGAGGGCTTGGCCTGGTCTTTGCCTCAGACCAAGCATTGGGGCGGGAAGGGTGTAGTTGGAGAGATGAGGAGGCATTTGGGGGCACCTAGAGCCGTGCTCTATGGCAGACAGATCCTTCAACCAGCGGTGGAAGCCCCAAGCTCTTGTCCTGTCTCCGATACCACCTGGCCAAGTGGCCATGGGCGGGTCACTCAGCTTCTAGGGCCTTACTTCTCTCTTTTGGAAAAGGGGGTCTACGAGGAATGGTCTTTGGGGTCTGTGCCCCTCTCCGATTGTGTGGGTCAGAGGGTGCAGGGAAGGCAGGCACAGAAGCAGAAGTCCAAGATGGAGGAGTTTGAGTGCAGGTGGCTCCCCCACCAGTGTCCCCTGGGGCTGGGATGGTTCCCCATCTGGGAGGGGCCTCAACAAGACTCCTCGGCCCGCACTAAGGAAGCCGTCCCCAAAGATGCCCCCCAGCAGCAGGCTGCTTCAGGATGGCCACAGGCTCCCAGACCTGAAGAAAAGAAGGGCACATGCAAGAAGGACCACCACAAGAGAGGCCAGCACTCAACCAGCCACTGTCATTAGACTTTCCCATTTCCAGGCAGAGACCCCCACCAGGCACAGGCACAGAGGTAGAAACTCCTTCTGAAGGGGTCACAGTACGCAAGGGGTAGGACCTGCATTTGGACCAGGCGGTCTGGGCCTTAACTGCCACCCTCCACCATCTCCCTAGTGTCCATTTTTCTGGTACAATAACACTAGCCACAAAGAGCTACTAAAACTTAGGTTTAAATTAAAGTTGGCTGGGTGCGGTGGCTCACGCCTGTAATCCCAACACTTTGGGAGGCCGAGGTGGGAGGATCACTTGAGGTCAGGAGTTCGAGACCCGCCTGGCCAACATGGTGAAACCCCGTCTCTACTAAAAATATAAAAATGAGCCGGGCGTGGTGCCCGGCATCTATAATCCCAGCTACTCGGGAGGCTGAGGCAAGAGAATCACTTGAACCCAGGAGGCAGAGGTTGCAGTGAGCCGAGATCACACCACTATACTCCAGCCTGGATAACAGAGTGAGACTCTGTCTCAAAAATAAGAAGAAGAATAAGAAGAAGTAAAAAGAAAATTTCAGTTCCTTTAGAAACACTGGCCACATTTCAGTGACTCAGTAACCATGTGTGGCAAGTGGCTATTGCCAGCACAGAATGTAGAACAGTCACCGTGGAAATTTCTTACGGGCTGGTGCTGTTCCAGTGCCTAAAGGAAGAGGGCTGTTACTGGGGGGTGCACGGTCCACACACTCACACATGCGCACCACTCCTTCCTGGAGACACCCATGGGGTCAGTGTCCCTGTGCTTCATTCTCTGCCAGTCTTGCTCAGCCCAGAAGCTGGTGGCTTTTCCTCTCACTTCCTCCCCTCGCTTCCCCTCCAGGGGATGACAGGTGCAAAGGCTCACGCATCTCGGCCCTCCAGGTGCAGCACTGATCTGTGCACTCAGCCTGCACAACCTGCTCCCCTCCGTAATCAGGCTGCCATTGCCCCTGAGTGTGATGCTAGTCCCAGGAGGACAGAGTTGAGGGATCTTAACATGGAATAATTGGGAGAGGACATCAATGTGGACCCTATGCTAAGGCCCCTGTCTCATCAGAGGGCCTGCCCCGGGGCCCCCATGAGCTGGCTCAGGAGACATCTAGTAGAACTCTGCCTCCATGGCCTGCATCCCTGGGCCTGCCCCAGGCAGACGGACATGCAGCAGTGACCAGATTGAGGCTGGGCAGAGTGAGATAGGGTCCCCTGGGTGCCCAGCCCTTCACCAAAGCCAAGACTTTGGGAACTGGGGGGGCGGGGGATGGACTGGGCTGCAGGAAGGAGGATAGAGTGGGGTTGGAGTGTTTTTGCCCAGGGCCCATCCGTTTGTCATGGCCACAGTCCCTGCAGCTTAATACAATCAGGTGGGTTTGAATGGGACAGAAATCAGGCATTACAATGTACAGACAGCAGCTTCCTGACCTTTGGGAGTTAGCTGCCCTGTTCTCAACCATCAAACTTTTATTTTTCCATCCTTCCCACCTTCCCACTCACTATGGAAGCCTCTTGATTCTCTTAACTAATGGCCAGAAAGGGGCCACCAGTGGCCACAAGAGTAAGGTTGCCTGCTCTCAGGGAGGGCAAGAGTGGAGTGGCCCTGAACTGGGAAGGGTGGCCCCATGGCTGGGGCCGCCCACCCCACTCATCTGAGAAGCCAGGCTAGGGTCAGAGTCTATTCCCCTCCTGACCCCCTCCCAAAGGATATGCTCCTTGTGGAGTGTTGGGTCTGTGCTTATCCCAGATGCCTCCCCAAGCAGCCAAATGTTTCCAGACACAAAGCCTAGGTAGGTCCATGTGTCATTCCAGTCAAGAGCGCAGGGAGTAGCTGAGCCCCTCTAGAACCAAACTTGATGACTCCTGGAGCCACAGCCTCAGGGCCAGGGCTACAGAGAAGCTTCTGGATGCCCTGACTTCCATCTGTCACCTCATGCCAATAAGGAAAGTTTCGGGTGGATCTGGCCGAGGCGGCTGGGGTACAGAAGGGGGACCCAGAGATGGGGCAGCCCAGCCCTCTGCCCTCTCCTCATCCCCATCAGGTAGATTCTGCGAACCCCTGCCATGCCCCGGGGATCCTGTGACTTCGTGACATTACACAGCAGTCATGTCACCTCCCAACTATCCTGATGTTTTCTTTGTGGTCTTTCTTTTCAGTGTCCTCACTGTATGCCCACTTTACCCACTTCCCACCTCCGGTCCCCCTCATGCTGTGCATGGATCCCGAACCTCTCCCAGCCCCTTTCTGAGTCCCCCTAGCAGGGCCATGCAAGACAGCTAGCTGGGAGAAATGAAAGCACGCCCAGGTCCTAGAGAGCTCCGAGACTCTTCATCCTGGCTGTTCTCACTCATAAACCAGGTAGCCTGGGTCCCCTTTCAGGAAGATGCAATCTGATCCCCTTTATGAAGGGTCCTCCTTTCCACCTGGACTTACCCTTTCTATGAACATCCATCTCATCTGGTTGGGGGTGCAGATATCACTCTTAGTAGAGCCTCATTCTCACCATGTGACATGGGGCTGCACGGACCTTCCTGGGCCACACAGCTGGTGGCAAGTGGCACCTGGCTGTGCCCATCTTCAGAATTCTGTCAGAATAAATGTTCCTAGAGAAGGCTAGACACTGGATAGTTTTTAGAGTGGGGAGTAGTTCTTTTCTAGAAAGGCTGGGTGGTGACCAACCACTCTGGGAACAGCTCCTTCTTCCCACATCCAGGTGTCCACCCCAGCCTGGAATTTGGATCAGGATCCCGTCTTGAATTATTATGGGTTGTGATCAGGGATCTCCCCTGCTTCCTCTCTTTTCCCCACTCTGGACTTCTCATTTCAGTTTAATCTGTTAATTTCTGTTCTTATTTCACTTTGCAGACTATTTGCCGGTTTCACAAGACATAATTTTTATCAACTAGCTCTTAAGAGAGGCATAGCAAAGTGGGGGTTGCTACCATTTCTAGAGAGAGAGGACACAGTCCCGGCCTGGGCTGCCCCCGCTCCAGTCAATGCTCACTGAAAGTCTGTCTTAGCTGCCTGTTTGAATGACTGTTCTTTTTCTCATTTTTAATTCTTGGACTCATGTCCTCATTGCTTCACTCAATTAAAAAAAAATTATTCTCCAGTCCCCTCCCACTTTGCTTCTTGTATGCATTGTGACCGACCCCACTTCCTCAGAATGTAACGGGGCCAGAGGGAAACTTCTCACAAACTTCGTAGAGCCTCCTCAGGGGAAGCTAGGAAGAAGACATCAAATGTTTTTAAGTCATGACCAAACAGGCTTGTTGGGGACATATCATGGGGTGAGCTTTGAAGTGCTGGTGGTCCAGAGGGGTTGCAGATACGTGACTTGGAGCACCCGTGTCTTACGATGGACAGTGATAAAGGTGAACACACAGAGACAGACTATTCTCTAAGAATGTGAGAAACCTGATCTGGAAGAGGAGCTATATAAACACTATCTGACTATCTTTGTCTTTTGGGGCCAGTGGCTGTTGGCATAATCACAAGCCTGTCTGTCTTCGAGAAGGGACAGTGGAGTCATCCAGGTGCTGCCACATGACAGGCACGGTGGGCACCGATCCACAGTGGGCCCCGCCTTCCCCAGCTCGCCTCCCTGCCTGTGCTGGCCTGGCCTTGCCTGCTGGCACCATTGGAGTAGGAGGGGGTGGAACACAGGGGGCCCATCCTGATCAGGCCCCATCTCAAGGTTGGCACTCCTGCCCATCACCCTTAGAAGGATCTTTTCCCATGGCTTGACTTCCTTCATTTCCCTAACTGAAATACACCCACTCTCTTGGAATAATGACGTACCACTCAGTTGGACCCTCAAGAGTCACTGCTTTGTCTGTGCTGGTAGTTTGTGAGAAGTGACCCGCACGCTTCCATTTGATGCATTTGATGTGAGTGAATCCATACATTTGAATGTCATTGTCCTTGAGACCCTACATGTGCAGTTTGGCTCATCTCATTAAAGATGCTTGATGTAATAATTGGTTAGTTTCCTTTTATTTTCCTGCAGGCTTTTCCATGAGTATTATTTTTTTCAAAGAACAAATCTGTATGGCTTTTCCCCATCTCCATATTTTGTTTTGCTATGAATTGCTTTGCTTTGGTGAACTTGTCCTAGTATGCTTGCCTCACAAACGTTTTAGCCATTGTGAATTTTCTTCATCTCTGTAAATAGTTCATCTGTGCTTCTCCCTGATGACGTTTTATTTTTTTTCCCCTGTAAGCAACCGAGGTAGAAAAATAAATTGTTTACCATGGACATACTGTGTGCTGCCGTCTCTTAGCCTGACAGTGTCCTGTTCTCGCTCCGGGGGAGGTGAATGCACTGAATAACCAGCACCGATGACAGCCTAGTGCAGTTTCTAAAAGCATGCGAACTCCCCCTGGCTGCCGCCTGTTCCCAGCCCTCCCTGCCTCCTGGCATCCCCTGTACTTGCTTGAGGTGGTCTGTCCTTGAGCAGAGTGGCAGAGCATCTGCATGCGCCAGCTGCACAGTATCGCCCCGATGCTCCTTCCTCCGCCACGGCTCCCCTCTCAAGTGAAAATGCCACACACATCTGGAGCCCCTCACATCTGTGCACTAGGTGTGTGCGCCGTCTTACCCTCGCGCCCACGGGCCTGTGTGTGGTTGTGCACGTGGCCTGCTTTCCTGACTCCCCAGAGCACTGCAGGCAGAGGAGGCACCAGTGGACAGTGGGAATGTTCTTGGATATGAAGCCGGAGGACCTGGTTTCCAGGTCCCACTTGGCCACTTAGTAGCCATGTGGCCTTGAGCAAGTCATGTATCCCTCCAAGCCCTGAAGATGATGAAAGTGCCTAGTTAGTTGAGTTGTTACAATTAAGGGATAACATGTGCATGAATGTGCCTTGTAAGTTGGTAAATGCTATAAAATTGGAAGTTTTAGAAATAGTGGGCACTGATGTTCTTACTAAGTCAGCTCTCCAGAGTGGTTTTCCCATTTTTATCCCCCATGAGGGATCTGTCATCAGTGAAAGGAATGATACAGGATTCCTACGTGAAGCTAGAGACTTGCTAGGACTTCCTCCCCACCGTCAGGCCCCATCCTTTCTCTTCCCTCCTTCCCTCTCTTCCCTCTTCATTTTGCTATCACCAGGTACTGAAATAGGTACCAGACATCTGGACATGAATAAGACTGACTCCTTCAGATGCTTTTGGGCTACCCAAGGGAGAGAGAAGCAGTGATAAGACCAATTGAACATCATGAGACAGGCACTTCACTAGAGAGAGGGAAGCTCTGGCCAGGCGTAGTGGCTCACACCTATAATCCCAACACTTTGGGGAGGTCGAGGCCGGTGGATTGCCTGAGGTCAGGAGTTCAAGACCAGCCTAGCTAACATGGTGAAACCCCATCTCTACTAAAAATACAAAAAATAGCCCGGAGTGGTGGCGGGTGCCTGTAGTCCCAGCTACTTGGGAGGCTGAGGCAGGAGAATCGCTTGAGCCTGGGAGGCGGAGGTTGCAGTGAGCTGAGATCACGCGGTTGCACTCCAGCCTGGGTGACAGAGTGAGACTCTGTCTCAAAAAAAAAAGAGAGAGAGAGAAGCTCTCTATGCTGTAAGGGTGCAAGGGTGGGCTGCTTGTTCAGAGTGCCCTCTAGAGAAGGTGACACCAGAACTGGGTCTCAAAAAGCCAAATAGAATTAGCCAGGTAAAGAAGGAAAGGAAGTATATCCCAGACAGAGAAATGACATGCTTAGACATTGAATCAGATAGTTTTAAGAAAGAAGAGAAACACAAAAGTAATAAGACACAAAATAATAATGGACTAAACAAAATAAGAATTCATTTATCTCTCATGTAAAAGAAGCCTGGATGTGGCTCCATAATACTCATGGTCTGGGTTTCTTCTCTACTCTCATTCTACTCTCTTCAGCATAAGACTCCACCTCATAGTCTAAGAAGGCTGCTCAAACTCCAGCCATCACATGTTCATCCCAGAAGACTACATCTCTTCCCTTTAGTAATGCTTCCTATAAGTCATGCAGGACATTTTGCTTAGATCCCATTGGTCAGAACTTGGTCACATGACCAGTTTCAGCTGCCTGGAAACCTCAGAGGTGTCTTTTTTCCAGGTAGCCATGTGCTCAGATAAAAATAAAGGATTTTGGTACTAAAAAAGCAGAGTGGAACGGCTACTAGTAGACACTTAGCAATTTCTGCTACATACCTGAGAGAGGAAACATTGCAGGTCCCAGGGACTGTGAGTAGTTCAGTGCACAGGGAGCTTGCAGAAGCATCTTGGGTGGGAGGAGATCTACAAGGCTGGAGCCATGGTGGCCTCCTGAGTCAAGTTTAGGAAGTTAAATTTGATCCCCAAAGCACGTGAAGTACTTGGAGATGATTTCACATACAGAAGTGATGTGGTCGAACTTCCATAGTGAGTCAGAGGGGTTTGGAGAAGTGGGAGGCCATGAGGGTGAGTCTGGAGGATTGTCCCTTCTCTCTGCACCCCATCTCCTCTCCACCTCATCCTCTCTTGGCTCCATCCCTCTCTCCCTGCGTGGGGCTGGCTGGTGGTTCTTTGAGCCCTGCAGTTCTATGCAGTTCTATGGCCCTAACCGCCAAAAGGCCTCTGGGCCAATATTTTGGCAACCAACAGTAGCCTCAGCCACAGAGCACTCGGGGTGGCCAGGAGGCCAAGCTAACGTGTCATGGCTTGGTGCCCAAACCTCCCTCCCAGGATACTGTGTGCAAACGGCAGGGGCAGCACAGCTCCCCAGGCAGGGAGACCCTTCCCCAGCCTGCTGAGCTTGAACTCTGGTTATAAAAGTGCCAGTTTGTGCTCCTACCTCTTCAGCAACGGAAAACAGGTTTGCTCTCGGGTCCTGATGCTGACTGATGAGCACTGGATTCCTGGAGCACTGGCTTCAGAATGATGTTGAGGCCAAGTCCTAGCTCAGCAGAAAGGACGGCTGTGATTAGCGATGTGGCCGATTGCTGTACCAGGAAGGACTCACGGCCTGTCTGCCATGTAGCTTGCCTTCTATATTCCTGTCCAATGATGGTTCTTCGGCGCCAGGTGATTTTCCATCACTCTAAAAGATACGTGGGGGAGTGGGGAGGGTTGGTGTCTGAGGAGAGGGATCTGCTAGCTCAGGGATATCCTGTTCCTCTGGAGGGAAGCCGCTGTAGTCCATTGTCTGTAGGGCTGCTTGCAAGGTAAGCTTCAGTCAAGTCATCAGGTCTTTGAGCAAAGGCAGAGGCTTGTGGTCCGTCTTAGCCTGAGGGGTAGGGCTTGGATGTGGAAATCAGAGTGAAGGGGTCCAAGTTCTCAGGAGGTGGAGGAGCTGGCGTTAGCAAGGTGACCGAGAGAGAAGCCTTGGCCATAGGCAAGGGGCTGCATCCTGAACCTGCTGTCACTCACCTGCCAGATCTGTCTGGTCATTGACATTTTGCAAAACATTCAAAAATGCTGCAGCTGCCATGCTCAAGGCCTAGGACCCTGGCTGGGAGTGGTAACCTGGGCCACCGGGGGGAGCAACTTCAGAGCCCTTCCATCCACCCCCTCCTCTAGCCCACCCAAGTGGCAGAGACCTCTGCGGTCAGTCCCCACTCAGGAGAGGCGAGACCCCGGGGTGCGCTCAGGGAGCTGCTTCCTGCCTTGGCGTCTCCTGTGTCCTGCTCTTTCTGGCCTAGTTCAGTGAGAGCACAGAGTTCCCCTCCCCAGGCTCTGTAATCTTGTCTGCGGAGGCGATTCCAGGCTTGCCTGGACGGCCCCTCATTTTCCTGTAAGTTGAAACTCCCTCTTTCCTCCTGCTTCAGTTTTTAAGGGACTGTTTCCTCATCTCCTGCCCCAGAAATGCCCTCACTAGGACCCCTGACAGACCCTCAGGCTCTGCCTGGTGCAGTGCTTCTGGTTGGCTTCCAGAATGGAGCCCAACCAGCGAGCAATGGCTGGTTTCTTGCTAGTAGGGACACAGATCTTGAAATATCAAGACAGGCTAGTCAGTTTCCCAGGTAGGCTGCCATAAGCATGGACTCGTGCGTCCAGGGACCCCAGCTAGATGCTGCAGCACTGTAAACAGAAATGCTCCCTGTCAAGAAAAGCCCTCCTGACACAGCAGCCCCCACACATCTGTCTCATCACCAGCCCTCTAATCTGAACATCCCTTCAGCCCTTGAGCCTCGTCTCTGGGGATTACCCCTTCCCAGATTAGATCCACAGCCAGATTTCAAATCACAAGCGAGCTCCCTCATGGCCAGCCCACTCCTGCGCCACCTGGCCCTGTGTATACTTGGGGCCTATCCTCTCATTTGAATATTAAAGGCAAGCTTAGA
Source organism: Homo sapiens (assembly GCF_000001405.40). NCBI lineage: Eukaryota > Metazoa > Chordata > Mammalia > Primates > Hominidae > Homo > Homo sapiens. Next base: position 57,637,224 of record NC_000017.11, read on the forward strand.
CAGGAAAGCATGTCTGCTGCTTTAAAAGAAGACAGAGAAGTAAAATTCAGTGGCACACCCCAAACCCAGACCGACCGCGGCACGAGGCTCGTCGGGGCTGTGGATATGTTGCCACGTTCCTCCCTCGGCGTGGAAAATCAGGAGTTGACTCTATTCCCAGATGAAAGCAGAGCACGGTGCCTAATAGGCACTTAATAAACGTTTGCAGAAATGAATTGGAGCAATCTGAATTGACGAGAATTGTGGGTTTCACTTCCGATCAGCTTTCTGTGCCTCTTGAAGCTCCTCTGCATAAATAAACGGAAATGTGACTAAGTGAGCGCTCAGCTCCCCATGGCAAAGCCCAGAGCCCCGTGTCCTCAGGCAGGAAGCCAGGATACTGAGTTCTTGCCCTTAGCTTGCCAGGAAAATAAGGCCATCTCTAGGCCTCGGTTTCCCCATCTGTCAAATCAGGCTATTGATCCTTCCTCACAGGTTGTTGAGAGGGTTAGTCGGACCGGGAATGATCTAGTGCTTTAGAAAAGGTTAGTGTCATGACCAAGGAAGGCAACCCGGCCCAAGGAGCAGAGGGCCCCGCCAGCTATGGCAGGATGGCAGCAGCTACAGTGAGGGAGGCTGCAGGTGACCCCACACCTCGTCCTCTGTGGACTGAGGCCCCGTGCCCACCAGATCTCATTTTCCTCCACTCCCCACCTGCTTAGGTCCCTGTACCACCAGCCTTGCAAAGTCCCCATTAAGTCTGCTAGCAGGAACTTAATCACCTTTCTTCAAGCCCTTCAGTTTTCATTTCCATCAGCAAAAACACGTGAAAGGCTGCAACTTAAAAAACAAAGCAACAACGAAAAACAGAAAATTACTCAGCATGTGAAATTCTAGGCAAAGAGCAGTGCCAGGCCTGAGGTTCGGGTAGCTGGTGCCTTCTGGCAGCCAAGGACAAAGCAGAAGGCAAAGATGTGTCCCCCCACCCTCTCCTCTCCAGGCTGAAAGGAATCCTGCACAGAGACTTTTTTGCAGAGCCCAGGTCAGCTTGAATCCCCTGCCCCTGAGAGACCCCACCCAGCTGGGTCACTGCCTCTGCTCTCTGTCACTTCAGTTGGGGCAAAGGCACATTCTCTGCAGAGAGCTGGAAATGGTCATCAGCACCCGACCCGAGACAGGGCCTCCTGGGGCACAAGTTGCTGAGCAAGGGTGCAAGGAATTCAGAGCCTGAAGGAGCATCCCACGTGCGGCCAGATGTGTTCCTGAGTGATTGGAGCAGCTGCACAGGGTACAGAGGGAGCCGTTGACTCTGCTGGACAGCCTTCAGGAAGGGGTGAAAACTTAGTCCATTCTGGTGACCGTAATAGAACACCATAGAGTGAGTTGCTTATAAAAAACATAAATTGGCAAGGCACGGTGGCTCACTCCTGTGATCCCAACACATTGGGAGGCCAAGGCGGGAGGGTTTCTTGAGGCCAGGAGTTTGAGACCAGCCTGGGCAACATAGTGAGACTCTGTCTCAACAAAATATTTAAAAAATATTTAAAAAATTAGCCAGGCATGGGGGCACACACCTGAAATCCCAGCTACTTGGGAGGCTGAGGCGGAAGGATCACTTGACCCGAGAAGTTCAGGGTTATAGTAAGCTGTGATTGTGCCACTGCATTCCAGCCTGGGTGACAGAATGAGACCCTGTCTCAAAAAAAGAAAACATAAAGTTATATTTCTCACAGTTCTGGAGGCTGGGAAGTCTAAGATCAAGGTACCAGCAGATTGGACATCTGGTGAGGACCACTTCCTGGTTCGTAGACTGCCATTTTCTTGCTCTGTCCTTTCATGGTCAAAGAGGTGGCCAGCTCTCTGGGGTCTCTTTTATAAGGGCACTAATGCCAATCATGAGGACTCCACCCTCATGACCTAATCACCTTCCAAAGGCCCCACCTCCTAATATCATCACCTTGAGAGTGAGGATGTCAACATATAAATTTTGGCAGGGACATAAACATTCAGACCATAGCGGGCAACATCCGAGCCGAGTTTTGGAGCACGCACAGAAGTTCGCCAGGCAGATGATGAGGGAGGGTATTCCACCTAGAGGGCCAGCAGGAGGCCCAAACACATGATGTGTCTTCCCTCCCTCGCATTCCTACCTCCATGGATTCCCCATCTGGGCAGAGACTGTCCTAGTACTTGGGCTGAGACAGCTGGACAATAGGTTTTGGCATTGGGAAGCCAGTGCCACTCTTCTCAAACCCAGGGAATCCCGGACACATGCTTTGTGAGCCGGGGATGCTGACCCCACCTGTGCCATAGGAGGCTGTTCCCCGACTGGGGCCTTTATGCATACGGCTGTGCAGCCCCAGTGGGCTCTGGATGCCAGCTGGCCAGGGCTGGCTGCCTTTGAGGTGGGAAAGGGAGAGGCAAGTGTAGCCTCCTGTTCCTTCCACTGAGGTCCTGCTGCCCCACCCTGAGTCTGAGCAGATGCTTGGCTGCCCCCAGGGCACGCCTGGTTTTGCAGGGAAAGGTGTGAGGCCAGCCCCACAGTTCCCTTAGTGGGGAACCTGCTTAGGGATTCTACAGTCTTTCTCCTGAAACCCAGGACCAGCTTTGAAGGTGCTGGGATTCAGGTAAGGCCAGGAGCACCTCTCCCCATCCCCCTGTGTCTATCCTGCCTCCTCCACCCATCCATCTCTCCATCCTTCCTTTAGGTGTTTAGCGTATAGTCACCAAGCACTATGTCACAGGCCCTGCCCTAGATGCGGGGGACACAGTGGTGAATGAGAGGTGGGCCCCTGCCTGCTTGTTGGGAACAGAGCAGCAAACAGGATTCCACTCTGGTGGAAGGACCCAGGAAGGCTCCTCTGGTCCAGCCCCTCCTAGAGGAGGTGGGGGGAGCTGGGCAAGACCCTGTTTCAAGGGCAGCACATCAGGGCAGGAGGGCACTGGGAACCATCAGTCCAGCTGACCAGCACAAGCACTGGGGCTCCAGGCTCCGCATTCATGCCTGTGGTGACCACCTCACAGGGCGATGGCCACCCCAGCTGCTTCTCCCTGGCCCTCCGCAAGCCCTTGCCTCCTGCTGTCAGATTAACCCGCCAGAGTTAAGCTCGCACTTCAGATAAGACATACCCCATCACTCACAAGCGAATTATCAATGTTATCTATTAAAGCCCTTTGGATGTGAAATGCCATGTAAATTAATAGGATTTTAGAATAGGAAGGCACCAAAGGGATTTCTCAGCTCCGCTACAGTTATTACCTTGGGCAATAATAATAAAAATAGAAATAAATGTTATTATTCCACTTACCAAGCAACAGATAACCGTGCTGAGCGCCCAACGCCATCATCTCACTGAATCACTGATCTTCACTGCAGCCCTAGGAGGAGGTGTCATTAACTGGGTTTTACAGAGGAGGAAAAGGAGGCAGAGAGGGAAGTTAAGTAACTTGTCTTGGGTCCGACAACTAGTTAAGTGTGGGAGATGGGATTTTAACCACCGTTGTGTACTATTTTCTTTAACCTCTCTGGACCTAGAATTCTTCATCTATTAAATGGGAATAGTAATGTCTTTCTTGTGGTGTTATAGCAAGGACTCACTGAGATGATGCAGGGACGCTCTGTGGCCATGAAAAGTGCTCAGATGGTGGCTGCTGTTGTGTTATCATTAGTGTAATGACTATTTTCTCATCATCAAAACCAAGCTCTTCCATTTTACAGGTGAGGAAAGTAAGGAATAGAGAAGGCCGTCCTCCCATCCACCTTTTCAACAAGGGCTAGAGTGTAGTGGTATAAACTACTGGCTGTTGACATTTTTAGGTATTTCTATACTAGCTGGTAAATGGCTGCTGCCCTGAGCCAAAGTTCCTCCCCACCATGCTGGGCTCTCCCCTGAGACTCCCTGACTGCTCCACAGTCTAGCAGTAAAAGGGTTGGTGGTGTCTGCCCTTCAACATCTGAAACAACGTCACTCAGGAGACAGAAGTGGTGGAGCATCTAGGGGAGGGAACTTAAGATCACAGATGTTCATCTAATCACTGAGCTAGTGATGGGGCCAAAGTAGGAAACCTGGAGTTTTTCAGCAAAAAAAGTCGGAGCGCTCAAGACTTGAGCGTTTGCTGTCCTGGTTGGCAGAGGTGAGGGCCACTGGACTGGGGTCTAGGATCCTGCTGTGGCGGATTCATTGAAAAAGCCCACGTGACATGAAGCTGGGGAGAAAGCAGGCATGGAGAAGGAACCCAGAGAGAGTGTAAGATTTCAGGGGCTCAGCAAGAGACCCTGTTGGAAGGAAGCAAAACTGTGACTCTTCTGGCAGTTGGGTGTCTGAAGTTTTGGGTACAGGGAGAAGTGTAAAAAGCATCGGAACAGGGAACTCTGGAAGGATCAATGGTCAGAACATTCGTAGTTTGTCCTGACACTCATTGGTGGTAGATGAGAGAGTGGCTCAAAATCAGAAATTGCCATTGTTATGAGAAGTTAGGGAAGAGGAGGGTGTGATTGGAAAGAAAAACTGTCAAGATAGTTTGTTGATGCCTCTTTTGAAGCTAGAATCCCTTCACTTTGAAGGTCTCAGTCTGGGTCTCAGAAAGATAGGCAGATAGATGTTTGTTCTGTGGGGAAGTGGGTGTCCCTGGCCTATTGAGGAGCCACAGGCTGCTGGCACAGGGTAGCAAGGGCTGGCTTCAGAATAAACTCCATGTGGACATTCTCTCCCTTGAAGTCCTGCTGGCCAGAGAGTGACGCTGAACCAAGTGTCCTTGTAGGGCTGGGGGCCAGCGTCGGAGCCCTTGTAATGTGTCAGCCATTCTTGATGCTAGCTGTCTGGCCAGCACTGCAGCAAAATGCACATCATCCCCAAGGCCCTGGATGGTCAGGCCAATGATGCCTGAGGCTGGAACTCTCCAGGGCCTCTGAAGTCAGGGATCTGTCCCCTGCCTCCACCTCAATGGGTAGTAACTAGAAAGAATTACTTGTGTCTTGGTCATGTGTCCAGGGCCCAGCTCAGTAGTTTTTTTTAACTGAATTGAATCAAAGTGGTGAGACCTTTTGGGGGTAGGTCAAGATCATAGCTATGGCAATACCTCCATTTTCTTTCTCTCTTGCCACTTGATCTTGGAGAAAAGGATTCATTGGAATGGCCACTCCTGCACTCCCATCTCTGAGGACTGAGTCTTCTGAGTGCTCTCTCTATCTTCAAGTGGCATTTGGTGTAGCCACGCCCAGGTCCTTGAGCTCAGCTAGAAGACCCTAGAGCAGACACAGCCAATGCCTGGTTCCAACCTAGAGGGGTCCAAAGCACAGGTCCCCCACCTTCTTCCTGGAAGAGTGAGCCACGGCCTCCTTTAGCCCAGGCCCAGCTTACCATTAGCCAGTTGTCTCTCCTTGGGCAGTTGATCTGTGTGCAGCCTGTCCTGGGACCCCAGTCCCATAAATAGAGCCCCTTTGCTGTCCACAGCTAGCAACTCTAAGCTCCATGAGGGCAGAGACTGTATGTTGTTCACTGCTATGATTCCAGTGCTTAGAACCGAGCTTGGCCTGTAGCAAGCACTCAGTATTTACTGGGAGGGCACAGGGCTGAGAATGGGTCTTGAGTTATCAGTTCTGCTGCAGCTCACTGCGGAAGTTCTGGGTGACTGCATGCAGGTACTGAATGCTAGGCCCCAGCCCTCTTTGGGGAGGGATTTAGTGATTCAGCGGTAGAATGGGCCCAGGGAGAAGGCTACTGGGCCAAAGTCCCCAAATAGAGCTTTCTGCTTCCTGCCCCCTGAGAGAGTCGCAGGACACAAACTACCTACTGCAGTGTTCTGAGCTCCAGCTGCAAGTTGGAATTCCCAGGAGAGCTTTGGCAGTTTCTGTTGCCCTGGTTGCACCTCAGACAGATTATATCAGAATCTCAGGAGGTAGGGCCCAGGTTGTATTTTTCAAGCTCCACAGGGGATTTCTGGCTGCAGCCCAGGTTGAAAAGGTACCCTACTGGAAGAGGGGAGGCAGGAGGAATTTCCGTGGAATTCAGCTGTGGGCCTGGAGCACCCCCTACGAGTGGGATGAAAATGCCCCCTCTCAGAGAGACTGGAGGAAGGCGTGAGCTCTCCCTCCGCAGCCCAAGACACCACGTTCTGTTGTGGAGACAGGTTGAGGTTGAGACCAAAGCCTATTCTCAAGCCGCAGAATCTGTTTGCCAAAAACAAGATCCAGTGTTGCGAAGGGCCCCGCTGTGGGCAGGCAGGGAGAGGTCTCTCCCTACTCCTGGTCCTCTGCTGGGTCAGTGGGGTGGGACAGGTGCTCCGCTGTGTTTCCTGAGTGCTTCCCAGTTGCAGGGAACCTGCGGACAGACACACACCTTCCGCTCCTGGCTGGGCCCCCTGGTTCCGCACTTGCCTCTTCTGAGGATTTCTCTGTTGCTTCCCAGGGGTGCTGCCTAACTTCTATTTTATGCTTCCACAAAGCCATTCATCCAGTCAGAGGTGTCCTGACAGAAACACTTTCTGAAACCTCAACAAAGGTTTGACATTGCGATGCACCTTCCTTTTAGTCCTATCAGTCTGAAGAGTTACATACATATCTTTTTTAAAATTAAGCTAAACAGCAGTTGTATTAAAAATTATCTGGGGCACTTTTGTGCCATCCCTGTGTTTTAGGAACTAACACCCTTAGGGCTCTTGACTGCAGGACCTCTCTCCTTTAGGCAACAGGACCAACCTGAGCCACCAACCTCTCACCCTTCCCAGCAGGCAGGCCTGGCCTTCACATTTGGCCCCTCTCCGGAGGGACAGATGACAGGTTCCACGTGCCTGTCATTTTCCCAGCTGCAGCTGAGGGCGAGACATTGCCCCCCCAGGCCATACACTCACTCCCCAGCACCCCCTTCCCCAACCAGCAGCCGCAACCTTCTCTGTCTGGGGGTCCCCATGGGAGTGATGTGTTGGTACCCTTGGGAATGTCAGGCTTTCTCCCAAAAAATATGTGTTTAAAACAGATTCCTATTTTAAATGCCAAGGACGCCAGGGTAAGTTGTTTTTTTTTTTTTTTTTTTCAAATGGAAATACATCTTCCTTCAAATCAAAATGTGACAGTCTGATCATGTAAGTGTGTCCCTTTGGTTATCAATTGTTCCTCCTCTTTGCACCCCCTGTTCTGATGTGAGTCCCTTGGTCCTCCCACTCCAAACATGTGCCATCCACCTTTTTTCCACTCTCTCCCCTTTGCAGCCTCCAGCCACTGTCTTTCTCTGCACAGAAGTCAGGGCTGTGGATTTCCTTGAAAAGAACCAGCCCTGTCGCATCAGGCTGGTCTGCCCGGGAGGTGGGAGCATCCTGGGCCAGCCAGGATGACAGATGGCGGTGTTTCCAAACTCTCGTAGGACATGTTTCCTACATTCTGGGTGACAGTTTCTTCTTTTGCTTGCTTATTTTTTAGTGTTTGGATTCGGTGAAGCAACATTGGGTTTAGCCAAGAATGTTTGAACCATCTATAGAAATTGCTGCTGGGGAGATGCAAGCATGCTGGGGAAGGGGGTGGAGAGTGCTTTAAGTAAGCACAACATAGGAAAAATTGTTTCATAATGGACCATTCGGGGCCGGTGATGCATATTACAAAAGAGTCTTTTATAAAGATTCCCCTTAATCACACCTATTCAAGCCAGAAGGAGCCTCAGAATTCTCTCATCTCCTCCTTTGAGAGAGGCACAGAGGGGCCACTGACTCATCCAAGGTCACCAAAATAAGTAGCAACTGGGCCAGAACCATACCCCAGGCAGTCCACTCCCAGACCAGTGTCTTCTCAGACCAAGAAGGGGAGAGGAGGCAAAGAAAAGGGTTCATGACGTAATACTCCCCAGCCCATGGGACAGAGGGCAATACCCTTTCAGTGGTAACTAAAAACAAAGACCCCAAAGCTTCCTCTAAATCAAGGGTTCTCTGCCTACACTGTGCATCAGAATCATCCGGAAGGCCTTTAAAAGACACAGAGACCCGGCTCCCACCCGATTCTGTGGGCAGGGTTGGGGCCAGGGTTAAAGCTCCTCCAGGCTGGACTGAGACCACTGCACCAAGTGGAGACATCGCATTGGCTCTCACAGGGGACAGGCCACAAGAGTTAGCCCCCTGTATTCTCAGGAGCCCCTTTGCTTCTGCAAAGTGGAGGGGCTGGCAGACTGAAGATGTGTGCCATAAATTTACTTTTTACAACCTTGGGCTGTACACTGGGGTCATCTGGGAAGTTTTTTTGTTTTTTGTTTTTTGGTTTTTTTTTTTTGAGACAGAATCTGGCTCTGTCACCCAGGCTGGAGTCCAGTGGCGCAATGTTGGCTCACTGCAACCTCCGCCTCCTGGGTTCAAGTGATAGTCATGCCTCAGTCTCCTGAGCAGCTGGGATTAAAGGTGCCCACCACCACGCCTGGCTAGCTTTTTTTTTTTTATTTTTAGTAGAGACAGGGTTTCACCAGGTTGGCCAGGCTGGTCTTGAACTCCTGACCTCAGGTAGTCCTCCCGCCTCAGTCTCCCAAAGGCATGAGACACCACACCTGGCCCTGGGAAGCTTTTAAAGGTCCCAGTGCCGAGGCTGCTCTGCAGACCAAGTAATCAGAATCGCAGGGGTGGGACCCAAAAATCAGCATTTGTTAAAGCTTTCCAGGTGGGTCCAGTGAGCAACCAGGGTTGAGAATCAGCACCCATACAGAGCAGGGCACTCCCATTTGCCATAGCTGTGTCCCATCTGCTGGATGAATCATGCCCCTGGACCCCTCCAGGGACGTTGAATGTGCCCCCACTGGGGTGGAGGATCGTGGGACTAGGGAGGCTACTTCTTGTAGGCAGTGCTGCCTTTCAGCTGCAGTTTACCCAGAGCAGTGACTCCCAGCCCATACCCTCATCCACTGCATCAGAGCATCCTGACCATCATCAACTGATGCTCATTGACAGTCTTCTGTGGGGAAGACTCTGGGCTAGGTCCTAAGTGGGACATGTGACTGAGTCCCTGCCCTAGAAGAGTTTGTCACCCAGCAAGAGAAATAAGATATGCACACAAAAATAACTGTGCTTAGGTAAGGAAGAAGCTGGTAAGTGCCAGAGAAGCAATAAAAAGTAAGTGTGGTATCATATCATCCTCAAATTCCCCAAAACCCAAAAGCACCATTGACTTCTAATTTGCACTAGATCATCACAACTCCAAAAAGTCCAGCAAAGTGTCTCATCCACTGTCAGCAGGTTGGTGACATCTTTCACTTAGATGAGTCACTAACCCCAGAGCTGTGTTAGCACCAACCTCAGAGGACTTGGGTTTATCATCCTCCTCCCCGCAGACAAGCTCAAGCAAGGTCTGAGATGAAGGGACGTTAGAGGTCATCTTGCCCAACCTCCTTGCAACAGAGAAAAGTTACACAGGGCCCGAAGAAGTGAAGTGTCGTGTCCAATTGCACAGCAAAGCAGGGACAGCCAGGGCTGAAGGCTGGGCTTTGAGGCCAAGGGGGTGATTCTTCTGTTATCCCACTCGAAGGGCAGAGGAACTCCATTCTAGCAAGAATGGGTCTTCGAGTCTGACGCCCATTAAACAAGATGGTTCCCACAAGCCGTGGCCCCTGTTCATGCCTGGAATTCCACCATTAGTGCTTCTTTCTTTTTTAGCCAGACATCCTCGTTTTGAATATAAGGTTCCCAAACAGAGGAGCATAACACATTCCTAGTACCTAAGTTCCAGGTGGTCAACCTATAGCTCTCAGGCCCTCTGAGATTTGATCAGCAAAATGATTTTCTCTTTTCTGCTGGATTTACTAACATATGATAGGTATTAAGCCACTAGGGTCATGCCTGACCCCTTGGCCCACTTGTCATTGTTAGAGCTAAACAGAATGTGTATTCTAATTTTGAGCTATGTTAACTCCACTAAAATGATGCTATGAAGTTGGGATATTATGAAGGATACCAGACCACTGTAATCAATAAGAAATTCAGGCCAGGCACGGTGGCTCACACCTGTAATCCCAGCATTTTGAGAGGCCAAGGTGGGCAGATCACCTGAGGTCAGGAGTTCAAGACCAGCCTGGCCAACATGGTGAAATCTCGACTCTACTAAAAATACAAAAAAAAAAAAAAAAAAAAAAAAAATAGCCAGGAGTGGTGGCACACACCTGTCATCCCAGCTACTTGGAAGGCTGTGACATGAGAATTGCTTGAACCCTGGAGGCGGAGGTTGCGGCAAGCCACGATTGCACCACTGCACTCCAGCCTGAACATCAGAGTGAGACTCTGTCTCAAAAAAAAAAAAAAGTAAAGGAAAAAGAAAGAAATTCAGGCCCCCTGTGTGCTTACTACCAGCTGACCATGGCTCCTACCTTGGAGACAGTGGAACACCCCTGCCTGGTGAAGAGTCCTGTCTTGAAGACAGGGCTGATGCCTGGACAGAGACCTGGTAGGCCTCATCACAATGGCAGGTGTCACCAACATTTTTTTTCTTTTTTTTTTTCTTCGAGACAGAGTCTCGCTCTGTCGCCCAGGCTGGAGTGCAGTGATGCGATCTTGGCTCACTGCAACCTCTGCCTCCCAGGTTCAAGCAATTCTCGTGCCTCCGCCTCCCAAGTAGCTGGAACAGACATGCGCCACCACACCCAGCTAATTTTTGTATTTTTAGTAGAGACAGGGTTTCACTATGTTGGCCAGGCTGGTCTTGAACTCCCGACCTCAGGTGATCCTCCCGCCTCAGCCTCCCAAAGTGCTAGGATTACAGGCATGAGCCACTGCACCTGGCCAAAGAGTGTTTGTTGGTTTGTTTGTTTGTTTGTTTGTTTGAGACAGAGTCTTGCTCTCTCACCCAGGCTGGAGTGCAGTGGTGCAGTCTCGGCTCACTGCAACCTCCACCTTCCAGGTTCAAGTGATTCTCCTGCCTCAGCCTCCCAAGAAGCTGGGATTACAAGCATGCACCACCATGCCTGGCTAATTCGTGTGTGTGTGTGTGTGTGTGTGTGTGTGTGTGTGTGTGTGTGTGTGTGTTTGTAGTGACAGGGTTTTCCCATGTTGGCCAGGCTGGTCTTGAACTCCTGACCTCAAGTTATCGGCCCACCTTGGCCTCCCAAAGTGTTGGGGTTACAGGCATGAGCCACCGCGCCTGGCCTAGCTCTCACTAATTAAGCTAACTCACTGCCAGGCATTCATCTAAGCACTTTGCATATATTAATCCTGCACTAAAATGGTCATCTCCTTTACAGTTGGGGACATCAAGGCAAAGAGAGCATAAGCACCTTGCCCAAAGTCACACAGCTAGTAAGCGGCTGAGCCAGGCATCGAACCCAGACAGGCTCCAGGTCTGCGTGCTCTGCTGTTTGCTGTGCTGCCCTGCCTCAGGAGGAGGAGTCTGGTGGCCCCTTCACACATTGGCCAGGGAAGCTATGTTGAGGAGGGACCCCCCCACCACATTTCCAGCAGTGGAGGGGTGATCATTTCCCACTCTGGGCAGTGGGGTGCTGGGCATCTGTGGGCACCCATGGACCAAGGAGCTCTGCCGCAGCTTTGCTTGGCCCGAGGCCCTATGAAGAAGCCTTGAGCCCTGCCAGACCACCTGCCTGGTTCCCTGCAGTCTTCCCCCAAGCACTCTCTGCTAAGGCAGTCCCCTCCTTGATAACCCAGCCCCTGCTTTCCCAAGGAAGTAGCCTGCCCCAGATGACCCCGGCCTCCTCAGGGCCTGGGGGAAAATGCTGAAGACAGTGCCACGAGGCCACTCTGCCAGGCGTCTCTCCCCTGCATTTCCCAGCCCTCCCAGGTCCAGCCCCAGAGAGTTGTTTCCACCAGGGGCCTCCTGGTCCTCAGGCCCCTCCTGTGTCCTGCGAAGGGCCTGTCCTGGAGACAGCCTGTGCCCTCCGTCACCACAGCCTTAGGCTCAGGCCACCAGGATGTTTCTTTGGCCTCTGGCAGCCCCAGCTGGGGTGCCCCTAGTCCACCCAACACATGCACAACACACATGTACTCAACACACACATCTACATATACCCAACACATGTACACAATACGTACACTCAATATACAACACACACACCCAATACATACATACACTCAACACACACATCCACATACACCCAACACAGGTACACAATACGTACACTCAACAAACACAACACACACAACACATACATACACTCAACACACATCCACATACGCCCAACACATATACACAACACATAACACACATGTACTCAACACACACATCCATACACCCAACACATGTACACAACACATTCAATACACACACACACACATCCAATACATACACTCAACACACACATCCACATACACCCAACACACATACACCCAACAAACACACATTACACACATACACCTGACACACATACACTTAACACATACCCAACACACATACACTTAACACATACACACCCAACACACACACCCCTTGTATCTGTGCTTGCCCATCTCCCGCAAGCCCAGCCACCAAGAAGAGGCCTGGCCCTGGGAACTCAGTATCAGGGGCCTGTCTGCCAGGTCATATGGAAAATGTATTTGGCGGGTGAGGGGTGACTGGTGAGGCTGGATGGCCTAATGGAACAGGAGGGGGATGGCGAGGAGCAGCAGAAGGGGGCCAGGAGGACGGCTGTGCAGGATGCTGGTGCAAGCTCCATCCCTTCCCTACCAGGAGGCTCCCAAGGGGCTAGGCCAGGTTTTGGCAAGGCCCTGGTGTTTCAGATGTAGGGCACAGAGGCAGTGGGGTGGCGACTATGGAGCTGCTGCCCGTGCTGTGTGAGGGACAGATTGGGCAGCCCTGCTCCTTCAGCCCCTCTTCTCACACCCTCCCTCTCCAGGGTGGAGATGAAATTCCAGCCCTCAGCAGTGTCTGATGCTCCACCTCCAGCAGGAGCCTTTATTTGAGATTAAGGATAATGGATTTCCTTTCTTGGATAAGTTTTTTTTTTCTTCCTCTTTCAGACTTTTTGTCCAAAATGCACTCAATTCCAGAAAATGGACCTTTTCTTAACAAGTCTTTATTGACTACACTCCCCTCCCCCACTTCGTTCCTCTTTCCCCCTCCCCCAAGTCTTTCCGTGCTTCCAAGGAAACCCGCTGTTTTCAGCGCATGGTAAGGAGTGCAAAGGAATGACTCACCTGCACCCTCTCCCTCCAGCATCCCCTGGGCCTTGCTCTTAACAGCAGCAGAAGCCTGGGTGTCCTGGGGGTTGGGACAGAGAGAAATAACTTGACTTCTTCCTTGTGTTTCTTCAGCAATTTCTGCCAAGACCCTCATCTTCAGAAATCTAGATGCTGCCTGGAAGAAATGGGGAGAGGACTTGGTTGGGGGTCCCTCCCTTGGTCTCCCTCTCGGTTCATTGCTGCCTTCTGGGGAAGGGAGGGCCTCCAGTCACCATGCATGGTCTCCATGGGAGCTTGGAGACCTGCAGCCAGGGACAACCATACATTTATTTCACCTGGATCTTTCTTTTTCCCCCTTCAACAGCCCTATTACCATATTTAAATGCAAGTATGTCTCTTTTCATTGACATTTTAAGTAGCTTAGCCTGACCTTTTTAGAGTAGCATGTTCCCCCTTTGAACTTCTTTCCCTTCAGTAGTACCGTGTAGCTAGGACAATAGTCTTAGTGTTTAGTGGGCTTCTAGTTCGCTCTGTTTGGGGGAGCTTTGTCTCTGCTTTCTTCCCTCCTCTGCTCCCTGCCCTTGACGGTGCATGTCTTCCTCTCGTCCTGTAGAAATTCCTTGTTTAAAAGGCTCAGTAGCTAAAGTTGAGCAGCCCTGTTGGGGGCTGTTTATTGAGTTTGCGGCTGGCTTCTGGCACATCATTTAAAACCACAGTGATTGGAAATGGGTCTTGGGGTCAGGCCTCCAAGCATCTGCCTGGATGGCAGAGGATGTTTGTCTTTATATGTATGGGAGTGTATCTGTGTATGTCCCAGCACGAGGCTGTGCGTGCACGTGCTGGTGGCTGAGAGAAGCCCAGGGTAGGGAACATGGCATACTTCATCTGGATTCTGCAGCTACAAGAGGTTACCTTGGCCTCCTGACTATTATTCCCGTTGCTGGGACATCCTTGCTGCCCGGTGCATTTTTAGATAGCATAAGCCTTGATCAAGAAGAAATCCAGGGACCCGTAGGAGACCCTCCAGTGCCAGCTTCATCTAGACCGTGGGGCTCAGACCGAAGAGCCACATCTAAATTCCCACAATTGCCTCAGGAGGTTGAAACACCGAGAGATCAAATAAAGCCACAGGGCTCACCCCACATAGACCCCTGCAGCCCCGCACTCCCTTCCCTATCTGGCTCCATGTGTATGCAATCACCTGGGACCCCCCAATGCTTCACCCTCGGGCCTGGGGCTGTGATGCTGCTGACTTCATGTTTTGACAAAAGTCTGGAGTTAAAAAGGCCATGCTAACCTGCAGAGCCTTTGGAGAACAGCTGGAATTAAGCCAGCTCCCGGCCAAGGTGCCTGCTCTGTCAAGAGGCCGTCCCAAGTGCCTCCTGCCTGTGGCACGGGGCTGACCACTCCGCCATGATCTCTGCCAGGAGCAGTGGGCCAGCCCAGCCATGCTCAGTTCTACTCAAGACAACCCCAGGGGAGCCACTGTGTCGATGCACGGCCAACAGGGAGCTCAACCCTGCTTCTCAAGAAAAAAATTCCTCCTACAATTCTTGAATTATTGTTGTGGGCCTTCTAGAACCAGCTTCTGGGGTGACAAATGGGTGAGAATCAAACGCACCTAAAGATGTTGTGCCTTCCGGAAGCCTGACAGCCACTACTCTGTGTCCCTCTCAAAAGCTGCCCTGTGAAAATCCCTTCCCACTCCTGTCTTTGTGTGGAGGGCGGGGGGTTGTGTGGCCCGTGACCTAGGTCTGTGCCTGGCCCTTTCAAGGATTCCTCCATGACTCAGGCTCCTCTCTCTCCTGACCAGGCTTCCCAGCAGCGGCTTATGGACCAGTGGCAGCAGCGGCGGTGGCGGCAGCAAGAGGATCAGGTAGGAAGGTGTATGGGACAGGCGACTCCCAGGCATGCCCCCAGTGTGCAGGGGGAGGTCAAGGCCCTGTCGGATCTGTGTGGCTGCATCTGTCCAACACCACTCTCACCACAGCCCCGGGGAGGGGGTGGACGGGGAGGGGGTGGACCGGGAGGCGCGGGCAAGGCCTGGCCACCCAGGGCACTTGTAGTGGGGTCAGTCACAGTCATGGGACTGCAAACTAAAGGCAGATTATTATTCTCTCCTTGAAAAAAAAAACAAACCTGAGTTTCTTTTTGACTTTGACCATCCCGTCACCTGACAGCTAGCTTCGGGTACCTGTGGTCATTTCCCTCCTTGGCTTTTGCTAATTCAACAGGCTCCCTTCCTTGGGTCCCTGAGCCAGCCAGAGAAGTGCTAGGCTGTCCCCTGGGACCCTGCTGCACTGGTAGGTGGGCTTGCTGGTCTGGCTAAACCCCCAGAGCCCCTGAAAGCAGCCATGGGACCAGCCCTGGGCCTCAGTGAATGAAGCTGCTGTTTCTGGAGCCGCTGTGCCTCCCAGACTCTTCTTAGCCAGACTCCTCAGCTCCAGCTGCCAAGGGAATTGGGCTTTCTGTCCCATGAGGTTGCTCCAGTCCTTCTGTCTCCAAAGCCAACCTTTTGGAGGTCTGGAACCCCTCAAGTGACATGGGAACACTTTCCCAGCATTATCATGGGGTCAGGCCAGAGCTGGGATATGTCCAGGGTGCCCGGGGTCCCTTTTGTCCCTCTCCCCAGAATGCTTTCTGCCTTCCCAGGCAAGCAGGGCTTCTGCTGTGCCCTGGGCTCCCTCCCCACCCCTGCTCCCTGAACTGAGTGGTCATGGTTTGCAGCTCTGTCCCCCCACGCCCCACGGACAGGGCTCTGGAGCACCCAGGGAAGCGCCTAGTTTGATGTCACAGGGCTCTGAGGAGGGTGGGGCTGGGCAGGGTGGGGGGCTGGTGAGGGTACCAGGAAATAGAGCATTAAAAGCCCAGAGGGCAAATGCCAAGAACCCACACCCTGGGTGATGAGAAGTTGGCACAGTGAGGCCCATTAGAAAACTTCAGTAAAAATCCGTTCCATGCAAACTGGCACTGCCTCGAGCTACAAAGGATCCACTCCCCCGAATCATCCCATTGGGGTTTTGTTTGGAGGGGGCTAGGGAGTTCTCAGGGGTTGCCGAGGGTCAGTTTGCCAGAGAGCTAGCAAGTGGGCAGACTGGCAGGCAGGTCCAGAGAGTGGGGCCCCCTTCCTGAGCTTCTGCTCACCACAGCCAGTGTCCAAAGGCCCCACCTGCCCTCTGGCCAGTGTCCCTCAGTCCCCCCAGCCCCGGGCCCCGGGGGCGGGGTGCACAGCTGCCTCGTGTCTCCCTGTGCCATTTGGTTTTTTAACTTGAGTGCTTTTTGGTATCATTATAAACAAGCCTTGGCCCTACCTGTGCCTGGGGTTGGGGAAAAGATAAAAGAAAACTCTTGAGATTTTTGAGTGTTGTTGGTTGTTGTTTTCTCCGTTCAGTTTCTTTCTTTTTATAACTTGGATTATGAAACTAAACTTTAACCCAAAATTAACCCTGCCTCTCTCCCCACCCCACCCCGTTCTCCTTGACTTCATGGCAAGTTTAAAGGGCAGCATGGGGTTCTTTATGAGTCTGAGAGCCGTCTCCCACGGTCTGTGCCCCCTTCTGCCACCCTACCCTCTCATGGACTCCCAGAGCCAGGTGGGAGTCCCACCCATCCCTCTAACTCCTAACCCCCAAGGTCATCTCCAGTCACACATTTTTTTTTTTTTTTCGGGATCAATGGTGTTTGATTTGTAGCCATTTCCATCAGGAGCAAAGTCTCTCCCAGCCCATTCTAGGTCAGCCATGCTCATCGCTGCACTGTTAGTGAACTGTATTCAGGAGTGTGCTCCCAGACCACCTGCCCACACCAGCCTGGGTTAGCGCAAGGAGTAAATCCTCAACTCCGAGGTGCCCGCCCCGCCCCACAGGGTGCAGGGTCAGCCTGGAAGCTACAGGGCAACCCTGCAGTGCTGCCGGGCAGGGTGTGTCAGGGGCTTGGGATGTGCCCCAGGGCAATGACTAGACTGTATCCACCATAGTGAGAGCGCTGCCTAGGCAGGAAGACACTTGCCTGTGTGTAGCCAGGCTACCCTAGTTCCTCAGCCCCACTTTGGACCTGGAACAGGGTTACAGGTTTGGGAAAGGAAGCGTTCTGCCTTTCTTTCTTTTAACGCATTCTGCCAGTAAGGGGACTGTCACCTCACTCCTTCTAGAAAATGATCGGGAAGCCAAGCCTGATGGGATGGCCAATTATTTACCTGTGGGTGGCCTCTCCGTGGCAAAAGCTCTTTGCTCTGAATTTCGAAGACCACAAAGACTCACTTGGGTGTGTGCATCAGTCTAGGCCACAGAGGGCTCACTGGGTGTTGATGGCCTAGTTTCACCTTCCCCAGCTCCTGAAGCCCTTACTCACCCCAGCTCCTCCCCAGGATGCTCCTGCAGCCTCAACTACTGCAGGTCAGCATGAACTCAACTGCATTCCCTTATAGGGAGACACAGGGAGACATTCAGGGAGAGTCTGTTGAGTACCTACCTTGAACCTGGTACCATGCTAAACCTGGCAGGCAACTCCAAACAGTAGAAAACGTGGCCTCTGCTCCCCAGGGGCTCTCAGGCTTCATTTAGGGATCAGACATCATCCTATGGACGGCCCTTTTTTTGTCTTTGATTTTTGTCTAGCTCCAACGTTTGGGTTTTTTTTTTTTTTTTTCCTTCCATTATGACTTATAGGGGAAGCTTCCTGAAGTGAGAAGCACTTGCTGAGGGCCGTGGGGTGGGAGGCAGCTTCGTTTTTGCTCAGGGTGGCAACTTGGATCCATCAGGGCTATGGTGTCAGGGTAGGAGGTCTGGGGGGGCCTTGAGGTCTGTGCCCACCTCAGCCAACTCCTCTGGGCCAGCCTGCCCACCTGTTCCTAATTCCCCTAGGACCTGAGGTGAGCAGGGCTCAGGGGACCCCACCAGGTGAGGTCCCTGCCGACTCCTAGATAACTTCACTATCAGTGGTCACTTTTCTTTTCCCTTCACCTGGTAGTTTGAAATGTCATCTTTTCTTGTGCTCAGTCGAGAGTTTGTTTGTTTATTTTGATCGTATTCATTCAGTTCCAGTGGCCCCATCATGTCCCACCCAAACCTAAATTCAGTTTGACAGAAGCCTCCCCCGACAGGTGAGGGAAGTGGTTTGGATATTCAGGGTATTTTAGTTTGGGGTGACATTATGGGTGGGTCCGTGTATCAATCTTAGAGCTTCTGAGCCCCTGGTACCACCCCGTCCCACCTCTCCCCACCCACCCGGCCCCAGCCAGGACCCCTTACTGTACTTTATACTTGCCAGCTTTATTCCAATCTAGTAACATGAGCTCCTGATGGTGGTGGTGAGTGTGAGCAGTCATATTTCTGTTGTCTTTTCTCTTGCTTGGTTGGGGCTGCGGTGAGAGTGTCTCTGAGGCATACTTTCCCGCCTCTCTTACGCTAGGATCTGCACACCTCCTCTCAAACACTCTTCTGAGCACGCTCAGCGGGAAGGTTTGTCCACACCTATTAATCCTCTCTCAGTGTCCAGCTTCCTGTTAGTACCAGCTGGTTTGCATGTTTTTGCTTGTTCAGATGAAACAGTTCAAGAAACAAACTCATATCCAACTCTCAAGAAATGTCTTTTTTTGTACACTTTCGTTTTTGATTTTTTTTATTAGTTACAACTCCAAAACACCTGTTGTCCAGTAAAACATTTCACACCTCCCCTGCCTGTTCTTAGATTGTATGTATCTGTGGGACTGAACTAAATGCATGCACCGTAGTAGATGTACTGGTAGCCGTAGCTGTAGTTGTAGTACATGCATTGTTGAGTTGATATTACAGGGTCTTTGACGGCTCGGCACAGCACGGCCGTCTGAAGGATAGTGCGGGGACCAGGAAGAGAAGGGGCTCCATATTTTCAATGTTTCCAAGGGGCTTGGATCCATGTTCTCACCATCAGCCACCACCACCTCCCCTCACACTCCCCGTTCCCCCAGTCCAGAACTGGGTCACCACCCTCAGCTCTAGCCTTCCTCACTGAGGTCTCTGTTGATATCGTCCAATTATAGTGCAAAAATGGAGCCAGGATTGGAAGGAGTCTTAAAGGTCTTCCTTGTTCTTGTCTTTCTCATACTATTCTTGAACAGAGCAGATCTTTTTTTATTTCTTAAGGCCTACCAGCAAGACTCCTTCAAGCCCTTCTACTCCTTGAGTCCTTTGGCAGGTCACAGCCAGCCCTTCAGGGATACGGGTCTATGTGGCAGTCCTGTCTATATGGATTACTTCTTGGGGTGGAGGGGAAATGAGACATGGTAAGGAAGGGATTGAGATCTTGAGATCCTTGGTCTGCAGACAGGGAATGCACTTGGCCCTAGTGAATCATTGCTATTTGTTCTTAGGGTTGGTGAAGGTTAAGTAGGGTGAGAGTGGTGACATTCTTAGCATGGAGGTGACTGGCACAGTTTCGTGGAGACAGAAAGGGAGGTCGGCTTGGAACATCCAAGAGGAACCACCCCTAGTTTCCTCCAGTTCCCCAGGAAGGCTCCCTAGAGGGGAAAGGAGCAGTCCTGCAGCCTGTGCCCTTAGAACAGGAGCACGTGCTGCCAGTCATCTTTGGACATGCCATCTTCCCTACATTTGTGGTGACAAGCCATAAGGGAGTGCCAGAGGTCTCTCAGAGCTTCTGGAGGTGTCCCTACTCTTTACGTGTTGATGCTGAGTGAGTAGTGCCTGCCTCCTGGAACCTGCTCTTTAAGTCAGGATGTGGTGGCTCTGCCCAGTGCTGCAAGAACATTGATGGAACACAGGTGGGATCTGAACCTTCAGGGTGCAAGTTATCTACTGTGGGAGACAGAAGCCCAGGAAAACGTCGGAGTCCATAAAGTCCCCTGAGAGAATGCGTAGAGATAGAGCAAAATGGTAGCGCTGTGGAAAGAATGTACCATGCTGTGGAAATTGGTGGCAGAATCGGAATGAACAAGGATTGAATGTGAGTAAGGCCAGTCTGCCACCAAACAGGATGAGGGTGCCAAGGCCCAGGAAGATAAATCTGGAAGGAGCTGTTCTTCTAGCTTGGCCTGCATGGGGGTGCGGGTGAGGGAGGTACACAGGGAGATGGCTGGAACTGTCAGGCTTCAGGGCTGCTGAAGCTGCAAATTGGCCCGAGGCTGGGGAGTAAGAGAAGAGGGTAGGGACAGAAGGCAGAGAGAGCAGAAAATCCCCTCCCACTGGCCTAAATCCCAGGTCTGGTTCTGCTAGGAAAATGGCTTTGCTGCCCTGTGGCTGGAAATTCTAAGAGCTCCAGTTCCAGTTGGTAAAATGAGCAAAAGTAAAATGCAAGTCAGGGGATGGAATAAATAGTTTAACTTGAACCAGAAGAGAAAATGCTTTAGGGAGGAGAATAGATCTCAAGAAGTAGATATGCCCATCCCAATCCCCCTTCAAGATGTTTTCTGTGTCCCCACTGCTAGCCTCTGCCTTATATATGTTAGGGGCTGGGGGACATGAAAGATAGTGTCCCACATACACTCTTCCACTTGCTGGAGGGATCCTGGAGCTATTTGGGTCAGTTGTACCATAAGCTTTAGGGTTCCCAGGTATTGCTTTCAACATGTATTTATTAAGGATTTGTTTTGTACCAAGCACCAAGGAATATAAAGGCAGATGGCATTTCTAGCCTTCAGTGGCCTGAGACTCTGGTCCTGTCCTCTGAAAGTCCGTGTTTCCCACAATGCACTGTTTCTGGCCTCAGAATGACCACTGTCAGCTTCATTTAAAAAAGGAAAATGGATCAATGTGTGCCTTCATTTCTGAAGATGGCTTTCCTGTGCTTCATGAGCAAGATCTGATGGGGGGCGGAGCGGGGGATGCAGTGCCTCCATCTCTGCTTCCTCACCCAGCCTCCTGTGCTAGCAGCAAGCATCCTCTGGGGGCTGTGGACCCAAGATGGTCCATTTGTGGGTAAGGTCATGGGGACACCCTTGTGCTAAGACAAAGCCACATCTGTGGCCATAGAATACAGCCAGTAGTGGCCCAGGGGGAGAACAAATCTCTGACCCACTAGGGCCAGCCACCACAACCAGACTTACCAAAGGATCTTACCTGAACACACATCTCTCAGTCTACTGCCATGTGTTCTGGGGATGGATACCTCGTTTCCCAGTTTGTCATTAAAATGTTCATTTCTGGGAGAGCCAGGACTTTCACCATAAAGAGTCCAGCATTGGATTTCAGTAACCCCAGTGAATTTATAATAATGCTGACAGCTGCCCGCTGCTGACCTCAGCTTCATTCATTTTCCAAGGGCTTTCAGACCAAACCTGTTGAGGATAAAATACATCAGCTCTAATCAATAATTTTGTAATAGAAATACTGTGCACTTGATAAATCAACTCTAGTGCAATTAGTGACTAGCCTTGAAGCCCAGACCTAAGTATAAGTTAATCCTAAAGTGAATGGAGTGGGGGAATGTTAATGGTCTTTCAAATCAGTGGAATTATTTTCAGTGGTTGACACATCTCTGCCTGCCCCCTGAGCTGGTTGGTCGTTGCTCTTGTGTGGGCTCAGGAGCTCAGGCCCAGCTGTCTGGAGCAGGGGTGGAAAGTGTGGTGGTGTCCTTCATAGCTCCATAAGGGCGCGCAGAGCACAACAGAGAGGGGTCTAGAGACCCGCTCCTTGCACCCTGGGCTGGGTGGGGGCACTGCAGGGTCTAGGAGGCCCCTAAAGCTGATCAACCTGCAGGTTGGTGAGAACCATCCAAGGAGCATGTGCCCGGGTGTATCATTCATGGTTGCTTGTGTTTTGCAGAGGTTTTTTTTTTATTTGGTTGGTTGGTTGGTTGGTTGGTTTGTTGTTGTTGTTTTGAGACAGACTCTCACATGTTGCCCAGGCTGGAATGAAGTGCAGTCTTGAACTCCTGAGCTCAAGTGAACCTCTTTCCTCAGCCTCCCAAGTAGTTGGAAATGTAGGTTCATACTACCATGCCCGGCTTTGGTTTTTTTGTGTGTTTTTTGTTTTTTCTTTTTTTGTTTGTTTGTTTTTGGTAGAGACAGGGTCTCACTATATTGCTCAAGCTGGTCTCAAACTCCTGGCCTGAAATGATCCTCCTACCTTGACCTCCCAAAACACTGGAATTACAGGTGTGAGCCACTGTGCCTGGCCTCTGCAGAGTTTTGACTTTCAGATATACACCGTGATGTATATTACCATAGCCACCCTGGGAGACGGTCAGGAAGGCAGAAGTTTGTGGCCTGGTTTACAAGCATGTTTTTGTTTTGTTTTTGTGAGAAAGCTGGGCTACAGAATGGCCATGTGACTTATTTAAAATCACACACCTGGTTACCGGAGAGCAAGGCTTTGGTTAAAGGTGAAGAACCCTGGACTTGAACCCAGGTCTCTGGCCTCCTTAAGTAGCCCTCTGGAGAAGCCGTGTTTTTTATGAGGGACACACCTGCCCCCCAGGACACCGGGCACAAGCAGGAATAAAGACCATGTAGGAAAAATAATAAAATAAAATAAAAGCCCATGTAGGGACAGCCCAAGTAGCCTCAGCTTCTAGCTCTATATAGGCCAAGCGCTCAGTCTCTGGCCTAAAACCTCATAGTCTGATCTTTCAGATGTAGATTTCAGAACTGGACCTACGGGACATCTGCCATGGAGTTGAATGTGGCAGATATTTATTAAGTATATAACAATAGTAATTATTGTTATATGTGGTAGGTACTGTCCTAAGCCTGATTCAAGGGTGCTTTTGACTGTATCAGAAACCTCCCAACTCTGATTAAACACTATAGGTTAATGTTACAGGGAATTAAATATTATGGGGGATTTATTGGCTGACATCCTGGAAGCTCCATAGAAGAGTGGGCTTCGTGCCTGGCTTGTTCAGGGATCCTTTTTCTGCAATTCTCTTAGCTTCGCCCTCCTTCTCATTTCAATACTGTCTTTATATTGGTTTTCCTCATGGTGGCAAAATGATTGCAGCAGTTTCTGGCATCATACCGTCCTGTCCAGAAGAGGGGAGTCAGATGGTCTGGAATGCTAGGAAGAGTCCAGAGCTTTGTGCTGCTTGGCTAAGGCTGGGGTTACAAAACCAGTCACTGAGGGTGGGATCCACCCCCTCTAAACCGAATGGCTCTTTACACGGTGGTGTAAGGATGGGTTCCCAAAGGAAAACCTGCATGCTGATAAGAGGGGAAAAGGAAGAATGATGCCAGAGAGACAACCAGTGGATGCCCACCACAGCCCTGGAAGTTCCTGGAAGTTCATGGATAAATACTAAGCAGTCTCCACGCCATTGAAGATCTCCCAACCTAGTGTGGAAACTAATGGGTAATTACAATAGGATGCCATAAGCCCGGTAACATAAGCCTATCCAATGAACAGAAGTAGCACAGAGGAGGAAGTGATCAGCTTTGTCTGGGAAGTCAGGGAATGTTTCACAGGGGAGTGAATATTTCCACTTTTAAAGGACAAATAGGAGCTCCCCAGGGGGCCGGGGAACATCATGGGCAAAGCCACCAGACCTCGGGACAATGGAGTGAGGTGGAGGCCCTGCTTTATTCTGGCTGGAGAATAAAATGCAACAGGGGAGTAACTGTAGGTAAAGCCAGAGAGCTGGGCAGAATCAGAGCAGGGGACCCTTGGTACTACGCTAAGGAGACTGGATTTACATGGGCAGGGCCTGTGAGATCATGGGAGGCCTGAAACTAGGAACTGACATCAGATTTGTATGTTAGACAAGCTTTGACAACATTGTCCAGGATGGATTCAAGACGCAGGACTGAGGTGGGAGGACAAGTTACAGATAATTCGTGTACATTGTAAACACTCCATAGATGTTAGTATATAGCTGCTCAAGAAGCAGTAGGCCTTTTGCTCTTATCCATAAGACGATTAACTCTGGACTCAACATCATGCTAGGGGCTGGGGTGGGCTGCAGAATAAGTCCATGGCATGGTCCTTGCCTTTAGCCGACTTCCAGTCCTCTGGGGAGGACAAAAGTACACAACCGATGTGAGAGCTAGCCTTTAATAAGGATAGATTCCTACAAGGTCAGAGAGTACCCAGAAGGCAGGAAGCTTAGTGGAGGAGGCAAGACATGACACAGGGCCTGGAGAATTTGGAGTGGGAAGCTGTCTGCTAGGCAGGGAATATGGGCTTGAAGAGATAGAGACAGTCAAGGTTCTGGGAGATCTTGAAAGCCATGTTGATATAGTCACAGGAGAGGGAGGTTCGTATTCTTCATGCAAGTGGCGCTCAGTAAGGACAGAACCATCTAAAGAAGATAAGCCTGGCTGTAGCTCCACAAAGAACAGCCTGACCCCTAATCCTGGGGTCTGGGGCTGGGGCTGGGCTCGTGACCTGGAGCAAGGGGTGTGGAGTGAGAGGCATTGAGAAAGCAGACACAGGAGGGCATTCCATGGCAAATCTCTGCCTTAGTTCCCTTAACTTTCCTTTGCTTCTGCCAACAAGTTGTTATTTATTCCCTGCTTGGGGCTATTGTTTCCCATTCCTTTGCCCTTGAGGTGGCCACTGTCCCCTTTCTTTCTGCCACTCCATTTCCCTCTGTCCTTGTCTTTGCCCTCTCTGTCAAAATTTGGCTCAAAGTGCCAGAAAGCCATACCTGATTCACCCTACCTGGGGCACCCCCTCCTTTGCCCATGTCCTCAGTCCTCTTCCTCATGGGTGAGCTCTCCTGAATGAAAGGTGAGATTATGGGTCCTTGGAAGATATTTTGCATGTGTCTGCGGGTGGCACCTGCTTTCCCCAACAATACAAACCATCAGGCCTCCCGGCGGCAAAGTCAGCCTAGTCCTCATTCTTCATATGGATAAGTAATTACTATGCAATTAGAAAACACAGAAAATGAAGGGGCCCTTTGTTCCTGGTTGCTTATTAATATTAATTTTTTTAAAAAGGTCTCCCTTCCCAGCTTGGGATCCTACAGAACAGGAAGCAGACAAATAATGCCTTTGAACAGCTGTGATGGGCTGTTGAAATTAGATCTGTCAGGGGATGAGAACACCACGATGGCAGCCACTCCGTGGTATAGGCTAAGAGGGTTCCAGGGGAAGGTATCTTGTAAGTGGTCAATAGAATGCTAGAGACACATCCTAGTCAATTTGAATACAATAATGATAATAGATGTTAATAATAATAGCTCACATGTATTATGAGTGAGCCAAGTACCATGTCAAGCCCACCTGCCTTATCCCATTAAATTCTCATAACCCTATGAAGTGAGCACTGTCATTCTCATTCCCATTTTAAAGATTTAAAAACTGTAGTTTGGAAAGGATAGTAGCTTATCTGAAGTGGCAGAGACAGGATTTGAGCCTAAGCCTGTCGTCATTCTGTCCTCTAAGCCACTGTCAGCGGACGCTCCATCGTACCAGCCCTGGGATGGCTGAGCCAGGCTCTGCAACCTTAAAACAGACACTCAAGAAAAAACCACAGCTGCTCTTAACTAAATTCTCCATTATCCTTGGGGGAGGAGATAACCCCAAATCATTTACGAGTGGCCTCAGGAGGCGGTATAAGTATTTTTTGCACCTGCTCCTGCTGTTGCAGACACTGCCTGGCTTTGGCTGACAGGTTTCTGGTCCCTGAATGCACTCAGACCAATGTCAGACAAAGGAGGCCGGGAGGAGGCGTGGTCGTGTAAGAGGAAGCCAGCCTGAAGAGAATTATTGGAAGGGAACCTTTAGCTGAAACAAGGCTGAGGGAAGTTAGCCAATGCCCAGAAGAAACTAGGCGATGGAGCACGGGCGGGCTTCTCTGGGAAGACAGACGTCCTCTGTAGGGATGAGTCAACATTTTTTCCTGTGGGCTGCGAGGACCGCTTCTGGAAGGTCGCTGGGAAGCCCCGCCCGGCCTTAGGGCTGGGAGGGGATTGGCTGCCCAGTTGCTGGGGCTTTGCTCTGAGCCAGTGGCGGGGTGGAGGGGCGGGGCCAAGGCGGGAGCAGCGGGCTTCTTGGCCAATCATCCTGCAGGGAGGCTGGGCACCCGGTACCATGGCAACCGCGAGCAGGGCCTCATTTGTTTTGTAGATGAGTAATTACTACACAATTAGAGAAAGCTAAAAATAAAGGGGCCCTTTGTTCCTGGTTACTTATTAATATTAATAAAATGGTCTGCCCAGGTCTGTGGTAAACATTTGATGCCTGCGTGCCTGTGGCAGAGGCTTGTGTAGCCGGGAAAGGCACCCCAGCCCCGCTCGCCCCTCTTTCGGGAAGTTATTTCTGACTATATCCTGGAGAGGGTGGGCTTCTGACCTTGGGGAGAAGAGGAGAGGCTCAGTGTGACAGACATAGGATCCAGGATGTCCTGGAGTCCGGGTCCGTCACTGACTCAGGTGGAAAGGTGGCGGCAGCGTCACCATCCTTCAGAGAAAAGACAGACACACAGCAGCAAAGCAGACACTATGGACCGGTGTCAGAGGAAACCCCTAGTCCAGTTTTGCTGTGTCCTTCTGTGTTTTCTGGCTTTTGATTGATCAGCTCCAGGTGTGTAAAATAGTCGTTAAGTCTTCAATGGAGGTAGCCCCCAAGACTCCAGTGACTCCCCTCCCATCTGGCTTAAAGGGCACATTCCGTTCAGGCTTGGAAATGATCTGCTGGAGGTTTACACTGTGTTCAGGGTTGTCCCCGTGGCTCCCCATGCCCTGGCCTTCGAAGTTAAAGCAGCTGAGAGGCTTGCTTTCTATTCCTTCTCCCTCCTAGGGGGAGAGGTTGCCTTGTTGATTACTCCAGTGAGGATGATTAACAGCTTAAAAAAAAAAATAGAGGCAGCATAAGAGCATAGAAGGCAGAGTAGGGAATCAGAAGACTTGGTTCCAGGCCTGCTTCCACCTCTACTAAACGAGGAATTCAGACTAAAGGGTCCTTGGGAGCCATTTCAGCTCTACAGCTCTGTTTTGCTGCTGTTTCCAAAGCTGGAAATCCCTTTTCCTTGGAGATAGGAACAGGGACAGTGACAGTGCCTTAAGATCTGAGAGAACAGGCCGGGCACGGTGACTCACGCCTGTAATCCCAGCACTTTGGGAGGCCGAGGCGGCTGATCACTTGAGGCCAGGAGTTTGAGACCAGCCTGGCCAACATGGTGAAACCCCATCTCTACTAAAAATACAAAAATCAGCCAGGTGTGGCGGTGTGTGCCTGTAGTCTCAGCTACTGGGGAGACTGAGGCAGGAGAATTACTTGAACCCGGGAGGCCCAGGTTGCAGTGAGCTGAGAGTGCGCCACTGCACTCCAGCCTGGGTGACATAGCAAGACTCCCTCTCAAAAAAGGGGAAAAAAAAAGAAAAAAGATCTGAGAGAAGTGAGTGGAGAGAAAGCCAAGAGGTTCCAGGTGATAGGAAACTTCGTGGGAATTTGAAAACAGCCATGAATTGTTTAATGCATGAAGGCAATGGGAGGGACAGAAGCGGTTCCAGAACTGTGTATCATTTTACACATCTGTCCTCAGACTTCCATCCTTGGGTGTGGTTGATTAAATCTCTTAGGGTTTGATTCTGTGTGGATGGTATTCATGAATAATAGTGGACCTGTTAATAGCTGCTGTCAATGAGCAAATCAACCCAGAGATTGTGGCCAGTTCAGTGGCTCTTGAACTTTGCTGCTGTTCCTAATAGGAACTTTGATCCTGTTAGGATCACCTGGGGAGTTTTTAAACTGTGCAGTGGCCAGGCTGCATCACAGACCCATCAAACCAGAATCTAGCAGGGTGAGCCTCAGGCAGGCCCAGTGTGTAACACGGGGCTCAAGTATCATCATGTTCTTGCTGGATGTAAAGCTCCATAACATCTTTGTGGCTGTCACTGGTACCCCAGCCTCCTCTAACTGGGAGGTGGGGAGGTGGGGCTGGGATCTCTAGCCTGCTGCTGTGGAGCCCACGGCTCTCCAGCCTCCATTAGTCTTCCCAGCAGGGTCAGGAAGGCCACCCTCCAGGGTGGACCAAGGGGTTTTTGTCCTCATAGAGGGACCCTCCTGTCTCTCTCGAGGACAGGCCAGTCCTGGCTGAGATTAAGGGCATGTACCAGTAGAACTAGCAGCCTGCAGCAACTGTAAACAGAGAAGCAGCCGCCCTCCTTGACTGACCAATGGGAGCCTTTTGGTAAGGTCGGAGTTTGTTTGTTATTAAAGACCTAATTAGAAACATGAGAGGGAGCTGAATGGCTCTGTGCTTGGCTAATTAGTGACATGTATGCGCCTGCTTTGAACTTCAAGGACACAGAACTATTAGTGCTTACATCAAAAATGGATTAAACTCCTGTGCTTTTATAATTATTAAAAAGGAGCTACTCAAGTGGAAAGTCTTTTGTGTGGGTCCTCAAGGGGCTGCCCCTGGGATAACTTCCCCACCCCACCCTGCCCCCTGCCTGCTAGAGCCCCAGCAGTGAGTTTTCTATTAGATATGATTGGGCAGTAAATACCGTTCAGCCCTAGGGTGTGCCAGCTCCCAAAAGGACTTGGCTCTCAGCAGAATGGAGTGGTCTTTTAGGACTGAGATCAGCTCTCTGGGTGGCCCCCTGGGTCCAGGCACTTTCCTGGGGTGGGGGAGGGGAGTTCTAGCGAGGGCCCAGGGTTAACCAGGGCTTACTTTCCCTCTGGCAGTGCCCTCTCTGCTTCCACGCTGACCCCACCAGTACTGCAAGTCTGCTTATTCTTTGGGCTGTGGCGTAGTGGAGGGTGGCCTAGTCCTCAGGAGAGAGGCAGTCCTGTATCTCTTGGGGCAGTCAGATCCTGACCTCAGGGAACCCCCACCGTGATGGAAGAGATGTTTCCACTGCCAGGGAGCTCCCAATTTGGAAAGGCAACAGGGTCCAAGCCCTTAGGAGCTTCTACTCCAAGGCTGGAGAATCTATTCTGTGTCCTTGAATTTGCAGTTTCTCTGGGGCAAAGAAAGATCCAAGTAAACAGAGGAAACCTTGTCAAAGTGTGATTCCAGAAGGGACAACTGAGCAGCATGATTTAAAAAGCATGTGCCTTCAAGTTAGAGCCAGATTTGGTCCTGTCTGAGACACTGTGTGGCATTGGACACATTTCCTAGCTGTTCAAACCCTTGGTCTTCTTATCTGTAACAGGGGTTACACAGCTGCTCTTACAAGATGTTCGGAGCATGAAAAAAGATCGTGTGAAACACCTACCAACATGCCTGGCAACACAGTAGGGGCTCATAAGTATGAGTTCCCTTTCCAGCCTCACACCTGCAGAAGCTACAGCTTCTAGAACTTTGTGCTTCTTGCCTCATTGGTTTTCACCTCCAGGCCCTGTTTTGTCCCTACCAGTATCAGGCCTAACAGGGGCAGAGTGATATCTAATTCTTACATAGCTTTTCATCATGATTGAGAAGACTACATTAGGCTGCCTCGTAAGTCTGTGGTCCCAGCCTTGGATTTCACAGTGTTTTCTTTTAGCAGCAGTCTGTCATGCAGAAACTGGGCCTGCAGTGAGTGCAATCACTTATAAGACACAAGCAAGGATCTGAGCCTCCTGGCAGGTAGCAGGCAGGGAGGTAGCTTTCAGGTTGGGAATTGGTGCCTGAGCACACCACAGAGCAGCAACATGAGAGGGTGGCTGGCGACATGTGGGGAAAAGCCAAACTGACTTCTTTTTTGAAAAAAAGAGACGAGTGTGCTTCAAAGACAGAGGCAGTCAATGGATCAAAGCAAAGCAAGGGACATTTTCAGGACTGAACTAGGAGAAACTTGGAGCCACCAAACTGTAAGAGACAGTAGGGAGTTGTCTCCGGGCAGCAAGCTCCCTGTCTATTTCCTGTGGAGTCTCAGACCTGGGAGGGCTGGATGAGGAAGCAAAGGCTCTGGTATCACCCAACAGGGGCCACCTCTCTGCCTTTTCTCTGCTGAGTGGTGATGGTGGCATCTCGCCTCCCCAGGGCTGCGTGCCCAGCTGCTGGGTGGTTCAATGCAGCATGGCATGGGTGCTGCAGGTTCCGGGGAGCCTCCTTGTCTGTTATTCCTTGCAAATTCTAACCTGTGTGGGCCTGGAGTCTGAAGCCAATTAATTTAAGGAAGAGGCAGCAGGATGTTAGTGTTAAAACACCGCCTGCTTCAGCCAAACCATAAACATTTGTCTCCCGGGTTGGTTTTCCCTCCTCTTCTGAAGCGCTTTAGAGACTCAGGGTAAGGTGTTGTTGAAGCATCCGTTCACGGTGGAGAGGGATCAGGAACACCATCCTGCGTTTGAGACTCGAAGCCTGGTCTGGTGAAGCCTGGCAGATAGTTCACACAAGCAGGACAAGCCCCGTGCCAATGCCAGGCAGGAGTGATATCCAGTCACCGCACAGGGCCCCAGTGACTGCCTCATGGCCTTTCCCTTCCCGGGGCCCTCCGCACTTGCCTCCTGGAAACCTGCAAACAAGCCCAGTCCCTCAGGGCCCTTGGGGGTTGAGAGAAATGAGAACTGACCTCGGCTCCAGAAAGTTCTTTCCTTGGCCTCATGACAAAAGCCTGGTTTCTCTGGCCACAAGGCCACAGCCCATTCAAGGCTGCTCCATCCCCAGAATTTACACCATGAGCAGACAGCAGTCAACTGCTAACCACCATCCTCCCTCACCCACCTTCCCAACCCGCCAGTCCAGAACCCACCCAGCCTGGCCTTGGGGCTTGAGATACACTTACAGACTCAGATCAGGGCTGATAATAAAAACACACCAGGAGGGCCAGGCACAGTGGCTCAGGCCTGTAATCCCAGCACTTTGGGAGGCTGAGGCGGGTGGATCACCTGAGGTCAGGAGTTCGAGACCAACCTGGCCAACATGGTGAAACCCTGTCTCTACTAAAAATACAAAAATTAGCCAGATTTGATGCCGCACACCTGTAATCCCAGGTACTCAGAAGGCTGAGGCAGGAAAACCACTTGAACCCAGGAGGCAGAGGTTGCAGTGAGTCGAGATTACACCACTGCACTGTTGAGATTATATCTCAACAGCAAATGCATGGTCCTAGCCACAAAGCCTTTCTCAGGTCGGTTCTGGGTGTTTGGAACTTTTTCCTTACACCAATCCGAATGGTAGTGTGCTTCCCCAGCTTTACCACTGACATGTTATATGAGAGTTTTAGAACTGGCTAATAGTGATATTATCTCCTGAGGGTTTTGGGGGAGTGTGACTTGACCAGAAGCCAAGATCTTTCTACAAAATAATTCACAAGTGTTAAGTGCTAATGTCCATCAGTTCCCTACTTGAGACAGGCCAACATTAACCAGTAGACATTATCAGCACCAACCTCAGTGGTCTGAATCAGGTTAAGTTTTGAGAACAAGCAGAAACTACAACTTATCATAAGACTGGCGCCATTGTCACTGACATTTGGAATGTCTGTGTGATGCTGGCTGCCCTGTCAGCCCAGTGCATGCACAGACAACTCACCATGTGTCCCGTGCAGTGTGTAAGAGGAGCCAGGGGACTCCAGATACATCAAGACTAGCATGATGTTGACACCAGGCTGCGTTTGTACCTCTCAGTAATATATCTGTTTGTATATGCAGACAGTGAAAAAGAAATCCCATCACATTGCTCTCTTAATCCTCCCCCAGTTTTAAAGTATTTTCCCCCTTCCCTTCTGAAATAGCCTGAATTTCAGCAGAGCTTTAAAAACTACATTGTGTATAAAATTGATTGTCCCTGCATCTGGGTCCCTGAACTGATTTGATTTTAACTTAGCATGTCATACAATTTTCCCAGGTTGGACATCATTGCCGATCTTCTCTACCAGTCTCTCCTACCTCCAGGCTAAGCTCTAGAAGGAAAGCTTGAGCCAAGGATTGCTGGGACATAGCTGGCCGGGCAGACTCCTGAAGTATAATCCTACCTTGCTCTGCTCAAGACATGCCAATTCATAACCGAGTATTCTCCTTCCATTATCAGAAATAGATTTTGTCTTTTCATGCTGACCTTTCCCATTTGACCATCTGCAATTATTTACAGTGGGCACTGCTTTCAGAGGACACATGAAGGAAACTGCAGAATGGGGTCCCCAATTCTGTTCCCCAGGAAGGCCTTTGGCTGCCCAGTTGCTGAAATTCAGAGCCCTCCAGTAAAGAGTGGCTGGCTGTTCAGAGGGACTGATGCAGGCCCTCACTGTTGACAGCCAACTGGCATTGTGGACCCAGTGTCCACTGAGGAATGGCAGAAAGTTGCTCTTACTCTTTGGAGAATATGCCCTCTGACTAGGAACATAGAGTTCCCTGAGAGCCCTGAGAGTTCCCCAACTGCCTGGAGGAGTTTCTTGCTAATAGGGGAGACAGAGTCCTACGACTATGGAGTTTTAAATCAAGGCAGATATAAGCATGATATAGACAAGATGAAGGTAGAGGTGTGTGTTGGAGAGTGTGATAACTTTATTTAGTTTCTTTAAATTTCTCTGAAACAAAAACTCCTAAAATTCAGTGTGATGGATTAACACAGCCTCTGCCCTCATAGATTATCACACAGGCTATGACCTCTCCTGCTCTCAGTCCTCCGTCCTTTCGGGACTAGGGGTTGGGAATGGAGGCCGTGACACCAGTCAGCCCAAATCCCTTCTGAATTGGACTTGGCAAAGGTGGGCCCTCCATTGCATTTGCCTCCCCGAGCCACACGCACAGGCTGGGCAGGGAAGAGTCTCTCTCCCGGAAATGTACCAGGGGCCACTGCGGTCTTCTGCCTGAAATGAAACCTGGCAGCAGCAGATAATTCACAAAGCAGATGACTGAAATTGTCTTGAGGGCTGGCCCTGGCCTTTGCGGAAATGTGAGACCCACCACACCAGGAGCTGGGTCTAGGGCTGGAACTTGGTGGGCCCCTGGCTTGTTCCAAGTATGTGAACTGAGCTCATCTGGAAAAGATTTTGTAAACATTTGCTTTCTCTGAATCGGTAATAATTCAATTTTCAGGCCTTAGAGCCAGAGGTGCCCCCCTCATTGACCTGGCTCTAGCTTTTTGCCTCAGGTCCAGTGACATCACTTAGGGACAACACAGAAATTATTGGACTAGACTTCCATACCTTTTCTAGACCCACAGTGAGGCTGTTCTGACTACCACCACTTCCCTACCCTCCATGCCTAATTCCACTCTCAGCCCAGCCCCTTGTCACTGCAGTTGGGCAGAGCCACATGCTGGCCAGACAGCAGGCATCTCTCCCGTCTTGCTTTAGAACCCTAAGGGAAAGGTGCCCAGTAGCTTTGGGTCCAACCCTTACAGGTGAGAGTCTAAGCCTGCAGCATCTGTCTCTGTTAAGATCTCCAGGATAAGATTCTTGGGCTTTCCTAGGTCAGCCATCAGAGTATTTTATTGATGGGCAGGAAGTTTCTCCTTTTATCCAATGTGAAATACCACCAACTTTCATTCAAGTGCATCTCCTCTTGCCGTCCTCGGTGAGATCGGTGTCCTTGCTTTTCTGGTCCCCATTCCCAGGAGTCCTTTCTTCAGGCCCAAGATGATTAAATGCACCAAATGGATAAATTGGGTTTTTTGTCAATCACCTCCTGATTCATATGGCAAGTGAATTGCATTTTCCTATGTCAGATTTTCCTAAATCTGCATGTGGTACCTGCCTTATTGGCCTCTGCATACATAACTATTTCAGAAATAGGGTGTATTTGTTTTAAACTTGACAAGTTACAGAGCTCTGTCTCTTTTTCATTCTTGAAGCAGTCCCATGAGTCAGATTGAATAAGGAAAGCATCACTCACTTGCTACAGATGAGGACTTGGGCTTGTGAGTGGCTTCTTAGCCCAAGGCACCTGACTGTAAGAGCAGAGCTGGGGTCACAGTCAGGTCTTCTGCCTCTGAGTCCAGTACTCCCTTTCCTTACATCATTGCTGCCTCTCTGTGGGTGCCACCTTGACTGGGAAAGCCCAGAGGATATTGGAGAGTGAGGATGAGGGGCAAAGAGGAACCTGCCATGGATGCTGCTGATGAAATGAACCTGATCACCGCAATGAGCCCCCAAACTGCCATCCTAGAGCAGGGCTTGTCCCAAGCCACTTAATGCTCATAGCTCCTGCTGCAAAAATGCCAAGACGTTTGCAAGACGTTGTCCTCTTCTGGGACAGGAGTCATAATATCCAATTTATAAACCTCAGCACTGTTTATTTATTCAACAAAGTGTGCTCCCTGTCCCCGCCCCCTCACACGCACACCCTAGCTGAGCAGTAGACAAGGTGCCCTTGCCCACTAAGAGCCATGTCCCATCCTCTCTTCCCAAGCTGATCCTGGTATATGGGACCAATTCTGGCCCCCCAAAATAAGTCTCCGTGCCTGGGGAAAGGCACCGTTCGCTTAGAAGGATCACTGAGAATTGACTGGAGAATGACTTCCACAGAAAGCACCCTCAGGTGAGAGATTTGGCTTCATGCCTTCCCCCACCCCCCAACCCCACTCCCCACCTCTCCTCTTAGAGGGAGACGGGTTCTCAAATGACCCCCTTTCCTGCGTAGCCAGCCAGTGTTCAGTTTGTGGAGTTACGCTGAGTTTGCAAAAGAAGAAAATTGCTTTGTCCCTAATGCCTTCCCACTGTCAGACAGCAGGAACAGCTACTGACAAGTTTATGTGCCGAGTGGCAGTCCCCATTCTCTCCTAAGCAGCCAGAGCCGTTGCTTTTTATGAGTCTTCTCAAAGATGCATGGGTTTCCAGATGGCTCGTTCGGGGACTTTAACATGCTTTCTGGAGCCTGGTTCTTCTGCTCACAGAGACAGACAGAGAGAAGTGTCGACTGTGGAAAATAGAGGCTCCTCTCTTCCATGCGCCCAGCCCTCAGGGGTGCGGGTTCCACTGCCCAGAAGCCTAGCTAGAGGCGGGACCAGCCAGAACTGGGTGCTTATTGCCTGCTGGCTGCGCCCTCTAGTGGGGACCCAGCAGCCCTGTCTTTCACCCCTGGCTGGGGGACATCTGCAAGGTGACTTTGAGCTGAGGCTCCGGCACCGTGATGAGCAAGTGCGTAATAAAACGGGACTTGGGATTTGAAAGCTGCATTCTAATACAGTGTCTTCTCCACGGTGATTTTAGTGTCATTTGATGGAGGAGGACTGAGCAAGGAGGGGTAATATAGACCTAAGATGAGCTGCTTATTGTGAAATTCCCTTCAGGCCGACTCAGAAACCACAGGCCTCCCCACACACAGGAATGGGAGCGGTTGCCAAGGATGGGCATAATACCAACAGCCCTTTTGTCTTCTATCTAAGCCTGCAGAAGGGGGTATTTCTGAACAGCACCCTTCTGTGGGCATGCTACATCCTGTCTCCGAGGCTGCTTCTGCTGGCTAGATTAGTCTCTAGGTGGCTCTCCTGCTGGAAGAAACGGAAACCTAAACCTGCCTCTCCCCACCCATTAGTTAGGTGGGCCTGCCCAACACCTTCCTGGGTTCACATCCGGCCAGACAAGAAAGAAGCCAAAAAACTTTCCGTCTACCACTGCGCCTCCTCATGCCCACCCCATCCTATTAGCCTAAAATGGAACGGGCTAATTAGTTTATTTGTATAGGGAGGGGTTTCAGCTGCCTGGACAAAACCAGGAGTCCACTGTCCAAGCTTCTTCTGTTTTCCTGAGCTCAGAAGAAAAAAAGTGTGTTAGACTAAGATAATACCGCCTTTTGAATATCTCGGCTTCATATTTGCCTCCATGAGTGAGAGGGCCAAGTGTTATCTGCAAGTTGAATCTTCTATATTCAAAAATCTCCATCCCTTTTTTCTGCCAGCGCATTCCCAGATCAGCCGTTCACTTGCTCTAAGCCTCTATAATTTATTTTTTTCTTTTCTCTTTAACCTGCTCTTTCCATTGGCCAGTTTATTCATTTCTCAGCTACAGCTTCAGAGGGGCTCACCTTCGGGCTTCCCGCCCCAAGGGCATCTGGAGGCTTCAGTTCTGTTTTCTCTGCTGAGTCAGGAGCCAGGCCCAGCTTGATTTGGTCTCCCGTGTATCTTTGTGTCTCTGTCTCAGTCTCCTGCTAGTGTGCCTTGGGTGCCTCATCAATCTCTTCCCATCCCTGTGACAAGTGGGTGAAAATCAATCCACTTCTGGCTCTTCCAGGCCCACCAGAACTGAGGGCCTCAAATCACAGGCCCCTGGGAAAGGGAGGGGCCAAAGCCAGGAGTGACCCCACCTGCATCGATGTTCTTTGCCTCTGCCATTGAAGGCAACTGGTCATAGGGCAGAGGGGGAGAAGCCAAGGGAGGCAGAAGGGAGAAGTGATTGTTGCAAGGAGCAGCCCTCTGGAGCCAAAGATGTGAAAGTGTGACTCTCAGAATGTCTGGTTCTTTAAGACGGGTTAGCCGTAGCCCAAAGGTAGCCAGCCCAGACTCACCTTGAGGCTTAAAAATCAGTAAGAACTTCCTTTAACAATTAAAAAAATATTGTTTTCCATTTTGGAAAAGAAAATAAAGTTTAAACTACTAAGGAGAAATAAAGGTGAGACAAAATTAACCTGGTTAACTGGTTGACAGGCTGCGGCCCTCATTAGGGTCAGAATGATGGGATTGGGGGGGCCGAGGCAGTGTCACCTTCCGCTGCCCCCCGATCTGCAACCCCACCACTCTCTGGATTTGTGCGTGTCAAGTCCACTCTCTCTGTAGCAAAGGTACATCCTGAGCCTGCTGTTCTCACTCTGGAGTTGACATTGCAGGATAACCAAGAGAAAGCAGGTGTTTTGGTCAGCTATGGTTTAGCTATGAATTGGTTCAGTCGGTATGTTCTGCATTCATACTTCTTTGTCTTTTTTTTTTTTAAACAAAAGGAAAAAAAGTTTAAATCCCCCCTTTCCTTCTCCTGCAGGAGGTGAGTGTGTGGGTGTCCTGTAGAACCATTGGCTTCCACCCCAGCTCTGGCCCCAGCCTCCAGGTTTACCATTCCCCCCCATCCCTCCCTCCATCCCCTTCTCTCCACCCCAAAAGGAAACTCTCTGCCGCCATCATTACTGTTATGTCAAGATGCCCAAACTCTCCATAACATATCCCATCCTCCGACCACGTTCAGTATTGATGACTTTCATTCAGTGTTATGAATGGGAAGGGCGGGAAGGGAGGGAGTAGCCAGTGGGGAGGGGCGGGTGGTGGGGGTGGGATGGAGAATGGAGATCTTTTTTGTCTTTTTTAAAAAAAAAAACAAAACAAATTTGTCATTTAATGGATCCAAAAACCAAAAAGAAAAAGTGAAACACACACACAAAAAAAGATCAAAAATCCCCTCTGCAAAGATTTTTTTTTTCCTGGACACAAATTGCTTTGTTTCCTGTCACGTTTTAATATCAATATTAACACAATGTGTAGTCTAAAACTAGTTCCTTTGTAGTTTGCATGGGATGTGAATGCTGTCTCAACGTGCCCAGATCTAGAAGACTGCATGAGCATCAATTCAGATGTGAAAAAAAAACTCTCTCTCTCTCTCTCTCTCTTCCATATATATCTCTATTTCTATTGTGATAATTTGGTGGGCAGTGAAGCACCTCCGGTTGGTTGCCGTAGTGTGTTGAATGATTGTTTTTTTATTCTCTATATTTTTGGAGCTCCAAGCTTCTTAGTAGTAGCCTGGGCTGAGTATTCTTGAGTCCCTGCTGATGTTTTCGCATGGCCTTGGTTGAGTGTTAGAAGTTGGGCCTCAGCTGTTTTTCTCAAGTGTTTGGCTTGTAATGACCGGTGCATGCCTGGCTTCTGGCCTCATACCCAGCTCTATTCTCTGCACACCAGTCCTGAATAGCTACAGTGCTCAACCGAATTTTGGCGCGCCCGCTTCCCCGGCAGGCTCCAACCCGGCGCGGCCCGGAGGCTTCCCGGGGGCCAACAGCCCAGGACCTGTCGCCGATCTCTACGGCCCTGCCAGCCAGGACTCCGGAGTGGGGAATTACATAAGTGCGGCCAGCCCACAGCCGGGCTCGGGCTTCGGCCACGGCATAGCTGTAAGTACCTGCCTTCCCCTGCCCTCCTGCCTCCTCCTTCCTGACCAGCTCCTTGTGGCCTGTGGGTGTGCCAGGAAAGCCCAACATCGGGGGCAGAGGAGAGGACAGAGGGTCCCCATCAACATCACACCAGCTCCTGAGGGCTGAAGCCTCCGTCGTCTTAGAGGTGTCCTGGGTGCCTCTCGTGTGGCTGTGTGATGGAGCAGAAGGAGCATGGGCAGGTCCGGTTCAGATCACCACTCCATCACCTTCACACAGTGCATCCTTGAGCCACTTCGATAACCCGTCTGAATCTCATTTCCCTGGCTGCAAAACCAGAATCTCTATGCTTTCCTCAAAAGATTGTGGGAGGATTATTCGAAACAGTGTCCCACGCTGGCACGTAATAGGGCCTCAGTAGTGGCCACCTTCCTTGATCCCCGCTTTCTGGACACTGTCATGTGGGCTGGGACCTGAGAGCTGGGAAATGTCCCAGCTCCCCACCAGAGTAGCAGCCTTAGTCAATAGAGCCCCTGATCTAAGGTCCAGTGGCAGCGCTGGAGCCCGGGAGGTGGTGTGGGGATCCAAGCCCTCTCCCAGGCAGTTTCCTTTGCTAATGTTTCTTACAGTTTCCAGGTTCCAAGTAAGTTCCCATTTGCGTTCCTTAGCTGCAGCCTCCACCCCTTGAAGGCCAGATGCATTTGATATTTGTAATGCTCTGTGGTTCTATAATCTGACTAATCCAGGCAATGGAAATTTGCTTAACAGATTTGCATGCTGTTTTCAGATTGTGTTGTTCTTCTCCCTCCCGGTGTGTGTGAGCATGAATGTGCCTGAGCCCACTTGCTCGCTGTCCCTTCCATTTTGGAAACAGAAAATTGGCCAACCTTTGCCCTAGCCAGCCTCAGCATTTTGGAGGCAGTTTGGTTTTGAGCTAAGATGGGTGCGTCTGCAGTCCCAGGCCACGTTCCTGTCAGACTCCGCTTCTGAGTGACAGCTGGCAAGCCCTGACTTGGGGGCCACGCTGCGGAGAACAAAACATGTGCAGACAGTCTAGGGCACCAAGGTGGCCTCATTCATGCCCCCTGGCATTGGGAGCTCCTCCCTCATACACACACTCACACGCACGCATGCATGCACACACGCACACAGACATGCACGCACACGCACGCACACACGCACACACAGGCGCACACACGCCTGCCAGCCCTACTTGTGCAGGATGGGTCCTTGTTCAGCTCCGCTCCCAAGCCAGTATCACTTAAGTCAGTAGTCTGATGAATCTAATCCCTTCGGATCAACTGTGGTACCAAATCCAGAATAATATTATTCACCTGAGAGCTGCTCAATTTAGGGGACCGTCTATCACCACTTATAACACAACTTATTTCCATATTCAGCATCCAGAAACACAGACCCAATTTGTTCTTGAAAACCGGGGTCTTTTGACCTGTGGGCTGTGATGTTTTTCTGAAATAACCAGAAAGCATCCCAGTTTGTCTGCACTGGGATTTCTTCTCCCCAGCTAGAGCCGTTGGGACTGCGGACAGAGACTTATCTTTGCACTCTGGGGTTCAGGGCAACATGCCCATCACTGGGGGCACAAACCCCCGTTTCCCACCATCCACCCACGCCTCTGAATCTGGCTTTTGGTTTCCCCCGGGGTAAGCAGATAGGCTTGGTAGGGGCGGAGGGAGTGGGGACTAGGGATTTGGAGCTGAGGAGGATGTCATCCTGGCCCCTCATGGCACGGTGTCTCAGAATTACATATTCATGCTGGCAACCACAGAACTAGTCCTAGAGATAATTTCCTTTCCCAGAATATGACAATCTGTTCCCATGTATAGCACACTGATGACCTTAACAATTGTGCAATTTTAGGGACCTTTGATTGCAACGGCCTTTACAAATGGATACCATTGAGCAGGTGCTTTCGTTGCCATCTCACTCTGAGGTATTACCGTCTCTGCCATGTGTCTCTGCCCTGCCGGTGTGTCCGTACATGTATGTCCACAGGTCATACATGCACGTGCGTGCCCCTGTCTCATCACATCCACATCTCTCTCTCCTCTTTCTGGACCCCTTTTCAGGAGGGTGGGGGCAAAAGCAAATCCAGTCGTTTAATCTCTCATCTCTTCCTCCAGCTTTTAATCATGACCCCCACCTTTTTGACTCTCTCTCTTTTTTTCTTGATTTGGTTCTTTGGATTCTTTTTCTGTATCTTCCCCACCCTTCATCTTTCTCTGTCTTGAAATACAATCAAGAGTGTGGGAAACTGGAAGGAGATCTCGTGCTGTGCCCGTCCCAGGGGGATAGAGGCAGGGAAGCATTGGGCTTCTGCTAGGCCTGGAAGCAGGGATGGGGGCCAGGGCCACCCACTCCTGGAGGTCCTTTGAGCTGGCCCTGTGGGTTGCTGGGCCCCTTCAGCTCCCCAGGCCTTGCTGGGGCTCAGCCAATGGGGTTCATGCAGTCAAACAGCCAGACTCCATCTTTTAGTGAAAAGAAAACGTTTTTGCCAGTAACTACTGAGTAATTATCCAGATTACTGCACGAAAAGCAAATTAAATTAACGACATCACCTGTGTAACATGGATTTGGATCCCTGCCAGTTTCCTAACCTTTTAAACTGAGCTCAAGTTAATTAAACATTTTTTCAATCACTTTGATGGGGATATGGGGGAGGACGGAAGAGAGGAGAGGGAGGTTGGGGCAGTGAGGAAGCCCCTTGCCACACACTCCTTTGGAAATGAGTATCTGTCCTTCTTGGGAAGAACACCAGCAAGGGAGAGGGGTTGTCCTTGTGAAAGCGCTAGATGTGTACTGTGTTAGCACGTTAAGTTTGTGAGGTTGGAACATGGATCTGTCTCTGGAAAAGAGAGGGTGACAGCTGAGGCCAGGGAATGGATTCCACTCGGAAAATCCCACAGAGGCACCAAAGCCTTTCAATCTTGGAGTTGGGATGTAGGAGAAGCAAGGCTGGAGATGAACTGGCCACTTTGGGCTTGCACTTCATTGGATGCCTCTCTCGTAGAGAGGGATTGCTCCTGGCTCCTGAGTCGGACCAGGTGGAGAACTGGGTTGAGTTGAGCTCCATAAATCTCTTGGATTTCTCTAATGTTGCTGCTAAGGGATCACCTCAACTAACGCAACTGCCTCTCTTAACCAAATAAACCATGTGTGTGAATTCTCCCACCCCTCGCCTCCACTTCCCCTTGAGCACTGACCCAGCCATTGCTGGCCAGAGCCAGAGGCCACTAACAGTTTGAAGGAAAGCTACTTGCTACTAATTAAGCTGGGTTTGGGGACCCAGAGGAAGTAAGGTTTCTCTGAGAACAGGGACAACTGGTATCACCAAGAACTCTGGAGACTGAAGATGGCTCCAGCCCTTTGTGGAGTCAGATGAAGAGGGGGTTAAACAACTACCAGGCACAGCAGACCCTTGAAAGGCCAGACACTGGGGCTGCCTGTGCTCCCTCCCTCCCTCCCCTGGAAGAGAAGGAGTGGTGCAGGGCTTCCTGCCCACAGCTCCATATAACCCCAAGGCCACTAAAGCCTTTCCATAGGGGTGGGGTGGGGTGGAATGGGATGGGGGAGGCTGCTACCAGCCCATCCTCCCTCATCTAAGTCTAGGACTCAATTTCCAGAGAAGGATGAAGTAACCAAGAGTGTGGTAGCAACTCACCCCCTTCCAAAATGGATTAGGTGAGCTCATAGAGTCAGATGGCTGCACCCGCAGCACTTAGGAAGGACTGGTCAAACACACCCATTGTCCCCAACCCTCTGACATTCAGCGCCATCCACAAAAGAGGAGCCCAGGCCCCCTACTCCCAGTCAATTCAGGGAGACTCAGTAAACACATCTGTGAATCCTGGGCCTGTTTTTGTTTCCTGTAACCAAAGCCGGTTATTTGTTGTATATTTTTAGTGTCATGACCTTTAGTTTTTGGTATATGATATGATCTTTTAGTGTAAGTTTGCATTTAAAAGTTATCGATGGGTATCTAATAAAGGCAAGTTTGTGGGGTTTTTTTTGTTTGTTTGTTTGTTTTTTTAACATTTAGCTTTGAAAACAGAAGTTTAAACAGAAAAAAGGTATCTCAGGTCAATGGGCAGTTTGCCCACCTGGCTGCAATCCCTGTAAGCACATTTCCCACCACTACCTCAACAACCCTATGGTACTATATCAAATCAGCAAAAGAATTGAAGCCTTGTCCTCTCCCCAGTGTCAGGTATGGTTTAGATGTCAGATTTCCCAACCTGTGATCTCAGTAAGCTTCTAGCCAGGTGATTCTCGTGCGTATTCAATAGTCCAGTGAAGTCCATCTTTGAAACTCTAGTTAAAACAGTGGAGGAAATCGCATACTTGTCTGACACTTCTTTCTCCTCCCCTCTCCCCTCCATTTTATGTTTTCTTCTGGACATCCTGGCCTTCCCTGCCCTGCAGAGCATACCTGGATGTCCAGGCAAGACTGGGCGAAGTTTCTGAGTGGCCCTTTGTTTAGGTGATGTCCTCAGACCTGGACCCCCACCAGCCTCACTCCCCATCCCAACCAGAGATGGCTCACTTCGGATCGAGGGTTGACTACATCTCATCATCTCACGAATCTGCTGTAATATAAGACAACAGCTTTTAAATGTGTATATAACCCATGATTTCGGTTTTGTTTTGTTTTGTTTTTCTTGATGGTTTCCCTCTCCCTCCCTCTCTTCCCATTCTCCTTTTAAATCTCTTTGAATCACATTTGGTAGTGATTTTGACTTAGTCCAGTAGTCACATAGCTTTAATATCTAGTTCAAAGCTAACCATAGTATAATTGTTATATTAAGGAGTTATTTTTTCTTAAAACATTTTTTTTTGCTTGTTTTGGTTCTGTTCTCACTTTTAAAGGATGCTGAGATGGTAATATGACTCTCCATATTTTGGTACC
The DNA here is from genome assembly GCF_000001405.40 of Homo sapiens. Lineage (NCBI taxonomy): Eukaryota > Metazoa > Chordata > Mammalia > Primates > Hominidae > Homo > Homo sapiens. The sequence goes on from NC_000017.11 coordinate 57,680,033, forward strand.
AATTCTGAGACTGTATGAATTTTCAGGTGGAACTTTAGCACACACTGAAGCAAAGTTGTGAAGTGCAGGGCGGGAGGTGGGCGTGAGCTTTCTATTTTGCGTTGTAGAAGAAGTGAGATGTAGTAAGCTAATTAACAGACTTTCTAGCAGTTCTTTTTGTGATGTCTCTTTGTTAATCTGAGTCTATCTATTTTCGGCAATAAGGTAAGGACGACAGTGTTTTGAGTGTCCTCCTTTTCTATAAGTGCTTTTTTTCTGTTGAAAGAGGTGATATTATAAGGTTTTTTGAAATTGTGAATTCTAAAAAAGAAATGTTGTAAATACAATTCCATTAACTACATAGAAACTATTAAGAAAGAGAGAATCAAAAATATTTTTGTGAGGGAGTCGGTCCCAGGCAGTTTGATGCTCTGTGGAAGGAGGCGGGAAGGGAACGTTGGCCAAGTCAGTTACTGAGATGAAGATCGCCCAGCTGCCAGGACCACCCCAGGACAAGTTAGAGCACTGTTTAGCTCCTTTGTCTGTGTGATAGACCTAAGAACTGTATTAGTGTTGTACCAGCCTATTAACCTCTTGTCTGTGCACAGCTTCAAATGTTACCGTCTAGTTAGATTTTTATTTAAAATATGAAAAACTGCTTTTCCCAAGATGTTTTTTAAAAACAAAGCTACAATTTTAATATTTAACATATTTAAAGTTTCAAAGCACACCTGTTTGGCTTGGGTGGGGGTGGGGTGGGGGGGACATTCTTTTTCAGTCTTAATTTTTAAATATTTGATCATTTTCTATTGTCCAATCATTTCAGCACCTCCAAAGGTCCCTAGGACACTTTGCCTCTCTTCTCCCCCTGCCCCCCACCCTGCTCCCACATCTGGGGGCCCATGGGCCAGGAGTGGATAAGCCTGCATTAATACAACCTTTCTCCATTCACTTTCTATTTACAAATTAGGAAAGCAACCTTTTGGTTTATATATATTTTTTTTAATACCTCAGTGCTGCAAGTATCACCAGAGAGGCTATGGAAGAATTTTTTTTTAATTTATTGTAGATGTAAACAGAATTTTAAAAATAAAAAGTATAAACATCACTGCACTGTGACTGGTGGGAAAAACTGACAGTTTCCTCTTTGCACATGTTTAACATTTGGCTGTTATAATATATGGTCCTCGGTTGGGGAAAGATACTTATGATGAAGGATATTTTTTAATTTAACTTTTTTTTAAATATTGGTAATAGGTCGGCAACAGCAACTATAGAAGTACAACTCAATAGATGGCATTAAAACATATTGTAGTGTGGATATATATTTTTTCTTTTTTAAAATGTGATATTGACGTTTTATTAATATTTTTTAAATTGTTACGTTTATAAATTTGGTACTTAAGGCACAGCCAGTATGAGACACTGAATGCGACATTTATTATAAAGAGCTGCTGCACTCCTATTTTTATAAATTTTACTAACAAAGTAGACTAATGTAGACATTCACAGACATGGTAGGGCAAAAGCATCTTCAAACTAAAGACTCCAAAATGCTAACTCAGAAAGAAAGAAAAAACCCGTTTTCAATTCTAATGAAACAGCAACAACATTTTTTTTAATTAAAAAAAAAATCATGTTCTTTGTTTTTCTAATAAAATGTTAGGTTGTTTGGTGAGGTTTTTTTGTTGTTTTTTTCCTTTCTTTGTTTCTTTTCTTTTCCCCCAAACAACCAGATTAAATGCTGAGCGCTTTTAAAATATCAAAACTTGTTCAAGTCATAAAACAACAAAACATAAGTTTTATTTAAAAAAAAAAAAAGAAAGAAAAAATAGTAAATTCCCAGAAATTCAGTGTTTAGACGAGGGAATTTAATTCCTATTTTGTCCATGTTGGTGATGTACTGTACTTCCCTTCCTTTTCTCTGCATCCCCCATCACCTCATAGAAGACTCTTTGTTGATCATTGTATGTTAATAATGTATAAAATGGCTATCTTGTAAGCGTGCTGTCCTGGTACTAGTGTAGCGACTTTTTTTCTCCTCTTTCTTCTAGTACATATTGATAGGTATAACATAATTAAGGTTTAAAAAAAATTAGACATAGTTATTCAGATTTAGGACCAGTAAGGATAGAACTTTCTCTTATTTATGAAAAAAAATGCTAATAATTTTGGGGCAGTTTTTTCCTTTAATTATTTTTTTCAATTTCAAGTTTAATTTTATTTTAGCTGATCTGATGTGGTTTCAACTAACCCAAGGTCTCACCATGTTAAAATGCCGGCGGACTCTACGGCGTTTTGTAGATCCCCCCCCCCCCACCCACTGTGAAGGGGTGCCATACTACCTTAAATGCTAATGCTAGATATGCAAAACTGGATTTTTTTAATTTATTTTTTAAAAGAGGGAGGCATGGTATATTAAAATGATTTTACTAAGAGAAAAAATATTTTTTTAAGAATGCTCAGAAGAAATTGATAATCTGTGTGAATATGTTTTAGATGTTTATATACCTTTTGAAGAGACCCAGTAGCCCATAGCACAAATCTTGTGGAAATCCGATATGTTTTAATGTGGCTACCTAGGTTTAAGGTTCACGTTAGTCCCCCCATTCCATCTAGAAGTCCATTTTGAAAGATTTTTGTAAATTCTTTTAACACTGATGTTTCAGCCTCGTCTTTGTTTCAGTTAAGCTCAATGGCGAACATGGGAACCACCTTTCGCCTTCCCTGGGGGAGAAACCCTCTTGGCTGATGGCTTTTCCCCGGAATTATCAAACAGCCACCGGGTGACTTTCTGGCTTCCAGATCCATCTGCCTGAGACCCCCGAACTCCTCTCCTCCCAAGCAGAGGCGAGTGAGTGGCATTAGCTCCCGGACCCATTCCCGGTCCTAGCTGGGCATGGGGCTGACGGAGATGACCAAGCCTTGGTCTGCTCTCTAGCAGCTTCCACAGACTTGGCTCGTGGCCTTCCTTATATCCACTGGGAACAAACAGCCTCGCGCTCTATACCAAACAGCCTCGCGCTCTATCCCAGTCGCCCATTAGCTTGATTCAAACAAAGCCCCAGCAGGCCTTTGCGTTTTTATCCTTCATAACCTTCATCTTAATTTGAACTTGTAGCTTGGACTTTAAGGTAGCATGGCTCTATTGCTGTCAATTTACTGTTTCACTGCACAGCAATCACAGCCAGTGAATGTTACACACATCTTGCTAGACTAGTATAAAAATCATTGGGTAATTGTTGGTTCTAATGACCTGAAAGGTGTTCAGTTTTTGTTCTTGGTTTTGTTTTGTTTTTGATTTCTTGGGGGTGGGTTTTGCTTGTTGTTCCTTTTCATTTGGGGGTTTTTGGGGAAAAAATTTATTTTTGGTTCCAAATAGAAAAACAAAACCTATTTTGATCTTTAGTGCAAACGAGGGCTAGGGACTTAGCCTCCTCCACCACCTCCACACTGCTTCATTCTGCCATTCACTCACTGCAGCATATTCAAGAATAAAGCAATATCGTTTACTACATTTTTTATTGAAGGTCAGCCATGCTTTCTGTATTATATTGCATATGAAATTGTTTACAAAAGAAACACTAACTCATACTTCTCTTTATTGGTTGCAAGTGGCACGCAGGAACAGAGGGAGAGTGGGGGGCTGGTGGGGGAGGGGAGATTTTTTTTTTTTTTTCTTGAATGTGCTTCGCAAGCCAGGCTATCTTCCAAGGAAGGCAGACAGTGGGAGAGCAGAGGGACTGACTGCAGGCAAGCACATTGAAGAAAGACACTGGCGGGTTTCCCCACCCTCACCCCAAAGCAGAAAACTAGCAGACGTCAGCTCAGCCCCGTCCTGGGCACAGACACTACACAAGGAGACGCTGGAAGTTAAGCAATACTTTAATACTGTAATATGTTTGTTTTCTTTTTCTTTCTTTTTTTTCTACCAAAAAAAAGTAAGTAAACTAAAACACAAAAACATATAAATAAAATCCATCCCTCTTGTCGGGGACCTGCAGGGGGGCAACCTTAATCCAAACACCTGGCTATCAAATAATCAGAATGTATTGTCTCAGACAGGATTTCAGTTCCGGGAGGCAGGGGCATGATGGGGGAGGGGGCCGGAGGCTGAGAGACAAAAGTTCCAGAGCCTCCCTCGAAGGTTCTCTACTACTGTATTCTGTACATAATGTACCATCCCATGTGGAATCTGTGAGTGTCCTCTTAAGTAGCGTGGGCTAGCCAATCTGCCGTTCATGGTGTATTGTAAACTCCGAATTCCATATGTAATAGGATGCAAGTCTAAGCGTTTCATGTGGACATAAATGTATCTAAATAAAACTTTCCCTAGCACTGTGGCTGACCTCACCCTTACTTTTATACTTTAGTATGAAACTGATGAGAACTTTGGTAGTGAGTATTTTTTTTATATATATACATATATATGTACTATCTATATATATATCTCAAGCATCTTTCAGGTCTTTGTGTGTGGCTTTCTTAAAGCCCTGTTGTAAAAAATTACTATGTGGATGGCAGTCTCTCACATCACAGATGTGGAAAGTATAATTTTATATTTGTATTTTCAAATAAATAAGTTTGTGAAAGGTTTCCATCCTCTACTGTGGTCCAGAAATCAATGTGTTTGTCTGACAAAAAAAAAAATAAAATAAAATAAACTGTTTTGAACAGAGTTGTTTGGTGTTCTTTCACTTGCAGAGGAGGTCTGGGGTCTGGGAGAGCTGTTGTTTTGCTTGGGCGGGAGAGGATATCATCAAATCGCACCTGCCACCCTCACCCCTCAGCATGAATGCTGGCCGTGGGCCTCCAGCAGCGAAGAAGTCCCTGCCTTGTCCCCAGGGAGCTTGTGGCACCATTTTTATGAAGTGGCAAGAGAGCACTAAGATGGAAGAGCAGACGGGAGAGGGGTGTAGATTAACAGCAGAAGGTACACAGAACCCATGAGTGGACAGGGAATAAACCCCAAAGGTCCTGCGGATCAGAGGACCCAGATGGTGGAAGGAGCTAAGGGGCCCTCCCGGGTGCTGCCCTCAGTTATCAACAGTGCTGGGAGAAGGCGCCAAACCGCATTCCACGACCCCTGAGTAGGGGTCTGAATAGGTATCAGACCTCTGCCCTCAAGGAGTTTTAAGTTTTGCCTACTGGAAATCATTACAATCACAAAACTAAAGATGTAGAGATAGATCATCTACAATACTTTCCACCCCTCTCTCTACCAAACAAACGAGAGGATACAAAAGAATTGAGACCCAGTACATTGAGGGCAAGTCCCAATACCTGGTGATGACGGCTACAGCATGCTCTGAATCAGTGGATTCCTCAGCTTTGAAGCCCTGGAGAGAAACACCAGGCCAAGAGGAGTGCAAGGGATGAAGCGTGGATGAAGGACAGTGGCCCTTAGCTGCTTCCTCAAGGCCCCCAGGAAAGCTGTATTCTCCAGGACATGGCCTTCTTGGGTCCCTCCTCCAATTTCCTGTCTCCTGCATATAACAAGTTTATCTTTTTTGTAAAATGGGTCTTCCGGTGAAAACCAGAAAACCAGCTAGACAGGTTCTTTCAAAAAGCTGCAACACTAACAACTTTGTTTTAAGGCATTCCCGCTACACTGGGGTCCTAGAGGAGACAGTCGAAGGTGCATTCCTTTATCTGGAGCTGGAGGCAGGAGCACTGGGTTCCAGGCCCACCTCCTGTGTGTCCACAGACAGCACTCCACAGTGTCTCGTTACATTGTTTAGGGGCAGGAGAGAAGAGTATAATCCCTGCTGCCCCACAGAAATGAAAGACCAATGGAAGCTGATGTGAGAAATCCCTTTTAGGAATCCTGAGAGAAGTGAGCCAGACACATGAGGCCGGCCATCGTGGCCATGCTCCTCATCCTGATTGCTCAGCTCAGAGAAAGGGGAGGCCCAAACCCAGCCCAGGAGCCTAAGGAGAGAGGGAGCAGGGAACAGGAGCACCAACTATATGCCAAGTGGATCATACACATGCCCTGCTTAGTCCCACCTGTGCCACGTGACTATCTACATTGTAATGGTCAAATAAGGTGGATAATTTGCCCATGGTTGTATAGCTGCTGAGTGGCAGAATGAAACCCCATCTCCCATACATCCTGCTGCCCCTGGGTTCAAGCCTGGTGACAAATGTCAGCGTCAGTGTTGAGTGTGCCTGGGAGGGTGGGAGTGAGGCTTCTAACCTAGGTGCCTACCTGAGTCAACAAAATGCACTAAAAAAAGAGGTAGGACAGTACCAAGCTAGAGAACAACAAATTTTCCTGTTTTAATGTTTCATGGAGAAAAAATAAAAAAATAAAATAGAAAACAAATCAGCAAAAACTAGAAGGAAAAAGAAGAAACAACAATGTAAAATAAATAACACACAAAGTAGGATAGAAGGAGTGAGATCAATTGAATCTACCATTATCTAAATATGAATGGGTTGAATTTTCTATCATTACAAAATAGATGTGTTTAGAAAAAACAAAACCCGGTTACGTGCTGTGTATACAAACACACTTAAAGTGATGAAAATGGCTAACAATAAAGGGCCGACAAAGAGAAAATAGGCAAATACAAAGAACAAGGGCAAGAACTGAAATGTCAGTATCAGACAGAGTGGAATTTAAGGTTAAAAACACTCCACAGCAATATTATGTCATGACAAAAGACACAATCTATTAAGAAGATACAGTGGCAGTAAACTCTTATGTCCCAATTATCAGAGGAACTGAAGACTTTAAATCAAAAGCCACTAGAAATGCAGAGAACTTGATAAAAAATAAAAATACAGTTAGAGAGATTAATATACCTCTCTTAGAACTAGATGTATTTAATAGACAAAAATAAAGACATAGAAGAATTGAATAATGCAATTAGTAAACCTGATCTGATGGCTCTATATAACCTGATCTGATGGCTCTTCGAATAGAGTTTGCACATTTTTTTGGTTTATATTCATGGAACATAAAAATCAAATAAATTTTGGCCAGCAGCCCCCCCCCCAAAAAATTTTAGAAACAAATAATTAACATGTGGCTATAAATATTATAACTGTGTACAAATTAAGAAACATTCTGTTGGATCAGAGAGAAAAGTTAAAAAAGATTACATACAAACTGCCAAAAAGCAACAGAAAACACACATTATACCCAAACTTAATAGCATATAGCCAAAGCTGTACTCAAAATGTAAGCTTTAAATGCCTTCAGATGGAATTTTTTTTGGGGGAGGTGAAGGAATATATTACTTTTTCTCCTTAATAAGGTAGCAAATAGCAACCAAAAAAACTAGAAAAAAAGAAATTGATAAATAGAAGCTGAAAGCAATAGAATAGAAAACATAAGTCCAAAGGCTGTATTTTTATAAACAGTAATAAAATGGACAAGTGCCCCTGAATAAAGGGGAAATGAGCAAAAATATACAATATGAAGAATATGAAAGGAGTTAACAGAGAAAAGAATGAATATTGGCAACAAACCAAAAAATTCAGGGGAATCAGAAAATTTCTTAGCAAATATAAATTACCAAAACTAGTAAGAAGTGGAAAACCAGGATAAACTTAATATCACAAAAGATACTGAAATGATAAATAAAGATATAATACTGAAAAATAGACTGGATCCAAATGAGTTTTATCTAACTAATAATTCCAGCACCATTTAAACTATTCCAGATGATAGAGAAATATGGAAAGAAAGCTCTCCTGTTTTATGAAACACATGGCTTTGCTGTCAAAACCCAATACAGTAATAAAACAAAAAATATATCTACAGACTTAGGAGCTCAGATGTAAAAATTTGAAATATGATTTTAGCTAGTAGAATTCTACAATATATCAAGAGTGTAATTTAATATGGCCAAGCAGGACTTCTTTCAAGAATTCAAGGACATTTCAACATCAGGAAATCTGTCAACATCTATTATACTAGCAAACTAAAGGAGGAAAACCATATGACCATAACAATATGTGCTGATAAAGTATTTGAAAAATATGGCAGCTCTTTCTAATAACACCATGGAATGTTGAAACAGAAAACACTTTACCAAAAGACTATTAATATTTGCCAAACCAACATTAATTATTCTAAATTGTGAAACACAAAACCTGTTTCAATTAAAATAAGGAACTTGTAGGGGTGCTGCTGTCACTATTATTACCTTAAACCTTCTAAAAACTAAGATAACAGAAGACATAAACATTGGGAGGAAAAGACAAAGATGATTTTATTTCTAGAAATTTTAAAAGACTGCAGTAAAATAAAATGAATACAGAAAAATTGCTACTAAAATTCATGAAAACTTTGGCAAGATGGCTGGATGTAAGATAAATATACAAAAACCACTAGGCCTCCTCCTCTCCAGTAGTAAGCACTCAGTAATGGAAATAGGAAAAAATATTTAAGGATAAACTTTATAAGAGAGGTATATGCATTATAATAATGGTTGAATTCCCCATCACTAGGGAAATTATGGACTGAAGTATCAATATACAGCATATCATAGAAAATTAGGCAGCCATTAAAACAGGTAACCCCAGAATCTAACAAGTGGCTTGAAGAAATTTATGAAACACAGTTGAATAAGGTAAAATATCTTTGAAAAATACATATATATGTATGTGTGTGTATAAATGTACACACACACAAATTAAAACTACATATGTATATATGTGAAGATACATATGTGTATATACATCACATGTATGATGACATGGATACAAAGAAAGGGGTACACTCTAGGTTGTTTACATGGGCTCTGGGATGTGGGGCTGAGAAATAAGACAAGTGGGAGAGGGGGATAGGAAGAGGTGACATGCTGAAAAATATATGTTTAAAGATTTCACTGAAAATTCTGTAAGATACAATTTAAAAATTTTTTTAAGTGTGACTCTATGAAAATACAAATTTTCAAACAAAACTATTTTTAAAAGAGCTGGGATCCACATTCCAGTAATAATAATTACATCTCGACTGGTGAAATGGGGAAGACATTAAGTGGTCAAAGAGGATTCTGGCTTTTCCTGTCCTTTTTAATTTTTCAAAAGAAGTGTGGATTTGTATATTCAGCTGAGATAAAATTAACTTTAAAATTAGCTGTCTAAAAAAGGGAATACAAGAACGTCTGGGAAGAGAAAGTCAATTGTATGCAGTGATATGTGGGTTTTCTCTTTTTTTTTAATTGTACTTTAAGTTCTAGGGTACATGTGCTTATTAATAGTATGTTCTCTCTCTCTACATTTTAATAGAAAATATGTATCACTTTTTCATTTAAAAACTATTTCCATTTTTTGAATAATAAAATATGAACTGAGTTAATAGAAAAAGAAAAGGGTAGGGAATGATTCTGATAGGAGCAAAAGGTAGCTAGGAGCATGCCAAAAGAGTCCTGTGGTCAGGAAGCTGCAGGGACAGTGATATCCCTCTGGGAGAACGTGGTTTCATGTAAGCGCTAAATACAACAGTTTCAAGGCCACAATCCTTCCTACCTTCCAAAGACAATAATGCATTTTAAAAATCAGATACATTGAGGTATGAAATTACATATAATACAGTGCATCCATTTTAAGTGCACAATTCCACGAGTTTTGACAAATATATACTATACACCTGTTTAACTCCCTGCATAGTCAAAATAGAGAACCTTTCCATCACTTCAAAAATTCTCTTGAGCTCCTTACTGGCATCCCTGGTCCCAGACAATAACTGACCTACTGTTAGTCACTATAGCTTAGTTTTGCCTATTCTAAAGTTTCATATAACTTGAATCAAACAGGATGGATTCTTTGTGTCTGGTTTCTTTTGCTCAGCATGCGTTTTCAGATTCATCAATGTTTTGTGTATCAAGTACTTATTTTTATTGCTGAGTTGGTTTTCCATTATATAGATATACCCAATTTGTTTTCAGTTTTTGGCAATTATATATAAAGCCACTATAAACATTCATGGACAGGTTTTTGGTGAATATAATTTTTCATTTCTCTTGGGTAAATAGGGCGAAGACATTGGGTCATATGGCAAGCATATATTTAACTTTAGCCAACCTGTTTTCCAAAGTGACTGCAATATTTTGCATTACCACTAGACATTTTTCAGAGTTCTGGTTACTTTGTATTCTTGTTAGCACTTCGTATTGTTCAGTTTTTTTTTTTTTTTTTTAGTCATTCTAATGAATTTGTAGTAGTATCTTATTGTGATTTTTATTTGTATTTCTCTAATGAGTAATGATCTTGAGCATCTTTTTGCATGTTATCAACATCTGGATATCTTCTTTGATGAAGTACTTGCTCAAATCTTTCGCCCAAATTTAAAATTGGGTAGGGTGGGCATGGTGGCTTATGCCTGTAATCTCAGCACTTTCAGAGGCCAAGGCAGGAGAATCACTTGAGGCCAGGAGTTCAAGACCAGCCTGGGAAATATAGTGAGACCCTATCTCTACAAAAAAAAAAAAAATACAAAAATTAGCTGGTCATTGCAGTGTGCACCTGTAGTCCCAGCTACTCTGGAGGCTGAGGTGGGAGGATAACTTGAACCCAGGAGGCTGAGGCTGCCGTATGTCAAGATTGTACGACTGTACTCCAGCCTAGGTGACAGTGCAAGACCCTGTCTGTCTCTATTTTTTTGGTTGGGCTGCTTGTTTACATATTAAGTTTTAAGAGTATATATTCTGAATACAAGTTCTTTATCAAATACGTGCTTGCAAATATTTTTCCCAGTCTTTGGCTATTCTCTTTATTCTCTTAATGTTTTTCAAATAGCAAAAGTTCTTAATTTTTATGAAATCCAATTTATCAATCTTTTTAAATGGATTGTTCTTTTAGTGTCATATCTAAGAAATCTTTGTCTAACTCAAGGCACAACAATTTTATCCTATATTCTGTTCCACAAGTTTTATAGTTTCGCATTTTGCATGCGACCTAAGTCTGCACAGACCTAAGTCTGTGGTCCATTTTGAGTTAACATTTATGTATGGTGTGAGATATGGGGTCTGGTTTTTCTTTTATTCCACATATTGAAATCCAGTTGTTCTAGCACCATTTGTTGAAAAGAATATCCTTTCTCTATTAAATTGAGTTTTGTTGTACCTTTGTCAAAAATCAGTTGACTATTTGTGTGGGTCTTTCTGAATTCTCTATTCTGTTCTGTACCACTAATCAATCTCTCTCTCTTTCTCTCTCTCTCTCTCTCTCTCATCTATCTATCTATCTATCTATCTATCTATCTATCTATCTATATTGCCATACCACACTATCTTGGTTGTATCTTTATACTAAGTATTGCGATCAGGTAGAGTGAACCCACCAGCTTTGGTCTTTTTCAATGTTGTTTTGGCTACTCTAGTTCATTTGTTTTCCATATACATTTTGGAATGAGCTTGTTGATTTTTACAAGATAATGTGGCTAGGGTTTTAATTGTAATTGTGCTAAATCTATGGATCAATTTTAAGATAATTGACATTTTAGCAAGATGGAGTTTTAGAATCTATACACAAGGGACATTTTTCTGTTTAACTTTATGTCATCAATGTTTTGTAGTTTTCAGCATATAGAACTTGAACATAATTTGTTGGACATAATTCATGTTTTTCTGTGTGAGTTTAAAGGGTACTTAACTTAAAATTTTTTAAATTCCAATTGTTCATTGCTCATGTATAGAAATACAGTTGAACTTTGTATTTTGACCTTCAGCCTTGTTAAACTCCCTTATTAATTCTGGCAGCTTTTTTATAGATTCATTGGGACTTTCTATGTAGATAATCATACTGTCTGAAAATAGTTTCATTTCTGTCTTTTGTTAAGCTGTAGGCCTTTTATTTATTTTTCTTGCCTTATTCACTGGCTAGGAGCTCTAGTACAATGTTGAACAAGAATGTCAACAGCAAATATCCCTGACTCATTCCCTATCTTAAAGGTAAGTGGTCAGTCTTTCATCATTAAGTATGATGTTAGCTGTAAGTTTTTTGTCAATGCCTTTTATTGAGTTAAGGAGTTCCATCCTATTCCTACTTTGCTAAGAGCATGTGTGGATGCTGAGAGCATGTATGCAGCATAAATGGATGTTTAATTTTGTCAAATGTTCTTTGCATATATTGAAATGGTCATATTGTTTTTATACTTTAATCTGCTGATATTGCGATTATATTAACTAAGTTTTAAATGTTGAACCAGCCTTGCATTCCCAGTATAAGCCCACTGGGTCATGATATATTATCCTTTTTACATATTACTAGATTCTGTTTGCTAATATGTTCTTAAGGATGTTTGTGTCTATGTTAATTTGTACTGTTATTTTCTTTCAATTTCTTTGGTATCAGAATAGTGATGGCCACATAAAATGAGTTGGGAAATAGTTCTTCTCTTCTATTTTTTAAAAAAGTTTATATAGAATTAGTATTATTTCTTCCTTAGGCCCAATAGTAATTCATATTAGACAATCAATTATGTTTTAGAGGGAATGAAAATAAGGGGAAGACCCTTTCATATGTACCTTTATTTTAACCATTTTCAGTCATCTTTATTTCTTTGTGTAAATCCAAGTTTTCTTTGGGTATCTTATTTTTCCACCTGAAGAACTTCCTTTAATACTTTTTGTAATGCAAATCTGCTGGTAATGAGTTTTTGGTTTTTGTTTGTCTGAAAAAACTATTTGTTTCTCTTTCACTTTTGGAAGATACTTTTGCTCAGCATAGGATTTTGTGTTGACAGGTTTTGTTTTGTTTTGTTTTGTTTCTTTTCAGTACTTTAAAGATGTTACTCCATTGTCTTCTGGCTTGCATAATTTTGATGCTAAATCTACTGTTGTTTTTTTCTTAATTTTACCTCTCTCTCTCTTTATCCTATCTTTGCTTTTCAACAGTGTGATTACGATGGGTCTAGATGAATGCATGGGCTTTTTTTTTTTTTCTCTTTGTTTTGTCTCTTTGTTTAATTTATTCTGCTTGAGATTCTTTGAACTTCTTTCTGTGGTTTCATGTCTTTCATTATTTTGGAGACATTCTCATCCATTATTTCTTCAGATATTTCCTCTGTCCCATTCTCTTTCTCTTCTCTTCCTGGGATTTCAATTACAGAATGTTTGACCATTTGATATTCTTCCACACCTCTTGGGTACTCTTTTTTTAACTCTTTTTTTCTCCTTGTGTTTAATTTGTTCAATTTCTATTGTCCTATTTTCTTTTTTCTTTTCTTTTTGAGACAGAATTTCACTCTGTCGCCCAGGCCAGAGTGCAGTGGCGCGATCTTGGCTCACTGCAAACTTCACCTCCTGGGTTCAAGCAATCATCCCACCTCAGCCTCCCGAGTAGCTGGGATTGCAAGTGTGTGCACCACACCTGGCGAAATTTTGTATTTTTAGTAGAGATGGGATTTCACCATGTTGGCCAGGCTGGTCTCACACTCCTGGCCCACCTGCCTCTGCCTCTGCCTCCCAAAGTCTGTTGACCTATTTTCAAGTTCACTGATTCCTTCTTAAATTGTATCAAGTTTACGGATCAGCTAGTTAAAAGTATTTGTCTCTGTCACTTTTTTCTCCTAGCATTTCTGTTTGACTCTTTCTTGTAGTTTCCCTCTCTCTACTAAAACTCTACATCTATTCATGTATGTTGTTCATCTTTTCCACTCTAGCCTTTAATATATAGTAAGCATAGTTACTTTAAGTTTCCTATGTGATGGCTTCAACATCTGGGTCATATTTGAATCTGGTTTTGTTGACTGCTTTGTTTCTTGACAGTGAGTTATTGGTCTTGTGTTTGGTGTCTCATGACTTTTGATTGAAAGCAAAACATCTTTAGAACAGTAAAGGCTGTAGTAAATATGCATGCCTCTTTTTCTGCTAGGCAAGGGATCTGCAAACTATGGTCCTTGGGCCAAATCAGGCCTGTTGCCTATTTTTGTATGGCCTATGAGTTAAGAATGGTTTTTATATTTTTAAATGTGTCAAATGGATATCAAAAGAAGAATAGTAATTATACAACATAAGACAATTATATAAAACTCAAATTTCAGTGTCTATAAATAAAGATTTATTGGAACATAACCATGTTCATTCATTTACATATTGTCTATGGCTGCTTTCATGCTTCAACAGCAGAGTTGAATAGTTGCAACAGAGCCCACATGGCCCACAACACCTAAAATATTTGCTATATACTGGTCCTTTGTAGACAAAGTTTGCCCCTTGATGTGGGTGGTTGAGTCAATCTAGTCAGAAGTTGACTTGGATTTGGGTTTTGCTGCTCTAGGTTTGGGTTTTATCTTCAGTGCACCACCAGCTTTAAATTCCTCTAGCATTTTCTTATTCTTAAGATGGAGGCTGGGTTGCCAGAGGGTTTTTCTCAGTGTTTCTGCTTCACTCTTAGCCTTAGGCCTTCCTTGTGTGCTTGTGCCTTAGCCTTGTCCCTGGGTGTTGTGATCTGCCCGTCTCCCAGCAGAAGGAGATTCCTCTTAGTCTGGTCCCAGATGGTTTCCTTCCCTCCTCCCGAAAGCTAAGGCTTTTGTTACATGGAGGACAAAACCCAGTGTAAGCTCCATGTTTTTCCAGGCTGTGGGGAATGGGCTAATTAACAGTTTTGCCACTTTTTGGCAAAATACCTTTTTTTTTTAGAAGGCTAAGCACAAACAAAATTAAGACATACATTGAAAGTATGTTCATGCTAAACCTATCACAGATCTGTACATCACTCTGTAGGATTAGGCAGATTAAAGTAGCTCATCAGTACACAACATGGCCTTAGAATCCCTGGCCCCTTTTTGGTTTAACCAGACTTAAGTTCCATGAACTCCCTGGCTTGATAGGTTAACTGCAGTCCCAGACCTCTGGTTGCTTAACTCACCCCTGGTCCTAACCAATGTGTACATCCTCAGGTTCAGTGAGTACTATGCCAATGCTTAAAAATAATTAATAACTCATGCAATGATTATGTGAATTTGCACTAAATGTAAGTGCTATAATTATGTCAAATCAAAAGCTGAGCATAGAACATAGAAAATCTTCGGGGAGATAAATTGAACCCTTTGGTTTCATTGAGGAAAAATCATCAAATCACAGCATGTCATAGCTGAAAAAGCACTTTGAGAACATCTAGTTTACCTGCTTCACTTAACCAATGAGATAACCAAGGCTCAGAGAAAAGTAACATGAGAAAGTTCACACAGCTAGTTAATAGTGTGGGAACTATTACCTTTCGAATTAAAAGTAGGGAGGAGGCAGGGAGCCTCTGGGTCTTTGTGGAAGGGGGCGGAATATTGGGAGGAAGAGTCCCAGGCCTGCTTCTATTTCTAACTAGCTGTGTGGCCTAGCTAGTGAGTATGACTCAGTCTCCCTCTCTGCCATCTGTCTGCCCTGCCCCTTTCCTGGGGATTATATTAGCTGAGAGGTGTAATGGCACTTCATTAAGACCTTGGGGGAGCTGTGCTACAGGGATCCTGCGGTCACCCAGGACTTACTTCCCTCCATTTTCTGAAGATGAGGCTCAGGGCACAGCCCGATGCAGTGAGACAAAGAAGACAGGTACAGAGTCCAGCTCCTCAGCCTGGAGGTTCCTGCCCTTGACTAGTATAGGCACCGTCTCTTCTGGATCAGTCAGGGTCTCATCAGGAAACCAGAAGCAGAGCTCTCTGTGAACAGAGATAAATTAACATAAGGACTCGATTAAAAACCTCTGAGGGCATCACAAGGGTGATTCTAGGGATACCCCCTATATTAGTCTGCTGTGGTTGCCATAACAAAATACCATATACTGGGTGGCTTAAACAACAGACATTTATTTTCTCATAGTTCTAGAAACTGGAAGTCCAAGATCAGGGCGCTGACTGTTCTGGCTTCTGGTGACGGCTCTCTTCCTGGCTTGTAGATGACCACCTTTTCCACTGTTTCCTCACACGGCCTCTCCTCACTGTGCGTGTGTGTGGTGAGAGAGAGAGAGCTCTCTGGTGTCCCTTCTTATAGGAACACTAATCCTATCGGATCATGGTCCCACTCTTATGACCTCATTAACCTTAGTTACTTCCTTGGAGGCTTCACCTCCAGATACAGCCACACTGGGGGTTAGGGTTTCAAAATAGGAATTTGGGGAGACATGAATATTCGGTTCCTAACACCCCCCCAAAAAAGCTGGAAACTGGAACCTATTGTCACTACTAGGTGAAGACCCACTGCTGAGGCATGCTGCCTGGAGCAGTAAGTAGACAGGAAGAAGGATGTCCTTCCTCCCTCCTCCCGCCATGTTGGGAGAGCCTGGCATGGATCCAGCTGGCAAAGTGGCAATGTCACGGCAGAGTGTGGAAGGCTGAGTGTGGAGCTGAGAGGAACCCTCTCCAGCCAAGACAGACCATGGAACCAGAGCAATCAAACATTTATTGAGTACTTATTATGTAAAATAGTAAAAGTCACATTCACTCCCCAGGATTACCTAAAATCTTGAAAGTCATATTAAAGTTTTTAGAATTAGAGCTGGGCTCAGTGGTTCATGCTAGCAATCCCAATGTTTTGGGAGGCCAAGGCAGGAGGATCTCTTGAGGAGTTCCAGGCTGCCTGGGGAACATAGCAAGACCCCTATCTCTACAAAAAAATTAAAAATTAATCAGGCATGCCAGCAGGTGCCTGTAATTCCAGCTGCTTGGGAGGCTGAGGCAAGAGGATCACTTGAGCCCAGGAGTTCAAGGCTGCAGTGAGCTACAATGGCACCACTGCACTGCAGCCTGGGCCACAGAGCAAGACCTTATCTCTAAAAAATAAACAATTTTAAAAATAAATAAAGAATTAGGCATTTGGTCAGTGGGCACTGGGGTAATATGGATTTGAGTAAAGGGGTGATGTGATCAGCTATCCTTTCTTCCTTCACCCAGTCCTACCCATCCTTCTTCCCCAAACTCTTGGCACACTCTAGACTCTCCTCTTTTACATTGCATACCTTCTCTGCTCATTTGCTATACATCAGCAACTTAATACACAGCATGATGAGCTTAGGAGAATATTCCATGGGACCAGAGCTATCTCTGTAGCTTCACTGTAAGCCAGGGAGGGGGTGTGAGGTTTAGACCATGGAAGGTCCTTAGGGGATGTGGTGAGAGTGAGATGGGAAGTACCTGGTCAGACCCACCCCATCAACAGCCTGTCTTCATCCTCGCCAGCAGGACACACACACACACACACACAGGCTCTCTCCTCACATATGCACAGTCAAGTCCTCTCTCATTTGCACACTCCCACACTCACACCCACACTCCCCTGTGCCCTCACAGTCTCACACACCCTCTGAGACTCACACCCCTCACACACTCTACACACTCACATGGACCCACTCACACTCACTTTACTCACACTCAGCCCTCTCACTCACACCCATGGCCACTCCCACTCCCACGTTCTCACAGCTTCACGCACTCCTGCTCAGTCTTCGCCCACACTCTCTCCCCCTCACTCGCAGACACTCGCTCTCTCACACTCTTGCTCTCACACTTATCCTGCCATTCCCACATTCCCACTGCTTCCCTCACACTCCCACCCCCTTGAAGTCGCCCTACCCATCATTCAGTCACTCGGTGTATTAGTCCATTTTCATACTGCTGATAAAGACATACCCAAGACTGGGTAACTTATAAAGAAAAAGAGTTTTAAATGGACTCACGGTCTCACGTAGTTGGGGAGGCCTCACAATCATGGTAGAAGGTGAAAAGTGCATCTTACATGGTGGCTGACAAGGGAGAATGAGAGCTAAGCAAAAGGGGTTTCCCTTATAAAAACATCAGATCTCCTGAGACTTATTCACTACCATGAGAACAGTACGGGGGAAACCGCCCCCATGATTCAATTATCTGCCACTGGGTCCCTCCAACAACACGTGGGAATTATGAGAGCTACAATTCAATATGAGATTTGGGTGGGGACACAGCCAAACCATATCACTCGGGCACCTGCACCCCTCCTTCATGCCCACTTTGAATCATACCCATGCCTTCACTCCCTCCCTCACTGCCTCCCACACTCACGGCTGTCACACTTGCTCACCTCCCTGTCTCTGGCTTGCTCACTGTTACCACACATTGCCACACTCTCCCACAGACACCCTCTCAGCAGGATTCTGCCCTCCCACCTTCCTGTCACTCTTCCCTTCTTCAAGGCTCTCTTCCTCACTCAGCAAATCGACAGGCACTGGACCAGCCTCTTAGGCTGAGGACAGACCGGATCTTCCTGTCTCCACCCTCTCTCTGAGCAGGAACAGCTCTGCCTGTTCCTGGTTGGATGTGAACAAAGGTCAATGTACAGCAGAAAAGAAGGCTGACATGTCCCATCCGCTGTCAAGGACCCTCCTCCCTCCCTTGCCCACTTTCTGTGCCCGCACGCTGTGGGGCACCAGAGTGTTCCAACAGGGAGCACCTTTCCTCGGTGGCTCCCTGGCCCATCCCTGCCTCAGCTATGTGAGGCTGAGCCTCCCTGTCTTCACTTCTGCCTTTCCTCAGCTCCCAGGACACCTCCAGTGTCATCTGATAACATGACCCCAGTAGCAGGCCCGTTTTTCCTTTGATCTCTGTCTTGCTCTGAATATCCCTACAAAAGCCTTTTGTGTGAAGTGCAGGGTGCGCCTTCCGTGGCTGCTTGCTGGGCCTTCCGCTGTCTTGGGTTTATTGTTATGGGTCTGGGCTGCCCTCTTACATGCTCTCTTGAGTTTATGGCCCTCTTTCCATCTCCTATCAATGCCCCTTGTTGCCTTTTCATGTATTCATTTGAATGGGTAATACAGTCAAGTCACGTGTTTCAAAATTCAAAAGATACAAGGAGTAAAGTTCCCTTCTCTCTCCACCCCTCAGCAGCATAGTTCCTCTCCTCAGAGGCAATTGTTCTCTTCAGTTTCTTGTAAAAGATTCTAGAAATAGATACAAGGAAGTGTGTGTGTGTGTGTGTGTGTGTGTGTGTGTGTGTGTGTGTGTGTGTGAAGGTGAGAAAGGTCTTACCAATGCACTTCTGATTGGGCCACTCTCAGATGACTCTAATGAGGAAGAGGCGAGGAGAGAGAGAGAGAGAGAGAGAGAGAGAGAGTGTGTGTGTGTGTGTGTGTGTGTGTGTGTGAAGGTGAGAAAGGTCTTACCAATGCACTTCTGATTGGGCCACTCTCAGATGACTCTAATGAGGAAGAGGCGAGGAGAGAGAGAGAGAGAGAGAGAGAGAGAGAGAGAGTGTGTGTGTGTGTGTGTGTGAAGGTGAGAAAGGTCTTACCAATGCACTTCTGATTGGGCCACTCTCAAATGACCCTAATGAGGAAGAGCCAGGGAGAGAGAGAGAGAGAGTGTGTAAGCTCAGCCATCACTGGGACCATGAGGGACACTCTCCACGTCTTCCTCACTAGAGTCATTTGAGAGTGGCCCAATCAGAATTGCATTGGTAAGACCTTTCTCACCTTCTCATGCCATCCTCCCTTTCAGAATCTTGTCATGTGAAGGAATAACTATATATTATTTTCTGAATGTCTTGCGCTCTGCCTCCCTCAAGTCTGAGAGATACTTCCACGTGCTAAGCCTTCGTTCAGTGTTATAAAGGGTATAATATTATACCCTTTCCCTCAAGATTCTTATCACTTCCAGTTGGCTGGTCAGTTCTTTGATGGTCAGAATTGATTTCAGAGTGGCTGATCCACTGGTCATTTTCTCTACCCCCTGGGAGATTAAATTGTTGGGCAAGTCAAAAGCAATAGTCCAAATAGACACTTCTGTGAGAGCATCCCTGTGTCTGCCGATGTCCTTTGCCAACCCTCCAAAGGTGGATGGGGGCCAAGGAGCACCCCCCACGGAAGAGGGGATGGGGCACATGGCCGCATCAGCCAGCCTGGCTGTCCTGCTGCCCTCGCCACCCCTCCCACAGGTCTCTGGTTAATTGCCAGGACACATCAGTGGGCACTCTCTGAGGAAGGAGCAGGCGAGCCAGCCCATAGCATCCCAGCTCAGCAATCATCGCTGATTAAAAACTAGTTACAAAGCAATGAAGATGAAATCCTGCATTAACCAAATGACCCCATCCATGGCCAAGCCCAGATAGATGGGAGTGATTATGAAAGCATCACTCACTATGTCGGCAAACGTTAACGGCTGTTTGAATTTCTGGGAGATTTACGGGGTAGTGACAGCATTTGGCTGGATGGGACTCTGGCTTTTTGCTTCATTCCCAGATGTGCCTGTGTGTTTATGGGCTCCTGTGGACTCACAGCCTATTCAAAGTGGTCTAGCTCGGCTGTGCTTTTATGTGGGTTTAATCTGAATATGCCGGCTTGTGTAAAGTAGAAATGTATTGTATTGCCAATTTTCAGAGAACCTGAATTAGCTCAGCTATTCTGAACATAATTTAATCTTTCTTTAATGATTCAATAGGTGCTTTGAAGTCTCGCACTAATCAGAGTCATGGTCATGAATATCAGAACTTGATATTGAAGAAGCATAAAAGTGCTCATCAAAGAATTAGGTGACGGAAATGGCAGGAAACAGCATAAGTGGATGCTTCTGTGAGAGTGCAGGTATGACCATGTGTGTCAGTGGGCATGTGGAAGCCTGGTGTGATAGGTCTAACTGGGATAACATTGACCTCACCACAAGCAATGAATGACCCTATCAAAAAGTCAGCCTGGGCCGGGCGCGGTTGCTCATGCCTGTAATCCCAGCACTTTGGGAGGCCAAGGCAGGCAGATCACCTGAGGTCAGGAGTTCGAGACCAGCCTGGCCAACATGGTGAAACCCCATCTCTACTAAAAATACAAAAATAGCTGGGCGTGGTGGCAGCTGCCTGTAATCCCAGCTACTCAGGAGGCTGAGGCAGGAGAATCGCTTGAACTCGAGAGGCGGGGGTTGCAGTGAGCCGAGATCATACCACTGTACTCCAGACTGGGCAACAAGAGCAAAACTCTGTCTTAAAAAAAAAAAAAAATTTAATAATGTCAGCCTGCTCCCACACTTCCCAAGGAGAATTTGGTCTTTGCTAACTTGGGCCTCAGTTGAGCAGATTTGGAGTGAAGGGTGAAGATGAGAATTGTCCTCCCCGGAAAAGGCCCAAGAGCCCCAGACAGAGTTTAATCCCCTTGAATAGGTAAAAGAGAAATGAACAGATATGTAAGGTGGTCAGGGGGAGACCAGAGCTGGGTTTAGAAGGAAGTAGAGTGTTAGGAGGCAGCTGCCATGATTGTAAATATACAGGTGTACGTGCACATGAAGTGGGAATAATGACATCTCCCCCATTAGGTTGCTATGAGACCTAAGAAGCCCGCATGCTTTGCTGTGGACTGAATGTTTGCATACCCTCCTGAATTCATATGCTGAAGCCTAAATCCCCAATTTGATGGTATACGAAGGTGGGGCCTTTGGGAGGTAATTAGGTCATGAAAGTGGAGCCCTCATGAATAGGAAGAATGCCCTTATAAAAGAAATTCCAACAAGCTGCCTTGCCCCTTTTCTGCCATTTGAGAAAACAGTGAGAAATTGCTGCCTGTGAACCAGGAAGCGGGTGCTCACCGGACACTGAAGCCACTGGCACCTTGATCTTGAATTTCCCAGCCTCCAGAACTGTGAGAAATAAATGTCTGTTGTTTAAGCCACCCGGTCTTAATGTACTCTGTTTTAGCAGTCTGAAGAGACAAAGACATGCTTGCTCTCTCCTTCTCTCTCTCTAGCTCTCTGGTGAGAGAAAATTTTGATAGAATCACCAATTGAAATTTTTTGAATCACTTCGGGAAATATTTAAATTGCCTTTCAAGGGCCAGGCGCGGTGGCTCACCTCTATAATCCCAGCAGTTTGGGAGGCTGAGGCGGGTGGATCACCTGAGGTCAGGAGTTCAAGACCAGCCTGGACAATGTGGTGAAACCCTGTCTCTACTAAAAACACAAAAAATTAGCCAGGCATGGTGGTGGGCACCTGTAATCTCAGCTACTCGGGAGGCTGAGGCCAAGAATCGCTGGAACCCGGGAAGCAGAGGTTGCAGTGAGCCAAGATTGCACCACTGTACTCCAGCCCAGGCGACAGCACAAGACTCCATCTCAAAAATAAAAATAAATACATAAATTACCTTTCAGTAATATTTGACTGTAGAAACCTCTTTGAATACACCCCCATGTGGAAGCGGGGCAATAAGTAAGGAACAAAAGAGCTGTCTGTTAGTGTGGTACCATTCAGGCCAGAGGCTCTCTCCTGGGTATGCCCCAGAAGTGGTTCCCAGCAGCCGGGTCAAGCAGATGGCGCTGGCCAGCCTGGAAAGTCTGCCTGAGAACCACCTGAGGCTAGCACCTCCACCTTCATCCCCTGCCAACCCAGCCAACTAGAGGAAATGGAGATGCTCAAACACTCGGACATTAGCAGGACCACAGGGCAGCTCCTCCAGCCCTGAGACGTAAAAAATGAGTTACAGGGGCAGCTGCATAGCCCAGCCTACCTGCACTGCACATCCCCTTTCCCCTCCCCAGGAGAGAGAAGGCTGGGAAGGAAGTTGTGCATTGGAGCTAGGGATAGAAGGCGGGACAGGGGTAGGGTTGTCCCGAGTCAGCCAGTGCAGAGACCTAGGGAAAGGACCAAAGGCGGCCAGATGCGGTGGCTCATGCCTGTAATCCTAGCACTTTGGGAGGCCGAGGCGGGAGGATCACTTGAGGTCAGGAGTTCAGGACCAGCCTGGCCAACATGGTGAAACCCTGTCTCTACTAAAAATACAAAAATTAGCCAGGCGTGATGGCAGTCACCTGTAATCCCAGATACTTGGGAGGCTGAGGCAGGAGGATTGCTTGAACCTGGGAGGTGGAGATTGCAGTGAGCCGAGATGGTGCCACTCCACTCCAGTCTGGGCGACAGAGCAAGACTCCATCTCAAAAAATAAAAATAAAGAAAGGGCCAAAGGCTCCATTATCAAAGGACCCAGTGGTCCTGGCTCTGTGGCATTGCAGGCCAAAGTGACTATCTCTGTTTGCCCCTGCCCAAATTCTACCCCTACCCCATCCTTGACTGCCCCTCACCCCATACTTGTCCAGGGCCCATCTGTCTGAGGATTTGAGGAATCCAGAGGCTCTTCCCTGAATTTAAGTGGTAGTTACACTCTTGAAAAAGTCACTATGTACTGAAATTATGCAAAAGATACTTTAAAAAATATTTTTAATGTTTATTTTAGAGACGGGGTCTCACATGTTGCCCATGCTGTTCTCAAACTCTTGGCCTCAAGTGATCCTCCAGCCTCGACCTCCCAATGTGCTGGGATTATAGGCATGAGCTACCATACCCAACCACAAAAATTACTTTGAATTGGCTGTCAAATAAAATTAGGCAAAAGGCCCAGATGATTATAGATTGGTTTCTTCTCTACATGGATATCGTGTGGGACCCTTGAAGGGCTCTACTGCAGATTGGGGGCCTACCCCTGTGCCCTCCCTCTGCTGACCTCTCAAGTGATACAATAGCCACTAATGTCCTCCCCAGCCCCACTCATCCCTCCACCACTGCCAGAGTGGGCATTTTGCACTACCAGCCCAACCATGACATTGCCCCTCAAACTCTTTATTAGCTCCCCATACCCACAGAGAGGTTCTCAACATTGGCATTTGGAAGTTTCTGGGGGCATCTTGATGGTCACAATGATGGGAGACCCCTGCCACCATTTAGGGGGCAGGGCCAGAGATGAGGATGCCTAAAATGTGTGGGCCAATCCCACATGAAGACAACTTGTCCTAGGTCCCTTGTACCCTTCAAGGGACCCACACGATATCCATGTAGATGAAAAATCAATCTATAATAATCTGGGCCTTTTGCCTAATTTTATTTGACAGTCAACTCAAAACATTTTTTGCATAATTTCAGTATACAGTGACTTTAGCAGGAGTGTAACGACCACATAAATTAAAAGCATGCTATATTTTGTTTAGAACTTCACCAAGAGTTATTCGCCATCTCAGAAAATCAAGTTACCAACAGCAAATTGCCCTTGGTATCTGTCTGCACTTAGAGTGCCACATTCACTATGACTGCACATGTAGGAGGAGGCATCTGACTATTTTATTATGTCCTCTAGCACAGTCATTCCCAAATATTTACATATTAAAATACATATTATTTTATTAAGCCGGGTGCAGTGGCTCATGCTTGTAATCCCAGCACTTTGGGAAATCGAGGCAGGTGGATCGCTTGAGCCCAGGAGTTTGAGACCAGCCTGGGCAACACAGTGAAACCCTGTCTCCACAAAGAATACAAAAATTAGCTGGGCATGGTGGAGCGCACCTGTGGTCCTAGCTACTCAGGAGGCTGAGGTGGGAGGATCGCTTGAACCCAGGAGGCAGAGGTTGCATGTGATCATGCCACTGCACTGCAGCCTGGGCAACAGCGTGAGACCCTATCTCAAAAAACAAAACAAAAAACAAAAAAAATATTATTTTATTAAATAATTTACTTTACATTTCTCCTTTATATTAAGGATTATTATACTGATTTTTTTGAAAATACATGTATACATAAGTTATTTGTGGATTTTCTTTCAAGATAGAAAAGGGGGCATTAAAACATGTTTTTATATAAAGGGAGTGTTGGGTCTGATAGAGTTGAGAAACACAGGCTCACAGGCTACTGCCAGCCTCCCTAGGAAGGCTTCCAGACCCTTCCAATCCAGCCCCTGTCTGCGCTCCAGCCTCATTGCCTGCCACCTCTCCAGCCTGGCATCTTGAACTCCAGCTTCTCCAGTACAAACAGTGCCATGGATACAGCACAGATCTCACCATCCCTGCAACTGACTGGCCTTCCTGCCTCAAGCCACCTAAAACCTCCATACTCATCCTTTATTATGCCTCACACAAAGCACCCACAACAGAAGGACAGGTTGGCATCCACCCACCTGACCTACTCCTTGGGACCCAGTCACCTCTGTGAGCTGTAACTCCACAGCTGGGTCTCCCAGGAAGGCACACTGGAAAGCAAGTAAATGACAGTGCTGCTCCTGATATGATACATATGATACATATAATAATGTACAGGTATAGTGCATATGACACATAGGAGGTATATGTGTATGATACATATGACAGCGTATAGGTATAGTGCATATAATACACATGATAGGCCGGGCGCGATGGCTCATGCCTGTAATCCCAGCACTTTGGGAGGCTGAGGCGGGCGGATCACCTGAGGTCGGGAGTTTGAGACCAGCCTAACGAACATGGAGAAGCCCCATCTCTACTAAAAATACAAAATTAGCTGGGCATGGTGGCGCATACCTGTAATCCCAGCTACCAGGGTGGCTGAGGCAGAAGAATCGCTTGAACCCCGGAGGCAGAGGTTGCAGTAAGCCAAGATCGCGCCATTGCACTCCAGCCTGGGCAACAAGAGCAAAACTCCATCTCAAAAAATAAAATAATAATAATGCATGACAGTGGATATGTATAGGTGTCGTATATGTGATACACGTTATAGTGTATAGGTATGGCACACATGATGTCCATAATAGTGTATGTGTAAAGTGGGTATGATACAGTTGGGTACCTGAACTCTTCTTCACAACAAACCACCTTACATTTGGGGACACAACAGAGAGTCGCACCCTGGGTTGAAAATCTTGAGTCCAGGTGGCCTCAAGATAGAGGTGCTCCTCTTCCTTCAGCTCAAGCAGCCCCTTCTCTGGGCTGCCTTCCCCACCCACCTGCCCACTATGTCCATCCAAGGTCTGTCAACTTCATGTGGCAGCAGGCCACTATGCCAAATGACTAGTCATCCAAATGTCCAATCTGCCAAAAGAAACAAGTTCACTAGAATCTTGCTTTTTATAATCATTTAAAAAGTTTTCAGCTATCTGTGTTGAATGAAAGAATTTTAATAACCTTGGAAGATTTCTATGGAATTGTAGTCATATACTTTTCATTTATTTACTTTGGCTTCCTCACAATAGATGGAGGTTTCTGGGAAGAAAAAGGGACTCTCTGCTAAGGAAAGACAGTTTCAGATCAGCACACAGCTCAGCGTGGTAGTGGGACTAAAGGCACATGTGGTGGAAATTGGGGGGTGGGTGGGGAGGCTGGAGGCAGAAACTGGGGAGAATGACGGGTGAGAGGAGTCTGAAGGTTCCAGAACACTGGAGCCCCAGCTCCCCACAGCCCTGCTGAGCCTGCTCTTCCACCCCGTGAGATGACAAAGCGACTATTCAGATGAGTTGGTTGCAACAGCTTGTCAGAGTTTTATCTCAAACTTGCCAATTAAAAGAGCTACTTCCATGAAAGCCAGTTCTGAGATTTCTTCTGTGGTAGAGACATCAGAAGCAGGAGAAGGGTGTCTAAGCCACACTGTTAGATCAGGTGTGATGAAGGAATGTGTGGTGAAAAGGCACCGAGGGAACAGTGCTGGAAAAATCTAACCTCCCCCAAGGGCTGTAGATCATGTCACACAAAACAGTTCTCCATTCTGTCACAGACAAGGTGTGGGACAATTTTCTCTCACAAAGAGTTGCAGTAAAGACCACAGCTAAAAGAAACAAGGCGTGTGTGGGGGCGGGGGGCGGTGTGCGCCTGCGAGTTCTAATTTGGTAACTTTGGTGGAGTGGGTCGTTTGATGAATTGGTTATTGGGTGTGTTGATAGGAGGGTTAGTTACTGTGAGGCTTTCCTAAAAGTGCTTGCAAATGAAGGGATCAAGATCTCTCTTGAGGAATCAAACTATAAAATGGGAGGTAGGCAGAGAGGAGTGTCATTTAGCCGTGAAAGCAAGACCAAAGGAGAGGCTCCAGGCCAGCGTTCATCTCCTGGGGAGAGGAGTCTTAAACAATGAACTTCAGGTGTCACGACCAGTCGGCTGGGCATGTGCAAGGTGGAGACGGAAGCAGGGCTCAGCTGATGGATTTCTAGTATTCTTGTTCTGTGCTCAGACCTTCCCTATTGGGAGGCAGATGCACCCGCCGACCTTCGTTGATGCAGTTAAACATTTACTCCATCCAGCTGCCCTTGTTCTGATTGAAAACGTGCCAAGCATCCTTCTGGTTATAATCTGGCCTGCCAGGTAGATCTGGATGATGTCAATGAGCCGGCCCTCTGGAGTTGCCCCTCCATTTTCTGTGCTCAATAAGTGAGCAGAGAAGGATCTACTCTCAGGGTGCTGACAAAATCAAGTGTGTGACCAAGCCCAGAATGGGGATACGTTCCAGAATGCAGTGAGTACCTACCTGAGCTCCCTGCCTGCCTGCCCTGGGGAGCCTCTACCCTCACTTGCCCCTCATTGAATATAGTGCTTGCATCTACTTCTGCAGTTTCTAACACAGGACTGTGGTTTGGGGTTACCCACCCATCTCCCTCCCAGCCTCCAGACAAGTACACACAGTAACTTATTCAAGTTTGTATCTCTGGCACCTGGAACCCTGCAAGGCTGTGGGCTAGCTGAGAACAGTTCCTGGTGCATGGCAGGCCCTAAATAAAAATGTATGCAATGGATGGATGAATGCACCATCTAGCCATTCTTTAGCCCACTCTTGGTGGTCGAGCCCTGGCTTACCCACCATGAAGCATTTGTGGGTACCTTCAGAGCCTGCTGATGGCTTTCAGAATTCCTGTGACCTTTCTCTTGGTTCTCCTCAGTTGGGAGGATCTTCAAATCTCTTCTGTCCCGTATCCTGCACTATGCAGGCTTTGGAATCAGCCACCCTTGGGGTCTAAAGCCAGGTTATTGACCTTTACCTATCTGTACCAGCTCAGCTGCTGCTTCTGTGAAATGAGAATTATAATGCGAACCATACCGGAGACCGGGTAGGTTTTCTAAGAGTCCCTCGGGCTTTGCTGTGAGGAAGAAGAGGCATGAGAAGGTAAATATTCTTCAGAATCTTCTGCTGAACAGTCCTGAGATACAAACTCCTCCTGCCCCACTGCAGCCTCCCCTCCACCCCGCTCCTGACCCGGGACACTTCGAGCTGTGCTCCTGCAGAGAATCAAAGGGGCTCTATATTTGCCTCCCTTCTTCCCCTCCCCTCCTCCCAGGCGCCTCTGAGGTGAGCCAGCTTGACCTGACAGCTTCAGAGCCTGTCTTCTGGCTAGGGAGGGAGCTGACACTTCCATCTGGAGCCAGGAGCAGGATGTGAGCTCTGCACAAAGAAGATCCGTCCCTGAAACCCTGCTCCCCGCCTCCTCCACAGCACAGCAGCTGGCTTCCTGGGGAATCAAGTGACAGCCAGACTCCAGGGAACCGAGCTAGCAAGACCGAATTCTGGGGGGGTGATCCACAGTGACAGAAGAGGCTTTGGCGTGGATAGCTCAGCAGGGCAGCAGGGGCAGGGCCAGTTAACCCACAGAGGGACAGACAGTCTCAGGACTGTGGCCTCCTGCTCTGCTCCAATGGGCACCGTCAATTGTCTCATAATTCCCTGCTTCTATTAGCATTCAGGACCTGAAAATGACCTTCTTTTGCTGTTTTCCTGACCACAAGGTGGATTCTGCCCATCAGGGCCTCCCTTTACCTTGGCACACAAGGGCCTCCATCCTGGGGCACCCTCCCACCTGCCCCACCCCTCCAACCTAACTACTTGCCATTTCCCAAATACATCGTGCAGTGCCTGGTGTCTATCCTGTGGTTCATGCTGCTTCCTCTGCCTGCAATATCCTTTCCCTGCAATAGCCTCTTCCACCCAGCAGACGCCTCCTCACTCTCTTGGCTCAGCTCTAAGTCATATCCCCTAGGGAAGCTTACCAGGATGCTGCAGTCAGATGGAGTGTCTCCTCCTGGGCCCCCACAGCCCCTGTACTTCCTTCTGTGACAGCAACAATCCCACAGCAGTGGAACTGCTTACCTGCCTGAGCTCCTGGAGGGCAAAGATGCCATGTGCTTCCTAGTTCTGAATCTCAAGCTCCTAGCACAGAGCATGGTGGGAAAAAAAAAGTGCTCAACAAATACATGCTGAATTTAACTAAATTTGGTAGAAGGTTCATTTTCCCACCAGCTCTCACAGCTCACAGATTAGGATTCCACTGGAATGTATATACATACTAAATCATGTGTATCTAGTTTTTTTTGGGTAGTGGATTTATTGAGATTGAATTTCTATAACCATACAATTCACCCATTTAATTTCAAGTATACAATTCAATGTTGTTTGTACATTCACAGACTTGTGTAATTATAACCACAATCAAGTTTAGAACATTTTCATCTCCTCAAAAAGAAACTCATACCCATCAGCATTCATTCTCCATTTACCCCCTTCCCCCATTCCCTGGTAATCACTCATCTATTTTCTGGTCTCCATAGATATATCTGTTCTGGACGTTTCATATAAATGAAATCATACAATATGTGCTTCTTTGTGACTGGCTTCTTTTACTCGTATATAATGTTTTCAAGGGTCATTCATCTTGTAGCGTGGATCATTGCTTCATTCTTTTTTATTGCCAAATAATATTCCACATTTTATTTATCCACTCACCTGTTGATGGACTTTTGGGCTGTTTCTACTTTTTGGTCATTATGAACAGCTTGCTTTTTTTAATGCTAAGATATTTTTTATTTTAAAATAATGTCAAATTTACAAACAAATTTTGTAAGAATAGTAACAAAGAACTTTTTTCCTTTAACCATGTGAGAGTAAATGGCTGGCATGATGTCCCATCACCACTGGCAACTCCAGGTACACACAAACATACAAATAATACTTGTGTGTACTCTCCTACATAATCATAATACAACCATGAAACTAGGAAATTAACATTGATTCATTCCTTCTGGATAATCCATGGACCCATTCAAGTTTCACCAGTTGTCTCAATGATGTTCTTTAGAGCAAAAGATGCAAGCTAGGATCATGCATTACGTCTTATTGTCATGTCTCATTAGTGACCCTCAATCTGGAATAGTTCATCACCCTCACTGACTTTCATGACCTTAGCACTTTGGAAGATTATAGGCACATTATTTTTCAAAGTCCCTGATATGGTTCGGCTGTGTCCCCACCCAAATCTCATCTTGAATTGTACTTCCCATAATCCCCATGTGTCGGGGTGGGACTAGATGGGAGGTAGTTGAATCATGGGGGTGGTTACCCTCATGCTGTTCTTCTGATGTGAGTGAGTTCTCACAAGATCTGATGGTTTTATGGGGGCTTTTCCACTTTTGCTTGGCACTTCTCCTTCCTGCCACCGTGTGAAGAAGGACGTGTTTGCTTCCCCTACCACCATGATTGTAAGTTTCCTGAGGCCTCCCAGCCATGCTGAACTGTGAGTCAATTAAACCTCCCTCCTTTATAAATTACCCAGTCTCGGGTATTTCTTCATAGCAGTATGAAAATGGTCCCTCAGCTTGGATTTTCTGATGTTTCCTCATGATTAGAGTCAGTCTGTGCCTTTTAGCAGGAATATTACAGAAGAGAGGCTGTGCTCTTATCATTGCATCTTATTAGGTGATACACAATTTCTGTTTGTCCTGTTAGTAGTGATTTTTCACTTTGATCACTTAATATGCTAGGTTGTATCAGGACAATTTTACTCTTTTTTTTCTTCGTGATTAATAAATATATTTTGGGGAGATACTTTGAGACTATGTATACAAATATCCACTCCTCATCAAACTTTCACTCACTAAGTTTAGCATCAGTGAATACTCCCTAGCTGAATTGTTACTCTCATGGTGCTAACTGGTGATTTTCTAGTCGCATCTTTTCTCCTACACTTATTAGTTGTTATTTTATTCTAAGGGAAATTTATTTTTTTATATTAGTATGGATTTGGGAATTATTATTTAAAGAATTATAATTGGTTATTGTCACTATTTATTTTTATATTTAAATACGCCCTGATTTAGTCAGTGGGAGCCCCTCAAGGTGGCTTCTGTGTCCCTTCAACACATCCTCATCAGTTCTTGAGCATTTTTTTTTCTGGCACAAGATATTCTAAGCTCCTCTTATTCTTTGCCTGCCCAAGGTCCAAAGTCATCCATTTCTCCAAGGAGTTTTGGCTTCTTTTTAGTGGAGAATGGTTTTTAGAAATGAAGATATGGATACTAGATGTGCTCATTGGTATTGGGATATCACTTCTCTTAGGCCCTCTCAATGGACAGAGCTAAAAAATACACACGTGCACAACATTCTCTCTCTCTCACACATACACTACATAGATACGTATTTATACACATTCATACCCACATTTACATCCATATATATATAAACATGTGTTGAAAATCATAAATTCATCTTAACACCTTTAATTCCAATCCAACACCACAGAGTTCATTCCTATGTTCCTTTTTTCCATATTTGTAACTCCTTCTCAGACAGTGAGAGTCCTGACTCCCATTATCCTCAATATATTTGCTTATAGAATGAACCCAAATGTGTAACCCATCTCCCATCACCTTTGGGGACCCTCACATGGACACTCTCCTTACCCTGATTTGACTTTAAAATCCCACATGAGGCCACAGTTGTCACCACCCCTCCCATGTAGATGCTCCCTTTAGCTCCCTCTGGCTCCAACACATTATGCTCCACTGCATCCCCTCACCAGGATGCTGCTCCCATGTGGACACACTCCTCACCTTCCTTGGACTCTAACCCCCTGTGCCACACCATGTAAGCACTCGTAAATACTCTCTTTACACTGCTTGGGCTCTGACACCCACCCTGGGTTGCTGCCACCTGCCCCCCATAAGGACACCATTCTTCTCTCAGTCTCTGATATCCTAGCCTGGACTGATGCCACCAATGCCACTGCCTCCCCAGCCTACCCCAACATAGACATCTACCTTGCTCATCAAAAAGGTGGGGTTCTTAGTTTTTTTAGGCTTTTCACAGCTGGGATTTTGTGGACTGCATCTCCACAGTGTCCTTAAATATGTTTTTCCTTCTCCTTCACAAGAAATTGATCGTTAAATCTAGATGTTTCATAACATTCAGGTTCAGTTTCTTGGCAATAAAA
Organism: Homo sapiens; assembly: GCF_000001405.40. Classification (NCBI taxonomy): domain Eukaryota; kingdom Metazoa; phylum Chordata; class Mammalia; order Primates; family Hominidae; genus Homo; species Homo sapiens. The sequence continues at coordinate 57,711,878 of NC_000017.11, forward strand.
CTTCATATGTAGTGCTGTGTTCTTCCACCAGATAGCACATGATAACCGATTATCCATCATTTCATTAAGAGTTGGAAAATGATGTTACTCTGTTTCTCATTCTTCGTACGAAGAGCTCCTCCTTCTCATCAACCATTCATTTATTTTGTGGTTCATGTAGGAAAAGCAGGTACTTGATTCTTTCGCCTTATTTTCTAGTTTTTAAAATTATGAATAGGTTCCCTAACATCTTCCAAGAGTGATCAATGAGTGATTTTTCTTTTGCCTCTTAAAAAATATTATGAACTCATGGATTGAAATATATTTGATGTGTTTCAGTCCAGTGCATTTATTTTTACTGATGATCAAATTGTCTTATCTTTGGCTAGTAGGAACCTCTTCAAGTTGCTACTCCCTAGTAATCTTTGATGGCTTCTGATATAACAAGATGTTCTAGGTTCATCTTGTATGTGTTGTACCCCCAAACTGGAAACTGTCATTTCTCCAAAAAGCCCAAATCCCCATTTGGGGGGTAACAGTACTTAGAGGCCATAAGCTGGTGTTCATTGTTACTGGGTTGGCTATTGTTCCATAGTCTTTTTGATGGAATAAAAAATAATCAGACCATGGACAGAACTAGAAAATAATGACATATCTCTTGAATTCATATTGATACTACCAATTCAGATTCAGGATTACAGAGCTTATCCTTAGCTTCAACAGTCTTACATCTGTATATCCTTTCTTTCACACTGAAAATCAAAATTCCCAATGAAAGCAACATAATTATTCGCTTCCTTTATGGCACTATATATCCAGTAGTCTCAGATTAACAATACCAGCGCTGTCATCACCAATGTGCGTATATTGATAAACAGTTCTAGAATTTTTCGCAGTTATTTTTATTAGGCTATATCACACTTGGGATGATAATCAAATTAATTTGTCTTTAAATTGCTTGAAATAGTTCTTTCTGTGTAATTATGCTACAATACCAATTAACACATAGATTACTCTTTTTAATTTTGCTTTCATGATTTAGGCTTTTTAGAAAAAAATTTATGGATTACTTTGTAAAAATAATTTTATTTTACAACTGTAAGGATATTTGCATGGTTCCAGTGACATCTACAAAACAAGATATCTTAAAAGAGATCTTCAAATTCCCTCTATTAGAATTTGAACAGTTCCTAAACATGCCCAGAGTATTGTAGGCACCAGAATCTTAATGTTCTGCAATATCAACACTCCACCGATTCTCAGTTCTTCATATCAGTATGAAGATATGATATAATTCAAATACAGGCTTTGTCCTGTAACAAAGACCCTAAAATAGCAATAATATAGAATTACCACTTAATATTTCAAGTATAAGCTCTCTAGGGCTGATGTGATGGCTCCGAAAGGATCTTCTTTCTCCAGTACTCTCAACACATGGCGTTCATCCTGTAATCAAGACAGCTGCGCCGGATTCTGCCCTCCCAGCCCCACGCCGGCCAGCAAGGAGAAAAGGGGACGGGAAGGCCAATTCTCTGGAAGGGCAGGACCTAGAAGCTGCACACACAACTTCCATTTATATCCCACTGATAGCCAAATCTATCTCTTATGAATTCTGCCTTGGTTTCTACAATGAAAAAGGCATTTTCTGGTTGAGTTGAGATACATATTCAGCTTTATTTTCTACAGTTCTTTTCTTATCGTATTTTCCTTTTACATGTAAAAGTTTTGTTGAGTAGTATCAGGGAACTAAGGCTGTTTTTTTTTCTTCCAAATTGCCAATCAGCAGGGTCAGACTTGGGACAGGTGGCATTGCATTGCACACCCAGATGATCAAGATTGTCTAGAACGATTTCAAGTTTTTGTCAATGGTGGTTGAGCACTTATACAAACCAGGCTTCCAGTCAGCATCTAAAGAGATGAAGATAGAAAAGACCCACCCAATTCTTGCTTTTAAAGGGCATAGAATCAGGGAGGTAAATCACAAGCAAGTCAGCACCATTGAGTAGACTCCATGCCGGGATTGTGTGGAGGGAAGAGCACACAGACAAACATCACAAAGAAAGTCACACTTGAACCAGGAAAGACCAGGGGTATTTTCCAGGTAGACATATGAGGGAGGAGCTTTTCAGGGCACATTGCTTAAATCCTCTGAGCTCTAGTTTCTTCACCTAGAAAATACAGCGGTAGTGCCTCCTTCATTGACTTGTTAGAATTCAGGGAAGGGGGCCAGGCGCGGTGGCTCCCACCTGTAATTCCAGCACTTTGGGAAGGCAAGGTGGGTGGATTGCTTGAGCCCAGGAATTCAAGACCAGCCTGGACAACATAGCAAAACCCCATCTCTATCAAAAATACAAAAATTAGCCAGTCTCATAACCCAGTCTCAAAATAAATAAACTGATTTTAAGATACTTTTTAAAAGAAAATTAAAAAAAAAAAAAAGAATTCAGAGATGGGACCTGGGTAAGTCTTCTCCTGTGTTTCTGGTGCAGCAGTGGATTAACATAAGGGACACTCCTTCACCTTCCCTGGTAGGAGATGCCAGCAGCCCTGGTGAAACGACTCCTCTACCCTTCCTTCTCTGAGCCTGAGTAGGTGGGATTTCCAAACAGCTCAAGGCTTCATGGAGGAAGAGCACTGAAGTGGAGCCACACAAAACTTCCTATACCTGGGTAGGGGTGAGGGCTAAGAGGAAGCTGGAATTGAACCTCGTCGCCTTCATAGTTTCCACAGGAGCGAGACCCAGCCTTTTGCTGCAAAACTGATTTTGGAGTGGAAGATCCAGGTGGCAGAGCCATAGCGGCCATGTAGCTAATTCACTGCATGACTTTAGGCAAGTCGTTTCCCCTCATTTGAGAATTGATTCTTCTAGCTCCAGGACATCCAGAGCATCCTCTGGCCCTGAGCCAGTCCAGGGATGAAGATGGGGAAAGCGGAACGTACACCTTTAAGGCCGTCATCCCACCCTTAATGGAGTCCACATGCCAGCTGTCCCATTGCCAGGTCCTCAGGCCAGCAGTTGCCATGGTGTGTGGACTCAGAAGGCATGTTGCTATAATAAAATGTGTTTATTTGAATACGAAGGTCAGGGAGTTAAGTAGTTGGTATTCCAGTCGTATAGAGTCGTTTGCACAGTGTCACTAATAATTAAAGAGGGTTTTGACTAATCTAGTTGCTCTTCCTAAATATACTCTGCTCAAGAAACTCATCAAAGCAGCAAAGTAATCTTTGAGGTTATTAATCTCCTCTGCTTCACAGCTGGGGCAAATTTATTTGCTTGAATTAGCATGTAATAAACTTATAATAAAGCTGCCAGAGCCCCAGCTTGGGAGAGATCGGCTCCATGTAATGGGTAGTTACATCTAGGAAATGGGGCGCTAGTCCCTAGGCCACTGCTGCAAGCCTGCTGGGGCTGGGGGCCTCCCCCAGGGGCCACACAGAGAGGGGCCACCAGGCATGGGAGAACCTGAGATGGAGCCGAAGGGAGCTTTGCAGACTGGTGACTCTACCTCCTCATCTCTGCCCCTCCCCATTGCACAGGTGAGGAAACTGAGGCTCAGAGAATGGAAGGATGTGCCTGACATTGAGAAGAGGGCAACTCTGGGAGCCCAAGTTAGAATCCAGGCGGGAGGCATGGCTGCCCATCCACCCCTGCCCAGGGGTTGGCAGTCCTCACGGTCGGGAGTTTTCCACCCAGGTTCTACTAAGGACCCCTGTCTGTGTCCCTTACTTCCCTTTTATCTGCCCCTCTACCTGTCTTTTCCTTACACTACAACTCCACCAAGACTTGTTTGCCTTCCCTGCTTCTCCATTTTCCAAGGAATTGCTGCCCCTCTGCCCTGTCTGGAGGCCTGTCTGGGCTGTCTGTGTGCTTCCTGGCTGCAGCAGCCTTGTTGGTCCCTGATCTGTCGGCATGCGGAGAGTCTGCAGGAGGGACTCTGCAGTGTCTTCTGAGCCTTGGCATACAGAGGAGCCATCAGGCTGGGTGATGGGCAGCCTCGGGTGGGGGCCTGAGAGTTTCTTCTACTTCTCCTTTTCCTTTCTCCTTTCTTCCTGCCCCTAGGAAACCAGCTCCATCTGGTCTTTGAGATTTGCTTCTGGAGTTTGAGGCTGGGGAGATATTGTCCTGATTCCCATCTGGGGTGGGAGTGGTAGGTATGGGTGCTGGTAGACCCTCTCTTCTTAAAGGGGAGCAGCTACAAGACAACAACCATTCTCGCCACCTTGCATAGCATTGCTTTGAAGGATTATACCAAAAATAGCCTATTCCATGAAGTGAGGACAGGAGAAAAAGAAGAAGATAAAGAGGACAGGCAACACCATCCTACCTCTTACATAGCCATGCTCCTCATCCCCCAATCCCATCCTCCAGCTCCTTATCCCCTTCCCCTCATCCCCCATTCTTTTATCCTCTCATCTCCCTACCCCATCCTCCCCTATCCCTTCATCCCCCATCTCCCATCCCCCCAGCCCCTTGTCCCCTTTTACTTATAGTCTTTGGAGGAGAATAGAAGGGGAAGCAGGAGAAGAGCGGCTTCCTGGAGTTCTTGCAGACCCTGAACCTTGCTTCAGACACCTCTAGGACACCAGCATGAGGGATGCCTTCCAGCAAAGCTTACACCTGCAGCATTCCCAAAGTCACAGACATTTCTTCTCAAGCAATGGATAATAAAAATAGAGTAACTCATCACCGGAGTCTTGAAACTCTAAACACTGAGAACCACCTATCCGGGTCAAGTTCTCTCTTTTTTTGAAGGTCAGAGAGAATAAGTGACTTGCCTAAAATTACACAGCTACTAAGCTCAGGGCCAACAGTGGAACCAGGCGTTCTAACCCCCTCTTGGGAGTCTCCTCCCACCATGCCAAGCAGCCTTAGACAGGGGCACATGATGAGAGTCCCCTCCTTGCCAACCAACATGTTGACCTATATTCCAGGACCTGGATGGCTCCCTAGTTTTCCAAATCATTTACTCAAGGGCCCTCAAACCCCTTCTTCCCATTCAATTTCCTCATTACTCCTTAAAAGTGATAGTCTAAGAGGTGCCTTATCTTGGAGTCTTTATGCCTGGCACAGCTCATAGAAGCACAACATAGACTATGTGGTATGGTAGAACTAGACCTGGCCTGTGAGGTGCCTGGTGCTAAAATTTAGGACAAACCCAATGGTAGGTGCTGTTGGAGGAAGAAGAGTCTGGCAGGAAGAACATAAAACCTGGTGGATAGCACAGATATCATCCTGGTGGTGCTTAGCATCGGGGAGCCCCATTCATTGGGGACAGGTTGCCCCAGCCCATGGACAAAACTCTTGCTCCATAACTGCCCACACAGACGAGCTAAGTTCACATCTTCACCATCATCAAGGTGGTCTAGGTCAGCTCAGCCAGGAGGGTTCTCCCCACCACCCTTCACAGTCCTCTGATTCTACCCGGAAGCTAAGGAGCAAATAATTTTAGCCCTTTCTTGGTGGAGATGGCAACGGCTGGATCCTAGCTAAGGTATCAGAGGTGTCAGTGTCAAAGGAATGGCAGAATGGCCTAAACTTACCCTATGGTGATAAAGTCATTAAGAAAGGAGGCAGGAGCTAGAGAGGCCTTCAATTATTTTTCATCTCCCAAGCTTTCTGTGGAAACCCTTGGTGAGATCCTTATTTTCTTCGACAAAGGAGTTTTGGGAATGAAGTGGAAAAGAATAGAGTCTGCCTTCACAAGAACTAGTTAAACAAGTCTTTGTGGAAGAGAAAAATCGTCAGAGGAGGGTGAACCCAGACTCAAGTCAGGAGAGCTTGAAAAAACACACAAAAACCATGTTGTCCACAACCTGAAGGGCTTCTGAGCTGTCGTGGGAGCAAGAAGAATCTGCCAACTGGAGCGGATGGTGACATGGGACTGGGTGGTAAGGAGGAAGCAGAAACACCTCACCTCTTCACTGAGTTCCAAATGTCTGTATCACAGAGGACGGTCTTCAAACACAAAAGGGTCAATCAAACACAGTTAAGAGAGAATAGATCCATTCCTGGAATTCTGTCTAAAGGAAGGAATCTTCAGTAGGAAAAAAGGCATGCACAAATTATTGCAGTGTTGTTTAATGAAAAATTGGAAACAAATAAAAGGAAGGCCCCAAACAAGAGACAATTTAAGCAATCTACAGAGCGTCCAGTCTATGGACTCTTACAAAGCAATCAAAATGCCTCCAGACTTTGTAAGAGCCTGGAAACTACATGCTGACATGTTAAGTAAAAAATAAATAAACAGGCCGGCGCGATGGCTCACGCCTGGAATCCCAGCAACTTTGGGAGGCCGAGGTAGGCGGATCACCTGAGGTCAGGAGTTTGAGACCAGCCTGGCCAACATGGCAAACCCCCAGCTCTACTAAAAAAAAAAATAAAAAATTAGCCAGGCATGGTGGTGCACACCTGTAATCCCAGCTACTCAGGAGGCTAAAGCAGGAGAATCGCTTGAAACTGGGAGGTGGAGGTTGCAACGAGCCAAGATGGCGTCACTGCACTCCAGCCTAGGTGACAGAGCGAGACTCCATCTCAAATAAATACAAACATGCATAAATTATTAAATAACAGGAGGTAAATTTGCTTAGACAGTTCACACTCTATTATGAGCATGTACTACTTTTTATTTTATTACCTTTATGTGAGAAAAACTGTGGCATATGATATTTTGAAAATCTTTATAAGATATATTTAAATTATATTATCATATGTTTAAGCAGTCTAACACAGACTACACCTAGAAAATAGGTGGAGGGTACACTAAATTATAAGTCAGGTAATGTCTCAGAGGTGGATATTTCCTAAATTTTCTACAAAGAATACATCTTTATTGTATTATATTGGGGAAAAAATCTCAAAAGTTTTATTTCAGGAGAGAAAGAAGGAGAAAGGAAAGGAGGGAGAGAGAGAGAAAGGAAGAAAGGGGAGGAAGGAAGAAAGAAGGGGAGGGAAGGGAAGGGAATTGGACTCAACATATGTAAAGTCCGAGAAACTCTGGTCTTCTGAGTTCAGTTCTCCAGACACAAGATCCCAGGGCAAGAAGCTCGGGACAAGTACAGAACGCCTGGCAGGCAGGCATCTTTGAGGGATGATAGCAAGTGAAGAGATGCCGAACTATTGACAGCCCGTACTCTGAGTTTTAAAAGAAAACAAAACATTAAATCCCAGTAACAACAGGCTGGTAAGTTTGATAACAATCTCTGGTAAATTTCTAAGCATGAGGACTTACAGAAGGGAAAGGGGCAATCCCTAGAGGCCAGCATGAGTTCACCAAGGCTGAGCTGTGCCCCACTGGATTCCTGTCCTGGAGGGACAACTAAGAGAGGAGGGACGAGTAGGTGCCTTTGACAAAGGGCACAGTGTGGCCATTCGAGTGTCAAAGCCGCTCGGGTCCTGAATTAGAAGGTGAAGTGTTGCCTACCTAAGGTTCAGGTGCCGGGCAAGCAGGTGGGGCCGCTATGTCAGCTCAGCGGGCATCTCCGACAATACCCCAAGGCTCAGCCCTTGACCTTGTCCACCTCAACCCTTTTCTCAGCAACTTGGATGAAGTCAAATGGAAGATGTGCTTATCAGATTTGCCGTTGACACAAAGCCAGAGGGATTGTTAATAGAAAGGATGGCAGAATCAAGATTCAAAAACATCTTGACAGGTTGAAATAATAGGCTGAAAACATGTAAAAGGGATAAATGTAAATTCCTGCATTTAGGTTTAAAAAAAATTTTAATAAACATCGGACATGAAAAAGGAGGCTTAAAAGCAGAAAAGACAGCTAGGTAGGAGCCAGTGGGGCATGGTTAGTGTGCAGATCAAGGGAAGGCAGAAAGAAAAGAAAAGAATATTTGCTAAGTGTATCAGAAACTGTACTAGATGCTTTTTTATTTATCTGAGACAGAGTATCTCTCTGTCTCCCAGGCTGGAGTGCAGTGGTGCAATCATAGCTCACTGCAGCCTCAACCTCTTGGGCTCAAGAGACCCACCTACCTTAGCCTCCTAAGTAGCCAGGACTACAGGTGCACCCCACCACACCTGGCTAATTTTTTCATTTTTTGTAGAAATGAGGTCAGTCTCGCTGCGTTGCCCAGGCTGGTCTTGAACTCCTGGGCTCAAGCCTTCCAAAGTGCTGGGACTGAACTCCCAGCACTCTGCCCAGTTTGCCCAGGCTGGTTTTGAACTCCCACCTCAACCTTCCAAAGTGCCGAGACTGCAAGTGTGAGCCACTGCACCTGGCTTCCATCTAACTTTTTTATTTCTTATTTGTAGAGATGCCATCTTGTTATGTTGCCAGGCTTATTTGCTGTAAATTATTGCACACCATGTCTATGGGCCAGACATTATCACTGAGCCCATTTTACAGATAAGAAACTGAGACTCGATTATATCATTAGCTGATTAAATGATTCATGTCAAGCTATTAAGTGATTCATATTAAGCTACAAAGTGATGGAGTCAGAATTGGAACTCACGTCTTCCTGTCTCCAGAGCTAACACTCTATCCCTCCTCTGCTTTGGGAGTAAATCTTGGTTAATCTATGTTAATCACAATGATTCCTTTCTCCTCATCAGTAATGGTTTTCAAAATGGGTCATCATTTACCTCTTGCCAATGAGACATGGAGATAAATATGTTGGTGGAGTTTCCAGTAAAGTTTTCTACTTTCTTAAAAATAAGCCCAAGAAGCATCTGGCCCTGCTCCTCTTCCGCCTCTAAGTGTTGTCATCATGTAGGATCTGGAACTGCAGGAGCCATCTGGGCACCTCAAGAATCTGGCATTAGATGAAAAGCCAGATGTGGAGGATATGGGGTGGAGAGGCACTGACCTAACCAAGGCCACCCAGGGCTTCTCCTTGGGAGATGATCCATTTTCCTGACTGTTCAAACCCCTTCTGCTTGGGTTTTCTGTCAGACTCTACCTGTATGTATCCTGACTAATACCCAAGGCTGAGTGAGTCGCCTCTGCCAGCCCTGGCAAGGCCACATTTGGAGTCCCACACACATCCATATACAGCTGGGCCCATGGGTTGCTTCAGCCCTGCAGGCTCAGACCTACCTCTGTTCCCAGGGCCCAAGGTCCCTAGGATCTACCTCCCTTGGCCCTGTGTGTGGGCTGGGGGTGGGGATGGAGGGTGTCCAGCCCTGTCCTCTGCTCTGTCTTGTTGAAAGGTCACCAGGCAGTGCTTTGCCCAGGCCTGAGAGATGATGACAGCATGTAGGGAAAGCTGTGAGCCAGAAAACAAGGGGAAAGTGTGGAGGTGAGACTTGGGCTCCATTCACTCATTTAACTAAGTCATTCACACACTTGTTTATTCATTCATTCAACAACTATTAATACTGTATATATTGAGCATCTAATATGTTTAAGTGCTCTGTCCAAAGACTTAGCACAAAGATTGGGAAACTTTTTCTATTAAGGACCAGTTAGTAAATATTTTCAGCTTTGTGGGCCATATGGTCTCTGTTGCAATTACTCAGCTCTGCCTTATAGAACAAAAGCAGCAATAGATAATACGTTTTTAAAAGTGGGCGTGGCTGTATTCCAATAAAAATTACAGTTGTTCCCCTTTATCCACAGGGGATAAGTTCCAAGACCCCCAGTGGATGCCGAAGCCATGGATGGTACCAAACCCTATGCATGCTATGTTTTTTCCTATACATAGATACCTATGATAAAGTTTAATTTATAAATTAGGCACAGTAAGCAGTTAACAACTAATAACAAAGTAGAATAATTATCACACTCTACTGTCATAAAACTTATGTAAATGTGGCCTCTCTCTCTCAAAAATACCTTATTGTACTGTACCAGAGGTAACTAGAACTGCAGGTATTGAAACTGTGGATAAGGAGGGACTACTGTATTTACAGAAGCAAGTGGTGGGCCAGATTTGGGCACTGTCTGTAATTTGCCAATTCCTGACTTAGAACATACAGTTGGAGAAGGTGGTGGTAGATGCTATAGATTAAATAAAGCTTTGAATAGCAGCAGAGAATATGAATTTTATTGAATGGCTGATGGGAATTTGAAGAATGTTTATGCTGGAGAACAATGAGATCAAGGTGGGTGATGGAGGGATTGATTCAGCACCAGCTTCTTTGCCAGGCACTCATGATTCCTTCACTTACTGAATGAATATTTATTGAATGTCTACCATGTCCAGACACTGTCCTAGGTGTAGGGCAGACAGTGGTGAGCAAGGCAGTCAAGATGCTTATCTTTGTGGAGCTTATTCTCTCCCAAGTTCTCAGTGCTTTGTGATCTAGCCCACGCCTACCCTGCCAGCCTCAAATTCTCCCACTCCCCACCCACTAAACCACTCAAAATTCCTGAATGTTCTTTCCCACTTCTGTGACTTTGCACTTGCTGGTGTCTCATCCTGGAATGCCTTCATTCCACCTTGTCCACCTGCTGAAGGCCTTAGAGCCCAGCGGAGTCTCCTCCTTGTGAAGCCTTTGCCCCCAGCTTTCCCTGGGAGAGAGTTGGTCACTCCTTCTGGGCTTCCCCCACACTTTGTACCCACTTTAGCTCAAGTGCTTCTCATGTGACATTGGAATTATTTGTCCATAAGCCTTTCACTTCTATAAGAGCATGGGTTTCCCAGGGTGCTGCGTCCCCAGCACCTGGCAGAGGCCAGGCATATCAAAGTGGCCCAACAAGTGTTTGTTGAATGAATGAATGAATGAATGAATGAATGAATGAATGAAAATATCTTTGGGAAAGGAGAGAGTTATGCCAGAAAAAAGGTGGGAAACCTCAAACCTGAGAAGAAGGATGTCTGCCATCTTAGGGATCTAAATGCTTAAAAGATGCAAGGGATTTTATTTACAGGCTTAAAACTCCTGTTGAAAATTATTTGTTGAGCGTGAACAATAATACAGTCTCTCCCTCTCTGAAACGCCATGGTGAGGGCTCCTTTGTCTGATAAAGGGCTGTCGGGAGTGACTGATGGGCTCCCGCCGGACAGCTGAAACCTCTACTCCTGACAGCACGAGTGATAGCCGAGTGGAAGCTGACCCCAGCTGACACAGTCATCTTAAAATATCTCCAGAAGACCAACAATGAAGGAGTCTGTGATGTCAGGGCTCAGCTGGAGACCAGACCAAAAGGACCCCAAGAAATTAGCCCTGGGTGAATTGTATTCCAGGAAGCAGCTTAATATCCAGTCAGAATGAATGAAAGACCATCATCAGCAATATCAAGAAGCGTTTATTCAGCATGTATTGGCATGTGGTACTAGATTCAGTTCAGATCCAGATCCAGAGAATAACATAGACCCAACCGTTCTCCAATGGCACCTTGCAACACACAAAGAAATGTAAGGATTCAGCCATTGCTATGGGCCTTTCTCGGTTACAAAGAGCTTTCAGCAGCACAGGGAAGGAAATAGAACAGGTTTGAATATTATTTCCACTTCAGAGGTGAGGAAACCGAGGCCACTGGAGACCTCCCAGCACAGACTCAAGCCCATGTCCAGGGCTCATGCCCCACCAACATGCCTGTTCAGGAAGGGACTCTAAAGACATGGAAAGGACAGTTTCTGCCTTTGGAAACCTATAGTTTCACAAGGAGCCCACAGATGTCAGGAAAGCAGAGCCACATTGGTATGTGCAGCAAAGAAACCAGTGTGCAGGAAAGGCATGTGCTTGTGGTTAGCAGAAGGCAGGGTGGTCAGGGACACCTTCGCACCTCCCCTCACTATGCCTCATTGCCCTCGGTGTAAACCAGGAATATTGCTTCCTTGCCAAGGAATAGCCAGAGAGGTCACAGTGGAGGCAGGAGTCCTCGGTCTAGTGGCTCCTGCCTCGCCACAGGCGTGCCGCAGAGCTGCAGGCAGACTGGAACCAGAGAGAGCAATCCTGTCACCAGATCCCGGCCTCACCATCCCCACCGCAGAAGGCCTGAGTTCCCCGGGTGCCCTCTGCCCCAGCACCTCTTCCACAGGCAGTTGGCTTCCTGGAACCTCAGCGCAAAGATCTCTGCAGAGCCCCAGAATGGATCCACAGGGTTTCTCAGGGAAAGGGCAGACAGGCTGAAGCCTGAGAGTGCAGGGAACCCCCACCAGGCTAGTAAAGGTCACAAGGACAGAGAGGCGGCCTGCTCCAACAGACAGACAGAGCAACCGGGGAGAGGGTCCCTAAAGACTCGCAGATGGAAAGGTCTGTCCTCAGCAGTGCACTTGACTACAAGACCGTCCTTCTCTGACTAGGACTTACGCTGAGGCTTTAATTATAGCTTGTCACTCATGCACCATCCCCGGGAGATGGCTGAGCAGGACGGCAAAGGAAATGAAACTCTCGCTTCAGATGGCTCATTCTGTCTGTCAGGAAATTTCAAACTCACAAACAGTAATATCCTGAATTGTGGCAGAGCAGTGCCTCCTGAGCGCTCAGCCTGCTCCCCGACCCAGCCCCTGCCTCCCGGTCCAGGCCCCACCAATGAGTCACTCCTTGCTGGGGTGGGACAGCTGCTGCCAGAGGCCATTCCTCACCCGATCCCAGCCAGGCAAAGTGACTGACGCAAGGTCACCCAGCAGACAGTTGGTGGAGCAGGGAGAGCTGTGAGCATTGCATTGCTGTGAGCATAGCATTGTAGGTTCTTTTCTGACACTTCAGCATCCCAGAAGGGTAGGCCGCAGCCATGATAATAGGAACAGTTTGTGATCCTCTCTGTCTGCCAGGAGCTAAGGCTCTGTGTAAACCACCTCACTTAATCCTCTCGGCAGCCCTCATGAATTGGTTTGTAATTAGTATCCTCACTTTTCATGAAGAAAATCCAAGACTAGAGAGCTTGTTCAAGGTCACACGGCTAGAACCAGGTCTTGAACCCAGGTTGCCCAACACCGGAGCCTGTGCTCCTAAGCCCATACTTGTCCTTATACTTGGACCCGGATAAGTAGGTGGCAAACCTGGAGTTCTAGCCATTCCCTTCTGCCAAGGGGCACAGATTGTTTCTGGAAGCATTCAACAAAGGGCATCCCCCACATGACAGAGACAGACTGTCCTTGAGCTCGGCTGTGAGTGTCAGGGGTAGAGGGGTGGTGTCCTTGCATCTGGTCCTCAAGGTTGGCCTGTTGCGGTGCTGTTGGCAGGGAGGGGAGCTGTGGCTCAGGCCTGGCTCCCGGCAGCTCAGCCATGAGATCTGTGCTCTCACTGGGCAGCTTCACATCTCTCAGTCCCTGGGTCTTAAGTGGGACATTTAGAATGGACTGGGGTTAGGCTTAAAACAGGACATCAGAAACTTGGGGCCAGTGTGACCCAGAGGAGCACGAGGCATGCCACACAGACCCCTTCCCAGCAGCAGGGCCCAGAGACCACTAGCCTCTCTGCTGGCAGTCTCCCTGGGCCACCTAGGAATAAGCTGCTTTGGATTACCTAAGTCGCCAAGGTTTCCACCTGGTTTGGGAAAAGAGAGGAATTTCAGCCTTAAGACACTCCAGGGCAAGAAAAATCAAGTACAGTGCCAATGGGGAAGGGCAAGCTGCGATCACACCACTGCACTCCAGCATGGGCAACAGAGTGAGACCGTCAAAAAAACAAAACAAAAAAAAAACGCCAGGCACAGTGGCTCACGCCTGTAATCCCAGCACTTTGGGAGGCCAAGGCGGGCAGATCACCAGAAGTTGGGAGTTCAAGACCAGCCTGACCAACATGGAGAAACCCCATCTCTACTAAAAATACAAAATTAGCCATGCGTGGTGGTGCATGCCTGTAATCCCAGCTACTTGGGAGGCTGAGGCAGAAGAATCGCTTGAACCGAGGAGGCAGAGGTTGCAGTGAGCTGAGATCACGCCATTGCACTCCAGCCTGGGAAACAAGAGCGAAACTCCATCTCAGCGACAACAACAAGAACAAAAAACCTCCAGCAAGTTAGGCTCCTGAGGGCAGGACTTGGTAAGAATAGAATGCTCTGAGTATTTCAAAATGTTTTATTTTCCCCTCCCCACCACTAGATTTTTCTGTGCGATTCACTGTGATGACCAGGTGGGCCATGGGGACCTGGTGACTGGGTCCCCCCTGAGGCTCTTCTCTCTCAGGTTTGCCCATGCAGAGCCTCCAGGAATTTGTCAATTACAGGGCATGTTTTTACCCCAGAACTGGTTGCCACAGAAGTTTCTGCTCCAGTAAGTTGTGATTCTCTGTATCCACCTGTCTTTACAATTTGGGGTGCAGTGGTTTGCCCGGTGACCTCAATTCTGTGGTGGATCTAAGAAGACTTGCTTTTCAGTTTGTCCAGTTTTGTACTTGTGGTTAGGATGGAGTGGCGGCTTCTGAGCGCCTTCGTGGCATGTGTCTGTGGAAAGGCCTTGTGTGATGTATTGAGTCCAGTGGACTCGGTTCATTCATTCAGTGCCCTCTTTGTGCTGGCATTGACTCAAGGTCTGCGTTCTTCGTCTTGCTATTCCTCACCTCCCAGAAGGAAAGGTGTTACAGACGTCACTTTACAGACAAGAAAAACTGGGGACCAGAGAAGTTAGGCCATGCAGCTGTGAGGGTGAAGGTTTGCACGACTCCAAAGCCCACATGTCCCTATGCTGATCACGTGCTGCCGCTCACTCTTAACGGTTTTGTCCCTCTCCCTGCAAATGCCCTCTGATCAGCCAAGCACACAGACCCACCCCTGGTCCCATGAGGAGGCTGTGGAGCACTCCATCTGTGCTCGGGTGAAGGGTTAAGCTGCCTCCCCTCATGGGAGGGAGGGTGCTGGCAGCCCCCTTATGGCAAGGTCCGGTTCCTGGGAAATATGCTCAAGTGGTGCATTATAGTTTTATGAATCCAGCTCCTTCTGTTGTCCTGATTGAAGTACAGAATGCCTGGGGCAGGCTGCCCTCCTTCACAGACCCATTTGTCATGGGAATTGATTAGAAAAGAAAAAGGCAGCTTGATGGCTTGATTGCATTTGTTTGAGGCAGGAGGAGGACTGCCACCTGTCTCTGCCACCTTCGGCTTGGCCGGACCAAAGGAAGTGCCAGCTCTTTGTCCCAAAGCAAGAGTGCCCTGAGGAGTGCCACAGATGCTGGGGGGAGCTGGCGGGGTCAACATGGTAGGGAAGCAGGGTCTCCTGAGCCTGGGGTTTGGGGCAGCGATGTGCCCTCTTGGCCTTGGAGGAGGCGGGGACACAGAGGAGCATCTGCTCTGAGGCCACTCGCCAGAGGCTTCAGAAGGGGGCTGCTCTGCCTTCAGGGTCAGAGGCAAAGAAAGGGGGCAGCTTAGTCTGTTACTAAGCAGAACCTCCCACACCAAGTGGCAAGGGGGCAAGCCCCAGGAAATGGAGGGTAGGATGAGGGAGGGTAGCCTTAGGGGTTCACTGTCCCCACATCCAGACTGTCCCAATGTGGCAACGGAGTGTGCCACTCAGCTCCCCCCACTTCTGTGTGATTCACTGTGAGGTAAAGCTCAGACCCTGAGCAAGGCAGCCACGATGCTTGAGCCACCTGCAGGCAGCAGGGCTACATTTATCCGCAGGTCCTGGGAAAGTCACAATATCTCAGACCATTGGACCCACCTCGTCGTTCAACAGAGGAGGGACTTGCCCAAGGGCACACAATGACACTTGGCAGAGCCAAGACCTGACCCACCTCTTGACTCCCAGATGAGGTGGCAAGAGAGAATGGGATCAACCACTGTCCTTGGCCATCAGGACTGTGAGGAAAAGAATAGCACCCCTTGCCAGGGTAAGCAGCTGAATTCACCTTGGCCTTCAGCAGGGAGACCCAGGCCTCTGACAGTCCGTCCTCTTGGCCTCCTTCCAGCAAGCCCCTGTTTCAGGTTCTCACACGTCTACACCCTGGCCATTGCTGCTCCAGGGCTGAGAGGTGCTGCAGGGAAGGAAGGAGGGAGGAGGGAAGGGCAGGAGGAGGGCAGTCCGTGCCAGGAGACTCAGGGGACACTGAGATGGAAGAGCAGGCTTATTGACCCACCACATACTGGCTCGGATTTCCATATTCAGCACATACTGGAAGAATAAACTCATTGAGATGCCACATTGCTTTCCAAGACATCCCAAGAGGCACAGGGTTGGAAAGGCCTAAACAGAGCTGGGAGTGTTCCTCCACTGTGAGCAGAAGGCAGGAAGACACCTCCTCTGGGACTGGCCAGCAGAGGCCTCACAGCTCCCTGCAGCCTCGGACACGTGGTGCCCTCAGCTGTCCCTGAGGTCCAGCAGAGCCGCCCGTGGAGCTCTAACTCCAGGAGATTGTGCACACATAAGGTGGATAGAGGGAACGCACTCTGGGGAAACAGGAACCCATCTTCCAGCTCTTACACACCTCTTCCTAGAGACTGCTGAATATCTCCCATGCGCCAGGTCTGGGGATAGTTGGATGTGACTATAATTCAGAAACTTCTTCCAAAGGGCTTATAGTCTGATGATGCAGGTGACTGCAAACAGGTGACTGCAACATGGTGTTTAAAAGGCCGAGATGCTGGTAAGCAAAGGTGTTATGGAAATACAGGGCTTTTAGCCAGAAAGGAGGGTCAGGGCAGGAGGCTTCCTGCAAGAGCTGAGTCTGAGAGGACAGGGAGGAGTTAGCTGGTCTGAGTGGTGTGACCTAAGGCAGAGGGCAAAAGCAGCACTGGGCCTAGACACAGAGCTGGGAAACAGCATGTTGTGCTTGGAGGATTAGAGGATGGTGGTGTTGTCAAGCTCAGAAGGGGAGGCTAGGGAGGCAGCTGGGGCCAGGGCTGCAGAGCTCAGATGAGCTTCCAGGGCAAAGGGCAGCATGATGATCAGAGTCTGGTCCCTATGGGGCCCATCTTCTGTGATCCTTTCCCCTTCCATGGGTGCTGTTCCTTTCCTGGCCATGTGCTGCCAGAGGGACCCCAAGGCTCCACCTGTCATGTGGCCCCATCCAATGTCACCCCTAGGCCCTGTAGGCCGAGTCTATGCAGCTCATCTGTCTCCCACCCACGGCCCCTCAGTCAGTCCATCCACAAAGTCTCCTCTTCACTTAAGGACACAGAACTCCCAAGGAAGGGAAGAGCCTGTAGCTGGCATCTGCTCCATGGGGCCCTTTAGATCCAGGGGAGAGATATGTGGACAGGGCACTGCCAAAAGTTAGACCCCCCAAAAGCATGGAGAAGGCCCACCAGGGGTTTGATGGAGATGACAACCTGAGAGCCGGCATTTGTCTGTTCCTGGGGCTTCCCACCCTGGCTGCACATTGCGATCATGAGGGTTGCTCTCCTGAGTAGCAACCCCTGGGCTCTCCCCAAACCAGTTAAATGGATTCTCAGGGTGAGTCCCAAGCATGGGCATTTTTAAAAGCTCCCTAGGTGATTCCAGCAGGCAACTCAAGCTAATAACCACCAGTCCATACCAACCAACTCAGATCCCATCTTTCTTGTTATGCCTTCTTCCTCTAATCTCACAACTTCTATCTCTCCCACTGGCTCTCTCCTTCCACCTGTTCCTTCTCTTCTTCTCCAAGGCTGACCCCTCTGCTAAGCTCTGGATCTCATCTCCTCCCATCATCTGGGGAACCAGACTCCAAAGAAAACAATGATACTAATAGTCATAATAATAAGAGCAGCAGTATTCATGGAGTGCTTAATATGTACCAGGCATATGAATGTTCTCATTTGGATTTTGTCCTCAGAACAACCCTTTACTATAGGTACTATCATTGTCCCTCATTTCAGAAAAAGAAACTGAGTTCCAGGGAGGTTAAGTATTAAATCATATAAGCCCAAGGCCCTGGCACTACTGAGCAGCAGGAGCAGGACTCACACCCAGGTGCCTGTGGCACTGACGCCTAGTCCTTAGCTGTCGTGGAGACCACCTCTCCATTGCTATCTTGGGCCTCCCTTGTCTGCAACCTCCATGACTTGCACTTCCTTGGCAGGTTGATCTGCCTTCATTCTCATTCTTTCCATGCCAGCCACTGAGTTAGCCTGCAAGTTCCAGAGCAGACACTGGGCGCTCTGTGTCCCTTGTGTCTCCACAAGGTATCCCCAGGTACATGCTCAGGGCAGGTGAGCCCTGGGCCCCCAGGGCTCTGGAAGGGCTTTGTTATAACCTGCTTACTTGTCAGTCATGCCAACCATATGGTGAGCCCTTCAAGGTAACACCTATGGTCTTACTTTTTAGGGAGGAGAAAAGGATCATCTGACTTAAATAAACTAAAATTTCCAAAAAATTCCACCGGCTTGAAAAATGCTCCATTGTACCCAGATGTCTATTTGATGCCTAAAGAATGCAACTGCTTGCATGTAGCCACTCCATCCACACTGTTTCCCCCTTGCCTATGGGGCTTTGTGCCATGAGGATGATCAGTAAGACATTTTTAGGTTTCTGCCCTGGTTAGAGTGAGAAGGAACCTGGCGGGGGGGGGGGTGTGACATGGGGCACAGCAGACGTGTGTGCTATGAGGCATGCAGAGGAGAGATGTGTGGGTGTGGGTATGGGTATGGGACATGGGGTGGCAGGCATACAAAGTGTGTGCATGGGTGTGATGTATGTGTGAATGGTGTGATGGGTGTGTCTCATGGGTGGCACATGTCTGGGGGTAATTTTTGTGCAGTGCATTGAGTGTGGTTTGCTGTATGTATGATTTGCAGATGATGTGATGTATATTTGTTATGTGGTGTGTGGTATGTTTCTATAGCATGTGTGGCATATATGTGATACGTGGTATGAATGTGGCCTGGGATATGATGTGTGTGATCACAGTGTGTGAAAGGGTGTGAGGTATGGGGTCATTTGTGTGTGGTGTTGGGTATGAGGTGAGTGATCTGTGACATGAGGAAGGAAAGAGATTTAGCCCCTCTCATCTCACTTCTGGCTTCTCTGCTCAGCCTGGGTCCTGTATGCACCTTCACTCATGCAGTAAGACTCACAGACTAAGACCCAAGGTGTCCCATCCTGAAAGTGACACAGCAGCCATCCCAGGAAGGGAGAGCTTGGGCTCAGCACTCCCCATCAAGGTAAAACCAGACTTTCTTCATTTTCTCAGCTGCTGAGAGCCCTGTAACCTGGGAGCTCAGCTTCAGGAATGCCAACAAGGAGAGGACAGAGTCCTATAAATGGTCAAGACCCCACTGCCTATAAGCAGGCAGTGAATGGGGAAAGCCCATATCCTTAAGTCTCTTCCCAAACCCAGATGGTCAGTTGATAGGCAGAACATTGAAGACAAAACGTTGGATTGAAAATAGAATTCCTATTTATCTTCTCCAGTTCACAATGGGCTCAGCCCCATGCCTGATGTAACCCTGATAAAATCTGGACTCATGTGGCTCATCGAGAGTTATTATGACCTAGAAGCACAATGCAATGCCATTCCTTACTCTCTATCTTAGCACTACTAAAGGAGACTCAGATCCAATGGACTCCAACAGCACTTACTAAAATCCCATTCATTCTACTTCCTTCTTTCCCTGCAGCTGCTTGGGTGTAACTCTCCTCAACCCCCTGAAAAAGCTCCTCCTTGGCTCCCAGTTTGTGAAATTCTCCTCTGCTCTTCCTACCTCCTCCAGCACTTTAAGATGTAGAATAACTTGGCCTTTCTGCCAACAAGAAGGAACCATTTTTTTATAGGGGCTGGGGGTAGGCTGGTGATTTCAGGATCCTCTTTGTAGGAGAGGAATGTCAGGGAATAGCACCACATTTGAGAATCTTGGATCCTGGTGCACTAAACCATGTGGCCTATATGAGTTGCATGTTCTCCCTGGGACTCTTTCCACAGCTGTTTAAGGCAACCATTATCCTAGCAACTCACTGCTTCACAGAATTAAAATCTGCTAAAGAGCCATGCTAATACCCAGACAAAGCTTTAGGAGAAAAGAATAGTACATTGATGAGTTATCTTTCTTACCTGTCCATTAGCAAGGCAGTACCCATGGCAGTGCAGTGCAGGACAGCAGCCTTGACCAGAACTGATGGAAAGCTGCAGAGATGCCACCGGAAACTCAAATTGGAAGTCAGTGCCAGCATTTTAATACCTTTCTATAGTATTGAGTTGGGGTTTGGGGAAGGCTGGGAGGGTTTACAGGTGACATTCCTTCATTACCTAGGACAGAGAAGGAGGACACACACACACACACACACACACACGATGTTCTTGTTTCATCTTTCTACACCCACCCTCAATTTTTCTGAATCTCATTTTCCTCACTTGTAAAATGAAGGTGACAACTGCATAGAACAATCCTTTAGAACCAGACTTTGGAACCTGTTCTACCTTTTCTTACTAGATGTGAGACCTCAGACAAGTAATTCAACCACTCTAGGTCAGTTAGTGATTACTGCGAAACAAGCTACTTCAAAACTTAATGGCTTAAAACAATAATCGGTTATTATTTCTCATGAGTGTATGAGTAGCCTGGGTGGTTCTGCTGATGTGAGCCAGACTTGGCTGATCTTTGCTGAGGTCACTCATGCATCTACAGTCAGCTGGCAGATCAGCTGGGGGCTGGCTGGTCTAGGATGGCCTTGGCTGGGATAACTTGGGTCTGTTCCACATGGACTCTCATCCCCAGGATAGCCTGGGCTTGTTCTCATAATGGTGTTTATTTCCAAGAGAGTGAGTGGAAACACACCTGGGCTTTTTCAAGCCTGTGCCTGCATTAAGTTTTCTGCCATCCAATTGGCCAAAGAGTCATTCGACTGAACCTGGAGTCAGAATGGAAGAGGCCTATAAAGTTACAGGGCAAATGGCTGGATCACAGGGAGGCAAGTAATAAGTGTTGTCAGTGTAATCAATCTACCACTACCTTTAAGCTCAGTTTCCTTATTTTCTTTTAATTGAGGCGAAATTCACATAACTTAAAATTAACTTTTCTTTTTTTTTTTTTTTTTTTTTTTTTTTGACACAGAGTCTCAGTCTGTCACCCAGGCTGGAATGTAGTGGTGCCATCTCGGCTTACTGCAACCTCCACCTCCTGGGTTCAAGCAATTCTCGTGCCTCACCTACCAAGTAGCTGGGATTACAGGCGCCCACCACCACACCCGGCTAATTTTTGTATTTTTAATAGAGACAGGGTTTCACCATGTTGGCCAGGCTGGTCTCGAACTCCTGACCTCAGGTGATCCACCACCTCAGCCTCCCAAAGTGCTGGGATTATAGGCATGAACCACCGTTCCTGACCAAATTAACCAGTTTAAAGTGCACAATTCAGTGATATTTGGTACATTCACAATGTTAGGCAATACCACCTTTATCCAAGTTACCAACATTTTAGTTACCACAAAACAAAACCTCACAGTATTAAGCAGGTACTCCTCATCTCCCCCTCTGTCCTCTCCAGCACCTGACAACCACCAATCTCTTCACTGTCTCTATCAATTTCCCTATTCTGGATATTTCGTATAAATGAATAGGTGAACGGTGTCTGGCTTCTTTGACTTAACATCATATTTTTGAATTTTATCCATGTTGTAGCACATATGAGCACTTCATTCCTTTTTATGGCATAATAATATTCCTTTGTATGAACATGGCACAATTTGCTGATTCATTCATTTATTGCTGGATATTTGAGGTGTTTTCATGCTTTGGTTATTGCAAATGATGCTGTGACAACATGAATGTACAAAATTTGTTTGAGTAACTGTTTTCAATTTCTTTAGGTCCATACCCCCCAAAAGAGTAGAATTGCTGGGTCATATGACAATTTTATGTACAACATTTTGAGGAACTCAGTTTCCCTTATTTTCAAAATGGATTACTTTGTGGAGATGCTGAGAGGCTTAGAGAGTGCATGTGAAGTGTCTTGCACAGAATACGACTTCAGTAAAGGGTTTATATAACTATTCTTTTGTTCCTTCATTCAATAACCATTTATTGATCCCAGGATCAGGAATTATGTGAGATGCTAGATAGATATGTGGATATAGACGATATAAAATATCTATAAAACATATGCCTATATTTTTATAGACATATAAATATATCCCCAGGGTCCCTTCCAGCTCAGACTTACAATGGTTCCCTCCTTGGTTCTCGCCTGGTGTGTCCTTCACAAACAGAAGACAAAAGGCTCTCTCTCCCTCCCTCCCTAACTGAGTCCCCGGGAGGTGGCTGGCTTCATTGCTCCCCACCTGAATCAGTTCAGACCACCTATTTCAGATCTGTCGGCTCTTATAAATGTAGCCACACACCCGCAAAGTGAGACAAAATGGCAATGTGATTAGTGTGTGTGTGAGTGTGAATGCTCATGTGTCCCTGTCTCATTGCTTTTGTAAAGATTAATACATCAGAGCAAGCACTTACGAAGGGAAGAATAAAAAACAACAACCAGATCCAATTCTCCAGACATTCAATAACCGAATGTCACCCACATGGTAAGCAATAAAATAAAAATATATGCTTAGCAGAGGCAATATAAATATGATGTATATTTTGAAGTTGGATAACAGAACAGTGGCATAAAAATAATACCCAGTGGCAAATTCAGGAAAGAGACCTTTTAAAAACACAGAATGTCTTTGGGCTGCCATTCCTAAAATATCGCAGCGTCTCAAGCAGTAAAGGAGGGCTTGGTTTAAATCTGACAGGAGCACCTCATGTAATGAGGGCATGGAAATTCTTGCCAGCATCCCAGTGTCAAGGCAACATCTACTTCTCCTCCACCCCCCACTACTCCACTCCTGAGAGCTGCCCCCTCTACAATCTACTGGCTCCATCCTCTCTGCCTGTCTCAATAACCCCTTACTTTTCTTTCTTTCTTTCTTTCTTTTTGAGACAGAGTCTCGCTCTGTCACCCTGGCTGGAGTGCAATGGCACGATCTCGGCTCACTGCAACCTCCGCCTCTTGGATTCAAGCAATTCTCCTCCTTTAGCCTCCTGAGTAGCTGGGATTACACGTGCGTGCCACCACGCCCAGCTAATTTTTGTATTTTTAGTAAAGACAGGGTTTCTCCATGTGGGTCAGGCTGCTCTCAAACTCCTGACCTCAGGTGATCCACTGCCTCAGCCTTCCAAAGTGCTGGGATTACAGGCATGAGCCACCGTGCCCAGTCTCAACAATCTCTTACTTTTTAAAACTCCTTCACAGGCATTATTCCATTCAACCTTTACAACCTGCCTCTGAGGTTAAGAGGACAGGTATCATTATTGCCATTTTATAGATGAGGAAATAGAGGCCACATAAGTGGTCTGAAACCTAGAACTGAAACGCCACCTACCTGCCCCTCCACCCCAGAAAGAAAAAATGTCTTCCTTGTCTTAGAAACTGTCATTTTGCACTCACACGTGCATACACACACAAACACACACACACACACACACACACACAAATCATTAAAAAGATTTCTGCACAAAACCAACTCCTCCCTCTGTGGCCCAGCACAAATCTTGATTCCCAGCTACTATTTGTTTAGGGAATACAAAGCAATTTTTTGTACCAACCAAACAAAATGTAATTAGAAAGTAAATCTGGAAGTGTATTGTAAACATCAAAATATATCAACGGTAGATGCTATGCACTTCTTAAAACACACACCTTTTGCAAGTCTTAGTTCCTGAGATTCTGACCAGAAAACGGCAGTCCGAAAATGTGTGTACTTTGCCTAAGGCCTTGAAATGAGAACTCCAGGACTGAAATGCACATTGCTGCTGCAGAGGAAAGAACCACCTGTTATGTGTTTCTAAGCAAATCACTTGACCTCTCTGAGTTTTCATTTCCCCATGATAGAAAGAGTAGAAGGAGAAGATCTCTAAGTTGCTTTCTAGCCCTGAAATGCTCTAATTTTATCTCTAGAAAAAAAGACAAATGTTGCTCAGGGAAAGCCCTGTGTTGCTCACAGAGGGGTCAGTAAAATATCTCTGATGGAACCCTAACCTCTAATACATTCCTGTGGGGAAAAAGTCTATTTTAGAAACAAGAAGACAGGGCACTGGTCCTGTATCAGCCACTAATCACTATGTAACCTTGAGCGTCTCCTCTGCTAAATGAGAAATTTGGACTTGATGAATATGAGAAATAAATGTCACCTCAAGTGCCACTCTGTGACCAGTATAGATAGTGGCTACCTGGGAGCGAGATGTTGAGAAAAAAAATATGAATCTGCCTCCAACTCAAGCAGGAAGAGTGTTGGGATCGATGACTGATGCCTGCCACCTGTGGAGGGCTCCAGGCAGTGCATGTGGCCTTTGCCATCCCTGGGGTAGATCCTCTCTAAGGTGTCTTTTTACTTGAACTAATCCTTTGCGAGTAGCACACGGAAAACCAGGGGATTCAGAGTCACCGATGGACTGGAAGAAGAACTTGGCTTGTTCAACTGTTTTTATATTATCCATGGCTTGGGTTTGAATAATCTGTCCCCTGATACCACTGTATTTTAGAAATTGCTACCTAAGGCAAATTCTCCACTTTTAAACTCATTTCCTGAGTCGGTCTTTTTAAGGCCCACATTAAATATTGATCTGCCCTGGAGAGATCTAATTTATTTAGTAGAGACATGTTTGACTCCGCCAGAACTGTCAAACTCAAAAATGGGGCCATACCCCTCCCAAAGCAATAACCATTGACGATAGTGACAGACAAGCCAAGGGCACCAGAACCAGCGGCGTTCCACTGTCAGAGTCTCAGGGACAGGGCCTGCCTTCTGCTTTCACACAGGTAGCCCTCTTGCCCAAGACTATTGGAAGCTCTCTGAAAACCTTTCCCAAGAGGCTGGTTTTCTGAAAGTCAAGGTGTCCACTCTGTGCTGGCCAGGCTCGCCATCTGCCGCCCCAAGGCCTGTTGGCCCATGGTGGGGAACCCCAGAAACCTCTTCTGCTTGCTCCCAGCGAGCTCTGTTTCTGGGGCTATCGTGACCAAGCTCCAACCTTCAGACTCTGCAACCCCTCCCTCAAGTCCTGATTCTGGCCCAGGAACAGGGACCCTGGTTCTAAACCTCAGCCCCAGTGAGCTTTGGCTTGATTGACAACGCGCTGGCTGTCTCCTGTTTGCACTTAATAGACTCCAAAGAGAAAGAGAGAGAGAGAGAGGAGAGAAGGAGATTTTATCTGCTCCAGCCTGGGGAGAAGGACTCTCATGCCCCACACAGCCAGCTCAGCACACAGAGTGGATTGGAAGATTTGAGGTTCTGATCCAGCTTTGCCTTTGGATCTGGCCTCCTTCACCTCTTGCACACAGAATCACCTGCTTCCATCACCCTACACTCTGGGTTGATCCAGCTTAATTTCACTCCATGATCTAGGCTTCCAAGCACAAATGCCGAAATTCCCTTCTGGGTCTCTGGCAACATCTGTTTGAGGTCTAGCAAACAAGAATCCCCAAGGCCAGGAACAAAGCCTATCTTCTTGGGTTAGGGAACTGAATTATAATTACAAGTCTTAGCAAATTATCCTACCCTACCTGCATTCCCTCTGTTAATTCACCTAAGTATCCTGTGAGGCCCGTAGTGTCTTTATCCCCATGAGGGATATGGGGAAATTGAGGCTCCAAGTTTGTAGCCGCTGACCACATATGGCCAACTAAAATGAAATAAAACTTAAAATTTAGTTTCTAAATCCCACTAGCTACATTTCAAATGCTCAATAGCCACATATGCCTGGTGGCGACTAAATTGACAGTGCAGAATTACAGAACATTTTCGTCATTGCAGAAAGTCCTATCACACAACACTGTGAGGGGTAGAGTAACATCCCTGTGCCATGCAGAAACCGAGTAGCAGAGTTGGTACTTCAGCTAGGCCAGTTTGTCTATCCACTACCCTTTTCTGCTATTGAAAGGAATCCGAAAGGAAAGGGTTGAGATGGGCAAGAGGTCAACAAAGAAATCTCACTCTTAGAGTGAAGGTTTTTGAGGGACACATCTGAAAAGTTTAAGACCTTTTGACCACCTCCTGGTCACGTGACAGCTGTCACCAGCACCAGGGGCTACCTGGCTACCTGGTCATGATGCTGCTGTTTGCTCCATCAGACATCTCTTCCAGCCCTGGAGGGGCTTGGGGTTTGATCTCCCTGTGGCAGTCAGTTCTATCCCTTATCTCCCTGATGAAGGGGAGTCAAGCACACATTTGGGCACAAAAGAATGTCTTGCACACCCTGCCAAGCTCCTGAGACCTCTTGGAGATAGTGAAGGTCAATCAAGTTCTAGATCTCCAGTTCTGATCCATTTATCATTTATGACATGCCTTCTATGGCCCAGTCTCTAATTCAGGCACCTTTTACATCTATAACCTAGATAGTTTCTGGAGCCCATGTGGCTTCAGAATGTCCATAAACTAAAAATAATTTAAAATAATCGCAGTCTATATTTGTATCACTCAATATTAAATGGGATTTGAATGATAAATCATAACATCATTTATTTTTCTCACTGTATATTTGAATTTACACTTTATTTTATAAACAGTTTTGTTTTTGTTTCTTGAAACAGAATCTTGCTCTGTCGCCCAGGCTGGAGTGAAGTGGTGCCATCTCGGCTCACTGCAACCTCCACCTCCACGGTTCAAGTGATTCTTGGGCCTCAGCCTCCCAAGCAGTTGGGATTACAGGTGTGCACCACCATGCTCAACTAATTTTTTTCTATTTTTAGTAGGGATGGGGTTTCGCCATGTTGCTCAGGCTGGTCTCAAACTCCCGGCCTCAGGTGATCCACCTGCCTCGGCCTCCCAAAGTGCTGGGATTACAGGTGTGAACTACCACACCTGGCCAATATGTTGTTCTTTTTATTGCCAAATAACATTCCATTGTATGAACATACCACATTTTGTCTATTCATCAGTTGATGGATATTTGAGTTGTTTTCACTTTTAGGCTATTATGAATGATGCTACCATGAACACTCACATACCAATTTTTATGTGGAGATGTGTTATTATTTGCATTGGGTATATACCTACGAGTGGAATTGCTGGGTCATAGGGTAACTCTGTGTTTATCATGTTGAGAAACTGCCCAACTGTTTTCCAAGATGTCTGCACCATTTTACATTCCCATCAGCAATGGGTTCCCATTTCTCTGTATCATCACCAACACTTGTTATTGTCTAGTCTTTTGATAGTAGCCATATTAGTAGGAGTAAAATGGTATTGCATTGTGGTTTTGACTTACATTTCACTAGTGTCTAAGGATACTGAGTATCTTTTTGCGTGCTTGTTGATCATTTGTCTATTTTCTTGGGAGAAATGTCTATTCAGATCCTTTGCTAGCTTTTCAGTTGAGTTATCTTTTTATTAAGTTGTAAAAAAGTTCTTTCTCTTTTTTTAGGATACAAGTCTCTTGCCAGATAAATGATTTGTAAATATCTTCTTCCGTTCTGTGGGTTGCCTTTTTCACTTTCTTAATGGTACCATTTGCAGAACAAAAGTTTTTAATCTTGATGAAGTCCCATTTATCTATTTTTTCTTTAGTTGCTTGTTCCTTTTGTGTCATATCTAAGATTTGCTCCCATGCTTTCTTCTAAGATTTTATAATTCTAGCTCCTATACACATCACTTCTTAATGCCTTCCTTCCCCTAAGCCATTGGCCTCCCCTCATCTCTTCTATACTTCTGCTGTCCAACCTCATTCTCAGGACTCATTCTCAACTACGCACTGAAAAGACTTCTCTCTGAAAATCTAAGCCTGCCAGGTTTTCTTTCTTACGTTTCTCCATCTCCTTGTTTCCTTCTAGTTGTGTCTATTTTTTCTTTCCCATGAATAAATCTCAGCCCTTTCTGAAACAAGACCCTTAGCTTCCCCTCTTTAGTTCTGCATCAAAAAAGTCTAAAACTTGGGCTGGCTCTCTTAGATGACTAGGAATAGAAGATTGCAATCTCTTATAATTTAATATATTTCCTTTCAGCACTGTTGTACATGCCTTATCTCAATTACCTCTTAAACAAGCCTAGGAAGTTGGCCCCACAAATCCCAATTTGCAAGTGGGAAAACAGAGGCCTTGGTGTGACAGAGATGTTTGTTAGTTAAAGGATCACATCTTAAATAGAAACCTAAGAAGCTGCAGAGTTAGAATCTGTACTTGGAATTTCTGACCACAGGCTCAGTGCTCTGCCACAAAATGCTGCCTTTGCCCAGAGATTTCCACTCAGCTGCTCTCAAAGGTCATATTGATAAACACCACTCACACAAACAGGCACAGATGATGCCACCACCTCCTGTTCTATTCAACATATGTTCCCTGAGCAGCTACTCCTTGCTGGGCATTCATTGTGAGCCACATTCACTTCTGAAGCAGCCAAAAAGAGGAGAATAGGAGAGGAGATGGACAAACCCTTGTGTACCTCTTTGCCTTCTCACCTCTACTCTGGAAGACTTGCCACATCTGCTGCATGAGCCACACCCAATACATCTGGACCCTGGGAAAGTCACTCTAGACTGACACCTGGTGTCAAAAAAAAACATGCCCAAGGCTCACTGCTCTTAGCACTGGGCGGATTACTAAATGGATTGGGTCAGATCAAGAGGCAAAGCTCTGCATGTGGAATGAAGCCAATGCCCAAATCCAAACCCTTGCTTCCCAGCCACACTGCACAACTCTGCCTAGCCATGCTCCTCCCTGAGCGCTCTCTTCTTCCCAGCACTAAGTATCAATTAAATAGACAAGGCTGAAGTTGTGCCAACTGGGTGAGTTCCCTCCCCTAGCCACACACGTTTGCTTTCCTGCATCTCAGCTACCTTGCTGCTCACCCCAGCATCCCAGCTTGCAGTAGACACAGGACTTGGGGTCCCAGGGAGGACTCCCTTGTCTGCAAGTGGTTTTCATAAGATGGAGCCATATGTCTAGGATCTCAGCAGCCCTCTGATTGCTGTGGATGCTGAGGGGGAGCAAGCAGAGCCTTGCAGCTTATAGAAAACCTTTGAGAACCAACGGCTATTAGCATGGAGAAAACCATCTGTTATTTTTGTCTTCTATTTGTCTTAGAATTTCAGGGAAAGTGAGCAGTTGGGCTGCTTAACTTTATTGTTCACAGTTGGGAGCAGAAGAGTTGAAATGAGGAACTCCAGCTTCCAAAGCTACAAACCAGATTGTCTCCTCTTGGCTTTATTTTATTTTATTTTATTTTATTATTTTATTTTTTGAGACAAGGTCTTCCTCTGTTGGCCAGGCTGGAGTGCAGTGGCATGATCACAGCTTGCTCTAGCTTTGAACTCCTGGACTCAAGTGATCCTCCTGCCTCAGCCTCCCAAGTAGCTAGGACTACAGACATGCACCGCCACACTCAGCTAATTTTTTTATTTTTGTAGAGTGAGGGTCTCACTATGTTGCCCACGTTGGCCTCGAACTCCTGGCCTCCAGCAATCTTCTCGCCTTGGCCTTCCAAAACACTGGGATTACAGGCATAAGACACCACACCCAGCCTCTCCTTGGCTCTTTAATCCACCATAGGTTTCCTCTGTCCTCCAGGACTAAGGTTGCAGCTGTGAGTTGTGGCCTAATGAGGAATCCCTGGGGTCCCCAGAAGGATCTCAAAGGTTGCTCGGAAAAGGCCTCGCTCTCAAATTTTCTTGCCAGATTGAGGTGGAAGGCAAGGATCTGAGAGTGGGGAGGAGAAATGGACACAAAGACAAGCTCTTCCAGCTGCAGAATGAACAGACCAGCCTCCTCTGGCTAAAAATGACAGCAGAGATGCACTGACCTGGCATGTATGGCCTCTACCATCCTTGTTTCCTGCCTTGAGTTCCTGTGATTTGCCCCACCCACAGCCTCACCTGGATCACCCCACGGTGTGTATTATTTCTAGTGCAGGTGACCAACCATCCTTGCTTTCCCAGGACTGAGAGAGATCTTGGCCTGAGGGACTTTCAGTTTTAACACTAGAACAATCCCAATTAAACTGAACAAGTTGGTTACCCTGGACGGTGTTAACTGATTGCATCTCTAAGAGTGGCTGCCTGTTTTAATGACCAAGGGGTCGCAAAGTCTCCCTGGCACCCTTTGGGTCATCTCGAGCCTCTGACTTCAAGGGTGAAGGCTGGGTATCGGGCAGATGAAGGTGAAGCAACTGAAGGCAGTGGGTCTGTACCCACAGCACTGAGGTGTAGCTGCACCTAGACCCAGCCCATCTCCCCAATTCTCAGACCTAACTCCATGCTCCCTGCAGCCATGCGACAGCCACCCACACTGCATGACACTGCCCAGTCAGTGCCATCTCCCAGAGCTGTCTTCTTCCGGCCCTCAGTATCCATGATATAGAAAAAATAAGACTGAGGATGTGGCAGCTGGGGTTGATTACTACCAGCCTCACTAATGAAACCTTGATTTTCTTTAGATATTGGGTAACTGAAGTGTCCAGGCCCAGGAGCAGAGTTGTGGCAATTGCTTTCCTCTTTTCATAATTGGTTTAGGGCGGGCAAGCAACCCAGGTATGGCCAAAGAAATGTCAATGTCAATGGAAATCTGATGGGGCCAAACTCATCCCTTTATGAGGAGCCTACTCCTGAGATAACTAACCAAGCTCCTATGATAATAGCATTAATCTATTACCACATAAAGGCCCCACCTCCCAACACTGTTACATTTGGAATTAAATTTCAACATGAGAGGCCGGGCACTGTGGCTAACGCCTGCAATCCCAGCACTTTGGGAGGCCGAGGCGGGTGGATCACCTGAGGTCAGGAGTTCGAGACAAGCCTGGCCAAAATGGCAAAACCCTGTCTCTACTAAAAATACAAAAATTAGTTGGGTGTGGTGGTGGGCACCTGTAATTCCAGCTAGTTGGGAAGCTGAGACAGGAGAATCGCTTGAACCTGGTAGGCAGAGGCTGCAGTGAGCACAGATCATGCCAGTGCACTCCATCCTGGGTGACAAAGCGAGACTCCCTCTAAAAAAAAAAAAAAAAAAGATTCAACATGGGTTTCGGAGGGGACATTCAAACCATAGCAGTACTTACCTTCAAAGGGCCAACCATGGTGCCTGGACTATATCATATTCTTAATAACACTAAGCTCTTATATTAGTAATAATATTGTTAGTATTACCATTATTATTACTTAAGCTAAATCTTCCAAAGAAACTGCCTAAAGGCCAGGCACAGTGGCTCATGCCTGTAATCCTAGCACTCTGGGAGGCCAAGGCGGGAGGATCACTTGAGGTCAAGTTTGAGACCAGCCTGGCCAACATAGTGAAACCCCATCTCTACTAAAAATACAAAAATTAGCCAGTTGTGGTGGTACGCACCTGTAATCCCAGCTACTCGGGAGGCTGATGCAGGAGAATCACTTGAAAGCCGGGTTGCAGTGAACTGAGATTGCACCACTGCACTCCAGCCTGGGCAACAGAGTAAGACTCTCTTCAAAAGAACAAAAAAAGCAGCTGGGGGCAGTGGCTCATTCCTGTAATCCCAGTACTTTGGGAGGCTGAGGCAGGTGATCACCTGAGGTCAAGAGTTTGAGACCAGCCTGACCAATATGGTGAAACCCCGTCTCTACTAAAAATACAAAAATTAGCTGGGCATGGTGGCATGAGCCTGTAGTCCCAGCTACTCCGGAGGCTGAGACAGGAGAATTGCTTGAACCCGGGAGGCGGAGGTTGCAGAGAGCCAAGATCACACCATTGCACTCCAGCGCTCCAGGCTGAGTGACAGAGAGAGACTCTGACTCAAACTAACAAAAAACAATGACAACAAAAAAACTGTCTAAAGTTAAAGTAGGGTTGCAGCCCTTCGTGGTAGATGGCTATTGGATGGGTATTACAATTAACCATGGGTCACGGGGTCCTTTTGGGAAGCGCAGCTTGGGAGTTCCAGATGTTTAAATCTTATTTGGAGAGATTCTATGACAGAAGGAAGAGGGAGAATGAGACTGCCACAGAAGATCAGAGGATATGGAATCTGCTGTAAGCCCAGAACTGGAAAGACAGACTTGACTTTCTGTTGAGGCACTGGCTCTGGTCTCCAGGCACGTCTCTTCTGCTGTTTAGAGGAGAATCCCTGCTGCATGGCAGCATTTGGGTAGCCAGAGAGAAGATATATGAATTGATGAAGTAGAAGACTAATTGGAAATAAAAGGTATAGTGTCAGCTAATGAACTCCCAAGTCACCCATGTGACAACCTCAGCCTTCCAGAAGAACACGTCCATGAACAGCCTGAAGTGGTTCCAAAACTGGGGAGCAGAGAAGGATGCAGCAGGATGCAAATGAGCACAGCTGACCTGGACTTAAACCATGGCCCTGCCACTTACTAGTGTGCAGACCTTGGGTACTGGACTTGCCTTCCTGCGGCCAGTCTCCCAGTGTGAACCATGGAAAATCAACACTCACCTCCAAGGTGCCTATGGAAGTAAGTGGGATGGTATGTGTGTGTTGCCTGATAAATGGCCAGGCACTGTGACAATAATTCCTGCTCCATGGATCGAACACAGAAATCAGTTTCCCCACTTCCTAGTGCCATCTCAGAGGTGTTGCATTATCGGTTGCTAAAGCTCAGCGAGTTCCACCCACACAGTCCCAATAAGCTCTGTCATTCCGATTGGCCAGTCTGCAGTCTAAATGGAAAGGAAGTAGAGGTAGAAAGAGGCAGCAAAGAAAAGTGAGATGTGACAGTCTAAGAGTAGAGGCAGACAGAAAGACCATACAGACAAGGGTTAGAATACTAAAAACAGAGCAATCTGGGGTAGTGTTAGTGCACGGGCAAGCAGTCCGACCCCTCTGGGGAGATCATGTGTTACGTGATGTGGTATCAGTTGACCAGGTGTTAAGTCTCAAATCATGAAAGCCTCAAATCATTCAAAAAAAAAAAGGTGAATGTTCAACACAATCAGTTTAAGAATATACTATACAAATAAAGAGGTATACATTGAGCAATAGTACCATTACAAACAGGAAAACAGTTCAAGTGAAAGTTACAGGGGCCTGACTCAGTACTGGGGTGCCTCCTTCCTTTAGAATGCTGGATAAATGGAATTTCACCAAAAAAAATATTGAAGTCTTTTTGCCTCTCAGCAAGGTGTTATTTAGGCAGAAGGAAAGCAATGGAAATGAGGAAGGGAAAGCAAGGGGGTAGGGACTTGGGGTTTCTCCTTCCGTTAAAAAAAATCTTCAACTTGGTGCTTGGCTAGTGCCACCCACGAGGTTCAGTCAGCCTGGCTCTTCTTGGTGGCACGCAGGGCGTCACGTCCCCTGTCCAGCAGCAGGTCCTCCAGCCGCTTGCAGTGCTCCCGGAGCTGTTTCTCGCGCGGCAACAGGAAGGTGAGAACCTTGTTGCGCACGATGCCACGGTCCTCCTCCTCCCTTAGCCGCTGCCTCACGCGAGCCGCCTGCTCCTCCTGTTGCACCAGGGCTCCATTCATCTCGCAGAAGGCGTCTTCAAGGTAATGAATGGACTTCAATGCCTCTTTCTTAAAGTCCTCCAGTTCCCGTTGCACCCCGGCCACCTTCTGCTGCAGGATCTCCAAGTCAGCGGGTGGTGGGAGGCAGGAGGGCCATGACTGGGACAGGGAAAAGTCTCCAGACTGGAGGCCACTCTCTATCATTTTTTTCCCCTGTAGGGTATTCACCGTCATGAGAATGGACCCAGCCTGGTAGAGGGGTTCCATTGTCTCTTCTACGTTGGACAAAGAGAGGAAGCCAAGAGACCAACCAGGTCAATAAATATTTTTGGCTAGAGACACGATCATTCGGAGTGGAGAAACCCTAGAATTGTGACATCAGGGCCCCTTCAGCCAACCAGAAAGAAAGCCACAATCCATTCATTTGCATATTGTAGCTTCCTTGGTTGGTTACCTAGAGCTTTGTCTGTTTATCTGACCAAGTCGCCCTCCTGAGATGTGGATCCTTAACTCATCACCCTTCTAGAACCAGAACTCAAGTTCTTCTTTAACCTAAGGAACAAACCAAGTCCCAGAGCAGGGAAGTAAACTGGCCAGAGCAAGGCAGGCCAGGCCAGGCTCACTGGCTGCCAGGACTGGGTGGTCTCCCACACTGGCAAGGGACCTGCATGGTCTTGGACTGGTCTCTGGGCTTTAGTACCTCACTAGTAAAACAAAGACATTGTAAGAGATGATACCTAATCCCACTTGTAGCTCTAAAATGCTAAAAAGTAATCTCTTATTCCAAGTCCATACTCCTATAATGATGTCAGAATTCTATAAAATCTTAGAAATTGCGAAAAATGTACTTAGATTTTGATGTATGGTCCACAGCAATGGCTGATTCAGCAGGTGCAAGGTAAAAATGGGTTAGTCATATTTATTCAATAAATACTAAGTGCTCACTACACACTAGGATCAGGGAACAAGTGAGTGCATGGTCTTCCAACATACCTGAATGTTAACAAATATGAGAAACAACACATAGAAAGGTAAATCTTGTACTTTTTACCTGATAATTAGAACAAAGGAAAATACTTCTAGCTAATCTACATTTGGTTTAGTCAGGAACAAACCTTCATCTTGCACATCTCAGTCTCTTGCCTAGACTTCTCTCCTGGTCTCCAAATCTAAACGTCTCCCCCACAATGGGCCTCCAATTCAAGCCATCCAAAGCTGAATTGGTGATCTCTTTACCCAAACCAGTTCCTGTTCCAGTGTTGCTGTCAGATTAATGAGAGCAACCCAGAACAGCACACACACCAGAGCCCTCATGAGACAACTGGTGCTGTGATGCTAATATTTGTCCCCTCCCAAACTCATGTTGCAATTTAATTACCATTGTAACAGGATTATGAGGAAGGACCTTTAACAGATGATTAGGCTACCCTTTAAGAGATAAATGGATTAACACTGTTATCTTGGGAGCAGGTTCCTTATAAGTGGATAAGTTCAGCCCCTTTATGTCTCTCTCTCACCCTCTCTTTGCCCTTCTACTATGTGATGTCTTCTGCTGTGGAATGACACAGCAAGAAGGCCCTTGCCAGATGCCAGCATTTTGATTTTGGACTTCCTAGCCTCCAGAACTGTAAGGAAATACATTTCTGTTCTTTATAAATTACCCAGCATCGGGTATTTTACTATAGCAGCACACAATAGACTAAGAAACTTAGGATCAACCTAGACCCTTCCATGTCAAAGTGGCTCTAAGTCCTGTTCAATCTACCATTGCCAAGCACTCTAGCATCAAACCACCTGGGTTAGAGTCCCAGCTCTACTTATAATCTACCTATCTTTGGCAGATTACCCCATCTCCCTGAGCCTCAATCTTTTTTATAAGTAGGAATACTAATTCAGTGGTGTGCAGTTCTATGGGGAAAAGTGAATAAAACTCCGAATTATTTTGATAGCTGTTGCCAATTTCCATGGTGTAAATACTCCCACCGTGGCCAGTTTCAAGCTACCAACATGATGTCACTGGGAAGAGATGCACAAAATCAGCTCTCATGAGCCTCTGCAAGCTGACTCTCGCACCACAGGGACCGTGATGAGGGCAGCTGCCTCCTCCGAGATGCAGATTAACCTATCTAGGGTGCCTTGTAGTAGGCATCAGAGAGGGCATTTTGCAGGGAGGTTCATGGCTAAACTAAGGTGGCATTTTCTGGGGGATTTTGTGGGGTTTTTAGCATAATAAAGTGTCAAGCAATAAGGTGAAATTTTAAATGGCAAGATGAAAAAAGCAACTTTGATTATTGAGACAGAATGGTGGAAAAAGCATTTTTCCAGGAGTCAGGAGATCTGGAGACTGGAATTGCTGTGTGACCCTAGGTCAATCACCTTCCCTCTCGGAACCT
The DNA here is from genome assembly GCF_000001405.40 of Homo sapiens. Classification (NCBI taxonomy): domain Eukaryota; kingdom Metazoa; phylum Chordata; class Mammalia; order Primates; family Hominidae; genus Homo; species Homo sapiens. Next base: position 57,747,399 of record NC_000017.11, read on the forward strand.
ATTCCTTCCACCATAATGTGAGAAGGCAGGATTCAGCTGTTCTGACGTCTCTGATGTTTGAAGAATCCACACAGTCCTTCAATTAAACCTCTCCTGAGGCACTTAAAATCTCCCTCTTCTCGTGACTTAGGACTTTGTCCTTCCAGGTCCCTGATGGCACAGTGAACTCCATGAGGCCAGGGATCATGGATTTCTCACCCTGTGTACCTTCAAGCATCCTGCCTGGTGCCCTGCACATACTGGCACTCAGAGAACTAGATGAAATGGAACTTATTTTTACAGGTGGCTATCAAATCCCGGGCACCCTGGCTTTCCCGCTGACATGATGACACCTACTGGTCTTAGCAAAAACAGCAACTTCTTGATTCCACTACCTAAGAGCTAGATGGGGATTGAGGAGCTGATAAAAACAGCATGTGGTCTTGTGGTATATTTAATTAAGGGAGTGTGTGCATGTTGGACACATAATAGATTCTCAATAAATATTTTTTGAATCAGCAAAAAGGCAGTCTCTAACATTCTCTGAGTGCTTTTCTGTTTCTCTCTCTCTCTCTTTCTTTCTCTCTCTCTCTTTCTCTTATTTTCTGAGTCTTTGTCTGTGCCTCCCACGGGGAATGGTGGAAGTCATAACCAGATCTGCAAAAGAAAAGTAGTAAAAGTCACATGGAATAGCACTTTTTCCATTTCCATGGTGCTTTTTAATGACGTTGAAGTTTGCTTCTCAGAACCAGAGGGGAGGACGGTATTTCCACAAGAGCACAGCAGAGACTAGAAGCAAGTGAATGCTGTCAGCAGAAGACCCCAGGCTTGGTGGCCTCCCAAGCCTTCAGGGCAGCATCCTCAGCAGGGCAACTTAATGTGCATGTTCTCCTGAATGTTATCCTCCTAGAAATTTCATAATCAAGGACTATGCCTTTCTCACAAAATTTCCTTCCATATATACGAGGAAACTAAGAAAGCCAATCACTTTGTCCCCTTAAAGGTCTCAAGAAAAAGGAGTTCTAACATCTCCAGGCCTTGAACCCACTGTCAGATGGGTTTCTCTGTACCTGGCCTATTTCAGTGATTACAGCCTCCTCATGTCTCAGGATGTTGGGGGGACAAGAGGGGCACCTCAGCCCCACAGAGATCCCAGTACCACCCTTGAGAATCAGAGTAAACCTGAATGGGATGGGAGTCAGTAGTGGGCATGTTCTAATAGTTCCCCAGGTTGGGCATCACTGGGTCTGAGCACCATTCCTGCGGGACCCTGCCCATGGCTTGCCAGCAAAAGCCAGATGGTTTCCCCAGGACCCCACCCCATCCTATGCCTTCATCTGTCTCTGCAAATGAAATAAGCCTTGGTCCTTTTGGGGATTGGGAAAAGGGACATGACACAGAGGCACCCCTTCTTCATGTACCTTCTTTAAAGTGAGGAAAATGCTCAGAAGCTAGAAGCTCCTCACATCCCGTGAGTTAGAACCACATCCTTGGGCCCCTTCTAACTACATCACTGACTAGAGGGGTGGGGCTCCCACAGTTGGCTGAGGCCGATCACAGGCCCCTTCCTGGGACTGGGGCTGGGTCAGGCCTCCCTGAAGCACAAGGATCCCAGTACCAGAACCAAATTGGGGTTCTGTTCTCAAGCAAGAAAGGGAGAGGACGGGCAACCAACTGTGTCTTCCACAAAGAGTAATTAGATCTAAGGAAAAGACTCGGTGAAAGAACCATGCAAAATCCTCCCAAATGAACTACTAATGTGAGCTCACAGGCAGAGTGGGGAAGCAGTCTTCTGGGAGTCTCTTAAAACTGGTCTATCTAAGCCAGGCACGGTGGCTCACGCCTGTAATCTCAGCACTCTGGGAGGCCAAGGCGGGTGGATCACGAGGTCGGGAGATCAAGACCATCCTGGCTAACATGGTGAAACCCTGTCTCTACTAAAACTACATAAAATTAGCCGGGCATGGTGGCAGGCACCTGTAGTCCCAAGCTACTTGGAAGGCTGAGGCAGGAGAATGGCGTGAACCTGGGAGGTGGAGCTTGCAGTAAGCGGAGAGAGAGCAAGACTCCGTCTCAAAAAAAAAAACAACAAAAAAAACTGGTCTATCTCTCCCCATCCCCAAGAAGAAAAAATTATTAAAAAAAAAAAAAAAAAAAAACAGAACTCAGAGCAATCTGTCCAAACCCCAAAGAACATGTGATTGGATATTTCTAAAGGAGAGAGGACAGCTGTTGGCCCTATTTAGCCACTCTTTTCCCAGAATCTCCTGACCCGGTGCCTCCTATGGCCTGGGCAAGGATACTGTGATACAACCGGTGTCTTCTCAGATGTCCTCATAAAATGTCTTCCATCCATCCTTCCATTCATTCATCCATCCATCCATTATTCCATTCATCTACCCATCTGTCCAGCTATCCAGCCAGCCTTCCATCCATCTATCCATCTATTCAGCCAGCCAGCCTTCCGCCCATCCATTCGTTCATCCATCCATCCACCCATCTATCCAGCTATCCAGCCAGCCTTCCATCCATCTATCCATCCAGCCAGGCTTCCACTTCTCCATTCATCCATCCATTCAACCATCCATCCACTTACTCAGTGATAATCATCGAGTACCTACCCTGTGTACACTGAGCCAGGCAACTGAAATTCAAGAGAACAAGCAGGACAGAAAAAACTGCTCTCAAGCAGGCAGCATTTTGATGGAAGGAGACCAGTAAAGTAAGCAATCAACAAATAAGATGATTTAGGCTGGTGCTAAATCTCTGAAGGAAATAAGCAGTGGAAGGTGATAGACTTTCGGGTAGGAGTGGGCTCAGGGAGGGCCTTTGTGGGGGTTAGGGGGTGGGCAGCATCTGGGGCAAGACAGGAAGGAGGAGGAGACCTGGTGATAACATTCAGGAAGGAAGTGCAAGTGGAAAGGCCTGGGGCAGGAAGGGGCTCGAAGAGCCCAGAGGAGGCCTATGTGGCTGGTGGCAATGGGAAGTAGGGGGAGGAGGTCAGAGGGGCCGGACCATGTGGCAACCTAGCTGGGGGAGGCAGGGGTGGTATCCCCAGTGTTACGAGGGCTCTCCAGGGCTACTCCAGCTGTGCGCGGTTTCCACCTCTGCAGCTGGTATTCCAGTCAGGGGAATGGGGACAAGGCTGGGATGGGGGATGGGGACCAGGGTCAAGAACAAAACGTGGTGCTGTTCACTATGATTAATTAACCCAGCACCAGAGCCCCGAGCCGCGGTGCTAAAAATACCTGCTTCCCTCTGAGATGCGGCAGCTGCCACGCAGCAACTTTTACCCACGCCGTTTGTCATAATCTGACACTGCTAAGGAGTGTCCACAGGGCCGTGCGTCTGCAAGAATCGGACTCATCCGCAGTCCACCAGCCAGCTGGTCCTCGGAAACCATCCACGGCGCTGTCCTACCTTCACTCTCCTCCCATCCCTGAGCCCAGCCAATGTGCCTACCACCTGCCACTGCCTGCCGGTTCGCAGCTCCTCCTGGAACCGAGCGGACCACCCCCAGAGGTGGGAGCCAAAGCTTCCTCGAGAGCAGGAGGAGCGCATCGCTGGATGCCATGTTTCACACTCTGCAACTCCGCAACTCGGATTGGAGCCATCCATCAGAGGCCCTGCCAGCCCAGGGCGGCACTTTAATTAAAATATGTAAAACATCCTGGTGGGAGTGGAGCTGAAGACACAGGAGCAGGCCTTAGACACAAGCTGGCCCTTCTCCAGCCTGGGAGGGCTAGGACTGTGCCAGGAAGGCCCTCCGAAGCAGTCTGGGGGAGTGGTGATGTCTAATATGCACCAGCAGCCACTCCACTAAGCACAGAACTTAGCCAGGGCAAGAACATCTGCTTGAAAGAAAGCCACACCAGGTCCCCAGGCCAGCACGATGACCCTGAGAGCATGCTGGGAAGGACTTGGCATCACATCAGTTGTCAGTCTTAGGGGTGGGAATGTTCTATTCCCACTCTCAATTTTCTAAAGGACACATTGTGACGCTGATACCTGGACATTTATACAAACTCTTTAGCAAATCCATTTCCATTTCCCAGACAAATCAACTCCCCAAGTTCACTATTTGTTCAGACTTTGCTTTCTATGTTGAGAGGAAGCGTGGCAGCAGCTGCATTGTTTAGGGCAGGGGTGAGACAACTCTTTTGCACGGTTTGCGCAATATCAGAAAAAAATGTCTAGGCCAATTTTTTCAAACCAACTTTTAAAATATCATGAGATGCAATATTTAAAACTTGTTTTAAGCATCCTTTAAATTTATTTCCCCTATTATTGAAGGACTTTGTGATTGTTACTGAAACATCAGAACCTGAAGAGGCATGGTATGCTGCAGTCTCACTCTGCACTTTAGGCCTGCAGCACATTTTCTGGGCAATGACATAGATTGTGTGTAGCGCTGAGGGATTTGGTGTTGGGGAAGCAAACTGGACTCTGAGCCCAGCCAGAGACCAGGGACAAAGAAAAGCCCCATTAGGAGTTCCTGGTTCTGGTAGAGCAAGGGGTCGGGGGACTGTTTGGAAGCCTGTCTCGGTGGGGACAAGAGGCATTGCTGCAGGAGGCGATGGGTACCAAGCACAGCAGGGTGAGGAGAGATGCCCACGGGCTCTAAAATAAGCCTGCACACAGACAAGCTACTGCTCCCATCAGCCCGCACCCCTCCAACCAGCGACAACTTCCTCAGGGCAGAGCCAGAGCCACTGTCTGCATGTGGGGGTGTCAGGCTGAATTACGTGAGCTTAAAAACCAAATCCCCTCCTTCCTGGGTTACTTAACTGTCTGCCTGGCAAGGCTGGGAGACTACTGGTGACAGACACCAGGGCCTGCCTGGCTGCTCCAGACAGAGAAGCTTTGATCACCTGGAAAACTCCAGACACCAGGCCTCCTAATGATGAGTAATGAGCTCAAACCATCCGAAAGTTACCCTGCACCATGCACGGGGGACATGCACAGCTTCCACAGAAGCCTGGTGCAGGAAGCCAGTGCCCAGTCATCTAGTGTCCTAAGACAGAGTTTGACCCTGACTCCCACGCCACCCACCCCAGCCCCACCCAGAGTCTTGCCAGTTTGTTGATAAAGCAGGGAAGATTGTAAGCTCTGGGCACTTGCCTGTTCCAAGGGTTGATCTGGGGTCTAAAGGCCAGAATTTATCTTTATATTCAAGAATACAGCCTCCTCATTTGTTCATTCATTCATTCACTCATTCACATATTCAACACACATTTACTGAATGACTAAGACAAGCCAGGCACGGTGCTGAATGCTTAGGATAGAAGACACTCAAATGAGGCTTCTGTCCTGAGGGGATTTGCCATCTCCCATGGAGATAGCCTGCAAGTCCAGCATCACAAGACTCTGTGATAAGGAGCCTGACAGACTTGGCTACAGGGTGTTAAGATAGTCCAGAGGAGGGGCCTCTAAATTAGAGTGTCCCTTCCTTCTGGCAGTGAGAATAGGAGCAGGATGGGATGGAATTCAAATATTCCGGGTCCTTCTAGTCTAGGATCCTAGGCCTAGGTCCTTCCAGGCTATTTGAGCCTGTGAGAATCCCCAGTCTCAAGCTGTACCTGCATCACTTCATCTGGGATTTCCTTCTGCTCTGATGTTGGCTGGAAATATGTTAACCTTGAGTTCCCCTTTTGGCTTCATGGTAACTTAAGCCCACTGTGTCTTAAACTTTGACATACATTAGAATCATCTTGGGAGAGTGTTAAAATATCATTTTTAAGTTCTGAGTCCCACTCCAAAGAGATTCTAATTCAGAAGGCCTTGGGAGACTGAAATTAGGGTGATCAACCATCTTTTTTTTTTTAATAGGCCAGGTCTCACTATATTACCTAGGCTGGTCTCGAACTCCTGGGCTCAAACAATCCTTATGCCTTGGCCTCCCAAAGTGCTGGGATTACAGGCATGAGCCACTGCACCTAGCCGATCAACCATCTTGATTTACCCAGAACCAACATGGTTTCCCAGATATGAGACTTTCCATTTTAAAACTGGGACAGTCCCAGGAAAACTGAACAGGTTGGTCACCCTAGCTAGGGCAGATGCTGTCCATCCTTGCCCAGTGGCATTCCTTTCTTCCTTGAATTATAGATTCCCAATTTTGATGATGCAGTAACATGTTTAAGGAAGTTGAGCCTTCACCCAGACCCAGGTGGTAAACCTAGGTGCATTCAGTAATTCCATTCCCTGTTGCTATTGGTTTACTTAAGGTAGGCCTGTGATTCACTTCTGGCCGAGAAGTTGTTAAAAGAAAACTTATGAAAAAATATTGTCCCTGAAGTTTAGAAGTGGGACTGAGAGGGAGGGAGAAGGAGAGATGCCTGCTCTTTCTTCTGCCTTGGATGCAGTTGTGTGATAACATGATGGTTGGAACTGTGGCAGCCATTTTGCAATCCTGAGGAAAACCTAAGGATGAAAATTCAGCTGTGCTAAGGACGAACAACTAGAATAAAAAGAGCCTCCACTGTTTAATAATAATATCATTGATACTCTATACCAAACCTGAAATTACCTACCTCCAATATAATTGATATGTGATTAAATGTCTTTCTTGATCAAACAACTGTTGTCTGATATTCTGTTAATTTTCTGCCAAACACATCATGATTATTACAAAAGGCCTAGAAATCAACATTTTTAATAAGATCCCCGAAATCATTCTGATGCCCTCCATTGAGCTAGCTAATCCAGTGATTCTCAAAATGTGGTCCTCAGACCAGCAGCATCAGCATCCCCTGGGAACTTGCTGGAAATGCACATTCTCAGGCCCCCCCAGACCTTCTGAATTAGAAACTCTGGGAGTTTCTGGGGCCCGTCAGTCTGTGTTTTAACAAGCCCTCCAGATGATTCTGACAATTGCTAAATTTGAAGAATCGAGCTAATCAATACCTGAGACTCTCTGAGTAGTATCAGATCTGAGAAACTTCTGGATGGAACTTTTCATCTTAACCCAGGTCTCAGTTGTTTCTTTATATTGCTTGGGAAATAAAGCAGGATGTCTTCTCACCTTCTGTGATTTTTCTCCTTCCTCCTCAGGCCTTTCCCCAGTTAATCTTGCATTAGTTGGATGCTTTGACCAGATTTCCTGGCCTGTGTTATTTAACAGCATGTAGTGACAGGGCAGGGAGGCAGTTCTTTGCAGTCAGGCCTGGCCAGGGCAGGAGGTAAACTTGGTCAACCTAGCAGTTAAGGAGAGTGCATGGCAATGCCCCTGGCCCAGTAACCCTGGGTGAGTGTTTATACCCTTCACCAATACTCAACTCATCAGACTTTGCATTACATGGCAGCCAGCCTGGGAGGAGAAGAGGGGAGGCCCAGGCAGCAACTTCTCTTCCTTCCTAGGGAAGCCTTGCCTTGGCTGGCCTTTTATACTCCAGGCAGTCCCCTACTTCTCAACATAATGAGTTACTCCAAACCCCGGTAGTAGTCTAAAGGCAAAAACTGAAAAATAGACTCCATGTGGCAAGGGGAATCCATTCTCAGTTCACTAAAAAAGGAAGTTACAGGCCGGACTCAGTGGCTGCTCATGCCTGTAATCCCAAAACTTTGGGAGGCCAAGGCGGGCACATCACCTGAGGTCAGGAGTTCGAGACCAGCCTGACCAATATGGAGAAACCCCGTCTCTACTAAAAATACAAAAAATTAGCCAGGTGTGGTGGCACATGCCTATAATCCCAGCTACTCGGGAGGCCGAGGCAGGAGAATTGCTTGAACCCGGGAGGCGGAGGTTGCGGTGAGCCAAGATCGCGCCATTGCACTCCTGCCTGGGCAACAAGAACAAAACTCCATCTCAAAAAAAAAAAAAAAAAAAAAGGAAATTATAAAATCCCTAATTACACCTCTTCTTTGGAATATTTCCTCAAAAATAATTTTCAGTATTTCACATGTGCTCCTGAATCTTCCTCTTTACAACTGAGCACACTGTCAAAGGATCATCCAATGAGCATCACATTGTGAATAATCATTTATTTTTTAAAAATATATGAATTCTCACCCTTAAAGCATTTTCTATGTGCCAGACACAGGGACTTTATGTGCATCATGTTTTGAAGTCAAGAGCCACCAGCCCAGGCATGCCTGCCAAGGCTCACCTTTGTCCGGGTGAAATTAGGTTGATGAGTCCTATTACAGCAGCTTTATTTTGTCCATCTCCCACTCAAATGTATCAGATAAAGCCAAATGCCATAAAATATTCAAACACGACCCACTTCTGCTGTGTGATGCAAGCTGGCAAGACTGCCAACAAGGACCCACTGGCCTGCAGTGCCCCTGGGTAGCTGAGAGTGCTGTCCGTCAGCTAAGGTTCTGAAAACCAAATTCAGCTTTCAATGGTTTTGAAGTGTGTTATCAGAAAGTGAGGGCTGTACCAAAGTTCCGCCTTGCCTCTCTAGTCAGGGGGTCTGTGGATCTCTGACTCCCACTGCCATGGGTCTTGTCTTGGGCGCACCTCTCAGAGGGCCCCTCCAGCCACCCTTGTTTACAGTCTACCAACAAGTAAGGCTGCTTCCAGGAGCAGGGCCCCCTGGTGCTCAGGTCTTGCTCACACTCACAGGCAGACACACTTCCAGCTCTTGGGTGGTCACTGGCCCACACACTTCAGTGGTCGAGCTAACTCATGATTCATACTTTTCTTGGCCATCATCATTTGGTCATTATTATAACCAAGGCCTAGATGCCAAATGGTCCCGCTCGTACAATAGTTGAGATACGCAGTAAAGTCAGAAAAGGCCACTAAGCAGGAAAAACCATTTAAGGCTATGTGATGGTCATGCTGTTAAGGGGAGGCAATTTGGAGAGTCAGCCTGAGAGCAAGGCAAAAAGACCCAACCACTGCCGAGCCTGACTTTGGTTTTTCAACCAAGCCATGGGAGGCAAGCAGGCTGTCTCCTTGTCTCCTCCCACCCCCTGAATGTCCTCTGGTAGCCAGGTAGATGCCCACCTCATGCCCTTTTACCTCTGGTTTCTGTGCTGGGAGCATCTCAGCTGCTTCCTGCCAGCTACAGAAACACTTTTTTGCCATAAAGCCAGTCACTTCCCCCGATCCTAGACCCTGTCAACCCATAGAATGAGGTAAAAAGCCCCAAGGAAGACTTTTGAGCCTGGCTTTATTTTTCTTTTCTCTTTTTTTTTTTGAGACAGAATTTCACTCTTGTTGCCCAGGCTGGAGTGCAATGGTGCAATCTCAGCTCACCGCAACCTTCGCCTCCTGGATTCAAGCAATTCTCCTGCCTCAGCCTCCTGAGTAGCTGGGATTACAGGCATGTGCCACCACGCCTGGCTAATTTTGTATTTTTAGTAGAGATGGGGTTTCGTCATGTTGGTCAGGCTGGTCTCGAACTCCTGACCTCAGGTGATCCGCCCGCCTCAGCCTCCCAAAGTGCTGGGATTACAGGCGTGAGCCAACAGCACCGAGCGGAGCCTGGCTTTTAAAGCCTCCTTCATTTGATTCCTAGCACTGGGGTTGGGGAGGGGTCAAAGTGATCCCATAGGTTGAAGATGACAGGTCAGCAGGGGTTGGCCAAGGCTCTGGAGGTTGTTACTTTTCAGACACAGTGTTCCGGGGAGCAGTTAAAAGGCTGGTCTTTGGGAGAGGTGTAAACTGTAAAATCCTGCTAGGCTGGGGTTCCAGTCAAAGCCCATGAGCAGGCAACAAGATGCTCAGGCCCCCTCCCGAGACACACCACCTCCAGGTAACAAAGCCTTCAGGAATCAATCAACGGCTGCAGGATGCACCATTCTGTCTGAGCGGCTCCCTTTTCTCCCTCTGCTCTTGCCGCGGGAGGTCAGAGTTCACATCAAATGTCATTAATCTTCTTCCTGGGGGCTGGGGGCTTATTGGACAGTCCTATTAATCAGAGGCCTGTCACACCCACAGCCTGGCTGGGTCGCCATTGTCCTGTTCCTCACCTATCATAGAAAGATTAGATTATCAGTGACAACTGAGACACCCTTTGAGTCACAGGAAAGCTGGAGATTGGGGTTGCTTTTATTTTTTTTATATATCCTCCTGATTTGAGGATGAGCTGTTTATTGTCTTGTCACACTGCATCCTTTTCTTCAAAGAATCAGCTTTAAGAATCCAGTTTGTCAAACTGGACAATCACTGGCAAATCCAAAAAAAAAAAACCCTCAGTGACTTTATCAAAAAAGGTAAAATAAAGCAGAAGGTTTTAAATGGGTCCTGAAAGGATTAGAAAATAAGTTGCATTTGACAACAATTAATCTCTGAAAAGCAGGAGCTTTGTAAAAAGGAACAGGCAGAAATGTGGGTTCTGGGGTTCCACACAATGGGGATGTGTCCATTCCCTGTGCGCCCGTCCCTCTTCCAGAGTGGAGTCCAGTGGGGACCTGGGGCTGCAAAGGCATGAGAGACCGACCTTCCAAGCTTCCTCCTAACTCTCTACCCGCCAGTGTCAACAGCAGCAGCAACAACAAAACAGAACAGAACGAAAACACCAGGGCAGAGCAGCGCAAAGACCTCAGCCCTCCGGGTCTCCCAATTGTGTGACAGACTCAGTCACCCAGCAGGTACTGGGACCACCTATAGAGGCCCTGTGGGGGTCATAAGTGAAGGGGACACTTCTAATCCCTTTGAAGCGTAGAGACCACGGGGAGCACATGAAACACCTAAGTCAACTTAGATGGGAGCAGGGCCTTGGAGAACGTGGACTCACGGGGCTACAAATGGAGATGCCTCAAGGGCCCAGGAAAGAATGTAAACCAGGGAAGCAGGCTGTGGGAAACCCACTGGGAGTGGTGAGGACTCCAGCAAGAGAGTGCTCCGCACGAGCCTGCCTACAGGGGTGCAATGACCATTCCCTCTCACCGCACTGTGGGAAGGGGAGCTCCAATCCCCCAGATCTTTCCGGTTTCATGAGATTCCGGAGACTCAGGTTTGTATGTTAATACTCTGTATTTTAGGCTGGGCACGGTGGCTCACACCTGTAATCCCAGCACCTTGGGAAGCCGAGGTGGGTGGATCATGAGGTCAGGAGTTCAAGACCAGCCTGGCCAACATAGTGAAACCCCATCTCTACTAAAAATACAAAAAAAATTAGCTGGGCGTGGTTGCGGGTGCCTGTAATCCCAGCTACTCAGGAGGCTGAGGCAGGAGAACGGCTTGAACCCGGGAGGCGAAGGTTGCAGTGAGATGAGATTGTGCCATTGCACTCCAGCCTGGGCGACAGAGTGAGACTCCATCTCAAAAAAAACAAAAAAACTCCGTATTTTAATCGTTGGCAACATATTCAATTTTTTTTTAATCACTGAACATACTAAATAAAACCCACAGGCAGGTCCAGTTTGGCCCCAGGCCTGGGATTGGTGCTTGTTGGAATCCACCTGCCTCAGTGCCAGTAAGGACCAGGAGGCCCAGAGAGGCTGGTAACTGCAAAGATCACACATCTGGCAGGGCCAGTGTAAGAGTCTGGTTTAGACTCCCAGCCCAGCGCTCTATGCTCCAGATCTGAATACAGAAACACATATGTGACCAATTAGTATTAATAGATAAGCTCATTGGAGGGCAATAAAAGGGTAAGAATGAAGAGAAAAGCCTTGATTTCACACCTTCACTGTGAAAGCAGAGAAGAGACCAAATTGGACAAGGCCCAAGTGATTATTGCTGTACCTTTGATATCATAGGCATTTAATTTTTCTACCTAAAAAACTAGCCCTGGGTGCTTCTCTGTGTGGGTGCTATAGCAGCCGGGGCAGGGGGACAGGGAGTGCTGCTCTGTGGCCCTCCAGTTATGCTGTGGGCTGCCAGCTCTGTGGAGGTGTGTTACCCACTTGGCCATAGTCAAACACTGGAGCTGGGGAGCCAAACTACCTTTTCAAATCCACTCTCTGCCACTTACTAACTGTGTGACTTCAGACAAGTTACTCAACTTCTCTGAGCTTTAGTTTTCTTATTTCAGAAATGGGGATAATAATATCTACCTCAGAAGATTGTTGTGAAGATTAAAACTAGCATAGAACGAGTGAGCTGTGATTGTGCCACTATACTGTAGCCTGGACAACAGAGCAAGACCCATCTCTAAAAAAATAATAATACATAAAAATAAATAAAAGTAGCATAAAACAGAGCCTGTCCCAGAGCAAGTGTTCTATAAATTGTTGTTATATAATATAATCATGTTTTATACCATCTTCAAAGGTGCCTGGTATTGAGACACAACATTATAGGAAACTGAGTCTGGGAGGAACCTTAGAAACCATTCCTAGTTTGATTATCTAAGAGAAGGGAAAAAAAAGTGCTGGGGTCCAAAGATGGAAAATAGTTTAATTTCTGTAGCAGGCACACGTGAAAATCTCTGCATTCCTACATAGGTAGTTCACTTTTTTTTTTTTTTTTTTGAGACAGAGTCTCACTCTGTAGCCCAAGATGGAGTGCAGTGGCATGATCTTGGCTCACTGCACACAACCTCTGCCTCCCAAGCTCAAGCGATTCTCGTGCCTCAGCCTTCCGAGTTGCTTGGACTACAGTTGTGCCACCACCCCTGGCTAATTTTTTTGTATTTTAGTAGAGATGGGGTTTCACCATGTTGCCCAGGGTGGTCTCGAACTCCTGAGCTCAGACAATCTGCCCGCCTCAGCCTTCCAAAGTGCTGGAATTACAGGCGATGGTTTCACTTTTAACCATTTGCTTAGCCGTATGCCAACCATTTTGTTTTCCTGCTATAACACCATTGGAAATAAGGAAAGTTTCTACTATAAATATATTTAAAAGCAAAGCCATACAAGCCTTCAGACTCCCAAATATTCCAGCAACGTCAGCATAGCCAACACTGCATAACGTCCACTGCTATGCTCATTAAAGAAAGATTTGTGAGATGACTCAGGGCTGTATTTGTCCACTGCAAGTGTGTGACCAGCTTCATTTTCAAAAATGATTGTTCCCCAAGGTAGTTTGTGATCATTAGCGAAAAGCTGAGCCTCAAAGCAATTTCGATGTTTTGGGAAAGATGCTGTATGTCTTTCCATACTGGCTTGATAAATTAAGGTCAAACCAGTTGATTATTTGTGAAAATTGAACACTTGAACATGTTAACTGTTGACAAACCTTGACAGGTATCATGTCTGCCTTTATTAGGAGATTAATTAAAGGCCACTGGAGGTGCTGGCATGGCGTGAAAAGCCTGGATTTGGTGATAGATAGATTTGGGACAGATCCTGACTCCTTACTTGGCTCTAAGGCCTTAGGCTAGTTTCTTAAACTCTCTGGATCACCATTTATTTGTGTGGGAAATGGGGGTAATAAAACCTACTTCATAGACTTTGTGAGAATTAAACAGAAAATGTCTGTGCTCAGGAAATGCGAGATCCCTCCCACCCCACCGCATCCCCTCTAGAAAGATGAGGCGAGTGTTCATCTGTGGATGGGCATTCACTGAGGGACTCTTGTACGGCGCCCCTTGCTGACTGCTGGGATGAATCGGCTCAAAGCCAAATTTAGGTTAATGTCAAATGAGAGGGGAGAACAATGAACGCATCATTCTTTATGCTTCTGTTTAGGCTTCTGATCTAAAGACCAATTGTTGAGTTATTTAAATAAGAGTCTGCTCCCTCTTTGGAGATGATGTGGAATCTGAAGTTAGAGCCCTGGCTGAGTTTCAGTTTAAACACACTATTTTTGATTTACTGACCTTTCTGCAACCTTTCACTATCCTGAAGCAATCCGAGAGGGGAAGAATTGTGAGGTATCTCCCTGAGCACCAATGTGGGGTGAGGTACTGGCCCTGAGAGGATATTGAGAAGGCACATCCCGTGCAGGAGACCTCTGGCCCATCCTTCAGCTCTCGGGAAGTTCCCCAAGGGTGGGTGACTGTCTACCTTGGGAGTTCAAAGATGAATGATACCACTGCCAAATAAAAACTGAGAGAGTAGGGGGTCTGGAGTCTGAAGCCTGAACTAGAGCTAACTATGACAGCCAACATTCACTGAGCATTCACTCTGAGCTAAGCATGATGCTTGAAGCTTTTTTTTTTTTTTTTTTTTTTTTGAGATGGAGTCTCTGTTGCTCAGGCTGGAGTGCAGTGTCACAATCTGGGCTTACCACAAACTCTGCTTCCCGGGTTTAAGCAATTCTCCTGCCTCAGCCTCCTGAGTAGCTGGGATTACAGGTGCACGCCATCACGCCCGGCTAATTTTTGTATTTTTAGTAGAGACGAGGTTTCGCCATGTTGGTCAGGCTGGTCTTAAACTCCTGACCTCAGGTGATCCACCCTCCTTGGCCTCCCAAAGTGCTGGCATTATAGGCGTGAGCCACTGCGCCTGGCCAATGCTTGAAGCTTTAAACCCTGTGTTGCATCCAAGCTTCCTATCAGCCCTATGAGGTAGATATGATTACTGTCATAGCTGAAAATACTGAGAAGTTACACTTGTTGCCCAAAGGCCACATGGCTCCCACCGAGCAGAGTGGGAGCTATGTACGAGTGACACCCACTCTCTTACCTGCTGGTCACACAGTTTCCCCAAACACATTGATTCCTTCAGCGCTCCCACAAGAGAATTCCAGCAGCCACGCCTGCACCTCATCCCATCTTAGGGCAAAACTCCCCTTCTGCTTGGAAAAGACACACGATAGGCAGGGGCTTATGCTTTCCACCAGGGGCCCTTTCTCTGCACGTTGGGACTCCAGAGGTCACGTGGGCCTGGGGTTTAACCCTGCAATGCCGACACATGCACGCATGCACACAAATACAAAACCACAAGTGGAATTCCTAGTACCCTGCCCAGCCTGCAGGGGAGGGGCAGTGGCCTCTCTTTCTTCTTACCACCACTCCACCCCCAGCCCCCCTACACCGGCATCCACTGATCTGCTCCCTGCTGGGCTGTTGGAGCTAAGGAGGGACAAGTTTGTCTCCCACCCACTTCCAGGGCTGTGTCCTTGGCTTCGATGACCTTACAAAGGCTCTCACCTAAAGGGCTATTTAGGTTTAGGTTTAAGGGGCAAGAAGAAAAGAAAAGAAGAATAGCTGCAGCCTAAAATAAGTATTATTGGCAACCAGGAGAGAAACTCGGGGCTCGTAGAACCAAATGAAGAATTTGTAAGCTTTCAGCCACCTGAAATTGTGGCGCTTTCCCCCACCCCATGCACTTAATAAGAGCTGACAGCCTGCATTGTTCTGCCACGACAAGGTACGCTGCAGCCCAGTGATAGGGCGAGAGCAGCAGGGGGACAAAGGCAGCACAGCCGAGGAGGGGCAGAGCGAGGGGTGAAACATAAAGACTGAGGGCTGGGGGGGGCGACTCCTAATCAGGAGCCTGGCAAGAGACCCCGGGAACGGCAGCCCACTGACAGTGGAGACCAGGAGCTCCAGATGGCTTTTTGTCTCAATAAAATAAAAAATGTAATCTGACAGGCTCTGGGATGGGACTCAGGGAAACAAAAGTCAGCGGAGCAGGGAGCGGGAGTGGGCCGGGTTAAAGGTATCAGAGTCTGAGAAAGACAAAAAGAAGTGGCTGTCTCTTTGAGCAATTATGGGCTTTGCAAATGACATTTAATTCCAGAGGTGCATGCCAGGGACAAAGCCAGTTGTTTTCTGGTCTTGGCAGGGGTAGAGGAATTGGAAATACACTGGACATTTGGCCTCGGAAGAAAGGTGATAACTTTGCCAATTACCCACGGGTGTGGGCTCTTTGTGTCCACACTCTTCTCCCCACCCCAAGTCATTAGGGGATGATATAAAGATACAGGGCTTCCTGGTGCAATTTAATTGCTCATAGACCGAAAAGTGATGAGCTCCATCGAATTGCACAGACGTCCTGTAGGAGACCAGCTGCCGTATTAATGTGGCTTCTCAGAGGGGAACACACCCCCACCTGCTTCACCAGGAGCACACAGAAGCCCAGGGAAACAGTGGTCCCCCTGTGGCCTCTGATGGGGCTGTCGCTTTTTATTAAGTAATCTCTGCCTTTCAGATCACTGCATGTTTTCTTCCCAAAGGTCTTTGTTGCTGTGTAGGCCCAGCACACAGCAGGTTCCCAATAAATATTAAACAGCGGATGCTAGTGATGTCTCCAGATGTCACCATAGGGGACAAATTGTCACCCAGGGGATGACCCCACACTAGGACTATGGTGTGGTCACTATGGCTGTATAGCACAAAACCTAAGGCATGATGGGTTAGGGGTTCTGAGGCAGGGAAATGGGGCAGGAGGGTTAGTGGATATTACAAAGAGCCTCTTAGACAAAAATTATAAAGCCAGAAGATGCATAGTTCTGGTGAGGATGTAGGGAAACAGGCACTCTCAGATAATGGTAGAGGAGAAGGAGTAAAGGCTTTTCCAAAAACAATGTATCAATAGTGATTAAAATGTAAATGGCCAGGTGCAGTGGCTCTTGCCTGTAATCCCAGCACTTTGAAAGGCTGAGGTGGGTGGATTGCTTGAGCCCAGGAGTTCGAGGCCAGCCTGGGCAACATGGTGAAATCTTGTCTCTACAAAAAATAAAAAAATTAACCAGGCATGGTGATGTGCACCTTTAGTCCCAGCTGCTTGGGAGGTTGAGGTGGGAGGATGGCTTGAACCTGGAAGGTGGAGGATGCAGTGAGCCAAGATCACGCCACTGCACTCCAGCCTGGGAAACAGAGTGACCTCAACAGATCACTTGAGGTCAGGAGGTCGAGACCAGCCTGGCCAACATGGTAAAACTCCATCTCTACTAAAAATACAAAAATTAGTCCAGCGTGGTGGCGTGTACCTGTAATCCCAGCTACTCGGGTGGCTGAGGCAGGAGAATTGCCTGAAACAGAGAGGTGGACGTTGCAGTGAGCCGAGATCGCACCACTGCACTCCAGCCTGGGCAACAAGAGAGGCAGACAGACAGACAGACAGAGCATGTGCATGATTCATAATTTAAAAATTAAAATACACATTCAAAAAACATCAAAGTGTTTTAAGCATGAACTTTGAAGTCTGATCAGGCCATGAGTCCTGGCTTCATCTCTCTCTTGGTTATGATTTCAGGCAAAGTCCTCTGAGCTTGTGTTTCATGGCAGCATGGTTCGTAATAGACCTTTGTTGTGTGTCTCTGAGCTTTGGTTTCCCCAACTGTAGGCCAGAGGTAGTAATTGTTTGTTTGTTTGTTTGTTTGTTTGTTTGTTTGTTTTGAGACGGAGTCTAGCTTTGTCACCCAGGCTGGGTGCAGTGGTGCAATCTCGGCTCACTGCAAGCTCCACCTCCCGGGTTCACGCCATTCTCCTGCCTCAGCCTCCTGAGTAGCAGGGACTACAGGTGTCCACCACCAAGCCCGGCTAATTTTTTTTTGTATTTTTAGTAAAGACGGGGTTTCACCGTGTTAGCCAGGATGGTCTCGATCTCCTGACCTCATGATCTGCCCGCCTCGGCCTCCCAAAGTGCTGGGATTACAGGCATGAGCCACCGCATCCAGCCGGCCAGAGGTAGTAATAGTATTTACCCCACAGGGTTGTTGAAAGATTTAGATGAGATATGCATAGAAAAGCTCAGTGCCTGATATACCCTCAGTGCTCAATAAATAGCACCAGTTGATGTATTATAGACCGAGTGACTCTAAGTGTCTCTCAGGAGTGGGAAAGGAAGGAGAGAAAGCAAGAGAGGACCCCAAATTACCCAATGAACAAACATCTCAAAAATATCCAAGGTCCTGGGATGATCTGTAAACTAAGGACACAAAGGAACTTGCTGACTAGTGTAACTTCCTCTTTGTCTCTTGGCCCAACAGGTCTTGGTGGATTCTCATTACCTCCCTGCCTTGTGAATTCAGATAACAGAGACAGAAGTTTGAATTCTGGGCCCGCAGACCAATGTCAGATGAGGGGTCCCATCACCCTTAGGTAATGATGAAAGCACAGGATGCATCTTTTTCCAAAAGCTGTCCGCCTGGTTGGGGCTTCTAGGGCCCTTGGCCATCAACGGGATTTGCTCTCATTCAGAATGACTTCCTGTCCCCAAAAGAATGTTTGTTAGGTTAGAAAAGTGATCACCAGGGCTATCAACTGAGAAAGCAGAAGGAGTTGACTCACATCGTTTGTGCTTATTAAATACATGTTAAAGGATTAAGTGAAAACTAGAAAAAGAGAAAGAAAAGAGATTCACCCCTAAGAAAGCCGGGTGTGTCCCTGGCTGCCCTCTCAGAAGGGCCGCTCAGAGTGAGCTGGAAGAGATGTGCATGGCAGCCCTTTGGGTATCTATTTTATTCTGAGGAAACTGAACCCAGAAAAGGTGAGAGTTCTTCTAGAGATGCCTAGCAAGTGAGTGGCCCAGGCAGAATCTGATTTTGAGTTTCTAGATCAGTGCTGTCCAAGAGACATATAAAAAGAACCATATATGTGATTTAAACTCATGGCATAGCCATATTAAAAAAGAAAATGAGACAGGTAAAATAAATTGTAACATTATATTTATTTAATATATCTAAAATACTATTTAACATATAATCTATATTTTAAAATATAGGCTGGGTACTGTGGCTCATGCTTGAGGCTGGGAGTTCAAGACCAGCCTGGGCAACATAGCGAGATCTTGTCTCTTAAAAAGAAATTTTTTTTTACATTAGCCAGTGTGGAAAAAAAAAGGAAAAAAAGAAACAAAAATGTAAAAAATAAAATAAAATTAGCCAACGTGGTGGTGTGCTCCTATAGTCCCAGCTACTTTGCAGGCTAAGGCTGAAGGATCAATTGAGCCCAGAAGTTTGAGGTTACAGTGAGCTACGATGGCACCCACTGCACTAGAGCCTGGGCAACCAAGTGAGATGCTATTGAGAGAGAGAGAGAGAGAGAGATTTTCCATCTTTGTGTTTTATAATAAGTCTTCAAAACTCTGCTGTGTGTTTCATTCTTCCAGCACATCTCAACAAGAACCAGGCACATTGCAAGTGCTCGCTAGCTAACAGCTAGTGCTGCAGCTCTAGGTTCCTAGCCAAGTCAGTTTCCTTCAGATGTCTGGCTGCAATGCCAGGGTGCATGTGTGTTGGGGCCAGGTTGGGTGGGTGCAAACTGGGAGGCACAGGAAAGAAATTCAAGATTTGGTAGGTACAAGGCACACTTGTAAAGACAGCTAGCAGCAGGGGGCCAGGCTAGGTACTGGGTGGGATAGGACAGAACTGAGCTTTAGAAATTGATGGGAATGAGTCAACCAAGAGCTGCGGCCACAGCCAGGACAGAAAAAACTCAGGAGGGGTGGGGCAGGAGAAACAATTCCATGAGGGTTGAGGCTGTGTGAGCCCCAGAGAAGGCCTGGCCACCTCATTGGGCAGGGGCAGCCCCCAAACTCTAACAAGGAGATTCTTCTTCAGCCAGAGGACCCAGCTCTGTGAGTCCAGGGAGCTTTGCCAAGAAGGATACTGCTGTGTTTGCTGCTCTTCCTGTTTCTAGGCACCACCCTACAGCATGAGTCTTTCTTTACCCCAACCCAAAGCAAACAGTGCAAGCTTGAGACAGCAATGCAAACTGTAATGACATTTAGGAGATGACCACCTCATCACGATTAGGCATGAGTGAGCCTTGGTACAAACCTCTGCCAGGCACTTACTAGCATGTGACTTAGGGAAAGTTACTCTCTGAGCTTCAGTTTCTCAGCTACAAAATGGAGGAGCTAATGGTGCCAACCCTGTTGCCAACCTCACAGGGTGACTGGGTGTGTTGGGGGAAACAGCGCTCCACACAGTGGAGGGCTCGATGTGCACTTGTGCCGCTACACACAGGCAGTCCACAGTTCCCTGCACATCTCATCTGATGCTGGAGCAGGAGGCAGCCTTTCCACTCATCTCACTGAGAAACAGAAAGAAGGGAGGCCTAGTGCTCTGCCAGGGCCCCACAGCTACAACCCAGCTTCAGGGTTCCCACTCTAGGGCTTGTTCCATGACTAGGTTGAAGACATTTCTGGTAAGTTTGAAAGGTGGGATTCTTTTTACTTTCTCTTTTCTTCTCTCTCTCTCTCTCTCTCTCGTGTGTGTGTGTGTGTGTGTGTGTGTGTGTGTGTGTGTGTGTGTTTTGTTTTGGCTTTTGTCGTTGCTGTTTGTTTGTGCTTCTAACCAAGAGGTAAGGCAGAACTTTAAGAAGCTGATGTCTTCCCATCACTTCTGTTGGTCCAAGTCATCCTCCTGAAAACCTAGGTGTGGGCTGAGCAGCTCAAAAGCCAAGACAGCAGAGAAAGCACAGAGTGGTGAGGGTCAGATGTGTGAGGGGAGAGGGTCCACTTGATGGAAAGAAGGGAAAGAGAGGCTGTGGGTGGGGAGGTTTGCCAGATGCCTGGCTGGGCTGACCCACCCCAGGTTCGGGAGGCCTAAAGAGCAGCTGCATCTTTTGAGGACTGTATAAGGGGTCAGAAGCCCCACCTCTTCCTACCACCCTTGTACAGGGGAGAGCAGGGTTCTCATTTCTACAGCGCCCCCCACCGCCGGTGGGGCAGGGATGCAAGCATTATCTCACCTCTTACTCTGTGTCCTGGAAACAACCTGGGAAGTCATCTTGTCCAAACATTTTGTTTTGCAGGAGATGAAACTGAGGCAGAAAGCGGCTGAGAAATATTCTCAAAGTCACACAGCTAGAGTGGCTGAGCTTGGTTTTATGCAACTGATCGGAGAAGGTAGTGGACAGAGGAGAAGAAAGGAAGAGACAGGGCCCCAGGGCAAGAAAGAAAGGGATTGACAGGGAACGCCGCTGCAGGGAAGGGACTTCGGGGACTGCTCAGCATGTCCGCACAGGAAAAGAGGCCCAAGCCCTTGTTCGGTTCATTCCAAAAAGTGGATTGACATCAAGATGAATGGCCAATTAGGGAAGATTGCAGAGACAATTTACAGAGCAAGTTCGCTCATATTCTGGGGCTAGATCAGTTGGGGGAGACTCCAAAGGCCCGTCTTCAGTAAAAATAATCTGATGATCGCTAATTCTATAGCCATTAGCTTTGGAGAGACTGGTGTGAGACGGTGTAAAGTGTTAAAATGACTCTCTTCCTTTGGGGGAGAACTTACAGCCTTAATTCAGCTGGGGTTGCAGTCCATGGGTCTTAACTGAAAGAGAGAACATCAGTCCCAGGCATCACAACAGAGAAGCCCAGGAGACCCAAAGAATCAGCAATCTGTTTCTCCAGTACTTGAAGGACAGGGTAGACAATGGTCTTTGGAGGAAGTTTAAAGCTTTCAGACGTTGAGGTGGACCAGACGGCCTCTAAGGGTTTCTCCCTACCAGAAGAGTATTTGTTTGTATGGTTCAGTTACTAAATGGACACCATGGGCTATCCATTCTTCTTGTTCAAGCATCATAGAACCAAAGCCATGACCTGCCAGTCTAGAGCTGGCTTTCAGCTTGGAGCTTGCTTGAGCACAGGGGAAGGAGAGTGGGGTGGGGAATGGGATTCCACAACCTCTTCCCAGCTTCCCAGCTCTGATGTCCTCTCTCTCGCCTGAGGTGTGAGGGGGTAATGGCTCTGAGCAACCCTCACAGCCATACAGCGAGAGGATTAATTAATGTGGCTAACATGCTCGGAGATCCCTAAACGAGGACGTTAGCCAAGGGCCAACATTATTAGAGGGATGATGGCTATTAGGATTACGCTATTGTTATGATGTTTGCTTTCTCAACCCTTAAATCACACTCTACCTCGCCATCACTTGCATTTTGTGTAATTATAGTTTATATAGGTAACAAATGGATATTTCTGCAAGCCTGGGAGAGAGCCTTCTGCATACATTAATTTGCTTGATTAGTTCTCTATTTAGTATGCTCTGTTCCCCCAAACCCCCCTTTCCTGCCCAGCTTCAACAGAAAATTAATGAGTTTTAACACCTTGTAAAAGTGGGTTGTGCTGTGGGAATACCTTGAGTGTACTTTGGGTTTTAAATCCACACATTCAGAGGCTTCCTAAAGGTTATGCAAAGGTTAACAAACAATTAATATGTTGAATCAGTGTGCTAAATCTGTTTACCCAATCTTTGCAATCTAAAGGCCATTAGCCATCAGCCTCAACACTTACATTGATCTCTCTCTTTCCTAACCCACCCCCACTCTGTTCTCTGAATAATCTGAGTCAAAAGCAAGAAAAAGTTCTGAATCGAGAGCAGTAAATATCTCTGGAAAGTTTGGGGTTTCTTGCTACTTAAGCCTCAAAGCTTTGGGAATCGTAATAGACTTGATCAAGTTGTCAAAAATTTTGAGAATACAATGAAAGATGGGAAGCATTTCCACCTTTTTAACAATGAGCAAAATGTGAGTTAGTCTTGTACATGGATCCCATCTTGAGTTCATGGCTCTTGTGCTGATTCTCTCCCTTGTTTATAGGACAAAGGGGATGGAGAAGTGGTGGGAGATAATTCTCATCTTAGTGGACTAATTGGAAAGAGGCTTTCTACTACTCTCTAAGGAGAAAATTCAGCAGAGCTATTGGGGCCAGAATGTTTCTTTCCTTAAGAGAAAGAAGAGGGTAAGGAAATAGCCAAATGTAATCCAGGTGGTAAGATTGCCCCCAGGGGTCTCCTAGTCCTTCAAAGAACTTCATTGCTCTCCCTCATTTTAGGATGCCTTTGTTCATGATGATAATGATGATCATGACTATAATGAAGACCATGACCTTGATGAGATCGTCAAGATTTATCATCAGAGTCCAGTGGGCATGAGGAAAGCAACATGCAGCAGTCCTTCCCAGCCTGGCCCCTTAAGAGGAGCTTTCCTGCCCATGTGATCCACCTCTATCCTTGGCTCAACAGAAACAATCTCCCATGTTGACTGAGACCCCGTCTCCTTAGCCTGTTCCCAGACTTGCCAATCACCTTGTCTCCCTACCTATGACCCCTTTTGTGATGCTCATTCTTGCACACAGACTGCCAGATTTGGCCGGTGAGGTGATTCCTTAGACATGATCTGACATTGGCTCTGGGACTCAACTCATAAGCCTTGCTCAGGTCTTCTCCCTAGTGTCAGAGGCAACTCCTATGGAGAACTTCAAAGGTGGCATCATTTTCCTCTTCAAAGTAAATATTAGCAAGGACTAAGAGCTAGCTCTCTGTCTGCTTTCGGTTTTATTGGTAGGTGGGGCCCAAAAATTGTAACAACTAGAAAAGCACAGTCACTGACCAACCAGAATGGACACCTGATGGAAACAACCAGAATAGCTGTGCCCTTGCATGCCAGTCAAATGTCTGCCCTGGTTGTCTGGATATCAATGGGAAGGCATTGTTTTGGGTTCTATCAAAGTGCACTGCTCATGAATTTTCTTGATTACATTTGGCTTTCGCATTGTTTGTGAATTAAGCTTTGTTTAATTTTACTTCCACTTACAATACATTGGTATGTGCAAATACCTTTGTTTCTAAAACTTCGTGGATGTGAATATTAATGGTGATAATGAAGACATGTGTCAGGCAGTGTCCTAGGAGTTTTATGTGAATTATCTCATTCTGATTCTTTAGCTGAGGTACCTACAATTACTACTCCCATTTCATAGATGAGGAAAAGCAAGATTAAAGAGGCTGTGGAGTTTGATCAAGGTCACAAAACTGAAAAGTGATGGAACTAGCTCTCTTTGATGCCAAGACACATGTTCTCCTGCAAGAGAAAATATTCTACTTAACAAGATTTAACACACTGCCTTTTATCCCAGAGCAAATCAGATGAGTCATGTAAACCCACTGGCCTTTTTTCTGTACCTGGAAATGAGGGTATTTGAAGTATAACTTATATTAACAGATACGAAGGTAGAAAAATCATAGCTATCTAACAATCAGAAATAGAAAAAAAAAAGACAGTATACCTGCTTCATTGTACATTATCAGTCATTAAAAGTAAATTTCACAAAGAGTTTAACATTCAAGCGTGTTAATAATATCAAAATAATTGAATGAAGCAGGATATAAAAGTACATATTAGGCATTTTATTATTACAACTACTTAAAACATATCCAGAATGCTAAAGTATTTATAGGTGAAGGGTACTGATGTTCATTGCTTTGAAATGCACTAAAAATAAGATAATTGTAGAATCTAAGTAGTGGGTATGGAATGTTCACTTTATGTGTTTGAAAATTTTCAGAATAAAATGTTGAAAAATATGTGTAGAAAAAAAAGAGAGCGAAAGGAAAAACTTACGGATGTTAAGAACAGTCATCTTTGGCCAGGCATGGTGGTTCACGCCTGTAATCTCAGCACTTTGGGAGGCTGAGGCAGGTGGATCGCCTGAAGTCAGGAGTTTGAGACCAGCCTGGCCAACATAGTGAAAACCCGTCTCTAATAAAAACACACACACAAAAAAAAAAAAATTAGCCGGGCATGGTCGCACACGCCTTAGTCCCAGCTACTCTGCAGGCTGAGGCAGGAGAATCACTTGAACCCAGGAAGCAGAGGTTGCAGTGAGCCAAGATTGTGCCACTGCACTCCAGCCTGGGTGGCAGAGTGGACTTCATCTCAAAAAAAAAAAAAAAAAAAAAGAGCAGTCATCTTTATGTGATGGGATTATGGGTGATTATTTTTCCTCTTTCTAATCTTCTACTGTTTCAGTTACCTATTGTTATATCAAACCATCCCAACACATAGAGACTTAAAACTACATCCATTGATTATTTCTTATACTCCGTTTGTGAGTTGGTGACTTAAAACAACAGAACTATTTATTATTTCTCCTGATTCCATTTGCTAGCAGGGAGGTTCCTCAGCAGGTTTTGTTTGGGCTCAGGCAGTTGCTTTCAGCTGGAGAGTCAACTGGGGTGGGAGATCCAAGTCAACCTCCCTTACGCCGTTGGTAGTTGGTGCAGAATGATGGTGGGCCTTTCTCTCCATGTGGTCTTTCATCCCAGGCTTCTTCATGGATGTCTGTCTCAGGGCAATGTTCCTAGAGGAGAGCAAAGGTGGAAGCAGCAATGACTCATAAGCCCTAGCCTCAGAAGTTGCCTAGCTTTGCTTTCTGCCCCTTTCTATGTGGACAAAGCTGGTCTCAAAGCCAATGAAATTGCAAGGAGTAGACAAGCAGATGTCTCCTCTGGATGGGAGGAGTTGCAAAGCTGTATTGCAAAGGGTCATAATCCTGGATTGAAATGAATCTGGAGCCATAAAAAACCTACTACAACTACTGCGCTAGATGTTAAAATGGGATTCTTGTCTCAGTATTACTGAGACAAGACATTATTTCTACTGAAAGTAGAAAATAATGGGTGCAGAGTAAAGCAGGATGCTGGGCCAGCATGGCAGGGTCTCCAGTTCAGTCAGCACTCGAACATCATTGATTGTTTTAAGAGAAGGCTGTGAATGCATGAATCAGGATGAAGAGATTGAGAGTAAAGATTTCTTTAAAGAGGGAGAGAGTTAGTTGTTGAATACAAAGGCAGGGGCACTTAGAACCACTCAAAGGATTTGCTCTATGCCCCTAGAATTTGAAGGATGCAGGGATGCAACCTGACTCATGCTCCAAAATCAAAGACAGAGGGCCAGCTGGGATGGCCTGCATGGATGGGCAGCCAAGAGGCAGGGCAGGGGCAGGAAGCACTGCACTTGTTAGGTTTGGTGGTGCGAGGATACAGGTGCGCTTCCCGTGGACCAGACGTGGACTTCCCCTGAGAAAAATGCCTGCTTATAGGTCAGATATGGATCCCCTAGAAGTGAGTGCTCCCTGCTGGAGAAGTGAGGCGACCACAACAGAGGAGCTGACTGCTGTAAATTAGCGCTCTTATGGAGTCAGCTGGAGGAAGCACCGTCCAAGAAAATCCTCAGCCAGTGGGGAGATGGTGTCTCCAAAGAACCCTAAAGAGCACACACAGGAGAAACACACCCTCAGGATACCAGGTTACAACTGTTCCAGTCAACCAAGACTTTGCTTGCCCCCTAAGCCTCTCCCCCATCTTCCTCCCACACTGGCCCAGGTGGCAGAAGCCGACTACTGAGAGGGGGCGCGAGGAAGAAAACAGAGAAGAGGCAACTGCATACATGCCTGTGCCCACGGGCCAAGCTCAGCAAGGGGAGAAGTTATAAACTGCATGAGAGTTTGATATGAGACTGGGACTTGACATTTTATTACCTGAAGGAGCAAGACTCTTAATTAATACCTGGGAGTATCCAAAAAGCAAGAGAAAGAAAAAATGAATCCACAGAGCCAGTGTGCAGGGCAAGTCGGGGGAAGAGTAGAGTTGCTTTCTGTCTGCACCCCACCAAGCCAGCCCAACTCATTCATTTACCTGGTTACTTTATATTTTCCATTTTTTATATTAAACTGGCATGACTTATAGAGAGAATGAAAAATAAACTCTGTTTTTAAAAGGGAAGAAAAGAGCTTTGCACTCTACATTTCAGAGTTTTAAGATTGATGAGAAGGCGTCCTGACAAGAGTCTGGGTTGACCAGGAGAGGAAGGAAATGAGGCATACGCTTGGGAATTGGGAAGTAGGTTTCTTCAAGGTTTTGTGTCTAAATAAGTCTACAGACTTCAGCAAAAACAAGTTAAATAGCAAGCTCCGAAGTACATTAGCCACCCTGAACAATGTGATCCAGGTACCTTGCCCCAGAAAACATAGTCTGGCAATTTTAGACTGGCATAGCCGGCAATTTTAGAATATGAAAGGCTTCTTCTAGCATAAACACTTTCTTTCTTGCAAATTCCTGAGAAATGAACACTCAACCTGCTCTCAGGTCACACAAGGGAGAGACCTCAGGGAGAGAATTGTTTACAGCCTGGGTGAGCTCTTTACAGACACCTCAAGAGAGTCTAGATCTTCTGACTTCAAGTCAGGGTCTCTGAGGCCATGTTTCATATCTAAGGAAAAAAATAGTTTCATTGTTTTAAAGAAATGCCAAGCTGAAGATATGAGGGGAAAAAAATGGATAAGCTACACCATGCCCTTTGAATCATTTGGGTGCTTTATGCATAGATTTTTATCCTTAAAAATAGAGAGGGGAATTAGGTTATGTTTGGAAGGGCTGAACCATCAGATCTGGATTGCCCAGTGGCCAGCCCCGGGTGATGTCTGCCTATTGATTGTAGAGACACTGGGAAAAAGATGTGAAGACTGATCTAAAGTTACCAGCTCTGGAGAGGTTGCCAGTGCCTGATAATTGGCACACATGGAACGCAAGTCCATCTGAGAAGAGCAGGCTGGGTTCGCGCTGACTGGGGCTCCCTGGATGGAAACACCCCACCTCACCCCGACCTGTGAAAGAGACACCCACCTTGCTGCTCATTGCAAAGGGTGGTCTGTGCTTTGTGGAACTTCATGCCCCTCCTGAGCCCAATGCTCAATTCAGGAGGCCTCATTCGCCCGCTTGATGCTGATGGTTGAATGTGGTCTCCTTCCATCCTGGATTGCACTCTCAATTTGCAAGGATAAAGAAGGGAGACTTTCTGCAAAGATGATGCTCCCATTCATGATAAGGGGCAACATGCATTTCAGCTTCCTGCAGCCCAGGTTGGTGCCAGGGTGGAGGTGGGAGCTGATCATTTGCAAGGAGACGCGGAGAGATGTCGCCACACCTTCACTGAGAAGCACATCTGCTGCCAGAGTCCGCTTGTACTGATAGTGGAACATGGTCAGCTCTCTGGCTGTGATGTCCCCGCCAGCAGGAGGACATCCAGGCCCCTGATGGATGGGGTGGCTCTCTTATTTATCAAGCCATCAGAGTCTGCTACCTACCAGCACCTCAGCCTCTTCTGTTCCTCCTTCCACTAGTTCTTCGTGGTCTTGAACACTGCTTGTCCCCCAAGATGGCTCTCCCTTCTTCCTGAGCACATGGTGAAACTACATTTCCCAACTTCCCTTGCAGTTAGGTGGGGGCCATATAACTAAGATGTCTTCAAACAAATGTGAGCGGAAATGAGGGGTGCCACTGCCAAGCCTGAGCCTTCTCTACGTTCTCTCCCTTTCCCAGTGGCTGGAACCACAGCAGCTGAGCCTCAACCTATAGACAAAACCAAGGCCTGATGGAAGGAATTTGAGTGCCTCCAGGACTCTGTGGAACACTCACCTCAAACTGCTACACAACAAAGAAGTAAACTCTGTCTTACATAAGCTACTCAATTACTATCGGGTCTATTGGTTACAGCAGCCAAGCCTGACTTCTTACCAATACCCCCACTGCCTCCCGACTAAGAAGGCAGCAGTTCTCACCCCAGGGAGGTAGGGCAAGAGAAAGGTTTCTTAGAGGCAGAAACCACAATATAGAGAAGCATTCTGTCTGAGGCATCACCTAGGTGAGACCAGAGGCCAAGAAGACAAACCCCAAACCGTTCTGATTTCTCCTCCTTTCTTAATTATAATCCCATTTGTAAGCCAAACCCTTCATTCTGTCTCTCTTAATGGCTAGTTTCTATTCTGGTCCTTTTTCAACCCTATTCTCTTTTGCAATATTCAGGAGTTCAGGCAATGAAGGGGTAAGGCTGTTCCCTTAGAACGCCAGTCCCTTCTCTATCTTTTTAAATATTTCAGTTGCTCCCAATCCTTATTTTTGCATTTCGATTTCCTGTGGTACAGTAAATTTATCTTGGTCACTCAATCAAGTTCTACCTGGCTCTCTCCCCTCTTATCTCTCCTGCTCCGGGCTGACTGAAAATACCTACATTATCTTTGCAGCCAATATGCCGACTGGAAAAAAAATCTACAGATTGTCTTGATAGGGAGTCATCTGAGGGAAAACTTGGAAATGCTGGACTTGTCAGGACAAGGATGAAGTGTGAAACCTCAGTCAGTGACTTTCTTTCAAGGTTAACCGCATGGCGCAGGCCTCTTCCAGAGGCATTTATAAGGACTCTCCTCCTCTTTGTTTCAGTTCAGAAAGAGACCTTCCTTTGTATCTTTGTCCTCCCACGGAATAGGTTTACTCCTCACCACACCCCCTCACCTGGCCGTGGATCGCCTTGACCCGTGAGTCCCTGAGCCCCAGGCTTCCCACTTGTGACACCAATGTGCCATTTGCAAATTACTGCAAATATCAGTAGAGAGCTCCCAGCAGAACCCTACAACCTAAGTTTGAGAGAAAAGTTCTATCTTTGCTGCCTGGAATCCTGAGGCTCTCGAATCAGAGAATCTCTCCTTTGACTACGTTTTTCCCCCTCCTGGAGATTAGAACGTGGGGAGGATGGCAGGTGAAAATCTGTTCTTTTTAAAGAGGATTGCTGGATCCGGAACCAAATCTCAGTGGCAGGCCTTACTGAATGACCCTAAGCCCCCTCAGCTTTGGCGACAGATGGACTTTGCATGCGGCTCACTCTCTGGGAAAGTGCGTGGATATTGGGCCGCCAGCTGGCTTCATTTCCACCAAACCATAGCCTCTTGATGAGTAGCCTCATCACTCGGGCACTGGCCAGTGGGAAGGAGGGAGAGTGCAGGTCCTTGTCACGCAGGCTGACTGATGGTCGGTCGACCCACGTAGATCCAGGCCATAAACAACAGTTACTTGTTTGAGGTCCACATTGTATTGTCTTATCTGTTCAGAAGCCACAGATAATTTGAGGTCCCTCTCCTCAAAGGACACAAGGCCTTCAGCCTCAGCTCTTGGCTACATGTGGCCACCCCTCTCAAAGTTGGTAAGAAAAACCCTTCCCTCCTGCCTTAGAGCTTTTTCTTCTCCTTTCAGCCCACTTATTCCCCTCCCTTTGGGTTCCACTTCTGTTCACTCCTTGGGACATATCTCAGTCATTTTGTCCCATTGCATTTGATGACTCTGGACTTAGGGATGGGGAATAAGATATGCGTTTGGATCCTGCCAGATGGATTCCTCTTTGCAAATTTCTTGTGTGTTATAAGAGCAGCTCTGGTTTCTTCTTCGAGGTTTTAACACTTAGGAATTACATTTATCTTCCTGTAAGAGAGATCTGATCGATGTGGCCTAAACAGGATAAAGATTTATTTCTCTCTTGTGTTATAGAAAAAAAAGAAAGAGTCCGGAATAAGGCAGCCCAGAGCTGATCTGAGAGCTCCCAGGATCCTTTTTGCCTCTGTTCCACCATCCTCAGCACGTGGCTTCCATCCACACCATGGCTTCACAGTGGCTGCTGGAGCTCCAGTCATCATGTTTATATTCCAAGCAGGAGAAAAGAGAAACAGCCAAAGAGTTTCCACTTAATTGACTATATCTAATGGCAAAGGAGACTGGAAACTAGTTTATCACCTGGGCATGTTGTCCAAGGTCCTGACACTAAGGAAGAAAATAATGGATATCGGGAAGGCAACTGAGAGTGTTTGCCACAGAGGCAATCAGAGTGGTGGGGAGGAGTGGAAACACTGGGCCCAGATGCCATCCTTTGCTCCACTAATCACCAGGCGGGAGAGTTTGGATGAGTTACTTAATTTCTCTGTTCTTCTACGTCCTCATCTTTATACTTGCAGTAACCACAGTACTGACCTCACAGTCAGCAATACTATTATTGGTTGATTATTAGATGGATTATATAGGAAGCTACAGTGTTCCGGTGCATGGTAAGTGCTTGGTAAATGCTAGTTTTTGTCATTCCTCTGCCTATAGTGGCATTATTGATGCCCTCAACTGTTACCCTGCCTGGTACACACCCTTGCCCAAAGGCAGAATTGCATTTGGGCTCAGCTAAGGGAGTAGGGAAGAAAGGTTACAGTGCATCTCTTTAATTTCCCACTCCCAGGGCCCAAAGGACTCAAGTCACTTTGGAATGTCCCTTCCTTGTCCTCTCCCTTTTCCCACTAGAAGGACAAGGAGCAGAGAACACAGAGGAGGTGATGCAGAATGATGTCTCCATGTCCTTTCTATCCATCCCAAGCCCCAAGTTCGTATTGAAAATGCCAGGCCGGGTGTGATGGCTCAAACCTGTAATCTCAGCTGAGGTGGGAGGATTGCTTGGGCCCAGGAGTTTGAGACCAGCCTGGGCAATATAGTGAGACCCCATCTCTTAAAAAAAAAAAAAAGAAAGAAAGAAACATGCCAGCCCTCTTACTGTAGTCATTGCCAAGGATAACTGTGCATAACCCTGGTCCAGGGGCTTGGGGAATCCACTTGGCCCTTGCCCCAGGGAATTTACAGTCTAGAACAGGGATCGGCAAACTATAGCCTGCTGGCAAAATCTAGCCTGACAGCTATTTTTGTAGATAAAGTTTTAGTGGAAAATGGTCACATTCAACTGTTTATATATTGTCTATGGCTGCTGTTACATTACAACAGCAGAGTTTTGTACTGCAGTAGACATGGCCCACAAAGCCAAAATTCTTACTCTCTGGCTCTTCACGAAGAAAGTCTGCCAATTTCTGTTCTAGAAGGAGAAAAAGAACACACGTTTAAAAATATCAACAGGGGAACATAATCAAACAGTAGATTGGATGACATATGTAAAGGTAAAGTGAAGAGCCTGGAAGAACTGAAAGCGACAGCTAGCAGCGCGTATGTACAGAGAGAAGAGGAGTGGAACAGAATGAGGATATGGGCAAAGCTAACCTTGGCCTGATCTGTTATGCTTTGTTTTATAAGGATAGTAGACTTAGGTAGTTAAAAACTAATTTTTAAAAGAGTATATTGATTGCTGGAAAGACTGTGACATGTTTAACACTCTTATAGATTCCTAATAAAGTATAAATTAATATAACCCTTTTGGAAAGTAATTTGGAAAAATGTATTGAGAGCCTTAAACATGTTCCTACTCCTGGCCTCATAATTTCACTTCTGGGAATCCATCCTAACGTTATAAACTAAAATGTCAAAAATCTTTATGCACAAATATATCAATTGTGATATGACTGCTAGTAGCAAAAAGCTAGAACCACTTAGATGGTTAGTTACATAGAAGTTAAATAAATTATGAGGCCATGTACAGTGGCTCATGCCTATAATCCCAGCACTTTTGGAGGCCAAAGCGGGTGGATTGCTTAAGACCAGGAGTTCGAGACCAGCCTGGCCAACATGGCAAAACTCCATCTCTACAAAAAAAAAAAAAAAAAATCAACCGGGCATCAGCCGGGCATGGTAGCACATGCCTGTAAGTCCCAGTCACTCAGGAGGTTGAGATAGGAGGATGATTGAGCCCAGGAGGTGGAGATTGTAATGAGCTGAGTTTGCCCCACTGCACTCCAGCATGAGCTACTCAGGAGGCTGAGGTGGGAGGATGATTGAGCCCAGGAGGTGGAGATTATAGTGAGCCGAGTTTGCCCCACTGCACTCCAGCATGGGCAACAGAGTGAGACCCTATCTCAAAAAATGAAATAAAATAAAAAGAAATTATGATACTTCCATATGATATATAGTGACTAAAATGATGTTCACAAAGAATTTATAAATAATTTGGGGAAATGCTAAGTGAATAAATAGGATACAAAATCATATGTAGTTTCATCAGAGTTGTATTAAAAAGAAATATTACAACCAGAGGATACCCAAATGTCACAAAAGTTATCTTCAGAGGAGTGTATGATTTATGTTTTTCTTTGTTATATTCATATATATTTTTTGTTCTAGAACATCTTGGTTTTATTTTCATGAGGGGGAACCTGCATATCATCTTGAATTCTAGGGGTTTTCAAAGAGTGCTGTCATGAACTGAACGTTCCTATGTTGAAATCCTAACCTCCAGTGTGATGGTAGCAGGAGGTGGGGCATTTGGGAGGTGCTGAGGTCATGAGGGTAGAGCTCTCATGAATGGGATTAGTGCCCTTAGAAAAGAGGCCCCAGAGAGTTCCATCATCTTTTCTCCACATGAGGACTCAGTGAGAACATAGCCATCTCTCAACCAGGAAGCAGACCTTCATGAGGCACCAAATCTGCCAGGGCCTTGACCTTGAACTTCCCGGCCTCCAGAACTGTGAGAAATAAATTTCTGTTGTTTATAAACCACCCAATCTAAGGTATAGCAGCCCAAACAGACTAAGACAGGTGCCAAGTTGATCAGAGATTCCGTGAAAACAGAAAAGAGAAGGTGGGTGTTAATCACCTCATTTCTATAGGGTCAGGAAAGCAAATAGAGGGAAAGGAGAGATTTACACTCCATTCCACCAAACTGACAGGCCAGAAGCATGCTCTGTGGACACAGCCCCACCGCATGCTCCTTCACCGTGCTCCATCCTCCACTGCTGAGAGCCTGGTGGGTAGGGGCTTAAAGGGCCAGCCTCTCCCCACTCCACAGAGTGAGGTTTCAGCTTCTTCCAGGAGCAGGGGTCCAGCTCTTCAAGAGAGAGGGAGAGGAGAGAGGGTCAAGGATGAACAGGGTCCAGGCTCGGTGACTTATGCCTGTAATCCCAGCACTTTGGGGGGCTGAGGTGGGCAGATCACTTGAGGTCAGGAGTTTGAGACCAGCCTGGCCAATATGGTGAAACCCTGCCTCTACTAAAAATACTAAAAATGCAAAAATTAGCTGGGTGTGGTGGTGGGCACCTGTAATTCCAGCTACTCGGGATGTTGAGGCAGGAGAATCACTTGAACCCGGAAGGCAGATGTTGCAGTGAACCAAGATAGTGCCACTGTACTCCAGCCTTGTGAGACTCTGTCAAAATAAATAAATAAATAAAAAGCTGAACGGGGGAGGGGGGCATCCATTTTCTCTCAAGGGACTTTTGAGTCACTGGGATCCCTGCCTCCTGAAAATTTTCCTCTGGTTCAGACCTTCAGTTCAATTCTGAAATCTGCAGCAACCCTATTTGTTTGGGCTTCTCTTCCCTTATCCTAAAAAAAAGACAAGAAATAATATCAAAGCTGGGTCCTCAATCCATGCAGTATGTTAGGAAGGCTCCAAGAGATGAGGTCTGCTTGAAGGCGGGAAATTTGGCATCTATATGGGAAACCCTTTGGAAAACAGCTACAGACCCTTCTGCAAATCTCAGCCCCTCGGCTTTGGGGTATGAAAGAACAGGCCTTGAATTCTAGCTTCGCCATGCCTGACCTGGATGTGTGACCTCAGGAAAGATACCTACATTCTCTGAGCCCCATTTGATTCATTTGTAGGTTAGGGTAGGGGATGGCCATCCAATAAGTGTT
Source organism: Homo sapiens (assembly GCF_000001405.40). Lineage (NCBI taxonomy): Eukaryota > Metazoa > Chordata > Mammalia > Primates > Hominidae > Homo > Homo sapiens. Next base: position 57,781,270 of record NC_000017.11, read on the forward strand.
GCTAAAAAATACCAGAAATAATTTTTGTAATGTACACTGTGCAATAATTGGCACATTATAGGTTCTCATAAAAGGCATTTTTACTTATCAAATTACATTTTCTGAGCACCCTGATGACGGGAGGGCAGTAAACTGGAATCAGGCACTAATCTAGAAAGGATGGTTAGTCTGTATGTTTTCCAAAGCAAAAAGAATCATGAGTTCTATTTATAGGCTCTGATGCATTCAGCCTTCAAGAAGCAACTCAAACCCAGGCCTCCATCCCATCAGCACCATCCCTGCCCCCTGCCCCAGTCCAGTGTTCCTGACCACAAAAGCCTGAAGCACGCCCTCTCTCCCCTAGACAAGGGGAGCAATCACTGTCAGAACCACTCACTTGATAATTAATCACAAAGGGACCTGTGACATCTCTTCTTCTGTAGTCGAAACTGATATGTTCACTGTTCCCAGATACTGAACTCCCCACGTATTTGGATCTCGTCTCTTCAACTAGATTACAAGTCCCTTGAGGGTGAGGTGCTTCCTTTACTTTTCGCATTCGATAGGAGATTGATACTTGTCGCACTTTGAATTTTTGTGTTTGTTTAGATCTAGTCCACAGGAAGTACAGCTACACTTGGCAGGCGCAGGGTGGAATAGCTGTAGTTCTAAACAGATCAGGACAGCTCTGGGACTGGCTGCTTCCAAGAGGGAAAGGCAAAATGCAAAGAACTCACAGCAGGAGGGGGCTTTCTGTGCCCCTCAATGTGTGGCTCTAACCACATCAGTGGGTGGAGGGCAACGCGATGCTGTCAAATCAGGGACCAGGTTTGTGTCTGGGGTGATGCCAGGACACTGGTTGCTTCCTGCCACCCACAGCTGCATCTGGGAGTCCTGGGCAGCAGCCACCTGGGGAAGCCAGACTTAATCAGGAAGTGTGGGGGCTGTCAGCAGGGGCAAGGGGCCACGCAGCCAAGCCAATTCTGGAATCTTTTGGAAAGAGGAAACATCCGGCTCCTCCTCCCTCACATCTCTGCTTCTGGGTCTGGGCTTGTGGGTCCCAGCTTGGGCTAAGGAGGGCCATGCTCCGGGTGGGAGCAGCTGTGTCCCCACCCCCTCCTTCCCATGCGACTTGAGGCCCTCTGGTCAGGACTGGAGCTGTCACATGCAGCCAGCAGCTGTGGTGGCGCCAGGCTCAGGCACCCACCACATGGCTTCCTTTTTTTTTCTGAGATGGAGTCGCCCAGGCTGGAGTGCAGCGGTGTGATCTTGGCTCACTGCAACCTCCGCCTCCTGGATTCAAGTGATTCTCCTGCCTCAGTCTCCCGAGTAGCTGGGATTACAGGCACGCACCACCCTGCCCTGCTAACTTTTATATTTTTAGTAGAGACGGGGTTTCACCATGTTGGCCAGGTTGGTCTCAAACTCCTGACCTCGTGATCCACCCACCTCGGCCTCCCAAAGTGCTGGGATTACAGGCCTGAGCCACCGCGCCCAGCCCACATGGCTTCCTTTTGATTTGGGGCCTCCCTGGCCAGCTGTGCCTCCCCCGCTACCAGGGCAGCAAATGGCCAGTGGTGTCCTCGCAGAAGGGGCGGAGGAGGGCGGGGAAGGATTAATGCCACCTGCTTCCCTCCTCGCCCTGTTTCATGTGACATGCACTTCAAAGCCACAGGACACTGCTGCCCTTCTTTGTTGCATCCCTGCAGATACGGGAATCTGATTTTCCCAACTAGGAATTTGTATTTCAGCGGTTCTAGTGCTTGGGATCTTAGAAAGAAGCTTGCTCAGAAAGAACTTAGGAAACAAAGCGATGTTTGAGTGCCTGCCCCGCAGCGGATCTACCCGTTCCAGGAGCTGAGCGAGACACCTACCACCTGCCAGACCCAGGGCATAGCCGAGGGCCTTAGCCTGCTGTCCCCACCGGGTCCCCACTATTTTAACACCAACACCCTGAAACCATGGGCCACCACCCCCCACCTCTACCCCGCCCCTACCCCACGACCCTTTCACCAGAGCAGAGGTTTTTCACAAATCTCCATAGAGATAGCTTTGCTAGCAGCAGCAGCAGCAGCAAACTCTGATGCAGAATGAGGAAGGGGAGAGCCTGGGGGTGTGGGTGGCGGGGGAGGGAGTCGTCGCAGTCCGGGAGCCAGGCTCTCGGCGCGTTGGGTCCGCCTCTCGTGACAGCAGAGCGCCCCCTGCTGCCCGAGCCCGGGTGGTGTCGCACAGCCAGGTCGGGGAGGGGGCGGAGCTGCTTCCTGGCACAGCGGGTCGCCCAGACGGGCGGGAAGAGGATGCAGTCTCTCGGTACTGAAGTCTGCCTGCAGTGGCCAAGGTCTGCCGCAGCCCCTCTGGGTTGGGGGCAGTTCTCTAGGGCGTCCTGGTTAGGTCAACGGGGGCTGGTTGGGAACCTGGCTCTACCATGCACCGCCTGCCCCGCTATGGACATATGGTTTAACCTCTGAAGCTTCTGTTTCTTCATTAAATTGAGATCATCAATTGTACCTGCATCACAGTGATGTTTTACAGAGATAATTCATGTAAAGCACATCCTAAGGTTTCAATAATAGTAGCTTATTATTATTGATTCAGCTGACACCTCTACAACTAAGTGATAGAACAACTGAGAGGGTCTGGTAGACAAAAGTCAGGGGATTTGTTTTTTCAAAGCATTTTCATCATTAAATGGATCTGATCTGGTCGCATGGGCACATTTGAGGGACATGCAACTTTGCCTAAAGGGGAAATAAATGCCAGAGATATTCACAGAAACATCAACCACAAACAATTACTGAACACATTGATCAATGCTCTAAGCTGTACAATAAAGAAAAGGGAGGAAAGTTATGTTTAGGGCAGCTCAGCCCTGCATTCTCAAATCTTCCCTCTTCACTGGATATCTATTAACTACAAACATGCTGAAACATCTCCCATATAAGAAAGCAAACAAACAAAAAAACTCCTTGCACCCTATCTCCCTCCAGCTAGCCCCTTACACCGGATGTCTTTCCTCCCCTAGAGGGCCAAATTTCTTGAAACACGCTCAGTGACTCCCTTCCTGTCCTGTTAGCTCTTGAACCCACTTAATCAACTGTCTGTGCCCACTTCACCTTCCCTGCCCTTGTCAAAAACACCATGACCCACACCGTTCATCCCGTGGCTCATTCTCAGGCCTCTCCCCTCCACCCATCAGCGACACTGACGTAGTTGATGGGCAGCTCCTTCCTGATCCTTGAAGCACTTCTTCCTTCGACTCACCCCTGGTTCTCCTCCTACCTCTCTGGCCAGTCCTTCTCTGTCACCTTTGACTGGAAGCTCCTCTTCTCAACCCCCAAACATCAGGACACTCTGGCTCGGTGTCCAGCCTCTGCTGTATCTGTGCGTCCTCTCAGCCTTATGCCTTAACTGCTGCACAACGACGCTGTCCACATGCATATCTCTAGCTGAGCACCTCTCCTGAACTCCACATTTGCATATCCCGCAGCCTCTTCACCATCTGCACTTCGGTGCCCCATCGACATCTAACTTAACATGTCCAAACAGAGCTCTTGATTCCTCTCTCCTCCCTGCCTTTCCCATCGTTTTTTTTCTTCACTGGTTTCTCCTGAGAAATCTTTCCCATCCTAATATGGGTAACTTCACAGTTCTGGTTGCTCAGGTCAAACAGCGTGCTCATCCTTATGTGTCTCTCTTTCACACCTTCCACCAATCCATCAGCAAATTCAATCAGTTTGACCTTCAAGATGTGTCTAGAATCTGCCCACTTCTTGAAATCTCCACTGCTACCCCCAGTCCCAGCCACAGCCATCTCCTGGCTGGGCTCCCAGCTTTCACCCTGTTCCTCTGAGGACATTTCCACATAGCAGAGTCTTTTATGACAACAGCTGAATCGTGTCACTCCTTGGCTTAAACTCTCCAAAGCTTTCTCTTCTCACTAAGAGAAGAGGATGCAGGGTCCTTGCACGGACTCCAGGGCCACATGTGGTCTTGCCCCTGGCTTCTTCTCCAACCTTATCTCCTACCCTCCCCGTGCTCACGTCACTCCAGCCGCACTGGCCTCCTTGCCATTGGTGGAGTGTGCTGAGCATGATTCCGCCTGAGGTCTTTGTCCTTACTGCTCTCTTTTCCTGTAACACTCCGACCCCAGACAACCACAGGGCTCCTTCCCTCACTCCATTCAATCTGTGCTCATTGTAGTAGCAAGGCCTTCCCTGACCACTCTCTATAAGATAGAAACCCCAACCTTTCCCCTTACTGTGTGTATTTTTTCTTCATAGCATGTATCATCACTTGACATAGTATAAGTTTCATAGTTATTTTTTGTCTCCCCCAACTAGATTGTAAGCTCCATGAGAACAGGAACTTTGTTTTGTTCACTGCTGTATCCCCACTTCCTAGTACAGTGCCTGGCACATAGCAGCTGCTCAATAAATATGTGTTGACTGGCCAGGCACAGTGGCCCACGCCTGTAATCCCAGCACTTTGGGAGGCCTTGGTGGGTGGATCACCTGAGGTCAGGAGTTCAAGACCAGCCTGGGCAACATAGTGAAACCCAGTCTCTACTAAAAATACAAAAATTAGCCGAGTGTGATGGTACGCGCCTGTAATCCCAGCTACTCGGGAGGCTGAGGCAGGATAATCGCTTGAACCTGGGAGGCAGAGATTGCAGTGAGCCGAGATTGTGCCACTGCACTCCAGTCTGGGCGACAAAGCAAGACTCTGCCTCAAAAAAAAAAAAAAAAGTGTGACTACAGGAATGAATTAGTCCATACTGACAACCCCCCACTGCCTGGCTAGGAGGCAAAAGATCCAAGGGCAGCTTCAGCACTGACTTCAGAGACATATTCATGACTCTGTGCTTTGTCTTTCACCAATAACCCATTAGATAGGCCTATAACTAGAACATAAGCAATAATGCTTTAGCATTCTCGGTCTCAAAAATATTATGTAAAACCTTTAAAGGTTGTGAGATAACATGATATCTTCCACTTCTGGGCTAGACAATCAGATTTCATTTTTTTCCATCATAGGAACAGAGACAAACTTGTGAAATCATTCACCCCAGATTTTCTCTCTGTTATATCATGTCATCACTTCTATCACTCATTGTTCTAGTGATACATTCAAAATAATGAACATTCAGGGAAATGCCGGCTGGGTCCAGGATGGCCCTGGCTGTTTTTAATCACACTCTTAAATAAAAGCAGAAATGCACCTGACCTTGTAGCATCTTCGGGAGAAAGAGGGTCAATGCTTCTAAATCTAAATCTCCCAACTTATTTCACCTAAAGATCAATTGTAGAATTGTGTGCACTGCAAGAAAGACCAAGAATATACTCAAAAATTGACAGAAGGACAGTGGCTTAGAAATCCACTCTTTTCCACAAATTGCACCCTCCCAGAGTCTATCAACTTCCCAGCCATATGCAATATCACTTTCCTGTGTTCATCTTGCCTAGATGGGGATGCCTTTGGGTGAGTGAGACATCTCCAAATAAGTAAAAGCTGTTTCAACTGGCTCCCACTTCTGTTTATTATGGAGTACCGTGAGCTGCCACCAAGCAGAAGATCCCGCTCCTGATATTCATGGTACTTTTAACTTACCAAAATCATGTCATGTATTATTAATCTCTATGGGAATAGGTGCAAAGCACTGACATCTTCCAGCAACCCCTTGATCCACTTGGTTCTATCCCTAGCCTCTCATGCTAGTTCACCCTTTTTAAGTCTATGTTCTGATTTACTTCTTCTTGGTGCTCTTGGGCCCTGGGAATGCAAAGTCCTTTCTCTTTGGGTCCAAGGTTTACCCCTCAGCCTTCAAATGTTAATTATTCTCCTTGAATATGACCTCATTCTTTCATTCAACAAATATTTGGACTGGATAAACTGATATAAATTCACAATTACCATTAGTGTGCTAAGTACTAAATAGAGATATTTATAAGGTGCCAAGGAAGCCTAGAGCAAGATTACTGGGTGGGGAAAGAATCTAGAAGATGGATTAGGGTTGGGGGCTGAAGGCGGCTCACCAGTTGGGAAGTCACTGCAATAGCCCAGGCAAGACACTGGTAGAGCAGCTGTGAGTGGTGGGGATGGTGCTGGGGATGGACTGGACCAGGGAAATTACAGAAGTAACTGGATAAGAGGGAGAGGGGCAAGTCCAGGGATACTCCCAGCTTTCGGGTGCAGATAACTAGACATCCACATCCCCAGAAAGATTGTTTGCCACCCCTTTCTCCTTTCTCTTCCTTACCTTCAGGATCCAGCCCATGTAATTGTCCCCAGTATAGTCACAGCTCCAACCTACCAGTCTCATCACACACCCTCTCTGTGACTCAGTTTCCTCATTCATAAATGGAAGCAATAATAGTCATTTCCAAGTAAGTTCGCAGTGATGAATAAACAGTTAATCTGTGTAAAGTGTTTTGGATAGTATCTGAGACATAATAAGCACTCAAAAAAATGTTAGCTATGGTCATCATCATTAAGGTCATCATTTCTTCCCAACCGCCCATCCTGAACCACCGTGCTTCTTTCCCACCTCAAGGAGCTATCCGTGTGTTCTTGGCTCCTCTGCTCTAGGTCTATGCACAGTCTAACATCTTTCCAAGATTTATTTTTTAGATTCCCAAATTTCTGCTGTGGAGGAACTCTTTGCTGCAAGACTTTAACTTGTTCTCAAAGTAAGCTGAATTAAACATGGAGATGCCTCCCTCGGCACCCCCAGCACTCCGCTTCTGCTGTATCCACAGCCGAATGAAACAATATAATCAGGACAGAAACTCCATTCCTTGGGTGGGTGCTGCCAACCACCTGCCTGGCTCCAGTTGAAACCTGCTTGTTTCTTTTTCCACTCTCTAAATGCTCACAGATGTCTGTCTGTTTTCCTCTAATACTTGACTTCCAAAAGATGGGGGATGATTGGCTACTTGTAAATATGTTAATCTCTCTTTTTCTTTCTCTCCTAATATCAAAAGAAGCAGGGGGTGCATGAGGGGATCTTTTTCTCCTGGGTGGAGTTAAAGTTGGCAAAACCTGCCAACAACTTTGTTGCATATTGAAGGGGGCTAGGAATAGTGCATTCCTTGACCAGAGAATTTGACTGAGCTCTTAACCCCTTAGCGTTAATCGCTCCACCTCCACTAGGGCTTTGAGAAGCATTAGAAGGACCCCAAACCAGGGAGTGGCCAACATGACCACAGACTAGTAGGAACCAGACAGGGTCTAGCTGGGAGAATTGGTTTCTGAATTGCTACAGGACATTCAGATTAGGGAACTGTTCCCAGGAGGAAAAGGCAGGAATGAACACCAGTGGTCCAAGCTGAGAATGGGAGAACGAGGACATACTCTAAGCATGTCCTCCACCACAAGCCTGCTTTACAGCATCTTTCAGAAAGGGCTGAAGGCTTTACATAGGAGAAGATACTGTCTCTGGTGTCAGAACCTTTAAAGTTTGTATCTGAGCAGGAAAATATTTACTATAGAAGGTGTGGTACATGGAACAATGTCGTTCAAAACTTAAAGACTCAAATCTGAACTATCGTGGGAGTGTAAGTTTATGCAAAATCTGTGAAAAGCAAATTGGCCAGATGAGTCAAGAGCCATAAAAATATCCATTATCTTTGACTCAGAACTCCCACTTCTGCATTCGATCCTAAGGAAATCACTCCAAATGCAGAAAAAGATGTCTGCTATGGGGCAAAAATGGAAACATCCCATCTGCCCATTTATAGGGGAAGAGTGAAAAAAATCAGGAGGAGCTCCTTGAGAAACCAGCTGGCAACATGTCTCTTACGAAGAGTACATGAAAACATGGAGACATTTTATAACAAGGCTGGAAACAGCAGTTACACTAACATTTGTATATGCTAGAATTTCAACCATTGGCTGAAGATGATGGAGACAGTGCATTTCAAAAGAAAATGAACAGAATGAAATAGACGAAAATGGATTTATGCTCGTGTTTCGGTGATAGAACTATGACTAGATTTTTTTTTTATTTTCCCCTTCTTTTGTATTTTTCAAGAGTTCTTTGATGAGGTGTTTTACTTTTAAAATGGAAAATAAGTATGGGTCTTCAAATTAGAAAATCCATCAAGAGTTTTTGATCTAACCTCAAAATGAAAAGTTTTTCATGGAAGTCATTTTTCCAGAATTTATTTCATTCCACTGAAAAGTCTATTGGCTTGGAAGTTCTGGATGTGAGGGCGATCTGGCTGCAACGTCTGTCACCCCATTGATCGTCAGGGTTGATTCGGCTGATCTGGCTGGCTAGGTGGGTGTCCACTTCCTCCCTCAGCACTCCATGTGCGTCCCTCCGGAGGCTGAAGAGGATGACCATCCCCGACAGAGGAGGACCGATCTTCGGTCAAGGGCATATGAGTAGCTGTGCTCCCTTGCTAGAACCTCCAAACAAGCTCTCAGGTTATGCCACTGGAAGTATATTAACACATCTTTGCTCCCTGAAAATGCCCATGCTTCCTGAGCTTTCATCTCCAAACAGGAGGGATATTGAGTGGGGGCAGAAGCAATTATGGTATATACAGCCAACTACAGACTGCTGTTTACACAGGAACACCCCAAGAAAGTCAGGATAAAGCCTTGCACCAGATGACCTGATTTACCTAAAATACTGCCTCTCTTTATGGGCAGTCCCAGGCAGATCTTTCAGGAGTACCCGTCTTTTGTGTTGCAGACACAGATATGAGAGGACCCAGAAACGGAGGAGGAATAAGAGTTTGAGTATGAGAACCCATTTCCTTCAAGCCTGCCAAAACAGTCCAGAACCTGTGTGCTGTGAACTGTGGAATGAGCCAGGGCCACTCAGAAGTCCTCCCCACCCACCAGCAAGCCCTGCAAAAAGGAGAAACAACTAATCACAGTGACTTGTGTGCAGCATCCTGAATCCTAAAGACAGAGCTACTTCAGGGAATACCTGGGTGGATACCAGGCGGGAAGTCCAAGCAGCACCACCTGCGCCTCTGTCCCAAAGGGCTGACACCCCCTGTAAAGGCAGAATCAGCAGATCTCCCAGGAGCTCCAGAGTGAGTGAGCTAGGGGGTGGGGGATTGTTGCCTAAAGGGCATTTTTTTTTTTTTTGCATACTGCTTGAGAGAGCCTGTTAGACTCACCTCTTAATTGCGACTATTCTGTTTGTGAAACAGAAAGAGATTGGTAGATAAATGCATAAGGAAACAAACAAAAGGACCACCATCAGAAGCCCCCCTATTTTATCAGAGACAGCTCTGGTTTGGTTAGCCTCCAGGCAACTTCTTGGAGGGTCCTGCATCTTTGAAACCTCTAACTTCCTTCTCTTCCACACCCCTCCCCATCCTGAACACCCATCTCACTCCTGGCTGTTTATCTTTTTTTCAGCCAATCAAAGAGCTAAGCAATTTTTTCACTTTTATAAGGAAAATTTAAGAGTATAATAAACCCCATGTACCCTTGTCCCAGATTCAATAATTTTCAAATCTTGTTTCATCAGCATTCCCACCCACTTTCTTCTTCTCCACCAATTATTTGGAAGTAAATGCCAAACATTACGTTATTTTATCCATAAAGAGTTCACTATATATAAATCTAAAAGATGAAGTCTTTTTAAAAACAGTCTCGGCTGGGCACGGTGGCTCATGCCTGTAATCCCAGCACTTCGGGAGGCCGAGGCAAGTGGATCACCTGAGGTCAGGAGTTTGAGACCAGCCTGGCCAACATAGTGAAACCCCGTTTCTACTAAGAAGAAAAAGTTAGCCAGGCATGGTGGCGGGCACCTGTAATCCCAGCTACTTGGGAGGCTGAGGCAGGAGAATCTCTTGAACCTGGGAAGTGGAGGTTGTGGTGAGCCGAGATCTCGCCACTGCACTGCAGCCTGGGTGACAGAGACAGACTCCACCTCAGTAAATAAATAAATAAATAAATAAATAAAAACATTCTCACTATACCATGTTCAACTTCAACAACTTAACAATAATTCTTTCCTTTTTTTTTTCTTTTTTTTTTTTAAGAACATTCTGGATTCTGGGATCTGAACCCGACTCCCTTTCTATCAGCTGAAGGGACTGGAGGCCATTGCAGGTCCTTTCGGAATGGCACTCACCCATCTCTCAGGACCAACTGACCCATGTTCAACTGCTGTTCACAATAATAATCCTTTAATATCATCAAGTATCCAGGCAGTGTTTAACTTCTTCTGTTTGTCTCATAAATTGTTTTGTCTGTTTATCTGAGTCAGGATCCAAATAAGGTCCTTATAATTGTGATTGGTTTTGTATCTTAAAACATAAAGAAACTTAAAAAGAGCCGAGTTTTAAAACCACAAAATCCAAATTCAGGTCAGGTGACATTTGTTTCATTCTCATTCAACAGATATTTATCAAGGACTTCAAATGCACCAGGCCTGTGCCCTACGCTGGGATACAGTGATGACCAAGAGCATACCTAGAACCTGTGCCATAGAGGGAATCTGGTGAGAAAAGCAGACATTGATCAGATGATCACAAAGTAAATGGGACATCTAAAATATTGAAAAGCATCATGAAGGAAGGTGCTATAGGGACCAAGAACATGGAGCTTACATAACTTTTTTTTGTTTTTTTTTATTTTTGAGACAGAGTCTCACTCTGTCACCCAGGCTGGAGTGCAGTGGTGCGATCTCAGCTCACTGCGAACTCCACCTTCCGGTCTCAAGCGATTCTCCTGCCTCAGCCTCCCAAGTAGCTGGGATTACAGGCGCCTGCCACCATGCCCGGCTAATTCTTGTATTTTTAGTAGAGATGGGGTTTCACCACATTGGCCAAGCTGGTCTTAAACTCCTGACCTGATCCACCCACCTCAGCCTCCCAAAGTGTTGGGATTACAGGCGTGAGCCACCATGCCTTGCCGAACTTACATAACCCTAAAAGACAGAATTAGGACCAACAGTTAAAGTGCTGGGGAATCCAATTAGGGCACAGTAGAGGGAAGAATTCAAAAGTTACTGAGTATTTCAGCAAGCAAGAATATATGACTCAGGTTGGTCACAGTGGCTCACATCTGCAATCCCAGCACTTTGGGAGGCCGAGACAGGTGGATCACCTGGGGTCAGGAGTTTGAGCCTAGCTTGGCCAACATGGTGAAACACCATCTCTACTAAAAATACAAAAATTAGCTGGGCATGGTAGCGGGCACCTGTAGTCCCAGCTACTCGAGAAGCTGAGGCAGGAGAATCGCTTTAACCCGGGAAGCGGAGATTACAGTGAGCGAAGATCATGCCACTGCACTCCAGCCTGGGTGACAGAGCAAGACTTTGTCTCAAAAAAAAGGAAAAGAAAAAAGAATATATGACTCATAATGAAGAGAAAAATCAAGCATCAGAAACATATCCTGAAATGACACAGATGATAGAATTAGTAGACAGTGTGTTAAAAGTAGCTATTACTTCACATGTTCAAGAAGGTAGAGGAAAATGATTATGATAAGAGTAGGCAAGGAAATTTTTTTAAAAAGAACCAAGTCAAACTTCTAAAGATAAAAAAAAATTCATCTGAAATGAAAAATACTCTGGATAGGATTGCCAACAGATTAGACACTGAAGAAAAAAGATTAGTAAACTTGAAGATACAGCAACAAATACAATCCAAAGTGAAACAGAGGGAAAAAAGACCCCAAATATTGAACTGCGTATCAATGAGCTGTGACACAACATTAAACATATGTGTAACTGGAATCGCAAAATGAAAGGAGAGAGGGAGGACGAAAAAATATGAAGAAATAGTGACCAAAATCTTTCCAAATTTGATTAAAAAGTTATGAACCCACACATACAAGGAGCTCAATGAACTCCATGAACAAAAAACATGAAGAAAACTGCATCAAGCCACATCTTGATTACATTACTTAAAATCAGTTATAAAGTCTTGAAAGCAACTGGAGAAAAAAAAAGAGACATTGCAGAGGAACAATTATAAGAATGACAGCAAACTTTTTATCATAAACAATGCAAGGCTGGGCACAGTGGCTCACACCTGTAATCTCAGCACTTTGGGAGGCCAAGGTGGCTGGATGACTTGAGGTCAGGAGTTTGAGACTAGCCTGGCCAACATGGCAGAACCTCATCTCTACTAAAAATACAAAAATTAGTCAGGCATGATGGCACACGCATGTAATCCCAGCTACTTGGATGGCTGAGCCATGAGAATCACCCAAACTCAGGAGGCAGAGTTTGCAGTGGGCCAAAATCACACCATTGCACACCAGCCTGGGAGGCAGAGTGAGACTGTGTCTCATAAAAAAAAAAAAAATAGAAATGAGAAGATAATGGAGTGACATCTTTAAGGTACTAGAGGGAAACACACCATAAAATTCTATACACAGAGAAAATCTTTCAGAAACAAAAACTAAATACAGACCTTTTCAGCCACAAAATCTTAGAAAATTGATAACCAGTAAACCACCAGTACGATGAAATGTTAAAAGAGGTCCTTAAGGCAGAATGAGAATTATACCAAAGGAAAAATCTGCATTTACATAAAGGAATGAAGAACACCAGAAATAGTACATATGTGGAGAAGTACAAAAGACTTCTTTTCTTTTTTTTTTTTTTAGACAGAGTCTTGCTCTGTCGCCTAGGCTGGAATGCAGTGGCGCGATCTTGGCTCACCGCAAGCTCCGCCTCCCGGGTTCACGCCATTCTCCTGCCTCAGCCTCCCGAGTAGCTGGGACTACAGGCGCCCGCCACCACACCCGGCTAATTTTTTGTAGTTTTTTTAGTAGAGACGGGGTTTCACCATGTTAGCCAGGATGGTCTCGATCTCCTGATCTTGTGATCCTCCCACCTCAGCCTCCCAAAGTGCTAGGATTACAGGCGTGAGCCACCGCGCCCAGCCAAAAGGCTTATTTTCTTATTACTTAAACCACCTTAAGAGGTAATTGATGGTTTAAACAAAAGTAACCTGGCATGGTGGAGTTTCTAATCTATGTAGAAGTAAAATGTATGACAACTATAGCACAAAGGCCAGAAGGGGGGAAAGGAAAGTACAGTGTTGTAAGGTTCTTATACTATACGTGAAGTGTTATAATATTTCTTGAAGGTATATGTGATAAGTTAATGCGCATTATAAATCCTAAAGCCATCACTAAAAGAACAAAACAAAGCAGTTGAGCTAATAAGTCAATAAAGGTGATAAAATAAAATCATAAAAAGAATACTCAATACAAAAGAAAGCAGTAAAAGAGGAGAAAGGGAACAAAGACTAGATGGCAGAAATAGAAAACAAATAGTAAAATGGTACATTGAAATCCAGCCACATTGGCTGGGCATGGTGGCTCACACCTGTAATCTCAGCACTTTGGGAAGCCAAGGAGGGTGGATCACCTGAGGTCAGGAGATCGAGACCAGCCTGGCCAACATGGTGAAGCCCTGTCTCTACTAAAATTACAAAAAAAAAAAAAAAAAAATTAGCTGGGCGTGGTGGCTCACGCCAGTAATCCCAGCTACTCAGGAGGCTGAGGCAGGATAATCGCTTGAACCCGGGAGGTGGAGGCTGCAGTGAGCTGAGATTGCGCCATTGCACTCCAGCCTGGGCCACAAGAGTAAAACTCCGTCTCCAAAAAAAAAAAAAAAGATAAAAATAAATCCAACCACATCAATAGACACCTCCAATTAAAAGGCAGAGATTGTCAGATTAGATAAGAAAGCAAGACACGACAATATGCTCTTACTAGGAAACTACTTTAAATATGAAGAACAAACGGGTTAAAAGTAAAAAAATGAAAAAAGGTATACCTTCCTAACACTAAGCAAAAGAAAGCAGGAGTTGATGTAAAATATCAGACAAAGCAGATTTCAGAGGAGAAATACAACCAGGGATAAGAAAAAAAGTTATTTTATAGCTGTCAATTCATTAAAAGAACATAGCAATCATAAACATTTATACATCTAGAAATACAGCTTCAGAATACACACAGCATAATGTGAGTATTCTCAGACAACACAACTGAATACATAGAAAACCCAAAGGGATATAAAGAAAAATTATTAGAATTAATGAGTAATTTATCAAGGTCACTGGATACAAAGTCAATATACAAAAGTCAAATGCATTTCTATATGCACAAGCAAATAGAAAATAAAACTGTTTAATGACACAATTTACAGTAGTATAAAAAATCAAATACCTATAAATAAATCAACAAAATAGTGCAAGACTCTTACACTGAAAACAAAGAGAAATTTAAAATGACCTAAATAAGTAGAGAATTATACCATGTTCTTGGATTGGAAGGCTCCATACTGTAAAGCAGTCATTTTTCCCCCAGAAGATCTATACATCTAATCCAATCCCAATCAAAATTTCAGCAATTGTTTTATGTGTGAACATTAACAAGCTGATTCTAAAATGTATGTGGAAATGCAAAAGCCCAAGAATGGCCATGCCAATTTTGAAGAAAAACAAAACTGGAGGAATTACGCTATCAGTTACTAAGACCTACTTTAAAGTTAAAGCAATTGTAACAGTGTGGTGTTGAGCAGCGGAACAGATTAGAGGTTCCAGAAACAGACTCGTAAATATACAATTGATCACCTGATTTATAACAAAGATGGTACTGCAGTGCTGTGGAGAAAGAAATACCTTTTCAAAAACTGGTGCTGGGTCTACAGAGAAAAAAGTGAACTTTGACTCCTCCTGATACATATATACAAAATATAGATCTAAATGTGAAAAGTAAAAAAATAAAGCTTCTGAAAGGAAACAGAGAACAGTAGGTAAAAAAGAAATTTTTTAAAGAATGTGAGAAGCACTAAGTAGGACATGTCAGCTTAACATGAGCTAATACTGTTAAGATTACAAAAACAGGCCGGGCGTGGTGGCTCATACCTGTAATCCCAGCACTTTGGGAGGTCAAGGTGGGTGGATCGCTTAGGTCCAGGAGTTCAAGACCAGCCTGGTCAACATGGTGAAACTCCATCTCTACTAAAAATAAAAAATTAGCCAGGTGTGGTGGCGCACACCTGTGAATCCCAGCTACTCAGGAAGCTGAGGCACAAGAATTGCTTGAACCCAGGAGGCAGAGGTTGCAGTGAGCCAAGATTACACCACTGCACTCCAGCCTGGGTGACACAGCAAGACTCTGTCTCAAAAAAAAAAAAAAGAAAAAAGAAAAGAAAAAAATTTTTTTAAAGATTACAAAAACAAACAAGCAAACAAAAAATCCTGAATGTGATCTAACTGACATTAATAGAAATGTAAAATCCAGATGAAAGGATTCTGTATTCTGTATTCTTCAATGGCTAGTTGGGTGTTATGTTGTGCTCTCAGCATAGGAATAAAAAAAATTATCGAAGTATAGGATACATACAGAAAAATGCACAAATCTTAAGTATACATCTTGATAAATTTTCAGAAATCGTGCACACGTGTCTACCAGCACCCATATCAAGAAACAGAACATGGCCAGCACCTCAGATGCCCTTTCACAGAGTCTTCCAGTCACTCCCCTGCCCTTCTAGATTAACCATTATGCTGAATTCTAACACTATAGGTTAGTTTTTCCTGTGTTATATATATAGCTGCAATCTTAGAGTACATACCTTTTTGTGTCTGGCTTCTTTCATTTGACATTATGTCTATGAGACTTATATTTTTATGTACAGTTATAGTTTACTCATTTTCATTATGGGATAGTGTTCCATTCCACAATTTATTAATCCATTCTACTATTGACGGACTTTGTGTGGCTTTCCAGTTTGGAGTTAATATGAATAGTGCTGCACATTCTTGTACATGTCTCTTAATGTGCTTTGACAGCTTTGTCAAAAATCAATTGGCTTTGTACGCAGTGGTCTAGTTCTGGGCTTTCCACTGTGTGTCATTGATCTATACAGCTATCTTTACACCAGTACCAACCACACTGTCTTGATTACTGTAGCTGTATAATAAGGCCTTAACATCAGGTAAATAAGTCTTCCAGTTTTATTCATTTTCAAAGTTGTTTTGGCTATTGTAAGTCCATTGAATTTTCATACAAATTTTAGAACCAGCTTGCCAATTTCTACAAAAATGTCTGCTGAGATTTTAATTGGGATTGTATTGAATCTATAGATCAATCTGGACAGAACTGACATCCTGACAATGTTAAGTTTTCTGATCCATGAACAGTGTATTACTCTGCTCAGGCTGCCATAACAATATACCAAAGACTGGGTGGCTTAAACAATAGAATTTTGGGCCAGGAGTGGTTGCTCACGCCTGTAATCCCAGCACTTTGGGAGGCCGAGGCCAGTGGATCACCTGAGGTCAGGAATTCGAGACTAGCCTAGCCAACATGGTGAAACCCTGTCTCTACTAAAAATACAAAAATTAGCCAGGTGTGGTGGCACACACCTCTAATCCCAGCTACTTGGGAGGCTGAGGCAGGAGAATCGCTTGAACCTGGAAGGCAGAGGTTACAGTGAGCCCAGATCGCACCATTGTACTCCAGCCTGGGTGACAGAGCAAGACTCCGTCTCTCTCTCTCTCTCTCTCTCTCTCTCTCTCTCTCTCTCTCTCTCTCTCTCTCTCTCTCTCTCTCTATATATATATATATATATATATATATATATATATATATAAAATTTTATTTCCTCACTCTTCTGGAGGCTAGGAAGTTCAAGATCAAGGTGGTAGCAAGGTAGGTTTCATTCTGACGACTCATCTTTTGGCTTGTAGTTATCCACCATTTCACTGTGTGCTCACATGACCTCTTGTTTGTGTGATGGATAGATAGAGAGTAAGAAGTCTCTGTGTCTCTTTTTATAAAGACATTAATTCTATTGAATAAGGGACCCACCCTATGACTTCATATAACCTTAATTACTTCCTTAGAAGGCCCATCTACAAATAAAGTCACATCGTGGGTTGGGGCCTCAACATATAAATTTGGGGGGCACACAATTTAGTCCACAGCAAACATTATATATCTTCCATTTATTTAAGTCTTCTTTGAGCTCTCTCAACAATTTTTTAAAATTTTTCAGAGTCTTATCCATCTTCTGTCATCTTTTGTATTAAATGTTTTCGATGTCATTAAAGATGATGTTTTTAAAGATTTGAATTTCCAATTGTTTGCTGCTAATATATAGAAATTCAGTTTAGTTTTGTACATAATAGGCTTTCTATCCTGAAACCTTGCTCAACACACATATTACTTCTAGCAGTTTTCTTTAGAACTTTTTACATAGAAAAATCATGTCATCTGTGAACAAAGATGGTTTTACTTCTCCCTTTCCATCTGCATGCTTATGGGGTTTTTTGTCTGTTTGTTTTGCTTTATTGCAACTGCTAAAACCTACAGTACAATGTTGAATATATATGATAAAAGCATTCATCTTTGCCTTTTCCCAATCTTACTTGGAAAGTATTTAATATTTCATCATTAGGTGATGTTAGCTGTAGGTTTTCTTAGGTACTTTTTATCAGATTGAGGAAGTTTCCTTATTATAAATAAGCAAATGTCAAATACATTTTTGCTTCTATTATGATGACCCTATAGGTTTTTCTCCTTTACTCTGTTAAAAAGGCAAAATATGTTAATTTTTTGTTGTTGTTGTTGTTTGTTTTTTGTTTTGAAACGGAGTCTCACTCTGTAACCCAAGCTGGAGTGCAGTGGCATGATCTCGGCTCACGCAACCTCCACCTCTTGGGTTCAAGCGATTCTCCCTGCCTCAGCCTCCCAAGCAGCTTGGATTACACGTGCCTGCTATGACGCCTGGCTAATTTTATGTGTGTATTTTTAGCAAAGACAGGGTTTCGCCATGTTGGCCAGGCTGGTATTGAACTCCTGACCTCAGGTGATCTGCCCACTTCAGCCTCCCAAAGTGCTGGGATAACAGGCATGAGCCCCACACCTGGCCTCATTGGTTTTCAAATATTAAACCAACGATGAATTCCTAGATAAAATCTACTAGGTCATGATGCATTATCCTTTTTATATACTTCTGGATTTGATTTCATAATATTTTGTTAAGAATTTTTACATTTATGTTCATGAGGAGTGTTGTTCTATACAATTCACTCTTGAACAATGTAGGGTTTAGGAGCACTGATACAAGCACACAGTTTAAAAATCTGTGTATAACTTTTGACTCCCCCAGTCAGAACTTAATTACTAATAGCCTACTCTTGACTAGAAGCCTTACCATTAACATGAACAATCAACACATATTTTGTGTGTTATACGTATACTGTAGTCTTACCATGACATAAGCTAGAGAAAAGAAAATGTTAAAAACAAAATAAAGACAAGAAAATATACTTGCTATTCATTAAGTGGAAGCGGATCATCCTAAAGGTCTTCATCCTTGTCATCTTCACATTGAGTAGGCTGAGGAGGAGGAGTAAGAGGAGGTATTGGTCGTGCTGTCCCAGGGGTGGCAGAGGTAGAAGAGGTTCTACAAATGTCAACTAGATTGGTTTGGTTGATGGTGTTCAAGTTTTCTATAGCCTTACTGATTTTCTATTTTTTCTATTATTATTATTATTATTATTGAGACAGAGTCTCGCTCTGTTGCCCAGGCTGGAGTGCAGTGGTGTGATCTCGGCTCACTGCAAGCTCTGCCTCCCAGGTTCACGCCATTCTCCTACCTCAGCCTCCCAAGTAGCTGGGACTACAGGCGCCCGCCACTACGCCTGGCTAATTTTTTGTATTTTTAGTAGAGACAGGGTTTCACCATGTTAGCCAGGATGTTCTGGATCTCCTGACCTCGTGATCTGCCCGGCTCGGCCTCCCAAAGTGCTGGGATTACAGGCGTGAGCCACCGCGCCTGGCCTTCTGTTAATTATTGATCATTGCTCTATAATTTTTGCTTTATGCATTTTGAAGCTCTGTTAATAAATGCATTCAGATTTAGAATTATGTCTTTTGTTTTTAGCTGTATTTTCCCCATATAGCAAAACAAAAAACAACCAAAAAAAACTGCTACTTGGTTTCTTCACAATTTATAATTTTTAAAAATATATAAATAGAAGTGAGCAAAACGAGAGAGCAAAAATGAATTATATTCCACTTATAGAATCACACCATTTTAGAATATGTCTTTGAAAATGTTTTCCATGCATATTGCGATGGCCTTTTATAACCAAATAATTATGAACATTTTTCCATGTCATTATTCTTTGACATTATTTTTAGCAGCTGATATGGTTTGGATCTGTGTCCCAGCCCAAATCTCACATTGAAATGTAATCCCCAACGCCGGAGGTGGGGCCTGGTGTGAGGTGATTGGATCACAGAGACAGTTTCTCATGAATGGTTTAGCACCATCCCCCTTGGTGTTGTCATCACGATAATGAGTTCTGATGAGATCTGCTAGTATAAAAGTGTGTAGCACCTTCTCTCCCTCTCTCTCTACCTATCTCTTCCCCCTGCTCTGGCAATGTGAAGTGCCTCCCTCCCTCTTTACCTTCTGCCATGATAGGAAGCTTCCTGAGGCCTCCCCAGAAGCAGAAGCCACTATGTTTTCTGTACAGCCTGCAGAACCATGAGACAATTAAACCTCTTTTCTCTATATATTATCTAGTCTCAGGTATTTCTTTACAGCAGTGCAAGAATGGACTAATATAGAAAGTTGGTACTGAGGAGTGGGGCATTGCTATAAAAATATCTGAAAATGTGGAAGCAGCTTTGGAACTGGGCAACAGGCAGAGGTTTGAAGAGTGCAAGGGGCAGAAAAGAAGGAAGATAAGGGAAAGTTTGGAACTTCCTAGAGATTTGTTGAGTGGCTTTGACCAAAATGCTGATAGTGATATGGAAAATGAAGTCCAGGCTAAGGAGGTCTCAGATGGAAATGAGGAACTTATTGGGAACTGGAGTAAAGGTTACTTTTGCCATGCTTTAGCAAAAAGCCTAGCTACATTGCGCCCCTGCTTTAGGAATCCATGGAACTTTGAACTTGAGAGTGATGATTTACCATGCCTAAGCAGCAAAGCATTCAAGATGTGGAAGAGGTGACCTGGCTGCCTCCAACAGCCTATGCTCATATGCATGAACAAAGAAATAACCTAAAACGGGAACTTATATTTAAAAAGAAAAGCAGAGCATAAAAGTTTGAAAAATCTGCAACCTGGCCATGTGGTAGAAAAGAAAATTCCATTTTCAGGGGAGGAATTCAAGCAGGCTGCAGAAATTTGCAAAAGTAAAAAGAAGGAGTCAACTGTGAACAGCCAAGACAATGGGGAAAAGGACTGGAAGGCATTTCAGAGGCCTTCCTGGAAGCCCCACCCATCACAGGCCCTGAGGCCTAGAAGGACCGAATGGTGATAGTGATTTCTCATGAGATCTGGTTGTTTACAAGTGTGTAGTACCTCCTTACTCTCTCTTTTCCTCCTGCTCCAGCAATGTGAAATGCCAGCTCCCCCTTCACCTTCTGCCATGATTGTAAGTTTCCTGAGGCCTCCCCAGAAGCTAAGCAGATGCTGCCATGCCTTCTATATAGCCTGCAGAGCTGTGAGCCAATTAAACCTCTTTTCTCTATAAATTACCCAGTCTCAGGTATTTCTTTATAGCAGTGCAAGAACAGACTAATACAGTGGCTATATAATATTCCATTATGTGGATGATCATAATGAAATTAACTTCACATTACATTTACATTTATTTCTTTAATGTTAATCTTACAGTTATTCATTAATTGGAATCTTCCTTTCAACTCTTTTGTCATTTGTTCCATTACCTTTCCTCTCAGTTTAGGAGAATCCACAGATATACTTGGCAAGAGCTCTCCATCTGCTCTAAGATGTAGATATAAATATTTCACAATACAAGCCCCAGGTGGAGTCCTGTGTTCAACTTCTAGAGCTATCTACCCAATCAACAGCCATTCCTTCCATATTCTTCAGAAATATTCTCTCAACCAATTCTGTATCTGCCTACGTACACTGTTATCTTTCTTCTAAAACATGGTTCTGAATACTGTGTTGTGGGAAGCTAAGTAATTTCACTGATTTTTTGTTGTTAAGGTAGAGACCTTGGAAAGTCATTTATGTACCATATTTGGCACCTATAGTAGACTCTATTGAAGCCCTCCTAGATCCCCTGAAATCCCTATCACCAGCTCCACATGCCCACTCTCCACCTCTGTGTTTTTTGTTGCTAACAGCTTGCACTGATGACTTTCAGAAGACTGACTGGGGGCACCAAAGCTGCTTCCCTCTGAAAATTTTACACTTTATCCTGGGAAACCTATAAGCAATAACTGACTAATTTGAGAGTATAAAGCCCAGCTCCTTTGATTCAAGGTGGTAAATGCTGGGGTGTAATTCACCCCAGAACTCCTCATGGGATCAGGCTGAGTCTGGGACCTGATATCCAATCTTTGCCTGGATTCTTTCCTTTCCCTATCCTGTTTCTCCCATCCTACAGATTTCTCCTGAGAGCAGTTCCTTTATAAATCACCTACACCAGACTCCTCAGCCCAGGCTTTTCTTTTGGTAGCAACTAACCTTAAGACAGCATCCAGATAACGTCCAAAGCATCACTCAAAGTAGATTCCTTCCCAGGCCCCACTCACACTCTTACTACCCAACACCTTCCAAATCCAAAAGCACTGCTGTGCTGAACTGTAAAACCACTTGACATCTGAATATCTATGCTTGCATTCAAAGAATAATGAGGGTTTTTATTCACTTTGCAAAAGAATTCACAACAAGGCTCCCAATGTAGGGAACTCTAGCGTATGTTTAAAGTAACATCACAAAATTTTACCCCAAAGAATGACATAGGGTAACTTTCCAGAAATGACACATCCCATACAAGGCAGTGCCCCATATACCAACCCAATCACTGAGACTTTGAAATTTTTCTCTGTGAAAGTGGCTTTCTCCTGGGGCCTCCTGGTAAGTTTCTGACTCTTTTCCTCAGCTCCCTCCCTCATACCCTGAAGGGAGTTGCCATGGTGACTGTGGGACTGTGACCTCCAGGGTAGCTCAGGCTCAGAAGAAAGGGTTTCCCCAGGGTGGCTGAGAAGCAAGGAGCAGAGACACAAATGGCATTCTCTTCAGTCAGTGGGCAAATGTTTAACGAGTTTATGTCGAGGCGTGTGTTGGGAAAGTGCTGGACCATCTTCAGATGCAGCACAGGTGACTCTGGGCCCACTCTGCTACTCATGGGTAGAGGTGTTAACAATACACTCGCCCTGATCCTGATTCAGACAGATGCCTGCAGCAAAAGAAAGTCACTCTCAGGGAGGCAGTTGGGACTAACTGGCTCTAATTCATTATTGGAGCTCACTGATATCAAGAGAAGGTCAAACTACATATGTAAATGAGGCTGTTTTTATCCCAGGATCTAAACCCACTTAACCAAGAAAATGCAAACTACCTCACTTTTGTTGAATTAGCTCATTTGAATAGTTGAATAGGAGAGAAGCCAGGGAGGGGCAAATGGCCCTGAACTCAGGAACTTGCCCACCCCTGAACATGGAGACCTCACTCAATTCTTTCTTCAGTACTTTTTTTCCACATTATTAATTTCTGTCTTTTTTTTTTTTTCAGGCAGAGTCTCACCCTGTCACCCAGGCTGGAGTGCAATGGCGCCATCTCAGCTCACTGCAACCTCCCTCTCCCGGGTTCAAATGATTCTCCTGCCTCAGTCTCCCAAGTAGCTGAGATTACCAGTGCCCACCACCACGCCCAGCTAATTTTTTTGGGGGGGCGGGGGACGGAGTCTCTCTCTGTCTCCCAGGCTGGAGTGCAGTGGCACGATCTCGGCTCACTGCAAGCTCTGCCTCCCAGGTTCACGCCATTCTCCTACCTCAGCCTCCCGAGTAGCTGGGACTACAGGTGCCCGCCACAATGCCCCGCTAGTTTTTTTATATATTTTTAGTAGAGACGGGGTTTCACCATGTTAGCCAGGATGGTTTCGATCTCCTGACCTCGTGATCTGCCTGCCTCGGCCTCCCAGAGCGCTGGGATTACAGGCGTGAGCCACCGCGCCCGGCTAATTTTTGTATTTTTAGTAGAGATGGGGTTTCACCATGTTGGCCAGGCTGATCTCGAACTCCTGACCTCATGATCTGCCCACCTCGGCCTCCCAAAATGCTGGGATTACAGTCGTGAGCCACTGCACCTGGCCAATATTTGTCATTACAAATTAATTTTTTAGCAATAGGGTCTCATGCTGTCACCCAGGCTGGAGTGCAGTGGTGCAATCATGGCTCACTGTAACCTTGAACTCCTGGGTTCAAACTCCTTCTGCCTTACCTTCCCAAAGTACTGAGCTACTGCACCTGGCCCAATGCAGACTTCTAAAGTTAAAGTCTTCCCTTCCTTAGCTCCCACTGCTGTCACTTCAGGTAATGACTGTTAACATCCTAGAGTATGCAGCCTTCTGTATCTTTCTCTGAGATCATTTAATAGTATACAACCATTCCCCATATATCTCTCCCTCCCCCCTCACACACTATGACACTGTCCTTGCTGATTGCTTTTTGCTTTTGCTGCTTAACATTATATCATGGTACCATGGGGATTCCTCCAGGTCAACATGTATGGGTTTAATGCACTCTTTAATATTTCTATAATATTCTATAATATTTAAGTACTATAATTTACCTAACATTCCCCTATTAATGGAAATTCAGATTCTATCCAGCTTTTGCTACTAGAAACAACCTTGCAATAAATATTATATGTATATATCTCCTTAAAATACATTCTCATATTGGGATTGCTGTGTCAAAGGATTTTTTTTTTTTTTTTAGATAAGGGGAGTCTCACTCCATTGCCCAGGCTGGAGTGCAGTGGCATGATCAGAGCTCACTGTAACCATAAACTCCTGGATTCAAGTGATCCTCCCACCCCAACCTCCCAAGTAACTAGATCTATAGGCACACATCACCAAGCCTGACTAATTTAATTTTTTTTTTTTTTTTTTTGGAGAGATGAGGTCTCTCTATGTTGTCCAGTCTGGTCTCAAACTCCTGGCCTGAAGCACTCCTCCAACTTCAGCCTCCCAAGTAGCTAGAACTACAGATGTATGCCAACAGCTAGGATGTGTTCATTTTTAATTCTAATACTCACTTTGAGATTGCTTTCTTAAAAGGGTTTAGCAATTCATATATCCATTAACAATGTATGAGAGTCCCTGTTTACTCACACCGTTGACAACATTGGATGTTATCAATCTTTAATTTTTGCCAATCTGATGACTGAAAATGGTATTAATTGTTGTTTTATCTTGCAGTTCCCTGACTACAAATACAGTTGAGTGTCTTTTCATGTACTTATCAGCTATTTGTATTCTCTCATCTGTAAAATGTTTGTTCATAGGCTGGGCACAGTGGCTCACACCTGTAATCCCAGCACTTTGTGGGGCCAAGGCAGGTGGATCACCTGAGGTCAGGAGTTCAAGACCAGCCTGGGCAACATGGTGAAACCCCATCTCTACTAAAAATACAAAAATTAGCAGGGTGTGGTGGCACATGCCTGTAATCCCAGCTACTCGGGGGGCTGAGGCACAAGAATTGCTTGAATCTGGGAGGCGGAGGTTGCAGTGAGCCGAGATTGCGCTATTGCACTCCAGCCTAGGTGACAGAGCAAGACTCCATCTCAAAAAAAAAAAAGTTTGTTCATGTGCTCTGTCCATTTTTTAAAAGCTTTGTCTTTTTTTCTTATCAGGTTACATATTAGGAATGTTGTTTCTTGTCTGTTGTGTGTATTATCATTAGTCTTTTGACTCAGAGTGACTTGATGATTTTTGTCCCTTCCTTCTCAGCTTCACTCGTGAATGTCAACTTTCACCATTTTTTCTAACTTAACCGTCAAAGATATGGGACTGGGAAGAGGCAGACCATGACCATAGAACAGAGAGGAGGCTGAAGTCATAAGAGAAGAGTTTGCTCTAGGAGGCTGGGAAAACCAAGTTGGACAGCATTTGGCATCTATAATACTCTTTGTTCTGCTTTAAATGGTCCTCCTCTTATGGGAATAGAACCCTTCTCCCATATCCCTTTAGCCAGCTCACTCCTACTCATCCTTCAAAACCCAGCTCAAACATCACTGCCTCTGAAAAGCCTTCTCTGATCCACCCACAAGCTGACCTGGAGACCCCTCTGTGCATAATTCTATTCTAGCACTCGTCACATCACCCCCTGACCCATCAGTTTCTTGTCAGTCTCCCTTTCAGACTGAGTGCTCCTTTAGAGCAGGACACTCCCTGAAGCACAGTTCCACCCTCAGGATCTAGCCCCTCTGAGAGTATTCAAAAAAGGATTTGAACAAATTTAGCAAATTGTTCTTCAGCAGCACTGTGCCAGGTGCTGTGGAGGTGACAGATGGATTATAGCACATGACCCCTGATCTCAGAGAGATCAAAAACTAGCTGAGACATAAGAACGCACTAACATTGAAACAACAGCCTGTGAAAGCAATTACATTTAAGTAGACTATTATGTCATTGAGAATGCACGTGTTCCAGAAGGCCTGGGCTGCATGTGCGGGGGGCACAGGAAAGAATCAGGGAGAATGTGGGACTTGATTTGGGTCTTGGTTGTGGGCGAAGTCTGGATGTGGGACTTAAGGGTGGGTGGGATTTGGACAGAGGGTAAGAGGAAGTGAGGGCAGCTGGTAAGAGGGCAATGGGCAAAAGTATGGGTGTTATTTTTAAAGACAGGGTCTTGCTCCATCACCCAGGCTGGAGTGCAATGGCACAATCATGGTTCGCTGGAATCTCAAACTCCTGGGCTCAAAGTGATCCTCCTGTGTCAGCCTCCCCCGTAGCCAGGATTCTTCAATACCTCCATAATATTCTATAATATTTAAGTACTAGAAACAGTGGAGGGACTGAAGTGACCAGAGCAGAGAGTTTGTGCTGGGAAGAGGAGGAAAACTGAGTTGGACAGCATCTAGCCTCCCGGCAAGGAATTTCTGAATTATGGATAAATATGCATATTGCCTCCCAGATTCCAAGAGCTGATTATGGCACTCTGCCACGTATGCTGAAGATGTGTTCATGTGTTTCTCCCACTCAACTGTGGGCTTCTGGTCAGTCTGGAGTGTAATTGGCAGAATAATGCCCCTCTCCCCTTACCCACCCCCACGCACAAAGATGTCCACAGCTTAATCCCTGGAACCTGTCAATACGTTTTGTTACATGGCAAAAAGGAATTAAGCTAGCAGCTGGACTTAAGGTCACTAACCAACTGACTTTAAAACAGGGAGATGATCTGGATTATTGGCGTGAGCCCAATGTAATCACATGGATCCTTCAAAGTGGAACAGAAGCAGAGAGTCAGAGGGAAATGTGACTACAGAAGGTCAGGGTGACACAGTGGGAAGGATTTGGCTCAATGTTGCTGGCTTTGAGAATGGAGGAAGGCTGGGCGTGGTGGCTCACACCTGTAATCCCAGCACTTTGGGAGGCCAAGGCAGGCAGATCACCTGAGATCAGGAGTTGGAGACAAACCTGGGCAACGCGGTGAAACTCCATCTCTACTAAAAATACAAAACTTAGCTAGGTGTGGTGGCACATGCCTGCAAACCCAGCTACATAGGAGGCTGAGGCAGGAGAATTGCTTGAACCTGGGAGGTGGGGGTTGCAGTGAGCCGAGATTGCACCACTGCACTCCAGCCTGGGCAACACAGTGAAACTCCGTCTCAAAAACATAAAAAAGAGAATGGATGAAGGAGGCAAGAAGTCAAGGAATGTGGGGGGCTCTAGAGGCTGGAAAAGGCAAGGAGATAGGCTCTCCCCAGAGCCTCCAGAAAGGAACATGTCCTTGCCAACATCTTGATTTTAGCCCAGGAGACCCATTTCGGACTTCCAACCCAGAAAACCATAAGACAATTAGTATTGTTTAAGGTAGGGAGGCCCCGACCCCCAGGCAGTGGACCGGTACCAGTCAGTGGCCTGTTAGGAACCGGGCCACATAGCAAGAGGTGAGTGGCAGGCGAGCAAGCATTACTGCCCAAGCTCTGCCTCCTGTCAGATCAGCGGTGGCATTAGATTCTCATAGGAGAGTGAACTCTATTGTGAACTGCGCATACGACGGATTTAGGTTGCACACGCTTTGTGAGAATCTAATGCTTGATGATCTGAGGTGGAACAGTTTCATCCACAAACCATCTCCCCCCACCCCATCCCCATCCATGGAAAAACTATCTTCCACAAAACCAGTCCCTGGTGGCACAAAGGTTGGGGACCACTGGTTTAAAGCACTAAATGGAAGGTAATTTGTTACAACAGCAATGGGAAACTAATATAGGAGGGACCTATATGTGCATACGTCTCATCTGTATTTACATACATGCATAACTTGGCTCCAGTAAATTGAAGTGTTCAGAAATGATTACTTAATGAAATTACATAAAGAATTCCTTTCGGTCAGGCGCGGTGGCTTATGCCTGTAATCCCAGTACTTTGGGAGGCTGAGGCAGGAGGATTGCTTGAGCCCAGGAGTAACAAGACCAGCTTGGGCAACATAGCAAGACTTTATCTCTATTAAAAATAAAAAAAATTTAGTCAGACATCGTGGTGCATGCCTGTGGTCCCAGCTACATGAGAGGCTGAGGCAGGAGGATTTCTTGAGCCCAGGAGGTTGAGGGCTGCAGTGAGCCATGATCATGCCACTGCATTTCAGCCTGAGTGACAGAGGGAAGAGACCGTGCCTCAAAAATAAATTATTTTCATCACAGTATTATTTACAGTAGCAAAGACATGGAATCAACCTAGGTGTCCATCGATGGTGGGTTGGACAAAGAAAATGGTGTACACATACACCAAGAAATACTATGAATCACTAAAAGGGAATGAAATCATGCTCTTTGCAACAACATGGATGCAGCTGGAGGCCATTAGCCTAAACCAATTAACGCAGGAACAGAAAACCAAATACCATGTGTCCTCACTTATAAGTGGGAGCTAACCCTTGGGTATTCACGGACATAAAGATGATAACAATAGACACGGGACTATACTAGAGTGGGGAGAGAGGGAGGCAGGCAAGGGTTGAAAAACTAACTCTTGCGTTCAATGCCCACTACCTGAGTGACAGGAATCAATCATACCCAAATCTCCACATCACACAATATGCCCAGGTAACAAACCTGCACCTGTATCTCCTTAATATAAAACAAAAGTGGAAATTATTTTTTAAAAAAAGAATTCCTCTTGTTTCAACATCTCTCCCAGAAAACAAAAACCGAACTCCATCCATATACCCATTGCTTGTAGCCGTGTGCTTCAAGTCAGTTTGCTCTTTAGCACAGACTTTGATTTCGCTATTATAAATAACACTATAGCCAGCCAGGTGCAGTGACTCACACCTGTAATCCCAGCACTTTGGGAGGCTGAAGCGGTGGATCTCTTGAGGTCGGGAGTTTGAGACCAGCCTGGCCAACATGGGGAAACCCCGTCTCTACTAACAGTACAAAAAAATTAGCCAGGCACAGTGGTGGGCGCCTGTAATCCCAGTTACTCAGGAGTCTGAGGCAGGAGAATCACTTGAACCTTGGGAGGTGGAGGTTGCAGTGAGCTGAGATCACGCCACTGCACTCCAGCCTGGGCAACACAGTGAGACACCATTTCAAAAATAAATAAATAAATAAAACTAGAGCAAGCATCTTTCCTCTGTTTTTGATGAAATTTGTTTATCCTAAATGAAATTAATGAGTCAAAAATGACGCACATTTTGTGTGGCTCTTCACTCATTTAGCCAGCTTACTTTCCACAGAGTTTGCACTAATCTACACACTCACTCACAACGTGGGAGAGCACCACCCTCTGCCACAACTGGGCCCGGCAGGGGACACATGCACAGTCCCCTCCTTGCACATTCAACTTTTTCCTGCTCCAATATCGACTGCATAACTTCAGGCTCAAGTGGGGCCCTCCACAGTAAGCAGAGATCCTAAACACTGCGTTGTGGTAGAAAAAGTGATTTCTCTGTAGCCACAAGGAACATTCTTTAGGGATAATGCTGGTCCAGGAGGGAGGAGTCTGAACATCCCTAGTTTATTTTATCAGCAATTGCAATGAGAGGGTTTTGTTTGTTTGTTTGTTTGTTTGTTGGAGTTGCAAGAGATGATCTGCCTGTTCAGGGAGCTGGTCATCTTCCACTGCCCTCAAATAGAAAGCCTGGAAATTGTACCTGACTGACCCAAAAGAAAAAGCTGGTTTATTTAAAAGTCTGGTTCCTTTATCCCCTTTGCAATACAGTGGTAGGTTTTTGGTTTGTTTTGTTGGTGGTGTTTTTGTTTGTTATTTTGTTTGTGTTTTTAACGAGTTCTTTGGTGACTATGCTAAAAAGACCATCATGGAAGCAAGAACATCAATAATTTTTTCACCCACTTCCAGCCCCCAGGACAGAGACAGACCTGGAGGCTTCATCGTCCCTTAGGACTGACTATCTTCCTTGCTTCAGGGAAGAAAAAAATCGTATGACAATGTTGCTTGCCTTGGCTTGCCTGTGGGTGTGGGGGATACAGTCCAGGCACGGAGAGGCACCCGAGTAGGAGCAGGATAAAAGGGCCTCCCAGAGATTTAGGCTCAGAGACTCCAGGGAGATTGGGCAGTCGCTGTCCCAGACGCTATCATGAGCTCTCAGCCTGATGCTTCCATGTGAAATGGGGCCAATCAGATCTAGCCCTAGGACGACAGTCCCCCCCTGCACCCAGAGGCACAGTCTGGGACTCTGGCAGGCCTAAAGTAACTAGGTTTTGCCTGCACATGTTTGATCCAAAGAGTGGAAAAAGCCTTTGGACTCCGGAGGTCTTCACTGGGGTCCTGGCCGCTCTCCAGACTTTCCTCGTGACCGGGGGCCTTCGGTTCCCTGGGCCTCGGGTTCTCTCTCTGTGAAGTGGCCAAACAATCCTGCCTCCCAGGGAGCGAGCACGCGGCTTGTCCGGGGAGAAAAGAGCAACAAATATTTATAAATCCATCACTGAGGTGGCGCTGAAACAGCTGACGGAGCGAAGCCTGACCCAGTCGGGTCCCGGGCCCTCCACGGGGGTCTGCGTCCTCCCGCTGCCTCCCACCCACCCCTGACAGGGCGGGGCAGACCTCTCGGGCAACTTCCCAGACTATGAATTTCCTTTGGCACTTTGAGGCTCCCCCAGGAGGATTCATGAGACCGCAGCAGGAAATGAGGAACATATTTTTAAATCAGAAGGGGGAAGCAATGTCTTTCTGTCAGATAAGTGGCCTGGATCCAGGGCTGAGAGACTGTGGCGCATTTCTCCTCGCAGACAGCAGGTGCTCTTCGAGATGTGGTTATGGCAACAAAATAAATGATGGATAATTGCTTTTGTGACAACTTGCCAATTAAATTAGACTCAGCAGAATAACATAATGACAATTTGTTATGCTCCGATGGGCACTAACATACCGATCATAATTAAATGCTATGACTGAAATAGAATACCGCTCAACGCAGGAATATACAACCCCAATTCCCTCTCTGTGAAACTTTATAGGTTGAGGCTTGATTTTAATTTCAGGAAGATAATGGCATTAGCTCATATCCGAGTGGGTTTGTGGAGAGGCCTGTGGTGAGGGGAGATGGGCCTGAGCAGGAAGGCGATGCCTGTAAGGAAACACCCGGGGGGCTGAACTCCAAGGTCAAGGGGAAGGGCTGAGGAGCCCTGTCGTGAAAATAGTGCTTGCTGGTCTGGGAAATGGAGGCAAAGGAGGAGCAGAGCAGGGAAATGGAGGCAAAGGAGGAGGCCCTCGCCCATGGTCTGCAGTGACAGGGCCCGTGCTGTGAACAACTCCAGGCCTCCACGCTGAATGTGTGGGGCATGTCCTTGAACAAGGAGCCCAGACTCACAGGTGATGTTAAAGAGGAGCTTAGGGGCGACTTGGTGCTAGGCATGTACAGCAAGTAGTAGAAGTGAGAAGTCCACTCAGTCTGCAGATGCCCTGCCTTCCCCTGCCCCTGGTGACAGCTGATTGGGCCAGAAGTGAATAGCTGACCCAAGGTGGGCCAATCAAATTCTTCCTCTGGAAACTTTGCAGGTGAGCTACTGAGCTAATTCTATAAAACAGTCATACATGTACAGATTGATGTGTAAGCACTTCCCTATATTATAATATACATACAGGACACGCACATATAAAAGCTGCAACTCGACTGTCAAAAACTTGACCTAAACGTGATATTCTAGGTATTGATTGTGTATTCAAGTTTTAATATATTTGTTGATGAATTCCCAAACCATTCCATAAAAGATTTGAGGTGGCTTTTGAAAAAATCAAGTAAGAATAATTCTGTTTGCTGTTTTTAGAGTTTAAAAGGGGTTTCTATATAGACAAAAAGGATAGTTGGTGAGGTCTCTCTCTCTTTTTTTTTTCTTTTTTTCTTTCTTTTTTTTTTTTTTTTGACAGAGTCTCGCTCTGTTGCCCGGGCTGGAGTGCAGTGGTGCAGTCATAGCTCACTGCAGCCTCGAATTCCTGAGCTCCAGTGATCCTCCCACCTCAGGCTCCCAAGTAGCTGGGACTATGGACGCGCACCACCAGACCTGGCTAACTTTTGTATTTTTTTGTAAAGACAGGGTTTCACCATGTTGCTCAGGCTGGTCTCGAATTCCTGGGCTCAAACAATGCACCTGCCTTGGCCCCCCAAATTGCTGAGATTGCAGGCGTGAGTCACCTCACCCAGCCTCTCACTTTCTTGCTTACAAATCTCAATTTTTTAAAAAACAAAGTAATGCAAAAATAAATTATATATTTAGTAATCTAAAGTGTTTAAAATAAAAACTCATGCTCCTCAATCCTACTCCCCAGTGATGATCACTGACATCAACTCGGTGTATATCCTCCGAGCCTTTCTTCTCTGCCTGAGCCATCCTTTAAATGTGAAAATGGCTCCAAGGTTATTTATGGGTACAATGATAGGGTATATGGGATTTGCTTCACATTAATCCATGGGTGAAGGAGACAATGAATGGGATGGAAAAAGAATAGCCAAGAGCTTAAAATTGTTGCAACCAGCCGGGCGCACTGGCTCACGCCTGTAATCCCTGCACTTTGGGAGGTCGGGGGGAGTGGATCATTTGAGGTCAGCAGTTCAAGACCAGCCTGGCCAACATGGTGAAACCCCGTCTCTACTAAAAAAAAAAAAAAAAAAAAAAATTAGCTGAGCGTGGTGGTACACGCCTGTAATACCAGCTACTCGGGAGGCTGAGGCAGGAGAATTGCTTGAACCTGGGAGGCGGAGGTTGCAGTGAGCCAAGATCGCACCACTGCACTCCAGCCTGGGCGACAGAGTGAGGCTTCATTTCAAAAATATATATATACATATATATATATGTATATATATATATTTTTTGCAACCAGGTGATGAGATGTGGAGTTTCATTACACTATACTCTTTACTTTTAATGTGTTTTAAAAATTCTACGGGTGGTGGCTCATGTCTATAATCCTTGCACTTTAGGAGGCTGAGGCGGGCAGATCGCTTGAGGTCAGGAGTTCAAGACCAGCCTGAGCCACATGGCAAAACCCCGCCTCTACAAAAAATACAAAAATTAGCCAGGTGTGTTGGCTCATGCCTGTAGTCCCAGCTACTGGGGTGGCAGAGGCAGGAGAATTGCTTGAACCTGGGAAGTGGAAGCTGCAGTGAGCCGGGATCTCACCACTGCATTTCAGCCTGGGTGACAAAATGAGACCCTCTCTCAAAAAAAAAAAATATACAGTACACCAGGTATAGTGGCTCATGCCTATAATCCCAACACTGGGAGGTCAAGGCAGGAGGATCCTGCCTTGAGGTCAGGAATTCTAAACTGACTTGGTCAACATAGTAAGATCCCCGTCTCTACAAGAGAAAAAAAAATTAAGTTAGCCCGGCATGGTGGTGAGCACCTGTAGTCCCAGCTACTGAGGAGGCTGAGGTAGGAGGATTGCTTGAGCCCAGGAGTTCAGAGCTGCAGTGAGCCCTGACTACATCACTGAATTCCAGCCTAGCTGACAGAGAGAGACTCTGTCTCAACAAACAAACACACAAACAAACAAAAACTACAATCATAGCTTACATTTTTAACTACTGTTTTACCTTTTTTTCTTTTAAAAAATAGAATTTTGCCTTATGTGCCATTCATCAGTTTACTCTTTAAAAAAACTAACAGCTTGTTGTGGACATAGCTCCATGTCTGCACAGCTATTCTTTCTCATAGTTTTCCATTGTATGGATTTTCTACAACTTAACCAACCTCTGTTACCCTGAAGGACTATTTGCAGTGTTTTTCTATACCAAAGAATGCTAAGTAAACACACTTAGGCATACATCTCTTCTCTCTTGAAGAAGGTTTCCGTATGACACATTCCTAAAAGCATAATTTCTGGCTCAATGGGAAAATGTATTTTAAATTTGACTGCAACTGCCAGGCTCTTCATCAAAAATGTTATGGCAAGTCTTAGTTTTGTCAGCTATGGATGCCTTTTTATCTGTATCCTTCCAAAACACTGAGTACTAGCAATCTGTTTAATTTTGGCTAATTTTGATAGGGAAACTACATCTCCTCTTGGTTTTAGTTGTGTTGTTTTGTATTTTGTTGCTAATTTAGAGTATCATTTCATGCTTTCTATGCCATATGTGTTTCTTCTTTGTGACTTGCCCAGATGTCACCTGTGTTCATTTATCTATGGTATTTCTTTTTCTTACTGATCTGTAGGACATTTTTGTATATTATGGATGTTATACTTTTATCAGTTACGTATGTTTAAAATATTTTCTTCCATTCTTTAACTTTTGTTTGTGACATTTTTCACCATATAGAAGTTGTTATTGTTGCTTGTTTGTTTATGTAGTTAGGACTGTTGTTCTTTTCCTG
The DNA here is from genome assembly GCF_000001405.40 of Homo sapiens. Classification (NCBI taxonomy): domain Eukaryota; kingdom Metazoa; phylum Chordata; class Mammalia; order Primates; family Hominidae; genus Homo; species Homo sapiens. Next base: position 57,815,028 of record NC_000017.11, read on the forward strand.
CTGTCTTCTGGTTTTTGTGTCATGCTCAAAAAGGACCTATTTTTTTTCTAGCACTTTTATTGTTTTAATTTTTATTTTTAAGCCTTTAATCCATTTCGGATTTATTTCAGGTATGGAACCAGAAAACGGGCACAGGAACCAAATTTGAATTTTCTCTGAAATTCACAACCTTTCCCTGTTTATGTAATAAACCATCCTTTTCTCACTGATGTGAAATGCTATTTTTGTCATATATTTAATTATCATATATACACAGATTTTTTTCTAGACTCCCTGTTGTACATATTCCCCTGGTCTAATTGCCTATTCCTATACATGTACCATGCTGTTTTCATGGTTGTTGCTTTATAATACATTTGATAGCTAGTATTATATACATAATATTATATGCTTATATTTCAAATTTTTATTTTGGCTAATTTTATCCTTCCAGTTAAACTTTATTATCAAGTTGCTAAGTTAAAAATAAAAACTGCAATGAGATCTGATTAGAAATGTTTTAGTTGTATATATTAAGTTGGGAAAGGTGGTCCAAGTTTCTGAAAGACAAAACTATCCATGGATGCCCACACATACCCTGGATGCCATGACCAGAATTCAGTGTGCTCAGGTTCAGTCTAGGAATGATCCAGCCCCACACTCATGTCTTACTTCACTCAGCCTGCTCTGTATTCAACTCCTGTTCTCTCTTCCCATTGGGTTCTGTCTTTGCACATTTGGGCTGCTACAGCAAAATACCTTATACTGAGTAATTTGTAAACAACAGAAATTTATTGCTCACCGTGCTGGAGTCTGGGAAGTTCACAATCAAGGCACCAGCAGATGCAGTGCCTGGTGGGGGCCTATTCTTCATAAATGGCACCTCTTGCTACATCCTTACACAGCAGAAGGGGGAAACAGGCTTCACCTCTTTTATTTTTATTTTTATTTTTATTTTTGAGATGGAGTTTCGCTCTTGTCACCCAGGCTGGAGGGCAATGGCATGATCTCAGCTCACTGCAACCTCTGCCTCTCAGGTTCAAGTGATTCTCCTGCCTCAGCCTCCCAAGTAGCTGGGATTACAGGTGCCCACCACCATGCCAGGCTAATTTTTGTATTTTTTAGTAGAGACAGGGTTTCACCTTGTTGGCCAGACTGGTCTCGAACTCCTGATCACCCACCTCAGCCTTCCAAAGTGCTGGGATGACAGACATGAGCCACCTCAACCAGCCACTCCACCTCTTTTGTAAGGGACTAACCCCATTCATGCTGCCCTCATAACCTAATCACTTCCCAAAGGCTCTACCTCTTAATACCATCACCTCACGGGTTAGGTTTCAACATATAAATTTTGGTGAGACACAAACATTCAGACAAGCTCTAACTCTAATTCCTACTTGCCTATGAGTTATGTTTCTCTAGCCTTCGAATCATCTCCTTCTCTCCCAGAATGGCATGGCTGGTCTTCTCTCTTTTGACCATTGTGTAATCCACCCCCTCATACCGGTGAGACCTGATGCTTCCAGGCTGGTTCTACCCATGGAAGCTGGCCAGTAGGATCAGGATTAGACAATATCTTCGATGCCATAATAACAGAAGGAAATTTCAAAATCTTCTAGCTTAAACTCCCTCCTTTGACTTCATTCCACAACACAAAGATGACCATGGGGCTCAGACAAATAAAGTCATAGAATAACTGATGGGATAGGAAAGGTATTTTGAATTTTTTGGCAGTAGTGACAGGTGACACCTTTCTCTAGTGTCCACCTTCCCGGTCCCCTGCAGAGAAGTGGAAAGGAAATAGTCTAGGACAATGCTGTCCAACAAATCATTCTACCAGTTCCAGAAAGAGACTGTCTTCATGGAGATATGAAGTTTCTCCTAGCCAAACTGAACTTCCTACCATTTCCTGCTATTAGGGTCCCATGGGTGTTTGACAGGCCCAGGACTAGGGTGAGGCAAGAGCTGAATCTGCACTCACATGACCCAAGTGTGAGGGACTCGCTACACTTGTTCCTAGGTGTCTCACTTGCCTCACCCTAGTCCTAGCCCTGGAGTTGGGTTGTGTGTCACAAATGCTGTGGTCCCCTCCCCAGATCCCCTCTTCACCTGTTCCAGCTCTGGGGACTAAGCTCACAGCTACAACCCTCATTGAGAATTACTCTGGCCACAAGGAACTTCCCTGCCCAATATTATACCCCTTCCAGGGGGGACGTCTATGATCAAGGACTGGCTGAGGCAGGGATGAAAACACCTACTTTTTTTTTTTTTTATATCACTTTAGAAGAACTCTAAAAGAGCCATCCCCTCATCCAGAGCTCCAGAGCCTCAGCTCCCACAATGAATTAAGAACTATGATGCTTGGTGGGTTTCATCGGTTCTGGAGGTGCCACAGTCCACACTGTGGAACAGTACTCTAACCCTGCAGGTAACAAAGAAAGCTGCCAGCTTTGAATGGGACCCAGAGCAGGAAAGGGCTCTGCAGCAGGTTCAGGCTGTGGTCAGAAAGCCCTGCCTCCCGCGCTGTGTGACTCGGCAGGCTCTGTGGTCCTAAAGGCTCTGTGTTTTTTGTGGAGGAAGAAACACCACATGGAGTTTCTGGTGAACACCAATAGGAAATAATATTATAGATTCCTAGAGTTCTGAAGCAGGGCATGCCATCTGCAAGAAAAGCTACACACCCATTGAAAAGTAGCTCCCAGGCCAGGCGCGGTGGCTCAAGCCTGTAATCTCAGCACTTTGGGAGGCCAAGGCGAGCGGATCACCTGAGGTCAGGAGTTCAAGACCAGCCTGGCCAACATGGTGAAACCCCGTCTGTACTAAAAATACAAAAATTAGCTGGGCATGGTGGCGGGTGCCTGTAATCCCAGCTACTTGGGAGGCTGAGGCAGGAGGATGGTCTAAGCCCAGGAGGCAGAGCTTGCAGTGAGATCTCACCACTGCACTCAAGCCTGGGCAACAGAGTAAGGCTCCATCTCAAAAAAAAAAAAAAGAAAGAAAGAAAAGAAAAAGAAAAAGAAAAGTAGCTCCCAGAATGCTACTGGATCCTGGTAGAGATGAGGCTTCTGACCAAGTGACACCAAGTAACCAGACAACTGTAGCTCCCCATCATGAACTGGATCTGTCAGATCCACAGAGTCACGAGGGCAGGCAAGCCCAGTAGCAATCAGTCGTTCGATGGAAGCGGTACATTTAGGATCGGCACCCGGAAGCTGCATGGGCAGGTAGCCCAGGCTCCCATGTCATGTGTCAATATTTCCCTGGGCCCTGGCCCTCAGCAATCACCTATAGCTGCATGAGGGCTTCCTTACGGCCAGCTGACAGCAGAAGCAAAAGGCCAAGTTCAGTTCATAGAAGGGTCAGCTCAGTGTGGCAGTGTGAGCTGGGGCTGCTGCCAGTCGGTGGAGGCAGGGAGGAATACGTTTGGCATTTGGATAATCCACTGGGGCATTTCTTGGTGTTCCATACCCATTTTAATGATAATGGGCAAGTACAACAACCAGGTCTTGAAAAGAGCATGGTATCCATGTGGTCAGAACCCTCAGGAATGAGGGTCCAGGTCATCCCACCCAACAAGTCTCTTAGACCAGCAGAGATGCCAGCCAAGGGCAGGAAGACTCTGGTACAGGTGGTGGAGAAGGGGCATAAGGAGTACCAGGTAGAACCTTGAGATCAAATGCAGCATCAGAGTCTGTGTCTGTCCCATTAACCCTTCTCTTGTCAGTTTCCCCAGGAAGCAAAACTCACTACAATCATAAATAAGCCATCAGAGATGGGGCAAACTTACTACAAGAAACAAGTGACTCTGAGCCACTTGAAGGGTCATCTGTCACAGACACTGCCCACCCAGATCCCTTTTCAGGGCCCACACACCCATCCCCTAGCTACTGAGAATAGGGGCTGCTAATGGCTCAGAGGTTCATCCCTCATTGGGAAATGCATGACCCAAGGCACATCCCCTCCTGGGGGAGAGCCTTAGTCAATGACTGGCTGATGGGGGATGCAAAGGCCCAGCTCTCTCACAGTAGGACAGCTCTGGAGGGCCATCCCAGCTCCAGAGTTCCCTGTAGAATTAACTGAGGTCTCCATGGCCAGCACATTGTGGGGCAGCTACTCCCTCTGCCCCGTCCTGCCTCCCTTGCCCCCTTACAAGTACATCTCCCAAGAACACTCCTAATTAATGTTCTGCGTGCAGCTCTCTATCTCAGAGTCTGTTTCCAGGGAGCCCAACCTCAGACATCTCCCAATCTCAGGCTGAGATACTGGGAAACACAAATGATACTGACTCAGTCCCCTGACTCAAGGGACCCAAACAGTTACACAGTGATCTGCCAATCAACAGTTGAGCCTTTGACTGGTCTTCAGGTTGGTTGTTTCCAACCTGTTCCCTCTCACTGGGATTAAAGGAAATTACCCAAAAGAAAAAGAATGCAGCCTATACCACACTTCAATGGTCACGTCCATTCATGTGCCGTCCTTCCCCACTTGAAACCAAATAACTGAAAAAACTTTCCATAGTAATAGTGAAGGCTTCAGCAAGACTGGACAAACCCAGGGACCTCTGCTAGGAAACATGACTAAGCTTGTCCTTCTGAATGAAAGAGGAAGGGCTATTAGCATTGATGAGGTCCACAGGGAATTCAGTGTTATACAGGAATATTTTTTGTATATGACAGAGAAAAATGTAGAAAACAGACTGATTGATTGACAGACAACCTAATTTTTTAATCTGGACATCTTTAATAAATTCTGTAATGCAGGATTATCAATCTTATCTCACCTGGATTTCTACCCTTCACAAAGAGATGGCCTTGATTTTAGAGGCCAGAGTAAGTGCCTTCTTTATCAAAAGGCTCACTGTCAATGTCCAAGTTGAGCGGCCCTGGGTCAGTCCTCAGGAACAAAATTTCATCAACTTTTTATGGTAAGAGAGTTTTTCTGACTAGTTACACATAGGTAATCACTCTCTTTACATAAAACCTTCCTGGATTTGAAGTGCAAGCAAAATGCAAATGCCACTTTCATCTGGATGCGGTAATGCGGCTCCAAGAAGCTAAAGTCACTGTCGCAAGTTTCACATTGGCAGAATGCCGAATTCTTAACATCCAGAATCTCTTTTGACTCCTTACAACCATGAGAAGCAGGGGAAATGCTCTTATTATCCCCATATTGCAGATAACCAAACTGAAGCTCTCAGAAGTTAAATAACTTGCCCAAGATTCCAAAATGTGTCAGAGCTGGACCCCAACCTGGTGTGTCTGATGTAGAGCCGTGTTTTTAAACTATGATGTTATACTCCAATATCCTAAGTATTTTTGGCCATGTCATCTATACATCATAACATCACAGCCACTTACGTTTCATACTTCCACACTTACATATCAAATTGAATATTTTCTACAATGATTTAAAAATTTCAGGTTGTACTTCCTCCCCACTTTTGGGGGAATGGGAGTATGGTATATTGTCTATTGAAATTTCTCAAGATTTTTTAGTCAATTTATTTAAAGGCATTTCTTACTTCCACGTTAATAATAAAATTCAAATTCTAATTTTTTTTTATTTTTTTGAGATGGAGTCTAACTTTGTCACCCAGGCTGGAGTGCAGTGGTGTGATCGTGGCTCACTGCAACCTCCACCTCCCAGGTTCAAGCGATTCTCCTGCCTCAACTTCCCAAGTAGCTGGGATTACAGGCGCCAGCCACCATGCCCAGCTAATTTTTTGTATTTTTAGTAGAGACGGGGTTTCGCCATGTTGCCTAGGCTGGTCTCAAACTCCTGACCTCAAGTGCTCCACCCCCCTTGGCCTCCCAAAGTGCTGGGATTACAGGCATGAGACACTGCACACAGCCTTAAATTATAATTTTTTAAAGAGTCACAAGTAAAAGCCAAAAGGAAGTTCTATGTTTGACCTTCTTTGTTAAAAAATAAATGTACAGAGGACAGGACAATGTCTTCTGTAGTTTGCCTGATACTGAGCCAAGTGAGATTTTCATATTAAATTTTGCTGTCCAGTCTGGGCACGGGGGCTTGCGCCTGTAATCACAGCACTTTGGAAGCCAAGATGGGGGGATCATTTGAGGTCAGGAGTTCGAGACCAGCCCGGCCAACATGGTAAAACCCCGTCTCTATTAAAAATACAAAAATTAGCTGGGTGTGGTAGTGGGCACCTGTAATCCCAGCTACTTGGGAGGCTGAGGTAGGAGAATCACTTGAACCCAGGAGACGGAGATTGCAGTGAGCCTAGATCATGCCACAGCACTCCAGCCTGGATGACAGAGTGAGATTCCGTCTCAAAAATAAAAATAAAAATAAATAAATAAATTTTGCCATCCAGAATTTTATTATGCTTTGGGGAGACAGAGTGGGAGGTAAGAACAAGATTGTTAGTGACATATTTGTCCTATAATAAATTTTAAAATTGTTTTTTGTTCTCTGAAGATATCTTCAAACTTATCTTTTATTTATTTAAACATAATAAGCAAGAAAAGTCACATATTGTCTGTAGTTCGATAATCTCAACAGCTTACATCTTTATAGATCTGCTTCTATTCTATCTAGTTTCCTTGTGTACCTGGTTATCTTTGACCATATTCCAGCACTTTAAAAATTAGGTATAGGAATAATATGAGGCCTCTGGGTGTAGATATACCCAGAGATGATCTGCTTCTGTAATGTGTTGGGATCATACCAGTCTGGGACCACCTTAAGCCAAATCCAAGGCCTGAGATTTCCTGGACCTGGACAATCTGAATAATTGGAACCTGAGTTATGATTCTGCAGGAGGGCTGCTCCACTTCTAGCCACCCTCCCCCTCAGGATATACCCTGGGAAGTCCCAGTGTACTATAGGAGGGCCGCCTCTCCTTGGCTGGCTCCTGGCTTCCATTTCTGCACTCTCTTCCAGCCAGGCTGCAGCCCATCCGTGGAAGTTCCCCACAGAGGATCAGCAAATACCTGCAGGGCAAAAAGAGCTTTGGTGCTCCTTCACCTCTCTGGTTCCTATTCTCTCTTCCCTGTTGACCTAGTCATTTCTTACTATCTTGTCAGCAATTTCATACTGCTGAAGATTTCCAAAAAATAGTTTACGTTGTTATTTGTCTCCAGTGGGAGAGTTGGTCCACATAGTTTAGCCTACCATTGCTAGGAGGTCTCATCCTGTAAGCTTCTCAAGAAATAACCAACTCAGGCCAAACGGTGGGCCCTACTAATAGGTGTTAAGAAAGACCTAAAGTTGATTTATGTGTCTTAAAACAAAATAATCGATTTTTCAACAAACACATCTTTCTGCTTACTGAGGCCTGTAGTTCCAGAAGCATGGGTTTAGGGTCTTCAAAGGAAGGGGGGCATTGGGGGTGGGAAGGGAAGTGCATAAGAATCACCCACAGCCTCAGGTGCACCGGCTCTGCTACTGAGCAGTTCTACAACCTTGGCCAATAAGGCCAGCTCTTGGCTGGTTTTCTCATCCGGAAAATGGGAATAATGAAAATCATAGGCCGGGCGCGGTGGCTCACACCTGTAATCCCAGCACTTTGGGAGGCCAAGGTGGGTAGATCACCTGAGGTCAGGACTTCGAGACCAGCCTGGCCAACATGGTGAAACCCTGTCTCTACTAAAAATAATAAATACAAAAATGAGCCGGGCGTGATGGCAGGCACCTGTAATCCCAGCTACTCAGGAGGCTGAGGCAGGAGAATCGCTTGAACCTGGGAGGCAGAGGTTGCAGTGAGCTGAAATCGTGCCACTGCCATGGTGGCAGGCACCTATAATCCGAGCTACTCGGGAGGCTGAGGCAAGAGAATCAATTGAACCTGGGAGGCAGAGGTTGCAGTGAGCCGAAATCGTACCACTGCACTCCAGCCTGGGTGACAGAGAGACTCTGTCTCAAAAAAAAAGATCATAATACCTGTCTCACAATGTCGTCATGTGGATTGAATGAAATTGAATGATACAAGCAAAGCCTTTAGCTCAATGTTTAGCACAACAACGTCTGTTAAGTGTTGGGCAAACATTATTATTATTATTATCCCCAAGGTGCTGATGGCCTAAGACACATACTCACCAGACCATCCCCTCTCCCCTGCACATGCTCACAGTCCTAGTTCAGTAGTTGGAAACCACTGCCTTAGTTAATGATGATTTGAATAAATCACTGGATTCCAATGGTCCAGTTGCTAAAGACATTATTCTGAAGGCCCGAAAGGCAGGCCTCCTGAATTTTATCTCCCTTAACTCATTCTGTGACCTACAAATTGAAAGGAGGAAAATAATTCAGATGGCGAAAGGGCCTGGAGATACCCCCCCAATAAAAGATTCCCCTGCAACCACGTGGCAAGTTGTGCTGTTATGATAAAGCGGAAGACTGTTTGGAAATAATCAAAAATTCTCTCAGGAAGCCCAATTATATTTTTACATCAAGAATCAAAATGCTGGTGCTGCAGACTTCAGCCTATCATTCACAAACCTTTTATCCTGTAATTAAGCCAGATCTGCTGCTGGGCTAATTCTTCCCTGAATGACACCACCCTTTGAGCCAGCCCGTATGTCGGTAGAAGACTTCACTCTGATGATCTATTACACCAATACATCACCGCGGTGAGCTGCCTCCTTAATGATTTATCCATAACACATCATCAGAGTGAGGCACACTTGTAATATATTGCTCAATAAGTCTGCAGTGGCCAAGGGAGAAAGCCACGAACAGCAGCCGAGTCTGTGCCCTTACACGGCTGGTGTCAGAGCGCAGGACCCACGCTGGGCTCTCCTCTCTAAACAAATGTTTATATAGGTGGGAGGGCTCTCATGCCAATAGGCTTTTAAAACATGAAGAACCATGACCTTAAGAAAGCACCATAAATCCAGAGGAGAAAGGCCCCTCCGTGTGTAGTAGGGCTTACTCTTCTAAGCCTGTCATTTCTAAGCATTTTAAGCTCTTACTTAGTAGAAGGCCGGGACCACTGCAACACACACCCCAGGGGATGCCATTCTCATTGTAGTCTGCGCAAATGGTGCCCCCTGGAATTGTGCAACGTGCGGCCTGAGTCACCCCACATGGCAGCCCTGTAGGAAGACCTATGGTTAAAAGCATAGACTCTGGCATCATTCTGCCTTGTTTGAATCAAAATTCCTGGAATAACAGTCCTATTTCATGGAGTTGCTGTGAGATTGAGTAAGGTAATGCTTGTAGAGCACTTATCATGTAATAAACACTCAGCAAATGTTAGCCTCTTCTAATAGCTACCTTCACAATGCTGAGTGCCAGGAAGCCTTTAGGTCCAGGCCTAAGGTAGCAGGCTGCCCCTATAGATTGTGTTCTTTATTCTGGCAGACGCTGTCTAATTTTTATGTATTTAAATGCTGCTTCATTCAAAAGAAAAAAGGGGAGAGTGGATAAAAAGGTGCTCATGGGGCTGGGTGCGATGAGCCTGTAATCCCAGCACTTTGGGAGGCTGAGGTGGGCGAATCACAAGGTCAAGAGATCCAGACCATCCTGGCCAACATGGTAAAACCCTGTCTCTTCTAAAAATACAAAAATTAGCTGGGCATGGTGGTGCATGCCTGTAATCCGAGCTACTCGGGAGGCTGAGGCAGGAGAATCGCTTGAACCTGGGAGTCAGAGATTGCAGTGAGCTGATATCACGCCACTGTACTCCAGCCTGGCGACAGAGCAAGACTCCATCTCAAAAAAAAAAAAAAAAAAAAAAAAAAAAAGGTGCTTACGGAAATACATAATAGGATGAATATAAAGAAATGGGAACATCTGCGAAAAGAGGGAGAAAGATTAAATAAAGTTTAAGCAAAAGTAATGTACAAAAAGAATGCCAAGAATCAGTAAGAGTGGGGTCACGGGCACACCCATTCCCTCCAGTGGGAGCAAGTCAGTGCAACCACTCTGGAGTGCAACTTGGCATCACCCAAAAAGCGAAAGATGAGCCCTACCGCCCAGCAATTTCACTCCTAATTGTATGCCCTGGCTCAGAGGGATTCTTCCTTGCACACATGTACAAAGAAACAGGGATAATAATGTTCCCTGCAACATCCTAGAGACAGCAAAAAAAAAAAAAAACTGGAAACAACTGAAACCTCCAAGAGGAAAATAAATATATAACAATAATAGCCAACTCTCTTTTTAAAAAATCACTTTTTGTTTTTGAGACAGGGTCTCAGCTCTGTCACCCAGTCTTTACTGCAGTGACACAATCATAGCTCACTGCAGTTCAAGGGATCTTCCCAAGTAGCTGAGACTACAGGTGTCCATCACCACACCAGGCTAATCATTTTGTTGTTGTTGTTGTTGTTTTTATTTATTTATTTTTATTTTTATTTATTTATTTATTTTGAGACGGAGTTTTGCTCTTGTTGCCCAGGCTGGAGTGCAATGGCGTGATCTCAGCTCACCACAACCTCTGCCTCCTGGGTTCAAGCGATTCTTCTGCCTCAGCCTCCCGCGTAGCTGGGATTACAGGCATCCACCACCACGCCCGGCTAATTTTTGTATTTTTAGTAGAGACGGGGTTTTACCATGTTGGCCAGGCTGGTCTCAAACTCCTGACCTCAGGTGATCCACCCGCCTTGGCCTCCCAAAGTGCTGGGATTACAGGCGTGAGACACCATGCCCAGCCAAAAATCCTTCTAATGTTTATTTTTTTAATTATGAAAATAACTCTTTTTAATTTATTTGCATAGTGTTTTTATTCTACTACATACATAAAAATAGAAGCTACAGGTGAATTAAGTTTATTAATGTGGTCTTAAACATCTTCCTGTTCAGTCTGACATGTCTGAATCCCTTTCAGACTCAGTGTCTTTGATGTCTGTGCTTTTCTACATACCTTCCTGTTCTGTTCCATGAAGGACATTAGTGATATGGCATTTCTTAAAAGAATGTTCCATTAGTGCTTATGAGACCAAGTCTTACACTATATACCAGGAATATTTTCAATGCTTTTCACCTATTAAGTCATTTATTTTCGCCTCTATTAGATAGGTGGTATCATTAGCCCCATTTTACAGATGAAGAAACAGAGACGAGAAGAGGAGGTTAAGTCACTTGCCCAAGGTCACAGAACTAGTAAGTGGCAGGGTTGGGGTTTGAACCAAGGCAGCCTGGCCCCAGAGCCATACTCTTAAAGCCTACATATTCATACATCTAGTCTTAGAATAGAATATTGTACAGCAGTGAAAATGAATTAACTAGAGTTACATGTGGCAAAACAGGTGAGTTTCAAAAGAAAACTCTTGAGTAAAAAGATCAAATTACAGAGGGATACATGCAGTATAAAGCCACTTTTATAATATTTTTAAATGTGTAAAACAATACTGTATGTTTATTATAGATACATACGTTTGTAGAAAAAATTATTATTTTTTAAGTAGGGAAGATAAACACCAAGTCCAGGAAAATATCCACCACGAGAGTAGGGACAAAGAAGAAAGGGATCAGGAATGGATACAAGAAGCTCATGTCTTAACCTGGGTGATGGGTAAGTAGATATTTGTTGTAGAGTCTCTGTAATTTTTGAATGCCTGAAATATTTCATAATAATCAAAAATAATGCCATCTCCTACTCCAGAGCTGCATGTAACTGTAAATTAAGCTCTGAATTTCCCCACAGCCAAAGCTAAGAGGGAAACTAAGACACCAAATTTGCCAAGACCGCAGAAGCAAACCACCCAAGTTGTTCAAAAGCAGCACAGTTTTTTATTCCTTAAGCTAAAACGTGAAAGATATTTATCCCACGGGTCTTCATAGAGGAAAAAATGGTCAGTAACATTCCCACAGAAAAAAACAAAAGTATGCCTCATACAACCATTTCCTAGCATCCCTCAATGCATTGTAACAGCTTAATGTCAAAGCAGGCTTCAGAAGCAGCAGCTCAGCTGGGCGAGGTGGCTCACACCTGTAATCCCAGCACTTTGGGAGGTCAGGAAGGAGGATCGCTTGACCCCAGGAGTTCAAGACCAGGCTGGGCAACAAAGAAAGACCCCATCTGTACAAAAAAATTGAAAAATGAGACAGGGTCTCATACACCTGTAGTCCCAGCTATTCAGGAGGCTGAGGCAGGAGGATCGCTTGAGCCTGGGAAGTAGAGGCTACCGTGAGCTTTGATCATGCCACTGCACTCCAGCCTGGGTGACATAGCGAGACCCTGTTTCCAAAAGAAAAAATTAAAAATAATTAAATTTTAAAAAAGAAGCAGCTGCTCTATAAAGGGAACTGTCTTTATTGCCAGCTTCTGGGACATTTCCAGAGAGAACAGACCTTCATGAGCAAGAGGGAAGCAGGCCGACTTGACCACAGTAGCCTGGGGACTGACACAGCCTTAACTCTGGGAAGGACCCTCCTTCAGATTCCTGCTCAGGGGCCTGGGACCCATAGCTGCAGACAAGCCATAAAGATATCCTACAGTCCTGGGATCTGAAAGCATTCACCCTCTGTTTAGTTCTTCTCATGATCACTCAGACTTCTTGGACCCTGAGTCCATCCAGCTGTCTGTTGAAACCATTGGCTCTTACCTTCATCTTACAAAGGCGGGAGCCAGCTAGGCACCGTGGCTCACACCTGTACTCCAGCACTTTGGGAGGCCGAGGCGGGCGGATCACCTGAGGATGGGAGTTAGAGACCAGCCTGACCAACATGGAGAAACCCTGTCTCTGCTAAATATACAAAATTAGCCGGGCCTGGTGGCACATGCCTGTAATCCCAGATGCTCAAGAGGCTGAGGCAGGAGAATCGCTTGAACCCAAGAGGCGGAGGTTTCGATGAGCAGGGATCCCGCCGTTGCACTCCAGCCTGGGCAACAAGAGTGAAACTCTGTCTCAAAAAAAAAAAAAAAAAAAGCAAGCTGATTATTTAGAGATGTAAAGGTACCCACCAGACGCACTAAAAACAGAAATGGTTAAAACTAGTTGGCCCCAAGAACAGGCCTGGGGTCGGAGGGGTGGAGAGCCTGTTCAGAAAATTGTGGGGAAATTTGAAAATGGACTGAGTACGAGGAAATCTTCAAAAACTGGCTGTTAAATGCCATGTTGTTGGGTTTGATAATGGTATTGTATTGATATAAGAAAGGGTCTTATTTTCCAGAGAAGCAGGCTGAAGCCTTGGGTGAGAGAGGTTTTGTGGGAACTTGCTTTAAAATGCCTCAGAAAAGCTGGAAGCTGTCGCTCATGCCTGTAATCCCAGCACTTTGGGAGGCCAAAGTGGAGGGATTGCTTAAGCCCAGGAGTTCGAGACCGGCCTGAACAACATGGTGAGATCCTGTCTCTACAAAAACTCAGAAAATGAGGCGGGCAGATCCCTTGAGCCCAGGAGGTTGAGGCTGCAATGAGCCATGATTGCACCACTTGCCCTCCCACCTGAGTGACAGAGCAAAACCCTGCCTCAAAAAAACAAACAAAAAACAAAACAAAAAAAAACACTTCAGAAAAAATATAGATGAGCAAAAACAGCAAAATATTAATAATGGTTTAGTCTACATGATAAACATATGGAGGATCTTTATATGATTCTTTTTTTTTTTTTTTTTTTTTGAGATGGAGTCTTGCTCTGTCGCCCAGGCTGGAGTGCAGAGGCGCGATCTCGGCTCACTGCAACCTCCACCTCCCAGGTTCAAGCAATTCTCCTGTCTCAGCCTCCCGAGTAGCTGGGATTACAGGTGCACGCTGCCATGGCTGGCTAACTTTTTGTATTTTAGTAGAGACAGGGTTTCACCATATTGCCCAGGCTGGTTTCCAACTCCTGAGCTCAGGCAGTCCACCTGCCTCGGCCTCCCAAAATGCTGGGATTACAGGCATGAGCCACTACACCCAGCCAATTCTCTCTACTTTTATGAATGCTTCCATAATCAAATTTAAAATGTGGGTTTGTTTTGTTTTGTTTTGTTGTGTTTGAGACAGGGTCTCGCTCTGTCAGTCAGCCTGGGGTGCGGTGGCATGATCATAAATCGAGGTTTCAGTGAAACCTCGAACTCCTGGGCTCAGGGGATCCTCCCACTTCAGCCTCTGGAGTAGCTGGGACTACAGGCACACACTACCACGCATACCTGGCTAATTTTTAAAAAATTTTTTGTAGAGATGGGGGTCTCACTATAATGCCCAGGCTAGTTCCGAACACCTGGCCTCAAGTGATCTGCCTACCTTGGTATCCCTAAGTGTTGGGATTACAGGCATGAGCCACTGTGCCCAGCCTGAAAAGATTTTAAAGAAGTATTTAATAAATCTTGGAAGATGCTGATTCTGCTCTTCTTGGAGCTCCGCTTGGACCCATGGACCCAAAGAACAGGACTTCAGGGATCTTGTAGCTCAACCCCCTCATCTTACAAATGGCTAAAAAGGTTTGAAGACTTACCAAAGTCATACAGCCAACAAATGGATGAGCTGGGGCCAGGCTGGGGTCTCCAGGAGCCTTACCCAGTGTCCTATCTACTGTCTCATGTCTGCCTCATTTTTGGACAAAAGGAGCTATTTTTAAATGTCAATAAAGAACCGGGGTACACTCAGTTCTTTTTTTCTTAAGGCAGACATTGCCTATGGGTCGATGGGTTCTCATCGTAAAAAACCCCTGACTATACCCGGAAAGTTTTATTCTCTTCAACATAAAATTAAAGTATATTCAAGTCCTTTAGATCTTACAGCCACTCCTTTGGGGGTTGGCAAAGCATGTGTCAGTCGAGCAATAAACATCTGTCATCTAGAGCTCATTAATATTAATTACAAGTGGCCAGTGGCTCAGGGGACCTCAGTCCTGCAGATGAGATTTTCCTAAATTTGACCTTCTTAGACTTACAGGTGTTTAAACTGGTTCTTTTAAGAAGCCAGTCTATGGCCAGGCGCAGTGGCTTATGCCTGTAATCCCAGCACTTTTGGAGGCCGAGGACGGTGGATCACTTGAGGTCAGGAGTTCGAGACCAGCCTGGCCAACATGGTGAAACCCCGTCTCTACTAAAAATACAAAAATTATCTGGGTGTGGTGGCACATGCCTGTAGTCCCAGCTACTCAGGAGGCTGAGGCAGGAGAATCACTTGAACCCAGGAGGCGGAGGTTGCAGTGAGCCAAAATCACGCCACTGCACTCCAGCCTGGGCTACAGAGCAAGACTCCATCTCAAAAAAAAAAAAAAAAGGCCGAGGGCAGTGGCTCATGCCTGTAATCCCAGCACTTTGGGAGACCGAGGCTGGCGGATCACCTGAGGTCTGGAGTTCAAGACCAGCCTGACCAACATGGTGAAACCCCATCTCTACTAAAAATACAAAAATTAGCCAGGCGTGGTGGCAGGCACCTGTAATCCCAACTACTGGGGAGGCTGAGACTAGAGAATCACTTGAACCCAGGAGGCGGAGTTTGCAGTGACTGGAGATCGTGCCAGTATACTCCAGGCTGGGTGACAAGATCGAAACTCCGTCTCAAAAATAAATAAATAAAAATTTAAATAAAAAAAAAAAGCCAGTCTAGGCCCATTTCAACAATCAAAAGGGAAGAAATAAACACTCCCAAGTATCAGAGGTTAGGTTGCCCAATAAGCCAGGAGGGGCCTGGCCAGAATGCTACAGGACTGTGGGACATTCTGGTGCCTTCTGTCTGCCTGGAGCTTGGGTTGCCAGATCCTCCTCCTTAGCTGGCCCATCTCCCACAGCCCTTTTCTCTTCTCTCACATAGGAAAGTTGGGGATGGGGCAAAGCTACCAAAGACAAGCTTTACCTTCTCATATTTAAATTGGAATTTTTCTGGGATTAAGCCCACTACCTCTTGTTCTAACCTTGGGGGCCCTTGGAGGGTGGGTAGGCAGAGAAACCAGATGTGGCTCAGGCACACTCACTGAGGTGACCTGGATCCCGGGCACTGAGCCTTCCCTTTTCCCATCTGAAAATGGAGCCCCTGCCCATGCTATGGGAGTCAGCCTGTGGCTGCTGGCAGTAGTGGCAAAGCCACCCCCTTGTCCCTGATGTCACACTCAAGGGGGCTGGAAGCCTTGAGGAGCCAGCCAAGTGACATCTATACCAGCCTGGTTCTCAGCGGGAAGCCAGATCCGAGAAGGCAATGGGCTCCGGGAGGGCAGAGGAGGTCACCTGAGCTGCAGAGAAGGGGCAGGGCCATTTCGCCCCACTGGGCGGGAGCCAGCAGGAGCTGATGATAAAGCTCAGGACCTCCTCGTATGCACTGAATATTCCAGAAATAACCCTGAGCACGCCTAGGGTTTCCACTGAGCACCTGGGAAAGGAGAGGCTTTGAAGAACAATCCTGCATTTCCTGCAGAATTTTCTAGGAGGCAGAGACTAGAAAGCTGAACTTTTCCACTAGTTGTCCCTCATCCTGCCACACTCCCTCTCCGGAGGCCATCGTCTTGGAATCTACACTGCTTCCAGGTTGAAGGCCAGTAGCATCACCACCAGCCCCACAGCCATGTTCTTCTTTCCTGCATCTTTATTTCGCGTAACAGTAGAAGGCTTGAGAGTTTACAAAGTTCTGCATAGCCAGCATCTTATTCGGGTTTTGCACCCCAAAACATACTTGGTGCTAATATTATTTTCCCCGTGTCAAAAACAGGGAAATCATTCATTTGTTCACTTGACAAATATACTTCCAAAAATCTATTAGGTTCCAGATTCTCTCCTGGGGCTGGATGTGGCTCAAAATGGTCAAGTGATTTCTCTAAAGCCATGGCCACAAAGGAGTGCCAGCGTCAGGATTTGAATCCAGTCCTTTTGACTGAGACTTAGAGAGGAAAGAGGTCAGAGCCCTTCCCCTGTAACCCACCTGGGTGGCACCCTTAGCTCTGTGCTCCTCTGGCCTCACATCCCAGGTAATTCAAGGCAGAGGGGCCCACCATACACTGGCAGACCACCAGGGTAAAATAAAGTGGGAGGGTAGGAAGGTCAAGGATAGATCTTTCTGGTCCTCTAGGCCTCATCCTCACCCTGCCCACCATTTCTGCCCTGGCACCCACTGCCTCCCCATGCCCTTCATAGGGAGAAGCTCCAGAAAGAGTTTCAGAAACTCCTAATTGCTGACTAGCCCCAGGTCCCCAAAACAATGGCTCTGATGTTGGAACTATTTTCCCTGGCCGGGCCTCTAGGTAGTGACCCTCTGGCTTTCCTCCATAATCTGGGGCAAAGAGGGTGGAGAAAGAAAGCAGAAAAGTGTGCTGAAAGGAAGGCAGTTGGGGGGAGTGTAGAGGGGCAGCAAGGAGGCAGAAAAGGGCCGGGCATGGTGGCTCATGCCTATAATCCCAGCACTTTGGGAGGCCAAGGCGGGAGAGTCGCTTGAGGCCAGGAATTTGAGACCAGCCTGAGCGACATAGCATAGAGACCCTATCTCTACAAAAAAATTAAAAATAAAAAATTAGCTTGGCATAGTGGCATGCACCTGTAGCCCTAGCTACCTGGGAGGCTGAGGCAGGAGGACCACTTGAGCCCAGGAGGTTGAGACTGAAGTGAGCTATGATTGCACCACTGCACCCCAGCCTGAGTGACAGAGAGAGACTTTGTCCCTATTTTTAAAAAAAGGAAGCAGGAAAGAAGAAACAGAATGAGTGTCATTGAGTGTCATTTAAAATGTTGGTTTCTACACACACGCTTGCCCACAGGCATACACAATCCAAGAAGTTACTAAATAAATGCACATTTTCCAGTGAAACCTACCAGCATGGGATAAGTTCCAAAAGCGGATAGTTCCCAAGATGTTCTCTAGTTTCCTCCTTTGTTGTTGTTGTTGTAGTTGTTTTTTAATTTGATTCATTTACTTGGTGCTAGAAGTTTGGAAGGAGATAAAGGACAGAGTAACTACTGGGGGTGGGGGATAGAGAAAGCTGTGTTTAGACGAGTGGCTGGTGAAAGAGGACACAATACCGTTTCTTCTCAATGTTAATCTAGCGCATGTTAATTCCTCCCCACCCAGTGGGAATCGACAGTGGCTGAAAGCCTTCTAGGCACTGACAGCAAAGACGGAGTACTCGCCAAGAACTTTGTTCACGTTCTCATTCAGTCCTCACAGCAACTTAGTGAGGTAGACGTTGTTACCCTTGTTTTACAGATAAGGAAATTGAGGTTCAGACGGTTCACTAACTCCCCTAATGTCACCAGACAAAGCAACAGATCAGGGTTTCAAACCCAGGTCTGTTCTCCAAGGCCTGGGTTTTTTCCGCTGCTCTGCCTCCCTGCCTGCACTGTTCTCTCTCCCGCTGTCCTCCACAGCAAATTCGCAGATGTGTCATTGACTGGAGAAGGTTAGGAAACACTGCTCTGGGCAGAGTCTCCAGGGGCTCAGCGCAGTAAGCTCCTTCCTCTCCAGCTCCTATTATGGTGCAAACAGTGCCGCTTCCCCGGCAGGCCTTTGTCATTTGTCCCGTGGCCTGTCCCCTCCCATCTCTACCCCATCCCAGTAGCACCCCAGGACCTCAGCTTCCTAAATTTCAGCCACAACATTATTTTTACAAGGACACTCTTCAACCTTGAAAGGCAAGGTACCCCGAGGCAAGGAAACGAAATGACTGTAGTTGAACAGCATGAGAGTCCAGCGCCATCTAGTGGTGCTGAAACCGACAAGTCCCTGGCGGTGACATTTTCAAATAATCAATATCTCATTATTAACCATAATCACAACCTGATGTTTACTTTTGGAGAAATGTTCAGCAGCAAGGGATGCACATGCACTTTTCTGCATGTTTCAGAGGCCTGCGATCCTAAATGCCACAATGACTATTAAACAGTGTCCTGCCCATGAGCAAACAGGAGAGATTGATTGTATATCTTTTTCATCTAAGCTGCTCACCAAAAACAAAGCTCAGTTGAAGCCAGTGACCTTTCACTAACTGCTGGAAGGAAAATGCTTGATAAATAATAAATAGACCACTACTGGATCTTGCTTAGAACTATCTTTTAATTAAAAGAACTGAGGAGCTAGAAGGTCCGGTGACTGACATTTATTTCAGTTGCAGTCCAGGAAAAGCATTCATTGAGGGTAAAATGATACTTGAAATGTATTTTCGTTGTCAGCTAGTATTCCCCAAAAACCCTGTCTGTAATCTGCATGGATGGAGGGTGGTGGTGGTGGCTGGCAGTAGCAACATTTTGTAGGGAACATAACACTTAACTTCCTGCCTTCTCTGCCTTCCCCTAGCAACCTTTTCTTTTTCGTGCTGCAGCAATAAACACTTGTCTGGTTCAGCATCACCACAGAAACTGCTTCAGTGCCGGGCTCATCCAATCAGAGACCCGCCTGCCACATTGAGCGCTACCCTAGGAGTGACAGGAAAGCCATTTCCCGTCTTTTCCACAGGAGGGCAGGTGCCCTTCCTCTGCCAGCCAAGGTGACCTCGACCAAGTTGCTCACTGAACCTGCTCAGCCATCCCTCATCTCACCCAGCACGGTCAAAGGCTCAGAACGCATGACTAACTTAGCCCGAGTCAGGCTCCCACCTTTTGGCTATTCTAGAATTGAGCTCAGAACATAGAGACCAGGAAGTCTCAGCCTTCCCCATCCCCTCCTCCACTCACCTTTGCTTGCTCCTAGCTCCAGTCTTCTGGCTGAGGCCGTGCCAGCTTGCGTTGACTACCAGCACCACATCATGTTCTCTGCCCTAACTCCCATGTACTCAGGAAAACTGCCAGCCCATTCTGAGTCAGGCTTGGTCACAAATGAAAGCTGAGGATGGATGAGGCCCAACTCCGGGTGCCACGTCTGGATTCCCCGGAGCAGAGGCAGGCACCAGTGCCAGCCTCAGAGAAAATCTTACTGTCCCACTTGAGTGACTTTGTTTAAAAAAAGAAATCTGCTGAAGGTTTTTAAGTGGCACGCCATCATTTATTTACAGAGAAAGGTATCACTTTAACAAAATCAGGAGTCCTTCGGGGGCAGATTATTCTGTAATACCACTTTCATTATCAGAGAACTCTCGATACAAAGTGTTCTACAAAACTACAAGAAGAATCAGGCTAGCCTTTTAAGGACATCATCAAAAATCAGGCCTACCCAATAAAGGCAGAGGCAGAGCTCTATAAAATTTGGTGAATCCAGGACCACTTAAACAAGTCAGACATATAGATGATGGAAGACATGGGACGTGAATTTCTTTTGCTGGCTTTCTCATTCCTCCTATTCTATCACTTAAAGCATTTACCTGCCAGCCCCCAACATCCCAGATCTCTCCCCACTACCCTTGGAGAGCTCATTTCTTCTCCTGGCTCCAAATCTTGCCCCTGTAGACACCTATCCCTTATCTCTGTCTGCCACTTAGATATAGCACCATCACCTTCAACTTAGTAGGTTGAGAATTGAAGCTCTCTCCCAGGAGAGCACCAGTTCCACGTCACCAACTGGGTGTTAGTGATGCTGCTAAGTTTTCTAGTCACTCAGGTTTGTGACCTTGGACTTGCTGCCTCCTTTTTGGTCCCTCTGACATGTCTCCTCTTTCCTCCTTCCCTGCCCACTCCTCCATCCCATTCTTTACATCACTCCTAGGCAAACCTTTCTTTGACCTGACACTGCTTTCACTACATTCTTTCTTTCCCTGCTCAAACTTTCCCATACCCAACTGGCTCCTCCATGTAGTTGTCAAGGCCACCATGATCTTATCTCATCCTACCAGTTCAAATGGGCTTTTCCACTACTGCTCAAAATAGTAATAAAACCACCAGCCACACATTACAAATGAGCTTTGCACTCATCTCAATTAATCCTCACAAAGCTAACTGGAAGCCAAAAAGGCAAACATTGTCCATATTTTACAGGCTGAAATACTGTGACAGGCACAGGGTCACATAGTAAAAACTGCCTGGAGTATCCAGATCTAGAACCCAAATCTTCATTACTTGTCTGGGGCAAACTTCACTGTAACCTGGATATATGCCTTCCTCGCCTTGGATTCAGCAAATCCGTAGGAGGGTCTGCTCCTGAAAGGCTGTTTAATGTTTCAATGGGTTAAAAGAATAAGAATTTCTGCCCTCCTTTATACTTTTTTTTTTTTTTTTTTTGAGACAGTGTCTCTCTTCTGTCGCCCAGGCTGGGGTGCTGTAGCATGATCTCAGCTCACTGTAACCTCCACCTCCTGGGTTCAAGCGATTCTCCTGCCTCAGCCTGCCGAGTAGTTGGGATTACAGGAGGCTGCCACCACATCCAGCTAACTTTTGTATTTTTAGTAGAGATGGGGTTTCATCATGTTGCCCAGGCTGGTCTCAAACTCCTGACTTCAAGTGATCTACCCATCTTGACTTCCCAAAGTGCTGGGATTACATGAGCCACCACGCCCACCCTATACTCTTAATAGGTAAATAATCATTACTACTTGAATGAAGGCCACAGTAAATGAGGCAGGAGTACAAACAGTAGGCCAGGTAGACCAACAGCAGTGAAGCACCTTATGAACACAATCTGTAGGGGGTTCAGTAAGGGACTTGATATTATGTATTTTCCGAGCACAGACAGCATTTGAAAACGGCACGGAAGGTTCAATTCCTACAGACCATGGTAGAAGGGAGGGTGTTCCTGCCCAAAGAAACCGCATGTACATGTCCATCCCACTGCCTTTCCAGGCTCTCATGCAGTATTCCTAGACAAATCCAGAACTGATTCCTTGCCCCTGAACCTCTACTGTACTTTTATATCAAAGTTTAAAAGGATTCCTGTTCATCTTGCTGTTTCACAAGTCACTCTTGTAGTCCCAACTCGATTTTAAGATTTTTTTTTTTTTTTTTTTGAGACAGGGTCTTGCTCTGTCGCCCAAGCTGGAGTGCAGTGGCACAATCTCGGCTCAACTGCAGCCTCTGCCTCCTGGGTTCCAGCGATTCTCCTGCCTCAGCCTCCCGGGTAGCTGGTATTACAGGCACACGCCCGCACGCCCAGCTAATTTTTTTGTATTTTTAGTAAAGATGGGGTTTCACTATGTTGGCCAGGCTGGTCTCGAACTCCTGACCTCAGGTGATCCGCCCACCTTGGCCTCCCAAAGTGCTGGGATTACAGGCGTGAGCCATGGAGCCCGGCCTGATTTTAAGCTCTTTAAAGCCAAGAATGCGGTCATGCTTCCATTCTCTCCAAAACGTGATGGGGATCTGATGACAGCTTTTGCCCAAACTGTGGAAATAGTTCTGAGTTTCCAAAGTAAGCTTCATATCTTTCACTATGTTTTGATCACTAAGACTTAACCTAAAGAAGTCAATGAGTGACAGCAGCTTTCTCCCCATCCAGATATTTGCTATACAGGGATGGTCTTTCCCTTCTGGTCCAGAGTCCCAGTCTGGTTTAACAAGATCAGAATGTGTAGGGGAACGCATTCTCATACATTGCTATGAGAGTATAGTTAAGCACAATTTCTATGGACGAAGATATCAAAACTCAAAATGATCTGCTCCTTGATCCAGCATCCCATAACTCTAGCAGCCCATTTGCAACACAGTAAAACAAAGAACATTTTCTTCAATCGGGCACTGATTAAATCACAGTGGATCTCTGAGACATAGTAACTAGAAAAGCAAGGTACAGAACAGTATGCATAGTGTCCTGTCCATGCCCAAAATATTTCTGGAAGAGCGCACAAGGAAATGGTGATAGTGATGGCCTCAGGGAAGGGGAAAAGGGTGGCTGGGGAACAGGGGTGGGAGACTAGCTTTTTACTGTTAAGTTTTGAACCATGTGCATGTATAATTTTTTTAAAGAATTATGCAACAAATAACTTCTTTAAAAGTCTTCAGCCCCAGTACGGTCGCTCAGGCCTGTAATCCCAGCACTTTGGGCGGCTGAGGCAGGAGGATCGCTTGAGGCCAGGAGTTTGAGACCAGGCCAGCCTGGGCAACATAGCAAGACTCCATCTCTACAAAAAAAAACAAACAAAAAAAATGTTAAAGAGCCAGGCGTGGTGGCACATGCCTATAGTCCTAGCTATTCGGGAAGTGAGCCAGGATGGCTTCAGCCCAGGAGTTAAGACTGCGGCAGGGTATGCACCACTGCACCCAGCCTGGGTAACACAGTGAGACCCCCATCTCCTAAAACAAAATTAAAAAAAAAAAAAATTAAGGCCAGGCATGGTGGCTAACACCCGTAATCCCAGCATTTTGGGAGGTTGAGATGGGTGGATCACTTGAGGCCAGCAGTTTGAGATCAGCCTGGGCAACATGGTTAAAAGCCCGTTTCTACTAAAAATACAAAAATTAGCCGGGCGTCATAGCATACACCTGTAATCCCAGCTACTTGGGAGGCTGAGGCAGAAGAACTGCTTGAACCTGGGAGGCGGAGGTTGCAGTGGGCCAAGATGGCTCCACTGTACTCCAGCCTGGGAAACAAAGTGATACTCCATCGCAAAAAAAAAAAAAAAAAAAAAAAAAAAATTAAAAATCTACAGAGGAGGAAAACAAACAAAAATAGCAAAAATGGGACATCAATCCAGACATGAAGGAAAAAAACATTTTTTAAATATTCATCATTGTGGCAAAAAAAACCTGCCCTTAAAAAACCAGAAACCTAAGGTTTAAAGAGATGAGTGACCCCTCAATTGTTCCTCTGAGAATAGACTGTGTCTTTCACCTGCTTTTTAAGTCCTCTTCCCAAGGTCTGGCCCGATGTTTGGTCTCAATGGTTGTGTAATGTCTCTGAATGGATGAAATTTACTTCCCTACGGAAAAGTAAAGCATTCTCCAAATGCAAGCAGTTGTGAAACAGTGATAAAGGTCGAGGGGGAAGCAGCATGGCTGAGAGCTGCTTTTGCCTAATGTATTCATTCACCTGCATGAACCAAGCACCCACGTGCATGGATGTGTACTATATACAGACTGTGAGATGTGGACCTGCCTCACAGTGTACCAGGAGAGATGAGAGCATACACAAAGAATCACTGGGTAGAAAATCTACATGAGTTTTAAAATAGGGAATTTCTGAAGCAGCTTACTACTAACAGCTAAAAACCACTGGCTTGACCACATATACAAAGGCTGCAATCTCAGAGGGATATTTCATGTATTTAGTAAAACCTGGGGAAACGAGGAAGGCAGGGAAGTTGATAAGGACTTGTAGGCACACTTTGGCCCCAGGGAGGCAGGTGGATGCTGGTGGAGAGCATCACCTAAATTAGCTGCCTCCTTTCTTGGCAATCCTGTTATCTACACCATATGAATCCAGTCTTTAGCTGGATATAACCATTCGTTCACTCATTCATTCAACAAGTATTTACTGAACAGCCTAGTCTGTGCAGGCCTATGTTAACTGTCTCCAGCACACTCAATCCATGACATTAAAGTTACAGTTTTGGTCTTTGTGTATCAGCAATGACAGGTCCTCACTCTTACCACAAAGCGCAAGTCAGCTTGGCCTCTCAAGTGGAGAGATAATCGTTCTATAGCAAGAAGTACAAAGATTCTCTGCAGACAAAACCAGCTAGCCAAGGTTCCACAACATGTGTACACGTATAAGTCTGATGGATCAGAAGAAATATGTACCCGGGAATCAGATGTAGCCAGCCCACATACTAACAAACATCAAAGCAAGCCTAGTCAGATTGAGTCCCATTTGAACAATCTTTATAAAGGTTTCTTCATGTTATTTACAATTCAAAGTAAATTTACTTTATAAGCAGCTAGGGAATTCTTTATTTAGTAATGTCCTAACATAAAAGTTCACATAACTGCTTCTGTCAAACCATGATACTGAGCTTTGTGACAACCCAGAAATAACTAAGAGAAGGCAAACATAATACCTTAGAGATCAAGAAACATTTACACAGTTCAACTGTTTAAAAATAGCTCAACATTCAGCCAGTGAGTAGAGTGTGAATGCCAGCATACACAGTATACAGGTCCTTCAGGGAGGCAAGAGACCTTTCGACTGGTCTGCAGGTGCCTCCAAATGCTGGTCCTGTGGAACTTCTTTCTGAGTCTCGTTTTCTTCCAACGCAGTCTGTGGTCTGACACTCAAGTGTTCGGATTTCCGGGAAACGTGACTACCTCCGTGTTGCTTAAAAGACCAGATTTAAGTATCACAGAGATGTTATCATTTTCACTCAATTAATTCGCTAAAGATATATAACTAGGCACATTCTGTCACTGAGTGAAAAATTTAGCACTAATATCTTAGATCCAATTCTACTATAACAAATAGTAAACATGATTTTAAAAAGTCTATAGGGCCGGGCGTGGTGGCTCACGCCTGTAATCCCAGCACTTTGGGAGGCTGAGGCGGGCGGATCACGAGGTCAGGAGATCAAGACCATCCTGGCTAACACGGTGAAACCCCGTCTCTTCTAAAGCTACAAAAAATTAGCTGAGCATGGTGGCAGGCGCCTGTGGTCCCAGCTACTCGGGAGGCTGAGGCAGGAGAATGGCATGAACCTAGGAGGCAGAGCTTGCAGTGAGCCAAGACTGCGCCACTGCACTCCAGCCTGGGTGACAGAGCGAGACTCCGTCTCAAAAAAAAAAAAAAAAGTCTATAGAACCAAATTTCAAAAGCCCTAATGACGACTCACTTGTTTCAAGTAGCAGTCATTACCACAAAATTCTAGTATATTCAGTGTAACAGTATTTGACCTGGAGTTTAAGAACATAAGCCAAGGTTAGGGAAAGAAAACCAAGTCTCTCTTTAACTTCCATCAGATTGGCAACTCTGGTCAACCCTCTGCATCTACAGGTTCCACATATGCAGATTCAACAAACCACGGATCAAAAATATTTTAACAATAAATAAATAAAATAAAAAATATAAATTTTTAAAAATAGAGTATAACTACTTACATAGCATTTACAATGTGTTATGTATTATAAATGATTTAGAGATGATTAAAGTATATGGGAGGATATGTGTAGGTTATATGCAAAAACCACAGCACTTTATAAAAGGTATTTCAGCATCTGTGAATATTGGTATCTGCAGGGGCCCTAGCACCAATCCCCTGTGCATACTGAGGGACAACTATAAACCCAGTAACAATTTTAACAATGAAATACTCACAGTCCTTGCTTCGCCTACTCGTCTTAAAATGACACCTTCTGCCAATAAAGCCTTCCCTGTTTCCACAAATAACTTCTCTTCATCTGTTTCTCCAAGTTTCTGTAGCTCAGTGTACTTCTCCACAAACCTGTAATTCCAAGCAGTCACATTTTAGGTATGTTTGTAAGCATTGTTAAGACGCTGTTACACAATATCAAATGGATAACAAAATCCTTAAAAAATAATATGAATAGCCTAGGACTTATAAAATGGCTTACCGTTGACAGGTAGACTTGAAGTTTGGATTGAATAGATCAAAAGCTCTTTGACCAGACCCATACACTGAATAAAACTTCCTAGAAAATGCAAACAACATAATATAAATCTCCGATTATAGACTGTGGATGAGAATGGAATAAAAGAAATAAAGAATAAGTGCTAGGCACTGAGGAGTTAAGTACGGTATAACCCACATAGCCTAAGCTGAACAGTTTTGTTTTTTTAGATAAGTAATGCACACATGCACATGGTAAATACATCAAATAGCACAAAAGGGTGGCCAGTGAAAAGTAACACTCCCTCCCACTTCTGCACCCCAGCCCCCCAGTTCCCTTCCCAGGAAGCAACACTAACAAATTTCTTGTATATCCATCCAGAAATATTCCACTAATATACTAGCATATATGCACTATCATTCCCTGTCCCCAGCCACATTTTTAACCCCAAGAATAGTAAACCTTGCTCTACATCTTGCCTTTTTAAAAACTGAGGTATGGCTAGGCGCAGTGGCTCATGCCTATAATCCCAGCACTTTGGGAGGCTGAGGCAGGCAGATTACTTGCAACTGGGAGTTCAGCATGGTGAAACCCCATCTCTACTAAAAATACAAAGAAATTAGCAGGCATGGTGGCATATGCCTGTAGTCACAGCTACTTGGGAGGGTTAGGTGGGAGAATCACTTGAACCCAGGAGGCAGAGGTTGCAGTAAGTGGAGAGCGCACCATTGCACTCCAACCTGGGCAACAGAATGAGACTCCGTCTCAAAAAATAATAACAAAATAAAAATAAATAATAAAAACTGAGGTAAAAGTCACACATCATAAAATTAACTTTTTTTTTTTCCAAAGAGACAGGGTCTCACTGTGTCACCAACGCAGGTAGCAGTGCTGTGATCATAGCTCACTGCAGCCTCAAACTCCTGGGCTCAAGCAATCCTCTTGCCTCAGCATCCTGAGTAGCTGGAACTACAGGTTCGCAGCACCACCATGCCTGGCTAAGTTTTAAATTTTTGTAGAGATGCAGTCTCACTATGTTGCCCAGGCTGGTCTTGAACTGCTAGCCTCAAGAGATCCTCCCACCTTGGCTTCCAAAAATGCTGGGCTTACAGGCATGAGCCATTGTCCCCAGCCCACATTTAACATTTTTCAGTGTGCAATTAAGTGACATGTAGAAAACTCACAAAGCTGTGCAACTAGCACCTCTATCAAGTTCCAAAACATTTTCATCACCCCCAAAAGGAGGCACTGTATCTGAGCAGTCACTCCCCATTTCTCCTCCCTACATCTTGCCTTATCAGTGCCATGGAGATTGTTTCCAGTCCTTTACTACTCTAAACCATGCTGCAATCATTATCTCTATTTATAATTTTAGTGCACTACGTAAATAAGTCTGTGGCATAAATTCACAAATGTGGTACTACTGGATCAAGGTATGTGCATTTGTAATTAAGCCTTCCAAATTGCCAAAATGCTTTCCAAAGTGGCTGTACCAATTTACATTCACATAGGTAATATACGAGCACCTATCTCCCCACACCCTGACCAAATGACATTCTCCAGCTGAGCATAGAGGCTCACGCATATAATCCCACCTGCTTGGGAAGCTGAGGCATGAGGATCTTTTGAGGCCAGGAGCTCACCACCAGCTTGGGCAACATGGTGAGACCTGAGACCCTGTCTCTAAAAAAAAAAAAAAAATATATATATATACACACACACACACACACACACACACACACACACACACACACACGAGGCAGGTGCAGTGGCTCACACCTGTAATCCCAGCAAAAATATATATATATATTTAGACCAGGCGTGCTGGCTGATGCCTGTAATCCCAGCACTTTGGAAGGCCAAGGCAGGAGGATCACTTGAGGCCAGGAGTTCAAGACCAGCCTGGGCAATATAGTGGGACACCATCTCTACAAAAAAAATTAAAAATTAGCCAGGAATGGTGGCATACACCTGTAGTCCCAGCTACTCAGGAGGCTGAGGTGGGAGGATCACTTGAGTCCAGGAGGTCAAGGCTGCAGTAAGCCATGATAGGCACCACTGCATCCCAGTCTGGGTTAGATCCTGCCTCAAAAAAAAAAAAAAAATACACAAACACACACACACATGTTCTCCAACTTTTTGATCTTAGCCAACCTAATAGGTAAGAAACCAGAACTCTTTATAGTTTTAATTTGCTTTTCTTTTTAAAGAGACTGGACATCTTTTCAAGTTTAAAAGCAAACTGAATTTCCTTTTCTGTGAACTGTCCAAGTTCTTTGTCCGCTTTTCTATTTGGTGGTTGCTATGGACTAAACGTGTCCCACCAAAATTACTATGTTGAAATCCTAATCCCCATTGTGATGGTATTTAGAGATGGAGGCTTTGGGAGGTAATCAGGTCATGGTAATCAGCCCTCATGATGGGATTAGTGCCCCTATAAGAGATAGAAGAGAGCTTGCTACCACTCTCTGCTCCCCTCAATGTGAGGAATCAGGAAGACAGTCCTCCCCAGAACCTGACCCTGCTGGCACCCTGATCTCAGACTTCCTAGCCTCCAGAACTATGAGAAAGAAATTTCATTTGTTTATAAGCCACCTGGTCTATGGTAATTCGTTACACAGTGGTCTCTTTCTTAATGATTTCTAAGCAAACTTTGTAGCCATATACATAGAAAATTAGTCCTTTGTCATAACATTGCAAAGATCTTTCCCAGTTTGTTGGCTGTCTTTTGATTTTGCTTACAGTACTTTTTTATACAGAAAATTTTAATATTTTCTTTTTATGGCTTCTGAGTTTTATATCATGCTTAAAAAGACCTTTATCACTCAGATTATTTTTTTAATTCTCCCATGTTTTCTTCCAGTACTGTTATGATCTCACTTTTTACACTTAGATTTTAATACATCTTTTTTGTTTGTTTTATTTATTTTGTTGTAAGTTCCTTTTTCTTTTTTTTTTTTTTAAGAGATGGGGTCTTGCCATGTTGCCAGGCTGTTGTGAGTGCAGTGGCTATTCACAGATACAATCATAGTGTACTACAACCTTGAACTCCTAGACTCCAATGGTCCTCCTTCCTCAGCCTCCCAAGTAGCTGGAACTACAGGCATGCACAACCACTCTATAAGCTTTTTTAAATATCAAAACCACCAAAAAAAAAGAGGGCCACAAAGATAAAGGTTCAATAAATTATATAAATACAAGATAATATTTTGGTGTTAATAGAAATAATTTTTATATATTCTGACAATAGTAAAAAATTAAAAAATAAAAAAAGAATTTAAAGAAATAATATTTAACAGGCTGGGCATGGTGGCTCATGCCTGTAATCCCAGCACTTTGGGAGGCCAAGGTAGGTGAATCACTGGAGGTCAGAAGTTCAAGACCAGCCTGGCCAACATGGTGAAACCCTGTCTTCCTGAAAATACAAAAAAAAAAAAAAAAATTAGCCCGCCGTGGTGACACATGCCTGTAATCCCAGCTACTCGGGAGGCTGAGAAGGAGAAATGCTTGAACCCGGGAGGTGGAGGCTGCAGTGAGCTGAGATTGAACCACTGCACTCCAGCCTGGGAGAGAGAGAGAGAGCAAGACTCCATCTCAAAAAAAAAAAAAAAAAAGTAATATTTAACAAGAGGGACAAGTAAACTATTCCACATTCTCCAATCATTTATCATCCAGTCCAAATCTACAGCAGAAGCACAAATGATTTTTTAAATTTTTTATTTATTTATTTATTTTTGAGTCGGAGTCTCACTCTGTCACCCAGGCTGGAGTGAAATGGTGCAATCTCAGCTCACTGCAACCTCTGCCTCCTGGGTTAAAGCGATCCTCCCACCTCAGCCTCCAGACTAGCTGGGACTACAGGTGCATGCCACCACGCCCAGCTGATTTTTGCATTTTTAGCAGAGGTGGGGTTTCACCATGTTGCC
Organism: Homo sapiens; assembly: GCF_000001405.40. Taxonomy (NCBI): domain Eukaryota; kingdom Metazoa; phylum Chordata; class Mammalia; order Primates; family Hominidae; genus Homo; species Homo sapiens. The sequence continues at coordinate 57,845,106 of NC_000017.11, forward strand.
CAGGCTGGTTTCGAACTCCTGACCTCAAGTGATCCACCCGCCTCGGCCTCCTGAAGTGCCAGGATTACATGTGAGAGCAAAGCACAAATGATTTTAATGTATCAATGAACCACAAAGTGCATGCAATGGGTCTGAGAAGAAAGGTGCTGAAAAAGCATTTAATCTCCTCAAAGATCTCATGTTGTATGCCGAAAATATCCAAGTAGAACAAGAACATACTTGTTCTGCTACTTTAAATGAGTGTTGGTGTTGGGGGTCCCGGGGTGAAAGCCTGGGCCCCAATTCGGAACATAATGACCTTATAAATTCCATTTTCTAGCATCCTGAAACAACAGTAAGAATAAGGGATGTGTATCAAAGTCAATTAGGCACACTCATTGGTATAAATATTTAAGAGAAAAAGGAACTAGACAAATTCAAGGTACTAAAAGCTAATTAACATCAGTATTCAAGGGGAGGGGCTTTGTCAGTAAACTCCCAGTGAGAGATTTACCACTTACTTAGATCTTACATAAATGTATAGGGATGCTAAATGTGGCCATAGAAGTGGTTTCTAGCCCACTGTTCCTGAAATTGTTTCAGAAAACTAATAAAATTCTGATGGCCATTCTCCAAACAGTCCCAGTCCTGGCCCTCCACCATTCCTCTCCAAGGAATTTTCTTTCGTTTCTCTCTACCAGCCTCATAGTTCATCTGTCCATTAATCCATTAGCTTCTTCATTCAAGAGACGATTAATAAGCAACTTATATGCCACACAATGGGCTAGGCACTGAAGTTACAAGAATGAATTTGACAATGCCTGGCCCATGACAGTGCTTAATGAATGTTTGTTATTGAATAAAGACAGGGCATTTGGAATGTAGAGCTATTAAAGACAGGCTAAGGCCACAACAGGGGCAGTATGAACAAAATTCAGGGCACACAAAAGGGGAAACATGAAAACAGAAAAGTAGTCCCAAAGAAGTGTGACATCTTTGTTTTTTTTTTTTGTATGAAAAAAATAAGGTGGGGGGCAGCCCCCACCCAGCCAGCCGCCCCGTCTGGGAGGGAGGTAGGGGGCAGTCCCTGCTCCGCCAGCCGCCCCGTCCGGGAGGGAGGTGGGGGGCAGCCCCCGCCTGGCCAGCCGCCCCGTCCGGGAGGGAGGTGGGGGGTAGCCACCGCCCGACCAGCCGCCCCGTCCGGGAGGGAGGTGGGGGGCACCCCCGCCCGGCCACTGCCCCGTCCGGGAGGTGGGGGGCACCTCTGCCCGGCCGCCCCGTCTGGGAAGTGAGGAGCCCCTCTGCCCGGCCGCCACCCCATCTGGGAGGAGTACCCAACAGCTCATTGAGAACGGGCCATGATGACGATGGGGGTTTTGTCGAATAGAAAAGGGGGAAATGTGGGGAAAAGAAAGAGAGATCAGATTGTTACTGTGTCTGTGTGGAAAGAGGTAGACATGGGAGACTCCATTTTGTTCTGTACTAAGAAAAATTCTTCTGCCTTGGGATGCTGTTAATCTATAACCTTACCCCCAACCCCCTGCTCTCTGAAACATGTGCTGTGTCCACTCAGGGTTAAATGGATTAAGGGCGGTGCAAGATGTGCTTTGTTAAACAGATGCTTGAAGGCAGCATGCTCGTTAAGAGTCATCACCACTCCCTAATCTCAAGTACCCAGGAACACAAACACTGCGGAAGAACGCAGGGACCTCTGCCTAGGAAAACCAGACACCCTTGTTCACATGTTTATCTGCTGACCTTCCCTCCACTATTGTCCTATGACCCTGCCAAATCCCCCTCTCCGAGAAACACCCAAGAATGATCAATAAATACTATAAAAAATAAAAAATAATAAAAATAAATTAAAAATAAAAAATAAAAAAAAGAAAAAATAGAGAACTTTAAAGATATTTTTAAGAATGTTGCTAGGAGGCCGGGCACGGTGGCTCACACCTGTAATCCCAACACTTTGGGAGGCAAGGCGGGCGGATCACGAGGTCAGGAGTTTGAGACCAGCCTGACCAACATGGTGAAACCCCATCTCTACTAAAAATACAAATTAGCCAGGCATGGTGGCGTGAGCCTGTAATCCCAGCTACTCAAGAGGCTGAGGCAGGAGAACAGCTTGAACCCGGGAGGTGGAGGTTGCATGGGGCTGAAATTACACCACTGCACTCCAGCCTGGGTGGCAGAGCGAGACTCCATCTCAAAAAAAAAAAAAAAGAATGTTCCTAGGCAACCATTAGGAGCACATTTTCTGTGACTATTTAAGTTTTGGAAAAAAAGAGAATAAAGAGGCCGGGCGCGGTGGCTCACGCCTGTAATCCCAGCACTTTGGGAGGCCGAGGCAGGCGGATCACGAGGTCAGGAGATTGAGACCATCCTGGCTAACACGGTGAAACCCTGTCTCTACTAAAAATACAAAAAATTAGCCAGCTGTGGTGGTGGGCGCCTGTAGTCCCAGCTACTCAGGAGGCTGAGGCAGGAGAATGGCATGAACCCGGAAGGCAGAGTTTGCAGTGAGCCGAGATTGCGCCACTGCACTCCAGCCTGGGAGACAGAGTGAGACTCCATCTCGAAAAAAAAAAAAATACTTAGATCAGAAAAAAACAAAACTTTTTTTTTTTTTGGAGACAGGGTCTCCCTCTGTTGCCCAGGCTGGAGTGCAGTGGTGCACTCTCAGCTCACTGCAACCTCCACCTTCTAGTTTCAAGCGATTCTCCCACCTCAGCATCCAAAGTAGCTGGGACTACAGGTGCCCACCACCAAGCCCGGCTAATTTTTGGTATTTTAGTCAAGACAGGGTTTCACCATATTGCCCAAGGTGGTCTCGAACTCCTGAGCTCAGGCAATCTGCCCACCTCAGCCTCCCAAAGTGCCAGGATTACAGGCGTGGGCCACCGTGCCTGGCCCAGAAAAAAAAAATTCTTAAATAATCATTATCAATACTGACAAGGATAAAGTAAGAACTCTCAGAAACTGCTAATCAGAGTGTAAACTAAGACAACTACTTTTTTTTTGGTAGAGACAAGTCCTGCTATGTTGCCCAGGGTGGTCTCAAACTCCTGGGCACAAGCTATCCTCCCTTATGCCTCCCAAAGCACTAGGATTACAGGCACAAGCCACCACATCCAGCCTGTGATTTCTTTTTATGCTTTCTTTGTGTATCTAAATTTTCTACAAGTAGCATGTGTTGCTTTTATAATAAAAGAGGAAGTATTCTTGCCACTGAGCTTAAGAAAAAGAAAAAAAAAGAGAAAAGGGATGCTAAAAAAAAATAAAGAACACATGATTTTCCTTCAAATTCCTAGTGATTGTCTCTCTCTGTCGCCCAGGCTGGAGTGCAGTGGTGGGATCTCGGCTCACTGCAACCTCCACCTCCCAGGTTCAAGCAATTCTCCTGTCTCAGCCTTCCGAGTAGCTGGGACTACAAGCACCCACCACCATGCCCGGCTAATTTTTGTATTTTTAGTAGAGACGGGGTTTCACCATGTTGGTCTGACTGGTCTCGAACTCCTGACTTCAGGTGATCCGCCCGCCTTGGCCTCCCAAAGTGTTGGGATTACAGGCGTGAGCCACCGCACCCGGCCTCTCTTAGACTTTCAAGCATCCTTTCATCTGAGTGGCTTCAAAGAGCCGGACTACTAGATCCACAGACCACGTTCCTCCTATCTCCACTCGTGGAGAAGGCCGGCATAATGATCACCATAAGCTTGGAGTCAGAGATGTGATTCCCAGATCTGCCACCCTCCTATATATTTAGTAATTACAAGAAGTTAGCTAATTTCCTTGAGCTTCGCAGTCTCCTTGAATAAAATGGAAACAAGAATGCCTTCCTTACAAGTTAGAGTAAGGCCTTTAGAGAATGAGATAATGCTTGCAAAGAGCTTAGTACAGTGCCTGGCCCAAAGCAGATGCCCAGAAACATGCGGCTATAATTGCAATGATCTTTCGGTTGCTGGGCTCCAGATTCCACTTTTCAGAACTTCAGTTTCACTATGAGGAAGGGGTGCTGCCTCCCTAATTTGGCTAGATAAGCCTTCTCCACAGGGCAAACCCCTGACTCAATTTCATGTTTGAATTCCCAGACTGCTACCGAAACCTTCCCTTCTGAAGTTCTGTTGCCTCCTGTCCACTACAGGGCTGAGCACTCACGCTCTAATCCGATCCTCGTGGTACCAGATGTCTTGGATGGGAGCTTTGGCTTTGCCATATCGCACTCGAGGCCTTTGGAAGACGGGCTCCCTCAGCGGGGGAAAGGCGTCATATACGTCAAACCACAGGGGCTTCTCCTTCAGCACCCCGGCCCGAACCAGGTCCCGAGTCCTTAGGGAGGGAACAGAACGAAACTGGGTCACTTGCAGTAGCCTGCCAAAGCCCCTGAATCAGTCTAGCACAGTTTGGGACATTAAAGGTATTATGCGGTCTGCAACACAGAACGGGGAAGGACTGCTCCCCACCTACAGAGAAGATCTGTCCACATCCCAAACCAAACTTAACAACGCTCAGGAGAGTTAAATCCCTCTATCTTCTTTTGTGCGTCCCACCCACGTTCGGTCACGGAAAAATGCAAAGAGCGGTCTTGCATGACCTGATAAGGAAGGCCCATCAGGCTCTTCCTCCCTTCCTCTTCCTAGAGACCTCCACTCGGGGAGAGGCAGCTGCAATAATCTTTAACATGACACATAAATTCAAGGAGAGGCATCCTCAGGCACAACTATTCGGAGCCAGGAGAAAACATGAGAGGGCCTCACCCAGCTCAGCCCCCGCACCCTGCAATACGCCTCGCCCTGCTCAGGTCCGCTCCAAGGAAGAGCGTGACCGGCTGAGAACCCCAGCCTGGGGGAGGCACCCTCAGCCCACCACGGCTGGGAGCACACACCGAGAGAAGATGCTCCCTACGGTTTCCAGCCGGCTGCCTGCCATGATCTGCGCCTGGTACCGAGCGTGACTAGCTGCTACCGGAACCGGAAGCGGCTGCTCCAGGTAAAGGGCGCATAAGTTGCTGGCCGAGCCAAGGATCGCTGGGCTTTCACCGCAGCCCCTGCGGGAGAGCGGCGCAGGCAGAAGCAAGTGATAGGCCGAACGGGCGCGCTCCGAGGTTACTTGCCAGGTTCAGGCAGGAGCACTCGATAGCCGAGCCAAAAGGGCAGGAGCGAGCCAAAGCCGGACAGAAGTAATAAATGACCGAGCTGTGGGAGGGATTCATCATGATGGTTGCTTTACTCTCTCTCGCCTTGTTGAGCCAACTCCTCTGAAAAGGTGGGGCCGCGCGGAGGAGAAGTAGTGGGGCAGAGCAGGGGTGAAGCGCAGCCTACAGTCCTAGGGGAGCCAACAAAGGCCGAGATTTGAGGTCACCAGCTCTAGGCCCAGGCTGAGCCTAATGTTGTTTAGAGTCACAGACTACGCAGAAGAAAACCAAGGCCGGGGAGGGGCCGTCACTTGCCCAGCGTCGTGCTAGATCTCGGGCCTCCGCCTCTGGCTGTGTAGTGCTCCCCACTAAGCCCCTCGTCCCCGGAGTGCCACCTGCATCCACGCTAACTAGGATGCTGGCTGCAACTCGTGTTTCCCGCGGCCGGTGTCGCGGGCTACCTCCTCCTTGGAACTCGAAAAGTGAAAGTGTCCGGAACAAACAGACGCCGAGAGGGAAACGAAAAAATCTGGAGAAAGTCATCTCTCAGTGTTAAACTGTAAAAAAATATAAACTGTGTGTAGCATACCCTTTGACCCAGTAATCATATTTCGGGGAAAGAACCCCTTAGAAATTAAAGCATCAATTCATGAGGATGTTTGTGCAAGGATCATCGTTGCAGCATTGTTTGTAGTGGGAAAAAAAATCCATCAGATGAGAAATAGCTGGAAAATTATTGTTCATACTTTCTTTGGAACCCTATGCAGCTATTAAAATGAATGAGCTAGATCCACATGTATTTACCAAGGTTAAGGTACATGACTTATGTTTAAATGAAAAACGAAGTTGCAAAGAAACATGTTTAGTGGAATCTCAACGTGTTAGAAAAAAAAAAGGAAAAAGAAACACCTCTATATATGTTTGTGTTTGAGGATAGAAATTCTGCAGAAGGACACCCAAGGCTGTGAACATTGGATATCTCGGAGTGAAACTGCAGGCAGGCAAGGGAGAATTTTTTCTTCCTTTACACATGCTTCAGAGTTTGACTTGTAAAGAGATTGTATTCATATTTGAACTTTTAATCCAATGAATGTTTTGAATCACACACAATGTCTCCTGGGAGCCTAGTCAAGTCATCCTAGAGTCCTCCCACTCTGAGGCTGGTGAAGGGGAGGACGGGACTGTTTGATGAGTAGTTACTGCTTGTGTGTGTTATCTTACTGAATCCACATACCTTCCCATAAGGTAGCTATTAACATCCTCATTATAGATGAGAAAGCAAGGCCTCAGGAAGTTACATAACTTGTCTGATAAGCAACTGATAGAGCCAGCCTTGGGGGGGTGGGGCAGCCAGGGCCCTTTCCAGTGCCTCACAATGCCGCCTAAGCTATGCCTAAAGCTCGAGGCTGGTAGGCTCAAGAGTCCAGCAGAACGCCGCTCCCCACCCGCCCCCCCCACAACACACACACACACACACACACACACACACACACACACGCACGCCAGGGATCCAGTGATTTGAGGCCCAGGGCTAACCTGAGGTGGATTTCACTGCTGCCTCCAGACCCTCTGGAACAGAGAAGAGAGAGCACAGCTCTGGCCCCAGGCCAGGTGTAAAGGCTCTAGTATCCCAGCCCTCAGGAGGTCTAAAAGACCTTGCTCTGGGGAGAGTAAACATGCTCCCAGCTAAATATAGTCTTCCCAGGCCTCATAACAACTTTCTAATTCTGTCCCAGCCAGCAAGCACTATCTGCCAGCCCAGATTACAGGCACACTTCTCTTCTCCCACCAGGAACTGCTACTGTAGGTTAGTGCAGTCACTGCAGCTAAAGAGTTAAAGGGTTTATTCCAAGATCAAGGAGGGGAACCAAAGACGCAAACCCTCAATAGGGGAAGAACTGCAAGGCAGAAATGTTCTCGCTAATCTTGGGGTGGTCCCTTCCTCTTCCAAGCCTTTGAAGTTTCCCTTTCCAGCCTGCTTCTGTGACTGAGAGCAGAATATTGGTGGGCAGACTTGGGGGTACTTTGGGGATAACAGCCTTCTGAGGCTACACAAGAAGTACACACCCAAGAAACATTCATTCATAATACAGGAGCAAGCTGTCGGGCAGCAGGGGGCAGGCAGAATGGACATTTGAGGCTGTCTTCTTGAGTGGGGACCACAGCCGCCCAAGGCTGTGAGGGCCTGGGGCACTTACACCACGCACCACTGTGCCGCGGGAGGTACCAAGGAACCTCAAGTGTCTCATTCAGTTGTTCAACCACCTGCTGACATAGGTAATGTCCTGCTAATCTTACAGATAAGGAAGTGGTGCTTGTAAACTCCCAAAGGCCATGTTCCTACAACACCACTCGGCCTCATATTAATCCCACTGTCTCATTGTAGACGTGCCCACTAATTGCTTCACTCTGAGCAAGTTATGTAACTTTTCGAGCCTCTGTTTCTCCAACTGTTAAAATGTGGAGCTGGGCTCAGTGGCTCATGCTTGTAATCCCAACATTTTGGGAGGCCAGTGTGGGAGGATTGCTTAAGCCAGGAGATCAAAACCAGCCTGGGCAAAATTAGCCAGGTGTGGTGGTGCATGCCTGTAATCCCAGCTACTCAGGGGACTGAGGTGGGAGGATGGCCTGAGCCCAGGAGTTCAAGGCTGCAGTGAGCCATGATCACACCACTGCACTCCAGCCTGGTCAACAGAGCCAAGACCCTGTCTCAAATAATAATAATAATAATAATAATAATAATAATAATAATCTGGATGGCAGTGTCAACTATCTTCGTGGCTTGTTGCAAAAGTAAAAGAGATCATTCATGTAAAGCACTAATCACGGCACCTGGGACATAGTGAGTGCCTGTGAGCAGCAACAAGCCTGATGGCTGTAACAGCAACACGATTGCTGTTGTGCTGTGTCATCCACCCATTGCCACCTGGACTGCAGCATTTTGATAATATTTCATAGATTGCCTTACTGTTTTACTTTCTTGTTAGATGATCCGTTCGTTCCAGAAGCATATAAACACCTACCTGACTATTCTGAGTCTTAGAGAATCCAACGGTCCAGTAGGGAAGACAGAGAGGTAAATACATAAATATTAAGTTATGTGCTGAATAGCTTGTTGATTGTATGAAGTTTGCTAGGCCTGCCCTAACACCACTTGCACACAAAGTGGGTGGCTTAAACACAGATTTATTTTCTCCCTATTCTGGAGGCCAGAAGTCCAAGATCAAGGTGTCTGCAAGTTTAGTTTATTCTGCACTTGGCTAGTTTCTCCTTGCCTTGGAGACAGCTTTCTTCTCCCACGTCTTCACATGGTCTTTCCTCTGTGTGGGAAGGTTTTGTCCTAATCTCTTCTTATGAGGACACCAGTCTTATTGGATTAGGGCCCACCCTACTGACTTCATTTTAACTTAATTACCTCTTTAAAGACTACCTCCTATTATAGTCACATTCTGAGGTACTGGAGTTAGGACCTCAACATATGATTTTTGGGGAGACACAGCTCAGCCCCTAACATAGATCAGTAAGTGCTGAATAGTTCCCATTTGCCCAAGCAGTTCCACACCCACTCTCTGCCGTCCTTCGCCCTGTTCTGTGCCTCGGGAGGCTGGCTTCTGTGGCCTGCATCCACCAGCTCCTTGCCCTCTGCTTCTGGCTGGATTCCAGTTGGTACTGCCAGCGGGCTCCCTCCTGGAACATAAAGTTCTAGAACATAAAATCACAGCTCTCTCACCAGGTTCCAGCCACCGTCCCTCTCCTGCTCCTTCAAGCCTAGACGTAGTTGGCAAGCTGTACCCCTCTGTTATTAGCCACGGGGTCTAGGCCATCCCTTGTGGCTTCCCATCACTCTGCCCACATCTTTGTGACAATGCCCGTATTTAAATAGTGCGTGGAGGTCAGGCGTGATGGCTCATGCCTGTAATCCCAACACTTTGGGAGGCCAAGGCGGGTGGACCACTTGAGGTCAGGAGTTCGAGACCAGCCTGGCCAACATGGCGAAACCTCGTCTCTACTAAAAATAAAATAAAAAATAAAAAATAAAAAAAATTAGGCGGGTGTCATGGCACACACCTGTAATCCCAGCTACTTGGGAGGCTGAGGCAGGAGAATCACTTGAACCCAGGAAGCGGAGGTTGCAGTGAGCTGAGATTGCACCACTGCACTCCACCCTGAGTAACAGAGCAAGACTCCGTCTCAAAAATAAATAAATAAATATTGTGTGGGAATTTGTCAGACAAAATGAGGAAGAGCATCATCCCCAGTAGTGGAACAGCTTTGGTAAGTGAAACTCCCAGCACACTGATGAAATCATGAATGCTGCTACTCACCTATGACAGCTAAAATCAGGGAGCAATTAGCTTTAAAGGGAGGAAAGCAATACAGTATATTCAATACACAGTTTAAGAATTATGTCAGGCCAGCTGTGGAGGATCATGTCTGTAATCCCAGCACTTTGGGAGGCCAAGGCGGGAGGATGACTTGAGGCCAGGAGTTTGAGACTAGCCTGGCCAACATAGCGAGACCTTGTCTCTACAAAAAAAAAAAAAAAAAAAAAAAAAAAAAGAAGAAGAAAAGAAGAGAAAGAAAAAAGTTAGCCAGTGCAGTGGCACAAGCTGGTAGTGCTAGCTACTCATGAGGCTGAGACAAGAAGATTGCTTGCGCCCAGGAGTTCGCAGCTGCAGTGAACTATGATCGTGCCACTGCACCCCAACCTGTGTGACAAAGTGAGCCCTTTTCTCTAAAAAAAGAGAGAGAGGATTATATCAGGATCCGTTAAAAAAAAAAGAATTGTAGGCTTCCTGAGTCTGAGGACCAGGAGGATGAAGGGCAGGGAGGGCTATTAAAGGAGGAGGCAGCCAGGCACAGCTGCTCACGCCTGTAATCCCAGCACTTTGGAAGGCCGGGGTGGGTGGATCACTTGAGGTCAGGAGTTCGAGACCAGCCTGGCCAACGTGATGAAACCCCGTCTCTACTACAAATTTAAAAATTAGCCAGGCATGGTGGTTGGCACCTACAATCCTAGCTACTCGCTACTTGGAAGGCTGAGCCAAGAGAATTGCTTGAACCCAGGAGGCGGAGGTTGCAGTGAACTGAGATCGTGCCACTGCATTCCAGTTGGGGCGACAGAGCAAGACTCCATCTCAAAAAAAAAAAAAAAGGGGGGGGGGAGTCAGAGTACCTTCTCTTTCCTTCCGGCTGTTGGGCTTGTGCCCCTCTCCTGAGAGCTCCCCTTCAGACCCCCTTCCTAGGCTTCAAGGAACTGTCAAGAATCAGTTCAGGTGGAAAAGCTTTTCAGCCCCCAGCACACACTCGGTAAGATCGGGTGAGTGCCCAGACCTGCTCCCTCCCTTCCTATGCTTATCTCTTTCAGGGCTATGTCTGTGTTGTAACTCTGTTTACCTGTCTGAGTCTGGCTACAGGGGCCTTTTTGAGGGCAGGAACTAGGACTTTTAGCTCTGCCTCCCCACACCCGGCCTGGTGCTTGGCCCACAGCTCTCAGAGTTTTCCAGTGAACAGCATGGATAAATAAAGCCAAGTTAGGACAAATGAGGATGCTGTCATCTCAGCCTTCCCTTCACTGCCTGTGCATACCCAGCCCTCCCTCTCTCCCAGGCCCAGCTTTCCTTTGAGGCCTTCCCCAGATACACAGATAGGGAGAGAGCTGTGGGTGAATGGAAATAATCCCCTACCTCACCATTCACTTCACATCGTGAGCATTTCCGGTCTGGCTGTCCTCTGTGCCTCACTGACAGATAGTTCTCTTTTACAGTCCTCTGGGCCTCAGCTTCATTTGTAAAGTGGGGATAATCATAGCACCTAGCAGAGGGTTTGTAGTGAGGCACCAGTGGGTTCATACCTGCTAAGTGTTTAAAACAGTGCCCGGTATATGGTAACTACTCAATAAATAGAGTGATGGTAATTTCGGACTACGCTTTAGAGCAACAGTGTCCTTCAATTAAATCTCACCTGAGGCTGGCTGCCATGACTCATGCCTGTAATCCAGCACTTTGGGAGGCCGAGGTGGAAGGATCGATTGAGCCCAGGAGTTTGAGAGCAGCCTGAGCAATACAGAGAGACCTTGTCTCTATTAAAAATCAAAAAATTAGCCAGGCGTGGTAGTATGTGCCTGTAGTCCCAACTACTCGGGAGGCTGAGGTGGGAGGATCGCTTGAGCCCTGGAAGTCGAGGCTGCAGTGGGCTATGATTGTGGCACTGCACTCCAGCCTGGGTGACAGAGCTGAGACTCTCTATAAAAAAAAAAAAAAAAAAAAAAAAACCTTACCTAACAACATACAAGCTACTATTTTCCTTTCCTCTTGCCTTTCGTTTTTTTTTAGATAGAATCTTGCTGTGTCACCCAAGCTGGAGTGCAGCGGTTAGATGGAATCTCGCTCTGTCACCCAAGATGGAGTGCAGCGGCGCAATCTCGGCTCACTGCAACCTCCACCTCCTGGGTTCAAGTGATTCTCCTGCCTCAGCCTCTTGAGTAGCTGGGATTACAGGCGCTCGCCCCCATGCCCAGCTAATTTTTGTATTTTTAGTAGAGACCGGGTTTCACCATGTTGGTCAGGCTGGTCTCGAATTCCTGACCTCAAGTGATCCACCCACCTCAGCCTCCCAAAGTGCTAGGATTTACAGGCGTAAGCCACCGTGCCCAGCCTACAAACTATTTTCATTTAGCTACCCACTCTTTTCTTCACCAAACCTGGGCTTGCCCCCAGGAAGAATCCAGTTCAGGAAGAGAACTAAGTACTTTATGCCCTGGGAGGCCTATGTCACTGTGACCAGGGAAAAAAGGGCCAGCTAGGCCTGGAGCAAGAAGCTGGCCTTTTATTGTTGGAATTCAAGACCAGTTGCAATCACTCTGTGGGGTTTTGCAGCCCACCAAACCCCTTGAAGGCATACATTTCAGGGCCAGTGTGGGCCCCTCTCTTCCTGGGGAAGCCACAGCAACTCGATCTTTAATATGCACATGAATTTGCTGCAGATCTTGGAAAATGCAGTGTGACTCAGTAGGTCTGGGTCTGCATTTCTAGCAACCTTCCAGGTTGATGCCAGTGCTGCGAATCTGCAGTTGGGATAACGAACCCACCCGAGTATGCCCACGACTTTCCTAGTTTTGGCACTGAAAGTTCTGCATCCAGGGAAACCAGGACAGTTGGTCGATGTATCCAAAGACCACACTTTGAATGGCAAGGTCAAAGCAAGGAAGCATGTGCTGTTTGTACTGAGTTTCATAGTTCCTCCCACTGGAGTCCCTGGAATAATCCTCTTGTCCTGATAAAGAACTGTGACTCTTTACGCTCTAGAAAGGCCACCTGACTCCAAGCCTCAGCTCTTCAGGGTAGATGCTGGTTTTGGGGGGCCTGAAGCTTATCTAATCTTAGTGGCTCTCTTAAGAAAAAATTTGACCAGGCGCAGTGGCTCACGGCCTGTAATCCCAGCAATTTGGGAGGCTGAGGTGGGTGGATCACCTGAGGTCAGGAGTTCGAGACCAGCCTGGCCAACATGGCGAAACCCCGTCTCTACTAAAAATACAAAAATTTAGCTGGGCGTGGTGGCGGGTGCCTGTAATCCCAGCTACTCAGGACGCTGAGGCAGGAGAATCACTTGAACCCAGAAGGCGGGGGTTGCAGTGAGCTGAGATCACACTGTTGCACTCCAGCCTGGGCAACAAGAGTGAAACTCCATCTCAAAAAAACAAAAAGAAAAGAAAAAATTTAAAATATCTTTGTTTTGCAAATTTTAGAAAACATATAACCATGTGAACAGAGTAAATTTCCCTCTGTCTCTTTGGCCTAAGGCCAAACAGGTGCTCGCATCTTCCTTCTGGGAAAATGGTGCTGGGTGTCTCAGTGGCCAGTGACTGCCACTTCTGCAAGATGACCACCAGGTGGCAGTCGATTTACACAGCCCCCTTCACATGCCCACCCTCTCCCGCCTGGCCACCTCCAGAAATTTCCAACTCTTCCTCCAGCTGGTGCAGCCCATTAATCCAACAAATTAATCTATGCTGTGATAATGGGCATAAGGAGTTCATGTGCTTCTCTCTCAATAGCATATTTGCCATTTAATGGAAATGCTGAGAGATTGTTTTTAAAACCAGATAAAGAATGCTAATGGAGGCGTTCCAGGCACTCTGTTGGATCACGGATCACTTTGGTGATGTTTTTGAGCAAGTGGGCCCTTCTGTGCTCCACAGATTGCATCTGTGCAAAGGTGCTGCATCTTAACCCCATCCCCCTGCATCCCAACCCGACCCCACCATGCTTAGTGTTTAGGTATCATCTCGGGAGCTCAGCTGCCTGGATTCATATGCAGGTACTACCACCTCTTACTGAGGGTAGATGTTGAGTAAGGACTTTAACATCTCTGTGTGAAACGCACGTAGTAATACTGATTTCATATAATTGTTGTGAAGGATTCGGTAAAGTACCCTAGGAGTGTGTGGCACACAATAAACACTCGATAAAGAGCTACCATCTTCATACCACACCTTGCCTGCCTCCTTCATTCTTCAGAGCAAATTCTCCTGTTTCCCCCCCAGACCCTATCTCCAACCAGTTGCTTCAAGAAAACAAAGGGAGAATTGAGACCCCAGCATGGTAATAACCAGGCAATTCTTGTGGGCACAGCGTTTTCCAGACCCATGATCGCCTTTTAAGTTGGGGCTGATCCCTGAGGACATCAAAGCATCATCAAGATAGGGAAGGGGCCCTGGCTGGACCAGACTTCAGATAGCCCAGCTCTGCATTTTTGCAGAGGATAAATCTGCAAGTATCGCCTTGTGGATACCAGGAGTTCAGCACTTGCAGATGAGCAAGCAATGTGAGGGTAGGTGGCTAAGGCAGTCATCTGGTCCAGCCTGTCCCTGCCCCTGGACCCATAGCCATCTTTAACCAGGCGTCAGCGGCTCCAGCAGAGGCTTCATCTCCTGCACTCCTTGTTAGACCTGGTAAGCATTCTCCCTCTCTTTCTCTCTCTGATTACAATCATCTCCAGTGTCATCTACACTAACAGGTAAAATGGTGTAAGGGTCTCAAACTTGCTGCATATTAGAAGCACCTGGGATTTTACAATCTGATTCTCAGGCTAAATCCCAAACCAATTAAATCAGAATCTCTGGGAATGAGACCCACACATCAGAAATGATTCTAACGTACAGCAAGTTTGAGAACCAGTGTTCTAGAGCAGTGTTTCTCTAGCTTTAATGTGCATAGAAGTCACCTGAAGAGCTTGTTAAAATGCGAATTCTGATCCAGTGAGGCTGGGGCAGAGCCTGAGATTCTTTTTCTAACAAGCTCCTAGGTAATAATGAATGTTGCTGGTCCATAGACCAAGCTGTGAGTGGTCAGATTGTGGAACTGTGGTTCTCAAATTTGAGCATGTATCAGAATGATCTGAAGGTCTTGTTAAAATGCACGCCAGTTTCCGATTCAGATCTGGAATGGGGCCTGATAATACGCATTCCTAACAAGTTCCCAGGGAATGGCGATGCTGCTGGTCCACAGGGCACACTTTGGGCAGCAGGGGTGTAGAGGAGGCAACACAAGTTTTGGAGTCAGGCAGCCCTCAGCCTCCTTTTCTGGCCTCATGACACTCTAGCTCTGTGATCTTGGATAAGTTACTTAACCTCTCTGAACTGTAATTATACTATCTGTAAAGTGATCGTTATTGGGCAAGATCAAATGAGCTAAAACACCTAACACATTGCCAAGTGGGCTGGTCCTCAAGCTTGACGGCAGATTTAATTACCTTGGGAGCTTTTTTTAAAAAACAAACAAAAAACCCATAGTTGATTTAATTGGTCTACGGTACTGAACATCAGGACGTTTTTTCTTTAATAGAGATGAGGTCTTGCTCTGTCACCCAGGCTGGAGTGCGGTGGCTCAATTATAGCTCACTGTAATGTCAAATTCCTGACCTCAAACAATCCTCCCACTTTGGCCTCCCAAAGTGCTGGGATTACAGGCATGAACCACAAGGGCGGGCCAGGATCTATTTTTTTAATTGAGACAGGGTCTTGCTCTGTCACCCAGGCTGGAGTGCAGTGGCATGATCACAGCTCACTGCAGCCTCGACCTCCTGGGCTCAAGCGATCCTCCCCCCTCACCCTCCCGTGTAGCTGGGATTACACATGTGTGCCACCAACCCAGCTATTTTTTTTTTTTTTTTTTTTTTGTAGAGATGTGGGGGGTTGGGGGATGGGTCTCACTTCGTTGCCCAGGCTGGTCTTGAACTCCTGGCCTCAAGCGATCCTGCTGCCTCGACCTGTCAAAGTGCTGGGATTCTAAGTGTAAGCCACTGAGCCTGGTCTTGGCCAGGATTTTTTTTAAAGCTACTCAAGTAATTCTGTGCAGCCAGTGCTAGGTACTGGCCTGGTACCATGGTTCCCAAACTGTGGTGTGCATCAGAATCACAGGTTGCTGGGCTGCACCCCCAGAGTTTCTGACTCAGTAGGTCTCGGATGGGACTGAGAATTGGCATTTGGAACAGCTTCCCAGGCAATGAATACCACGCAGAGAACCAGGGCTGGAGGATAATCCTGGTTTGCTCAGGACAGCTCATGTGGAGCGTCACCCTGTCCCAGGTGTGCCACTTTACAAGCCCCCCTGGGTCTGACTGGGAGTGGGGCCAGACCCTGATGGGTGGGGAGGCCCCTGCAGGAGTGCAGGAGGCACAGTTGTTGTCAGGGAAGAGAGAGGGTGAGGTCACTGAGCTGAAACATGGCATCAGGGGCAAGAGAGGCAGCCTTGGCAACAGTGACCCAGAGCCCAGGAGTAAGATGTGTGGTTGGAACCCCTAGGAGGCCGTTAGCTCAACACAAGGAAAAACTTCGACCTTGAGAACTGCCCTGTCTGGAAACGGCACCAGCTTCCTCTTCTGGCAGCGAGGGCCCTGTCCCTGTGGTGGAGGGCGGGGTAGTCCTGCTGAGCTGGAGGAGGAGGAGGAAGGAGAGATGTATCAACTGGGGCGATCTCTGAGTTCCCTTTGAAGTCTGAAATTGCACTTCCCTGCAACCTCCAGTCTGCCTTTAATCCAGAAGCTGTTTATTTAGGGAGGTGGCCGTCTGGAGCTTTCTCAACAGACTGGCTTTCCCCATGGTGTTTCCCTTGCCTGATACAGCAAGCGGTTTACAGTCCTGGGCCAAACAGGAAGGCGACAGCGCTAGACGCAGCCGGCAGGTCCGCAAGGTTGAGGTGCAGCGGTGCCGCAGGTGTCACCTCGAGAGTGCAGTCGGAGAGCGCCGCGGGTGAATGGGCCAGGCAAGGCAGGGGTACCCTAGGGATGCGACGCGGGGCTCCTGGGGACAAACCCTGCCCCAGGCCGGGAGGGAGGAGGGAGCAGGAGGGTCCAGCCCACGCCGCTGGCCACATCAGAGCACCAAGAGAACACCAACTGTTTATTACAGGAATTCCTATGAAACAGCTCCAAGAAAAAACCCACACATAGGAGGAAAAAAAATAACAAAGCAACACTCAACAGACATGGGGCTGGGGCTTCCCCCACAGTGCGCCGGGTCCTGGCGCGGGGAAGGCTCAGAGACCCGTCGAGAACTCGAGCTGGGGTACCGAGGCACTCCTCGGAGACCCCCCCCCCTCCCTCCAGGGCCCCAGGCCTGGCGCGGGGAGCAGCGGAGGGGGCGACCGCTCCTCGGCAGGGCCCCCCGAGCCAGCGTCCCGGCCCCGCGCGCGTTTCCAAACTTGGTCACGCTCGGCGGCGGCTGCGCGTCCCGGCCCTCCCCAAGCTCGGCGTTGCGAGTCCGGGCAGGGTGGGCGGGACGAGGTGCGATCGCCGGCTCGCCTTCGCTACGCCCTTGTGATCTTGGGGCCACGGAGGCCACCAGGGCCCGGCCAAGGATCGGATGCCACTCCCAACCTCCCAGAGCCGCGCCGAAGCCTCGTGCCTGCCCAGGCTTCCCGGCTCTCCGGAAGGTCTGCGCGCTCCCATGTCCAGGGCGGGGCCACGGGCTGGGCAGCCTCCCTCCCCGTGGCAGTGGTCAGTGCCGTGTAAGCGTTCCTAGAATCAGAGTTCTCCTCCTCAGATCACCCGCCCTTCTCAGGGGCACCCAGCAAGCCCTTATGCCCTAGGCGCTCACCCAGGCTGGCGGCCTTTCCGCCTTGCTCTTTAGCCCTGCACCTGCTCAAAGGGGTCACTCCAGGACCCACCGCTGCCCACCCTCGGACAGCAGGGCTTCCAGTCCAGCTGGGGAGTCAGAGCCCCTGTGAGCCCCTACTGTGGTGTGACTCCAGAACTGGCTTTTGTCTGCTGCCAAATTAAAGACCCTGCCTCCCCAGAGTCCTCCAGCTCCAGGGTGGCCACCCTCCCCATCCCTGCTGGGTGACCGGGAGCTGCTGGGAGTGAGCCCATCCCTAACAGCAGCAGCCTGATGAGGCCAGACGGGGCAGGGCAGTCGGCAGATGCTTTGCAGTAGCCCATAGCTCCTCAGAGTTCCTGGGGGACTGGCCAGGGACCTCCCACCCAGGCTGGGTGCAGGGCTCGTGTGCTGGGCCAGCAGCCCCGGGGGAAGGCTGAGATACAGGAGGACATGGAAGGGAAGGGCACAAGTGCCCGGAGGGAGCTGAGGAAGGGGGACCAGAAGGGAGCTGAGGAAAGGGGGTCAGGCAGAGTCTGTGACAGGAGAGATAGAGAACGGACGGAGGCAGAGACTCCACCTTCAGGCCAAAGAGCCTCTGGTGGGGGTCATCTTGCCCTTTTCCATATTCCAACTTTTATCTGCTTTCTGGATTTTTTTTTTTTTAAAGGGAGGTTGGTTCCTGCATTTCCACTCTTTGACCATAGGAACGCCTGGCTACAAAAGGGGCTGTAATTGGCTGCTGCCTATAGGGGCCCCAGGTCCTTCCTCCAATTGCAAGGCAGCAACTCCGAAGTTCTAAGTCCCATGGAAAGTGGCAGTGGTTGGGCTGGACTGTGGCTGGAGGATCACCGGGCCTCGGTTCTCAAGCACCATCTGTCTGGCTGCAGCTGGGCCCTTCAGCTGGGGGCCAGTGTTGCTTTCCAGCTGCCCCCACCGGGTCAGATCATCTCTGGCAAGGAAGAGCTGCTGGCATCTGGTAGGGGAAAAAAGGGATGGGAGGAATCTTTTTCAAAGGAGCCCAATGGTCTTTCCTGGTCACTGGTTCCTGGAGAGACAGTTTTGGGAGAAGTTACTAAAGACGTAAGCCCTCTCCTTTTTCCAGGGACTCGAGGTCAACCGTAGAACTCTGCCTGGGTCATCCCCCCATTCAAATTCCTAGAACCATTCCAGCTTGCCCAGCTGCAGGGACTCTGGCAGCAGGAGATGGAGTGAAGGAATGGAATCCCGGGGTGAAGCAGCTGTAGGGGAGGGCTTCAACGTGGGAGGGTACCTGGCCCATTCTAATACGTCATAGCTCAGGGGAGCTAGGCCACAAAGACCTGTAGGTGGAGAAAAGTAAACTGGGGGCAGAACTTGGTAGGACTCAGACACCAGGCTGAAGAGTTCCTAAGACTTTACTCAGAAGACTCATTCAGGCCAGGCGCAGTGGCTCACGCCTGTAATCTCAGCACTTTGGGAGGCTGAGGCGGGCCGAGGTCAGGGGTTTAAGACCAGCCTAACCAGCATGGTGAAACCCCGTCTCTACTAAAAATACAAAAATTAGCCGGGCGGGGTGGCACGTGCCTGTAATCCCAGCTACTCGGGAGGCTGAGGCAGGAGAATGGCTTGAACTTGAGAAGGGGAGGTTGCAGTGAGTGGAGATTGCACCACTGCACTCTAGCCTGGGCAACAGAGCGAGACTCCATCTCAAAAAAAAAAAAAAAAAGAAAGAAAAGAAAAAGAAAAAAAAAGATTCATTCAAAGAGCACAGGAAAAATGGAACTAAAGTGGTGTTTTGGTGGTGGGATAATCAGAGTAGGTAGGGGCAGTGAAGAGAACAGGGCTGTGACCTAGGTGATGAGCATCTATCAGGGTGGTAATGGAAGGAATAGAAAAGAGAATGAAAGGGGGCAGTCAGGAGGAGAGACTGAGTTGCTATCCAAGGCTGAAAAGAAAATCTTGGGTGCAGCTGGGGACACGAAGCAGCTCTGGAAGCCTAACTGCGATGGAGATTCAGATGTAGGAGCCAGATGCGCAGAAGTGTTGCTGGTGCTATAAAAGAGGGCGGAGGCACTGCCAGAGTGGGCAGTGAGAAGACTTCGAAGAGGGTCAAGGGCAGAGCAACAAGGAGAGCCAGTATTTAGGGAGTGGGCGGAGCAACAGGAGCCAGGAGAGAGGAAGGAGAACCTGGCTTCCTGGGGTCACAGGAGCCAAGGGAGGGCAGCTTCAGGAGAGATCAGGGGAGTGCGTGTGGAAGAGCACCATAAGAATGCAGAAGATGCTAAGGCCCTGAGCTGCTGGGTGACCTCCGAGTCAATCCGAGTGATGGGAGGGGCTGTCAGCCTGCAGTGGATGAAGGAGGATGGCAGGGAAGACTCAAGGACCCTTGGTGTTTAAGGGGAGGAGGAGGAGGATGTCAACTTGCAGAAGGAGCTGGAAGGGGACAAGCTGGAAGTCCTAGGACAGAAATAAATGATGAGGTGCAGGTACGGTGGCTCACACCTGTAATCCTAGCACTTTGGGAGGTCCAGGCGGGCAGGTCACCTGGGGTCAGATGTTCGAAACCAGCCTGGCCACATGGCAAAAATCCATCTCTACTAAAAATACAAAAACAAATTAGCCAGGCAAGATAGTGGGTGCCTATAATCCCAGCTACTCGGGAGGCTGAGGCAGGAGAATCGCTTGAACCTGAGAGGTGAAGGTTGCAATGAGCCAAGATTGTGCCACTGCACTCCAGCCTGGGCAACAGAGCGAGACTCTGTCTCAAAATGAATGAATGAATGAATGAATGAATGAATGATGAGCAAGTTTCTGATGTAGGGGTGGTTTGGACAGGACCCGTTCTCCCTGGGGACCAGTAGGAAGGAGAAGGGCGTGGAGATAGTAGCAGCGTGGGGTGACAGTGGAGGCGATTCCCCGGCAGGCTCTATCTGGGCATTCCAGGACAGTGGGAAGTGGGCCGCGGCTTTGTGTTTGAGGAAAGCCTGAGGGGAATAGAAGGGGCTGCAGTGCCTGGTGGGAGATGTGGTAGGGAGTCAGGTGGAGTGGGTGTGGGGGCCAGCTGCCCAGGCAGAGAGGAGAGGGCACTTGTATTTACTTGTTCCCGGTTTCCCTCCATTGTGACTATCCTGAGGCAAGTGAGTATTTCTCCATCGTCTGACACAGGGCCATACCTGCCACACCATCAACTCAAGAAAGCCTTGTAGATGCTGCCCACTGGGACCAAACAAGTGGCTGGGGAAGGCCGGGCAGCTTCCCCTCTCCCATGGTAAACGGGGGCTGGAAAAGGGACAGCTGTCTTGGCCAACTCCTGGAGGAGGCCTTGGTATTTTCTTTTTCTCCCCAAGAGGGTGCACAGGAAGCGAGGAGGAGAAATGGCTTGGAGCCCTGGGGCTTCAGCCAGAAACCGCTGCCTCAGGAGGGTTTCCTCATCCTGGTGTGGCAGATCCCAGCCCACCCAACCCAAGCAGGGGGCTGGAGAGAGTTGTGTGTGTGCACAGCCGGGTTGAGACCACCTCAGTTTTTCTTTTTCTTTTTTTTTTTTTTTTGAGATGAAGTTTCACTCTTGTCGCCCAGGCTGGTGTGCAATGGCGCGATCTCAGCTCACTGCCACCTCCGCCTCCCAGATTCAAGTGATTCTCCTGCCTCAGCCTCCCAAGTAGCTGGGATTACAGGCGCTTGCCACCACGCCAGGCTAATTTTTGTATTTTTAGCAGAGACAGGGTTTCACCATGTTGGCCAGGCTGGTCTCGAACTCCTGACCTCAGCTGATCCACCCACCTTGGCCTCCCAAAGTGCTGGGATTACAGGCATGGGACACCGTGCCCAGCCAGTTTTTCTTAAATCATCCTCTCAGTGTGCTACGTGTGTCCTGGACTGTCTTCTCAACTGGACTGTAAACTCTTCAAGGTCAAAGCTGATTTTGTTTTCCTGTTCTCAGCATCTGTCATAGGCAGGTGTGCTCATCTTTTGTCAAATGAATAAATAACCAAAAAAGACATGCAATGAACTAGTTCCCACGCCCGTGTCCCTGCCGCAACTATGAGGGAAGACACGTGGGGCCTGTGCTACCCAGTTGCCTGAGCCCAGCGCCTCTGGACACCTGGGAGGACATGTGGGGTGCATAGTGTGGGGGGCCCTGGCCTTGGGCAGTCCCTGGGTTGCTATGGCTCCAGGCCTTACCTCTTACTGTCCTTCTCGCAGGCCTTCCTCCACCTTGGGTGCCTCCTGACGCCTGCCCCGGAAGTCTTCATCTGAAAAGGAGAGGGAAGCTGCCTCATCCTCTACCCTGCAGGGCCTCGCTCAGGCACGGCCCCTAGACTGGGCAAGAGAGCTGACCCGACTCTCTCTGCCCCCTTCATTTGGGACCCATGCAGATCCCCCCAGGTAGACGATGCATGGGTCCAGGGAGAGAGGCAGCAGGACACTCAGGTGCTGGCCAGGGTCCACCACTGAGCTCTGAGACCTTGGACAAGTTCTCCCCTCGTCTTTGGGCCTCAAATTTCCTCATCTATAAAATGGGATGGAAAAGCTGGACTATCTAGATGACCTCTGAGGCCCTTCCAGTCCTTGTTTCTGGATGCCTCCTGACCCTCGAATGTGGCATGAGGATCAGGGTTCAGCTGCGGGCCCAGGAGGGTCTGAGGCAGAGTCTTCTGGCCCACGTGGCCTTTGGAAGGGACTGGGTGAAAGTTGAGAAGCCTCTGGGCCCACAGACTGAAGCTGCCCAGTGCTTGGTTCTCAGGCCGAGGGTCCCCCATGGGGGCAGGCCTGTCTGCCACCTCACACCCAAAAGAATATTCCCCAGAAACAGTACCTGGCACTTCATGCTACAGGTACACATCTAGGTGGAAGTAGGGCTAGGGCCCCTTTTCAGGGGTTGCAGAAAGGGGGAAGCAATGTCGACCAAGTCAGGGGGATCCATATCTTTGGGTCACCTGCCCACCAACCCTCAGTGTGTTCCTCCAGGGGACAGGGCGGGTGCTCCCATGAAACACCCAGGAACTCCGCTGGGAGATCACCGATCATAGAGAAGTTGGAGCTTACGACTCCCCTCCAGCCTCACCACACGCGTGGCCCTCCACATCATCCAGGAGGTTGGCTGTTGACGCGGCAGCCCCCAGCCTGCCAGGCCATTCAGGAAAACCGTCCCAGGGATGAGGGGACACTGCCCTAGTCCTCCCAGTCCCACTGACTCTCTGCCCCACCCCTCAAAGCTCTGGAGGTACCTGACACACCCACCTGACCCCCCACACCCTTAGTACTGTCCCCCAGGCTCATTTTCCTGAGGTCAGTGGTATGGCCAGGCCCTGACACTCTCGCCCAGCTTACATCTCTGGGGATGGAGAAACAGCTTCCTCCCTGTTTCCCTCTGGCTGCTGAGCCTCTGCTATCCTAGGCCCTGTTTGAGAAGCATGAATAGGAGTTCTGATAAAAAGGTGGAAAGCCGTATTTCTACTCGAGGAAGGGAGGGCCAACATGCTTGGAGTGAGGAGGACTCGTGCACCAGTTCAACTAGAGAAATGAAGGGAAGGTTTGATATTGATGGAAGAACCACTTTTTCTCCCAAGAAGTACATAACCTCAGACCAAAAAAAAAGTTAATAGGACAACTTCTGGGCCTACAGAAGGGAGACAGGAGCTGCTGCCCTGCTCCCTAGGCCTGGTCCCTGGTTGGCAACGAGAGACGGGCAGTGGACTGGTGGCCAAGCTCATGGAGGAGAGGGGAGGAGGAAGGGAAGGCCACAGAGCCGGGTTCCACTCCCAGGGGAGGGCACAGCTGCAGGGAGTCCAACAGGGGTCTTGCTCCATGGCCCTTGGCTTCCACCACCCCCACCAGTGCCAGGCTGGAAAGGATACGACTGATGCTTCAACAAGTGTTTCCTCTTTGACTTCCTCATTTTGGTCTTCTCTGAGAAGGCTCGGGCAAGTTCAAACAGTTTCCTCCGGGTGGCTGGGGGCAGAGAGACCTGTGAGTCATTCTCTCAGCAGCCAGCACACCAGATGGCCTCCTCCCAGGTGTGGGAAAGGCCAGGGGAGGACCAAGGCCCCCCGGAGAGGGAGCAGGGGGCAGGCAAGGGTGGGAGCTGAGGAGGGAGAGATGACAGGAATCGCAGACCCCTGAGGACGCCACCCCAGGAGCAAGAGGCTACATCCTGGGTCAGCCTGCAGGGGCAGCACAGGACACCCTGAGCCAGGCCCAGGGACCGCAGGCGGCTCAAGATCCAAGTATTCCCTCCCCAGCTGCAACACACTGCAACGCATCTTGGCTCGCTTTCCCGCCGCCACCGCCTTCCCGCCCCTCCCCTAGCCACCTCCAAAGTTGGTTCTGGGATTTCCATGACTAATCCGAGATTTTCCTTGAAATGGAGCCTGAAAGGATCGCAGCCTCATTCACACATGGCTGTGGGTCTGTGTGGCGGGGAGGTGAGGGGGAGGGAAGGGGGCATTCAAGGCTGGTAGGACTTTGTGGAAAGAGGTCCCCCACCCCCACAGAGGCTTAGCAAGGGCCTCTCTGTGCAGTCAGCTCCGGCCAAGCCTCCTCGAGCCACAGAGAACGTGAACATGAGGATTGCGGTGAGGGCATGTGTGGCACGTTATTTTTCTGCAGACATCTGGCTCAAGAGGATTTAAAACTTAATTTGTATCTAGACTCAGCTGTAGAGGGAAGTGAGGCAGGAAGGCTGAGGGAGCCAGCCTGCGATGAAAATGTCACTGGTTCACCAAGAGTCAGCTGCATTACATGTGCTGAGGGGCTCCCTCACTCCTGGGAGGCCACAGGGCCTGTCTCAGAAAAGCTGGGGAGGGAAGCGGGGCCTGAGTGGGACTCACACTTTCCCATGTGTTTCAGCTTGTCCCTGAATAAGGCATCTTCAGACACAGCGGGGTTGGCGTCGCCAGTTCCTGGAAGGAGACACCTGCTGAAGGCCGGCCACCGTGGCCAGCCATGGCCGCTGTCCCAGCCCTACCCACCCATCTGAGGACAAATGCAAAGAAAGAGCAGGCTTCTTCCCTGGCCAGAAGGGAGTTTAAAGCAAGGAGGATGTGGAGTTCCAGGAGCTCCTCTTTCCCCTTGTGGACTTTGTTTCCTCCTCTGTAAAAATGGGGAGGGTTCAGCGGTCTACTGTGTGTGCAGACAGCCAGCTCGTGTGTGCTCCCAACTGTCCACGCCTCTGACCAACTCCATGTTTCATGACATCACCTTGGTAGCTTGGGAGTATTTCCACCATGGAGGTCACCAAGCACTACATATCAGGCTCCCGCTGCACCCAGAGTTGGCTGTGAAACATTCACCAGCACACCAGGGGCCTCCTGCACCCCGACATTCATGTGACAGTCAAATGAGGTGCTGGCTCAGAGCCGGCATTCACCTGTAGCAAGTCCCTTGTCCTTCCTGCCAGGTAAGCCCATCCATTGCTCCCTCCCAGCCACAGGGTTTCTGGCTATTAGACAATGAGTAGGAATAGAATGGGACTAGTCCTGGAGTCAGAACCCCACCGGCCACCCAGAGTCTCCCGGGCTCGCTCAGCATCCACTTGGGTTTTTTGCTGGTTTCTGAAGCCCCTGCTCTCTGTCCTGCAACTTGGTTAATCCCCAGTCACCTTGCCTGCTAAGTCCCCTTTGAGTCATTCTGATCCATCTCAGCAGCCCCGGTATCTCTAGTTAATTCAGGATCAAGGACAAGAGGCTCCTGCTTAAAACTCCCAGCTGCACATCTGCTGAGCCCTAAGCTCCCAGCCTGCTGCTTATGAGTCAGTTCCACAGGATTTTCTCCCTTCAAGCTGGGATCAGCTCAGCTCCCCATCCCTCTGCTCCTCCACCCCCAACTCCACTGCATGATGCAAGGTCTATTCCAGGCAAGAGCCCTTCTCCGAGGTGGGCAGCTTGTGTACATGTGGGGCAGGGGGCACTGACTGATGAGGGGCCACTGTTCGCACACAGGCACCAGGTCATCGTTCCCAGCTGTGGCTCAACCCAGTAGTCTGCGCATCCCAGGAGCACTGCAGCCCCCTCACCCCTATCCAACCCTCTTTCAGCCATCAGAGCTTCTGAGCAGAAGGGCCTGGCCCTCTTTACAGGCAATTCTTACTTCCCACCACCTTGTACACAAAGCTAGAAATTCCTCTTCCTCCAACACCTAGGGCAAGGCCCAACAGATGGCAGATATTCTCCAGCTATGTCATGAATGAATGAGTAAACTCCCCAGATTAATCCTGCCCTCCTTTTTTCCCATGCATTTGCTAAAATCAGTAAGTCCTCAGCTTTGCTAGTTTGTTCTACCTGTTTTCTGGGCATTTCTCCTTACAAGACCATAAGCTTCCCCAGGACACAGACCAAGACTTATGAGTCTCTGAGCCCCACCACGGGGCATTTTGGGGTCCTTTTCTTCTTTTTTTTTTTTTTGGAGACAGGGTCTCACTCTGTCACTCAAGCTGGAGTGCAGTGGCATAATCACAGCTCACTGCAGCCTCAACCTCCTGGGCTCAAGTGATCCTCCCACCTCAGCCTCCTGAGTAGCTGGGACTAGAAGCACAGGCCAATATGCCCAGCTAATTTTTAGTACTTTTTTGGTAGAGATAGGGGGGTCTCATTTTGTTGCCCAGGCTGGTCTTGAACTCTTGGGCTGAAGCAATCCACTCTCCTCGGCCTCTCAAAGTGTTGGGATTATAGGCGTGAGCCACCGCACCTGGCCATGTGTCATTGACTAGCCTACACTCGAGGCATAGGTTGAGAGTTCAGCCAGCCTATGTTACTTGAACACAACTGTGGGCTCTGAAGCCCAGCAGTGGCTGGATTGGAAAGACCCCAGAGCTGCTAAATGGACTGGATATGGAGATGGGGGCAGAAGCAGCCCCGCCAGCCTGCTGAGGAGGCCCAGGCCCCCTCCCACAATCTGTTTTTTCACCCTCCTCTCAAACTCCAAATATGCAAAGCAAAGTTGGGTGTGAGCTCCCCACTATGCCTCTAGGTTTTCTTCCCCAGAAGGCAAAGTTACCTGGGACAGGAGAGGAAAAGCCAAAGTCGTTTCCGACAGCCACGCTGCTGGATTTAGATTTCTGGGATTCGTATTTCAATCGATCTGGAAAAGGACCACATTCACAGGTCAGGGAGGTTAGCTCCTGGGCTCCCAGGGGCAGGCTGGGCTGGGACACGGTAGTTTGCTAGAGGCTAAGTCCCCAGAATCACACATGAGCACACACGGGCACCCAAAATATGAGTGCACACATCTACCAGCTCTCAAAGAACCAGCAGTAAAAGAAACTACCGCCTGACAGCCATCTCAAATGTCAGAATTAAAAGGACTCAGAGAGACTGTAGAGTCCAAACCCCCTCATTTAAAAAGAAAGGCACGGCCAGGGATGGTGGCTCATGCCTGTAATTCCAGCACACTGGAAGGCTAAGGCAGGCAGATCACCTGAGGTCAGGAGTTCGAGACCAGCCTGGCCAACATGGTGAAACCCCGTCTCTACTAAAAATACAAAAATCAGCCAGGTGCGGTGGCGTGCGCCTATAATCCCAGCTACTTGAAAAACTGAGGCAGGAGAAACACTTGAACCTGGGAGGCGGAGGTTGCAGTGAGCCGAGATTGAGCCACTGCACTTCAGCCTGGGTGACAAGAGCGAGACTATGTCTCAAAAAATAAAAAATAAACGGAAAAGCCTTGAGGCTTCTAGCACCTTTGCTGCAGAGCTGGGGCTAACCTTGGGCCTCAGCCCAGCCTTCTCCCTCCACAACTTGCTCCTCCCCCACCAACACACCATCAGTTACACACACAAGCTCTCACGCTGTGGCCGTCACAGGGACAGAGCTCCACAGCCCTCTCGTCTCCTCTACCCCAAACGCACTCCCACCCTGCAGGGGAAAGGCAGCCAGGCTAGGGAGCAGGGTCTCCAACCCAGAGACAACCCAAATACCTGCAAAGTTCCAGAGCCCCTGCTCTAAAGTCTTCCACTCAAGAGCCTCCCCCGCCCTGGCCTTCATGAACCCAGTCGTTCTGTTTCCGGAGCTCCAGACACATCACGCCTGCCTTGGGGCTGGGGCTCTGTGAGGAGGGGCAGTGCTCTTCTCCCTGCTGCCTTGTGCCAAGGCCAGTGCCTGGCACAGAGCAGGTGTGCAAAGGGAAGAAGGCCTAAGAGTGCACATCCTTCTTCCTCTGAGTCCCGAGGGAGAAAGGGGTGGGCTAGTGACCCAGGTCCCCATAGGCAGAATTCTGAGGCTCCCATGGGATAACTTGGTGGGAGTCATGCCTCAATAGGACAGAAAGCACCTGGCCCCCTCAGCCCCCAGCTCAGTGTTTTCCTGAGCCCCAAGGCTAAAGCCAGCATCACCTCCCTTCTTCAGCCAGGGAGAAGTGGCTGCAGGCGCTGCCCACCTCTCTCCAGAGCGAGGAGGAAGTCGCGGTTCCGTTGCAGCTCCTTCATGAACTCCTCGTTCTGCAGGAAAAGCGCGATCCTCTCGTCCTCCAGGTACTGCTTCCAGCGGCTCTCCTGGTCTCCGGGCCCTGGCCCAGCCATGGCAGGTGGACATCCCTCTCCACTCCCAGGCTTGGGGCCCCCAGCGTTACCCTGAGGAGGGAAGCGAGCATGTTGAATGTGTACACACAAGGGTACATGTTGCACAAACGTCCACATCCCTCTGGTTGCACACATGCCCTGTCCAACATCCTCCAGCCCTCACCTGAGGCTCACACCTCCTAATGGAACCTGGTTGCGAGCCAAAATCCAACGGACAGGTCAGAGCCATTGCTGCAGGGGACACAGCAGTAGCCTAAAAACTATTTTTCCCCCACGCCACAGACCACCTCATACCTTCATCTACAACCTGAACAGTCCTGAAAACAAATCTGCAGACTGTGGAACAGCCTATACGTCAATTCCCAAACTCAACCCTCTCCCTGCACCAGCAGCCTCAGGGTGGACCTGCCCCGCTGTGGGGCACCTTGGGGCATGCCAACATCTAGCAAGAAGCAGCCTCTGGCCCTTTCCCAAGGGAGGAAGGGGGGTGCTCTGGCCCTCCACCATTGGCCACCCCATGCCCGCCTCTCTCCAGCCTGAGGTGACTGCTGCAGCAGACAGCCTCCTTAGGCTGTCACCTTCCCTGGATAGAACAGGAAACCTCCAGGCCCAGGCAGGAAGTGAGGCTTTCAGTTCAGCATTCCTGCCCTACGAACCCAGGGCAACAGAAATAGCTCAGCCTGGGTTTAAACATCAGGAAGTAAAACTGGCTGGCACAAATTGTGTGGGCAAAGAGAGATGCTGGACAAGCAGGTGGGAGTGGAAGGCGGGGGCGGCCCCTGTTACCTGTATGCTGTCCAGCTGCTGGGGCAGGATGCGGAGAAAGTCATCCGGAAGGTTGCCCAGCAGTGGTGGGTTCCAGTTCCGATAGCGTCTCTGGCTTGTAGGGGCTCCAGAGCCCAGCGCGTCGATACTAGGGGATGGCAGGTGACAGGGAAGAGGAAGTCATTAAGCCCAACCCCAGGTCTCCTGGCCCCATCACACCAGGTCCTCAGGCAGGTCGGATCCTGCTCAGAGATTCCCATGGCCTCCACTGCCTCCAGAACAAAGGCCCGTCACTCTGTCTCATCACTGGAGATGTCTCCACCAGCCTCAGCGAACTCCCCAGCCATTCATGCTCTCCAGTCACTCAGTGCCCTTCCAGGTCTCTGGACCTACAGAGCTGTCTGTCCACGGTGCACATGTGGAACTCTGTGGATTTAGCCATAGATGTTTACAAATGTCCCCTAAAGACAGCAGGGATCGCATCCTTTCATGCTTCTATCCTAGCACCTACACAGTGCCAGGCTCATGGTGCTGAGTGACAGGTATGGTCCAAAGGAACAGACACATAAGCCACCAACAGCACAGCCTGCTGCATGCTGGTTTGCTGAGGAAGGGGCATATGGGGACGCCAGGATCCCTACAGAGGGTAAAGCAGATCTGAGCTCCAGTTCTGGCTCAACCACCAGCCGGCAGGGTAGTCTTAGGTGGGCCCCTGTTCCCTCTAGGGCTCGGTTTCCTTATCTAGAAACTGCTGCCTCCCTGCCCAGGTGCTGGGGAGCCCCTCAGGAGGCCGTGTCCTGAGCAATGTTCTGAAAACGTGCGTGGAGATGTGAGTGTGGAAGGGATCTCGCTCTCAGGGTGCTCTGGGGCCGCTCTTTCCAGGCCCGTTGTGTGTGTGGCAGGAGCTCTGTGCCATGGCAGAGCCAACAGCTGGGCAAGGCAGTAGAGGAAGAGGGGGTGGCACACACCCTCCCTGACCCCCAGGCTCCCGCCCTACCGCCCTGGGCCTGAGGGCAGCTCGGAGCCCGGCCAGGAGGTCCCCACAGCTCCATGGCAGCCTGCAGCGTGGCAACCGCAGGACACGTGTTCCGCTGAATCAGGAAAACGGCACACTGAGAAGGCAGCCGAGGGCCGGGCGGTGGGGGCTGCTCTAGCTCTCGGGCCTGGCTTTGATTTGGTCTTCAGCTCTAGGAATCCCGCCCGCCCCCTCACTGGAGGGGAGCTTTTCCGGGCTGCCGCTGACTATGGAAATAACTTCCTTTCCTTTTCTATTTCGGGCGGGTGGCCGGCGGCGGGGGCGAGGGGAAGGGGCGGGGGCGGCAGCAGAAGGGATAACCAGCTGCTAAGTGCCTGGTGGGAGCTCAGCTCTTGCAGACTGGAGCCAAGGGAACCCCAGCACGCCTCGTCCACCCTCTCCCTGCACAGACACAGGGGGAGAGGGAATGGTCTGGAGAGCAGCTTGCATCACAACCCGGGACTCCCATTCCTAGGCCAAATTTTTTTCTACATCACTGCCACCTTCTGTCACTGTTGGAGGCTTCATTTTTCTCCAAAGGCCAGAGATGGGGAGAGAGGAAGCCTCATCTCTAAGGGACTCGCAGACCACCCCAGGCTACAGCAGGGAGGGACCCTCGCCAGGGGTATTACCAGTTCTTGAGGTCTCAGGGTCTTCATCTGGGACATGGGTGCCCACCCCCAATTTAACCACACCTCGGAGCCACCCAGGAAAGCAGTGGAGGGAGAACCTCAGAGGTGCACCTGGACCCCTCTAGCCATGAAGACTCCAAGTGGAGAAGGGCACAAGGTGGAGGAGGCCCCTGTTCTCAGCTGAGTTTCCTTGCTGCTAGGCCTGTGGTCCTGAAGGAAGGCCAGGCCCAGCCCCCTCCCGGCCCCTTGGCTGGCACTGGTAGAGATGAGGTCAGCCCACAGCTGCGTGAGCCAGGGCACAGGCAGCCCAGGCAACTCCATTGTGGTCGGAAAGGAATGTCAGAAATGAGCTGAGACGCAAATAAAAAAAAAAACTTCCAAGGCTGTAATTTTAACGGAAAAACAGCAGGCGGCCTGTGTGGAAGGGTCCCCGGGGTTTCAGAGACTGTCTTTCAGACAGATGGAGGGAAGGACAGACTGGGGGAGGGGAAGGAGGGAGAAGCTGGGGAGGATTTCCCAGCCCAGAGCCTCTGCCTCTGGACCCCAAAACTGCAACTTCAAGCCCCATCGGACCCCCAGGTTTACCCATGGAACATCAGACCTGATGGAAAGGGATTTCAGACTCAGGACTTCCAGGTAAAATTTTTGGTAAGAACTGGACATTGAGGTCCAGAGGGGGTTCAAGCCATGTCCCAGGACACACACATCATCCAGGCAAAACCTGGGCCCAGGGATTGTGACATTTGAAGCATGCTCCCCGGGGTGGCCCTGCCTCTCTGTGCCCTAGGAGGCCAATACCCACGCTCCCAAACTCTGCCCCATCTGCAGGTTCTCGGCACCCCAGTGACTGGAGGTAGCAGATGGGGGCCAGGCCATTCCCCCACTCAAATCTGATCTCCCTCAGCAGCCAAAGGAAGATTCCTAAAACACGAACCTGATCGTGTCGCTCTCCAGGTTAAGGCCCTTGAATGGCTCCCCGCTGTCTGCAAGAGAAGACGGAAGCTCCCTGGAGGGCCACAGGGCCTTTGATCTGCTTGCCTTTCCAGCCTCACCCGCCGTTAGGTACTTCCAGGAGGTCTCCAGATGAGCCCTCTTTCCTGCCTCCAGGCCTCTGCAAGTGCTCCTTCCTTTGCCTGAGCGCCTCCCTGTCCTCTGCTTCTCCACATTACTGCCAATGTGGCCTTCAGGTCACAGCCTGGACATCAGTTTCTCCTGGCAGCCTTCCCTGCCCCCGTGTCTTCGGCTTCCCTAGACCCTGATCTCCTTGGCAGTGTGTGGGCAAACAGGCAGCACCGTATTCACCTCCACATCACACACATGGCTCAGCACGTGGTTCACACACATAGTTCAGGAGTGCTGTACTCACCACCTCATCATACACATGGCTCAGCACCTGCGTATGGCAGGCAATCAGTAAATGCTGGAAATGAATGTCCTGGATGGAGGGACTGGACAAGGCACTGGAGATGGCCTAGAGGCCC
The DNA here is from genome assembly GCF_000001405.40 of Homo sapiens. NCBI lineage: Eukaryota > Metazoa > Chordata > Mammalia > Primates > Hominidae > Homo > Homo sapiens. Next base: position 57,876,698 of record NC_000017.11, read on the forward strand.
AGGTCTAGCAGAGCCATCCTGGGGCAAAGGGATCTGTGCCTCTACTGAACACTGGCCTCTGGGGGAAGCCTCGCCCCTGGTCTCAATGTTAGAGCTAAACTTAGAAGCCAGCCAGTGTAGCTGGGGGACAGGAAGGAGCAGTAAACCACTGATTATAGGTCTGGTCTATACCTGGGTCTGTGCTAAGTGCTCCACACACATCTCATTCAATCCTCCTAACAGTGCTAAGGTGGAAATTACTATTCCCATTTCAGGTGAGGCAAACGAAGCTCAGAGAGGTTAAGCAATGAGCCAAAGGCCACATTGCAAAGGTGCCTGAAGAATTCTAAGCTAGGCAGCTGAAGAAAGGGGTGGGGAGAACAGACCGCTTCTGTCTGACTCCACAAGTCAAGTTCTCCTCAGGGCATCCACTCCCAGCCCAGCAAAGCCTTCCATTTCCTGAGTTAGGCTCCAGAACCTCAAGCAAGAGCAGTAACTTATCTAAAGTCCACAGGGTCTCCTAAGCCTTGGTCTGGTGCTGAGGTTACCTTGCCCCCAAGTGGGGCTCCCATCACCACCCTGGCCCCCACCCACAGCAGGCTGAACACCCAGCCAGAGTAGGGAGGGAGGATGTGGCATGGATATCCATACCACATTTATACTGGGATTTTCAGCCAAGCGTGACGGTATGCCCTGTAGTCCCAGCTATTTGGGAGGCTGAGGCGGGAGGACTGCTAGAGCCCAGGAGTTCAAATTCACCATGGGCAACATAGTGAGACCCTGTTTCTATTTAAAGAAAAAAAAATCCTTTCTCTTATGGCCTCAGTTTTCCCTTCTGAAAATAGGTGGAACCACTCTGCCTAGCAGAAACTGAACTTTTTGCAAAAGTGTATTGGAATATTAAAAAAAAAAAAAAAGGTGGGGGTGGGGATAGGCCCGGTGGCTTATATCTGCAATCCCAGCACTTTGAGAGGCCGAGGTGGGCGAATCACCTGAGATCAGGAGTCTGAGACCAGCCTGGCAACATGGTGAAACCCCGTCTCTACTAAAATACAAAAGTTAGCCGGGTGTGGTGGCACACATCTGTAATCCCAGCTACTCGGGAGGCTGAGGCAGAAGAATCACTTGAACCTGGGAGGCGGAGGTTGCAGTGAACAGAGATAATCCCAGTGCACTCCAGCCTGGATGACAGAGTGAGACTCCGACTCAAAAAAAAAAAAAAAAAAAGTCAAAGAAAGGAAAATCATTTAGCCCAGGGCTCTGTGATCTATCCCAGGCTGCAAGTCCTGCCTAGGTCTCACCCAGACCCACCCACTCATTCCCCACCTCCCACTCCAGTACAGCCTGCCAGCTCCTGGTACCACTCGTGACAAAGATCCCAGCTCTGTTCCTGTCCCTGACTCAAAACACTTCCCTCCCTCCTCCCCTCAGTAACTTTCTAGGACTCTATGAGCTCCGTAAGCTGCAATCACAGAGACTTTTCTCATTCGGGAGGTGACAGGACACAGCAGTGAAGAGTGATTAGCTTTAAGTCAGAATGACCTGGATTCGAACTCCAGCTCTTAGTCTTGGGGAAGTTATGAAATCTCTCAAGGCTCAGTTTCCTCGTCCATAAATAGGGGTGATGACAACAGTGCCCGCCTCTGCATTAAATGTGATGGTGTAGGTAAAGAACCTGCTCCGTTTCTGGCATTGGAAGGGTGCTTAGTCAATGCTAGCTACACTTGTATGATAACAGAGTTCACCACTGCTCTGGGGCTGTTCTGGGGAGAAGGGAAGATCTAACTGGGACAGGTGCCCTGTCCCATCATCTCCCCACCCCCTCACCACTCCAGGCCTGAGCCATTCTAAGAAACAGCAGCTCTAGGGCAAAGAGGTCACACCCCAGCTCCAGCAGCCCCAGCACAAATGTGGAGCCCAGAAAAACAAGCACCCCGGAGACCCATGGGATCTTCCTGGCAACTACCTTGATTATTTATTTATTTATTTATTTATTTATTTATTTATTTACTGAGAGTCTCACTCTGTCACCCAGGCTGGAGTGCAGTGGCACCATCTTGGCTCACTGCAACCTCCGCCTCCGGGGTTCAAGCGGTTCTCCTGCCTCAGCCTCCCAAGTAGATGGAATTACAGGCATGCGCCACCACCCCTGGCTAATCTTTGTATTTTTAGTAGAGATGGGGTTTCACCATGTTGGCCAGACTGGTCTTGAACTACTGACCTCAAGTGATCCACCCACCTTGGCCTCCCAAAGTGCTGGGATTACAGATGTGAGCCACTGTGCCCAGCCTAGCTTCATTTTAAGCTTCCAAATTACAGAGTCTCTAACCTGGAAGAAGTTTCCAGGGACCTTGCAGTCTACCTCCCTGCCTCCAGTTATCAAACTACCTTAATGAAAGAGACTTGCTCTCATTGCTTAAAAATCCTCACAATATCCCTAGCCCAAGGATGGCAGCTAGCCATTCCATCAATTACTGATGACTGGCTGGGAATGCTGTGTTCTGTGTTAAGGAGGATCTGAGGCTCTGTCTTGACTCAGCAGGAAAGAGCACAGTGATGAATCAGCCATGTTTGCTGTGGGCTTGGGAGGGGAAGTGCCAATACACATTCCCTGTTTGTCATTCCTACTCTGGCATCTCCCTTGACTATAAGCTCCCAGAAAGCAGAGGCTGAGCTTTACTTAACTCTGTGTCCCATATGGTACCAGACATACCGCCTAGCCTAGAGTAGGAATTTAGGAAATGTTTGCTCTTGCAATCCTTACATTTTGCAAGTTCTCCTTGGTATCTAGCTAAAATGTCTCTTGCTGCAGTAGAAGCCTGTTCTTTGAAATATACTGAGCAGTCCAGCCAAGTTTCGTGTTGTTTGTACACAGCCCCAGCCACTGATCCTCTTCCCTGCCACCCTGTGCTCTGAGACATGACAGATTCTCACCGGGGAGGCGGAGTCGGGGGAGCCAGAGGGTAGGGCCGGTCGAACACGTGCATGTGGTAGGCTGGCGGGGAGTACACAGGTGGGGGCTCTTCATCCGAGCTATCAGGTTCCAAAGTCCTTTCCAAGATCTAAATCAGAGGCAACAGAGAAAGAAATATTAATCATCCCTCCTTGAATTTAAATACCATTCAGACAAAATCAAGTGTGGGAGGGCAGGTATAATAAAGGAACTCTGTGTGTTGCTAGTGGGAGTGTAAATCGATACAATCACCACTTTAGAAAACTGCCTTTTTGAAAAAGCTAAACACATGGCTACCTCTGACCCTCCAGTTCTGGCAACTCCACAGACATCAAAGTGTATGTCCCCAAAAGAATGTTCACAGCAGCATTCTCCCTCCATGTGCAGTTCAAATACAGGCAGAAACAAATACACAGTGGTAAGGGTCAGGGCGGTGTGCCCTCTGTGGAGCGGGTAAGGGTGGGAACAGATACCAGGGGCACTCCAGGTTCTGGGGATGATGGTTATTGAGCTGGTGCTGATAATGTGGAATATTCGCACTGTGAAACTCCACCGAGCTGCATGCGTGTGACTCATGTGCTCCTGTACCCATGCTATTCTTTGATGATAACATCTTTCATACCTTCTCTCAAAGTACCTCCACGTCTCTGATCTCATCTTAACCTCGAACAACCTGGCGCTGTAGGATATGGCTCATTACCCCATTTGACACAGAAGGAAACTGAGGCCGAGGCTAAGTGACATGGCAAAAGCCACACGCTTTTTAGAACTGAGTCTTCAACTTGGACCACAAGGGTCCCTCCTTCAGGCACACTGGCTGCACACTCAGGTTGGACTCTCAGGGCGGAGAGTAGCAAGGGGAGTGCCCGGGATGCCTGCTCTCCTTCCCAAGCTCTTGTCTTTATCCAGGAGCCAAGAAGAGGGCCAGGGAGAGGCCAAGGACTGGGCAAAGTCTGGGGTCCTGCTCCACTGACCGACTTAGATTCTTCCCCAGAAGCCCAGAGAGGAGTTTGGGGCAGCTAAACACATGGCTACCTCTGACCCTCCAGTTCTGGCACACTCCGCAGACATCAAAGTATATGTTCTCCTGCCTCGGCCTCCCAAGTAGATGGAATTACAGGCGTGCGCCACCACCCCTGGCTAATCTTTGTATTTTTAGTAGAGATGGGGTTTCACCATGTTGGCCAGGCTGGTCTTGAACTCCTGATCCACCATAGGGGCGGCCCCTGACTGGGAGATCCCTCACCACACAGCCCAACCTGGCCTACACCTTCGCCTCCCGCTCACTCCCCACAACTCTGTTCCCATCTCCTCCAAGATCAAAGAATATGGGAGGAGCTCAGAGGCTGTGAATCTCAGGTGCCCCAGAGCCCCCAGACCTCAGGTGAGTTTGCAGAAGTCACCATAATAATGCTGCCTGTATAAGCCTGGGCTGGGCCAGGCCTCACTGGTACATCTCTGCTCTTGAGACCAGCCATGCCCAGCACACACAGCCTCCCAGGGGCACCTGGTGGGTAGGGAAGTGAGCCTGTGCATGTGAGCACACATACACACACACGCGCACATGCACACACATGCACACGTGCACTCTGCAGTGCTCTGCGCTTACATAGCTAGCTAAACCCAAGGAGGCCTCCCGCCCTGGAATGCACTAACGTTCTTTCCTTTGAGGCCAAAAGTATTTAAACAGATGCTTTTGCAGGAAAGGAAGAATGTAGTGCTTGGCAGGCCACTGCTCTGCTTACCCTAAATTTCCACAAGAAAGGAAAAAAGAGAGAGAACACTGTAAGCGCTGCTCCTGTTCCCTGGCGACTCTCTGGTGCCTGGCACAGGACAGTGACCCAGCAGGTACCTGGTGCATTCTGAGAACTTGCTGCTGCTGTCCCCCAGCCCAGGCACCCTGTTTCCCAGACCCCTCTTCTCTGAGGGATAGGGCTTTGGGCTGCAGCCTTGAGGCCAGCAGTGGTGGGTCTCAGTGGCTGGCCTGGGCTATTCCCACTGATATGGGTCAGAGTGAGGTGGGTGAGCAGGGGAGGAGAGCGCAGTAGAAACTGTCCCCTAAAGGAAGCTGCTTGGGGTTTCCCCTGACCATGGCTAGTGGCAGTCAGCCCCCCAGACTCAGGGCAATCAGCCCTCCCCAGCCACACCAGGAGGCCCCCTCCTGCTCCTCTGTGCAGCCTCCCAGGGCAGCAAGACCAGACAGACGTTCATCAGAGCCTCCTGGAGAGGACTTGGGAAACACAGAGAAGACAGGCGGCCGGCCAGGCAAGCTCCAGAATGCAGGGCCCGAGTCCCAAGGAGAGTAACCCCAGCAGCACTGCTGGCCTCCCTGGCCTCTCCCTCCCACTGCCACCGCCACAAAGAGGTTGTTCTTCTGGCTCTAAAGGTGCTGAAGTTTTTGGGCTCTGCAGCCTCCTGGCTTAACTCATTGTGGGTGATGGATGCCTGCCAGGTGCTCCAGGGGGCAGGGTCTAGGCCATTTATCTGACAGGAGATACTTCTCCATGGCAAGGATACCCCTCGGGCCAGCCCACCATCCATCAGCCCCCAGAAAGGGTTTTTTTTTCCAGTCAGCAGTTATTGTCATTCCAGCTGTGGCTCATAAATTTTCCGAAGCACTTTCCGCTGGCTCAGGAGCTGCCTGCCTATGGGCCCAGGCAGAGTTCCAAAGGTGGGGGGTTGGGGAGACTGCCAAGGGAGGGGAGGGGTACCGGGAGGGGGCTCAATTTGGAGAGCAAGATTCTTAGAAAAACAGAAGTGCACACACAGCAAGGGCCTACCTAGGGGGTGGTGAAGCCTTGCAGAGGTCTATAGGACTGTGGGGGCCATGGACAAAGGAGAAAATACTACCCTACCTGCCAGACTGTCAGGGCAAATCAGACTGCAGAAAGGGTCAGAGCTTGCAGAGAGCTTTCCTTCCAGTTCACACTTAAAGCATATACAGTTGACTCTCAAATAACAAGAGTTTGAACTGCGTGGGTCCACTTATAGGTAGATTTTCTTCCACCTCCACCACCCCTGAGACAGCAAAACCAACCCCTCCTGTCCCTCCTCCTCAGCCTACTCAATGTGAGAAGATGAGGATGAAGCCCTTTACGATGATCTACTTCCACTTAATGAGTAGAAAATATATTTTGTCTTGCTTATGATTTTCTTAACATTTTCTTGTCTCTAGCTTACTTTATTGTAGGAATACAGTATATGATACATACAACACACAAAATATATGTTAGTCGACTGTTTATGTTAAGGCTTGAGTTAAGGCTTGAGGTCAACGATAGGCTATTAGCAGTCAATTTCTGGGAAAATCAAAAGTTATATTAAAAAGTGGATTTTTGACTGCAAGGGGAGGATTCACTGCCCCTAACCCCTGCATTGTTCAATGGTCAACTGTATCTGCAGACACACACATACATACGCATACTCTCACTCTCTCTCTCTCCTTCTTTCTACAAAGAGGATCCATATTTTCCAATATTCCTTCCACCACCTACTCCAAGCAGATCAAAGGAGTGGTCTCCCAAGGAGAGAGACAATAGAAAACTGTACAAAGACAGCAGCAACACGTACTCATTCAACAAACACTCCCTGAGTGCTTGCTATGTGCGTGGATTGTCCTGGGTGCTGCAGATGACACAGGGATGAGCCAGATGTCTTGGCCAACAGAGCTTTTCCACCTCTAGGGGAAGTCTCAGCAGCACCCACTAAGGAGGAAAAGCAAGGAGACTTTGCCCTGCAGGATGGCTGATGAACAAGGGTAATAATAATGCCACAGCACAAAGTTTGTGAGGATTAGAAGAGATGACACATCGGGCCAGGTGCAGTGGCTCATGCCTGTAATCCCAATACTTTGGGAGGCCGAGGCGGGCAGATCACCTGAGGTCAGGAGTTCGAGACCAGCCTGGCCAACATGGTGAAACCCCATCTCTACTAAAACTACAAAATTAGCCGGTCATGATGGCACATGCATGTAGTCCCAGCTACTCGAGAGGCTGAGGCAGGAGAATCGCTTGAACCTGGGAGGTGGAGGTTGCAGTGAACCAAGATCGCGCCATTGCACTCCAGCCTGGGCGACAGAGCAAGACTCTGTCTCAAAAAAACAAAAAAACAAACAAAAAAAGAAGATATGATACATCTAAAGCACTTAGGATGATGCCTGGCACGGGTCGGGACTCAATAAAGAGTGGAGTTAAATCCTGCTGGGTCCTGGTCTTGTCCATGGCTGCATGTCCCAGATGGCCCTGTGGACAACACCCCTCTGATTAACAGGCTCTGTGTGCCTCATCCTTCTGCACCAAGCACCTCAGGCTCTGCTGATACTGGGTGGCCAGATGTCCACTGAACTCGGGTGGGACTGGAAAGGACTCACAACCTCCAGCAGGTGGGTACTGATGCAGTACGCAGGTCCCCTCTCTCCAGCCACTTCCCTGGAGAGACTGCTTGGCTATGGCTCACTACTGTTTCCATCAGGCCACAGTCAGAGGGATTTAACTGGCAAGTCTGATTCCTCACTCCCTTTCCGTGGCTATGCTCCCAGGATACAGCCGCACTCTTTTTCTTTTCTTTTTTTTTTTTTTTTTTTTTTTGAGACGGAGCCTTGTTCTGTCACCCAGGCTGGAGTGCAGTGGCATGATCTCGGCTCACTGCAACCTCTGCCTCCCGGGTTCAGGCGATTCTCCTGCCTCAGCCTCCCGAGTAGCTGGGACTACAGGTGCGCACCACCACGCCTGGCTAATTTTTGTATTTTTAGTAGAGATGGGGTTTCACCATATTGGCCAGGCTGGTCTCGAACTCCTGAACTCATGATCCACCTGCCTCGGCCTCCCAAAGTGCTGGGATTACAGGCATGAGCCACCTCGCCCGGCCCCAGCCGCACTCTTTTTCTCAGCGTCAGGGCTTTGTCAACCTCATTGATCTCCTCTCACTCTAGGACCCTGACAGATGGTCCTGCTGCCAGTTCCCTAGCCAGTGAGGCACTATTTCACCTCCCAGACTCTGCACAAGCTGTTCCCTTTGCCTGCACACCCTTCCCCCGGCTTCACTCTTCCTTTGGGTCTCAGCTTAGGGTTTCGGCTTAGCCATCGCTTCCTCTGGGAAGTCACTCCTTTCTGCTGCTTCCACGTCTCCATCGAGCACTTACCACTCTGGCCGTCAGTACCCGACTCGCGCTTCTAGTCCACACTGGACTGTGAGCTCCAGGAGGGCAGAAATTTGGTCTGACTTGGCCACTAGCGGACTCTACGCCTGATGTGGAGTTCAGTATGTTGGGGTGGGGCCCAGGCACCTGCATTTTTAACAAGCACCTTGATTCTGATGCCTCCTGACTCAGGGTCTAGTGCCACGTCTCGCACACCACTGAGTGGGCGCTCAGTGTTTGTTGAATGACTGCATGATTTCTGCCCATAAAATAAGGTGACTGACGGATGGTACTTTTCCCTAGGGGAAGTAAGGCTGCTTGCTAATTAGAACCCAGATAGCGGAGTAACCCAGGTCCTCTTAGAGGTTCCAGTGGTGGTTGGAATTACCCGGGCCGTGCCCCTACCTCCGGGGGGATGCTGTCCTCCAGTGGTGGTTGGAATTACCCGGGCTGCGCCCCTACCTCCGGGGGGATGCTGTCCTCCGAGTCGGAGCTGTCCTCATAGACGCCGCCGCTGCTGCCACCGCCCTCCAGGTTCATCTGCAGCAGCTGGTCGATGGTGGCGTCCACAGCGCCGCTGTTGGCGCGCAGCACGCATTCGATGATGTCGTAATCCATGTTGGGGAACATGGTCTTGAAGTCGTCCATGGCCTGGTTGAACTCCAGGCGGCGCACCTGGCGGGCAGGCCGGCTGTTGTTGAGCTCCTGGGGGGCGGCCGTGCCTCCCCCGCCCCCGCGTGCCCCGGCGGTGCCACCCCCGCCGCTGCCGCTGCTGCTCCGGCGGAACAGGCTGGTCATTTTGCGGAGCCGCTTGGGGAAAATGTTTCTAGCCGGCCGCAAAGCCCCTTCCCCAGGGTCTTTCCGCCGTCAGCCGCTTACTTGCCCTGCGGTCTCGGGCAGCTCACTCCTGCGCCTCCTCCTCCCCGGGTAGCCAGGCAGCAATGGGCTGCCAAGAGCTCCGGGTTAGGAGAGTACGGGCGCGGGGCCCCAGGCAGCCCTTGGAGAGCGGTCCTCGCGGGGCGGTGGCATGCGGGACCGGGCCGTGCTGGGGCTGGGCGGCCGGTCATCCACACCCCCGGTGCATCCTGGCACCGGTTTCACGGATGGTCCCACCTGAAACCGAAAGAGATGGAGTCAGGGCCGAGGCTAACAAAACATGAGCTCAGGGTGGCGGCCAAGGGCTACTAAGAAATGAGGGCAGGGAACCGCGACCCCTACCACGGGCAAGGGAGGCTTGCTTCTTCCTCATGCTTTCTCCCCGGCTTCAGTAATGAAATCCCCACAGTTCTTTACTAGCACAGGACAGCCACCAGTTAGCAAGGGATTCCTCCGACCCAGGTGCCATCCTAAGTGCTCTATGTGGGCCAACTCATGACAATACTGTAAGGTATGTGCTAGTATGCCCATGTTGCAGATGGGAAAAGTGAGGTATAGACGCTGAGTTAGTGGAGGAGCCAGGATTTGAATCTGGGACATATGGCCCTCAAGTCACTGGTCTCTACCATTACACATACTGCCAAAGACCCCTGAAGACCTGAGTGAGGCAGGAGGGGCTCTTTAAAGATGTCCTGCCTCTCTGATCTCTAGTCCCTGTTCTCATCTTCCCACATCACTGCCCCAACATCGTGGTCCCACCACCAGGGCAGGAATCTTGTGCAGAGCTCCATCGAACCCCGGGGACAGCAGTGATGAGAAGCGGGACCCTCCAGTGTCACCGGGAGCTTCCAGCCTGAGAGAGGAAACAGGGTTTCATCCTTGCAGAGCCTCGGGCTAATAGGGGAGGCCCAGTTCCCACTCTTGGAAAACTCATGTCAGGCCCTAAAACTCAGTCCATTCCCCTGAGAAGCACCAGCCCAAAAGAGAGATGCAAGGCCATTGTCAACCCCTGGAGTTCATTTTCCTTACCCCAATGTCAGGCCGACATGTTTTATTTATATCACAGACACGTTTGTTCTTATGGAACACTCAGTGTCCTTACATATTTTTAAAAATTCTAGAAGTTTTTTCTCAAAGTTGTCTTGAGAAACCATATACATCATAAATTCTGGTTGTTTTTTTTTTTTTTTTTTTGAGACGGAGTCTCGCTCTGTCACCCAGGCTGGAGTGCAGCGGCACGATCTCGGTTCACTGCAAACTCCGCTTCCCGGGTTCACACCATTCTCCTGCCTCAGCCTCCCGAGTAGCTGGGACTACAGGCGCCCGCCACCACACCCGGCTAATTTTTTTTTGTATTTTTAGTAGAGACAGGGTTTCACCATGTTAGCCAGGATGGTCTCGATCTCCTGACCTCGTGATCTGCCCGCCTCGGCCTCCCAAAGTGCTGGGATTACAGGCGTGAGCCACCGTGCCCGGCCATAAATTCTGTTCTTATCCCCACCAAGCCCAGTTCTCCTGCCCCAGCCAATGTGTGTCCCTCAGCCCCCAGGGTCAGCACAGTGTCCTGACAACATGTATAGGTGGAACTGAAAATCAAGCACAATGAGGGACCTTAATCTGCCACAGAAAACCACCCGGCCCACTCAAACCCAGGCATGTAAATCACTGCCAAGGTTGCATTTCTGTTAGCACAGACCACTGGGAATGGAATGCGCCTAAACACCAACTTCTGACAGTGGCAGCTTTATTTTAAGGGACAATTCCATCAAATAATATCCTTGAGTTTGATGAAACAGGTGCAAACTTGTTTTCACTTTTCTAGGACTTGGAGTCACAATCTTAACAGCTGATACAGAAATTTTTTTTTTTTTTTCGGTCTCACTTTGTCGCCCAGGCTGGAGTACAGTGCTGTGATCTTGGTTCACTGCAACCTCTGCCTCCCAGGTTCAAGCAGTTCTCCTGCCTCAGCCTCTCGAGTAGCTGGGACTACAGGTACACGCCACCACGCCTGGCTTTTTTTTTTTTTTTTTTTTTGTATTTTTAATACAGATGGGGTTTTGCCATGTTGGTCAGGCTGTTCTCAAACTCCTGACGTCAGGTGATCTGCCCACCTTGGTCTCCCAAAGTGCTGGGATTACAGGCATGAGCTTCAATGCTTGGCCAAGATGTTTTTGTGAGTACATCAACCCCTGAGAAAATCTGTTCACACTTTAGTGTGTCTACATCTCGATTTTTTCTTTTCTTTTTCTTTTTCTCTTTTTTTTTTTTTTTTTTTTTTGAGACAGAGTCTGGCTGTAGCCCAGGCCGGAGTGCAGTGGCGTGATCTTGGCTCACCGCAACCTCCACCTTCCAGGTTCAAGCAAGTCTCCCATCTCAGCCTCCTGAGTAGCTGGGACTACAGGCACGTGCCACCACGCTTGGTGCTAATTTTTGTATTTTTAATGGAAATGGGGTTTTACCATGTTGGCCAGGCTGGTCTCAACCTCCTGGCCTCAAGTGATCCACCTGCCTCAGCCTCCCAAAGTGCTGGGATTACAGGCGTGAGCCACTGCGCCCGGCATTATTTTTTCTTTGCATATACCACCATAAATGAATTTATTTTACTAAAATGTAATCAAACCATAAATCCTATGCAACTAGTTTTTTCCACATAATAAGATATTGTGGCCATCTTCCCATGTCAGAATACGTAGGGCTACGCCATCATTTTTAGTGCCTGAGTAGCATTCTGTTGACTGAGTGAAGCATGATTTATAATCCAACTCCCTCTACCCCATCTCTTCCCAGATGAGCAAGTCAGAGCCCAGAGACGCCCAAGCCATTTCACAAGAAGACACAGAGGGGTGACTTCAAATGATCAGTCCAAGAGTTTTGCTGTGAGAAGGAACATAGGAAGGTAGCCAAGTATGACATGGCTTCCCATAGCCGGCTTTAGACACCCCAACACCCCTACACCCACATCTCCACGAACCCACACACATCAGAAGAGTATGCAGCTTCGCCTGGGCTCCACCCTGACAGCTGCCTTTGTCCTGGGCTCTGGGGACCTGCCCTCAAGCCTCTAACACAGACCTCAGGGCCAGGAGGCCCCAGAAGCTGATGCCTTGGGCTACTGTCTGCTGTCCTAGTGTCATCACACACAGGGGTCAGTGACTTGTGTTAAGGCCTTCTGGAGTAAAGCCATCATCTCTCTGCCCCTCCAGTAATTTACTAACAGAGATGGAGGGACCCAGGTCTCACTCTGCCAAAGGCAATCCCTCGGAGAAAGATGACCTGGGCCACCCCCAGGGGAGGAAGAAAGAAGATGGCAAGACCGACATTTTCCCCATTAGCAGCCCTCTGGACAGCTCCCTCGGGTTCTGGGCCTCTCTGAGTGTTGAGAAGCTCCAGAAGCCTTGCACTCTTGCCACTTATAGGGAACACGCACCAGTTCAGACAAGGCCTCCGCACTCCCCAGCTGTGGGACCTCAGACAAGTCTCCCATCCTCTCCGTGGCCCTAAGCCCTCATCTGGATGTATCCCTTAGGGGGTTTCAATGGGAATGAAATAAGATAATCCTCAGCACACTGCCTAGAACGTGGCTATGCTGCATTTGAGTTATCATTGCCCCAGGAGGCTGGTAAAGAGCCAGGAGCAGTGGGTAAATTGGCCAAGCTGCCCTCACAGGGGGGATGGGGTAGGGAGATTCTAGGGGGGTCTTCCCCAGCACCTGGATGTCAATCCCTGGAATTCTTTCAGCCCTCTGTAAGGAAATATTGATCCTCATGGCCCCAGGGGAGGCTGGGCTGGCCTGGGCAACTGGAGACACAGCAGCTCAAGCAGCCGCTTCCATTTGGCCCAAGTGCAAAGCTTTGAAAGCATCCTTGTGGGGACCACAAAATGTAAAGGACTGACAACTCCAGCCCAGCCCCACACCCTGCCTCACATTACAGGTGAAGAGCCTGAGACCCAAGTCTAGGAGGGAGTTGCCCAAGGACACACAGCGAGTAAAGGCAAAGTCTAGACTTTTCTATCAAAGGGTGGTTCTGTGGATGAGGAGAGTGGCTCAGAAACAGTAATGGGAAACACAAGGAAGCAGTAATGGGAAGCATTTTGATTACCAGAAGTACCATTTCCACAGGACTCTATAAGGTCTCAGAGACTCCCAGGCTGCCTATAGTTAGAACCAGGTGGACTATAGAGGCCCCCAATTCTCAGAGCACTGTCCCTCTCTCCCCCTGGCTAAGCTCAGGGCAGAGTCTGAGGCCATGGCTGTGGTGTGCCTGGGAGCAGGGTCAGAGCCGTCCATGCCAGGCTGCCTTTTGCAACTAGCACTGCTCAAATGAAAAGCAGTTTAAAATACACGAAAGGATTAAAGCAAGTAGGCGACAGGTTTACGAGCCTGTGCCACATGCTTTCACATTTAATCTTTATTACAACTCCATGAGACAGGTGTTGCTGTCTCCATTTCATAGCTGTGGGAACCATTTCAGAGAGGTTGGGTAAATTGCCCAAAGTCACACAGCCAGTATGTGGAGAGGCCAGAATAGGAACCCACTTCCTAAGAGGCAAAAAATGCCAAGTAAGGCTCACAGGGCTATGAGCCAAGGAGCATAAGAAATTCAGCCATGTGTGCCCCAGGCTCAGGAGACTGGGCACAGCCCAGAGGACATTTCAGCACAGGAAACATGACCCAGACAGCATGGTAGCAAGGTCTCTTGGCTCTGCTCCAGAGCTGGCTCTGTGACCTTGGAGAAACCATACCACCTCTCAGAACCCCAGCTGCTGAGCACTGGCAGGGAAACAGAGGGACATAACCCCTGACTGGCTTCTGAAAAAGGAAGCAAACAACCCACTGGGCTCATCAGACCTCTCGGAGGCTGACTCAAAGGCTCCCCTGAACTCATGGTTGTGGATGACCTGGAGACTGGGAAGCAGAAACCCCACACCTGTCCTCCTCCAGGTCCCAGGAAGCCAGGATCACAGTGGCCCTCCACCTCCCCTGTGAAGGAATCCAGGCCCGGCAGGGGCGGCAAACAGCCAACCTCCTCTCCTAGCATAAGCACGCAGCCAAGGCCTGAGTCACTCCCGGCTTGGCCCACGGAGGTGGGCAAGCTGCCCCAGTGCAGTTCATCTGGCCTTGCCCAAGGTCATCCCAGCCAGCCTCCTGCCTGGTACATCAGGGCCAGCGAGGGTCTGCATGGGGGCTATGAGAGCTGGGGAGCCAGAGTCCTGGGTGCACTTTGTGACCTTAGTAAGGCTGTGTGACTTGGGGAAATTGTTTCATTTCTTTGCACCTCAGCTCCCTCATTTGTAGACATAGGGGAGGAGTATTAATAGAACGTACATGGGTACCTGGCGTATAATAAGCACCAGTGACACAGGCTGCTGTGGCTTGGGGCACAGGCCTGGGACCTTTTCCCGGGCTAGACTCACTCCCTGAGCAATCTCATCCAGCCCCATGGCTTGGAATACCATCTGCATACTGAACACTGGCTCTCATGTGCTCCAACCTCTCATGGGCACTCCCCTCAACTCCACACTCATACAGCCTTCTTGCTGCCTCCACTTGGACATCCAACAGCAGCTCCAACAACATGGATCCATCCGACCTGTGATTCCCTCCGACCCCAACCTGCTTCTCCCCTGCCTTCTCCATCTTTGTTAATGGCAACTCTCCCTGGCTCCAGCCAAAACCTTTGGAGTCATCTTGGAGTGCTCTCATTCTCTTATACTCTATGTCCAATCTATGGCGAAGCCTGTCTTCCCCGTCTTCCAAATGATTTCTGAATCTGGCCACTCCTTACCACCTCCACAGCTACCATACCCTCCCTAGCTCCCTGCCTCCCACGTGTTGGCCTAGAGACCCCTCATCACAGGGGTCATGCCCTTCCTCTGCTCCATGCCTCCCAATGGCTCCCATGTCCCCAGAATACCCAGAGCTTTACCGTGGCCAACCCACATGGTCCTGCCCATGTCACCTCGCTGTCATATGTGCACGCACACATACAGACAGAGCCTAACTCTCTGTGGCCACCTGGATCCTTGCTAGTCCACCAACGAGCCAAGCACACTCCCACCCAGGGGCCTCTGAACTTACTTTTTCCACCAACTGCTACGTTCTGCTCCCACATATCTGCATGGCTCCCTTCCTTCTGGTCCCTACTCAACCATCACCTTGAGGGGGAACAGAGTGGCAAGTCCACCCCCCAACATCCCAGTGTTCCTAACCCTTTAGGCTTCCCTGTCTTCTTCATGAAACAGACCACCTTGAATATTATACATTTGTCACTGATATCTTCTCCACTAGAATGTAAGCTCCATGAAGGCAGGGGCTTTGCTATACTCACTGTGGTATCCCCAGTGCCCGAATCAGTGCCTGGCATGGTCAATAGACATTTATTAGGCGAATGAGTAAAGAAGGGAAGGAAAGATGGAGGAGTGCTGTAACTGTGGATTTCCCTCCCTTTCCTTCCTCCTCCGGCTCACAGCAATGATGGGAGGGGGCCTTTTCAGTTTCCAAAGCCCTCTCTCCCCTACACACTCATTTACTCCTCACAACAAACCTAGAAGATATATAAGGGAATGCGTTATTATCTCACTTCACAGACAAGGGGTCTGAGGCCAAGGCAGCCCAGTGACGTGGACACAAGGCTGATGGCAGGCTGCCCCTTTCCAAGCCAGTGCCAGCACCAGGGGGCAGGAGGCTAACCCCCTCCTAGATCTGACTTGACCTTCCATTCTGCCCCCCAGGAGGACCAGGGCCCAACCCTGAAAGGTGGGAGTTAGAACAGGAAGCCACAGGTCCCAATTGCCAGCACCTTCCTGTGTCCCACCCAGAGGCCACTCTTCTGGAAGGAGGGTAAGACTCCTCAGACCAGCTCTGTCTCTGTGCACCCCAGGCTCCCTCCTCTGAAAATCACCAAGGAGCAGACCCTACGTCCATCTGTGACTGCCGTGATGCCTGCCTGCAGAGGGATTTGCTTCTTGCCTAAGATCTGGCACAGCCCAGTGGCGCTGCCAAGCCAGGCCACTAGGTGGTGTCCCAGAGCTCAGGCCCTGGCAGCTCCCAGGGAAAGGGCCAGAGTGGCTTTTCTCTCAGAACCCAAGAATGTGCCCCACCCCCACCCTTGGCCTGATTAAAAGGGAGAAGAACCACCCAGTTGCCTCAGGGGTCTTAGCACCCAAGACCCGCAGAGTTGTCAAATCATTTAATCCTAGGCAGGAAATCTTTGGCACATGTGCCACCACCTTCTAGCCCTCATCCTTGGCAGACATCACTAATCCACCCAGGTATTACTGTCCTACAGAACACACACAACCTCAGAACCCTTTGCAACACCGCCTCTGTGCAAGCCACGACCAAGTGATTAGAACTGGCATGCAAGACAAGCCACTTGCCAGCGCTCTCATTTCCCGTATGAGGACACGCAGGCCAGGCTCACTCTGTCTCATTGGGAATCCAGGCTGCAAAAGCCAGTGGGGCCAGAATGAGGTCATATGACCCTGGGAGGCTTGTGTAACCATGGTTGAGTCCTGCGGAAACCTCAAGTGTGTAATGGCAGAGGCTGCTGGGCTGGGGCAGCTGCATTCTCGGCCAATTGTCACCTCAGAGCGGGTGGGGTGCAGGGAAATCTGCCTGAGCTTCTTGGCTTCAGAGCTGAAGAGGCCCCAAAAGGGGGTGAAAGGAAGGGAAGAGGAGAGCAAGAGACAGAGGCTCTCAGGGTATGTGTGTGTGTGTGTGTGTGTGTGTTTCAGGCAGCCCTGACAGAGACGCCTTGTCCTCCTGCCCCTGCAAAGGCTTGTTTTCTTCCCAAGCTATTAATGTCGCTGCAGCTTCAAAAGCCGGGTGACCTTTAAACGCTGAGCCTCCTGCTCCTGCCCAAGGCTCGGAAAAGGCTTAATGGAAACTCGACCCAAATGGCCACAGCTGCCGGGGCTGCAACAAAGCCAGCCTCATTCCCGAGGCCCCCAGAGCTGCTGGGCAGCCACACCTGTGCCCACCCCCAGGCAGCCAGGAAGGGCAAAGAGGACCCTCGGGCACAGCCATTGGAGAAAAGAGGCCACTGGACCTTAGGGGAGGAGGAGGAGGAGCAGGGGAGAGACAGACAATGCTGTCATGCGCTGCTGTGTGACCTTGGGTACTTCTCTGGACCACTCATCTCTTCTACATCTGTAAAACACGAGAATTTGGCAGGGCACAGTGGCTCACGCCTGTAATCCCAGCACTTTGGGAGGCCAAGGCAGGTGGATCACGAGATCAGGAGTTCAAGACCAGCCTGGCCAAAATGGTGAAACACCGTCTCTACTAAAAATACAAAAATTAGCCAGGCATGGTGGTGGGTGCCTGTAATTCCAGCTACTCGGGAGGCTGAGGCAGAGAATTGCTTGAACCTGGGAGGTGGAGGTTGCAGTGAGCCAAGATCGTACCACTGCACTCCAGCCTGGGTGACAGAGCAAGACTCCGTCTCAAAAACAAAACAAAACCAAACCATGAGGATTTGATAAAAGGACTCCTAAACCTCTTTGCCAGGAAGAAGCCCCACTGCCACCCAGAGAAGCAGGACACCTGGTTTCCATGCCCACACAGCAGAGCTGCCGGCAGGGGTGAGGCTGGGGGCAGCCCCTGCCTTCCAAAGGCTACTCCATGAGCTGTGCAGGCTGGGCATGGCATGATGCCTTGGCCACCCCCACCCCTATCACTTAGATCTGTAAGGGTGGGGCATTCCTTTAAAAATTGTTTTTAATCTTTAAAAATCAGAAGAAAGGCCAGGCTTGGTGGCTCATGCCTGTAATCCCAGCACTTTGGGAGGCCGAGGCGGGCAGATCATCTGAGGTCAGGAGTTTGAGACCAGCCTGGCCAACATGGTAAAAC
Organism: Homo sapiens; assembly: GCF_000001405.40. Lineage (NCBI taxonomy): Eukaryota > Metazoa > Chordata > Mammalia > Primates > Hominidae > Homo > Homo sapiens. The sequence continues at coordinate 57,894,497 of NC_000017.11, forward strand.
CCTGTCTCTACTGAAAATACAAAAATTAGCCCAGTGTGGTGGCGCATGCCTGTAATCCCAGCTACTTGGGAGGCTGAGGCACTTGAATCACTTGAACCAGGAGGCAGAGGTTGCAGTGAGCCAAGATCACACCACTGTACTCCAGCCTGAGCAAGAGTGAGACTCTGTCTCAAAAAAAAATCAAAAGAAAAAATACGATTCAAAAAAGACCTTTTCTTTTCTAATTTTTCTCTCTCCTGCCTCAACACTTGTGGCCAAGTCTGTAGCCAATGGGAGATGTGGGGCAGGGACGAGGGCAAGAGGTTTCAGAGAAGGTGAATGAGGTCCCTTGTGGACAAATTGGTCCCAGAGCCTCAGTCCTAAGGACATCATCATTCATCTCTGCTCCTGAGGCCCAAATATCAGGTGTGGCTGCCACAAAAGGCACCATCAAGAAGCCAATTCTGCCTTCTAGTGAAAAAGATCCAAGATGAGGCTTCTCAGCAGAGAAACATGTCATTTGTTTGGTTCATCTTAGCAAGATAATGGTCATAATAGTCATAATGAGAATAGATAACACTTATTGCCTGCTTCCTTATATGCTAGCCACTACTCAAAGTGCCTTATTGCATGTTAACTCTCTTCATCCTCCCTACAGCTCTACAAGGTGCATATTACTACTGCTATTTCCACTTCATAGTAGAAAAATGAGGCGTAGAAGGGTTGAGTAACTTGTTCAAGGTCACACAGCTAAGTGGCCAAGCTGAAATTTGAACCCAGAAGGTCCGATTCCAGATTTAACACTCTGTATCCATTGGGCTTGATCACCATTCCATATTCCCTAGAGCCTAGCACAGAGCTGGGCACACAGCAAGAACTCAATAACTGTGAGTTAAATTGAATACTAAAGGACAGGGTTGCCCCTGGAGAGGCTGGGGGTGCCTGGGTGCCACTGGAGGTATAAGGGATGGTGCTTATGTCCAGGAAGCAAAGGAGAAGACAAAACAGTGGCAGTTTCCTCACAAAACCTTTTTCCCATCCTACTGAAGTTGTCAAGTTGCCTGAGCAACCAACTGTTTTCCACCACAACCTGGGCTGGCTGGGGACTATTTCCACAACAGTCCCTCACTCCATAAACAAAAGCCACCAGCTCAGCCAAGATATTCGACTCAGGTGCCTGGGAGGAGATCAAACCTCAGCGGATTAAGGGGGCTACTGTCCCCCTGCCCCTCCCCTCCCAGGTGCCACAGCTCTAGGGGACCCCACTGGGCTGGCAGGAACACGCGCGTTCATGCTACCAAGTCAAAGGGCCCACGCTGGAGGAAGGGGGCCACTGGTAACTCAGGTGCAGGGCCAAGGAAGCTGGGTTGGCTCCAGGCATGAGCTCATACTGGACCAGGCCCAGCTTCTTGGGAAAAGGGGTCAGCTGCTCCTCCCTGGGCTTCTCCTATAGGCAGTCAGGCTGAAGGCCCCCCCAGTAGGCTGAGTTCTGAGGTCTGGACAGCAGCAGGAGACACCTCTGGGTCCCCGGACAGGCAGCAATCCATGCCCCACAATTTAGCATCCGAACATGCCCAGGTAATCCGGGTCAAGGAACCCATGATTAGAAAGGAGTGCTCAGGATGGGCAGAGGAGGGTCCTGCAAACAGAACTCCCAACCCCTGCCCTTGCCCTCCACACTAAGGCACACTTTGCACCTACCTACTGATTCAGGAATTCCACTTCTATGAAATTTACCTACAGATGATATGTTTGCAACTGTGTTGAGTATGGGCATAAGGATATTCCTTGTAATAGTCTAACAGCAGAAGACTGGAAACACTCTACAAGTCTACCCGTAGCAGGCTGATGAAAATATGATACATTATCAGCATCCTCCTCTCTCTATATAATGCTATTCAATAACAAACAAAAATGAGGGATTTCAATATGTCTCTTTAGCCCAAGACCTAAGGGAACAATGCAAGGTACAAAACAATGAGTATAGTCACTCTACTATAGTGCATTATGGGGTGTGTGTGTGTGTGTGTGTGTGTGTGTGTGTGTGTGTGTATGAAATCCGAAAGGATTCACAAGAAACTGATAATATATGTTTCCCCTGGGGAGAACTGGGTCATAAGAGATAGATCAAGGAAATTTTTCCACTACAGATTCTTGTATACCTCTAAAATTTTGATTGATACTCATTTATTAATTTAAAAATAAAATATGCAAATAATCCATTATTATTGGATTACTAAGAACATTAAAGTAATAGCATTGCCAGTGATTTTTATATCTTTTTCTTCTTTCTTTTTTTTTTTTTTTTTTTTTGAGATGGAGTCTCTCTCTGTCATCCAGGCTGGAGTGCAGTGATGTGATCTCAGCTTATGCAACCTCTGCCTCCCGGGTTCAAGTGATTCTCCTGCCTCAGCCTCCAGAGTAGCTGAGACTACAGGTGCGTGCCACCATGCCAAACTAATTTTTTGTATTTTTAGTAAAGATGGGGTTTCACCATGTTGGCCAGGCTGGTCTCGAACTCCTGACCTCTGATAATCTGCCTGCCTAGGCCTCCCAAAGTGCTGGGATTACAGGCATGAGCCACCGCGCCTGGCCATGTCTTTTGCATATTATATCATCTACAGCAGACATAAGTTACTATTTAATAATAATTATAGCAAACGTCTATGAGCACTTGGTAGGTACATGCATTTTCTATATACTTGGCATGCATTATCTCATCAAATCCCCACAGTACAGCAATGAATACATCCATTTCACAGAAAAGAAAACTAAGGCTCAGAGAGATTAAATAACTTACACAGGGTCACATAGTCAGTGGCAGAGCCCGATTTGGAATCCAAACAGTCTGGCCCCGGAGTCCATGATCTTCTTAACTTCCAACCTATAGTGTCTCTAATTAAAAGTTTTTCTAGCCGGGCGCAGTGGCTCACGCCTGTAATCCCAGCACTTTCGGAGGCCGAGGCAGGTGGATCACAAGGTAGGGAGATTCAGACCATTCTGGCTAACACGGTGAAACCCCGTCTCTACTAAAAATACAAAAAATTAGCCGGGTGTGGTGGCAGGCACCTGTAGTCCCAGCTACTCGTGAGGCTGAGGCAGGAGAATGGTGTGAACCCAGGAGGCGGAGCTTGCAGTGAGCCAAGACCGTGCCACTGCACTCCAGCCTGGTCTCAATGAAAAAAAAAAAAAAAAAAAGTTTTTCTAGAATGTCTTTACTCTCTAATTAAAACAAAATTTTACAAAACCTGAATTATGGCCAGGCGCGGTAGCTCACGCCTGTAATCCCAGCACTTTGGGAGGCTGAGGCGGGTGAATCACGAGGTCAGGAGTTTGAGACCAGCCTGGCCAACATGGTGAAACCCCGACTCTACTAAAAATACAAAACTTAGCTGGGCGTGGTGGCAGGTGCCTGTAATCTCAGCGACTCAGGAGGCTGGAGCAGGAGAATCGCTTGAAACCAGGATGCAGAGGTTGCAATGAGCCGAGATTGCACCACTGCACTCCAGCCTGGGCGACAGTGCGAGACTAGGTCTAAAAAAATAAAAACTGAATTGTGGTAGAAAAAATCTTAAGAAAGCAAACCCCAGAGCCTCCAGGGCTTTAAAACCTTTTCAATCCTAAGAATCCCAACCCAATCCTTCCTGCTCTGATCATTTAGGCAGGCTTTCTTCAGTCACTGCACCCCATGGTGCACCCTCCAACCTTGGTCAGGGACTCACCTGCCTCCTGCTGGGGATGCAGGGAAGGAATGAGGGCCGAGTGGACAAAGTGCTGGCTCATAGCATAGCTGTTTCAGAGGTAGAACCACAGTGTGGAGGGCCTGTTGGGGCACAACAGGGCTGGGGGTCTGGCCAGGAAGCTGCCGGTGGAGGGGAGACCACAAGTTGTTTACTGGTGCTATGTCTGGGGTAGGAAGCCATGGAGCGAGTGGTCAGGAGTGGGGCTTTAGCCTGAGTGGTCAGGAGTTGGGCAGTCCTCTGCTTACCTCCTGATCCTGCAGCTTATGGGGCAAGCAGGATTGCTCTGAGCAATCTGTAATATGGGGATACATATACCTTCTCAGATGGCGCTCCTGCAGGGGATTGACTGTGGTGGGCATGCACAGCACCCCACAAGGGAAGCTGTCAGTCAGAGGCAGCTGTTAGTAAGACTCTATGAGCACGGGCCATTCACACCCCAAGGCCACATAGTTCCAAGGGGCTGATTCTAGAGTCTGGCCCAGGCGTCTGGCCTGGGAATCCAGCCCTGAAGGGAGTGAATGTGGAGCACAAAGGCCTCCCCACTCAGGGACCTCCAGGACCTCAGGCTGAGAGGGCTCAGGGACCCCAAGGGAGGAGCAGGGAGCTGGGCCAGCAGCCCTGTGCCCATTCCTGCCCATACCCTGCCCTCCAGCTAAGCTTCCAAGGGTAGGAGAAGTGATTGGAATAATGCAGGGTGCCCACTCCTAACCAGGGGAAGGAGGTGGCTTGAAGGGGCCTGTCCCCCAAGGGAGGGGCTCCATGGGCTCTGGGCAGCAGGAGCACAGGCAGAGTGGCCCTCTCAGAAATGCCTTCTCTGGCAGCTGAGGAATGTAGGCCCAGGACAGAGGAACAGAGGCTGGGAGGGAGGGGTGGCTGGCCCAGGGCTGAGCTTCAAAAGAGCAGGCAGCAGCTGCGGCTGGGAGGCCGCCCGCCTCAGGCAGCCGGGACACCATCAGAAATTCCACCCAGAGTGAGAAGGGCCCAGCCCAGACAGCAGATGGGATAATTTAGAGCCACTCACTGCTGGGCCAGCTGCACCCCCCCAACCACAGACTGCTCCCTCCACCCGGCCTCAGCCCCTGCTCCGCCTGTGTAGCAGCAGCGATCCCCTTGCACAGTCAGGGGCGCCCAGAGCCCAGCTGCCCAGGTCCCCTCTCCTGCCCATCCACATACCCACGTGCCCACACGTATACTCTGGAGCTGCCACGGTTAGGGAGGCAGGAGAAACCTCATGTTTTCACTTCCACATGGTGCATGTTGCCAGAGGTCAGAGAGCCCAGTGGCTGCAGCACTGGGATTCGAACCCAGATCGTGAGACTCCTGGCCAGTGCTCTCTCCTTGTATGGGCACATACAGCAGCACATGCCAGCACACAGCTCACATGCCTGCATGTGCTAACAGGCTCCCACTCACTGCCACACACACCAGCTCACTCAACCCCATTCACTTGCACAGTGCCACATGCTCCTCCCAGGCCCTCGCAGCCATAGGACACAGACAACACTTTAGGATTTTTTTTGAACCGTCCCACACAGCCCAGGCACTCAATGTACTACTCCCCTCTTCGCCCAACTCTGAAGCTATGTTTTTAAAATTACAGTCACTCTTCTATACACACTCGCTAGTGCGCACTGACAGCACCCTCAGCCCTCCCACAGCCCACCCTCCAAGCCACCCCCTTCATTAGGCTGATAGCAGGGCCAGATGAGGCCCTGGGATCCCTCTCTTCCCCCATCTGCACCCAGAATGGGTTTTACAGCATTGGTAAGGTCAGGCTGACCTGACTTGCAGCAAAACTGGCCAGAACCAGGAAGTGGCACACCCTGGCCAAGACACCAGCTTCCTGGTTCCCTGCAGGCCCAGCTCCTAGAAGGCAGTGCAGGGAAGGACCTCAGGCCAGCTGGGGCTGGTAGCCTCAGCCCCAAATCTAACAATCAGGGGAAGGGGGCAAGAGCTTTTAGGGGTCCCATAACCAGCTTCCTTTCGCCTCCCGAGGGCCTCAATCTCTACTTCTAGAAAATGGAGAGAAACAGTCCCTGTTTGGTCTGATCATTGAAATCTTCCAGGGATATAGGTGGGGGCTGGGGGAGCCGGTCAGGACCAGAGAAAGGCACCACTGTTCTAGGCACAAACCAGGATGAGCCCTCTGCAGAAACAGCCTGCTGCATCCTAGTCCCCCAGGGATGGAAGGGTCTGTACACTTTCTTTAGCTACAGAACCAGAACCCCTTTCTTCAAATGAAACCCTCAGCAGAAGTCCATTATGTAAAGGCATTAAACAGAAACCTGCCCTCATCCACCCCCAGCAATTATGCATCATCAGAGAAGCTGCCATTTACCAAGTGCTAGGCAAAGTACTTCTCGTGCATCACATCATTTAATCCTCGTGACAATGTAGTAGTGCAGGTTATTACCTTCCACCATCATCATCACCATTTTATAGATAGATACACTGAGTCGTGTGTGACCTAGAGGTTGTCCAGGACTGCGCCACATTGAAATTGCATGTACATGTCAAGTCTCCTGACATACCACTTACTTGCAATGCATTTTAAAGCCTGGGTTTAATCCCTCATGCTCTCATCTTTAAAGCTGTTTGCATCTCTGCCTGTTCTGCTCACTGCTACTGATGAGGCTTCAGGAAATGCAATGAGCTTTTCCATCAGTCTAAGAAGTCAAATGTTCTTTGCACTATAGCAGGTGTATCTCAGAGGACGGTGGCGACCACCTTCCTCAGACTCCCCTGAGGTGTTTGCTAAGAACCCATATTCTCTAACCCACTATTAAATCAGAATCTCTGAGAACATGCTCTGGGGATGTGCTTTCTAACAAGCTCCCTGGGTCATTCTGATACACAGTAAATTGTGAGGACCACTCTCTTGCAAGGTGATGCAGTTCAGAGACCTGGATGCTGGTTTTGGTCCCATCACTAACTAGCCAAGTGACCTCGGACACATCATTTTACCTACTGGGCCTCCAGGTTTCCATCCGGAAAATGGGAGGGTAGGACTAAATAATCTCCAAGACTCTTTTCACCTCCAACATTCTCTGTGTCCACTCTAGGTTCCCAGCTGGTCCACAGGTATACAAACTGACTTTCACAGACTGCTTGGTCCCTGTAGCAGCCAGCGCACACTGTAGACACTCATGACATAAAGTTCCTGTCTAGTTGATTTAAGGAAACCTGAAAAAATACCTTACCTCTGGCTCTAGGCCCTAAACAGATGGCTTTTGGATCATCCATGCCACCTACCCCTCCCCTGAATATTTATTTTCTTCATTCCAGCCCCAGCCGTGAGCCAACCAGGACTCTGTAAACACTGAGTCTGCACACCTGGGCTTAGTCAACAGTCATCAAACAAAGGCACTGCCAAATCACCTCACAAGCCCAAACTTGCACCTACTCTGTCTGTCACAGGGAAGCAGCCACCTGGGAGGTGTGAATGGTGTGCTCCCCTTCTCCCAACACAGAATGGGCATGAGGGATTGGGCTGTATAGAGGATGTAGCCGGAACGGCCCCAGCCTACAAATGGGTTGCAAGTTTAATTAGACTTAAGGGATATGAGAAAACAGCATGAGAAGCAGCCAGCAGTTGCAAGAATCTTCCAGAAGCAGCTAGACATTTCTCAGTCCCTTGGCTTCTTCGATAATCATCATTAAAATATGATGCACTGGCCGGGCATGGTGGCTCACACCTGTAATCCCAGCACTTTGGGAGGCCGAGGCAGGCTAATCACCTGAGGTCAGGAGTTCAAGATCGGCCTGGACAACATGGTGAAACCCCATCTCTACTAAAAATACAAAAATTAGCCAGGCGTGGTGGCAGGTGCCTGTAATCCCAGCTACTCAGGAGGCTGAGGCAGGAGAATTGCTTGAGCCCAGGAGGCAGAGGTTGCAGGGAGGCAGAGGTTGCAGGGAGCCAAGATCACGCCATTGCACTCCAGCCTGGAAGACAAGAGCGAGACTCCACCTCAGAAAAAAAAAAACAAAAAACAAAAAACAAAAAAAACCATGATGCATTCAGTGCTTGAACCTGGGAGGCGGAGGTTGCAGTGACCTGAGATCACACCACTCACTCCAGCCTGGGCAACAGAGCGAGACCTCCATCTCAAAAAGAGAAACGATGATACATTCAGGTAGTGCTTGAACACTGCTTGCTGGTGGCAAACATATGACTGACTCGTCCTGCAAGGTCTGTGTATCCCTAACAGCAGAGTTGTGGGGATTAGCAGACCCACAGCCCGGACACGGGTTGAATTGAGATTCATGCTACCTTTGTGTATGGTGAACCTGTGTGCATGTGCAAAATAACTAAAGAGGAAGGATGAACAGGAAAGGCAAGGATGAAAACCCAGCTTCCACAGGGGAAACATCTGTGAATTGTAGCCAGGATCTGCTGATACTAGTCATTTGAGAATCCCAAGATAGATTATCCTCTCACTCTGACCACACTGACTGTCCACAATGATTGTGCTTTACGTGTGCACAGCACTCAACAGCTTAAGACGTTGCGGGAAAGTCCCCGAACGCTTTGCATTCAGCCAGGCTCCAGGTTGGGCACAAACCCTATAGCAGAGAGCTGGCCCAGGTGCCATGCCATCCTCACAACAATCCTATGAAGTAGGGACTGTTATTTTGCAGAGGAGGGGATTGAAGTACAGAGGAGTTAAATACCTTGCCCCAAGTCTCGCAGCCAGGAGTAACCAGGTCAGGATTCTACCCCAGAGCCCACACTCCAACCCCTCACCATGTTGTCACCCCACTTACAATAATGAATCTCTGCACCTCTGCATGGGACAAAGAGGGAAACTGAGTCTTCCAGGAGGGCTGGGCACTTGAGGCCATCCTGGCAATGGTCCCACCTCCAGCCATCCTGGAGGAGGAGCGAAGCCACTGCGTTGAGTGCGTGGGTGCAGTGGGCCAGCCAGGGAACAGGGAGGTAAAAAACCAAGGGGGCACCTCAGCTCTGAGCTGGGCAGGCCAGGCCCCACCTCATGCTTCCTCTGCCACAGCAGTCCCAGGCCAGGAGGGCACCTTGCCAGGCTCCACTGCCACCCAGAACATGGCCTCCCTGTCCTGGTCTGGGTTCTCCTCGAGTTGTATTTCCATGGCAGCCACAATGGGCAGCAGCCAGGGTGAGTCAGGCCAGGCAAGAGGAAGTGGCCACACTTGAAAATTATTAACATGCAGGGCTGAGCTTGAGTCCTTTGTTCTTGAGCAAAGACTGTAGCATTTCACTTTCAGGAAGGAGCTAGGAGGGTGGGGCAGGCTCAGAATTGCACAACCAAAGCACAGGCTCAAACACACACAGGTCCCAGGTGGAAGTCAGCTTAGACAGGCCACCTGCAGAAAAGTGCAGGCCAACCCACAGCCCCATACAGCAGGTCCACAGAGAAAATACAGGCCAACTCATCTCCACTGTTTTTTAAATCAGAGGCTGGGCACAGTATATGAAAACCTATATAATCCCAGTGCTTTGGGTGGCTGAGATGAGAGGACCACTTGAGGCCAGGAGCTTGAGACCAGCTTGAGCAACATAGAGACCCTTTCTCTACACAAAAGGAAAAATTAGCTAGGCATGGTGGTGCACACCTGTAGTCCCGGCTATTCAGGAGGGTGAGATGGGAGGATTACTTGAGCCCAAGCGTTCAAGGCTGCAGTGAGCTATGATGGCTCCACTGCACTCCAGCCTGGGTGACAGAGAGAGAGACCGTGTTTCAAAAAAAAAAAAAATCAGAGAGGGTTTCCAACAGGGATAAAATCAGGGTTTTTGTGGTCAAAAGTGTTCCAAGTCAGGGAGACCAAGCAAAGGAGGCACAAGGCCGGCCACAGAGGGAAGGATGGGACTCTGGGCAGCCAGACCCCAGTGGGAGCCCTGCGTCTGGGAGAGATGAAAGACACCCCCTCACCCCAGCTGGCAGGGGGCAGCCCCAGCTCTAGGAAGACTGCCTTCCTGCACCCCCTTGCCAAAAGATGGCATCTCTCCTCCAACCATGCAGCTGTCCTGGCCCCCCTACCCCACCGCGTCTCCTAGGTGAGAAAAACACCCATAACCATCCTCACGGGCACCCAGCAACCCTGAAACACTGTGTCTCGGGCAACTTTTCGAGCTGCAGCTGTTCCCTGAAAAAGTCACACATCAGCCACCAGGAGTGGTGGGAAAGGCTGAATTCTGGAGAAGAGGGATGAAGGTTGGGGAGGTGGGAGGGAGGGAAGGGAATATGGTCACCAGAGGAAAAAAGTCAATCAACGAGGAAAAATCTGTTTCTAAAAATGTAATGCAAACAACAAAAAAACAGGCTTTGAGCAAGCCTTATAAGCCCTGGGGCCCAGGCCTGTCCTTAGTTCCCCGGGAATGGCCCCTGCTCCCCGTCCCATTTCACAGGGGTCATCAAGAGGCTAAGATTTCACTCTGCTCCCCTCCTGCACTTCAGGAGAGCTTAACCTTGAGGCCTTCAAGGAAATTGGGAGAAATGGGACCCCTGTCCTTTGGCAATTACAAAGTAAATGGCCCTAGGGGCTAGGCGTGGGGGGATCGCCCTACCGTAGGGGAGTGGGGGGGCCTCATTCCCACCCTTCCTCGGCTCTGCAGGGGTGGCTGCAGCAGAGGTGGCTTGTTCAGGGAAGCTACCTGCTCCATCCGTGCTGGGACCACAGGGGCAGGCCACCCACCGGGTCCAACTCATCCCCCTACCAAAGCAGCTCTTTTTGTAAAGGGCTTTCGGGGACAGGAAGCAATAAACAGAGTCAAGCGGCCAAGATGCAGGGGCTGATTATACAGTTTACGGATTTTCCAGGCCTTTTTGTACTCTCCCACCAGCTGCCCGGGGCTCTGCAGAAAAAGGTGCTGGAGAAAGACCGGCTGGTCCCTGGCTTTACAGGTGGCCTTTTGCCAGGCCTAACTGGGCCTTCCTGAGCGAATGAGGGGGCTGCATGCCTCGAGGGTCCTGCAAGTCACCATGAAGAACACTGCCACCCGGTACCACTAGAGACCAGCAGGCTAATGGCTACAGCTTCTCTCTCTCTCTCTGACACACACACACACACACACACACACACACACACACACACACTCCAGCCTGCTGCTCAACTCTCCACCCAGCTCTAAGTCACTCTGGTATTCCAGAGGGGAGGGGATGCCTGGCTGCGCGCTGCCTGCGTGCTGAGGCCAGGTGGGTGGCCCTCCTTCACAAGGAAGCTCACAGCTCAGCTCAGTTTAGCTGCACTGGGGGTGGCAAGCAACTTGGGAAAGACTGAGGCTGGCGGGGAAGATGGCTCTGGGCTGGAGGGCCTCCCCAGTGCGTGCTCAGCTCACATTCCCCAAACAGGCTATGATCTGGTGAAACACAGGCCCACGCGTGCAAAGCCGTAAATGCAGAGCTAAAATGGGGAACCACCCACTTGTCTCTCAATACCCCATATGCAACAAAAAACACAGGGCACATCCACATGCAGCCAACACCTTCCAGTGCCAAATAGAATCGCATGAAAAAAACCAAGTGGCCAGGCCATGTGTACACCGTACCATTTTTGTTCAAATGTCTGGATGTCCATGTGTACACTTGGGTACACACAGGAAGACGTCTGGGTGGATATGCACCAAATCCAAGGCAGCAGTTACCTAAAAGGAAGGGTTGTGTGGGGGCAACTCCTGCTCTTTGCTTCATGTACCTCTGCAACCTTTGGTGTTCTTACAAGAAATATGCCTTGTTTCTGCAGTTTAAAATAAGATATTAAACAAAATAAAGTTCATTGTTGGTGGCAATGTAAAATGGTACAGCCACTATGAAAAAGATAGTGAAACACAGTGAAAAACCACAGTTTGGTGGTTCCTCAAAGTTAAACACAGAATTACCATATGCTCCAGTGATTCCATTCATGGGTATATAACCCAACAAATTGGAAACAGGACTCAAATAGGTAATTGTACATCAGTGTTCATAGTGGTGTTATTCACAATAGTCCACAGCTGGAAACAATCCAAGTGTCCATCAATAGATAAATGGATAAACAAAATGTACTCTACATATTTAGAACAATGGAATATTACTCAGCCACAAAAAGGAATGAAATGCTGACACATGCTACAATGTGGATGAACCTTGAAAACATTATACTAAGTGACAGAAGCCAGACATAGAAGTACAAATATTGTATAATTCCACTTATATGAGGAACCTAGAACAGGTAAACTCATAGAGACAGAAAGTAGAATAGAGGTTTCCAAGGACTCAGGGAAGAGGGAGAATTGGGGACTTATTACTTAATGGGCATAGAGTTTCTGTTTGGGATGATAAACAAGTTCTGGAAATGGATAGTGGTGATGGTGGCACAATAATGTGGATCTACTAAATGCCACTGAATTATACGCTTAAAAATGGTTAAAATGGTAAGTTTTATATTTAGTATGTTTTACACAAGAAAGAGAGAGACAAATAAGGCACCAGATTGTAGAAGACACCATGAGTCAGGCCAGGTGCGGTGGCTCATGCCTGTAATCCCAGAACCTTGGGAGGCCAAGGCGGGTGGATCACCTGAGATAGGGAGTTCCGAGACCAGCCTGGCCAACATAGTGAAACCTCGTCTCTACTAAAAATATAAAAATTAGTCGGGCGTGATGGCGGGCGCCTGTAATCCCAGCTACTTTGAGGCTGAGGCAGGAGAATCGCTTGAACCCAGGAGGTGGAGGTTGTGATGAGCCGAGATCATGCCATTGCACTCCAGCCTGGGCAACAAGAGTGAAACTCTGCCTCACAAAAAAAAAAAAAAAAAGAAGACACCATGAATCACCATCACCAGGCAGAAGGGGGCACTACTCGGGCTATTTAGAGAGAGGGCAGCCAGCACACAGGAAATCCTGGCCTGCACAGAGGGGCTCTGTCCCCATCTGCATGGAGTGGGCTGGGAGACAATGACACCCCTGTTGACGAGGGCTGTTCAGATGGCCTGCAGAGTCACGCATGCCACAAGGCTGGGGGAGACAGCACTGCAGGGATACTTTGTGGACATTTGAAATCCTTGCGTTATGATACGCTAGGAAACAGTATTTTAAAAGGCTAGTGTGCTGGAAAACGAAGCATGCATCAGGGAACCTTGGACAGGAGGGGACTGGGGAAGAGAGATACTGGAGGAAGTGGGCAGGAGAGGCTGGGAGAAGAGGATCAGCAGTCTGTCCTAGAGGACCCTCAGTCAGGCTGGATCATTCACTCCACAGACGGGAGCATGCTCCCAGGTTCAGGGTAGTGGGAAAGTGGGGGTAAGGGATAAGAGGACCCTATTTACATCTAGTAAATACCTCTGTACATCTTCAGTACCCCCACAAATCTTGTTCAAAAGTACATACTGGGCCAGGCGCAGTGGCTCATGCCTGCAATCCCAGAACTTTGGGAGGCCAAGGCAGGCGGATCACTTGAGGTCAGGAGTTCGATACCAGCTTGGCCAACATGGTGAAACCCTGTCTCTACTAAAAATACAAAAATTAGCTGGGTGTGGAGACAAGCGCTTGTAATCCCAGCTATTCAGGAGGCTGAGGCAGGAAAATTGCTTGAACCCGGGAGGTGAAGCTTGCAGTGAGCCGAGATCACGCCACTGCACTCCAGCCTGGGCAAAAGAGTGAGACTCAAAAAAAAAAAAAAAAAATACTGTACCTATCTAAAATGAGAAAGAAAAAGCTGCCAGTGCACCCCACCCCCCAATTCTTGCAGAAGGCCCAAATTCCTGTGACTTGAGGCCAAGCCATAAGATCCAGAATAGGGAATAAGATAAAAACTGCCAGGGTGAGCTGAACACCGTTGTGACTGGACCTCGTTCACACACGCATGCCCACGGGCCAGCCACCAGGCATCAGGTTCTTTTTGAGACGAAATCTCGCTCTGTTTCCCAGGCTGGAGTGCAGTGGCATGATCTCGGCTCACTGCAATCTCCACCTCCCAGGTTCAAGTGATTCTTCTGTCTCAGCCTCCTGAGCAGCTGGGACTACAGGTGCTCGCCACCACACCTGACAAATTTTTGTATTTTTGGTAGAGACGAGGTTTTGTCATGTTGGCCAGGCTGGTCTCAAACTCCTGACCTCAGGTAATCTGCCTGCCTAGGCCTCCCAAAGTACTGGGATTACAGGTGTGAGCCACCGCGCCTGGTCATCAGGTTCTTCTTGAAGGAGAGAAGCACAGAGGAGCTTGGGCACACCCAAGTAGGGCCCCACATGCTGAGAACTGTGATGCCAAGACAGGCTTCCCAGGGGCACGGTTTCCTGAGGTTTAGCCACATATCTCCAATCATGCAAGGGCTAAGAGAAGCCTTGTGTGGGGCACATTTGTGGTCAGCGGCAGCTCTGCCTCACTTGAGATAACGATATTTAAAGAGTAGATTTTTTAATAAAAGGATGTTGTATCCAGGGGCTTCCTGAAACATGCCAGGTATTATTTGTGGCTGTGTGTGTGCATTTGTGTGTGTGCACGCATTAGAAAGAAGACAGGTAGCTTTGAAAGATCATAATGTGACCAGGTGCAGTGGCTTACGCCTGTAATCCCAGGACTTTGGGAGACTGAGGCAGGTGGATCACAAGGTCAGGAGATCGAGACCATCCTGGCTAACACAGTGAAACCCCGTCTCTACTAAAAATAGAAAAAATCAACTGGGTGTGGTGGCATGCACCTCTATTCCCAGCTACTCGAGAGGCTGAGGCAGGAGAATCGCTTGAACCCAGGAGGCAGAGGTTGCAGTGAGCCAAGATCGCGCTACTGCACTCCAGCCTGGGTGACAGAACGAGACTGTCTCAAAAAAAAAAGGAAGATCATAATGTAGCCACTATGGCTGTCTCAGAGACCTACTTCTTCTAGAACCTACTGTCCAATAAGGTAGCCACTGGTCATGTATGACAATAAAAATTTTAATTTTAATTAAAATTAAATAAAATGTATTTATTTGTTAATTTTTTTTGAGACGAAATCTCGTTCTGTCATGGCGAGACGGGGTTTCACCACGTTGGCCAGGCTGGTCTCGAACTCCTGACCTCAATCTGCCCGCCTCAGCCTCCCAAAGTGCTGGGATTACAGGCATGAGCCACCGCACCTAGCCTAAAATTAAATAAAATTTAAAATGCAGTTCTTTGGTCATACCATCACATTTCAAGTGTTCATCAGCCATTATGGTTAATGGCCATCATATTGAACAGGACGTATTTTAGAACATAAGCCCTGATTCACTATAACTGGAAGAGCTTTATTATGACTTTCTGAGGGAGACCAAGGACTATGGATGGTCAATCCCCAGCAGAGGAGCCCTTCCACATCTCCTGGGCAAACAGAGCTGGGGTGAGCTCTGTGTCCTCTCATCACTGAGTCCTCAGCCTCATCCAAGATCAAAGCGTTGGCTGTTTCCTGTGAAACTTCACACCCAGGCAGAGAGAAGCTGGGGTCCAGCTGGGAGCCTAAATTCTGATGTCCACACTGGCAGGGCCCAGGCCTCAGAGGACCAGGCTCAGAAAGGCTTTCCCAGTTTGTCTCACCAGGAGGAAGGATGTCTTAACATCCCCAGGCTCCTCCCCTGTTCCCTGTCCTGAGTGTGCAAATGCAAAACTGCCTCCTTGGGCTTCTCCAGAGCAATGGGGAGGAGTCAGAGAAAAAGGGCAGCTGAGGCGGGGTATGCATGTGTGTGCGGGTAGACAGCAGGTAAGTGCATATCAAAGAGAACCCAACGGTCAGGCTGAGGAAATAACCGAAAGAGGTTCTAGCAACACAATGACTGGGTGTTTGGTTCTGGTTTTGTTTTGTTTTGTTTTGTTTTAGAGATGGGGTCTCTCTCTTCTGTTGCCCAGGCTGGAGTGCAGTTGCAGGACCATAGCTCACTGCAGCCTCAAACTCCTGGGCTCAAGCAATCCTCCTGCCTCAGCCTCTTGAGTAGCTGGGATCACAGGCACACGCCACCATGGCTGGCTCCCTCCATCCCTTTCTTTTCCTTACAATTTCTGTGTTGAAGAACACAGGCCATTCAATGGCAGCCTTCTCCACAGACTGGAGTTCATGGAGTAAGTTTTTTTTTCTTGCTAAACCTCAGTGACCTCCCCTGCTCAGCCCATGGGGCCCCTGTGACAATAAAAAGAAAAAGTACACCTGAAAGCACATAGGGAAATGCTTACGATAGTTTAAGCAAAGAATACAAGATGCAAATGAGCACAGAATACAAATTAACATATATATGTTATGTTTTCAACCACAGAAAAAAAAATGCATAGAAAAAAGGATCAAAAATAT
This sequence comes from Homo sapiens, assembly GCF_000001405.40. Lineage (NCBI taxonomy): Eukaryota > Metazoa > Chordata > Mammalia > Primates > Hominidae > Homo > Homo sapiens. Next base: position 57,910,470 of record NC_000017.11, read on the forward strand.
ATATGCCTAGGGCGGGGCACAGTGGTTCACACCTGTAATCCCAGCACTTTGGGAGGCCGGGGCAGGAGGATCGCTTGAGCCCAGGTGTCTGAGACCACCCTGGGCAACATGGTGAGATCCTGTCTCTTAAAAAAAGAAAAGAAAGGAAAGAAAAAGAAAAGGGAAAGGGAAAGAAAGGAAAGGAAAAAAGAGAAGAAAAGAAAAAAGAAAAGAAATATGCCAAATATATCAATAACTGTCCTGGATGGTACAACTCTGTGAACACCCCCTTTTTCTTCCTTTCTTATATTTTTCCACAATTAGCATATCATAATGTGATCATGAGGTGACAAGTCTTCTTTAAAACATTTCAAAGAAGAGTGCCCTTAAAGTCTGGCATGAGACCCAGTGTGTCACCAGGCCTTCACAGTACCCCCTGGCTTTGCTCTGTTACCATGGCCACCACCAATCCAGCTGAGACCCTCAGCCTCCCAAGCCCGCTTCCCTGATGCCTTCAAGCTCCTCTTGCCGTCTCCCTCCCATTTTCTCCCTATGCCACCAACGGAAGAGCAGGCCAGGTCCCCTCCGAACTCCTCAGTCTCTTATGTAAAGATCACATCCCTCCCTCTGCATCAGCGGTCCTCATGCTCAGCAAGCATCACTGTCACCTGGAGGGCTGGTTAAACACACATTGCTGGCCTCCACCCCCAGAGTTCCTGATTCCCTGGGTCTGGGGTGAGGTCCAAGAATCTGCTATCTAACAAGTTGTTAGGCGATGCTGGCACCACTGGTCCAGGGACCACACCTGTCTCCCTAACTAAGCCCTGTCCATCCTTCAAGACCTCGCTCAAGTTCCCCTGTCCCATGAGGCAATCTCTGAGAACTTCAGCCAATATTGATCTCTCTCTTCCCTTCCAGAGCACCTGTTCCTCTTAAGGGTGGTTTGGTAGATGGGGAGATCACTTAGCGGCCATAATCAGGGGCAGTGTAGCACTTCATCACCTGCTGTCTTGTGTGGCTGGCTCTCCTTCATCCTACCAGCTCTCTTTTTTCTTTTTTCTTTTCTTTTTTTGAGATGGGGTCTTGCTCTGTCACCCAGGCTGGAGTGCAGTGGTGCAATCTCAGCTCACTGCAATCTCCGCCTCCCAGGTTCAAGCAATTCTTCTGCCTCAACCTCCCGAGTAGCTGGGATTACAGGCGTGCGCCACCACACCTGGCTAATTTTTGTATTTTCAGTAGAGATGGGATTTCACCATGTTGGCCAGGCCTGACTCAAGTGATCTCCTGATCTCAAGTGATCCGCCCTCTTCTGCCTCCCAAACTGCTGGGATTACAGGCATGAGCCACCGTGCCCGTCCCTATCAGCTCTTAAGGGCAGACTGGGACAGACATTTCTTAAGTGATTCCTCATTAACCAGGAGGCATTCCTCATGTCCCAGGTGAACTGAATCTGTTTCATTCTCAGGCACCCCAGTGACATTCACAAACAGACTTCTAATTATTCACTCGCTCATTCACTGGCAGTCAAAAAACACTTACTGAGCACCTACTGTATGTCAGGATGCGCAAGATAAAAACCTCTTTTCTTCACAGAGGCCAAGAATTACAACAGCATGAATGGCAGAAGCCTACAGAAGGTGCTCTGTGAGGATCCCTCCCAACCGCAGCCCAACGCCCCCACCCCTGGCCCTGGAGACCGCTACACACACACAACCTTGGCCCCAGTTGCAGGTGCTGGTGCCTGCCAACAAGCACACACAGTTGCAGTCACACCCTCGTGTAACCATGGTGAGGATTTGGCTGCCGGTCATAGGCTCCATTGTTCCCCAGCTAAGCCACCCTGGACTCGGGGACAGGATTTATGGGCAGACATTGTTAGGAGAACAGATGTTCGGGCAGGCAGGCCTGGGACCCGCTGGAGGGAGTCAAGAAGACACTACCTCCTAATTAATAGGCGGTAAATGTCTGAGGAACAGACTCCTGTCCCATTTCTTCAAACATCTGGGGTTCCGGACACTTAGGCCCTCTGCCAGGTGAGACATTTGGAGCAGGCTGAAGAGATCATAGATTCTGGAAGGTAGATGTTGGTTTCTCTGTGATCTTGGACAACTTTTTACTTGTTTGTGCCTCAGTTTCACTATCTACTAATATTTACTACTTAAAAAAAATAGTAAAGCCAAAAAAAAAGATGATAAAGACACCGTTTGGAAGAATAAAGGGAGAGTAAAAAACAAACAATAATAACGCCACTGTGTAAAAATAAACTGCAAAAAGACCACTCAGGGAAGCTCCATCAATGCCTTGGCAGGAAAATTCTAAACGTATACAGGCCTACCTGGCACACTGATTCTCAACTAGAGGGGTGCATCAGAATCTCCGGGGAGCCTTTTTCTTTCTTTCTTTTTTCAGAGACAGGGTCTCACTCTGTCACCTAGGCTGTATGTAGTGCAGTGGTGCGGTCATAGCTCATCGTAGCCTCAACCTCCTGGGCTCAAAAGCGATCCTCCCACCTCAGCCTCCAGAGTAGCTAGGCCTACAGGCTCATACCAGGACCAGCTGCTTACATTAAAACAAATTTTTGTAGAAACTGGGTGTCTCCGGGCACAGTGGCTCACACCTGTAATCCCAGCACTTTGGGAGGCCGAGGCGGGTGGATTACCTGAGGTCAGGGGTTCAAGACCAGCCTGGCCAACATGGTAAAACCCCGCCTCTACTAAAAATACAAAAAAATTAGCTGGGCGTGGTGGCAGGTGCCTGTAATCCCAACTACTTGGGAGGCTGAGGCAGGAGAATCGCTTGAATCCCAGAGGCGGAGGTTGCAGTGAGCCAAGATCACGCCATTGCACTCCAGCCTGGGCAACAAGAACAAGACTCCATCTCAAAAAAAAAAAAAGGAAAAGAAACTGGTCTCACTATGTTGCCCAGACTTATCTCCATCTCCTGGGTTCAAGCACTCCTGCCTCAGCCTCCCAAAGTGCTAGGATTACAGGCATGAACCACTGTGCCAGCCTCTGGGGTGCTTTTTAAAGAAAAAGGCCCATGTGTCTTTGTCAATTCTACTGAATCAGAATTTCCTGAGGTGCACCCAAACCCCATCCCCAAGATCCCAAGTAAGTCAAAGAGGAGTGCAGGGAGGAGCAGAGGCTGCAGGGGCTGTAAAGCAGGGACAGGGCCCAGGGACTCTAGGGAGGAGAGGTCAACATTGAGCAACCCCTCATTTCTGCCCCCCATCCCAGGGATTTCTAGCGAGGAAATATCATCCTTCTCGTCTGAACTGACCAGTCCTCCAGGGACCTGCTGATTCACACAATGCATGGCTGTGTCCTGGGCCACTCCTCCTTCTGGCCACCACTGGCCAGCACCCCACCCCAGCATACTTTCCTGACCCTGGGTTCTAACTCCTTGGCCCCAGAAGCCTCACCCTGGCCAACTGCAACTCTTTATTTCAAGGATTCAGGTTGTAGATCTCCTCCTCCAGAAAGTCTTCTCACATGCACTTCTTGGCTCACTCCCACGTGGCTTTGGCCTATTGAACCCTCTCTCTCCTCCACCATCAATGTGGCAGCACTAGTCACATGTTCTCACGATTGCCACTGTGCCCGTTGGTGGCCCCAACAGATGGTGCCCACCTGGAAGGCGGGATTTTTTGGATCTCATTCAGTTCTCGGTCCCTAACAACCTGCTCAGTGCCCAGCATAGAGCAGGCAAGGAATATGTCTATTTATGTTGATCAGAAGAAAGGGAGAGGAGGAGATTTTAAATCAAACAGTTATCCTAGGCACATTTTTCAAAACTGTAGGAAAACTATAGCAAATACTTGTATTAGCATGTCCTGTGTGCCAGAGAGAGAAGCCTGAGACACAGGGGGTAAATAAGTCCACAGGGTATCTCTGCTTCAAAGAGAAAAAGAGTTAAACCTTGGGGGGTCGGGAGGAGCTACCTCTGAAGTCCTTGCTCCCTGTGCCTTAGAGGTCACAGTGACTCCATAACTTCACCCTTTGGATAAAGCACAGGTTCAGGTTGCTGTGCACAGGGAGGAGCAATATATCTCGGCAGGAGGTCTCTCTCAATGAGGTACCAGGGATCCTGTTGCATCCATTTGGGAGGGTCTGGGAGTCAGCAGTCCCAACTGGGAGCTCCTGGAGCTCGATTTAGAAAAGGGACAGGGATAATGCTATCTGGGGCCTTGGCATGAAAGGGCTTTTCTTTCCCATGTCCAGACTCCCAGGGGAGAGAGAAGGGTTCCAAGTCTCCTAGCCTGATGGTTTGAGAGAAACAGAGGGATGTGGCCTGCACCTGCCCCACCTGGCCTCTCTGGGTCCAGGATCAGGCCAGGGAGGAGGAGGCCCACTAATCCTGGGTGCATTACTCAAGAGAGACTGTGAAGAAAAGCAGGAACTCTGAGTGGCATTAAAGTAGGCAGGAAATAAAATTTATTCAGAGTCAGCTAGTGTAATTGAAAATGAACCATATGCCAGGCACTTGGCAAGGTGCGTCCCCACAGTCTTGATTTAATTTTCACACCAACCCAATGAGGCAGCTACTATTCTCCTTGTTTTACCAACAGGAAACTCAGGCATTGTTCTGCTGGAAGGAGAGAAGGCCAGGAGGCAACCCTCAAAACCTGGGTGTGTTTGGCCAAGGCCAAGTAGAGATTTAAGGGTCTTCGAGTAAAGCATTCAGGATTCTTACTCTTCATTTGCTATCTTTCTTAAAGACAGAATAAAATAAAATGGGATTTAGGTTGGATTCCAAAAAAAACTTCCTGACTATAAAGAGGTATTAGAAAGTTCATTTCCTAGGACAGATCCCTGAAAGATGCAACCACATCAAATGCCCACTCTGCAGGCAGGAGACTGGACAATTTGACATTTACCACCACAGGCACGCTCAGAGGTCCCCTCAGGCAACTGGGCTCTAGCTCCCATCTCAAGTGAGGCTTGTGGACAATGCAAAATCTAAAGTCAAACACATCCTTTGCTAAATTTAACAAGCAGATAGGCATAGCGTTCAGATATTAAAATGAAGTCTTTTTTTAATGAATGGGCAGGGCTTGGAGTTTGCCAATGTCATCAATGAGGTTAATGTGGCTACGTTAAAGTTAGCACATGAGTTTTGGATGATGCAGTTTATCAAACCAGCAGGGACTGAGCAACAGCTCAGGCAGAAAGTTGGCGCCTGGCCTTAGGGAGCCCTGTCCGGCCTGGGTATCCTTGCCCACGTGCCACAGCTAAAATGCTGGTAGGACCTCGGGGACTTAAGGCAGGGTTGCTGCTACCCCCGGCTGTTTGGGCCAACACTTGAGCTCCGGCCTGGAACAGAAGGCTCCCTAATAGGTTGTTAAGAGCCTGGGAAGGCGGAACAAGCTGGGCGGGGAGGAGGGGGCCTCAGGGGGCTGTTATGATAAGCAAGAGCTCAGTCTAAAGACATGCTCCCAAGCTGAAGGTTTCATTTCCTGCCAGGCAACTCACCCGTTTGAATCAAACACAGAATTTAGTATTCACCATAGAACAATCATATGACAAAAACTTTGCAGAGTTTACCCAGATGTAGGTTTTCCTTAAGGTAAAAGAGGAGTCATATTACCGAAGCCTCATCTTCTCACGAGTTCAAAACCTCTCCAACCTCTCAGGAGAAACCAAGGGCCGGAAAGGTTAAAGGCCTCACCCTCAAGGTCCCACCAAAGAATCGAAGCTGGTGCCAGCTCTCCGACTCCTACCCAGCAACCCGCCCCAGGTGGCCAGCAGCTGCCTCTGAGAATGCAGAAGGCCGAGGGGGGCTGAGAGTGTTTCTAAATCACAGCACACTTGCTCCATCCCGATGGCCTTGTGATGCCTGAGGCATGAGGGCAGGCCAGGACAGGAGCCATGCAGCGGGGTCTCCCACCCCAGGCCCTCCAGGCCCCCAAAAGGCTTCCTGTCAGGCCCTGCACTGCCCCCTCCTCCCACTTTGATCCCAGAGAGGGGAGGGGGTGGAGAGTCCAGAGAAGTCCCCACTTGGCATCGATTTGCCCAAAGCAAAGGCAACACAAAGGCTGCACCTGTTTCCATGGAGATGCGACGGGGAAGCAAAGGAACAAAACAGGGAGAAACACAAACCCGTCACCACCTCCCAGGCCAGTGTGATCGATGCTGGCAGACCAGAGCCCTGACAGGAAGACAGCGGAAGGATGAAAGGTAATCAGTGGATCTAGAAGCCACACTGGGAGCCCTTTCAGGCCACAGAGAGGAGGCCAGCAGCCTCGCCCACCCCCAGGCTCACAAACTCGCCTGGGCCCCGCTCTCGAGAACCAGTCCAAGCAAAAACTCCCAGACGGAAATCCACAGTGAGCACTTACTTTACAAAAGGATTCCTTGCTTGACTAAGGGATTCCTTCAAGCAGCAAAATCCCACCTGGAGTGCACTGTCTGTTTTATTTCATTATTCACTTCTCTGAGCAGGAGGAGGAGGGGGTCAAGGGAGTAACTTCCAGGGGAAAGTTTGTGAGAAGAGATGAGGGGATGGAGGGGTGGGGACTGGACTCTGTTCATAAAACATCTCCTAGGAGAGGCCCACAAGAAAATGGAGACGTGGTGACTTTAGAAGAGAAAGGTGAGCAGGCTAAGCGCCTGAGGCCCATCCAATAGGGAGGACATGGGAACCTGAACAGTGGAGAAGAATGGGCGGCAACAGGTGTCCCACTAGGTCCCTGAGGTTGCCACAGGTCCCATCAGGGCACACAGGTGCTCTCAAAACCACTGGGCTATGGGGAAATGTGGGGGCAGCCTCATCTCCCCCAGGGCAACAAGGCCAGTGGCTTGATGCCTCCCCGGGTGAATGTTGGAGGAAGATGACAACAAGAGGCCCAGCAGATGGCAGCGGCTCAGAGGCTGTCATAAGGGCCTCTTGACTGGCACTCATTGTTCATCAGGTGACACATACTAAGTGCCACTTAGCACATGTGGTCATCCTGGGACGAAGGGGCAAGGCCATGCACCAACACAATCCTGCCCTTGGAGAGTCTCAACCAGGCCTTCACTCCACGGAGTCTCTTCCTGACTATAATTCTTACAGGGAACAAAAACCAAGGATAACAATAATACTTACTGAGCATGCCATGTGGGCCTGACACTAACACTTGTCTCATTGATCCTCTCAACCATCCCATGAGAGAGAGGCCTTTCTTCTCCCCATTGACTGATGTGGAGACAGGCACAGAGAGGTAAATAACTCACCCAAGGTCACACAGCGAGTAAGTGGCAAAGCTAGGATTCAAAAATAGGTCTGCCCAACTTCAGAGCCTGTGAACAGCAGGCTCAACACCTGCCACATCAGCCTCATTTAACAGGCAGAGACACTGAGGCTGAGAGAATGCAGGTGACGTGCACTGAGGCAGGGGCAGAGGCTGAACTCTGAAGACTACTCCTCCTGACCCACCCCAAGGCTTTTTTGCCTTGTGATGCCTCCACTAGGAATGCCAGCTGGCTTTTTTGGTGGGGTACATGGACTGCTCTGTGTAGTCACTCTCCTGTTCTGGACCTCAGTTTACCCCCTCAACAAGGTGGCATCGTTAGAGTGTGAGCCCCTGCTGTCTCACTGAGAGGAGCTGAGAAGAAACATGGGGCGTGCATTCAAGGTGTTACCAGGGAGCTGGTGGGAGAAGCAGTCTCAGTCTCAAAGATCCACAAGCTCTGTAATGTCCACAGAGCAAAATCCTAGGTAGGATATCCAGGCTGCTACTCAACAGTCTTCCCACCAGAGTACATGTGCAAAACCCTCAGGGAACCTGGGGACTTCCCAGAAGTATTCAGACATGGATGGCTTCCAGGGAATCAACTTCTGAAAGCTCCACTTCCTGTGCTTCTTCCTAAAACTGATCAGCCGGGAACCCTCTGGGTCTGCCAGTTCTCCCCTCACCAAGGCCCTCCTAAACACTTCCCAAAAGAAAGGCCTACCCCCAGTCATCCCAACCTCACCCTGGTATCCCGCCCTGGGTTATAAAAGCCACCAAAGAGACAACGGAAGAATGCAGCCCTCATGGGAGGAGTTCCAGCAGGACAAAGAACTTCCTTAAGATGTTGAGAAGGGGGCCTTATCTATCTTACCTACCCATCTGTTTATTTTAGGATTAGAATTAGGAAGCTGACACAGGGACACCTGTTTAACCTGTTTAATAAATATTTGAATTAAAAAGAGGAGTCAGAGTTTTTCCGACACAAAGTATGATTTGGCTGGCTGGTCTAACCACAAGATCCAGCCTGGCCAATTAGGAATTATGGTGGATGTTTTCCACAACTGCCTGGGCTGGGTTTGCTGTTCTAAGGCTTTGACAAAAATAAATTTGAAGCAAGTAGATGGCATACAATAGGCCTGGAAATACATTCCACTTAAAGTTATGATAAAACATTTTATATGTCAATTTTTATTTTTATTTTTATTTTTCTGAGATGGAGTCTCACTCTGTCACCCAGGCTGGAGTGCAGTGGCATGATCTTGGCTCAGTGCAGCCTCCACCTCCCGGGATGAAGCGATGCTTCTGCCTCAGCCTCCCCAGTAGCTGGGATTACAGGCGCCTGCCACCACGCCCAGCTAATTTTTGTATTATAGTAGAGACAGGGTTTCTCCATGTGGGCCAGGCTGGTCTCGAACTCCTGACTCCAAGTGATCCTCCTGCCCTGGCCTCCCAAACTGCTGAGATTACAGGTGTGAGCCCCTGCACCCGGGAATATATGTCAATTTTTATGTTTTCTTAATTAATTTTTCTTTTGTGAGACGGAGTTCTGCTCTTGTCATCCAGGCTGGAGTACAATGGCGCGATCTCGGCTCACTGCAACCTCCGCCTCCCGGGTTCGAGCAATTCTCCTGCCTCAGCCTCCCAAGTAGCTGGGATTACAGGCAGGCACCACCATGCCTGGCTAATTTTTGTATTTTTAGTAGAGACAGGGATTCACCAAGTTGGCCAAGCTGGTCTTGAACTCCTGACTTCAAGTGATCTTCCCTCCCTGGCCTCCCAAAGTGCTGGGATTACAGGCGTGTGCCCGGCGATATATGTCAATTTTTTAATATATGAGGGGATACACAGTTGTTCAAAATTCTTTTGAGGTGTACAAGTGAAAGAAGTTTGAAGCCTGTTGCTTTCCTTCCCTGGAGCCATGATCAAAGGCTTAAGCTCCCACACCGACAAACCCACTAAGCCATGCACATAGTAAGTTTTCAAGACAAGGCAGCTGCAATGTATACAACAAGCACTAGACCTGAAACCTGGGTGTAACTTTATTTCTGCTACTTCTTAGCTGTGTGGCTCAGAAGGTTAAGCCACCCAGCCTCCTTGAGCCTCAGTTTCTCCCTAAGTACATGGAGATAATACCATACAAGATATATTCAAAATCCTGATGACGAGGAGGACATTAAATGAACAAGGTAAAAGTGCCTCAGCACAAACAGCCCCCAGTAATAGCCAACCAGCAAGCGTTTTCTGTTTGGCTTGGACAAATTGATGGTATTTGTCTCTAGACAATATTAATAACTAACATTTATCGAGCGCTCACTATGTGCCAGGCACTGGACTAAGTGCTTCACAGGCCCCGGCTCATTTTGTTTTCACAACAACGCTGCAGGAAAGATGCCATTCTTATTCCTGATCCACAGGCATGGAAAGCTTAAAGACTTGCTCAACTCACTCAGCTAGCAATTAAGGGCCCAGTAGGTCTTTTTGATTCCAGTGACTGTGCTCTAAAAACCCTCCCTACTCAAAGTGCAGCCTGAGACCAGCAGCATCAACAGAGACTGGTACCTTATTAGCAACGCAGGATCCCAGGAGCTACTCCAAACAAACTGAATCAGTATCTGCATTTTAGCAAAATCTATGAGGGATTCATATGCACATCCAAGTTTGAGAATCACTGCTTTAAACCTCTAGTCTGGCTAATTTTACCATCCTGGTTTTATCTTGCTGAAGGTAATATTACTATGTTTGCTTTCTCCATGCACACACACACACACAGCTGTCAATTAAAGCAAGCAAGATGGTTAGGGATTATAATAATCCATCAGCAACACATGCAAAATGCATTTTTAGAAAAGGGCTAGGAGGATCCACATCAAACTGTCATCAGTGGTCACCTCTGAGAAATGGGATGGGATTGGGGGGTTGTTAGGAGGAGCCAAAGAAGGCTTTTTATTATCTGAATTTTCTTTTTCTTTTCTTTTTTTTTTTTTTTTTGAGATGGAGTCTTGCTCTGTTGCCCAGGCTGGAGTGTAGTGGTGCAATCTCGGCTCACTGCAAACTCCACCTCCTGGGTTTGAGTGATTCTCCTGCCTTAGCCTCCCTTAGTAGCTGGGACTATAGGCTCCCACCACCACCATGCCGAGTAAATTTTTGTATTTTTATTAGAGAACAGGGTTTCGCCATGTTGGCCAGGCCAGTCTTGAACTCCTGACCTCAGGTGATCTGCCCGCTTCATCCTCCCAAAGTGTTGGGATTACAGGTGTGAGCCACCATGCCCAGCTGAAATGTTTAATAAACAGAGTATAGTTGTATATAGGTTATACAATTTAAAAGGAAAGTATGTTTTAAAACACATGTACAGATCACTGGGAATTAGTTGTACTTTATGAGCTCCGTCTATCCAAGGTTATTGTCAGCTATCCAGCCTCTGACTGTGGAAAGCCAAGGTAGCGAGTTAATAGGGAGATATTGGTGGAACAAAAGGAGTGCTGTGCTTGGAGCTGGAAGACAACAGTCCAGACTCTGCCCCTGATTTGCTGTGCGATCTTGAGGCTCTCCTCCACGGGCCTGTGTTTCCTCTGCTATAAAATGGGGGGAACCCCCTTCCCCTCTCAGGGACCAACAATGCAGTGAAAGGCATAAAAGTTCCTTGTGAACTGCAAGGTGCTTGGCAATGCAACGGCCGAGTGTTTTCTTGAAAAGAAAAGAGATGAAAAAAAAAAGCAGTGAAACATTCACCCTCACTCATTCCATTCCCCAAACACAGATATCCCATGACTTTATAAGGAAGATATACGGAGTAACCTGGATTTAGATTCCGTGGGAGCCTCAGGCTGATTTTCAAATCCTTATTCGAACTTAGAAGTTAGGCTTGGACGTGGTTCAAAACATGAAAAGAAAGGGCTATTTCTCAATGTCTGGCCCATTTGCTTTGTGCTTCTCTCCCGGTTTCTCTGCAGGCTCACGAGGGCTGGGGAGCTTCTGTCCCAGGGTTCTGTGTGCTTCCTGTCTGGGCGCAGTGGCTGCCCTCTCCTTTGCTTTCATGGCTTTCTACCAGCACCTGTCTCCAGTGCTACCTCTCAGCTGCTCTTAGAGCAAAAGACCTGGGGTCTGTGGTTCGGCTCAATTCTCACCACTGCCTCTGTTTTCCACTTTGTATCTTAGAAGTCAGATTTGGTCAGGCGCAGTGGCTCACACCTATAATCCCAGCACTTTAGGAGGCCAAGATGGGCGTATCACTTGAGGTTAGGAGTTCAAAACCAGCCTGGCCAACATGGTGAAACCCTGTCTCTACTAAAGATACAAAAATTAGCCAGGCATGGTGGCACGTGCCTGTAGTTCCAGCTATTCAGGAGGCTGAGACAGGAGAATCACTTGAACCCAGGAGGTGGAGGTTGCAGTGAGCCAAGATCACGCCACTGCACTCCAGCCTGGGCAATAGAGACAGACTCTGTCTCAAAAAAACAAAAAGAGATCAGATCTGCAGAAAAAGCAGCAAATGTTACCCCTGGCTCATCTGGAGGGTGTGGAGTTTGGATATGGAGGGATAAAGTGACTTGCTCAAACTCATATAGCCGGCTTAAAACAAACACAGTTGGGTGGGGTTCTCTGGCCCAAAAGTCCAGGCTTCTTTACCCTGTTTCCTCTATGACCTTTGGAAATAACCTCCTTTCCTCAAGACTTGTCCACCACTCATTTGCAACTTGTCTGTCACTGACCTCCCCCCTCTGTTCATTCTAGGAGACATGAATCTGGGGATTAAAAGTTTCTGTGCTTTTCTTCAAACAGAACAATCCTAAAACCACATACTCTGAAAGTATCATTGAAACTGACCGAGAAGAGAATCCTCAGCCAGATTTTCCATGGAGAACCAGACCTGTCTAAACCAGTATGAGCTTTCATTACAGTAAAGTAATGGCAAAAGAAGCCTCGGGGCAGACAATTCCAGATTCACTATTTAAGTGGCCTTAGGTGACTGGATTCACCTCTCTGAGCCTCCATTTTTCTCATATGAAAGACAGGAAGAGTGCTACCACCTTTCAGTTTAAAAGGAAGATTACAAATAAGGATAAAGCTCTTCCTACATAGCAGGAGCTCAATAAACAGCAACTATTACCATCATGATCGCTGTCATTCCAGACCATCCATCCCAAAGACAGGGGTCTAAATCAGTTCTGCAATCCAGCTGCACATTAGAATCACCCAGGGAATTTCTCCCTCTCTCTTTTTTTTTTTTTTTAAATAGGGTCTTGCTCTGTTGCCCAGGCTGCAGTACAGTGGCATGAACATGGCTCACTGCAGCCTTGACCTCCAGGGCTCAAGCGATTTTCCCACCTCATTTTTTGATTTTTTATAGAGACGGGCCTTGCCACATTGCCCAGGCTGGTCTCAAGCTCCTGAGCTCAAGCAATCCATCCACCTCGGCCTCCCAAAGTGCTAGGATTACAGGCATGAGCCTCTGCATCTGGCTGTGAATTTTATTTTTTGTTTACAATTTCCAACTAGCTCCCAGGTGATGCCAATGCCACTGGTCCATGGCACCCAAAACTCAAGGTGTTGGGCAGATGGCTGGAAAGGTTACATGAATCTCTGTCCAGCCAGGCTAGAGTGCACTGCCTCCTGGAAGCAGACAGTCAACTATATGACCTCAGATTAGGGCATGAAGACTCAGAACCAAAGCTTGTCCTCAGGTGACTCTCTCTCTCTTTGGCTTCCTGTTGGCTTTTTGGGTTCTACCAAGAGCTGCAGACAAGTGTGGCCACAAAGATGCACTAGCAAATTAACCATGGTGCCACACCCTGCTTTCACGTAGAGCTGCCGTCTCAAGATCATCCAAGGGAGAGTCAGAAGGCAAGGGCCCTGGTCACTTTCACTCAGATAAGCAGGGTATAGGACAGCATGGCCTGCCTTGGCTGGATGTCCCAGCCAGAAGGAGCTGAAACAATGGCAACTCTGGTCAACCAGACTTCTCTGATCAGCCAACCAGGAAAGCTTCCCACCAGGAGCTGGCAAAGTAAAGGCACAGTTGATGGGCTCCTGTGAAACGAGAGCTGGTGGGGCGCTGGGTGGCAGGCCCTTCTGGCTTTGAGGTTGGTGCATTTTGTGACCCTGAACATCAACAAAACAATACTGACTGGACACCTACTATGTGCCAGGCAATGTTACATAAATATTTTCATTTGAACATCACATCAACTTTGCAAGGCGGGCATCATCATCTTTATTGTACACATGAGGAAACAGGCTCGATGGATAAGTAACAATGGAACTTACACAGGACAGAGCCAGAAATGTAACTAAAGCCTGTCCAATACTTCCTACTTCTACTTTTTTTTTTGAGATGAGGTCTTGTTATATTGCCCAGGCTGGGCTCCTGGGCTCAATCAATCCTCCTGCCTCAGCCTCCCAAGTATCTGGTTCTACAGGCACACACCACTGTGCTCCGATTCTTCCTGCATTTTTTTTTTTTGAGACAGCGTCTCACTCTGTTGCCAGGCTGGAGTGCAGTGGCACGATCTCAGCTCACTGCAACCTCCGCCTCCCAGGTTCAAGCGATTTTTATGCCTCAGCCTCCCAAGTAGCTGGGACTACGGGCGGACGCCACCATGCCCAGCTAATTTTTGTATTTTTAGTAGAGACAGGGTTTCACCATGTTGGCCAGGATGGTCTTGATCTCTTGACCTCGTGATCTGCCCGCCTCGGCCTCCCAAAGTGCTGGGATTATAGGCGTGAGCCACCGCGCCGGGCCTCTTCCGGCTTCTTTACGTTGCTGCTCAAAACTCTTAATCTCTGCGACTCATTTTACCCTTTCATTTGGGGCAGAGAAGAAAGGGAAAAGTGTGTAAATCAATAGAACTGGAAGTGGTGTCTATCCCGTGTGTTGCGTGGCTAAGCAAGGCACCCAGCCCCAGGCCCAGGGAATGAGACTCTATCGATGCACTGATGGGCACCGAGAGCCAATCTGAGCCTGGGTCCCATCACCCCACCCCTGTATAAGCCACAGGAAGCTTCCTGAAGCTGTCAAAGGGCGCTCAAATGAGTGTCCCACTTCTATGGAGCCAAGGGCTGAAGAGGCCATGCTAGAAGCCGCTGTCCCATCAAGGCCCCAGGCCTGTACCACAGCCAGGTCCCTCCTGCTAGCAGTTTGGCAAGAAGGGTCCTTGGCAGAGGCCCCAACTCTGGATTAATATTACACCAAGAGAACCCAAACAAATGGCTCCTGACTTTCACGCTCCATAAAGTTCTGAGGCTTAAAATAAAGATGAGTTTGGAGGGGAGGGGGTGTCAACAATAGTCAGCATAGCAGAGCCACAGGATGAAACACTGTACAGCCACTTAAAAGAGTGTTTAAAACCACACCGTTCCATTAAAAATTCTCATTATGTAGTGTTACACCAAAAAGCTAGATTCAAAGGTATGTAAATCAGTAAGATCACAACTAGTTTTTAAAACTTGTGCACATTAAAAAAAAAAAAAAGAACAGAGGGAAATATAACCAAATGTTTTCAGCCGTAGTACTGAAATTATCAGAATGATCAATTTTACTGGAAATTAAACATTTTCCAGTTTTTCTTTAACGAGCATGTAAACTACCCAGGGGGCAAGGGGAACACATTCTGACTAAAATCCGTGTGACTGAGAAGTCAGGATGAAGAGCTGCTGGGATGGAATAAACCCCTCCAGGCAGCCCCGAGCAATGAGATGGGACAGGCACAGCTGTAATCTAGAGGCCCTCGGGCTCTGCTGTGGTCACACCTAAACAAGCAAGCCAGTGCGGTACCCTTCCCAAGGGGCAGAAGTTCTCCAGGGAACATAACCAAAAGCCCATTAGCCCTTAGAGTGCTCTAAAGAAGTTTGGCAAAGACACTGCAGTGAAACACAGCCTGCTCAGGTGCTCTGCCCCAGGCAAAGAGACAGAAGACAGCTGCCGCTGCAGGGTCCAGTGTCCCTGAGAGACCCCCAGCAGACGAAGATCCCTGCCAGTGCCGCCACCCCCAAGCATGAGGATATAAAAGAGATAAGCTTCACCATCTGGGGCACAGGAGCCTCCTGGGAATGCCTGCCTGAATGAGGGAGAATGGCAGGTCCCTAAGCCATGTGCAAATGTGAAGGAGGAAGAGGGTCAAAAGAGAAGGAGCCACAGCAGCTGTCTCTAAAAGAACACTAATTACAGGGCCGTCCTCCCTTACCCAGGCCTGGTACTGCCAGCAAAGATGCTCTCGAGCTCAGCGTTCACCTGACCGCCTGTCCTCTGCCACCTGTGGTTGGCCCAGAGGTGGCAAGGGTGGTCTGGCTGGGGCTGCAGGCCTGATGGCTCCCCAAGCTGGGTGGGGAGGCCCCAAGCCCAGCTTACTGGGAAGTCCTCATCCTAGGGTCAGGGGCCCTGTGCCAGGAGACCCTGGAACATGGGGATAACTAGAGAACTTCCTTCTCTGGAAATGTTAGAGACCCACCAATACTGGAATGGAAAAAGTGACGTATTCATCCCTCAAAGTTGCGAGAGGGGCAGAGTCAAGTGCAGAGGTGAGAAATGCCAGTTCTCCAGGGGTCCCTCACCTGCCACTCATAGCAAGGAGCTCAAGTTCACCATCACCAAAGGTGCCTCTGCATGGCCTCCTGCTGCTGGCATTTTGCTGAGACACTGGAGAGGACCGAAAAAGGCCCACACCAAGCCAAAAAGGTGGGCAGGAGGAAAGAGCATTGGCCTAGCAGTCAGACTAGCCGGATCTTGTCCCCATTCAAGCCCCTTCACCCCCTGAAATAGGTGTGATTCCCATCCTAGATACTACATCAAAACATTTACAGATCGGTGAGAAATGTATGGGATGGGACTTCTAAAAACAACCAAATTCTGGCCGGGTGCAGTGGCTCACACCTGTGTAATGCCAGCAATTTGGGAGGCTGAGGTGAGTGGATCACTTGAGGCCAAGAGTTCAAGACCAGCCTGGACAACATAGCAAGACCCTGTCTCTATTTACAAATTTTAAAATAAAAAATAAATTTAAAGCTGTCAAATTCTAAACAAATGGAAAGTGTGGTTAAGATGCACGGGAAGTCATTATAAAGTGAAGGCATTTTGCTTCTCTTTCAGGACAATATGCAAATTAGAGGCAAAAATATAACCACATCGTTTTTCTTTTCAAACCACTCATGTATCCACCATAAAACAGAGTTATGGGGCTGCTTCTGGAACATAGGAAATGGGGCTCAGCGGCTGGTGCCACACCGGGCCTCTTGGACCAAAGCGGGAAAGGAATGACTCAGACAGGGAAAGGAAGAGACAAAACCAATGAAACAGGAGGAAACGTAGGGAGGTTGGAACCCAGCATCTCTGAGAAAGAGGCCCAGATGAAAGGGAGGCGCAGCTGGGGGAAACAGGCCGGCAATTGTTTGTAGGGATGGCCGGCCCTGCTGCTTTGTGTGTTAATGTAATTAAGGGCTCAGTGGGGGCCAATGTTTAGAATCCTTTAACTCCCTGCCATTCTCACCGAGCGGCTGGGACAGAGAGTGGGGCTGTTATGGAGGGTGCCAATGGGTTTCTGGGCAGCTCACTTAAAAGGGCATCCAGGGGCAGGCGGGCCTGGGCAGCAGGAGGTGAAGCCCTCATTCCAGGGTGCCTGAGAGGCACTTCCTCCTCCTCCCCACTCCCCCCGGGAGTCTCCAGAAGCCCTGCCATTGCCCTGACCCCAGTTAACACTCCTGGTAATTGCTGGGGCTGCTGCAGAAAGCCTAGGGAGAAAGAAAAAAAAAAAAAAGCCAGAGTTAGAGAGAGAAAAAAAAGTCTGCTTCTCCAGTGTTCATTGAGGCTTCCCTCCTGCCCACACCCTCTGGGTTGGGGCATCCAGTTTCAAGGAAGCTCCCAAGGCAGGGCTCTCCATGCCTGAAGCCAAAATCAACAACAGCACATGGAAATTACTGAATAGGAGCAGCTGGGTTTAGCAGGCTTCTAGGAGCCCTGCTCCAAAGCTCCCAACCCCTCAAATTTCCAAGAGGTATGTCAGGGGATCTGCCCCCCAACCCCACTCATCCAAAGAAAGCCTCACATTAACCCACAGCCCAATAACCTGTTGCTCTGCAACAAAGACAGTGCAAGTTCTTGCTACCAACATGAGATTCCTCTGGATGGCAATGGACATTCTGTAGGCAAAACAATTCATGCAATGTAAGCTTTAAAAATATTATCCCATCTAACTTCACAACTACCCTGTAAGGTCGGTACTGTTCTTTCCTCCACTTTATAGATGGGGAAACTGAGGCTTAGAGAGACTAAATAGCTGTACCCAAGGTTAACAAGCCCACAAGTAGCAGAGGAAGGATTCAAACCCTGGCACCCTGACTCCAAAGCCTGTGTATTTAACCCCTAGTCTATGCCACAGGGCACTCAGGTAGTCACTGGGCAGTGGAAACACGCCTTGTGAAGCTTACAGCCTGGCACAAGGTTCTTAGCGAAGGCTCTGTGAGATTTCTGTGAGGTCTATGGAACCCCTCGTCCCAAAAATCGAATGCAATTTAATGTGTTTGTGTGTGCCTATGCTTTTTGGGAGGGGTGTCAAAGTTCTCTTTAGATTATCCACAGGATCTGGGACCGGAAAAAAGCTTAAGAACCTAGGGCCGATGGGCGTGGTGGCTCACGCCTATAATCCCAGCACTTTGGGAGGCCGAGGTGGGCGGATCACCAGGTCAGGAGATCGAGACCATCCTGGCTAACACGGTGAAACCCCATCTCTACTAAAAATACAAAAAATTAGCCAGGCGTGGTGGCGGGTGCCTGTAGTCCCAGCTACTCGGGAGGCTGAGGCAGGAGAATGGCGTGAACCCAGAAGGTGGCGCTTACAGTGAGCTGAGATCGCCACTGCACTCCAGCCTGGGCGACAGAGTGAGACTCTGTCTCAAAAAAAAAAAAAAAAAAGAACCTAGGGCTAATAAGGTAACAACCCTCCGATGCCTTGTGAAGTACATTCTAGAACACAGATCTTCCGATTTGAGTCCTCTACGTTTTCACGCAACCTCTTTGCTATCAAGAAATAGCGAAGAGGGCAACTTGAGTTTCTCCAGAAAGGGAGAATATACTGGCATTCGAGAATTAGAGGTACCTGGCACTGAAAGTCCACCCAGCCTGCCTGGGAGACAGTATCCAGGATATAAACTCGGGGTGGGGGGCGGGAGGGAAAGGGTTAAGAGTCAGGTCCTGTGGGATTAAAGGATTTCCTACTCTGTGTTTATTACTTCTTTCCATCACTTAAAAACAAGTTCCAACATTGTCCCAATTCTGATCCTGGGTTTTACTTGGATCCACACTGAGAAAAATAATTCATTACGGCAGCCCCAAACTATCAGAAATTAGCAGGCGGGGAAAAAAAGTTTCCATTCCATACTAATTTGCCACAGTTTTAAAGGCCACCGTCTGTCTAAAAACAAGGGTGTTCCTTAACTGAGGCCATTGTCCTCATTTCCAGATGCTCCAAGACAGCAAACAATGACAATGATGCTGCTGCCAACATTTGACACCCAATATTATCAAGCCCAAATTCTGTGTGCTGGGCTCTTAACGATAAGCTTTACCCAAACTTATCTCATTTAATCCTCACCCCTGCCCTATGAGGCAGGGGCATTATCATCTCCAATTTAGAGATGACAAAATTAAGCCCCAGAGAGGTTAAACAGCCGCCCAAGAACACACCGCAAGTCAGTGACAGTGCCAGGATTCAAACCTGGATCTATCTGACCCCAAAGACAGGGCTCTAGACCAGGGCCACTAAAAGTATGTCCACAGACCACCTACAAACTGTTAGTTGTGGGTCCTTACCAAATAAGTAGAGAAAAAGAAAGGAAGGAAGGATTTTAAAATGTTTCTAGCAATCTGACCTTAGCACAATATCCAAGCATGTGATCTGTGGACTTCCCTCTTAGAACAGGGTATAGACCAGTCTGGATGTTCTCAGACTGGCTCAGACTGGTCATGCTCATCGGTTCCTGAACTAAGGAATAGAGCATATTGTCCTTCACCTCAGATACTTTGAGAAGCACTGTTTTAAAGCACTGCAAAGACGGGTCATACAAGACACTCAAACAAGGTTCAGCACGTCCCCAGCTGTCCCTGCAGCATCCAAAGTCTTCTAGCACAGCGCTTCTCAGTCTGTCTCTCTCTCTCTTTTTCTTTTTTGAGACGGAGTTTCGCTCTTGTTGCCCAGGCTGGAGTGCAGTGGCGCGATCTTGGCTCACTGCAACCTCCGCCTCCCAGGTTCAAGCAATTCTCCTGCCTCAGCCTCCCGAGTAGCTGGGATTACAGGCAGGCACCACCACGCCCAGCAAATTTTTTTTGTATTTAGTAGAGACAGGGTTTCACCATGTTTGTCGGGCTGGTATCGAACTCCTGCCCTCAGGTGATCCACCCGCCTCGGCCTCCCAAAGTGCTGGGATTACAGGCGTGAGCCACTGCGCCCGGCCACTTCTCAGACTTTAATGTGCACACGAACCACTGGGGACCTTGTTAAAATGTAGATAGATTCAGGAAGTTCAAGGTGGGGCCCGTGATTCTCCATTTCTAACCAGGTGATGTCAGCGCTGCTGGTCTAGGGACCTGACTTTGGGTAGCAAGTCTCCAACTGCACAAGCAGACCAGAGCCAACGAGGCTGATGCTGTGAACTCCACCTGGCAAACAAGTCGGACTCCAGCAAAGGCTCACCAGTTAGCACTGGCTGTGAGGAGGCCAGAAGGTAGCCCTTACAAACACCTTTCCCCAACTCCAGGCTGAGTCTGGGATGCCCAGGGGCCCTTTTATCCTGAGTCAGAAACCAAAGCCCTCTCCGTCCCAGGGGTTTAACAGAAGGCAGAGAAAAGCAGCTCAGAAGCACTTGCAAACATTGCGAGGAACGCTACCCACAACCACAGCAAGAGGAGGGAGGATTTTGAGAAAACTGTGCCCACTTCTTTGGTTCTGCTCAAGCCAGACTGAAGCTGGGTCTCCAACAGTGATGGCCTGGGAGAATCACTACACACGTGTGTTTGGACAGCACTTTCTACTTCTTAAAAAGAAGATATCCACATCTATCGTGAAAGCTGAGAAATCTAAGAGCTGGAAGCCTGGGAGGAAGGGATGTGCTGTGGCCAACACAGGAGGGCAGAAATGACCCCTCTGTGACCGCTCCTGTAGCCAGAAAGAGCCACAAACAGTCCAACTCCAAAGGGGAAATGGTCCCCATTTCCTGCAGGTAACCTTCTCATGACCTGCTCTACTCCCTGGAAATTCTTGACACTAAAGGACACTAAAGACCTTCTTCCTTAGTGCCAACCTCAGTCTCTCCTAGTTCCATTTCTGGCACAAGGACTGAATGACTTATTAAAGGAGCTGGCCGGGTGTGGTGGCTCCTGTCTGTAATCCCAGCACTTAAGGAAGCTGAGACAGGCAGATTACTCGAGCTCAGGAGTTCGAGACCAGTCTGGGCAACATGGCAAAACAGGGTCTCTACAAAAAATACAAAAATTAGCTGGAGGTGGTGGCACACACCTATAATCTCAGTTACTTGGGGGCTGAAGTGTGGGATCATCTGAGCCTGGGAAGTCGAGGCTGCAGTGAGCTGTGTTCACACTCCAGCCTGGGTGACTAAGTGACATCCTGTCTCAAAAAAAAGAAAGAAAGAAAAAAGAAACAAACAAAAAAAGAGGGAGAGGTACAATTCGCAGGAAAAACCCCAGATCTCCCATTCATTCCGGGCAGTCGCTCATTCATTCAAAAACACTGATGAAGCCACTGCCACATGCCGGGCACTGTCAGGAAGTGGGCATAGAGGCACAGGCTGGGGCCTTCTCCTTACCCTCCTCTAAAGAAGTGGGGAATAAGCAAAAAAGGGGTCATGAGGGCATTAACTAAGTCAAAGGGCACTGCTGTTCCTGCAGTGGGGGGAAAGAGAGTTCCTGGGCAGAAGCTCTCACATATGCATGGACTCAGGGAAAGCCAGTCCGAGGGTGAGACTGGGTATTCAAGTTGATGGTGGCTGACAGATCTCCTTCTCTTTACTCACACAGGGCCAAGAAAGGCCTGAGGGTTAGGAACACACAAAGGAACACAGTCAGAGGGACTTCATGTCCCAACCAAAGGTGTCTCAATAAGACACAGTCCCGAATCCAGGGAGGATCCGGCTGAAAAGCCTCCTCTGGATTGCAGAGGACTCCCGTGAAACCACGAGCCTCTTTCTCCTTTGCAAAAATCAAATCGTATTCTCCCACCTCCAAACCCTGCCATGTGCTGCTTCCCTACACGATGCCCCCACCCTGCTCCTCTCACCCACATGTGTCCTTCCCTCTCTCAGAATTCTGCTTAAAACGCATCTCTAGGCTGGGAGTGGTAGCTCATGCCTGTAATCCCAGCACTTTGGCAGGCTGAGGCAGGCACATCGCCTGAGGTTAGGAGTTCGAAACCAGCCTGGCCAACACGGTGAAATCCCGTCTCCACTAAAAACACACACACACACACAAAATAGCTGGGTGTCGTGGTACATGCCTGTAATCCCAGCTACTCGGAAGGCTGAGGCACAAGAATCTCTTGAACCCGGGAGGTGGAGGTTGCAGTGAGCCGAGATCGCGCGACAGCACTCCAGCCTGGGCAACAAAGTGACACTGTGTCTCAAAAAAAAAAAAAAAAAAAAAAGGCCAGGCATGGTGGCTCACGCCTGTAATCCCAGCACTTCAGGAGGCCGAGATGGGCAAATCACGAGGTCAGGAGATCGAGACCATCCTGGCTAACATGGTGAAACCCCATCTCCACTAAAAATACAAAAAAATTAGCCGGGCATGGCAGCGGGTGCTGTAGTCCCAGTTACTCGGGAGGCCGAGGCAGGAGAATGTTGTGAACCCAGGAGGCAGAGCTTGCAGTGAGCAGAGATCACGCCACTGCACTCCAGCCTGGGTGACAGAGCAAGACTCTGTCTCAAAAAAAAAAAAAAAAAAAAAAAAAAAAGTCTGTTGGAGGGCCAAGGTGGTTGGATCATTTGAGGTCAGGAGTTCCAGATCAGCCTGGCCAACATGGTGAAACCCCATCTCTACTAAAAATACAAAAATTAGCTGCGCGTGGTGGCAGGCTCCTGTAATCCCAGCTACTTGGGAGGCTGAGGCAGGAGAATTGCTTGAACCCAGGAGGCAGAGGTTGCAGTGAGCCGAGATTGTGCCACTGCACTCTGGCCTGGGCAACAAGAGCAAAACTCTGTCTTAAAAAAAAAAAAAAGTCTGGTCCAGGCGCTAGAGCAAGGGTTCTCAACCTTAGGCACTATTGACATTTGGGCTAGAGAGTAAGGGGCTGTCCTGTATATTGGAAGATGTTGAGCAGCATCCCTGGCCTCTACCCACAAATGCCAGTAGCAACATCACCCCCAGTTGTAACACTGCCAATGTCTCCTGGGGGGCCAGATGATCCCCACTTGTGAACCACTGCACTAGATAGATGGTTCTCAACCCTGGCTGCCCAATAGAAACACCTGGGCAATGTATAAAATTTACCCCTGCCTGGGCCCCACCCAGCACTAGCAGAATCAGACAGCCTCACGGGCAGCAAGGGGGGAGAACCACTGAACAGAGCTGCTCTGGACATTTTGGATCTCTTAGCCAGTCTAAGATTCTACAAGTAAACAACAATGTCTGTAACTTTATATAGCCTTGATGTTCTAACGTGTTGGTCGGTTCCTCCATTAGACCAAATCTCTCCAGAAGCAGGAACCATATCTTCTTTTTCCCTGTCTCCACAAAGCTGTATGCAGTGCCTCTTATTTTATACTAATCAAAAAAGCTGGGCAAGTTCATGAGCCCCCCTCCACCCCAATTTCAGATGAAGAAGCCACTTTCATCTCCCCCAGTTCAACAGCATATGACAAGGGAGAATTTGCAAAGGGAGGAAGGGACAGAAGAGATGGGAATCCAGGAGGACCCAGCCACCTGATCTAGCCTTGGAACGAGACTGCTCTCTGCCAGCTGTGGGGAAAGCTTGCTGAGTTGCAGGGATGCAGGGCTAGGTATACTCATACTTCCTCAGCCCCACCTCTCCCGGCCAGACTGGAAGGCATGAAGCTGGGGTCTTCAGCAGTAAACTCTAGTCTACCAGATCGGATGCTGCATTCCCCAGGCCGACAGTGACTCGAGAACAAATGAACACAGGCCCAGAACACCTCTATTTGGAGCCCGACTTATGGGCTGGGATCTTTCTCCCTACACCTCCTTCAAGACTCCCCAGGAGCATCTGGGGACCTGGCTGAGAGAGGCCAGCCCAATGTTAACAGATGCAGTCATATCTGCCTCCTGCTCCCCTCCCCATCCTGCTCACCACCTCTTCAGACAAGGCAAAGAGGAATGCAGTGTCAAGAAAGAATATTTAAAGCCAAGGTGGGAGGACTGCTTGAGCCCAGGAGTTTGAGACCAGCCTGGGCTGGGCAACATAGTGAGACCTCTTCTCTACAATATAAAAATAAAGGCCAGGTGCGGTGGCTCACACCTCTAATCCCAACACTTTGGGAGGCCAAGGCAGGAGGATCATGAGGTCAGGAATTCAAGACCAGCCTGGCTAGTATGGTGAAAGCCCGTCTCTACTAAAAATACAAAAATTAGCCAGGCGTGGTGACACGTGCCTATAGTCCCAGCTACTCGGGAGGCTGAGGCAGGAGAATTGCTTGAACCCAGGAGTCGGAGGTTGCAGTGAGCCAAGATCACACCACTGCACTCCAGCCTGGGAAACAGAGCAAGACTCCGTCTCAAAAATAAAAATAAAAATAGCCGGACATGGTGGTGCACACCTGTAGTCTCAGCTACTTGGGAGGCTGAGGCAGGGGTATAGCTTGAGCCCACAAATTCCAGGTTATAGTGAGCCATTACTGTGACACTGTACTCCAGCCTAGGCAATATAGCAAGACCCTGTCTCTCTAAAAAAAAAAAAAAAAAAA
The DNA here is from genome assembly GCF_000001405.40 of Homo sapiens. NCBI lineage: Eukaryota > Metazoa > Chordata > Mammalia > Primates > Hominidae > Homo > Homo sapiens. The sequence continues at coordinate 57,934,579 of NC_000017.11, forward strand.
AAAAAAAAGGAAAGAAAGACAATATTTGGATATGAACCCCTATCTTTTTTAAGAAGTGGAAGTGCATTTGCTATCTACTCATTCCTTAACAGATACATAGAGAATACTTAGAGGGGCAGACATGCCATCCTTCCCGATTGTTTTTTTGAGACAGAATCTCACTCTGTTGCCCAGGCTGGCATGCAGTGGCGTGATTTCGGCTCACTGCAGCCTCTACCTCCCAGATTCAAACAATTCTCATGCCTCAGCCTCCCGAGTAGCTGGGATTACAGGCATGCCCCACCATGCCCAGCTAATTTTTGTATTTTTAATAGAGACAGGGTTTCGCCATGTTGCTCAGGCTGGTCTCGAACTCCTGAGCTCAGGTGATCCACCTGCCTCAGCCTCCCAAAGTGCTGGGATTACAGGCATGAGCCACCACACCCAGCCCGTTCCCCATTTTTATACTTGGGTTAAGCTCACAGACAAAATGATGGGGATAGAATCCAGGGACCAAGCTCCCCAAGACAGCAAAGGCTATTCAAGTGCCCGCAATCAGCTTTCTTACTAAAACTCACTGACTAATACACAAGAATGCAAACTGCCAATGTGTTTACCTTACATTTAATGAATGGTTTAGTGTTTTCTCTGAGATTTTACTTATTTGATATTCCATGACAACAGGATGAGCAATCCTTAAAGACCTGCTTCAGGCAGCCCTGGCTGGCTTGCTGAAATCAGTGTAGAGCAGTGAAGGCTTCCATCCTGAGTGACCAGCGTGACAGTGATTTTTTTTTTTAAGCTTCCCTCCCTTCCATTAGACACACACACACACACACACACACACAAACACACACACACACACCCTGTTGCCTAGAGACTGGACACATTCCTGGTGCTTACTCTTCTTTTCATTCTCCAGAAGCAGGAGCTTTAGAAACTGGGGCCTCCAGGAAATATGCCTGGGGCCGGGGTGAAGGGGGTCCAGGAGTGACATTTCCTCATAGCCAGGCCCGCCCCATCCCCGCTGCCCTCCCTTTCCTCCCGAGGTTTGAAAAGCCCCAGCAGGCTGGAACTGAAAGGCTTCCACAGGGAACAAAACAAGGCCCCCTTTGAAAGCCTGTGTTTACCCCGGGTGCAGCCAGGGGTTGCCATGGCCACGGTCCACCTTGGCGGGCCAGGCCCGCCTGGAGCAGCCTCAGCGCCTGGCCGTCCCACCCCAATTCCTTCCTAGGGGACCCTACTGGCACCCCTCTCCTGGGCCCCCTTGACTGCTGGAAGCATGGATTTTCATCAAGTCCCCCAAGCTGAAAACATAATCCTGGAGAGACTGAAAGAGGATTAAGCCTCCCTCTGGGGCTCCTGAGAGAAAGACCAGGGGACTTGACCAGCCCTGTCCACACCCACCTCCGCTGTTGCTGTCCTGTCTCCTGGGCCAGTGACCCACCCGCTGCTAATGAGAATGACTTATTTATGTCATTCATTATCGCTATGTCCTGGAGCCAAGCAGCATCAGGGGAGGCCAGACCAGGAGTGGGGCAAAGAGGAAAGGGAGGGTCTCTCCTCTCAGCCTCAACCTGAATCTGTCAGGCCCTGTGGGCTGCGGGAAACCACAGAGGCCTTGTGACCCAAGGACAAAAGCGGCTGAGGACATGGCAGGACAGTGTGGACTCCCAGGGCCCCTGAGTGCACAAGCCTGGCCAGGGAAGCTCAGCCCTCCCTGGCTCCACATTCCTCCTTTGGCCCTTCCCCAGGAGAAGCCAGAGGGAGCAGAGGCTCTAAATAATTCAGCCCTCCAATTGCTCTGTGGTCAGAGCTTCTTCATTTATTTTTTAACTCTCCAGGCTCCACAGTTTCGCAATGGAAGCACTCTAATCCCAGCCCTCACAACCAGGTGCCTCTCAAGCCCCCAGCCCAGGATGGCAGGGAAGGAGGCACCCAACTTCTAGGATTCTGCAGACTCATCCCTAAGGTTCAACACATCTTGAGGCCTCAGGGACAGTGGCTGGGATGCAGATGGGCAGCGGGAGGAGAGGAGGCAGTGCTGGCTCCAGGGCTGTTTCCACAGAGCATGGCACTACTGTGCTGGCAGAACTGGATTAATAGAAAGACCTGAGCCGCAACCCGGGTGAGGCTCAGATCCACCTCTGTCAGCAGCTCCACTCTCCTGCGCACTGCTCCTCTAGCCTCCTATCTATCCTTTCTCAGGGCTTCTTCCTGCACCCCCAGCCCATCCCGCCCCCATACAGCCCTCCACGTTCATTCACACTTTTTTTTTTTTTGAAACGGTGTCTCGCTGTATCACCACGCTGGAGTACAGTGGCGTGATCTCGGCTCACTGCAACCTCCGCCTCCTGGGTTCAAGCGATTCTCCTGCCTCAGCCTCCCAAGTAGCTGGAACTACAGGCATACACCACCACGTCAAGCTAATTTTTGTATTTTTAGTAGAGACAGGGTTTCACCATGTTGGCCAGGATGGTCTCCATCTTTTGACCTCGTGATCTGCCCACCTCGGCCTCCCAAAGTGCTGGGATTACAGGTGTGAGCCACCGCACCCAGCCCTCATTCTTACTCTTAAAGGGCCTGGGCACCCTGCCATGGTTCCCTGGAATCAGCCTGGCCTCAGCTTCTATTAATAATATTAGTTAACATTTGATTGCACATTCATTTCATGTGATCCTCACAGTAACCACACAAAGCAGGTACTATGGATATCCTCATTTCACAAATGAGGAAACTAAAACTCAGGGAGGTTTAGAAATCTGCCCAGAGGCCTGGCGTGGTGGCTCACACCTGTCATCCCAACACTTTGGGAAGCCGAGTTGGGAGGATCACTTGAGCCCAGGGGTTCAAGACCAGCCTGGGAAACATGGTGAAATCTCATCTCTACAAAAAATACAAAAATTAGTGAGATGTGGCAGCATGCACCGGTAGTCCCAGCTACTCAGGAGGCTGAGGCAGGAGGATGCTTGAACCTGGGAGGTCTAGGTTGCAGTAAGCCGAGACTGTGCCACTGCACTCCAGCCTGGGTGACAAAGTGAGACCCTGTCTCAAAAAAAAAAAAACAGAAAAAGAAAAAAATCTGCCTAGAGGCTGGGCACAGTGGCTCCTGCCTATAATCTCAACACTTTAGGAGATTGGTAGGATCACCAGCCTGGGCAACATAGCAAGACCCTATCTCTACAAATAATTTTTAAAATTAGTCAGGCATGGTGGTGAGTGCCTGTAGTCCCAGCTACTCAGGGAAGCTGAGGTGGGAAAACCCCTTGAGCCCAGGGGATCCAGGCTGCAGTGAGCTGTGATGGTGCTACTGCACTCCAGCTGGGACGACAGAGAGAGACCTAGTCTCAAGAAAAACTAAAAAATAAATCTAAAATTCTGCCTAGGTAGGAAATAAGCATGAGAAGCCAAAAAATAAAATAAAATAATTGTAATAAAAAATTTGTTATAATCTGCCTAAGTCACACAGAGAGTGAAGAACAAGACTCAAAGCCAGCTGCCTAATCCCAGTCTTCAGGCCTTAACTCCCATGCTATATGGACACAGGCTGCACACACAGGATCCTCAAGCCCAGAGTCACAGGCACACAGCCAGTTGAGACAGTCTAGGGACAAGGACTTTGGTCTAGGGACCAAAGTGCCATATCCGGCCTAACATCCTTTCTCCATTACACAGTTTCAAGTGTAGAAGCATCTGTATTTACGCAGGTGATAAATACACGTTTACTCTCTGGTTTATGATGTCATGGCCTAACGCCCTATAAACCTAGCTTAACCCCAGCAATGCCCTGTGCTGGCCCCGGCCCTGACTACTCCCTCCCATCCCTGCTCCATGGCCTTCCAACAAACAGCTCGCCTGCCTCCACCAAGACTTTTAAATTCTCCCTCACAGCGTTATAATCCTTCCCATGCCCCTTTAGGGCAGTACAATCTCCATGATTCCTAATGAGAGAGCTGGCAGCACCATACCAGAGCACACATATGCAATACCTGATAGTTCTCAGTGTTCTTACAGACATTACCCAGCCAGCTCAGCAACCCTGAACCAGCTAAACATGGACAACAGCTTTTTATTTTATTTTTAAATTTTATTTATTTATTATTTATTTATTTATTTATTTTTAAGACAGAGTTTTGCTCTTGTTGCACAGGCTGGAGTGCAGTGGCGCTATCTCAGCTCAGCGCAACCTCTGCCTCCCGGGTTCGAGCGATTCTCCTGCCTCAGCCTCCTGAGTAGCTGGGATTACAGGCATGTGCCACCACGCCCGGCTAATTTTATATTTTTGGTAGAGATGGGGTTTTTCCATGTTGGTCAGGCTGGTCTCGAACTTCTGACCTCAGGTGATCTGCCTGCCTCAGCCTCCAAAATGCTGGGATTACAGGCACGAGCCACCGTGCCCAGCCTTTTTTTTTTTTTTTTTTTTTTTTTGAAAAGGAGTCTCACTCTGTCACCCAAGCAGGAGTGCAATGGCATGATCCTGGCTCACTGCAACCTCCACCTTCTGGGTTCAAGCGATTCTCCTGCCTCAGCCTCCAGAGTAGCTGGGACTACAGGAGTGTGACACCATGCCTGGCTAATTTTTGTATTTTAGTAGAGACGGGCTTTCACCTTGTTGGCCAGGCTGATCTTGAACTCCTGACCTCAAGTGATCTGCCTGCCTTGGCCCCCCAAAGTGCTGGGATTGCAGGCATGAGCCACCATGCCCGGTCTAGCTTTTTATTTTTTTGAGACGAGATCTCAGTCTGGGTGAAGACTGGAGTGCAGTGGAACAATCCCGGCTCACCGCAGCCTTGAACTCCTGGGCTCAGGTGATCCTCCCACCTCAGCCTCCCAAGTAGCTGGGACTACAGGCACACATCACCACGCCCAGCTAATTTTTCAAATTATGTGTAGAGATGTGGGTGGGGGGAGAGGGTCTCACTATGTTGCCCAGGCTGGTCTCGAACTCCTGACCTCAAGTGATCCTCCCACCTTGGCCCCCCAGAGTGCTGACATTACAGGCGTGAACCATTTCGCCTGACCTGAACAGCTTCTGGACGTGTCTGGCCAGCTCATATCCCTCCTGTGAGGACCGCCTCTACTCCCATTCACAGGGGAAAGCTCCTACCCCCTGGTGCTGCGTGATCATGCCCTCCTGGCCCCAGCTGACTGGCCCAGTGGTAGACAGCTGATCCACACAAGCCCATCAGACTCTCTCCTCAGGAGTTCACATCAAGGCTCAGACACCATTCAGTAACTAAGGGTTACTGGAAAGTGGACGGGTGTATTTGGGAGCTGAGGGGCCATACCACCTGGTGCACATCCACAGCAGCAGCGGCGTCCTGCAGGTGCACCATGCAGACTCACTGAGAACAGCTGCGTCAGCCACCCCCACCACACCCCCACACACCCCCGGCACTTGGGAGACCAGGCACTTCCTCCTTTGAGTCTTCAATTCCCCTATGGCTTCAAATAGCTCGAGCTGGTTTCTGTTACTTGCCTTCAGTAGAGTCTGAACTGAGAGACAAGCTGGCATCACTATCCTCCCTGTACAGATGAGGAAAGAGGCTCTAGAGGTGACTAAATCAACATCATATAGTCAACATGTAATAAAGGAGCCGTTAAAAACCCTGCCATGTGACTCTTCTTCAGTGCCATCCCATGCCTCCTTCCCTGGATTAAAGGAAGTGGCAGGTATTCCATTTCTGTCAGTGTTTAAAAAAAAAAAAAAAAATGGTGGCACAGTAAGCGATTCAGCCAGAGGCACTCCAATGGACTGAAGCTGGAAACAAGAAATTCAAAATCCTCTCCTTTAGATCGGCAAAGACAGCTCTTCTCTCCTCTACATTTGCCAGCCTTCCTTGCAGTGAGGTCGGCCCCATGTGACCAGCTCTGGACAATGTGAATGGAAGTAACAGGTGTCAGTTTCCTCCATCTCTCTCCTCCCCTCCCGCAGTAACCTTGAAGGCCCTATATTCCAGATGATGTGGCTACAGATGGAGGTGCACTGCCTGACCTACAAGACTTTCCACGAGCAAAAAATAAACCTAGATGGTGTCAAGCCCCTGGGATGTCAGGATTTGATTATTCCTGCAGCATAATCCAGCCTCTCCTGACTAAAGCACAGGAATTTTTCAGCCTGGGCCCTTCAGCAGGATGCTGCATTCATTTGTTTAACATTCATCTGTTTAACAAATATTTCTGGAGCAACAGTGCCAGGTGCTGTCATGGGTATAATCAAGGGCACAGTAGTTTTTAAAAAAATACAATAACTACCCTTAGGAAGCACCCTATCTGGTGACTCATAAGCCCCACTTGGGACTAAAAGAAACAGTTCTACAGGTGCAAAGCAGAACTCCCACGCAGCCCCTGGCTAACCTGAGCCCCAGAGAAGCTAAGCTGCCAGGAGGCAAAGACAGCTTGTCCTAGTGACTCCAGGAGGGTGGCAGCCAAGAGTGAGTTCACACCAGGCTTTCACACCCAAGGCTCTACCAACTCTACTCCTGCCAGCCGTGTGGCTGTAGACAAGTGCTTCCCTTGCTCTGGGCGCAGACACATGGGAGAAGGCATCAAGGAGGAGTCATCAAGAGAGCAGGTGGCTGATGGAAAACAGAAGCCGCAAAAGACACCACTCATCTTCCCCACCCTCCTCTGCAGCCGAAATGTCTCCTCTGGGAATCATCTCCCTGTTTCATTTTAACTGGAAAAGTCCCCCATGACTGAGCTTTTCTCCCCCTATCCCACATAGCAGAGGACTGAGCAGAGAAGTCATTATTCTGTCAGGAACTGGTGTCTGGGTATAGTCTCCTTTCTTTATGCCAAAAGCTAGATAAAAGTTAGGTAGACAGGGTTGCCATATACAGTTATGCAGGCTGTTCACTACAACGTGCCCATCCAAAGGGGCAAATGGAGCTCAAATCCAGCCTACACTCTGCCTACCAAGCTGTGTGACCTACAGGAAGAGCACCTTCTTCTAATTCACCCAAAGGTGTCTGCTGTATGCCACAGAAGAACTGGAGCCAGGGCTTCTCCATAACAGCAAAGGGAAGTTACTATACTAACCTCTCTACTTTTGTAGATGTTTGACATTTTTCACAGTAAAAGGTTAAAACCAAAACCAAATAAACACCTCACCAAGTGAGTGGGTGTGTTACTTGGCCAGGTTACTTAACCCTCAGCCTCAGTTCCCACATCCAAAAAGACAATAATCGCTGGCTCCTAGGGTCAGTATAAGGACTAAACTAAATTACATAAGTAGCATGTTTGACATGGAGCAAGTCCTCTTACAAATGGGAACTATTAACAGTAGCCACTGCTGATGGCTGGGGCCAGGAAGGAAAACGAGGTGAATGGGGACAGAGGGACATTGTCTAAAAAAGCAAGCCTTTGGGAAATGTGTGTGGAGAAGCCAGAGTCCGAAAATAAGACCACCCTATTCATGTTCCTAAATTGAGCCTGGGGGGCAGGGCTGGTCTGAAGGAGTTCTCATGCAACCCCTTCTTCGGTGGCAGCCTTTACACTTCCCTGGGGACCCCAGGCTCGGCTCAGAATCCAAATTAAGGTCAGTGATCCACAGAAAGGCCACAAAGAGTGGCTTAGAAAAGGATGTGCTCCCGGCCTCCCGGCAAACTCAGAGAAGGGCCCGGCAGCTGGGAGGTGGAGCTGGCTGGGCTGGGAGTGCTCACATCTGAAGTCCTGAAAGAGAACAGGACTTTTCCTAAGATGTTCCAGGAGGTCAGCCATTAGCACAGAGAGGACACCTGCCACCTTCATGGGGTGCGAATGGCCCACTCACATCCCTGTAGGTCAAAAACTATTTTTGAATTGTCTAGTTTTTTTTCGTTTGTTTGTTTGGTTTGATTTGTTTTTTGAGACAGAGTCTCGCTCTGTCGCCCAGGCTGGAGTACAGTGGTGTTCTCTCAGCTCACTGCAACCTCCGCCTCCTGGGTTCAAGTGATTCTCCTGCCTCAGCCTCCCAAGTAGCTGACACTACAAGCATGCACCACCACACCCAGCTAATTTTTGTACTGTTACTAGAGATGGGCTTTCACCATGTTGGCCAGGCTGGTCTTGAACTCCTGACCTCAGGTGATCCACCCGCCTTGGTCTCCCAAAGTGCTGGTATTACAGGCGTGAGCCACCACACCCGGCCAAATTGTCTAGTTTTATGAGATGAATTTTTATGTTAATGTCTTCAAAATAATCACTGCTGCCGGGCGCTGTGGCTCACGCCTGTAATCCCAGCACTTTGGGAGGCCGAGGCGGGTGGATCACGAGGTCAGGAGATCGAGATCATCCTGGCTAACACGGTGAAACCCCGTCTCTACTAAAAATACAAAAAATTAGCCAGGCGTGGTGGCAGGTGCCTGTAGTCCCAGCTACTCGGGAGGCTGAGGCAGGAGAATGGCATGAACCCAGGAGGCGGAGCTTGCAGTGAGCCGAGATCGCGCCACTGCACTCCAGCCTGGGTGACGGAGTGAGACTCTGTCTCAAAACAAAACAAAAACAAAAATGATCACTGCTATATGTGAATTTTACCAGTAGTCTATTTTTAACGACATGCCTCCCTATTCTTTTCCCTTCAAGGCCTTAGGTTCCAGAGCCTTACCAGGATGAGAGGGCTGATGGTGACAGTGGCAGTGACCGGAAGCTGGGAGCCCTTCCCAAAGCCCCTGGAGGGAACTCACCACTAGCACGAACCGCCAAGGCCCTGGGTGCCAGCCTAGTGCCCGCCCTAGGAGACTGACATGGAAGGCTTCTGGCTTCAGTCAAATGCCATCTCACTCATTTGCCTCTCCTTTCTTTCTTTTCCAGAATTAAAGCTCATAGGATGATTCATTCTCTTATTAAATCAGCTCATGAGAAAAAGGGAAGTCACCCGAGTTCCCATCCCTCTCTCCACCAAACATAAGCCACGCTGTGGCTCATTCCCCATATGCATTTAATAGAAATGCTACCACAAGGAAGAAATTCCACTAAGAACCCCACCCTTCACCTTTCCTTTCATGTCTCAAGAATTCACCATCCATGGCAGTTTTCTAAGTTTCTAAGGCTGCCAGGGGGAGAGGTGAGTTGGAATTTAAAGATAAGTTCCCAAATAAAATGGGATAGGAGGGGAAAGAGTCACGTGGCTCTTAAATCCACATACATGCAACCCTCAAAGCAGATAGTAAAAATCCACCCCAAAAAAAATCCTTCTCTATCTCTGCCAGATCTCCTCAGCTCTGCCCCACACTTAGAAACAGCTGTTTCCCCAGAACTCCAAAAAAAACTCTCATATATTCCATCCCTCATTGTTTCCAAGACTGTGATCTGTACACTTAATCTACCTCTAGGCTCAGTTTATCCCTCCCTGGGACTGTCAAACAAGAACAGTAACAGTCAAAGAATAAGAATCCTAACGCTACAATATTGTAAATACATCTATGGACTCAGCCTCCTGGCTTTGGAGCTCAGATCCTGCCTCCTCAGCTAACTAGCAGTGTGACCTTACGCAAGTTAACTTAACCTCTCTGTGCCTCGGTCTCCTCCTGCATAAAGTGATGATACTACTGTCTCATCTAGGATTGATTACATAAATTAATATTCCCAAGATGCTTAGAAAGCTTACTGGCATATGCAGTAAGCATGCAATAAATGTTAGTTATTATTATTTATTTTTTTATATATATATATTTTTTTTTTTTTTTTTGAGACGGAGCTTCGCTCTTGTTGCACAGGCTGGTGTGCAATGGTGCGATCTCGGCTCACTGCAACCTCTGCCTCCCAGGTTCAAGTGATTCTCCTGCCTCAGCCTCCTGCGTAGCTGGGATTACAGGCATGCGCCACCACGCCCGGCTAATTTTGTATTTTTAGTAGAGACAGGGTTTCTCCATATTGGTCAGGCTGGTCTCGAACTCCCGACCTCAGGTGATCTGCCCGCCTTGGCCTCCCAAAGTGCTGGGATTACAGGCGTGAGCCACTGCGCCTGGCCATTAGCCATTATTAGACTATTACAAGAATCTTGTGCCACAGAGATTATTCTTACCAGCTCTATTTAACATATGTAGTCAATAGCCATGTGTTGTTGTGGAGTATAATAATAGATTAGCCTCAAGAAAACTATAAATTAACAAACTAAGTGACCTGCTCAGAATGACACAGCCCACACATGGCAGAGCTAAGACTGGAACTCCAGTCATCAACTCCTTTGCACACTCACACATTTCACACTTTAACACACTGTCTCCTTCAGGCATGGAGATTTGAGAAGTCCCACGGATCAGCATCAAGAACAGATTTCAATCTCTACAGAGCGACAGTATCTCCAGGAATCTTTCAAGATTCACCAAACAAAATTCATTTCCATTCGTCTTCATATTCCACGAAAACACACCAAAGCTGCCTTAGGGAGAGGGTGTCGCCCCATCAGAGGTGTCAAGGACCATGCAAGGCCAGGGGTCACACTGGCCTCAACAATGTTTCAGACAAAAACGGCTCCCTTGGGAGGCTCCGAGGCTGTCATCGATTTGCTAAAGGTCAGTACGGATCATTTGGGAATGGATTTGTGTAGGCATGGCCTAAGACACATGGACTTCTGCCAAGCCTATATATTTTTTTCAAAACATCTGCACTGTCTTCACCCTTGATAAATAGCAGCCAGGCTACAGAAATATTTCCATTACGCACAAAAGCCTGCTTTGCCACCACAACTCATTGAAATGGATGTTTCCAACTTGAGAAGAACTCTTCAATGAAAACATCTAAAAACACCCCAATCTTCCAGCAGAGGCAACCAATCTAGCATTCAGGAAACCTTTAAACACTAGTAAATAATATTTGTGGAAACAAATTCTTTGGTAGACATATGCCCCCATGCCCAAAGTCTAACTATATCTAATAAATAGGTTAAGCCCATTTCTTCTAGCTGTATTATGAACATTCATGCAAAGACATCCGCATAAACATTTTTGTAAAGGTTTTCCCATATTTCCAGAATGTGGTGAAATCTCCTTATGGCCATGCTGAAAAGAATTGGAATAAAAAGAATTTAACATTGTAGCCCTGGCTTTACCACTAAGTAGCTGTGTGATTTCACAAAATGAAAATAATAACAATAACAGCAGCAGCTAACATTTAATGAGGACTTACAATATGCAAAACATTGTGCTAGGGGCTTAATAAGTATTTGGTAGTAATTAACAATCATTATGTAATATTTTGGCCGGGCGTGGTGGCTCATACCTATAATCCCAGCACTTTGGGAGGCTGAGGTGGGCGGATCAGTTGAGGTCAGGAGTTCAAGACCAGCCTGGCCAACATGGTGAAACACTGTCTCTACTAAAAATACAAAAATTAGCTGGGCATGGGGTAATGGAGGGCGCCTGTAATCCCAGCTACTCAGGAGGCTGAGACAGGAGAATTACTTGAACCCGGGCGGGTGGAGGCTGTGGGTGACAGAGCAAGACTCCACCTCAAAAATAAAAAATAAAAAAAAAACACCAAAAAACCATTTGGTAATATTATTACTCCCACTGTATGGATCAGGAAACTAAGACTCAGAGAGATTGAGTAACTTGCCCCAAGAACACAGCAGCAACTAGCAGAGGCTGGGATGAAGCACAGGCATTCTGATTCAGTATTCTTAATTACATACCATTGGTCTTTTCAAAGCACTTAACGACCCACAACCTCAGATTCCTCCAGGAGCCAACCAAGCAAGCAGTCTTCAGAATCCTTTCCAGCTGTAAAATTCAGTGATTCTCTCTTTTCAAAATAAAATGAATTTATAACTTTGAGAAATAAAATGTAATGATGCTCTAGTACTGCTGAGGGAAGGAAACATCTGTGTATGCCTCACCCAGAACCAGTCAGGGGAGGAAAACTGCTGATTTTCTAGGGTAATGATGTCCTGTGAACCAACCAGACTGGCCTCAAGCCGTCTCAGGAAAAATGACAGCTTGAAGTTCTCAAAGGATCCACCAACATGCAAAGGTCTGCAAGTTCGCAACTATCAGTTCTCAAACTTTAATTTGACTTTTTTTTTTTTAAAGGAAACTCATATGCAAGAAAATGCTGCACCGTAGAGGCTGATCTTAAGAATGCCAGTACAAGATGTATGTTGACTCTGTGGCATGCTCACACTTGCTTTCCTTTCAGGTGTACACCTGCTCAGGGAAAATCCACCCGGCCCAGGCAATCTGTTTTAAGACTTCCCTAGCTCGAGGCTCAGTGGTCCTGTAATTGGGTGGGGGTTTTGTCCTTTGCACATCTGATATCTTCATACGCTCCCTCCTGCTCATCATCACCAGCCCGGTCTCTGGACACACAAACACGCAAGTGCTGCCTTCCCCAACTCCATCTCGGACGCATCTTCTTCCTCTCTCTGCTCAACACAGGAGTTCCCTGTTCACACACCTTGCCATTGGCTGACACAGCCAATGGTGAAACTCCCCCAGCTGACCCTCCCTGGAGCTCACTAGCTCTCTCCCAGCTGTGGGTACAGCCTGAAACCGAAACTAATCTCAGACCAGAGCAAAGTGAAATCATTTCAGGAGCCTGATCACCCTACATGACCACAGAGAGGCTTCCCCTTAACAGAGCTCCAAATCCAGCTTGCTGGTCACCAGGAGAAAAAAAAAAAAAAAAAGCTTTGCAGTGCCCTCCTAACATCAAATACTTTCTTAATGAATAGGGAATCATGGGATTAGAGGAGGAAGCAAAAGTTCTTGCCGTCGTGTTTGCTGCTGCTACTTCTCTCTTATTTGCACAAGTCTATTTCAGTTCACCCCGTGAGCTAAAGTTCACCACCCGGTATTATTTTTAAACTCATTGTCCAGCATCCGTTCATATTTGGTTCACTCTTAATCAGATTATCTTCCAAGAGCAAGCTTTGTTCTCTTCTGAGATCCCTGTAACCATCTTGCTGTAATGTGGCTGAGACTGTTATACTACATGTTTTTCGTAAATTTGAAAAACGAAGCGTTTTACTTTTGTGCTCGAGCCAGGCACGGTGGCTCACACCTGTAATCCCAGTACTTTGGGAGGCTAAGGCGAGTGGATCTCTTGAGCTCAGGAGTTCGAGACCAGCCAGGCCAACATGGTGAAACTCCATCTTTACTAAAAACACAAAAAAATTAGCTGTTTGTGATGGCGTATGTCTGTAATCCCAGCTTCTCGGGAGGCTGAGACACAAGAATCATTTGAAACTGGGAGGCAGAGGTTGCAGTGAGCTGAGATCACACCACACTGCACTCCAGCCTGGGTGAAAGAGCAAGACCCTGTCTCATAAATAAATAAATAATAAAAAATAAAAACACTTTTGTGCTTGGAACAATACAAAAGAAAAAAAGCAAAAGCCATTATGACTGAACATAATGTCAGGCCTTGATGATCCTTCAAAGAAGTATAAATGTTGAGAAGGATCCTAAACTGTGTTTTCTCTTCTTACCCTTGCCCCCAGCATACTTGTGGGCAGCTTTCTTTGTGGCTAGGCAGTATTATGAAAAAAAGCCTACTGTCAGCTTAAGCAAAACAGAATAAGAAGGGTTAAGTGCACTGGCCTAACAAGGGTATGGTCAAAGAGAAATTAAGTCTTGGATTATCTGTTATTTACTCATTCATCCAACAAAGTTTACTGAGGGCCTCATATATATGCCTAAAACTCTTCTAGGTGCATCTAGGAGATAACCCACTAGCTCCAACTGAGAGTGCCATTCTCAGAAACACTGTGTGTATGGGGGCTGATGCTTTCTGTATTCCAATACCAAGACAAATGCTCCACTACTTCCAGGTTTCCTGAGCTCTCCTCACACGGCTTGGACTCCATCCCCGAGAGCTGTAGGTCCCTCCCAGTGAGCACCCCCGGGTGATGCTGACCAGGAACATTGCGGGCCAGGGTCACCTGGCCCAGAGCTGTTGGGCAGACTCTGTTTGTGCCTTGGCTCACTCATTCATGGATGAGCTGCTCAGTGTTATCGGGCATTCTTCAATCACTCCAACAGTCAAAGGAGGGGTTAGGCCAAATTTAAGTAATCTTCTAGCTCAAAAATTCCAGCTCCTTTTATCCTCCGATCACCGAGCTGACATGGACCTCTAGGGGCCTCTACTTCATCTTCCTGTCTCCAGATGAAACCTCTTAAACCACAAAGACAAATGAAACTTGTTCCCATTTCTGAAGACCTTCAGGGGAGGCCATTCCCCTCTGTGCCTATGAGTCACTTTTCTTACATCTCACATCCTATCTGGAATGTCTTCCTCATACCTTACTTGAATCCTCCCTCTGTAGTTTAAATTCATTTGCCTCTGGTTCTAAGTGCAGAGAGACAAGAGTGAATCACTGTGTTCTGAGCAATGACTCTTAAGGGACTTTTATGTCTTCTTCACCATGTTCACTGCAGGCATTACAAGAGGTGGCAGTGTTTCTCAGCTGTTAAAAACCACAAAGGCATCAGGAAAGCTGACCACACTGCCCAGTTCCTGCCTCACCCTGGCAAGGGTGCTACAGAATCCAGAAAACCTGACCCTTCTCTGAAACCCACACCGCTACTTAGCTCTACTCAGAGTTCACCAAGGGGGAGAACAATGTGCTCCCATGCCAGATCAAAAGCCCAGGAGGCAGCAGCCACTTTATCTTGTCCTCACTCAGCTCAAGCGGCCCCTCCTCCAGGAAGCCTTCCCTGCCCCAACTCCTCTTCTGGCTGGCAAAGTGCCCCCTTCCTCAGTGCTTTGTCTTATCGCAGCACTTGCCACAGAAACTGAAATTCCAGGCTAACATGTTTGTCTCCCTTACTAGACAGGAGGCATCTTGAAGGCAGGGGCCATGGCTTGATGACCTTTGTGCTCCAGGATGGGCCCCAGCAGAGTATCTGGCACTTGGCCAGTGGTTCTCAGCAGACTCTGTTAAGCTGAACCCTCCAGGCATGTTCCAACGATGCCTGGACATTGCACTGGCAGCCCTTCAAGCAGGACACAAATCCCACAACCCCCCCAGCTCCACCCTCCCCCACCACGACCACCCCCGAGCTCAGTAGGGGTGTCTCTGACATACTTTTTTTTTTTTTTTTTTTTTTTTTTGAGGTAGGGTCTTGCTCTGACACCCAGGCTGGAGTGCAGTGGTGCAATTTCAGCTCACTGCAACCTCGGCCTCCCAGGCTCAAGCGATCCTCCCACCTACGCCTCCTGAGTAGCTGGGACTACAGATACATGCCACCACGCCTAGCTAATTTTTGTAGAGATGAGGTTTCACCATGTTGCCCAGGCTGGTTTAGAACTCTTGAGCTCAAGTGATCTGCCAACCTCAGTCTCTCAAAGTGCTAGGATTACAGGCATGAACTACCACACCCAGCCCTGACAGTTTCTCTAAGGGTGTGGGCCTGCAGCCAGACTTCCTGAATTCAAATCCTGGCTCTGCCACTTTCTAGCCATGTGATCTTGGGCAAGTTATTTAAACTCTTGATGTCTCTTATGTCTCTATTTCTTCACCTGAAAAATTGGTATAATATCTCATAGGTCCTGTGAAGATTCAACGAGCTAATCCATGTGAAGTACTTGGAAAGGGTCCGACCCCTCTGTGAGTGCTGCAATGATTATTTCCCAAGCCTATCCCTTCACAGAAACCCTTGGCCCCCACAGCTTCCACTCTTTTCGTTTTTGAGACAGAGTCTCACTCTGTCACCCAGGCTGGAGTGTAGTGGCGCGATCTCGGCTCACTGCAACTTCTGCCTCCTGGGTTCAAGCGATTCTCCTGCCTCAGCTTCCCAAGTAGCTGGGACTACAGGCGCCTGCCGCCAAACCTGGATAATTTTTTTGTACTTTAGTAGAGACGGGGGTTTCACCATGTTGCCCAGGTTGGTCTTCAACTCCTGAGCTCAGGCAATCTGCCTGCCTCAGCCTGCTAAAGTGCTAGGATTACAGATATGAGCCACCGTGTCCAGCCTCTTTTTTATTTTTTTATTTATTTATTTTTTTTTTTTTGAGACAGAGTCTCGCTCTGTCGCCCAGGCTGGAGTGTAACGCTGTGATCTCTGCTCACTGAAACCTCCGCCTCCTGGGTTCAAGCTATTCTCCTGCCTCAGCCTCCTGGGTAGCTGAGATTACAGGCGCCCACCACCATGCCCGGCTAATTTTTGTATTTTTAGTAGAGACAGGGTTTCACCACGTTGGCCAGGCTGGTCTCGAACTCCTGACCTCAGGTGATCCGCCCGCCTCGGCCTCCCAAAGTGCTGGGATTACAGGCGTGAGCCACTGCACCCTGTGAGCTTGCACTCTTGACTGCCTATTGGGCCTGCCCCGATCTCCTGACTAGGTTCCCTTCCTCCAGGGAACTCTGCCCTGTTCCTCTGGACCAATGTTAGTATTAACTTTATGCCATTCAACCCTTCTCACTGGTTATGCCTCCTCACCCCTCCCCCAGCTTACAGGGCAAATTCTCCAAAGAAAAGGAAAAAGAGTTGGTTCCACAGCAGGGCTACAGATGCTGAGTCATTCTGCCCCCAAATATGCTTAGCTGTCACCCATGACATTTCAGTCTCCCCACCCCCGCCTCCACTGTGCGGTCCTCTCTGCTCATCATTCAAGAGCCTCACCCCACCCCCTCCCACTCTTCCAAAATCCACCCTCAGCCTCTACAGTTTTTACCAAAGATTTTCCTTAATAATGAGCCTCAGAATTTGTGTACCGCTGTGCAGAAATGGCAATAATAATAATAGCTTCGATGTAATGAACACTTCCTCTTTGTCTGGCATACACATGAGATCTCTTTTAACTCTTTCTAAATATAGGAAACTCTGGCACTTACAAAGTCTTAGAGTAAGATGGAGAGCTGGGATTCTACCTGGAGATGCCTAACTTCAGATCTTACACTCTAAACAACTAAGCTATGATGAAAATGTGCACAAAATAACTCAGTTGCTTCCTGGGGGTGGAAGTTAAGCCAGTGGAGTTGGAACTTTTTTTTTTTTGAGACAGAGTCTCACTCTGTTGTCCAGGCTAGAGTCCAGTGGTGCAATCTCAGCTCACTGCAACCTCCGCCTCCCGAGTTCAAATGATTCTCCTGCCTCAGCCTCCCAAGTAGCTGGGGTTACAAGTACGCACCACCATGCCCGGCTAATTTTTTGTATTTTTAGTAGAGATAGGTTTCACCATGTTGGCCAGGCTGGTCTCGAACTCCTGACCTCAGGTGATCCACCCGCCTCAGCCTCCCAAAGTGCTGGGATTACAGGCAGGAGCCACCACGCCCAGCCTAAACATTTTTATCTTACCAAGAATTCCTCAAAGACCCTTGGTGCTGCCACAATGCAAATGAAATGGTCACATTTATAAGAAGGGAGTTTATATTTACAAGGACTGTTATCACATTTATCATTTATGACCTGCTTTAAAGATAAGACATTTAGCTGCATCATCAAGAGTCTGTGATAATGCGCTGACACATCAGAGGTTCTGGGAGCCTGGAAGCCAAGGGGATCAGAGAAACACTGAGTGAGCCAACACAGCTAGCATCCTGAACTCACCAACCCATGGTAGCCAGGGCCACAGCATGACTGAGAAGTCATGGCCACTGGGGAAGGTGAATCCTCAGTCACTGCAACAAGGACTTTGCATGCCACCAAGA
This sequence comes from Homo sapiens, assembly GCF_000001405.40. NCBI lineage: Eukaryota > Metazoa > Chordata > Mammalia > Primates > Hominidae > Homo > Homo sapiens. The sequence continues at coordinate 57,952,130 of NC_000017.11, forward strand.
CACTTTCAATTCCCAAGTCAAGGACCACTGGACCACAGCGCTTTAGGGTCTCCAATGCCCTTCATTTTATTTTATTTTATTTTATTTTATTTATTTATTTATGTTTTTTTTTTGGAGACAAAGTTTTGCTCTTGTCATCCAGGTTGGAGTGCAATGGCACAACTTCGGCTCACTGCAACCTCCACCTCCCAGGTTCAAGCAATTCTCCTGCCTCAGTCTCCTGAGTAGCTGGGATTACAGGCACACGCCACCACACCCAGCAAATTTTTGTATTTTTAGTAGAGACGGGGTTTCACCATGTTGGCCAGACTAGTCTTAAACTCCTGACCTCAGGTGATCCACCCCCCTCGGCCTCCCAGAGTGGTGGGATTACAGGCATGAGCCACCGCATCCGGCCTCCAATGCCCTTTATAGCTCTTGCTTCCTGTAAGTGCAAGAGCCAGCAACACAGAAGCACCACCTCCTCCAGCTCACCTTGGATAGTCAGAGGTGACCCCTGTCAGACACCCAGCTTCCTGTGCCCCAAGGCTCTAGAATACTCCTGCCTCTGCTGCTTATTACCAGAGCAAATGTAGGAAGCTCTAAAGGAAGAATACCAGTGTGAGTGCTGCCATATGCCAAACACTGTGCTCTCTAGTTAAACAAAGAAAAATCCCCTACAGCTCTCTGTGGGGGACTTGAGCCTAAGGAAGTCTTCTCAGTCCCAAGGTAGAGAAGTCACAAATGGCAGATCGTCCTAAAGCTCTTCCAGATCCCTAGCAAGTGTAGATGCCACAAACACCTATGCAGCAGCCCAGGACCCAGTGAGCCAAGAAAGGAAAGGCAGGCCAGGCCTCCTCTGGCCTGGGGCTGCACTGGGGATAGTGACAGCAGCCCTCTGGCCCCCACTTGCCTTCAAGAGTCCAAAGGGATCTAAGGAACCGACAACACCCAGATCATAGCCTTGGACAATTCTGCCCCAAGACCTCCTTAAGAGTCGTCTTTCACACTTAACACTCTCTACTAAAGCACCTCAACCCCATTTCCCCAAGAACAAGCTGGAGCTCTTAAAGGCCTGGATCTCACACCCAGCTGAAACACCAGAATATCCACCTCCACCCAAATCCCTTTATTTACCTCTAATTCAATAGACCAGTGGGCCTAGTCCAGTGCCCAGGGCCTTCCCACCACACAGACAGCAAAATGAGCCCCTGGAAAAGGGCCACCTCATCTGCCCCCATCCTCTAGCTAGCTGTAGGGAGCTGGGATCTGTCCAGACACTCCAGGTCTCCATGGCCACAAGCCCAAAGTTGCATAGGGAGGTCATGAGAAAAGACCTTAGAAGCAGTCTGCTCTTTGAACCCTGGGATTATTCACTGACCAGCCAAAAAGGTGACAACTGTTCTGATGGCCCAGGTCAGACCAGTAACTCTAGGGCAGAGGTCTCAATGGAGGTCCTGGTTCCAAGGGGGTATATTAACCGTCTGGTGTTGAATACAGGTGTCTCCCTACACACATGCATTTTGGAAGGAGAGGAGTTAGAGCTTTCACCAGATTCTCAAAGGGGCCCATGACTCCAACCTCTGGCCCTAGTTGGCCTGGCCCAGGAGCTGGGGATACAGCCCTAGTCATATCAACATCCCTGGGCCATCCTCGCTGTCCAGGGTCTCTCTTCTATTCAAGGATGTGCCCAGGTCGGTAGCAGTATCCTGTTTCCCTTGTCCTGGCCCTTCCAGCTGCAGAAAGTGGACAGCGGGTTTCACACCCAGCCCTGCTGCACACGCTCCAGCTTCCTGGAGACCCGAGCCAGGTTTCTCCCAGCAGCACCTCTCCATCCCAGAGATGGCACCATATTCAAACTGAGGTACCAGTGGCACTGACCCCCAACAACAGAGAGGACCCAGCTTCACACTTGATCCAGCAGGGGCCCAACCACATGGTGAGATGACTTCCTCCGTGAGAGAATTCCTGGGGTCCCTCACCTCCTTCAGGCACAGCTGGCTATAAAGAAAAGGGGTGAAAGGCCCAGTACATCTCCCTGAGTCCTTTCTCCTGGGCCAGGTGGCTCAGGTGCTGCGGGATCACCCAGGGAAGGCTCATTCCTCTCGCTACAAGACGCTGACTGCGGATCAGGTGGGGAGCACGGTGGATGGTCTTCTTGTATCCTCTATCGCCTCCAGGGCATCTTGTTTCTAAACTCCCAGGGAGTCCCCTCATCTTCTACTCCACTACTCCACCAAAAAAAGGAAAATCTAAACCCTCCCTCCCCTTAAAACACATTCCGTCTCAGGAATTTAATTTCAGTGTACGTTTCTTAGAGCTAAAACTTTTTTTAAGGGGAAAAGAAATGGGCAGGGCAGTGCTGGGTGTAAGGCGACCACGCGACCGAGAAAAGGAAGAGGGAGGAATGAATAAACGCTGACACCAGCCCCCCTTGGAGCTCAGAGCCTGGGGCACAGGAGCCGGCGGGGCGGGCGAGCAGGGGCGGGGACAGCGCATTCCCAACTTTCCCTGGCCGAGCTGACGGGAGATACAGCTCCCAGGGGACCGGGAGGGACCAAAAAAGGCTGAGCCGACCTGTGACATCGGCGGGGGGCAGGAAGCGAAGCTCCCCTCCCCCTGAAAGGCGCTCGGCTCCCAGCAGGCGCCCCCGCCTGCCGTCGCCGCCCAGCCTGCGCCCCCAGGCCCGGGCACTGCGGGGAGGGGCGCCCACACAAAAGGGGGAGCGGCGGGAGAGGGGACTCGGGCGAAGCCGGCTCCGGGAGGCCTCGTCTCCCTTCCCTGCGGCGCTGGCCCGCGCCCCCCGGTCTAATCGCGCGCCCCGCTCCCGGCCCCCCAGATGCCCGCACGCCCCCCGCGCCCGGGGCCCGGGATGAGGTGGGGGCTCGGGAAGGAAGGGCGGGCGGGGACCTGCCGCACGCGGAGCTCCCGGGGAGCCGCGCCGACAGCCCCGGGAATCAAACTCGCGACGGCCCGGCCCTCCCGGCGGCGCCTGGGCAACGGGTCCCGAGAAGGTGGGGCCGCTGGGCCGGGGCCGCGGCCGGGATTGCGCGCGGGGCGCCGGCGAGGACCGCGCCCGGGGCCGGGCGGGAGCCGCGGGAGCGCGGGGGTCTTACCGGGCAGCGCCACGCGCGTCCGCTCCGCGCGGGCCGCAGGGGCCGGGCCGCGGGCCGGGCGGGGGAGGGGCTGCAATCCGCAGCGGTGGCGGCGGGGCCAGGCTCGGCGGCGGCGGCGCGGCTGGGGCGCGGGGAGGCGGAGAAAGTGAGGCGAGGCCGGCTTCCTAGCGGCGGGCGGCGAGAAATGCAGCTGTCCCTGCGCGGCTGCCGGCAGGGCCACAAGTGGGGCCGCGCGGGGAGGAGCGGGGCTGCGGGCGGGGCGGGGCGGGGGCCCGGCTGCGGCGCCCCCGGGCCCTTTCCCTATGGCCGACCCCTTTCCAGAGAGGAGGGAAGCGGACCTGGGGGTCCGGAAACCTACATGGTTGCCGGGGGTGGAGAGGGGAGCACCCAGTGAAGGCTGGAAAAATGCCCTCCGTGTACCTCCCTCCCCGGCCGCAGTGACTCCCTAGCTTGCGGGCAGGAGGGCGTGAGCGGGGTGCCTCGACCTCCCGCGCAGAGCGGGGTGCGGGGCATCCTGCCCCTCCCAGCTGCGGAGAGGGTGGGCGGAGGAGACCTGAGACCTCCGAGACTCCGCGGGGAGCTAAGAGCAGGGCTGCCCGACAGGTTCCAGGTCAGTGCCAGGAACCCAGGGTGAGGACGCACAGCTGGGGCTTGGGACACAGGTGTGGAGGAGGGGCACCTCCCTGGAATTAGGGCCCCGGAAAGGAAACCAAATCAAATGCTGAGGACACAGGAGATGGTGGGAAGGGGGAGCAAATCAAAGCTATCACTCGTCCACACCGACAGATACCACCTGCCATCTCCCATTTTCTCCTCCCCCAACCTCCCCAGCATCCCTGATCACTTCAAGGGCTGCTGAGCCCTGGGAAGATTTTCCACGGAAGAACTTGTTTAATAAATGGGAAACTGACCTTTGCTATACTTTTCCCACGTGCTTTCATTTCAGACTCCAATTTGGGAGTAGGTAGCCTAGGTCAGGTGGTGACCACCAAGCACCCTGCTACCTAGGGGATCTGAGGAGGGTGAAGAAGGCCAGATGCAAACTAAGCTCTGTCCCCAAACAACTTGCAAAGGGTCTGCACCCTCCTCCTGGAAAAGTCTGCCTTACAGACCCATTTGCCCATCTGGGCCCAGAACCCCAGGAATAGCCCCCCTCTCCCCTCCTCTGAGCGCTTGCAATTTGCTAGCCTTGCTGAGACAGATCGACACGCTCAGCCTCAGAGACAGCTGATGGTAAAAACCACAAACCAAAGTGCCCCAGACACCAATGTGTTTCCATCATTTGCATGTCAAGGGCAAGTTTCTTCAGCAAGGTGGGAAACTGGGAGGGGGAGAAACCTCAGAACCACACCCTCCTCGGGGAGGCCCAACGTTAGGTTAGCATGTTGAACGGAACTCCAGGACTGGGTTTCCAAACCCCTCTGAGGATCTCCTCTCTCCTGCTCCTCTCTCCCCACACTTCACTCCCTGGTGCATTCAATTTCCGGGGGAGGCAGGGTGCTTGAAATCCCAGAAGATGGTCTTCAGGCCCCAGGTTAAAGATTCTTAATCCGAAGGGACAGACCCATGCCTCTATACTGACTCCTGGCTCCTTTCCCAGGTTGTAACTGAGAGCTCAGGATTTGTCCGCCTGGCCAATATAGTCTAGATTATGTTATCAAGTGTATTACCTTACACTTACCCATAGTGCAGTTCATTTGTCACTTTCCTGCTTACTTGCAAGATCCCTCTGCAGTTCATTCCTGTCACCTTGGCATTTCAGGAGCAGAAAAATGCATCTGCAAACCTGGAGATTTCCATTTGCACTCGCCTATGGATTGCTCATAATTTTTTTTTTTTTGAGACGGAGTTTCGCTCTGTCACCCAGGCTGGAGTGCAGTGGCACGATCTCAACTCACTGCAACCTCCGCCTCCCAGGTTCAAGCAATTCTCCTGCCTACGCCTCCTGAGTAGCTGGGGTTACAGGTGGGTGCCACCACGCCCGGCTAGTAAAATTTTTAAATACATTATTATTATAGTCATTAATAAAACCAGTTGCTCTAATGGACACTCTTCCTTGAAGCACACTTTTCTTGGGCTTTGCTAACATACTCCTCCTTTTGGGTCTGTCCTTCTGGAAGCTTTTTCTCAGACCCCTTCCCTGCCTCTCACAACTTCCCCACCCCCAGACACCTCCACCCACTCCCACCACTGCCTCTGAGCCCCCAGGGCTCCAGCCCCTCACACCAGCCGCCTACAGAGGGCCACCTGTGAGTCTCCCAGACACCTAAAACTCAAGGAGGCTAAAGGCGACTGAGACCGCTTCCCTACCTAAGCCACCTCCTCCTACTCTCCTGAATCCACCTCTGGCTCAGAGGCTGGAAGCCTCTGTCTCCTGTGCAGCTTCCCTGGCCCTCCACTGGTTATCAGATCCTGTTCATTTCTCCTTCTCTCACCGCCTCACTCCTCCACTTCTGCCTGGTTCAGGCCCTATTGTCTCTGCTCTTCCAGAGATGTCCCTTTTGCTTTCCAGCCCAACCTCCTATGTGCTTCAGGAAACTCTGTTAGTTCTTCTTTCTCCTCCCCTCTGCTTCAAAACTACAAACACTTCAGGATACCCCCTTCTAAGGGAACCTGGCCCCAACCCTGCCCTGCCCTCAAGTCATTGCCCTGTTTCTCTCTTCTGCATTCATCAGTAGGCCTCCCCTAAGAAGCAACCAGACCCACTCTCTGCTTCTTCAAGCCCTATTCAATCCTCAACTTCCTACAATCTGACTTTCTTCCCCTTCATCCTAGGGGAAGGTGATTTTTACAGGGAGGCACCGGCATCTTTCTAGGGGAAGATGCCTTTCCAAGGGAGGCAACCTTAGGCTCCTCATTGTTTCAACCCATGGGCCTCCTCCCTATCCCATTCCTTCACTCCATTGGAGCCCTGGATGTTGCTAACGCCTCCTTGAAACCATTCCCACCCTCATGGCTTCCTAGCCTCTGCGTCTTTCTATCCATTCCCTCATTTCTTCAGCTCTGCCTGCCCCAGGGGTTTCTCCAAGGCTGAGTCCTCTAACTTTCTAACCAACCCCTCTTTCCAGATGTTCTCACAGGGGGAATAGAGTGGGGCAGGTACCAACCCCTCATGGCTCCACTTGCAGACTGCATATATATATATATATATATATATATATATATATATTTTTTTTTTTTTTTTTTTTTTTAAGACAGAGTCTCGCTCTTGTTGTACAGCTTGGAGTACAGTGGCGCGATCTCGGCTCACGGCAACCTCTGCCTCCCAGGTTCAAGCGATTCTTCCAACTCAGCCTCCCGAGTAGCTAGAACTACAGGTGCACGCCACCATGCCCAGCTAATTTTTTTATTTTTAGTAGAAATGAGGTTTTACCATGTTGGCCAGGCTGGTCTCAAACTCCCGACCTCCGCCCGCCATGGCCTACCAAAGTGCTGGAATTACAGGCATGAGCCACCGCACCCGGCTATTTTTTTTTTTTTTTTTTTTGGTTGTTGTCTGTTTGTTTTGTTTTGTTTTGTTTTTGAGACGTAGTTTCGCTCTTGTTGCCCAGGCTGGAGTGCAATGGCATGATCTTGGCTCACTGCAACCTCCACCTCCCAGATTCAAGCGATTCTCCTGCCTCAGCCTCCCGAGTAGCTGGGATTACAGGCATGCACCACCACGCCCAGCTAATTTTGTATTTTTCGTAGAGACGGGGTTTCTCCATGTTGGTCAGGCTGGTCTCAAACTCCCAACCTCAGGTGATCTGCCCACCTCAGCCTCCCAAAGTGCTGGGATTACAGGCGTGGACCACCGTGCCCAGCCAAGTTTTATTAATAACATTACCCCCTCTGCACCTAGTGGAGTGTGCTGATGACCTGTCCGAGCACCCCACTCCCTCTCTCAAGCCCCTGACTGGCATGTGTTACTGCCATTGGACAAGCTGTCCCACAGCCACTGCACCTTCAGTGCGGGGAGCCTGGAGCCCATCATCTCCACATCCTTTGCAAGAATTCTCTGTCCTGGATAAGCAGCACCTCCCATTCGCTCAAGCTGCAGATGTTACATGCTGCCTTCCTCCCCTCGTACATTCAACCCCCTCAGTAAACTCAGGGCTTTCTGCTTCTGAGTTTCTCTGGAACCTGCCCCCTCTCCTCTGCCCTGGCTCAGGCCCTGCTGCCAGGGCCCTGCCTTTCAATCCATCCTTTTCAGTGCCAGCAGTTACTTTTCTAATGTACAAACCGGTGATGTCTCTGCACTGCTGAACAAGGTGGATGACTTCCCATTGCTTGGAGAATGAAATTTAAACTCCTGAGAGAGGCCCTTCCCAGGCTGCCCTTAACTTCCATTCCAGCTCTTCCCATTTTCTGTCCTCATGCCACCCACCCACTCCCGGGCTAGAACCAGCCAAGAACAGGGCAGTCACCATGGCTCACATCTGTAGTCCCAGCACTTTGGGAGGCCGAGGCGGGTGAATCACTTGAGGCCAGGAGTTCGAGACCAGCCTGGCCAACATGGTAAAACCCTATTTCTACTAAAAATACAAAAATTAGCCAGGCGTGGTGGCAGGCGCCTGTGGTCCCAGCTACCTGGGAGGCTGAGGCAGGAAAATTGCTTGAACCTGGGAGGTGGAGGTTGCAGTGAGCCAAGATCGTGCTTGACTCCAGCCTGGGTGACAGAGCGAGACTCAATCTCAAACAAACAAACAAAACCAGCCAAGAACACTTGCTGTTTCCACAGACTGAATGTGAAGGTGATGGAAGCCTTTTGCTAAGTCTGTGGCTGTATGAAGCTCAGATCGCTGGAGCATATGGCATTATCTACTGTGAGAATGAGGCTGATGGAGAGCCACTGGGCTCAGGCTTGGAAATGGTGAGCTCTGATCGGACCGTGGGGAAAACAGGACATTTCCCTTCTGAAGGTCCCCCAGCCCAGGGCAAATGCCAGGGCATGAATGGTTGATAAGGAGAGCAGACAGTTGCGGCTCTGCGACCAACCACATTGTCCCTGCCACCGTGAGACCCACTCCTCCTCCTAGGACTACCAAAGACAGCTTAAGAAGGCTGGAGGTAGAAAAGCAAGTGGTGTAAACTTCCAAATAATTTGGATAATCCTGACCCTTTCTCCTCTGACCAATTTAATCAAGGAACTCAGAGGAAACTTGCCACCTCGAACTCCTGGGCTCAAGAGATTCTCATGTCTCAGTTTCCTGAGTAGCTGGGGCTACAAGCTTGTACCACCGCACCCAGCTATTTAAAGAAAAAAACTTTTTTGTAAAGGTGAGGTTTTGCCATCTTGCCCAGGCCGGTCTCGAGCTCCTGGGCTCAAGCCATCCTTTCGCCTCAGCCTCCCAAAGTGCTGGGATTACAGGCATGAGCCACTGCACCCAGCCCAGCCTAGGAAACTTTTAAGGAACTGGTAACATCACTTGGGGATTTGAAAGAACACACAGGTGAACCGTGGAAGCAGTCACAATAAATAAATAAATAAATAAGCAAACAACTCCCTTGTGAGATAATAGCTGGATGGATGCCTGTGGGCTTGCCGATTTGATGGCTATCTGAAAGGATTCCCGGGGACTTTCACCCCTTCCCCAGGGTGCCAGCACGAACATCATGTCTGTGAGCCCTTCTTCCCTTGCATAAGGGATTGCTCCCTTGCAGTCCCTGTGTCCATCCCACCAGCCTGTATAGAGAGAGAGTGCGTGCCATTATAGTTTGTCTCTTCATGAACTCCCGGGAGGTAAGGGGTGTTTTCCATCTATCTCAGTGTCTGCACCCCGCGAGATTGAGTAAATATTTGCCAAAGGCCTGAATTGTAACAAGTGAGTGAGACATGCCCTGTTTGCCTTTATAAAAACCACTATCTTCCCCTTGATTGGTAACAGTTTGTGAGGCTCCAGGGATCTTGCCCCCTTGTACAGAGGCTGCCAGCTTGTCCTCTACAAGGCCGTGGGGTGGAGATTTGACCTAGATAAATGGAATCCCCTGTAATAATTAAAATTGTTCTTAAAGAATAGTGAGGCCGGGTGCGGTGGCTCACGCCTGTAATCCCAGCACTTTGGGAGGCACGAGGTCAGTAGTTCAAGACCAGCCAACATGGTGAAACCCTGTCTCTACTAAAAACACAAAAATTAGCTAGGCGTGGTGATGCACACCTGTAGTCCTAGCTACTTGGGAGGCTGAGGCAGGAGAACTGCTTGAATCCAGGAGGCAGAGGTTTCAGTGAGCCGAGATCGCGCCACTGCACTCCAGCCTGGGTGACAGAGCGAGACTCTGTCTCCAAAAAAGAAGAAAGAAAAAAGAAAGGAACAGTTAGTGAATGTAAAAAATGTTCATGATACAATGTTGGGGGAAAGGAATGCTACAAAACAAAATGCAATGACCCCATTTATTCTTATATGGTAAAAATAAAATATTTTTTTGTAAAAATAAAAATATAAACATAAAAGAAAAAACTTGAAGAAAATATATCAAAATGTTAGCATCATTAGATGAGGGTTTAAAGATAACTTTTATTTTGTTATTAGTATTTTTCTGGATTTTCTGAATTTCCTACATTATACATACATTGCTTTATTATCGATTATGTATATATGTCTATATTTAGCCTTCAAAATCATTATAATTGGAAGGAGGAAAGTTAAACATAAATGACTTTCCTCCATGATTATTCTTAACTTAAGCTATTTCTTTTTTTTTTTTTTTTTTTAGATGGAGTCTCACTCTGTCACCCAGGCTGCAGTGCAGTGGCACAATCTTGGCTCACTGCAACCTCTGCCTCCTGTTGCCCAGGCTGGCCTCAAATTCCTGGGCTCAAGTGATCCCCCCGCCTCAGCCTCCCAAGTAGCTGGGACTACAGGTGTGCACCAGCATCGCCTTGACTTGTTCCTCATCACTCTAATACTCAATGAATGATGCCTGTTTTTCTTATTGTCGTTCTTGCAATTCCAAGAAGGGATACCTGAGATCAATTTGGCCTAGATTCTCAGATCTGGTTCTTCCCAGAAATGAAGCTCCCTAGAGGAGGTTGTGGGGTGGAGCAGGATGAATATTCCTGTGTGGGACTTGGGGAGCAGGTGCTGCAGGTGGAGGAGCCGCATGGCCCTGGTGTCCTGGGGAAGGATCCTCCCTTCTTGGAGGGAGGGAACCTCTGCTGGGCCAGCAAATGGTCAGGGAAGGAGGAGAGAGGAAGCTGGCACTAAATCATTGACCCCTGAACAGGCTTCTGGGCACTAGCTGAAATGTCAAAAATGTTTTACTCTTTGGAGGAAGAGCCTCACTCGGGTTGCACAGCATAGTAGTGGGTGGAGGACCCTATAGAGGGCTGACTGATGTCTTCAGAGTAGCTTGCTTCTTAAAAAGAGAAAAGAGAAACCTCCTCCTGGAAGCAGGGCTGAGCCTCTGGGGCAAGTGGACCCTGAAGCTATGGCAGGACTGAGTTCCTAGGAGCCAGACCCTCAGCCTCAGGCCTCACACTCCAGTCTATAGAGCCTGCTCCCTTTAGGGTAGGGAAGGTAAAGCCCAGGGCTCAGTTCGGCTCCATTCTACAGTCAGGAAAGTGTCACATTATCGTGGCAGGTTGAGAAGCACAGCAGGAGATGGTAGCATAGAGGGGCACATCTCCCACTGAGGCACAAGAAGGCTGAACTGAGATTTAAGGGAGCCGGAGGAGGTAGTCACCCATTTCTTTATGAATTCATGGATTACTATCTTCCTTCGATTGTGTATAATTTGTTATTATCATCTATTTTGGCTTAGATTGTTTCGGACTTGGCCATGTGCCAACTCCTGGAATTCTGCGGCTGCATCCTCATCTTCTTTGAGCACTTCCTTACTTTCTTGTGCAAAGAGACATTTCAACCATCTTGGTAAAGATTTAATTAGATCATCAATGAATGCTAAATCTAAGATGAAATTTTGTTGAAGAGTAGGATATATAGATGGTCTTCAAATGTCTCCCCACAGACTACTTATTAGTTGCAAGGGCAGGGGAAAGTAATTATGTGATAGAGAAAATGGGTAACACCTTGCCCAGTGATCAAAGTTAACATCATGTATGAAGGACAGAGGGACATTGTGCGTCTCCGGGTGTGATATCCTGAGGACACGTGGCCTATGCAGTATTCCCGCTGAAAATGTAGAACTTCATCTCTCTCTCTCCTTTTTTTTTTTTTTTTTTTTTTTTTTTTTGAGACATTCTCACTCTGTCGCCAGGCTGGAGTACAGTGGCACGATCTCAGCTTACTGCAACATCTGCCTCCTAGGTTCAAGTGATTCCCCTGCCTCAGCCTCCTGAGTAGCTGGGACTACAGGCACATGCCACCACACCCAGCTAATTTGTGTAGTTTTAGTAGAGACGGGGTTTCACCATGTTGGCCAGGATAGTCTCGATCTCTTGACCTTTTGATCGGCCCACCTCGGCCTCCCAAAGTGCTGGGATTATAGGCGTGAGCCACCATGCCTGGCCAGAACTTCATCTTAATCATGAGGAAAAGCCAGACAAATACAAAATGGAGAATGTTCCATTAAAAAAAAAATAAGGCGGGGTCTGTATTTTTTTTAATGCCAGTTATGTACATGTTCCAGATTTATGGAGGCTAGAGAGACATGACAACTCAAGACTGAGCAGTCTAGAAGGATTTGAACTTCTCTTCCTCATCCTACTGGGTAGGTGGTAGTGCCCCTTTTCTTCTTACGAAGGAAAGAGGAGGTCAGGCCTGTGCCAGGCTTGCAGCTAGAGAAGAATGAACTCTTTGATTATTGGGATGATGAGATTATAAGGGGAAGCTGTACAGATGCCTTCTCTGGATGTAGTGAATATGGGGAATGAAGGAGATGGAATAACCTGACCCTAGACTAGATCTTTTACTGGAATGGAGAAAATGCTGTAAAAGACATAATTAGGGCCAGGGTCAGTGGCTCACGCCTGTAATCCCAGCACTTTGGGAGGCCGAGGCGGGCGAATCATGAGGTCAAGAGATCGAGACGATCCTGGCTCACAGTGAAACCCCGTCTCTACTAAAAATACAAAAATTAGCTGGGCGTGGTGGCACACACCTGTAATCCCAGCTACTCGGGAGGCTGAGGCAAGAGAATAGCTTGAACCCAGGAGGCGGAGGTTGCAGTGAGCTGAGGTCGTGCCACTGCAATCCAGCCTGGGTGACAGAGCGAGACCAAAAAAAAAAAAAAAAAAAAAGAACATAACTACATCACCTAACTAACAACTGGAATAAGGATAAGGATGGTAGATTAAATATAAGTATTATATAAATGTAAGTGTATAAAGTTAATAACTGTGCTGTGGTGTAACAGCATATCTCTATTTTTAGGAAATACACACAGAAATATTTAGGGGTAAGAGCTATGATGTATGAAACCCTAGAATGGTTCAGAAAAAAAAACAAATTGGATAGAGCCCCATATGGTGATTAAGCAAGGGATAAAATGTTAATAATAGGTGAATTTGGGTAAAGGGTTTACAGATATTTCTTGGACTATTTTCACTTTTGCAACTTTTTGTAAGTTTGTAATTGTTTCCAAATATATATTGAATGTTCCAGGCTCACTTTGTGTTTTCCCTGCCCAAGCTCTGCAATCGGCTTTTTCTGCAGGAGTCCTAGTGAGCAGGAAATTTAGCCACATTTTAAAAGTAGGTGAATGAGAAGAAGGCTTTCCTAGTATATGGAACAGCATGATTAAAGACAAAGAAATATGAAATACAAGTGTAAATGGTAGAAAGGACTGCCGGCGAAAGTGGGTGAAAGCCTAACCCAGCAAAAGGTCTCGCCGGATAAAACCATGGCCTCGCCAGGCGCGGTGGCTCACGCCTGTAATCCCAGCACTTTGGGAGGCCGAGGCAGGCAGATCACGAGGTCAAGAGATCGAGACCATCCCTACCAACATGGTGAAACCCCGTCCTACTAAAAATGCAAAAATTAGCTGGGTGTGGTGGCGGGCGCCTGTAGTCCCAGCTACTCGGGAGGCTGAAGCAGGAGAATCGCTTGAACCCGGGAGGCGGAGGTTGCAGTCAGCCGAGATCACGCCACTGCACTCCAGCCTGGTGACGGAGCAAGACTCCGTCTAAAAAACAAAACAAAACAAACCGTGGCCTCACCTGGGTATGCAAAACGCAGCCCCCACAGTTCCCATAAGCCTGGTCCCATTGACTCGTACAGCTGTGATTTGGATATGCGATACAATAAACGGACAGATTCAGCCATCCCTGAGGGGCCAACACTGCATTTGGGGGCATGTCATCTGCGGAAACCATAGAACTGAATTGTATCTATTTACATCAAATGAGTACAGCTACTGTGCAGAGTGCGGAAAGTGAAGCAGCATTCGAGGTCCAAAGCTCCAGCAGGAGAGAAGCAATGCTTTCTGTGAATGAGATACAGGCCGCCGCCCTCCCAATCAGAACACGGGAGATATCAGCCAATCCCGGCCCGCCGATGCTCTAGTATCGGGCGGGGGCCCACACGCCCAAGAGTTGTTTGTCTGCCTCGGGTCCCCTCCAGCCCTACCGTTGGAGGAAAGAGGCGGAGAGGAGGCCAGGAGGCCGGCAGGGTTGATCAGGCCAAATGGTGGGGGGCGCCAAATGCCAGGCCAATGTGGAGCCAGTTTGGGCTCCACAGCAGGGTGACTGATCCAGCCATGGCAACACTCACATTTACCTTGTCCCCTGCGGGGCTGGTTCCTCTCCCGGATCAGTGAGTCCCTGACGCCTTTGGGAGGGGAGGTTGGAGCTGTGAGGGCTGACTCTGGACTGAGCGGGATAGACGGATTTGGGCTTCTCTCCCTCATCCCACCTGGCTAGGTGGTGGTGTTCCTCTTCTTCTTAGGAAGGAAAGAGGAGGTCTGGCCTGTGCTGAGCTTGCAGCTAGAGAAGGACGAACGAACTCTTTGATTGTCAGGACGGTGAGATTGCGCGGGGAAGCTGTACAGTTGCCTTCTCTGGATATAGTGAATGTGGAGAACGAAGGAGATGGAATGACCTCTCTGAAGCAGGATGCACCATCCCCAGATAGGCACATATCGGATCTCCCAGCCTGGTGACTCTTCCGTGGTCTAATCTGAACACCTCTGGCCTGCCACACCTCTGGCCAGCCTCCAGTTAGCTGCTTTTCAGGAGATGTGCCATACGTCTCATTTTCTCATTCCTCGGATGAAGCTCGTTCCCCATGCTGGATGCCAACCCCCAAAATCTGAGGTGAGAAAGCAATGCAGGAAGGCAATTCAGCTCCTTTGCAGGTCTGTCAGAGGATGCAATTGGTGCCTTTGAGCAAAGTGATGCTGCCATGACCCAAACTGGAAATAGGAGGACCAGATAGAGATGGTCTACATTGAATTCGAGGCTCCATCCTCTGTACCAGGCCCTGGGCTAAGCACTTTACATGCTTCAGATTAAAACTTTACTAGGAGCAGGTGCAGTGGCTTATATCTGTAATCCCAGCACTTTGGGAGGCCGAGGTGGGTGGATCACCTGAGGTCAGGAGTTCAAGACCAGGATGACCAACATGGTGAAATTCTGTCTCTACCAAAAATACAAAAATCAGCCGGACGTGGTGGCACGTGCCTGTAATTCCAGCTACTCTGGAGGCTGAGGCAGGAGAATCATTTGAACCCAGGAGTCGGAGGTTGCAGTGAGCCAAGATTGCACCATCACACTACAGCCTGGGCAACAAGAGCAAAACTCCGTCTCAAAACAAAACAAAACGAAACTTTACCAGGTTGGATTTATTGTCATGCTTATTTTACAGCTTAGGAAACAGAGGGCAGAGAGGCTACATATCTTGCTGAAGGTTACATAGCTTCAAGTGGCACAGCTTGGATTTGTACCCAGGCCTCTCAGATTCCAAGTCTCTGCTCTTGATCATAACCCTAAACTACAGCACCTCCCAGCTGTTCCTTATGCCAAATCGCCCTCTGCTCTGGATCCCCTGCGGGCCCTCCTCACTTACCTTGGTGCTTACTCCTGTTTCTGGCCTTGGTACTTGGTTCCTTGTTGTGTTTCAGGTCTCCCGGACATTGGGATTCATCAATACAGGGCAAAATCAGCAACAATCACAGGCTGCCATGAACCCACTAATTTGGAATCAAAGATTTAGGAATGTAGCAAAACTTTTGGAAGCTATGGTCCAATTTGGAAACTAGCCTCCCTTCTGGGGGTGCTAAACTGCCTCCACCTTTATTTTGATATCTCCCACCTATTCCTGTTATACCAAGGAAGAATAAACTAACTGCCTGACGTTAGTTCAGGCAGGGGAAGGTTTCAGAGGAAGCAACATTTAAATTACACTTTCTGCCTGTCTAGGGGTTCACAGTGGAGAAAGAATGTTGGAGGGCTGGTTATGGGGAGGGCATTCTAGGCCTAGAAAACAGCGGAAGCAGTGACTCTGTCTCCTTTCTCTCTCTCTTCGCAGACTCCCCCCTCCCCATTCTTCTCCCTCAGAGGTGCCTGATAGCCACAGAGTCTCTGGTGTTGACAAAGTGACAGAACTTCCCTTACGTTGACAGGGCCACCCTGGAATCAGGACCTACTCTTTTGGGACAGAGCTCTGGGATTTCAGGAAAGGGTGGGACCCCACTTCTTCCAGCAAGAAGTGGTTCACAGGTCCTCACTCCTAATTACTTGAATCTTGCCTGTTTCTTCAGCTACTGATTTTTCTCCTTTTTTTTTTCTTTTAAGACCGAGTCTCACTCTGTTGCCCAGGCTGGAGTACAGTGGTGCAATTTTGGCTCACCACAACCTCTGCCTCCCAGGTTCAAGTGATTCTCCTGCCTCAGCCTCCCGAGTAGCTGGGATTACAGGCATGCGCCACCATGCCCAGCTAATTTTTGTATTTTTAGTAGAGATGGGGTTTCACTATGTTGGCCAGGCTGGTCTCGAACTCCTGACCTCGTGATCCGCCTGCCTTGGGCTCCCAAATTGCTGGGATTACAGGCGTGAGCCATCGCACCCAGCCTTTTCTCCTTTATCTGGTGAAGAAATGCACGTCTTCTTTCCTGCCTATTGGCTGAAACAAATCATCACAGCTGGCTCGGACTAGCAGCCTGTCTCCAAGTTCCCTAAGTAATCATGTCTAGCCCAGGGCAGGTGCATGGAGAGGGTGGTCAGGGTGGGAGTGATGTCACAGGTAGCACAAGAACATTTCCTCCAAAATGTCTCTTTTCCCTTCCTTAGCCTCTTCCTAACCTCCAAGACTCCCCTTTTTCTTCCTCCATATACATGCAAATCTGATTTCTCTCTAGCTCTTTTCCTGCCACTAACAAAGATAAGAATTCCTTGGCTCATGGGCAAGGGCCTTGGGGATCCAAGCTCCTTCAAAACAGATCTGTCTGGCTGACTCTGTAGGGATAATAAGCCTCTGGCAGTCCCCAGTTGTCCCTAAGATTGGCAAAGACCTGGCTTCCCATCCCAGTCTTTGAGGATGGCTCTCTTCTCCATGGGCAGCCTCTAGAATTGGTGCATCTGTCCCAGCCTAGCCTGAGCACTGACTGCCAGAGAGAGCTGCTGGACCAGTCATTGGAAGGGCATATTGCTCCCTGTCATTCCCCTTGATCTCCTCATCCTCTCAGCTGTCATGCCAAAAGAATACCTCACTGGCAGAACAGAATATTTTCCTCAAACGTCCTTCTTTAGTTTCTGACACAGCCAGATGCAGGTGGACCTCACTTTAAGGAAACTCCATTAATGAGAGTTCTCCCTACATGGTTAGCAGTTACATATATTACAAAGGAGTCGTGATTTTAAGTTCTTATTTTATGTTTTATGTAATCTTGAAAGAGATATTTAGGGGTTGGGAGGGAGGTGGGATGTCAATTTAAGATAATTAGAGATGAAGAGGACTTCTAAAATTATGATGCAAGTCAGTAGTGATAGAGAATCTTTTTTTGCTTTGTTTTGTTTTTTTGGAGACGGAGTCTGGCTCTGTCGCCCAGGTGACAGACAGAGGCTGAGACATAAGGATTGCTTGAACCTGGGAGGCAGAGGTTGCAGTGAGCTGAGATTGTGCCACTGCACTCCAGCCTAGGCGACAGAGCAAGACGCTGTCCTAAACAAATGGGCCGGGCGCGGTGCCTCACGCCTGTAATCCCAGCACTTTGGGAGGCCGAGGCGGGTGGATCACCTGAGGTCGGGAGTTCGAGACCAGCCTGACCAACATGGAGAAACCCCGTCTCTACTAAAAATACAAAATTAGCTGGGCATGGTGGCGCATGCCTGTAATCCCAGCTACTTGGGAGCCTGACGCAGGAGAATCACTTGAACTCAGGACGCAGGAGAATCACTTGAACTCAGGAGGCGGAGGTTCTGGTGAGCCGAGATGGCGCCATTGCACTACAGCCTGGGCAACAAGAGTGAAACACCATATCAAAAACAAACAAACAACAACAACAACAACAAAAACTAACAGAGCAGTTTTTTGTTCATTTGTTTGTTTTAAGACAGCGTCTTGCTCTGTCGCCTAGGCTGGAGTGCAGTGGCACAATCTCAGCTCACTGCAACCTCTGCCTCCCAGGTTCAAGCAATCCTTATGTCTCAGCCTCCTGAGTAGCTGGGACTACAGGCTTGCACCACCACGCCTAGCTAAATTTTGTATTTTTAGTAGACACGGGGTTTTGCCATGTTGGCCAGGCTGGTCTTGAACTCCTGGCCTCAAGCGATCCAGGGCGGTTTTTGTAAAGTGATGTGTACTTGACCTTCATGGTCCAGGGCCAAGATCTGGGTTAAGTGCCTATCTTGGGAAGAGGAAGGCTAACTAGCCAACCCCTAATGGGTAGGTCTAAGGAGAGGGCTACCTCATGCAAAGATCCAAAGGAAAGCCTGCGACCCTTCATTCCTTTATCGGTACTACATGGGCCTTAGATTGCTCAAAGGTGGGCAGCCAAGAGAAGCTGGAATCTGGACTAACACACAAACTCAGTCAGTATTCTGCCCTGGATCATTACACACTAACCTGCCAGCCCCCTAATTTTTTTTTTTTTTTTTGAGACAGAGTCTTGCTGACACCCAGGCTGGAGTGCAGTGGCGCGATCTCGGCTGACTGCAACCTCCGCCTCCCGGGTTCACGCCATTCTCCTGCCTCAGCCTCCTGAGTAGCTGTGACTACAGGCTCCCGTCACTACGCCAAGCTAATTTTTTGTATTTTTAGTTAAGAGACAGGGTTTCACCGTGTTAGCCAGGAGGGTCTCGATCTCCTGACCTTGTGATCTGCTCGCCTTGGTCTCCCAAAGTGCTGGGATTACAGGCGTGAGCCACCGTGCCCAGCCTAGCCCCCTATTTTTACAAGGGGAGATTTTCCAGTAATCTGCCAATGTCAGGCCAGCTGTGGGGGAGATTTACAGACCCAAACCAGGGACAAAAGACATTCTTTCAGGATACAGGACTCTTTAAGGAGGAATTGGAAAAAGTGCAAGACTGATGGCCAGACCTATTAGGGCAGGGAGGAAAAATTGATTACTGTCCCATGAACAGATTGGACTTTTAGGTCCAATGATCCTTGAGGATACTGAAGTGAAAACCTCCACTATCTCCTCTACATCCTAAACCTAGGTCGATTCAGAGGACCAAACTACAGGGCCCCTTGAGAAGAGTGGAGACACCTGAACAGCCGGGACTGGAATGATTAACTAGCAACTCAGTGAAATAACACTTCCCTTGTTCCTAGGACAAACACAGCACGAAGAACACTTTCCTCCAGCTGTGTTCACTGAGTCACTAAAGGCCTAAGACAATTATCACAGGAAGTTTGGAAAGCCTCAATTCTATATAAAACAGATGTAGGTATCCAAAACTTTTTCATTGAATGAAGTGTCACATTCATCCTGATTTGCTGTTTGGTGATACCATCACTCGTCCCATCTCCCTTAACAGCCTCCTTGGAGGCAGCAACCATGTCTTAAATCAACTTTTCATGCCCCTTAGTGCCTAATAGTGCGTGGCACATTGTTGGTCCTCAGTGGGCATCTCATAAATCTAGTTGAACACAAATGGGCAAGGGACCCAGCTTAAAGCCCCTTTCAACTAAGGAAATTGGGTCCTAGAGCATGAGAAGAAATGTTTTAAACCCATCTTCTCTTTTGGGTAGGACAGGGACCTAAACCTGTGGCCACTGCCTCCATCCTAGCTTCCTGGGCCTTACCTGAGCTGCTTGGGAGGGTGCACCTACCAAGGGCAGTCAGTCTGGTGCCCTTCCACCCTCCAACCAGCCTGATACTGGTCCCTCCCTCTCTCTCCAACCCAATACTGAGATGTGCGCACCTGAAAAGAAAGTACTTGAAAAATTCCTCTATTATCAGAGCAAACTGATGAAGCTTCTGAGGTATTAAACAATCCATCATAACATTTGTGACCAGTTAACTTTAATTTTCAAAATAAATCTGCAGTATTTTGCATGTTAGTAATACAGTGCTGGTATTGACAGGTAAAATCATCATCTGCTTACATAGAAACCTTCATTCAGGAGCACACCGTAGGAGGGGAACGGATACACAATAAAAAGCAAACGCAGGCCAAGCAGCGAGCCCTAGAGCGTAACAGGCTGGATGTCAGATTTAAGGATTATCTAATACAACTGTTTAGCTGCCAATCTGATAAAGGGGAAGCTCTCAACCAGGTTACAACCAGAAGGGAAAAACGTACTCTGCCTTTTCGTAGAGCAGTGGCTGTCGTGCCTTCAACACCTGGTTGAATCAGTTCATCAACATCGAAACTCAATTCCAGTTCCAAGACACAGAATTTCATCACACAACCTATTCGGTACCCCTTTTCAGTGGCCCACCCAAAACCCCCTCCTGCCATCGACTCTCTCCCTCCCAAAAGAAGACATGACGTGGCTTTATTATTGCAGACAAGCTTCTTAAGTGAATAAAGAATGCATACAAAATAGTATTTTAACTGAAGTCATACAATGAAGTCTCACTCCTGTTTATTATACAATGAATTGATAAAACAATTACTTCTAGTATATATCTTTTTTTTTTTAGAACTAATACTTTCAGGGTTCTGACAACCACATTCTAGCTTAGGGGTAGGGCCCACACCTGCCCCCACTGAGGACTGCTCCTTGGACCACTGTGGAGGAAGCCTGGGCTGTCTGAATTGTGAATTATGACTGCCAGCCCACCAGAGATAACAGATCCCAGCAGGCAGAGCCAGAACCCAGTTTTGGGTCTGCATGCCAGGAAATGTGAACTTCCTCCAAATGTGGCCACTGTGCCTCCCAATCCAGGCCTCAGCAAGGTCATTCTTGGGCTTTCCCTACACGAGTCCTTCCAGTAGTCCACACATAATGCTCTACATATTAAAAACAAACCATTTTTGTACTGTGGATAAGAACAGTTGTAACAAAGTCATAGCTACATATTTTTCTCTACATTTTGTTTATTGAGACAAACTAATTAAAAGGCACAAACATAGGGCATGTTTACATGGACATTATAACAAACATATACATTAAAAGTGTAGGAATGTGTTGCCTTCCTGCTAAACAGAAAGTTCCTAAGCTTTTATATATACAAAAGTTGTACAATTTAATGTCCTAAAGTACAAAAGATCATTTATAAAATTATTTTACACTAAGTACTATTTATTTTATTTTTTTACTATGTAGTTCAACCCCCTAGAACTGTTTTGTATAATGACACACAGATACCTGTCCCTGATGTAGGAAGTCTGTCTCAGATGCAAGGTATTTTGATGCTTGAACTGACACAGTAGGGTATAAATGGAAATCATCCAGTTTGATAGTCAGTCCTGCAAACATTCTGCAAGATTAACACAACTAATTTCCATTTCTCTTAACTGCAATGATTAAAAAATGAAAAAAACCAAAAACATATTGCAACTTAAAAAATCACAGCATCTTGGTTTAGTTAATTTTTTTTTTAACGCAATGCTTTAAAAACAATGCGTGGCATGATGGTGTAAAGAGTATCTGTTTCCCTAGCTTTTGGTTTCTACTTTATGTACAGAGATAAAATATCTTGCTAAGAAATAAAAAGCACATGTCTCAACGTGCATAATCATTGCTGGGTTTCTACAGGGAATGCAGACAGCTGTCTCCCTGAAAACACCACAAAGCTGATACAAGTGTTTTCTCAAAGAAAAAAAAAGTGATGTCCATATTTACAAAGTTGAACAAATCTGCGCAATACTTAAGAAACGGAAGGAGAAATTTAAAAAAAGATACACTCTGCATGTTCTGAAGGGGCATACACTACCTAGTTAGTGGTTAGAATAAAAACTGTATACAATTTAATATAAGACATAAACTCTAGTGAGCAACTAACACATCTGTCCCTGTTGTAATATCAACAGGCTCTGATTGGGAGAGAGAGGGGCATATCACATCCCAGTGCCTCCAGCGTCTTCCAATTTAAAGCAATATATTTGTACTGTTCCAAAGTACTCCTTGGCTCCTAAATAGGAATCCCACTGGACTCTGTTTATTAGGAGCTTGCCTGTCCACACACTTGACTTCTCCTCTGTCAGTTGAGGCTTTTCTTAGCAAAACACAATTTGTAGATTTTTTTTAAATTTTTTTTTTTTTTAAAAAGTCAACTACAATGCTATATTCCATCGGGATTAATATGCTGAGCAATATTTACATCTCCAAATATCAGGTCACAATCCCTATTATACGTTGAAGTTAGAATGATAAATTATCATATGCTTTGCATATCAGAGCTGGTATCACCTTTCCCATAGGGAATGCTGCCTGAAATTAACATATTCCCAAAGGTAAAATGCATATTCTCTGAAATGCATTTTATTATGACAATGCATGTATTTACTCATAAAAACAATAAACACAGACAATTCTACACTAGCTCTCAATCTGTGGATTTAAAATTTCAGGTTAAAATCAGCCATCCACCTTGTATAGGGAGAAGAGTTCTGCTAGTGTTTACAATAAAGTGATTCCTTGGGATTAGAAATAGTAATGCTGTTTTTTTATTTTGAAGTGGGTTCTACTTATGATTGGTTTTAATTCTGGCATTTCATCTTGCCAACTACTATCCTGTTTAAGCAATGTTGTCAGCTAAAAGGAATTTCTGATTAAACTAAAGTGGTCCAGTGATAAGTTACATACACACCCTACTTTGAATAATCCCAGCCAAATTGGAGAAAAATGCTACCACACTCTTATTAACTAATGTAATAAAATCTCCCAATTTCATGGTTTACTTTTTGCTTTAATCAACTAAAAGTTAAGTTGCTGGTAAATATTTACTTTTACCCATATTTTGATTTTATAATACTGTTTACCAAGGCGGTGATGTAGGCAAAGCTTGGGGCAAGAAAGGCATGCTCTCTACAGGTCTCATTGCTATATTGAGAGGGGCGGCTAATGTCATAGGTGTGGGTAGATTCATTGGAGATGTGATGGTGACAGGGTGTGCTATATTCACTGGGGCAGTGACGGGGGTGGGGAGGTTGACTGGGGTAGTGAGTGTTAAAGGAGAGGTCATGGATAATGGACTGGTTATAGTTACAGGATGCCCTATGTTCATTGGGCTGGTTATGTTAACTGCACTTGAAACATTTACTGGACTTCTCATGCTCATTGCAGCTGCCACTGTGACTGGGTTTGACATAGTCCCAGACGACACAGAGGATGTTATACTGAATGGAGTAGTGAGAGTCACAGGTGTCGTAGCAGCCGTGGAGGTTTGGCACAGGTTAGCAGCTTCTAAAATAAGAAGAAAAAGGGTCTTTAGATTCTCAAAACAGTGAGCAAAATTCACAAAGTTTCTGAATCAATTTCTTTTCATTAAAAATGTCAAACATTTAATAAATCAAATTCCAGTTTTCTATCAAGCGGTCAACAGAACAGAGGATCTTTCTGAGCACAAGCCTGGGGGCCAGGGATCCCAGTGTATGAATCACCTTCTGATGCTATACCTCCTGCAAGGACTTAAGCAACTTGTTTAGCCTTGCACTTTAGGTTTCAAGTTCAGATTTACTTACCTACCTCACAGTGATGCTGAGAGGATCAGTTAACTTCTGCAATGCAGGGCTAAGTGTTCTCACTACTACTTCATGCAGTTCCTCTGAGTTCTAAAAACTTTCTTGGGAAGAGCCAACCTCCAGCAGGCCAGGCTAAAGAGCTTGTTTACACAGAGCTGGGCCAATGGTTACACAATAACAGATAATCAGAAAAATCTTCTCGTAAGGCACACTGTAACTAGCAGAGAGAGGTGTGCATACTCAATAAGTATGTTAAAGCCTGAGACATGAAGCCACATTCTGTGAAGGTTTTAAAAATGCATAATTGGGGAATGATAAACAAGCTATTTTAGTATCATGTTTGTTTCAGTTTTAGAAATATGTTTCAGTTAAATAATCTTATTCTTTCTGGTTATGTTTCTTAACTACATTAGGAAAGAAAAAAATACTCCTCAATAAGTTCATGTTCTCCTCACTCCCATTTCTTCTTGTTTCTGATGTTGACACAATCACCTATTTTATGCCTAGTATCTTTAACTCTACATATTACACATACCACCAAGCATACCAAAGAGAACTAGCTAGGCAAGGAGACCCTGCAGTGAGTTAGAGGACCCTGGTCCTTCTTATCCAACAAAACCTGGACACTTTTTTTTCTGAGACAGGGTCTCCTTCTGTTGCTCAGGCTGGAGTGCAGTAGCATGATCAAAGCTTACTGCAGCCTCAAACCCTCAAGGCTCAAGCAATCCTCCCACTTTAGTCTACCAAGTAGCTGGGACTACAGGTGCATGCCATCACGCCCAGCTAATTTTTGTGTTTTTTGTAGAGACTGGGTTTCGCCACGTTGCCCAGGCTGGTCTCCTCCTAGGCTCAAGCGATCCGTCCACCTCAGCCTCCCAAAGTGCTGGGATTAAGGTGTGAGCCAGGTCTAGACACTTCTTAAAAAATACTTCCCCTCAAGGTGACATCCCCAACCCACCCCTCAACAAAATTCAGCACCAGAAAACAGCAGTAAAATGATGGGTAGGCTAGCTGTGACTTGGCTATCAAAATGGAGAAATATACTTGAACTAAAGATAGAGATCTGTATATGATCCACAAAGGTCTTATCACCGCAGGGGGACCCTTGAGTCAAGCAGCCCTTACTTGATCAATACAATGTAACTTTGGCACACACCATTCTCCCTATCAGGGATTCCCAAATCTGGCTGATTATCAAAATCAACTATCTAGAGGACTTCAAAACAAACAAACAAACAAACAAAAAAAACCCAACAAAACAAAAACAAAGGACTCCAGGAGAATCAATAGTGAAATTTAGATGGAACTTGGGAAATGTGTATTTTTAAAAAGCTTCCCAGACAATATGATTGTCGATCAGGTTTGAAAACTTATGTTACCTTATTTAGGCCTAATATTTAAAGGACGTTATAGATTCAAGCTTAGATTTTCAGGTCAGGAGTCTCCTCTCCTCTAAAATGTGACATTTACTAACATGAATACAGAGGTTTCTAAGATCAGTGGTCTTTTTGAGAGAGATTCACGCTACAAATGGGAATACAATAACATTTTGTTTCATGGAAGTCAGAAGATGAGCTAAACAACCAAGTCTTATTGTGCAAGCAAATTGAAATACAATACCAAATAGAGGAGTACACCGAGAGAGATTGAGAGAGAAAACCAATTCACTTTAAGGTGCTGGGAGTATTGCTGAGGATATTCTCCACCTGCTTTCACCAAAGAATTTTTACTCTCTTATCTGCTGACCCCCTTACCTCCTCCTCCGTGTTTTCTTTTTAATCTAAGAGTGTCCTTTTACTATGACTTAAACATTTTTACTCCTTCTCTAAGTAAAATACCCTTCATAATATACTTTCAACCCACTATACAATTATCACAGCACTACACTTTTTCCTCCCCATTGCCCGTCCCCTCTCCCCATTCTAACACAAAAGTTCATTTGTTTTGTTTTTTTTGAGATGGGGGTCTCAATCTGTTGTCCAGGCTGGAGTGCAGTGATGCAATTGTAGCTCACTGCAGCCTCAAACTCCTGGGTTCAAGTGACCCTCCCACCTTAGCTTCCTGAGTAGCGGGGACTACAGACACGCACTGTCACGTCCGGCTAATTTTTTGTTGTTGTTGTTGTTTTTGTAGAGATGGGGTCTTGCCATCTTGCCCAGGCTGGTCTCAAACTCCTGGCCTCAAGTGATCCTCCCACCTTGGCCTCCTGAAGTGCTGGAATTATAGGTGTGAGCCATCACACCTGGCCAAAACATTTTATTAAAATAATGACAAATCTTCAGATGGAAGCTAGGAACAAGCAGCACCTGAGGAATGATGAAAAGCCTATACGGACTGCTGCATTCTTTTCTTCCAATGCCAGTAAATGTATGAAAAAGAATGTCGCCAGGGCCCAGTAGCTCACGCCTATAATCCCAGTACTTTGGGAGGGTGAGGCGGGCAGATCACCTGAGGTCGGGAATTCGAGACCAGCCTGACCAACATGGAGAAACCCTGTCTCTACTAAAAATACAAAATTAGCTGGGCGCGGTGGCACATGCCTGTAATCCCAGCTACTCAGGAGGCTGAGGCAGGAGAATCGCTTGAACCTGGGAGGCGGAGGTTGTGGTGAGACAAGATCATGCCATTGCACTCCAGCCTGGGCAACAAGAGCAAAACTCCATCTCAAAAAAAGAAAAAAAAAAAAAAAGAATGCTATTCCTTTTATTTTTATCCAAGTATAGGAGGTTTAGAGATCACTCTGGCCAGGTGTGGTGACTCATGCCTGTAATCCCAGAACTTTAGGAGTCTGAGGCGGGTGGATCACTTGAGATCAGGAGTTCAAGACTAGCCTGGCCAACATGGCAAAACCCTGTCTCTAGTAAAAATACAAAAATTAGTCGGGTGTGGTGGCACACACCTGTCGTCCTGGCTACCCGGGAGGCTGAGGCACAAGAATCACTTGAACCCAGGAGGCGGAGGCTGCAGTGAGCCGAGATCACGCCACTGCACTCAAGCCTGAGCAACAGAGCGAGAGACTCTGTCTAAAAAAGAAAAAAAAAAAACAGAAGGGATCACTCTGAGGAAGGGAAGAGCCACACTACATGAAAGCAAAAGATGGAAGAAACTACACAGAAAAGGAATTACATACAGAGGAGCCCACAGATAGAGGATTCCTTAACATTTAACATAGTAAGACATTGTAGAGGTGGAGGAGGAAGAAGGAATTTACAAATCTGTCCTTTGGCTCATGATACATTGACAAAATGATTCATTTGAAATGGCTGCACAATAGTCCAGAAGCCAAAGCTGTACTAGTAAGTTGAAAAGTACGTTGAAAACTGATACTCCAACTGATTCGTTAGAAAATATACACGAGAGAAAAGCAAACCATTTAAAATTTTTTAAACAATTACAGTAAAGTCCTCAGCAGCAGAAGACTAGATATGTTAAGGCCAGCCAGTGATAGACTGAAGGAGATTAAGGGTGTGACCAAGAGAAAAGACATCAACACTACAGAATCTGAAACATGTAATAAATAATACAATGAAAAAGAACACTACAGAGCAAAAATAGCACAGTTGTAAGAAAATGAACTTATGTACACACAAGGATATCCACCTCTAAAAGTGGGAATATTTTAGAAAGGAAAAAAAAAGCCCATAATGCATGGAGGTTGACATCAAATTGAATATAAAAATGCAACTCTGAGCATAGCAAAGGACCAAATTTGGATCCAGGTTTGTAGCAAAAAGTACATCAAAAGAAAGAACATGATAGGAAGTACTGAGAACTTTTAATTCCTAGTAATAACTTATCTGGACACTTTATTGCCAATAACTATACTTTACCAGATATTTCCCAGCATGCACTATTTCCATGTTTCCATTAAGCTAGATTTCCTAAAACTGTGGCTTCTCTACTTTGATCACTTGGCATACTAAATGAAAACACTTCTCTAGCCATATTTTCAACACTGGAAGCTGTGCCTTACCTTTCTTCCTTGCTTTAACAGCTTCTTCCCACAGTCTCAGTGTTTCTACTTGCTTCCCTGGCCAGCTTGTCACATGTTGTTGTTGTTGTTGTTGCTGCTGCTGCTGCTGCTGCTGCTGCTGCTGCTGCTGCTTTTGGTTACTGGTCTCTTCACTCATGCATGCTATTACAAAGACAAACCAAAAACACTGTATCTACCTGTAAAACTGTTGCCGTTTTTTTTCAAAATTGACTTCTCATGCTTCTGTGATCTTAACCATTTAACCTGATAGCTCTTAGTAAGTGCATCTTTTTTGCTGCTGTGTCTATATTGGTCAAAATAAACAAGCACTAAAAAGTCTAGAGAACTAGCAAAAATCAATATAAAAGAGAAAAGGACTCTTTGCTATAAAAAAAAAACCATCAAAAAAAAAAAAAGCAAGTGTCTTTAAAAATGGAAGTTTGATATTATTAATATAGGACTAATCAACATTCAACAAAATTTTTTATTTGATCACAATAATGTACACTAAAAGTGAATGTTTATAGGCCGGGTGCAGTGGCTCATGCCTGTAATCCTAGCACTTTGGGAGGCCGAGGCAGGTGGACTGTCTGGGCTCAGGAGTTCGAGACCAGCCTGGGCAACACGGTGAAACGCCGTCTCTATGAAAATACAAAAAAAGTAGCAAAGGTAATCGGGCATGGCAGTGTGCACCTGTAATCCCAGTTACTTGGGAGGCTGAGGCAGGAGAATCGCTTGAACCCAGGAGGCGGAGGTTGCAGTGAGCCGAGATCGTGCCATTGCACTTCAGCCTGGGCAACAGTGTGAAGACTCCGTCTCAAAAAAAAAAAAAAAAAAAAACAAAAAAAACAGAAGTGAATGCTTATAAAGTACAACATACCAGTGTACTTACAAAGAAGTGTACTTACAAACCCAGTGTACTTACAAAGAAGTAAAAATGGATAGATTAACACACATTAAGCTTTCTTCCCCATTCTCTTGTGGCCACCTATTTTTTTGAGAATTTGATGTTTCTACTGCATAAAGTACATATATAATAGAATAAAGGATTAGGAAAATGCCTTCTTCTAGTGGTTAGGGCAATCTTAAAAGAAAAAGCCTGGGTAAATGCAAGTATTCTATCTTCAACTCTGAATTTAAGGCAAGCAAAGCATTTAAACCTTCAAGTGGATATGATATCTCATTTCTCTACAGATTTGGGTTTGAAAAGCAAGCTTATTAATACTGCTTTCACCTTAAAGGTTATTATTAGCTTATCAATGCTGTTTGCATACATGAAAGTAAAGCATAGTTCTGACATTAATATACTCTGTCCATTGTTGCCTGTTTGCACATGTTGGCAATAGGAGGAAACACGTAAGGTGAATATTAATACCTTTGATACAATATGAAAACATGCATATTTCACCCATCTGAAATATAAAAGAAAGAAAATCTGAAGCACCACCTACTTTTACTGATGCCTTGTTTACATGTATTACAGTTGATACTTTGGCTCTGCCCATGAGTCTTTAAGTGGCTGGTGATGTATGCTGCACTCAGGAGCTTCCCACAGATGTTACATGATACCTTGCCTTCATGGCGCACCATGTGTGTCCGCAGTCTGTCTTTGGTGGCAAAGGCAGCAGTGCACGTCTGCATGAGGGAGGAAAACTTTTTTTAAATATAGACTATCCTGTTCTACTCATTTTGAAGTACGTTATATTCTGTGCATTACCCTATCCACATCAGCAAGCTGACAACTAGTTGAATTTTAATTGCATATGTTACCTAGAATCATAATCATAATAAAACTCTTGATAAATTTTAGACTCTTCCATTTTGAAGGAAGAAAATACATCAACACAGAGTAGCACAAAAAATGTAAGCTTTAGGGTAAGTTAAACCTGGGTTTAAGTTGAGCTCCACAATTTACTAAATGGTGTAATGTTGAACAAGTTGGTTAACCTATCTGAAAGCTTCTTCATCTGTAAAATGGGGATAACATCTCTCACAAAATTACTGGTGGATTAAGAAAAGCCTGGTATACACAGCAGGCACTCACTCAATGACACTAGCTTCCTTCCTCCAATTAGATCTTTCTTAGCATTCAAATCATTTACTTAATAAAATCAGTCATTAACAAACTTAACTGAAAGGTGTACTAAAAGACTTCCAGCAACAAACTAAAATTACCAATGCCTAAAACAGTCATTTGATTTAGCAAAATTCTTAATGTTTTCGTTATTATAATTGATGTCAAATAAAATCATTAACTGGAATAGATTTTTAAACAACTAGAAAGTGTTCCAATTTGGTAATAACAAACAAAAATCTAGTAAGTGGTAACATTTGGGAGAAAAATTCATTATTTTCTCCTATTACAGTTAAAACAACTTCAATAATCAACCCAGAAATTAAAGCCCTTTATTCTTTTATTCATTTCAAATACACAACCACCTTTGCAAGACTGTAACTTTTTTTTCCTAACAAAAAATACTATTGCCCAAAGAAAGGGAAATATAGCTTAAAAAAAACAACACGCTTAAATTTTTAAATGATCTTGCTTTACAGAAACAGAAGCTGTCAGTTATATTTTATAAAACTAGAAGTCAAATGGGCCACATTTACTCAGGTCAGTGATTTTAAGACTATTCAAGAATGGTGAGATTCAACTGGCTCAGACCTTCTGGATAATGTGCATTAAGTGCTACACTAAGGATAAGTCATTTTAACTCTTACTTGGCATTTGAAGGGTCTTTCTGTTGAATGGACATGTTTTACATGACAGCTTAAGTGGTCAGGCCTGTGAAAAAGAGAGTTTCAACAGAAGATATAATCGAACACATAGAGAAATGCTACTTATGTGATGCTCACATGCTTGGCAGATTGGGAAGGGGTGCATTTTAGGGAAAGCTAGCAGAATTACCAACCTCCCTCCCCCGGTGCAAGTCTCCTTCCCTCTCTTACCATGAACAAAGTCTTAGGCCTCTACCTGTTAATTTTCTCTCCTAGTCAACATCAAATCATATTAGGTCTTGATTCTTTACAATTACAAAATACCCGAAGTTTTAGTCTTAACACTTGCCAGAAACAGCTACCACTATATTAACTCTAAAAGCTTTTATAAATGAAAATTAGTGAAATGTTGGTGCTCTCAGAAAAATGAAAAAACATTCTAAAAGTTTAATTAAGAGTATCCAAGGTCATCCCAACTTCCAAGAAATGTTACTTTAATTTGCCCAGTGAGCCTCATGTCTAGTCCCCCAACTGAACTGAAAACTGGTGGTTTTGCAGTGATAAGTATCCATGTGCCAAATGAAAGCCTGAGTCCACCGAGGCACTTGTTAAGTGAAAAAAACAGGTTAATCACTATGTCACCACTTGTCAATCACACCAAACTGAGGTTAGACCTGGAGGTGTTAATACTTATCTATCACCAATCTCCTCTAATAACACAGGTCTGCCCACATCTGTTCTCACATAAACATTCTAGATCACATGGAGACAAAACTGAAGTACACTGATACCATAATGAAGCAAAGCAAAGCAAAGCAAAATGCAGTACCTTGAGAAGCCTTTCCCACAAACACTGCAAGTATAGGGTTTGGTGATGCCTCCTTCATGAGACCTCACATGGTAAGTCATCCGGTCCTTCCTCTTGAAGCGCTGATTACAAATAGGACACTCAAAGGGTTTCTCATCTGAATGGGAGAGCTTGTGTCGATTGAGATGGTACACATCTCGGAAGGCCTTCCCACACATCTCACAAGCATGGTTCTTCTTGACAGGCTTACTGGGTTTCTTGACAGACTGGGTCACTGGCATAGCTGTGGTGCTGGCACTGCTACTGGGGTTGGTGCCCGAGGAAGATGTAGTGACTGTTGACAAGATGCCTGCAATGGTCGAGACCAACGAAGTTCGGCTGCTGTCCCCAGCGATGGTAGAGATAAGGGGAACCACCGTGGTGGGGGTTTTCTTTGGCCGGGACACCAACTTGATCCCTGTGTGGCAGGATTCGTGGCGCCTCAGGTGATAGCTGTCCCTGAAAGCTTTACTGCAGTAAGTGCACACAAATGAAGTTTTGGGTTTTTCTTTTTTAATCCCAATGGCATCCTTTAATGTTTCTGGTGCACCCTGAGGTTTCTGAGTTATTGGTATTGGAAGCAATGGTTTCTGATCAGGGGGCTCCACGGCAGAGCTCAGGAGGGGCAGCAAGCTGTTCTGTGCTGCCTGCTGTTGGTGATGGGAAGCTTCATGGGCCTAAAACCAAACATTTACACTTCAGAAACTCAGCCTCTCACAATGGCCTTCGAAATTCAACATGCTCCAGACAATAGAGACCAGAAGAAACAGTCAAAGAACCTATAAGCTACTCTGCAGTGGTAATCCAGCAACCACCTAGTTACTCTAAGAGCTCACAATACAAAGCATTGAAAAATCACTGTGCAGACACAAAACTTTTGCAACTAAGTTGCTGACAGTGATCTTGCTTTTAAACAGCTGACTAAACTACACACTATCCTGGTTCATAAGGGACAGACCAGCTGATGAAATCAGTTTGCATTAGTCTGTCAGCGCTGAAACCAAGTTTAAATAACTTACTTAAAAAAACCACTCCAGATTTAAGTATTTAATAGTACCTTACTGCAGCAATACACACATACACACTCACATACATGCAATAACACAATCATCTATTTGTCTATTATCCAGAAGAAAAGCATCATGTCTTTCTATCAGAAAACTCAGATTGAGGAAGGGGCTGTTGCTAAGTGATGAAAGAAATCTAGTTCTCTAAATACATTTGCTAGTCGTTAACGTTAAGTTTTCACTTGACTCTACTAAAAGGTTTGGTTGAAACAAAATCTGCTATGAAGCAACCTGGAAGGCATCTGTGAAGGCAGCCCATAGCAAACACCTGTCAGTTGTTTCTCAGGTCATTTAATTGTATACTGAAGTCTGCATCTTTCAGCAACACTATCTGTTCAAATCCCAAACTCTCAAAGACAGACTAATGAGAAAAACAAACTATAAACACTTAAATTCCTTTCATATTCATCTTCTTCCAGCAGTTGTAGGTTTCAATAAAGTATTAGACATTTGCTCTTATGATGTGCTTCTCCACTCCCAAAACTGGAGGCTGCACACTGGAAATTCTTTTAGCCGCAATGAAACCAAAATTTCACCATGGATCAGGTTCTTGACATTTATGAGTAGTTACTCTCTTGGTTCTGATACTTTCAAAATTCTCCATACTGATAAACATTTAGGAAATGATGGAAAAAATTCCTGAAATAGTTCTTCCTAATACGTTGTTCTTTACCAACATTATTTTTGAAACTCTTGACAGTGAGCCCAAGCCCCTATGCTTGAGTTTTGTAATCCTAATAAGATGCATGCACTCAAGAGGAGTTTCAAATATTTTAAGCATACAATGTCCTACTAGGGGCCCATCCCATCATTTTAGACACTTTAGACGGTTACTTACCCTTCTTACTCTATAACCACAAGTCCCACAGCTAACTTAAGGACAAAAAAACAAAGAGAAACACACACACACTCACAGCTCCTCCTCTGATGGGTAAGAACATCTACCACACATTGCTTCTATGTTTACTTGATGGCAGCATAACAGTTAAGCCTGGAACTAGTCTCCCCCAAACGATTAGGAGGTGTGGTATCCAGAGTTCTCAGTTTCAATTTAATAATTTTGATGTAATCACCCTTTGAGTCCTGGAAGCATTCTCAGAAATTATGTGGTTACTTATGAGTCTCTTTCTGGACTTAACTGCTCCTAGCAAATTACAGTCCGCTTTTAATCTAATTTGTGAAGCTCCTGTAAATGTAAGGGTCTATCTACCCAGGTGACATCAGCAGAAACTTTACAGAATTTGGACTCCAGTTGTAACCCCTTTTCCAACCTGGCTGTAGGATACTCGTTTCCATACAGTATACAAATAGTTAATAGCTGAAGATAGCTGAAGATATACAATTTCAAAGGCTAACAGATCAGATAATAGGGAATGCAGATCTTCTGGACAAAGTTCAGACTTATAGCATTTAGAGGCATTTTTCAACTCTAAACAACCATTAGTACGATGGAGTACTAAAAGCACTTACTGCCATTTTACCAATTCAGATGTCTGTGGCAACATAAAGTATTTTTACAGCATTGCTGAAGCTCACTCTCACAGGAGGGTCACACCAGGTCCCTGCTTCTTGGGTGAAATGCTGCAGAACCACTACAGGAATCACTCTCTGAGGATTCCTAGGATCCCCACACTTCTACAAGAAGCCTTCTAAGGGGGAACTGGGTTTTCCCAACTTCTTCTCTGGGGGAGAGACAGAGTAAAATAACAACCACGGCCAGCCTTCAGTTAAGTGATTTATTTTAAAAATATAACTTCTGGGTAGGCTTTTATTTGACTAGCATCATCAAACCAAAGTTTTAATTTTATATCCCATCTCTTTCAACTGCAAGGCTTTTTAACCCTGCCCAAGCTTTCCTTTTCCTGGGGCTGGCAAGAAACAAAACAGAAATGTTATTTCATCACCCAGGGTAGTAGGATATGGCACCATGAAATCTCCAGTGCCAGAGGGTAAAAGATTTTGTACTGAACAAATTAACATCGGTGAGTCACATCTTGAATGTCCTGTTAGAAGAATCATCCATCAAACATTTTAATAGCTATAGCTTTCACTTTCCACCAAGTTATCTGGAAAGCAAGCAGGTATTAAATTGTTTCAAAATATAAATTCAACAGGATGCTCCAGGAAACAAACAAGATAATTTAACTCCATATCCCCAGTGAAAATTACTTAAAACCAGAACTGATTAAGTCTATTCATACCTTTCCATAGAAAAGACTGAAATATTCTCTTTACCCATTCAACTGCTCTCGGCTCTAAATTTTAAGTTTTCCAACAAATTTCACTGCACACATTGCCAAGCCCAGGATTAAATATTTGTTTTCACACTTCTCCATCAGGTGGAAAAAAAGATTTTAATAGCTGAAAAAAATTAAATAATATAAAATCTAATTAAAAAGTTGATCAATAAACGCTTGGCATTTGTTTTACCCAGGAGAAAAATAATCTTTAAAAAAGTATTTCAAAAGATTTTTCAACCAGCTTTCCAAAGATGTGTTATGGGTTTTTCCTTTACATGAAGAACACTTTTTTTTTTCAATCTCTATAGACACCATGCTTAATATGGTTTTTAATCACACGAAAATCACTTCAGTGGCACATCAATCCCATATTTTAAAATAACCATTTGAGCTTTTTTCTGGGGAAAGTATTTGCCACCTTTACACCAACCTGGATGCATGCTAGTTATATATCATTTCTTTTCCAATGCATTTTCAAGTTGGTTTATCACATTATTAGCAAGCTCATCAAAGTACAATAAAACAACACTGATCAGAATGAGAAAAGGGGGAAGTTCATGAATTCCATAATGTTGGGTATTTTAGATTTTAAGAAGCCCAAATATATTTCCATAACTACTTAAAGATCAAATTGCCCACATTTGAAAAAATATGTCTTAAAACAACAGGCCAGTCTACACAGTAGGTAATTTCTGAGTTATCCAATTCTCTATATTAACTCCACTAGGATGAATCCAGTGGCTGGGAGAATAATTTTTTGAAAATTCTGCATCCGTTCCTGTTAGTTTCAAAAGGTATCAAGCGCCCCAGCTACGCGTTTGGGATTTCACGAAGTATTCAAAGGAAAATAACTCAGAGAGGCGGGAAGAACGCACTTAAAAGTGACGAGCTTCCTAACCTCCTCCAGTTCCGAAGTTTCCCCGTGAGCTCATCGCTACTGCCCACTGAATGCTTCGTTTTGCAAACAGAAACGAAGTAGGAAAAAAATAAGTTCCAGCCTAGATCTGCCAAACAGGGGTCCCCCATCTAAAGTGGGCGGGCAAGAGAATTGCCAAAACACATCGGCTACAGTCACTTTCAAGTTTCTTGCAAAAAAGCGAAGACCAACATCCCAGAGAGTGACTCATCTGGGGGCTTTGTAAGCGGACTTTGTTTGCTCTCTCCACTTGGTTGGAGGAAACGTTCGAGGTGGGCGAGAAAGAAAAGCGCTTCGGGAGAAGGTCGGGCCTCCAGGAGTCCCGGCCCCCACCGCTCCCCGCCTGCCCCGGGCCGGCCCGGCTGGGGGATTCCCCAGGCTGAATGGGACGGCGGGAGAGCTGGACAGAGGGAGAAGGTGTCAGCTGCCAAGGCTCGGCTGAGACTTGGGAAAAAAAAATGTAAATCCAGTGAAAAAGTTTGGGGAGGGGATACACACTCACAACATCCGCCCCCCCAACTGGGTAAACACGAGAGGGGTGGTGGCGGTGAGGGGGAGTGGCGGGGAACCTGGGGATACCCGCTATTCGCGGGGACACGGGAGGGGGTCAGAAAGTCAACACACGCACGCACACACACAAAAAGACGAGGAAGGTGAAAAGAGAACAAGCGAAAGATGGATGAAGTGGCGGGGAGGAGACTCAGGGCAGGACCTGGGGACCTCCTCACCCCACCGTGGGGGACCGGGCCGGCACGCAATGGCCCAGCAGCCCGCGCTATCCAGCGGCCCGGCGCCCTCCTTTCTCTGGGCCGCGGGGTGGTGACAGCGACCGGCCTCCTCCCTTCCCCTTCAGAGCGAGAGGGAAGGGTGTGTGTGAGTGTGTGTGTGTGCGTGTGTGTGCTGGGGGGCCCCCGGGTTCACCCCGCGGCCTGCTATCTCCCCCGCACCCCGTGAGGCCGCCTCCTTTCACCTCAGCAGCCCCGCTTCGCCGGGGCGGGCGGGCGGAAAAACAAAGGGGGATTAAGGCCGGGCCGGAGAGCGGAGCCGGGAGGGAGGGGAGGAGGAGCGCCCGCCCGCCCGCCAGCCCGGGGCCCGGCCCCCCTGTCCCCCCCGTGCCCCCCCGGGGGGGCCCCCAGTACCTGGAACAGGAACGCGGTCCAGTTGGCCTCCATGGCTGCGGCGGCCGACCCCCCTCCTCCCCACTCCCCCCGCTCGGGGAGCCTCCTCAGCCGGAGGAGGCGACAACAAAGCGGCGGCGGCGGCGGCGGCAACGGCAGCGGCGGCTCCTCAACATGGCAGCGCCGAGCGCGGCCACTTCCGGTAACCTCCGGGACGCACCACCGCGGCGGCGAGCGCGGGCGGGGGGGGAGCCCCGGCCCGGCCGCCGCCGCCCCCAGTCGCCCGGACCCCCTCTGGGCGTCCCCGCTGCCGGCTCGCCGCCTCGGAGCTCAGCCAGTGCCCGCTGGCGGTGGGGTCAGGGCCCCCGCGGGGGGGCTGGGGTGGGGCCCGGGGCGGGGATGGGGCGCGGCGTCCCCCCCCGCGGGGGTGTGTGGTGCTGCGGTCCGTGGCTCAGGCAGCTGGAGCAGGGGGAGCTCAGGAGAGAAGATGGAGGACGCCAGGGTCTGGCGCTGGCCCGCTGGGCACAGCTGGGCCGTCTCCCGTGACTCAGACACGGTGTCCAGCACCGTCGCGTCCCTGTTAGACCCTCAGCGGAGGGCACAGGCCACGGCGGACACTCGGCTCTTCAGTCGCTCATGCACAGCATGGTCCCCACCTCCAAACTGGGGGAAGCCCTTTCGACTTCGAGCCTCTCTTCCTTTTGGCATTTCCTCCCCGGCCGGCTAAGCCCTCTGCGCTCTCGCTATGATATGCATCTCATGGCGAGATGGCCTTCCAACTCAAGCAGGGAATCCCACTGGGGTGCAGCCTCAGATCCTCTCAGTGTGGAGGGAAACACTTCCCACGCGTAGAGATGTCATTACTGGGTTATTCTTGGGTGAAGGGCTGAGCCTCCCCATCCTCCCCTTCACTCCAAGATAGGATGTGAAATTCTATCCCAACACCCCTCCTCTCCCGCCAAAAATAAAAACAAGTGAGATAGTATAGACAAATTATTTTAGTCCTTTAGTACAGTCTGTTTCCTCCTTCACCCCCAGAACAAAAATCGAACTTCTGGTTGGACAGCGTCAGATGTCACTGAGGTGACCCCAGCCTGTTTGCAGTTCCAAGTCTTCCGTGTAGGCGTCACTGCTACTGGAACTTTGTAGATGAGGAGCCTGTATGATGATGTCCTGAACATTTCTATCCTTTCCTCACACAGAGGGAAGCTACTGGGAATATCAGAGACAAGCTATTATTAAACAAGTGTCTCTAGTCCAAGACATCTCCTGTGGCAGGGAAATGAGGGGGCAGGCTGTATCAGTGATATTTTTATAAACTCTGGTTTTAGAAAAAATTCTTCAGATGGACGCATTATTTTAAGACTTTAACATTTTCCAAAACCAACTGAATCTTATCCCCTCCATTTATCCCCCTCCAGACACTTCTAATCAAGGTCACCATCTCCAACTTCCCCCATAGACAATAAAAATATGGCTGGAGAATTCTACTGTAATAGAAAACCAAGGAGATATAGTAATTTGACAGTGTG
The DNA here is from genome assembly GCF_000001405.40 of Homo sapiens. Lineage (NCBI taxonomy): Eukaryota > Metazoa > Chordata > Mammalia > Primates > Hominidae > Homo > Homo sapiens. The sequence continues at coordinate 57,989,590 of NC_000017.11, forward strand.
TTTCCTTTCCATCCACTAGACAAGAATACCCCCTCCCATTCTTTCCTCCCCTCAGTCACCAGAATGAAGGGGCTGGAAAACGTTGGTCTGGTTCCTTTTAGAGCTGATTCCCCATTGGATACTGCCTGGAGGCCTTGGGGATGAATGAGAAGTTCTGCAGTTTGGATCAGTAGCAGAAGCAGGTAACACATCAGGGAACCGGTCAGCCTAAGATAGGAGGGGACAGAAAATGATGAAAGAGTTTCTGATACATTTATCAGCTAAATTGCTATGGTCACCCCCATGTCTCCTGTAATGTCCAAACCTAAGGAATTAACTAAGTAAACTAAAACCTTTGTGTTCTTGCTCTGACCTTGGACAATGGAATTCTTCTTATTTTCATTCAGTGGATAGCAAATCTGCTTCTTCCCTGCCTTAACTCACTCAAGGTCTCTGTGATGCACTCCAGAGTTTTCCTCCTTCCCTGCATAGTCTTCTCCTCCCTAGCTGCCTTTCAAATTGGTGAAAATGAAGCTTCAGGATTATGAAAACTAGTACTTAATGAAGACCATTATTCTAATGACAATATCGCTGGACTCTTGAACTTGTTATGCTGGGATCTAGAAACCCTTTCCCCAGCAATCTTTCACACAGCACCTCTGGGAAGCGGTTTCCCACTAACAGGAAATAGAGGTCAAGTGGAAACAGTCCAGTTCTCATTACTGAAAAGCTAAGATTCAGAAGAATCACTTTTCTTGAGGAAAATGGCTAATTCTATTTCTATCCATAAGACAAAATCAGAATTGATTGCTCCTCAAACATTCTTTAAAAAAAAATTAACCTTTTAAGTTCATGTAAATTTTAAACACTGAGCTATTTTCCAGAAGGAAAATACTCAGAAGTTTGAAACAAGTACTCAAAAACAATCGGTTCCAACTGTTAGAGGAATATAATGAAACCAGTATGATCAAATGCTCCATCCTTACCTAGAAGGGGCTATTTCTACTTTTAGGACAGAAAATTTCTCTAACCAAACAAAAAGGAGCTCTCTCCTTAAGTGAGCTTCCACAGACTATATACTGGGGTCCAGTCAAAAGACAGATGTCCAAAGACAGCAAATTCATCTAGATTATTGTAAACAATTTTCGGTGAGTGAGTAAATGGTATTACCTTCAGCCATGATGAATAAAGCATCTAAGCCAAAAATACAATGTGCCTACATCTACCCAAACAAAAGTCAGATCCCCAACTTGCCCTGTTCAGGTTCCTCTCTCCTCCTCCCACACTCCAAGTTGTATAACCTGTCACCTAACCTTTTAGGGTCTCAGCTTCCTCATCTGGAAAATTAGAACAAAATATCTACCTCACAATGGTCACCTGTGGATTTAATGAGAAATATGTGTAAGATGCTTAGAACATTTTCCAGATATATAACAGATGTGAAATAAATATTTTTATTGGTGTTATCGAGTGGTTCTAGATTAACTTTGGGGCTTGGAACTCTGCACATAAGCTCTGAGCCAGTTAATTATCCCTTTTACTTTCGCCAAGTGACAGGTTTTCTCCCATCCATTTCTCCTTCAAAGAGCCCTAAGGTAAACGGGCAAAGGGCTAATGACACATAACAAAGGAAGATGCCTATTAAAATCTGTTGTTCTAAACACAACTTTTAGTAAACATTAGAAAGCAACAGGATATTTCCTTCCTCATTTGGAGAGAATTTTAAAGTCCTGTGAATACATTGAGGATGTGGATTACAGACTTAGAATCCTAGGAAAAGAAAGTATCTCTGCCGTTGTCAATTACCTGTCCCCAGCTAAGACTGCTCCACAAACTAAAAACAAATCCAAAACTTTCAGTAGGGAATATCTAGTTAGAAGCTTCAAATTGGCAAGTTAATGGACCAACTCTTTATGCAAAAAAGCCAGAACTGACAATTAACAAATTTAATAGTAAAAATCAAGATTGCAATATTTAGAAATACCAAAAAGTATTGGCCAGAAAGAAATAACCCTTCCATATCAGCCTCAATACAATCAGGAGAAAAAGCAACATATTTTCAAAGTGACACCCCCCCCATCCCCCCTTAAATACTCCAAACTCCTCAGGGAGGAAAGCAGAGGTTATCTCCTCACTGCCTGAACTGGATAAGCACACTAAGGGCTTTGAAGCCATTTGCCTTTTGCCTTTGACCCATGTGGTCAGAAGTCAGGTTTGTGTTTCAATTCTACCACCTGAAGTGTCACCAGGAGTTATTTAACTGGCAAGGTGAGGAAAGGGAAACAAGAATTCTTTTTCCTGAATACCCATTTAAGTTCCTTGACAACTGGAACAAAGTCATAGAGAGCAAAGGGACAATGTAACAAATCTACCCATTTTCCTAGTAGACACTGAATTCAGCTGGTAGTCGAGGGCTTTTAATTAAAACATTTTATTGTTTCTAAGAATGTTCACACAATCCAAGACTTCAAAAATGAGTCTAAAGCCATGGAAACACATTTATCACCTTCATGCTTGTTGAAGGACACCAGCAAAAATCAATGCTAAACCTATCAGCTTCATCCATTAAAGCATTTGCATAGAGAAACTAACTTCCATTTTACAACTCTTTAATGACAGGGAGAATATCCAACAAATCGCAAGTAAAATAGCATAGACCACAAGGAAAGAAACTAAGACAAGTCAAAAATACACCAAGTAAGAAATTCAATACAACTGGAAAACATACTCATAGGCACCAACATTCCTCCTTTGGACACCTGTTCCTTACTGCCCTCAGATGCCCCAGGACAGGGTAATGGCTGAGCATGGAAAAAGTAGGTAATGGGTCACACAAACTTGGTGGTCCTGCACCAAACTACAAAGATTAGCTCAATTATAGCATTGTGCTAACAGTAAAAGTAGTAAAAAATAAAAAATTAAAAAAAATAAAAAAATAAACTAAATTCCTACACAAAGTTTCTCGAGTACAGAGGTGAATGTCTTCTCCTCGGCTACAGCCTCCACCCCAAATACAACCCACCAGTTAAGAGGGATAACACTAAACAATGCTGTTTAGTGTCATGTGCACCCATCTACATGACCAGAAAAATACTGTTCATATGCAAAAAAATTTACTAATTGTTAATGCCTGGCCAGATGTTCTTGTGAAGAGCAAGGCAGGGGAAAAACATGTTATCAAGTGAATACTCTATCCAAACTCCAAGAGAAACATCTCCAGTTTTTCTTCAGAGTCAATTTGATCTTCAACTGAGGGTCCCTCCATTCTTGGCAGTGAGAGGAACAGTGAATAATGAAAACAGGTGTTCAGAAACCTATGCAGTATACTCCCTGGGTAAGGAAGGTGAGCAGCAGTGACCTAAGACACTGACATGACCTCATGACTAGCAAGACCAAACTTTGAGAAAGCTGCTCCATTCCAGAAATCAATGCTAACAGATGGCAACACAAGGCCTAGATAAGATCTGGCTTAGGCTCCAGAAAAGGGAATTAACTTTTTAAAGGATGTTTCTTGACCTTGAGAAGTAGAAAGTGCCTAAAGGGCCGATCTGGTGGCTCACACCTGTAATCCCAGCACTTTGGGAGGCCAAGGCAGGTGGATCACCAGGTCAGGAGATTGAGACCATCCTGGCTAACACGGTGAAACCCTGTCTCTACTAAAAAATATAAAAATTAGCCGGGCATGGTGGTGGGAGTCTGTAGTCCCAGCTACTTGGGAGGCTGAGGCAAGAGAATGGCGTGAACCCGGGGGGCAGAGCTTGCAGTGAGCCGAGATTGCGCCACTGCACTCCAGCCTGGGCAACAAACCGAGACTCCGTCTCAAAAAAAAAAAAAAGTGCCTAAAGTTCTACATTCAGTCATCTGGTCCAGGCATAAAAGCAGGTGAAGGGGCCTGCTGCGCTGGTTATTAAAAGCTCTACACATGGACAACAGCTGTACTCAGCATCTACTCTTTAAGCTGTGAATAACACATCAAGCTTACCTGCTGCTGTCCACAAATACTACTTGAAGCACTTCACCCTTGGTTGCCTGAGTAGTGGCAGAAAGCTCTCTGCTAGGCCTGAGGGAAGACCAGAATTCCTAGAGGACAGGATAGATTTTGACCTGATGAACAATTATTAAGGTACACAGGGAAGAATCTAGATTTTTTTCCTTTGAAGTACCTTTGGTCTCTAACAAAGCACACAAGGCTCTATTCAACTAGCTGACAGAAGTTAATTAGCCCTCTACCCCAAGGGCCTGACCCTGCCCTCTGCTAGCTTTTTGTTTTACTGACCTTACCTCCTCAACTTCACCTCCCTCCTCCAGCTGTTTCCTCGTATTTCTGCAGCTTCCTCTTTCTTCCCACCTCTCCTTTCACTTTCTCCCCTTTCATTCAGAAATGAATGCTCAGAGAGCAGATGGCAAGTAGTCAACCCAAGCCAGTGAAAACACTTCCTGAGCACCTGGTACAAAGACCAGAAACACACTGTGGCTGCTGGAATACAGAATACACGTTATCCCTGTCTTTTAGCAGTTCATACTTTAAAGGAGAAAGGCATCATATACTTATTCCTCACATATGAAAAGATATTTTCAGGCCAATTTATTTATAATATGGGACAAAATGATTGTTTACATCAGAACTGATAACTTTTACTACTACAGTAATTTTTCCGTGGCCTCCTACATAGCACATCTAGTGAAACTGATTCTGAAGCCTGATGAAGCCCCATGTATGTTCTATACACTTTAGCTGAGGTGTTAACTCTAATCAGTTAAGAAAAGCACATGAAGAGTCCAAGTTGGTACTACAATGTGTGATTAGTCTTCTCCCGAGAGAACTGAGAAAATTCAGGTAAACTTGACTATTAGAGGGTAGGTTTGGAGTTTGTTCCAGTGATCTCCTTAAAAATGGCTTAGGAGTTTGAGATAAAACTCCTGTGGGAAACAAGGAGAAAGGGATGGGGCACAAATCCACATCTCAAATCAGTAGGTTACTCTTTAGCTGTTTCTCCCAGTGGCTTGAAGAGCCCTGGTAAACACCCAGTACTCGATATATCAAATGGACAGCACTCAGAGACAGCTCAGATACAGCCCCACGTTCAGGCTGTGGTGAGAATTCCAACCCAGAAAGATGTAGTGAAGATTTCCAAAGGCCAGCCAGGACACCCCAGGGACTAACTTCCCAGTTCATAATTTTAATCATCTTGAATACAAAACAAAGACCTCTCTAATGTGGACTCTCCTTAGAAAAATGGCTTGTGTTTAGAATTATCCCAGAACTATTATGGAAGCATGAGTATTTCAGTAAAATAATTACTGAGCACCTACTAAATGCCAGGAGCTGTACTGTCACTGGGGATACTTCTAAGAATCTTCTCTACTGAAGAAACCAAGCCTTGCAAAGAAATAATTATAAAACAGTTACAGACATTTGTACAAAGTGCGTAACGAGCACTGGGAAAGGAAATTTTTAAAGGGCTATTTGCTCATTTGTTTTCATATAAGTGATAGTTTTGACACTGTAGATTACCAACTAGGGTTGCTGAATACAAAAACTGATACCTAAGAGATAGTATGTGTAGGCTAAGTGTAATGCAAACATTTTTATTGGAAACTGGAAGTTACCACACATTGGCTTTTAAAACTTAAAATTCCTAGAGTGGTTCATTTTTGTGGATCTGTTACTAATACAAATTTAAGTGTATACTCAGCTATCAACACAAATGCAGATGTTTTAAACATTTACCCTTTCACAGGTTCTTTTCTATGATTTTTTTGTGGGGCTGCTGTGTAGTTATTGAGTGGCTAGCCAGGCCCCAGCCACTGTGTGACCAGCTGTCCTCCTGTGGGGCCAGCCTCAATAGTAGGGGTCAAAAGAGGGCCAGGGCTTCTCTGAGAGAGCTGGCTGTGCACTGCACACTGGAAAGCCAAGGAGCTAGGCATCCCTCTTTCTTGCTGCCAGGCTCTGGAACATGGCCACTGTGACTAGATGTAGTCCTACTCTAGAACAACCCTCAGCACACAGGGTAAGAACATGGATCAAAGACAGCACCATGGGACACCCTGCTGGCATCTGGTAGATATTACAGGTGTTTCTCACTTGGGTCAGACTTTTCTCCCCGAGGCCTCCCAACTGGAAAAAGCAGGCTGGCTTTAAAAAGCAACGTGATAGTAAAACAAGAATTTCTCACCACAAGATCTGGATTCAAGTTCTGGGCCTGCCCCTTTAACATCTCTGGGCCTATTTCTTCAAACTGCAAAATGAAACTAAATACTACGTGAGAATTAAAATGAGCCACAGTATCAGGACTGGGCGCAGTGGCTCATATCTGTAATCCCAGCACTTTAGGAAGCCAAGGTGGGAGGCCTGCTTAAGCCCAGGAGTTCAAAAAGTCTGAGAAACAGAGCAAGACCCTGTCTCTACAAAAAATATAAAAAAGGTAGCAAGGGTATAAACCTTTGAGGTTACTATTCTAAGAATATGCATGATCTGACTAAAGAACACAGTGTCTCAGATTTAAGCTATGTGGCACACCTGCCTAAGATTTCAATAATGTATTTATTCACAAACATTTATTAAGGTGCAGGTACTAGCATTCTGGACATCTTAGAAGAAATGTCAAAAAGTTTAAAACATAAGACTTTGGGGAGCCGGGCGCGGTGGCTTATGCCTGTAATCCCAGCACTTTGGGAGGCCGAAGCGGGCAGATCACGAGGTCAGGAGTTTGAGACCAGCCTGGCCAACATAGTGAAACCCTGTCTCTACTAAAAATACAAAAAATTAGCTAGGTGTGGTGGCAGGTGCCTGTAATCCCTGCTACTTGGGAGGCTGAGGCAGGAGAATCGCTTGAACCCAGGAGGTGGAGGTTGCAGTGAGCCGAGACTGCGCCACTGCACTCCAGCCCAGGTGACAGTGCAAGACACTGTCTTAAAAAAAAAAAAAAAAAAAACAGCCTTTGCTCTCAGTTTACTATGTAGCTGAAGAAAACAAAGCATACACATTAAACTAGAGAACAGCTTAAGGGCAACATGTCCACCTGCACATATAGCACTTTTTAAAACATGAAGAAAAGCAAATAAGAAACAACGCAATTAGTTCAAGAATGCTTCAGTCATTAGGTGTGATCATGAAGGGGTGAGATTTTTAATGGCAAAAGGAATGGGGCTGCTTATGGGATTTATGATGTGGGGTGTTAAAATGTATGGATGCTGGGTCTCTTGGTTTTGAGAGAATTGTTTAAGCTAGCTGATCCTATAAACCTAAAGACCAGGGTCAGGGTCCTAAAGTTAATGCTTAAGACTCCCAACCCAAGGAATAATATACATGCTATCTAGTCTCTTCACAATACATCGTTATGTATTAATCTCTTTATGAATAGTTACCAACAACAAAAAAACAACCAAAATGATTCCATCCCAAAGAGAAATATGCAGGAATTCTCATTGAGGCAATACCACTAAATTCTGAGGCAACTTAAAGCTTCCTCTGTAAGAAGCTTAAAAGAGAATGACTGAAAAAGGATACCTAGGAGGCAACTATTTAGTCTTTTTGGAGACAATGTCATCAATTCTTGGTGATCTGTACTGAAAGTGTGCACAGCTTACATCAAAACCACTTACTTTGGTCTTACAATTGGTCTTACTTTGCAAGACCAATTCTGGGAGCAACATTTACTTATCCAATTATACTTGGACTTAGGCTAGCATTTAGATTAATTCAAATTTTCTGGCTTCACATCTGAGGAGTTATTAGTATTAAAATACCTTCTCCAATAATCCACCCAGTTAACGAATAGCTTGTGAAACAGACTTCTACAGTGCTTTGCTTTTAGGGAATACTAAATTCTTCCCATCTCGCCCATCAATATTAAAACTGTCAGCACTGCATTTAGCTCATTGGGAAATATAAATATATTCAGTTCCTGGGTCTGTAGAGTTAAAAAATACATGTATTTACCAAATCAACCAGGGTAGGGGAAGATGTGATTGAGAACAGGATAAATTGGAAAGGTAGAATATAACCCATTGTTAACTCATATTAAGGGAGTGACATGTTTTAAGGATCTGGAGTCACTGAAACCAGCTTTAACACTTCAGTAATATGAATTTGGGTACAGACAAAAATGCTGATATGGCAACTGGAGATGGGAAGACAAATCCAAACAGCATCTTGAAGAACTCTATTTGGCAAGTAAACACATCTCTAGGTTAATCTAAATCATAGATGCGGTGGCACCCTGAAGACACAGAACTTGACTATCACCTTGCTGCAAATTTACTATTTTTAGAGTACAAAGGAGCCATTTGAGTTTTCTTTGGAATGTGCTTGTTACACTGCGAACCAACATTTTACATTTCTAGCCTTAAGTTGTGGATGTCAGCCAGGTGCGCTGGCTCACACCTGTATTCCCAGCACTTTGGGAGGCCGAGGCGGGCGGATCACTTGAGATCAGAAGTTCAGAGACCAGCTGAGCCAACATAGTGAAACCCTGTCTCTATGAAAAATACAAAAATTAGCCAGGTGTGGTGATGGGCACCTGTAATACCAGCTACTTGGGAGGCAGGAGAATCGCTTGAACCCGGGAGGCGGAGGTTGCAGTGAGCCGAGATTGTGCCACTACACTCCAGCCTGGGTGACAGAGTGAGACCCTGTGTCAAAAACAAAGACAAAAAAAATGTGAATGTCACTCTTGGTGTTATTTTATAGTTCAAATTTCTACCACCGTTAAGGGTAGAAGACATTCACCCAGCACTTCCCAGTCCTATCTAAAGGTTATACCTTCCCTTTTGCTTGACTGATCCTATAATCTTATGTATTAAGCCTTAATAATTGTTGAAAGCTTATCCCAAAATGACATATAAAGACTCCTCCTCTAATACACAGCACCTGAGGGAACAATTCTACCATGGTTTTTCTTAGCACTTTACAATCTCCAGGTTTAGCACTTTTCTTTCTACAAGGAGAATTCTGAATTTTCATTTGCCTAATTTGTGGCTTCAGAGTGCATCTTCAAAAGTTATTTAAAAATTATCAAAGGGACACCAGAGCTAACATTTACAGGATTAAAGACAGGCTTCAATCTAGTTAGTGCCCTTTCAGCTGTCAATCCAATTTGCAGCAAGACTACTAGTTAACAGTAACTACCTTCTGTAGCTTTCCTTGCTACTTAGTGTTACCTTAGCAGGCAGGGAAATCTCTACTGTGTAAACTTGATTACTTTTCCCCCCACAAGAAGTCCACTTTGTCCACTTTTAGTGCTTTATTCTTTGAAACAGACTGATTTTCTAAAATTAACATTTTAAGGCCAGTTGTCCCACACCTGTCTTCTGGATGACTAAATCCCATCATATGGGCCTAAAAGGTTTAGTATTCTCAATGACAATTTATACTGTAAACAGGAGACAAGTTTGTGTCCTTTCCATTTTTTATAAAAGAAACCTGGGGAGAAAGCGGTGATGGGAATGACAGATACTAAAAGTGTTAAATTTTCAGTAATTTTCAGCTGTTAATATGGCATTAACTACTGTGTCTACTGACTTTTTGATCACAAGACAACCTGCTACTTAAGTGAGGCCTAGAAAATAGAAAACAGCTAAGCTGACACATAAGTAGGATTTTAAGACAAACTTTAAGAACCTCTTAGTAATACTGAGAAGATCATCACACCTGAAACTGTCACTCCATAAAAGCAAACTGCAGGTCTCTAAAAGCATATTCATTTCTTCTAGTTCATAACCAAATTGTTATGTCTAGTTTTCCCCAGCACACCTAACTCCTGTTCCCAATTCTCACATTCATGGCCTTATTATTCCATACCTGATGTACAAGGTAGGCAGAAAAACAAGCAGACTTATGTCTTCAGTATTTTCTTAGTCCCAGAACCTAGATTTGTTACAAAATGAGTGCCTGTAAGGTAAACTCTGAAAACCTAAATGGATGCAAAAGCTGAAAAGGGGAAGAATTTTACACAAAAGATGGGAAGACAAAGGTAAAGTTGCAAGAAAACTTACCCAAACCATCTAACTTTAGAGCTGATACAGAGGATCAAGGTAGTTAGCTGGTCTCTACTTTGTTCTATGTATCTATAATGGGGATTATTTCCTGCTTAATTTTGTGTTATAGCTCCCTCTAGTGGCTAAGTGATTTTCCCTAGCACTTACCAATGGAGAGCAGTACAGCATGTTGTAAAAAAACCAAACAAACAAACAAAAAAAATTAAGACCTATTTCTACAAGTTGTTTTTGTTCAAAGTGCATTTGGTGGAGATGAGTATAGCATCCTAGAGAAGCTGTTTCCACTATCTTCATGTCCACAGTTCTACCAATAGTTGGCACTTATAAGTTGTCTGGTAACAGAAGTCTGATGCTTTTTAACCCGATGCTTGAGTATCAAGCTGAACTAAGTGTTGTTTTGCTTACCTAAACAGTAAACTTCTTATGAAAAGTCATGAATGACTTTTCACCCCCTGAAATCCCAGCCTAGCACCTATTAAAATGTTGTAAATTACAAATGTTATATTTGCCTAAATTAACTTCTATATGACAGAGTCATTTATTCAATTTTTATTCTGTGCATTAATGAAGCACGGAGTGATTTTTATAATAATTAAAAAATCCTTCCTTTAATCACTACAAGCTCACAAGAACCCTCAGGGTTGTTAGGCATTAGCTTTCAAAGCTACCAAGAAGCACCGTGAAGGTCTCAATAACAGGAATAAGTACTGGTTTAAGTATACTATAATCTCTTGGGGTTTGTTTAAAGCAAGTTACTTTTGGCAGCATTACTATTCATTCAATAGACAATCACGATAGACATAATGAACAGATGTTTCCTGATAATCTCTTTACTTCATGCCAATCCCAGCTTTTCCTATAGGATCTAATTGGTCAATGTTCCTTTAAGTACTGATACAGAAACAATAACTCAAAAGAATGTTGTATTGTACACTCTAGGATGCCTGAGTATTTGCTTCAATGGGATATAATTGTTGAGTCCACTATTACAACAGAATGTAAAGAAATGTGGGCCATACCTTTTTTTCTTGTGGCTGCTTCAGCCTAAAAAGATGGGGGAACTTAAAATTCAATCAACAAAGGATTCACAATAACAGGTTTTTCAGTCAAGACACCCCAGTTACAGACAAAAGCATTAGGCCTGTGTATGCTAGTACAGTTCCTACAATCCCTTATATGAACTCTTTGGAGACAGACATATCTGGGATTCAGAGCTGTATGCACTTTATGAGGTACATATATACCCTGTATTACATAAAACCCTCAGCAAAGTCTGTGGCAACTGTGCAATGAATAATGAAGTTCAACAGGAAACAGTTTAGTCACACTAAGTGCAAAATGAAGGCAGCAATTCTGGTCAGGGTTCACATTTAATTAGCTCAACAACAGAAAATCTTTTGTTTTCGTAGTTTTTGGATTTCAAAAAATGGATAAGAGACTGTAATCTGTTTTCTGCGTTTGCAGTCTTCATACTGTGATGGAAATAATGGTTATGTTACAACAGAACTTCAGTCTAACAGTTTCTCATCTTTTAATACTATTTATGGTAAATACATATATATAACTTACTTGCAATTTAAATTACAAAATTCATATACAAAGTAAGCAAAAAGGCACACATAAGAAATCCACCTTGACCACAGAAATGTGAAAACACCAGCCCTAATGACCAAGACAATGTTTCAAAGACAACAAACACCAAGAAAAGTTGAGATTCTACAATAAATCATATTAAACGCAAGCACTATGATGCACAGACGTGAGCACTGAATATTTACTAAAGCATAAAACTTAGGAAAAATCATTTTACGGGGAATCTATTCATATTCCAAACAGCATTTTAAAAAACATTAAACTTAGCTTAGTTTTAAAAACAAAATTCAGACCCAAACAATCAAGAACCAGAAAATGGGTTTCTTACCTTTTGTTTCCAGTAGGATGTGGGCTGAACAGCAAGGTGGGTTATTCAATCTGATGTTATGAAAAGTAATTGCTTCTTAAAGAGACTTAAGTTTTTCCTTGGTTAGAAAATAATTATAGGCTCCCTAAAATATTCTAAGGGGACATAAATAGGGAGAAGAGGGGGAAATTCCAAGACAGCTTTTGTAGTTTCAAAAGGGTGTAACTTTCTTCTAATAATTGCCAATACGGATAGAGACCTAAAGGTCCATTTTCTGAGACTATAAATAGGAGCAGTCCATACTTCCCATCACAGCTTTTAGCTGTCTGGTCATCTTAACTACAAAACCTATGCCCCTTTACCTAAGTAAACATTAGATCCTCTCTAATCTTCAAATTCAGCCTGTATAACAAGGAATACTGTCTCATTTCAATGTGAGGTTAGAATTACTATAACTTTTAGTAGAGCACATCTTTCAACTTTAAACACTCAAACTTGAGTGAAGGCCATTTACATTTTTTGGTCATTTCCAAAACATTCAATGAACACAAATGAACCAAAGTTTACTTAAGTCTAGCTCACATTAACCTTCCAAAATTATCATTAATCATTTATTTTCCCTTTAATAATCTGATGAATTTTTAAAATGTTCTACACATAAAACTTCTTAGAATTTCAAGAATGTCATGTAAAATTATTCAAATTTTTAAACAGTAAATCTGCCTTTTGGCCATTACATTGAATTCTTAGATAAAAAGAGCTACATCCTTAAACTTACACTAAGTACTTAGTGAAATTCTGCATTCAACTTAACATCCCCTCTTCCCAACATTCCACAACGTTCATTAAAATCTACCGATTGGGGTGACCTTACACATTTCTTCCACTACCAAGATTTCTGGTTTTCCTTAGGTTTTTAATTGTCACCCAAATAATCACCTTAAATTCAACTTCCAACTATGATTAGCACCCAAGGGAAATGTTAAAGTCTATTTATTTTAGGTCCCCTCCCCCAACCTAAATAGTACCAAGGGGCTGTCAGTAGACAAATACAAGAAGTAGCAGGCTAAAAGTTTTTAACTGCTTTGGTAGAGAACACCAAAGTTTTTGGTACAAAATAATCTTATGGTTGGAGAAGGGCTTATAAGGCAAAATTCTAAATGCCCAGCTTTTTATTAACAATGATTCATCCAAAGAAGCAGTTAATCTTGTGCACTCTTCCCTTTCAAAAAAGAAATGAGACTTGGGTTAAAAGTTCTACAGGCTGAGCATGGTGGCTCACACCTGTAATCCTAACACTTTGGGAGGCCAAGGCAGGCAGATCACTTGAGGCCAGGAGTTTTGGGACCAGCCTGGGTAACACAGAGAAACCACATCTCTACTAAAAATACAAAATTAGCCGGGCAAGGGTGGCACACACTTGTAGTCTCAGCTACTTGGGAGACTGAGGCACGAGAATCACTCAAATCCAGGGGTGGAGGTTGCAGTGAGCCTAGATCACACCACTGCCCTCCAGTCTGGAGAACAGAGCGAGACTCTGTCTCAAAAACAAAAAACAGTTCTAATACATCTGTGCTGATGTTAACATTTAATACTTACCTTTTTTTGAGATGAGTTTCATTGAGAATATCAAAAGCTATCTCCAAGTGAACATTAGTAGCCATCAACCAATTTTGCACAAAAGCCTATGTTGTCTATGACCACCAGAAAATAAGCAGCATCTATAGTTTTTTAACCACTTTATAACAAAGTAGAGAAGCTTATCTTTCAGATGCTAGATCCATCCCCCACCGTCATTTACCAAGTTACATACACAAATGCCTTATTCTCCCCTTTTGCTTTCCCCTGAAGACTTTTACAATTAACAATAAAAGATGGCTAATACCATTAGATTGCCTTTTAAGAACTTTTAATTTGCTAACACATTAACACAAGAGTCAAAATCTTATCTTACTTAACAATTTAAAGATTAACTGATAGACCCAGTTAGAATCTTACATGAAGAGGAAAAAGGACAACCATGCATAGTTTTTTAAAAAATGTTTATTTTTTCAAAGAAAACGGCAATAGCCAATTGGAAACCTACTTATTCTTCAACTCCAATTTTGTTTTCTTTAAATTTAGAAGTGACTTACTGATTTACTATTTTAAACAAACCCCCCCTTTCCCCTTTAAATGTTTACCATCTACTCGTGCTGAATCCTTCCAAGGAGATTGCTCCAGCGTTTATCTCCAGGTCCTCGCTTTGCTCCTTTTACCAAAAAACGCAAAACACAATTCCATCGTGCATCTTAAGGGCTCCAATCGTCAAAAATAGGAAAAAAAAAATCTTTGGAATAGCCAATTAAGTTGAATAAAAAAATCCACACGAATGCGGTTTGGTTGGGGCAGGAATCCACTCCTATGTTCCTGGTAATCTGATCCCGCTCCATGAATCCTGGTAATTCATCCTCCCTATCCTATCCACATTATGATTTGAATCCAATGATCCAGCTCCAAGGATTGGGATCCAGTGAGCCCTCTCCAATCCAAACCTTTATAACCAGCAAAACCAAAAAAGAGGAGGCAAAATGTTAGATACTGTAATCAAAAAAGGTTTCTGGGGAATGATGAGTTATGTCTGTCATCAGTTTAACAGATGCACATCAATAACTATCAAATTCCCCAAAACAAGTTTCTGAATGGTGTTCAGATAAATTTTAGAAACTTAATCATCATAGAGACTAATTGGAAGAAGCATTTTGTATTTACAGTTCAACTGATAATGCCAACACTTGTTACTGTACAGCGTATTACAGGTTTCGTGGTTGCAAGAAGTTACGTAATTTAAGTTTACTGGCATTGCTACCCACCTAAGTCTAAAACTAAATCTAATGCTCCCATTTGCAATTTAATTTGTAAATTAAAGTCTTTTAAACATATGAACCAATTATGAATATTAGTTTAAAGGGGAAGGTGAGACTTAAAAGTATTCCCAACTAGATTATCTACACCAATACATTGGAACTCTATATTTTGCTTTCATTTTGTCTTAAAAAAATGAAATAGCAACGCTCTATCAGTCACACAGAGGACATGCAGATTTAGCAGTATTGATATTATACTCTATCTTGTTGGATTTAAAAACACCCTGTACCCACATGTACACCAACAGCAGGTCACACATTAACAGTTGTAACTAAGCACTGTGACAAATTAGCCAGTTCTTCCCACATTAGTCCCTATTAAAACAAAAATGGGGGGAAGGGAGCAAAATAAGTTGCTACAAAATGGGCAATATAATTTTGCCACAATTGCCAAGGTTTAAAAAGCAAAGCAATTGTAGCTAAAGACAACTGAATAAAATGTTTGCAAGTGTTTTAAGGAAAATGTATATAATCATTTTTAACCCCTGCCTTTTAGTATAAGGTCAATACTGCCAATTTCATCTGTGACAATAGCACTTGGAGT
This sequence comes from Homo sapiens, assembly GCF_000001405.40. NCBI lineage: Eukaryota > Metazoa > Chordata > Mammalia > Primates > Hominidae > Homo > Homo sapiens. The sequence goes on from NC_000017.11 coordinate 58,004,918, forward strand.
CATACCATTGCCTCCATTATTGATCTGATCCTCCTCAATCCTCCTTTTGACAATCCTAAAATGATTGAAATGTGCTCCACAATCCTTAATCCAAAGCATTCTTAATCCATCTCTTCAGATATGTCTACAGAAAGACACATGAAAAGCAAGATAAACATAAGAACTTCCCCAGGTAAGATAACCACAAACACCCCCAACATCCCAGTTCACACAAACCAGGGCAGATAGACATTTACACAATATCACAGTCTGAAGAGTATGGAGTTAACTAAATTTAAACAATCCTGTCTATGACATCACTTAAAATACAATTTATCAAAGACACGAAGGGAATGTAGATGTTAGGAGCAAGGGGATATTACAAGAATGCAATTCAACACTTTAGCCCATTCTGAACAAAACAGTTTGAATTAAAAAATGAAAAGATTGTACTGAATAAAGGAAAACTGTATACAACATGGGTTCTACAAAAAGTGTCACCAATCATCTTATGTACGAGAGCGAGATCTGCTATGACGGGGAGAATAGCGTGGTGATCCTCTGCTTCTCCTTGGGGAGTAACTGCGACTCCTGCTGTTGCTTCTGCTACGGCTTCTGCTACGACTACGGCTTCGAGATCGAGATCTTCCATAACTTGGACTTCTGGGCCCATCAACTTTAACCCGGATGTAGGCAGTTTCTCCCTATTGGATAGACAGAACTTTCCATTGAAAGATCTAAGCTTTCATCTATCTTCAGACATGCTGAATGAATACAATGTAACTAAAACCAGAAATCTGGCAATTTACTTGGACAACCTTGCCTGAATCCTTACCTTGAAATTCCACTGTTAAGACCACTGTATCCAATTCTGGTCAAAGAAAAGAATACGTGTATAACCTACCTCATGAGATCTAAACTTAGTGTTATCCAGTTTTCGAACTGCATAGGTCATATCTTCTTTCCGTACAAACTCCACGACACCAGTGCCATCTCGGTAAACATCAGCATAACATACATCACCTGCTTCACGCATGTGATCCTTTAAATCCTGCCAACTTCCACTTGGAGGCAGTCCTGAAAAAGTGATTTTTTTTTTCTTAGTACCAATTATCTTAAATTTCACGTTAAGCTGGTAAGGTACATTAGGACAAAGAGTACTTTAAAGTACTTAATAGGTGTACTTAAGTGATACCAGGTAAAGAGAGCTGGTAAGATTCTGGAATCCAGAGTCCAAAATTATTTGTAACGATCTTCGTATCTAGTACCGCAACCTAATTTGGTAAATCACCACAGCAGCAATCCTCGTTTATTAAATTCACCCAAAAACTAAAGCAATTTAAGACCTAGCATGAAAAATTTGCAATTATTAAACCTGTCACGCAAGAGAAAAATTTTAGGTAGTTTTCGTCCCTTCACATCAATCCACACAACCAGTACACTCACCAGAGACAACCACTCTGTTTTCAGACCGCCTGGATGGGGGGCCATAGCGACCTCGGGGAGCTCCGCCACCTCCACCCCCGCCGCCGCCTCGGCCTGTTCCACGGCCGCTTCGAGGAAACTCCACCCGCAGACGGTACCCATCGTAATCATAGCCGTCGCGACCATACACCGCGTCTTCCGCGTCTCTGCGGGATCGCAGAAAGTAAAAGGGATGAGAAACACCAGGAGGAGAAGCTCGCTCAGTTGGGAACCAGCAAACCCCCCGCACATGCGCACCCAACGTGGAAGAGCCCACATGCGCCGCATAATAGGAATGGCCCCTCCCCCACCCAGAAACACGCCAGGCTCCCAACCACTACACCAGCCCTCAGCGCCTCAGTTTCCCGCTCCAGCCTGCGAATGGGCTCCGGGGACGTCCAAGGCGAGGCGCCAGAGAAGCCACATCAACTCAGCTCCTTACTCGACTCCTGCATGGGCGATACAGTCTCGCCCCAACCTCTCTAAGAGCCCCCGCTTCCCCGTTCTCTATGTTAAGGCCTTGGAGCCTTCCCCAACTACTCGGACCTATTTCCTCAAGGCTGCAAGCCCCATGCCGCCTCACCGCGGGTCCTCGAACTCAACGAAGGCGAAGGGCGGTCCCCCGCGGCGATTCTTGAGGTCGATGTCGCGGATAGCGCCGTATTTGTAGAACACGTCCTCAATGTCCTTGGTTCGGATGTCTGGAGGTAAGTTACCCACGTAGATGCGGCAATCGTTGTTCCCTGCGGGGCCACGAATCACACCACCTCCCGACATGGCGGTGACGAAAAGCGCGGACTCGAGAACAGGCCTTCCCACCAAGCCTAGCGCACGGCAGAGCGAGCCCGCAGCGGCACCACGTCTCCCGCGGCCCCTCCAAAATGGCGCCTTTATCAGCTCGGCGCACGGATATGGGGGGGAGACAGAGGAAGAGAAGCGGAAGGAAACAGCGATTCGATCCCAACACGCACGCGCGGGAGCGCAACGGGTGCTGCGAGGGCTACGTTCAGCGCACGCGCACGCACGCGCGACGTCACCCTCCCCACGAAGGGGGTAAAAAAGTCCCCCGCGTTCCCAGCTTGGGGTGGTTTGCGAACAGAGTGACCAGCCGTTTGGTAAAAGTTAAATAACGAACTTTCGTTAAAGGAGCTAGTCATCCAGGTCGGGTCTTGAAGGATGGTCGATTTCTCCAGGAATGAGGATCTTTGAAAGCAACTCGGCGCCTTCAAAGCACTTGGTGAAACCTAGCCTAAAGCGTTGTCCCACCATGCTCTGCGGCGATAACGGCCTTTGGCGGGAAAGAGTCTCGGAGGCGGGGCCAAAGGGGGACGGCCCGGGCGGTTGCTCCGGAAACCCGGGTATCTTCGTAGGGTGCGTCTAATCCAGAGCTGAGTTGCGGGTGATTGAACGGAGAGCTGGGGCGTTGGTTTGTCTTCCCGCCCCTGCTGCGAATAGACCGTGGCTGCTTAGACAGATGTGTCTAATTTAGCGAAACCGATTTAGATTCCTTAATCCTCTTCATTAAGTACCGTTCCGCCTTCTCGTCAGAACTTTGCATAGCTCGGGTCAGCACTCCTAGTGCTAGTCGCAGTGGGTCCGTATCCCGACCGGCAACGTGGTACCCGCCAACCAGAAGGGGTAACACCGTACCGCCTATGGGACCCACACCTTTTTATCTCTTGTTAGTCGCCTGTCCGTGGGACTAGCGCAGAATGCCTGCAGAATGAATCGTTTCTGTTGTTTCCTTTCAAAGAACGAGAAGGAAGAAAGGGTGCGTGTGTGCAGTCCTTTTTTCAAAAGTTTTCCCTAAAAGTTACTGATACACCAGGTTTTGAAAATACCGGTCCTCTCAGGTAATAAAATGGAGCAAAATGGATGTGAGAACCGTAACCACTAGATACCGCGGTTGCTATTCAGGACTGTGATCCTGTTTGCCTGCGGCATTGGGAGATAACATTTTACATTTTTTTTCGACGTCTGAAATCTGGATTTTTATGTGAAATCCTGGGATTTTTAAACGTCGCTAATGAATTAAAATTCAAATCAGGCTGGGCGCGGTGGCTCACGCCAGCACTTTGGGAGGCCGAGGCGGTTGGATCACTTGAGGTCAGGAATTCGAGACCAGCCTGGCCAACATGGTGAAATCCCGTCTCTACTGAAAAAACAAAAAATTAGCCGGGCTTGGTGGCAGGCGCCTGTAATCCACTCTACGCGGGAGGCTGAGGCAGGAGAATCGCTAGAACCCTGGAGGCGGAGGTTGCAGTGAGCTGAGATGGCGCCATTGCACTGCAGCCTGGGCTACAGAGTGAGACTCCTCCAAAAAAAAAAAAAAGGAGGGGGAAACAACAACAAATTAAAATCAAACCCTGCAGTCATAAATTTGCCATAACAGATCTACACACTGAATTTAAGGGATAATTTTCTTCATGTTATTTATTTACAGTAGTCCCTTTCCGCAAGGATGTGAGGCAACTTACAGAGATACCATAAAACATGAAAACTAGATGAGGCTGGGCGTGGTGGCTCACTCCTGTAATCCCAGCACTTTGGGAGGCCGAGGCGGGCGGATCACCTGAGGTCAGGAGTCGGAGACCAACATGTCGAAACCCGTATCTTCTAAAAATACAAAACATTAGCTGGGTATGGTGGCGCGTGCCTGTAATCCCAGCTACTCGGTAGGGTGAGACAGGACAATCTCTTGAACCCTTAGGAGGTGGAGGCTGCAGTGAGCGGAAATCACGCCACTGCACTCCAGCCTGGGTGACAGAACAAGACTCCATCTCACACACACACAAAAAAAATGCTAGAGTAAGAAATCAGAGGAATGGGAAAATGAGGGGTGGATTAAATGAAATACGCATAAATTACTATACAAAATGCCTGCAGTGAAAGCCCGTTGAATTTGTTGAGATAGATTGCAAATTTTACTTTAGTCTTCCCAGAAGTCACGGTAAAGAAGGGTACAGAAGTATTGTGTATTCAAAATCCAAAGTGCCTTTGGGATAAAAGTAAATAGGTCATTCAGGAGAAGGACATGTTTTCTTAATTCTAAAAGCTGATGAAATATATTTTACAAATGTTTCTCGGTGACCCCAAAATACAAATTCAATTTGAAATGAGCAGGGATGCTTGGTCTTGTGGCCGTAGATCCTCGGTATATCTACAGATGACCTTTGGTAATCCTTGAGCTTTCTGTAATATTTTCGAAAATTATATGCATGTGTGCATGTACAAAATTATATGCATGTGTGTACTTTTTTCTGGGAAGAGGATTTGGAATTTTAATCAACTTCTTAAAGGAGTCCATAGATCCCAAAAGGAAAAAGAACTTCTGAAATTTGTCAAGGGAAGGATAGATTGCCTATTCTTCAGACCATCCTTTAAGTATATATATAGATGTGTGTTTGTGTGTGTGTGTGTATATATATATATATATATATATATATTTTTTTTTTTTTTTTGAGACAGAGTTGCCCTCTGTCACCCAGGCTGGAGTGCAATGGCATGATCTCAGCTCAGTGCAACCTCTGCTTCCCTGGCCTAAGTCATTCTTGTGCCTCAGCCTTCCGAGTAGCTGGAATTACAGACATGTGCCACGATGCCCAGCTAATTTTTGTATTTTTGGTAGCTGGGATTACAGGCATGAGCCACCACGTCCAGCTAATTTTTGTATTTTTAGTAGAGACGGGGTTTCGTCATGTTGGCCATGCTGGTCTCGAACTCCTGGCCTCAAGTGATCCTCCGGCCTTGGCCTCCCAAAGTAGTGGGATTACAGGCATGAGCCCCTGCACCTGGCCGGCTTTTTTTTTTTTTTTTTTTTTTTTTTTTGAGACAGGGTCTTGCTCTTTCACTCAGGCTGGAATGCAGTGGTGCAATCACAGCTCACTGCAGCCTCGACCTCCTGGACCCAAGCGATTCTCCCACCTCAGTGTCCTTCGTAGCTGAGACTACAGGTATGCATCACCACTTCAGACTGATTTTTGTATTTTTTGTAGCGATGGGGTCTCGCCATGTTGCCCAGGCTGCTTTTGAACTCCTGAAGTCAAGCGATCCTTCCATCTCGGCCTCCCAAAGTGGGGGGATTACAGGCATGAGCCATTGTGCCTGGCCAGAGCCTGATATGTTTTTAAATGAGAAGGTGACCAAAAAAGATACTATTTCAACAAATCTACTGTTTCTAGCATTGTTCCATTAAGTGAATGGCAGAAAAGAGGAGAGTTTTTAAAAACTTGCAGCCTGTTGATTCTTTCATTCAACAGTTATTTGCTGAACACATTTTCTTTCTGTTCTTTTATACATCAGTTTAAATTTATGCAGGCAAAGCTTCTGTTAATCATAAGTCAATGATAACTGAAGTGATAACTGAAATCAGTAGTTTATAATTGGATAGTTCATTTTAAGAAGGGATGAGACAATACACATAGGTACTTTTAATTTCAAGGTAATTTCATTCCAGAAAAATATAATTGAATTTGCTTTTTGTTTGTTTGTTTGAGGTGGAGTCTCGCTCTGTCACCCAGGCTGAAGTACAGTGGCAGGATCTCGGCTTACTGCAATATCCTCCACCCAGGTTCAAGTGATTCTCGTGCCTCAGCCTCCTGAGTAGCTGGGACTACAGGCATATGCCACCACGCCTGGCTAATTTTTATATTTTTAGTAGAGATGGGGTTTCATCATGTTGGCTAGGCTGGTCTTGAACTCCTGACCTCAAGTGATCTGCCCACCTTGGCTTCCCAAACTGCTGGGATTACAGGCATGAGCCACCACACCCAACCTGAATTTGCTTTGATTTATTCTTGTCTAATTTAATGCAGTAATTTCTGATTTTGTTCAGTTCAGCACAGTACAAAGTAAAACTTAATTGAGAGTGAATAGGACATTCTTATTTCTGTTGGCATCTTTTTTTGTATTTGAATGTAACCAACTGTTCTGGAGTTGATGATGAGGTCAGTATATGGCAGGAAAAGTCTTGACGGCTGTTTTATCAGGTCTTGCAGGATGGCGTTAGCTTTGTGATGATTACAATTAAGGATGTTACCAGTTATCCAGAGTTAACATATTTCAGTCCACAAGAGTAAAACATCAAAAAAGCAAGTAAACAATTTATTTGGAAATAAGAACAAAACAAGGTGAATCATTTTGAGGGATATTTCATTCAGATCCTGAGACCTGATAAACGATCCCTGCCCCCACAGCAAAGTATTTCTCTCCAAGACAGGAAAATTCACAGCACCTGGATTCTGTGTCTCTGTTCCTGGGCAGTGCTGGGTAGAGACTGGCAATTATCTTTCTACAGGCTAATCTTCACACAGTTCTCTAAACAATATACTAGATGGTTGATTCCTTTTGTGCTGAGCAAATTACAACCACTTCCAGTTTTGCCTCCTAAGATTACATTCTCATCTTAATTGGAGTTTGAGGGTTTTCTAAACTCCTTAGTTATACATTCACTGGCATTTTTATTAATTGCTGCCACAACCAGCTGATTTAGTAAGCATGGACTTTACCAACTTCATTGTCGGAAGCAACCTAATTTTTAACACTATTACTGTTTATTAAAAGTTCCTTCCTCCAAGAGAAACTTTTTAAATACTTTTGATTCAATCCAATAATCTCAGGAGGAGACTTTTAAAAGTTCATGGAAAATGTGTATTATGAACAAATCATGCATGGATTTCAAAATTTTTTTACACCAAAATAAACTCATACTAACTTGTTATAACATGTATGAACAGGATCTAGTTTGAGGTACTAAAAAGAATAAGACATATGTTTGAAAAGAGCCCCTATCAGAGCAACATGTATTCTGTTAAAATTGAAGCAAGGACAAACATCAAATTTATGATGAACCTTGGGTGAAAAAATGGTGAAATCATTAATTCTTTACCAAAAGTTTATGGGCACAATGCCTCAAAGAAATCAGTATTTTATAATTGGAGAGTTCACTTTAAGAAGGGATGCTGGGCGCGGTGGCTCACGCCTGTAATCCCAGCACTTTGGGAGGCCGAGGCAGGCGGATCACCTGAGGTCGGGAGTTCAAGACCAGCCTGACCAACATGGAGAAACCCCGTCTCTACTAAAAATACAAAATTAGCCAGGCGTGGTGGCACATGCCTGTAATCCCAGCTACTAGGGAGGGTGAGGCAGGAGAATCACTTGAACCTGGGAGGTGGAGGTTGCGGTGAGCTGAGACCGCGCCATTGCACTCCAGCCTGGGCAACAAGAGCAAAACTCCGTCTCAAAAAAAAAAAAAAAAGGGATGAGACACTGTTGAAGAGGAAGCCTGCAGTGGCAGACTACCCACATCAATTTGCAAGGAAAAAATTAATCTTGTCATGCTTGAAGGCAATAATAAATACAGTGGTCCGTTTTCAAGACAAAATGCCTTACATGGGCTTAGGTCAGCAAACTACAGAAGAAACAGAACATACTAGACCCCTACTTGGACAGCTGATGCCTGCTTGTCAGCCTCCCTCTTCCCCCGCACTTCTCTTTCCCCCCTTAGTTGCCTTCACCCAAACCAAAAAAGTTTAGTATAAGATGAAAGTTTACTAGTCTGCAAAATAGCTCATTTTGTCTTCTCTTATCAGCCTGCCCAGCTACTTAGGTCATAAGTTAAATACTTGAATTGCCCCTGACCTAACTAGGATTGCAATGCATTGTGGGCTGCAATAAAATGCAGCAAGACAACCCTAAGAAAACCCTAAAGCCCCTACCCGACAATTAATAGTCAATGTCTGGGAAGATTGTGACCCCATAGTACGCAGCCTGTGAGAAACCAGGGGAGGGACCTGCACACTAGGGGATAAATTGCTTGTTAAAAAACTGTGCTGGGGGCCAGGTGTGGTGGCTCACGCCTGTAATCCCAGCACTTTGGGAGGCTGAGGCAGGCAGATCATGAGGTCAAGAGACCATCCTGGCCAACGTGGTGAAACCCCGTCTCTACTAAAAATACAAAAATTAGCTGGGCATGGTGGCATGCACCTGTAGTCCCAGCTGCTCGGGAGGCTGAGGCAGGAGAATCACTTGAACCTGGGAGGTGGAGGTTGCAGTGAGCTGAGATTGCGCCACTGCACTCCAGCCTGGTTGACAGAACAAGACTCCGTCTCAAAAAAAACAACTATGCTGGGGCCTGGTGTGGTGGCTCACACCTGTAATCCCAGCACCTTGGAAGGCTGAGGCGGGTGGATCACCATATGTCAGGAGTTTGAGACCAGCCTAGCCAACATGGCAAAACTCCATCTCTACTAAAAATACAAAAATTATCTGGGCATGGTGGCAGGTGCCTATAATCCCAGCTACTTGGGAGGCTGAGGCAGGAAAATCACTTGAACCTGGGAGACGGAGGTTGCAGTCAGCCAAGATCGTGCCACTGCACCCCAGCCTGGGTGACAAGAGCAAAACTCCATCTCAAAAAAATAAAATTTAATTTAAAAAAAACTGTGCTGGGTGTGCCTGTCTATCAGACACCCAATCTTGCAAGACTGTCATTAAAAGTCTCACTTTTGCTGTTCTCTGGGTCTCTGAGACAATTCTTTGGGTTTGGATGGGTAAGTTTGTTTCTCACATGCTCTCATAAAAGACGACCAACAATTAATAGCAGAAACCAAAGCCAATACCATAGACATCTCAATTGGTTTGGCTCACACAATTCTAACTGAAAAATTTAAGCTGAGCAAATTTTCCACTCAAAGGTTACTAAAACTGCACACCCAGATCAGCTGCACACAAGAGCAGAGCTTTCCATGGAGATTTTAAACAAGTGCGATCAAGATCCTGAAGCATTTTTTTGAAGAATTGTAACAGGACATGAAACATGGTTTTACCAGTACAATCCTGAAGGCAAAGTATAATCAAAACAATGGATACTAGGAGGTGGAAGTGGTCCAGTCAAAGCAAAAATGGATCAGTCCCAGAGCAAAGATCATGGCACCAGTTTTTTTTGGCTGCTCAAGGCATTTTGCTTGTTGACTTTCTGGAGGGCCAAAGAATGATAATTTGTGCTTATTATGAGAATAAGCAGATATGCTTATTATGAGAAAGCCAAAACTTTAGCAAAAAAAAAAAAAAAAAAAAACTGCCCAGGAAAGCTTCACTGGAGAGTTCCCCACCATGACAATGCTCCTGCTCATTCCTCTCAAGCAAGGGCAATTTTGCAAGAGGTTTAATGGGAAATCATTAGGCATCCACCTGGCAGTCTTTATTTGACTCCTTCTGACATCTTTTTGTTTCTTAATCTTTAAAAATGTTTAAATGGCACCCCTTTTTTTTTTTAATAATAATGTGAAAAAGGGCTGGGCACGGTGGCTCATGCCTGGAATCCCAGCACTTTGGGAGGCCAAGGTGGGCAGATCACCTGAGGTCAGGAGTTCAAGACCAGCCTGGCCAACATGGTGAAACCCCGTCTCTACTAAAAATACGAAAAATTAGCCAGGTATGGTGGCGTGCGCCTGGAATCAGCTACTCGTGGGGGCTGAGACAGGAGAATCACTTGAATCCGGGAGGCAGAGGTTGCAGTGAGCTGAGATTGCACCACTACACTCCAACCTGGGCGACAGAGTGAGACTCCATCTAAAAAAAATAAACAAAATAAATTTTAAAAAATTTAAAAAGTGAAAAAGAGTACATTGACATGGTTAAATTCCCAGGACCTGAAGTTCTTTAGGGATGGACTAAATGGCTGGTATCATTACTTATGAAAGTGTCTTGAGCTTGATGGAGCTTATATGGAGAAATAAAGTTTTTATTTTTATTTTTTAATTCCATTTTTTCCATAAACTTCCTGAAGTTCCCTCATATTAGTGTCAGCACCATACTTTACCCTGGAAATGATTACTTGGGGGGTAGGAGAAGAAAGAAATTCAAAGAGTTAACTGCTGTAAGAGCTGAAATCACGAGACACTTTTTTTTTTTTTTTTGAGACGGAGTCTCGCTCTGTCGCCCAGGCTGGAGTGCAGTGGCGTGATCTTGGCTCACCGCAAGCTCCGCCTCCCGGGTTCACGCCATTCTCCTGCCTCAACCTCCCGAGTAGCTGGGACTACAGGCGCCTGCCACCACGCCCGGCTAATTTTTTGTATTTTTAGTAGAGACGGGGTTTCACTGTGTTAGCCAGGATGGTCTCAATCTCCTGACCTCGTGATCCACCCCCCTCGGCCTCCCAAAGTGCTGGGATTACAGGCATGAGCCACCGCGCCCGGCCACGAGACACAATTTTTCAGTGATTTGCTTACTACTCAAAACTCCACCTGTGGTGATAGTTACATAACTGTGCACATATTTAAAATCATGGCATTGTCTACTTAGAGCAGATGAATTGTATGGTATGTAAATTATAACTCAGTAACTTTTTTTTTCCAAATGACTGGGGGAAGAAATACCTCTGTATCTCCACAGTTAGAAAAATCTCTCTCCAGTACCAATCCTCCAAAGGTATTATTGGGAGTGGGGGAAGTCCAAGAGTAATTTGCACTGAAATACGGCTTTCCTAATCTGGAAACTCTGTTTCCAACATTTTTTGTGCCAACCCTACTGTCTTTTGAGCGCATAATTCTTATTTTTACTACTAGGTAAAGAGACACTTAGAAAGGTTGGGATTACCACTCGATTCCACTGTGTACAGGAGTTTACTTCCAGAAACAATTCACTTGCAAGATTCTCTGTTCCCTTGCTCCACTTGATTCAGGGATAAATATTCTCTGAAAAGGAAAGAAACCGTGTATTTTAAATTTTCATTTATATTCGTCTCATCTTCCTTAGTAAGTTATATTGAGGACAGATTTCTGCTGTAACTCCCTTTATTACCAGTATATTATCTGTTAAAATGAATATTATTGACTATTTACTGACTGCTCTTTGAAAAAGTTGGGAAGTTAGGTGAGCAGAATGCTGTTTATATGGAAACTTCATCATGTTGCTGTCAGTGAATAGACACAATGGGTATAAAGATTTTTTTATTTCTTTTCATTTTTTAATTTTTATTATTATTTTTTTAAGACGGAGTCTCTCTCTGTTGCCCAGGCTGGAGTGCAATGGCACAATCTCAGCTCACTGCAACCTCCGCATCCCAGGTTCAAGCAATTCTCCTGCCTCAGCCTCCTGAGTAGCTGAGATTACAGGTGTGTGCCACCTTGTCTGGTTAATTTTTTATTTTTTTAGTAGAGATGGGGTTGGGGGGGGTGGTCTCACCATGTTGGCCAGGCTGGTCTTGAACTCCGGACCTCGTGATCCACCCACCTCAGCCTCCCAAAGTGCTGGGATTACAGGTGTGAGCCACCATGCCCAGCCTGTTTTTTTACTTCACAGTATAATAAAGATGGCCAAGCCAGGCGTGGTGGCTCACGCCTGTAATCCCAGCGCTTTGGGAGGCCAAGGCGAGGCAGATCACAAGGTCAGGAGTTCGAGATCATCCTGGCTGACACAGTGAAACCCTGTCTCTACTAAAATACAAAAAAAACTAGCTGAGCATAGGTGGTGCATGCCTGTAGTCCCAGCTACTCGGGAAGCTGAGGCAGGAGAATGGTGTAAAACCTGGGAGGTGGAGCTTGCAGTGAGCCAAGATCGCGCCACTGCACTCCAGCCTGGGAGACAGAGCAAGAATCCGTCTCAAAAAAAAAAAAAAAAAAAAAAAAAAAAAAAAAAAAAGATGGCCACCTTTTAAGCCCAAATAAGTCATCTAATAATATAGTCTTAGTAATTTTATTTTAGGACTTGCCCACCTCATTCTTTCATTCATTTTGTTTCATCTTTGGCTAATTCTTTCCATCTTTATTGTCCCGTTACTGATAATAATAGAATATGACTTTGGCAGGAAACAGCTCTTAAAATGATCTATTATGGGCTGGGTGCAGTGGCTCATGTCTATAATCCTAGCATTTTGGGATGCTGAGGCAGATGGATCACTTGAGATCAGGAGTTCAAGACCAGCCTGGCCAACATGGCAAAACCCCATCTGTAGAAAAATACAAAAAATTAGCCGGGAGTGGTGGCATGCGCCTGTAATCCCAGCTACTTGGGAGGCTGAGGCAGGAGAATCACTTGAACCCGAGAGGTGGAGGTTGCAATGAGCTAAGGTCGTGCCACTGCACTTCAGCCTGGGTGACAAAGCAAGACTCTGTCTCAAAAAAAAAAAAATCGATTATGAAAAGATGTATTTTCACCATGTTTTTCTTTTCTTATTACTACTATAATTGCTCTCCCCTTATTTCTGCCTAGTTCTTTCTTTTTCAAACTCCAATTCATATTATACATTTCCTAATTAGAGTAAGTAGCTCTTTAAGGTCCTATAAAAACATATTGCAGACATACTTTATTTGCGAAAAATGCTACCTTTGTTTTTGTGATTCTTTTTTTTTTTTTTTTTTGAGATGGAGTCTGACTCTGTTGCCCAGGCTGGAGTGCGATGGTGCAATCTTGCTCACTGCAACCTCCACCTCCTGGGCTCAAGCAATTCCCCTGCCTCAGCCTCCCAAGTAGCTGGGATTACAGGCACGCGCCACCATGCCCAGCTAAGTTTTGTATTTTTAGTAGAGATGGGGTTTCATCATGTTGGCCAGGCTGGAGTGCGATGGTGCAATCTTGGCTCACTGCAACCTCCACCTCCCGGGCTCAAGCAATTCCCCTGCCTCAGCCTCCCAAGTAGCTGGGATTACAGGCACACGCCACCGTGCCCAGCTAATTTTTGTATTTTTAGTAGAGACGGGGTTTCACCATGTTGGCCAGGCTGGTCTTGAACTCCTAACCTCAGGTGATCCACCCACCTCGGCCCCCCAAAGTGCTGGGATTACAGGCCTGAGCCACCGTGCCCGGCCGTTTTTGTGATTCTTATGCTGTGAGTCCTATATAAATGTTAGCTATCTTTATTAATAGTAATAGTGGTATTCTGTGTTACTACTACTATCAAGTATGTTAGAAAATTAATTTTGATAAATTTTTTAGTTTCAGGTTTTGAGTATGTGACAGTTTTTTCCTCTTTACTCTTTTCAAAAGGTATTCCAGATTAGGTGAGCTAAAAATCTCTCACAGTTACTTTTGTGTATTTACTTGCAGGACCATTGCAGAGCTTATTAGACCGAGAGCACTGGGTCAGCAAACTACAGTCCTCTGACCCACGGCCTGTTCTTTGGAATGCCCATGAGTTAAGAATGTTTTTTATATTTTTCAGTGGTTAAAAAACACACAAAAGAAGAATAATATTTTGTGCATGTGAAAAGTATATGAAAATCAAATTTCAGTGTCCATATTTAAGTTTTATTGGAACACAGCCATGACCACTTGTTTACATATTGTCTATGGCTGGTTTCATTCAACAAAGGCAGAGTTGAGTAGTTGCAACAAAGACTTCATGGCTCTGCCAGGCGCGGTGGCTCACGCCTGTAATCCCAGCACTTTGGGAATCTGAGGCGGGTGGATCATGAGGTCAGGAGATTGAGACCATCCTGGCTAACATGGTGAAACTCTGTCTCTACTAAAAATACAAAAAATTAGCTGGGTGTGGTGGCACGTGCCTATAGTTTCAGCTACTCGGGAGTTTGAGGCAGGAGAACCGCTTGCACCTTGGAGGCAGAGGTTGCAGTGAGCCGAGATCTCGCCACTGCACTCCAGCCTGGGTGAAAGAGCAAGACTCCATCTCAGGAAAAAAAAAAAAAAAAAAAGACTTCATGGCTCACAAGCCCAAAATATTTACTATCTGGCCCTTTACAGAAAAAGTTTGTCAACCCCTTACCAAAAGGAAAATAATAACCTGCTTCTGTCATTTGTGCTTAACCTAATTCAAATATTCAGCTTTGTCATGCGTGTCCTTTTCCTCTTGCAGATGTTTCTGTCATGGGTAATATATTATTAGTTGTCAACATAAATAATGAACCTTTTCAAGCGATAGGTTGCTAACACGTGTTTCATCAGCCACTACTACAGTTCAGTGATAAGGTACTGAGAGCTGGTGGAAAGAAATTCTCCTGCCCATCTGCCCAGCCTAGAAGAGGAGGTATTGCTCTACTGCAGTTGATTTCTTTTTCTTTCTTTCTTTCTCTTTCTTTCTTTCTTTTTTAAGTCTAGTTGATCAAAATTGCTCAATGATGGCAGGTTTCTGTAACCATTCTTGCGTTGAAGTAATGTGGCACACAATGAGTCCATGACAGGTTTTGTTCTAAGTAAATATTAGTGTCCACTCACTATGGAATTTGCAAGTGAAATTTCCAAAATGTTCATATTGTTTTTCTACAATACTGGGATCATTCACTCTCAGGCTGGTGCTGGTACCACCACCCTGTCCCCAGGAGGCTACTAGATGTGTTTACAGTTTACAGTCCAGACCCATGTCCAGGGGGTCTTTCCTTGTTTGCCTCCCATCTGTTTCCATGTGGCCAGGAGCCACTCTGCTCACCAGCTGCAATTCACTCCAGGTTAATTTCTGCTCCATCAAATTAAGACTCCAGGGGAGAAAAAAATTATTTCCCCTGGCTCTGAGTCTCCAGTTTTTTGGAGACCTGAGAGACCCTGTTTACAGATACACACACAGCAAGGGAAGCACATGCCAGTAGTTCTAGCTACTCAGGATGCTGAGGTGGCGGATCACTGGAGCCCAGAAGTTCCAGGCTGCAGTAAGCTCTAATTGTACCTGCACCCCAGCCTGGCGACAGAGTGAGACTCTGTCTCAGAAAAAAAAAAAAATATATATATATATATATTTGCATTCAGAAAAAAGGTTTGTTTATAACTTTTCCCAAGAGAAGTGAGTGTTGCTTTAAATTTGTGCAACTGAAGAGCCTCTTTAGGCAGACTTCCTAACACAAAGGAAACAGTCTGTCCTAAAGAATTATTCAGGTTTTCCACCTCTATAGATACAATAACTGCTTATCACCTTAGTATACATTTTCTTAGCCTCAACTAAATCCAGGCTAGGAAAATTATAGGCATTTGCCTGGGCACCTTGTTAATAATGTTATGTCATAATTCTAGTAAGTTTCTTATAAATTCTTAATTACTTTGCAAATACACATAGGAAAATATGGGGCTCTATTTACATTTCCCATCTGACAATACAGTTTTAAAATTCTCTAATTGCTCTTAAGAAAATATACTTCTCTAGATATTTATACAGGGATTTGTGTTGCCACAAATTTGAATGGCAAAGCCAATGCCCCCAACAGATTCATTGTCTTCCCCAGAGAGCATCAATCATTGTTGAGCATTTGTCTAAATAAAACACTTGTTTGAGAGCGTGGGCGACATGGCGAAGCCTTGCCTCTACAAAAAATACAAAAATTAGCTGGGCAATGTGGCACGCGCCTGTGGTCCCAGCTACTTAAGAGGCTGAGGTGGGAGGATCGCTTGAACCTGGGAGGTGGAGGTTGCAGCGAGCCAAGATTGCGCCACTGCCCTTCAGCCTGGGCGACAGAGTGATACCCTGTCAAAAAAAAAAAAAAAAAAAAAGTACTTGTTTGGGGATGGTATAAATTACTAGAGGTTCTCACCAAGCATGTTTTGCACTGTACTAAGTTATTAATACTAAAACAGTTTCCAAGGTTTACACCACTGTAAATAGAAAATAAAGATACCTGTTATCAGCCAGCTTCTGTTAGATAAGGCTGCAGTAATAAACAACTCCAAACATATCAGTGTCTTAAGAAAATAACCGAGGTTTGCTTCTTGCTTATGTTACATATTGGTAGCCACGAGTTGGCAGAGGCACAGCCCATGTATCTTATCACTAAAAGGCATGAAAGTGCAGCAGAAAGATGGGCTTTTAACGAGATGGATTTGGGCTTAAATCCCCAATACCACTTCTTACTTGTGTGATCTTGCATGACTCTCTTAACCTGCTTAAGCCTGTATTTCTTCACCTATAAAATGGGGTCAATAATAGCACTTATAGAGCTGTTGTGAAGATTAAATGAAATAACATGGAAATCAACTAGTCGTTGAGTGCCCTGAATATAGTAGCACTCTATGCTCTGCGCTACTCTGTGCCCTGCACCATAATAAACAGTGGTTATTATTAAGGCTGCAAAAACCTATCTCCTTGCTTTTTCAACATTTGTGGTTAGACTGATCAACTTTACTCTTCTTTGGAAGAAGGAATAAGATGCGAAATTCAAGTCAGTCTGTCTTATGACTAATTAGATATTATGAGGCTGGGCGCAGTGGCTCATGCCTATAATCCCAGCACTTCGGGAGGCTGAGGCAGGCAGATCACTTGAGGTCAGGAGTTCCAGACCAGCCTGGCCAACATGGTGAAACCCCGTCTCTACTAAAAATACAAAAAATTAGGCAAGCGTGGTAGTGTGTGCCTGCAATCTCAGCTACTCAGGAGGCTGAAGTGGGAGAATCACTTGAACCCGGGAGGCAGAGTTTGCAGTGAGCAGAGATTGCGCCACTGCACTCCAGGCGGGGCAACCGTGCCCCGCCTAGTTTTTCTTTTTTAAAAACATTGATTTTTTTTTAAGATGGAGTCTCTCTGTTGCCCAGGCTGGAGTGCAGTGGTGTGATCATAGCTCACTACAGCCTGAAACTCCTGGAATCACATGATCCTTCTGTCTCAGCCTCCTGAGTAGCTGGAACTACAGCTGTGCATCACCATGTCCCACCCCTGGCTAATTTTTGGGTTTTTTGTAATGAGGGTCTCACCATGTTGCCCAAGCTGGTCTTGAACTCCTGACTTCATATGATCCTCTTGCCTCAGGCTCCTGATTCACTGGGATTACAAGTGTAAGCCACTAAACCCAGTAGTTTTTCTTAAGTCTTCAAACTCAACTTACAAATCTTGATAATTATTAATCTAATCCTATGTTATATAAGAAATAAGATTCATTATTTTTACTTGTTCTGTGATTAATATTCAACTAATACTTATTTTAAAAAATACTTATATGTAAAAAATTAAATCCCGGCCAGGCCACGGTGGCTCACGCCTGTAATCCCAGCACTCTGGGAGGCGGAAGCGGGTGGATCACCTGAAATCAGGAGTTCAAGACCAGCCTGACCAACATGGTGAAACCCCATCTCTACTAAATACAAAAAATTAGCCAGGTATAGTGGCGCATGCTTGTAATCCCAGCTACTTGGGAGGTTGAGGCAGGAGAATTGCTTGAACCTGGGAGGTGGAGGTTGCAGTGAGCTGAGATTGCACCATTGCACTCCAGCCTGGGCAATAAGAGCAAAACTCTGTCTCAAAAAAAAAAAAAAAAAAAGATTAAATCCCTAAACATTTAGCATATTATATAAGTAGTTCATTAACTTTTATTAAATATTTCAAGTAATTAAAAATTTAATATATCTTATTCCCTCAAACACTTCAAATTCCTAACAAGGTTCATTAGTCAGGGTTCAATGCAGGAAACAGAAACACTCTAGTTTTTTTTTTTTCTTGAGATGGAGTTTTGCTCTTGTTGCCCAGGCTGGAGTGCAATGGCGCGATCTTGGGCTCACCGCAACCTCCGCCTTCCGGGTTCAAGGGATTTTCCTGCCTCAGCCTCCTGAGTAGCTGGAATTGCAGGCATGTGTCACCACACCCAGCTAATTTTGTATTTTTTTAGCAGAGACAGGGTTTCTCCATTTTGGTCAGGCTGGTCTGGAACTCCTGACCTCAGGTGATCCACCTACCTTGGCCTCCCAAAGTGCTGGGATTACAGGCATGAGCCACCTCGCCCTGCCTACTGTAGGTATTTTAAGCAGAAAGGGATTAAATACAGTAGATTAGATTAGGTATTTAGAAACTTTTTGGAAGAGATGGAGGGGTAGGCTCTAGGCATATCTCTGGCATGACTCCCAGAATGTTGCAGAACTGGTCTATCAAGAATGATGCTTCCTTTGCTACAGACAGGAAAGTGGAGATCCAGAGGCCAAAAGTAAACTACTGGGATCAAAAGATTCCTGGCATATTGACCAAAATGCCATTCAGAGATCATAAAGCCAGGATCAGGAAGCTGTAGAAGCCACCACCACAACTGTCTCATCACTGAATTGTACTATCTGGCTGCCACTGCTGCAGTGGATTCTCAACACCATAGAGACTGAAGCCGAAATGTCACTAGCAGTACATACTGCGTAGCATCAGGAAGAGGGACCTTGCCGCTTTTCTCCACGGTCTTGTTTGGTAATTGTTGCTCATATACATGTCGTGATTTGTCTAAGTGAATTGAAACCTCCATGAGGAAAGGTGTTGTGACTTTTTAGTTTTCAGCCCGAGGCACAGGCAAACAGAAGTTGCTCAGTAAATGGACTTTGATGGTTGGGTATTCTCTATTTTGATACTGTCATCTTGATGCCTTGGTTTTTGATGGATTATCCTCATCTTCCAGATTCATTAGCTCGATTTTCAGTACACCAGCCAAAAACAAATGAGCTTACACAGAAAGCACTATTGCAATGGGAAAGGATAACTGGGTCACTTCCATTGGCACTTCCAATTCCAATTAAAAACAGAGGCATCCACTGCAGACATTACTAAGTAGCTATTTTGCTGTGGATAGTAGATGTTTGGTAGTGGTTGGCTGTAGCTAAAAGTTTTAGTTTGCTGCATAGTCCACCTATAGATCTAATTGGTGTAACTTAATTTACACCCAGAATGCTAGCTGCACAAGTGTGTTGGGAATGACACTCACGGCCATCACGTAAATCTGATATAAAGAAAAATGTCCTAATGTAACACTACTTACCAATCCAATAATAACATAATTATATTTAGAAAATTGGCCGGGTGCAGTGGCTCACACCTGTAACCCCAGCACTTTGGGAGGCCGAGGCGGGCAGATCACATGAGGTTGGGAGTTCGACACCAGTCTGACCAATATGGAGAAACCCCGTCTCTACTAAAAATACAAAATTAGCCGGGCATGGTGGTGCATGCCTGTAATCCCAGCTACTCGGGTGGCTGAGGCAGGAGAATCACTTGAACCCGAGAGACGGAGGTTGCAGTGAGCCAAGATTGCGCCATTGTACTCCAGTCCAGGCAATAAGAGCGAAACTCTGTCTCAAAAAAAAAAAAAAAAAAAAAGAAAGAAAGAAAAGAAAAGAAAATTAGGGGTTGGGTGCAATAGCTCATGCCTATAATCCCAGCACTTTGAAAGGCTGAAGTGGGAGGATTGCTTGAACCCAGGGGTTCAAGACCAGCTTGGGCAATATAGTAAGAATATGTCTCCACAAAAAATTTAGATAATTAGCCAGCATGGTGGCTCATGCCTATAGTCCCAGCTACTCAGAAGACTGAGGCAGAAGGATTGCTTGAGCCCAGGAATCCAAGGCTGCAGTGAGCTATGTTTGCACCACTGCACTCCAGCCTGGGCAACAGAGCAAGACAACTGTCCCTGCCCCATACCTCCCCTCCACTCCACTCCCCACAGAAGAAAACAAAAAGGGCTTTCAACATTACAGTGAGCTATAAAGTAAAAAATAAATGAATAAATAAATTAAATTAACCAAATTGTCTTTAATTTTTAAAAATTAAAATCACAAATATTGGCTGGGTGAGGTAGCTAACACCTTTAATCCCAGCACTTTGGGAGGCCGAGGCCGGAAAGGATCACTTGAGCCCAGGGCTCGACGAGACCAGCCTGTGCAATATAATGAGACCTCATTTCTACTAAAAAAAAAAAAATTATCTGGGTGTGGTAATGCACAGCTATAGTCCCAGCTACTTGGGAGGCTGAGGCAGGAGGATTGCTTGTGCCCAGTAGTTTGAGGCTGCAGTGAGCTATGATTGCACTGCCACCACTGCATTCCAGCCTAGGCAACAGAGCAAGACCCTATCTTGCAGGAAAAAAAAAGAAAGAAAAAGAAAAGTAAAGAAAACTAGTAAGAAGACACTTGAGGTTTGAGCCATATAGGAAAATAGAAAGTAGAGGGGGAAGTGATGGGTGACTTGGCAAGCTGGAAGAGTTACAGAAGGGCAAATGTGGGCACCCTAAATAACAAGCTGGTTCCCTCTCAAAACCCATAAAAGGCTCAGAAACAGATTCTAGGTACCAGGGAAGGTGGGGTTAGCACAGAATATAAAATCTCTGGAAAAGTTTGATTTGACAAAAAGCAGAAAGACTACAGCCAGAGATTTCCTTTCAGTGAAGTCCCACCCATATATATGGTGCTTTCAATAAACTTTTAATGCCTTATAAGTATGAATAGCCAGCCTAGGATTGCTAGGGATGTTTAAGGAAAATGTCCAATGAGAGAGATTGAAGTGAACACAGGAAAAAAAGAGGGTTCAGAGAAAACAGATACAATGTGAGGTACAGGAAAAAACTTCAAAGAAACTATAATTAGTTTCCCCAAATGGATAAAAGATAATATATCTCTACAAACTAGTAACAGGAATATCTATCTATCTGCCATCTATCTTTTATACATATGTATACACTCTCACACACACATCCATGCATTCATGCATATGTATGTATATATATTAAAAATCAGGGAATAAGAGAGAAACACTTTAAAATTCATAATATGATAGAAAAAATTAAAGAAAAACTAAACAGAAGAGTTAGAAGATAAAATCAAGCATGCTTCTTAGAAATTAGAACAGATAAACTAAATAGATAACACTAAGGAGAAAAAAGATAAAAAAATAAAAGATTTATGAAGTTTAAAAACTACAAATGGGCACTCCAAAAAAGCAGAGTGGTAGAGAAAATATTGTTATTAAAGAGAGAGTACAAAAACATTTCCAGAACAGAAGAACATTAATCTTCAAATTGATAAGGCGCAACACCATGAAATCTTAGAACATTATGGATTAAGAAAATATCCTAAAAGCCTTTAAAGAACAAAATAGGTTACACACAAAAAACAGGAATCAGATGTCATTAGATTTCTCAACAATGTAGGGAGCTAAAATCAACAATAACAATGATGGAGCAATTTCTTTACATTTCTGAGTAAAAATTATTTTTAATGTTCAATTCTAAATCTAGCCAAACTCTCAATCGTGAGTGAAGCCACAATTTTCAGCAGTGCATTTTCTATTCTTTCTTTCTTTCTTTCTTTCTTTCTTTCTTTCTTTCTTTCTTTCTTTCTTTCTTTCTTTCTTCCTTCCTTCCTTCCTTCCTTCCTTTCTTTCCTTTCTTTCTTTCCTTCTTTTTTGCTTATCTGTGACTTTTGCCCATTTTTGCTCTTATTATTAAAGTGCATTTTCCATTTACTATTTCTCCAGAAGCTGCTGGAGGATATGTTCCACCAAAATAAAGAAACAAACCATGAAAAAGGAAGACATTGGATGCAGGGAACAAGAGGTTTACAGAGAGAGACAAAGGAATTTTCAGCATGATATCAAGGAACAGATCCAGGACAACGATTCTATAGCTTCGTTAGAGGACTGCTTTATTTTATTATTTTATTCTATTCTATTCTATATTTTATTTTATTTTTTATTTTATTTTATATTTTTTGAGACGGCGTCTGACTCTGGTGCCCAGGCTGGAGTACAGTGGCGCCATCTCAGCTCACTGCAACCTCTGCCTCCCAGGTTCAAGTGATTCTCCTGCCTCAGCCTCCTGAGTAGCTGGGATTACAGGCACGTGCCACCACACCCAGCTAATTTTTGAATTTTTAGTAGAGATGGATTTTCGCCAGGCTAGTCTCAAACTCCTGATCTCAGGTGATCCGCCTGCCTCTGCCTCTCAAAGTGCTGGGATTACAGGTGTGAGCCACCACGCCTGGCCAAGGACTGCTAGTTTAGATTGGAGGGGTGACCATGGAAAACTGCAGGTGTGGTATCTCTGGGCAGGAGGTGGGGAGAGAAGGAACTGGTAGATCATCTGACAGCATTGACCAACTGACCGTGTAAAACTTGCATGAAAACACTTCAATGTTGGGTAGTGTTGCAAGATTTAACTATAAGTTTAAGGTAATCTAAGTGCATGAAAAATGGGATCGATACATTCATACAGTGGAATATTGCTTAGCAATAAAAATGAATGAGCTATCAAACCATGAAAAGATATGGAAAAATCTTAAATGCATATTGCTAAGTGAAAGAGAGGAGTCTGAAAAAACTGCATGCTGTATTTCAATTATATGACATTTTGGAAAAGGCAAAATTACTGAAATGGTAAACAGATCAGTGGTCAACAGGGTCTCAAGGAGGAAGGTTGAATAGGTGAAGCAATCAGGGTTTTTTGGGGAGATGAAATGATTCTGCATGACACTGTAATAGTGAACATGAGACATTAGGCATTTGTTAAAACCCTAAAACTACTATACAAAAAGTAAAGTTTAATGTATGAAAATTTAAATCATTTAGGAGGTTGGGGGAACTCAGCACGAAATGCAGAATGTGACAAAGGAATCTAAATGTGTTGCGAACATACAAAGCAATCTTTCCAGAGAGGATGAGGGAATAAGGGTCTGACCTCTGTAACTTTGGAAATGAGTGGAGTCTGTAATTATAAGGCAAAAGGCATTCTATATAAACACCGTAAATATACTAGTTAATTAAAAAAAAACTAGTTGTTTCTCACAGGGATACAGGTTAAGAATTCCAAAATCATTATACATGTATATTGGAATTGAACAATTAAGAAAATGGATGGCCAATGGTGAAAGTGGGGTTCTCTTTGTTAGAAGGAAAGCTTACAGACAAGCAAGAGGCAGAGGCTAGAATAATCTGTGTGGTAATTAGAATTAGAGAAATCAGCATGAACTCGTGTTTACCTTAATATGGTTTGGATGTATGTCTCCACCAAAGCTCATGTTGAAATGAGATCCCCAATGTTAGAGGTGGAGCCTGATGAGAAATGTTTGGGTCTTGGGTGTGGATCCTTCATGAATGGATTGGTGCTGTCCTTGTGATAATGGGTGAGTTCTTGCTCAGTTAGTTCATGTGAGATCTGGTTGTTTAAAAGAGCCTGGGGCCAGGCGTGGTGGCTCACGCCTATAATCCCAGCATTTTGGGAAGCCAAGGCAGGCGGATCACGAGGTCAGGAGTTCCAGACCAGCCTGGCCAATATGGTGAAACTCCGTTTCCAGACCAGCCTGGCCCATATGGTGAAATTCCGTCTCTACTGAAAATACAAAAATTAGCCAGGTGTGGTGGTGTGTGCCTGTAGTCCCAGCTACTTGGGAAGCTGAGGAAGAAGAATCGCTTGAACCCAGGATGTGGAGGTTGCAGTGAGCCAAGATTGTGCCACTGCACTCCAGCCTGGGTGACAGATCAAGACTCTGTCTCAAAAACAAAACTAAACAAAACCAAACCATGAGGATTTAATAAAAGGACTCCTAAAGCTCTTTGCCAGAAAGAAGCCCCACTGCCACCCAGAGAAGGCAGAGGCAGGGAGAATTGCTTGAACCCAGGAGGCAGAGGCTGCAGTGAGCCAAGATCACATGGCTGCACTCCAGCCTGGGTGACAGAGCAAGTCTCTGCCTCAAAAAAAAAAAAAAAAAAAAAAGAGTCTGGGACCTCCCACTTTCTCTCTCTCTCTTGCTCTCTCTCTTGCCATGTGACATGCTTGCTGCTGCTTCACCATCCACCATGAGTAAAAGCTCCTTGGGGCCTCACCAGAAGCCAAGCAGATGCTAGTGTCATGCTTTCTATACAGCCTGCAGAATCTTGAGCCAACTGAATCTTTTTTCTTTATAAATTACCCAGCCTTAGGTATTTCTTTTTAGTAATGCAAAAACTGACTAACACAGATGGCTACATATATATATATTTATAAATATGCATATATATATATATACACACACATGTTAGTATACACACATATCTCTCCTTGCTCTGTCAGCTGAGAGGGCCTAGAAGCAAGACACCCCAGTAGCAATGAGCACACCTAGCACCCAGATCTTGGTTTCTAATACCATTCTCCAATAAAAGAGCCAGGGTTCCTTGGAAAAATGATTGATTGTAGGACTGGGACAGGAAATATACGTAATGAGTCTGGAGCATCTTTTAGTGCCGTAAAGTAAGAAAGTGCATACAAAACCAAAACCAAACTAAAAACCCACCATGAGGCCGGCCACGGTAGCTCATGGTGGTGGCATGTGCCTGTAATCCCAGCTACTCAGGAGGCTGAGGCAGGAGAATTGCTTGAACCCAGGAGGTGGAGGTTGCAGTGAGACGAGATCGCACCACTGCACTCCGGCCTGGGCAACAGAGCAAGACTCCGTCTCAAAAAAAGAAAGAAAGAAAGAAAGAAAGAAAGAAAAAAAAAAACCACCACAATAATGGGGATATGTATAAAGGATATAGGACCCAACTGACAGAGCACCCAATGGCCCAAGCTAAAACAATCTGAGAAATAACAAAGAAAAAAAATACACAAAGTAGTATTGGAGTATCACCAAAGTATAAATGATATAAATACATGATTAAATGTATTAGGAGCCCAGCCTGTGGTTTTCTTTTATAGTACAGTATAGAAATGAAGGGGGCAGGCTGGGTGTGGTGGCTCCTGCCTGTAATCCCAGCACTTTGGGAGGACGAGGCAGGTGGATCACCTGAGGTCAGGAGTTCAAGACCAGCCTGGCCAACATGGTGAAACCCTGTCTCTACTAAAAAATATAAAAATTAACCAGGTGTGGTGGTGGGTGCCTGTAGTCCCAGCTACTTGGGAGGCTGAGGCAGGGAGAATTGCTTGAACCAGGAGGCGGAGGTTGCAGTGAGCGGAGATCGCGCCACTGCACTCCAGCCTGGGTGACAGAGCGACACAACATCTAAAAAAAAAAGAAAAAAAAAAGACAAATGAAAAGGGGAAAGTAACTTTAGAGTGAAGAAAACTGATAAACTCCATCAAGCCATTCAATCAAGATTAACATCAACAATGATAAGTCATATTGATAACACGTAACCTTGGTATGGCATGATAAAAATGGCACTTTACTTCCGTGATCTTCCTCTTCAAAAATGTTACCCCTGTCTAATTACAAGAACATCAGACAAATCCTGATTGAGAGTCATTCTACAAAATGCCTGACCAGTAATCCTCAAAACTTTCAACATTATAAAAACAAAGAGAGTCTGGGAAACTATTATAACCAAGAGGAGTCTACAGAGACATGACAACTAAA
Organism: Homo sapiens; assembly: GCF_000001405.40. Lineage (NCBI taxonomy): Eukaryota > Metazoa > Chordata > Mammalia > Primates > Hominidae > Homo > Homo sapiens. The sequence goes on from NC_000017.11 coordinate 58,030,355, forward strand.
TGTAACAAAGTATCATGCGTGGGATCTTGGAACAGAAGAAGGACATTAGGGAAACACTGAGGAAATCTGAATGAAGTATTAACTTTAGTTAATAACAATGTATCATTAGTGTTTCATTAATTGTGACAGATATACCCACTAATGTAATATGAGAAACTGGGTGTGGGGTATATGGGATCTTTCTGTTTTATCTTCTCAACAACTCTGTGAACTAAAACTATTCTAAAATTTTAAGAGTTTATTTTTAACAATGAGGCAATATTGATTCTAAGAGAACCAAATGAACAAAAAATGAAGAAAAATCATAGTAAAACATTGGCTCAACCTTGAGCAATATTTACATCATCATCATAATTAAAATGTAAAACATGGGCCGGGTGCAGTGGCTCATGCCTGTAATCCCAGCACTTTGGAAAGCTGAGGCGGGTGGATCATGAGGTCAAGAGATCAAGACCATCCTGGCCAACATAGTGAAACCCCGTCTTTACTGAAAATACAAAAATTAGCCAGGCGGGGTGGCACGTGCCTGTAGTCCCTACAGCTACTCAGGAGGCTGAGGCAGGAGAATTGCTTGAACTTGGGAGGCAGAGGTTGCAGTGAGCCGAGATCGCGCCACTGCACTCCAGCCTGGCAACAGAACGAGACTCCGTCTCAAAAAAAAAAAAATAAAAAGTAAAACATGAATCCAAGCAAAATTGTGATATAAGTATATTTGGAAATAGGATGGGGGCTGTAAGAGAGTTAAACATTCTCATCTACCATAATAGGAAGTCATAGATGTTGTCTGCAATTGATGAAACAAGAGAGCAATATGCTATAGAAATATGGAAGTAATTACTAGAACTAAAAGATTGGAAATGCATGCTACTAGGAACTGATGGGGAACTATAGTTATTGTTGTTAAGCCTTAAATTATTATTTCATTTTTAAATTTTTATTTTTTTTATTTTTGAGACAGAGTCTCACTCTATTGCACAGACTGGAGTGCAGTGGTGTCATCTCAGCTCACTGCAACCTCAGCCTCCCTGGCTCAAGCCATCCTCCCACCTCAGCCCCCCAAGTAGCTGGGACTACAGACACATGCCACCACACCTGGCTAATTTTGTTGTTGTTGTTGCTGTTGTCATTGTTTGGTTTGTTTTGTACAGATGGGGTTTCACCATGTTACCCAAGTTGATCTTGAACTCTGAATCTGCCCACCTCAGCCTCTCAAAGTGTTGGTTTTACAGGCATGAGCTACTGCACTCAGCTTATTTCACTTTTTAAGTTATCTTTAAAAACATATTTACAGCCAGGCACAGTGGCTCACACCTGTAATCCCAGCATTTTGGGAGGCCAAGGCAGGCGGATCACGAGGTCAGGAGATCGAGACCATCCAGGCTAACATGGTGCAACTCCTTCTCTACTAAAAATACTAAAAATTAGCTGGGCGTGGTGGCATGCGCCTATAGTCCCAGCTACTTGGGAGGCTGAGGCAGGAGAATTGCTTGAACCTGGGAGGCGGAGGTTGCAGTGAGCTGAGATCGCGCCACTGCACTCTAGCCTGGGTGACAGAGTGAGACTCCATTTCAAACAAACAAACAAACAAACAAAAACATATTTACATCCCTAAGCATGGAGAACTTTGATTAAGGTTTTTAAAATATCGGCCACATGTGGTAGCTCACACCTGTAATCCTAGAATTTTGGGAGGCCAAGGCGAGCAGATCACTTGAGGCCAGGAGTTCAAGACTAGCCTGGGCAACATGGCAAAACCCTGTCTCCACAAAAAATGCAAAAAAATTAGATGGGTGTGATGGCATGTCCCTGTTGTCCCAACTACTCAGGAGCCTGAGGTGGGAGGATCACTCGAGCCCAGGAGGTGTCAAGGTTACAGTGAGCTGTGATTGTGCCACTGCACTCCAACCTGGGTGATAGAGTGAGACCCTGTCTCAAAAAAACAAAACAAACAAACAAAAATTAAAAATATCATGCTTAAAGACATTAAGCATTTCAAATTGAAATAATAAATTTTATATAATAAATTATCTAACATCTTAGAGGATTTAAATTTTCTAAAACATTTCAAATATCTACTTCTATACCTTCATGAGATAAAGTCCCTTATCCAAGAGAAGCTAACCAACTAGGCTTATTTAGTCGAAGACTCGGTACCACAATATAGTTATAGATTTGGGTTACAGTAAGATATTCTGTACTAAAATATTGGTTCATAGCTCTATTTACAAGATGATTCTACCTAAACTCCAGATTTTCATGCCAATTCCTTCTAACAGTCTTGGAAATACCACCTTTAGATGCAGGAAAGAGTGACCCCTGCTCTGGGTTCAATGCTTTATAGCACTTCATATCACAAGCACACGTTTATTTTAAAAAACAAAATATGCCTTTGTCATTCTGAATTCTATGCTCAGCATGGAACCAGCATGACCTATCATCCTAAACATCCATTCTCACGATGAATGCTCTTCAGGCCCCAGGGCAATGCTTTTTCACTGCCTGTGCCCAGTATCCATGAAACAAAATGGTTTGTGGCTGCTGCCTGTGCTGGTGACAGAACGCTTTGGATTTGAGCATCGGGGGATTAGGTAAGAGAAAAGACAAATTAACTTGTCAAATCCTTTCTCTCAGATAACATGAATGCAATAGATTCTTGCATAATGAAGTACTGTTTCCCAGGAGTACCACACATCTATTTTCTTGCTTCTCTTTTTGTTCCATTTGTGGCTCATGCTAATTAATGTGGTATTTGCAAAAGTTTCACATTGTGACTGAGGAATATTTTGCAATATTAAACAATTCATATTAGTCTTAAATGTGCCTATGTGTAGGTAACATGATTTGCGATGCATGATACAGGTTCTTTATTTTGGTCACTAGATGAACATTGTATACTAGAATTGTGCAATGGTCTGAATGTGCGTGTCTCCAGCTTTGGTCTGTTTTGTTTTGCTATTAAAGGAATACCTGTGGCTGGGTAGTGTGTAAAGAAAAGAGGCTAACTTAGCTTATGATTATGCAGGCTCTACAAGAAGCATTGCACTGGCATCTGCTTGGCTTCTGGTAAGCACCTTGGCTGCTTCCACTCTTGGTGGAAGGGGAAGGAGAATCAGCATGTGTAGAGATTGCATGGCAAGAGAGATGGGAGGTACCAGTCTCTTTTTACCAACCCCCTCTCCAGGGACCTAATAGAGTGAGAACTCACTCACCCTCAAGGAAGGGCATTAATCTATTCATGAGGCATCTGCCCCCATGATCCAAACACCTTCCATTAGGACTTACTTTCAACACTGGGGATCAAATTTCAACATGAGGTTTGGAGGGGACAAACATCCAAACCACAGCACCACCTAAAATTCATATGTTGAAACCAAACCCCCAATAGCATAATAGTATTAAGTATAATAGTACTAAGTAATAGTATTAAGAAGTAGGGCTTTTAGGAGGTAACTGGGTCATGAGGGCAGAGCTCTCATGAATGGGATTAGTTCCCTTCTAAAAGAGGCCTGAGGGAACTCACTCACTCCTTCCACCCACCATGTGAGAACACAGCTAGAAGGTGCCATCTACAAGGAAGTGGGTCTTCATCAGACATAAAATCTGCTGGCATCTTGATACTGGACCTCCCAGCCTCCAGAACAGTAGGCAAGAAATTTCTGTTGTTTCTAAGGTACTCAAAGATGTTTTGTTATAGCAGTCTTAAGGGACTAAGACAAATTGAGAATAGTTTTATTTTAATAAAAATATTAAGATTTAATTAAAATGTCCAAAAACAAAATGTCAATTTAATTTAATTTATTTATGTATTTATTTGTGACAGTCTTGCTCTGTCACCCAGGCTGGAGTGCAGTGGCACCATCTTGGTTCACTGCAACCTCTGTCTCCTGGGTTCAAGCGATTCTCCTGCCTCAGCCTCCCGAGTATCTGGGACTACAGGCACACGCCACACACCCAGTTCATTTTTGTATTTTTAGTAGAGACAGGGTTTCACCATGTTGGCCAGGGTAGTCTAGAACTTTTGGCCTCAAGTGATTCGCTGGCTTCGGCATCTCAAAGTGTTGGGATTACAGCGTGAGCCACTGTACACAGCCTTAAATTATTTTTAGTTAAAATATTGATATTTATTTGTTGATAGCTTGAATTTTTTTTTTTTTTTTTTTTGAGATGGAGTCTCGCTCTGTCACCGAGGCTGGAGTGCAATGGCATGATCTCAGCTCACTCCAACCTCCGCCTCCCGACTTCAAGTGATTCTCCTACCTCAGCCTCCTGAGTAGCTGGGATTACAGGTGCACACCGCCATGCCCAGCTAATTTTTGTATTTTTAGTAGAGATGGAGTTTCACCATATTGGCCAGGCTGGTCTCAAACTCCTAACCTCAGGTGATCCACCCACCTTGGCCTCCCAAAGCGCTGGGATTACAGGCGTGAGCCACCATGCCTGGTCTGAATTTTGTCTTAATTTTAATAGGCAATTTAAGATTTAATAACAGAAATATAATTTAAATTTTTCAATATTTGACACTGACCTTAATGTACTTTTTTTTTTTTTTTTTTTTTTTTTAGACAGTCTCACTCTGTTACCCAGGCTGGAGTGCAGTGGGGCGATCTCGGCTCACTGCAGCCTCTGCCTCCCAGGTTCAAGTGATTCTCCTGTCTCAGCCTCCCGAGTAGCTGGGATTACAGGTGCGTAGCCCCCCACCACACCTGGCTAACTTACTGGCTAACTTTTGTATTTTTAGTAGAAACAGGGTTTCACCATGTTGGCCAAGCTGGTCTCAAACTCCTGACCTAAGGTGATCCACCCATCTCAGCCTTCCAAAGTGCCGGGATTACAGGCGTGAGCCAGTGCACCCAGACCTTTAATGTACATTTTTGATGAAATGTATTTAAATTGTATATCTTTTGAACAAAATTACATTTTATTTTTTAATCTGTTAGATCAGGGCTTGGCAAACCTTTTCTGTAAAGAGCTTGATAGTAATAATAAGTAATAAGAGCCAGATAATAAGTATTTTAGGCTTAGCATGCCTAATAAGTATTTTAGCTACGTGATCTCTGTCACAGCTATTCAGTTCTGTGGTTATAGGTGATTACTGCAATAAGTGAATGAGTGTAACTATGTGCCAATAAATGTTTACAAAAACATGTCGTGGGCTGAATTTATCCAGTGGGTCATAGTTTGCTGACCCCTTAGATCAATAGAATGTAAGTTATGTGAAGAATTTAGATTATAGCAACATAGTTGGTGATATTGCTGAAATAAAGACAATAAAATAAATTTTATGGAATAAAATATAATTTGTTAATTAAACATCTTTATTTTATAATTCACCCAAAATTGCTGCACACTAACAAAATGCCTGGAGAAGCAAATAATGATCTGCATTACTTTGGATCAGGCAACGGTGTTTCAGATACAACACCAAAAGCAGAAGTGACGGAAGAAAAAATAGACAAAGTGCACTTCATCAAAAGTAAAACCATCACAGGCTTCAAAGGACACCATCAAGAGAGTGAAAATACAACCCACAGAATGGGAGAAAATAGTTGCAAACCATCTCTCTGATGACAGTCTAGTATCTAGATTATATAAAGAACATTTACAACTCAATGATAAAAGGACAGGGCCAGGTGCGGTGGCTCATGCCCGTAATCCCAGCACTTTGGGAGGACAAGCTGGGATGATTGCTTGAGCCCAGGAGTTTGAGGCCAGCCTGGGTGAGATGGTGAGGCCCCATCTCTATAAAAAATTTAAAAATTAGCTGGGCATGATGGTGCACACTTGTCGTCCCAGCTACTCAGGAAGCTGAGGTGAGAGGATCGCTTGAGCCCAGGAACTGGAGGCAGCAGTCACTGAGATTGCACCACTGCACACCAGCCTGGGCAACAGAACAAGACCCCATCTCTCTCTCTCTATATATATATATATAAAATAAAAGGACAAGCAACTCAATTTAAAAATGGGCAAAGGATCTGAATAGACATTTCTCCAAAGGAGATATACAAATGGCCAATAAGCACTTGAAAAGATGCCCAACATTATTAGCCATCAGGGAAACGTAAATGAAAACCACAATGAGATACCACTTCACAGCCACTAGGATGGGTATAATAGAAGTTAGATAGGCCGGGCGCGGTGGCTCACACCTGTAATCCTAGCACTTTGGGAGGCCGAGGCGGGCGGATTGCCTGAGTTCAGGAGTTCGAGAACAGCCTGGGCAACATGGTGAAACCTTGTCTCTAATAAAATACAAAAAGTTAGCTGGGCATGGGGGCATGCGCCTGTAGTCCCAGCTACTCGTGAGGCTGAGGCAGGAGAATTGCTTGAACCTGGGAGGCGGAGGTTGCAGTGAGCCGAGATCATGCCACTGCACTCCACCCTTAGTGACAGAGCGAGACTCCATCTCCAAAAAAAAAAAAAAAATAATAATAATAATAATAATAGAAGTTAGATAGTAGCAAGTTGATGAGGTCGTGAAGAAATGGGAACCCTCATACACTGCTGGTAGGAGTGTAAAAGGTGCAGCACTTGGGGAAACAATCTGGCCGCTCGTCACGTGGATAAACAGAGTTACCACATAATCTGACATTTCCACTCCTAGGTATATATCCCCCAAAGAAGGAAAATACATGGCCACACAAAAGCTTGTACATGAATGTTTATAGCAGCATTATTTACAACAGCCAAAAGGTGGAAACAACCCGTTTCTATCAACTAATGAGTAGATAAGCACAATGTACATACCCATGCAGCAGAATATTCTCTCACAATAAAAAGAAACGAAGTACTGATACATGCTACAATATGAATGAAACTTGAAAACCTTATGCTAAGGGAAATAAGCTAATTAGACAAATCCATAGAGACAAAGTAGATCAGTGGTTGCCTAGGGTATGAATTGGGAGAAAATCGGAGGTGACTGCCAATGGGTATAGAGTTTTTGGGGTGGTTAATGAAAATGGTTTAGATTTATTAGGCAATAAATCTAAATGGCAATTATAATGGCAATTAATGGCAAAAACTAATACTAGTTTCTTCACAGCTTCCTAAACTTGACTTAGCACTACTTCCCTGGGTCTGCCATTTACCAAGATCTCCCTGAATTAGTCCTACCATTGATTCACTATTACTGTATGGATTTTCCTTTGCTTATCTGTAAAGAGAGAATTCAAGGGTGAATGGAGTCCAGGTCCTCTCACCCCCCTGCCCTGCCCCAGTTCTTACATTTTACCTTCACTTTCTCTTAAGCTTTTTCTTTATTTTTATTTTTGAGATGGAGTCTCACTCTGTCATCCCGGTTGGAGTGCAGTGGGCCAATCTCAACTCACTGCAACCTCCATCTCCCAGGCTCAAGCGATTCTCCTGCCTCAGCCTCCCAAGTAGCTGGGACTACAGGCACCTGCCACCACACCCAGCTAATTCTTTCTATTTTTAGTAGAGATAGGGTTTCATGATGTTGGCCAGGCTGGTCTCGAACTCCTGGCCTCAAGTGGTCTGCCCGCCTTGGCCTCCCAAAGTGCTGGGATTACAGGCGTGAGCCACCGTGGCTGGCCCTCTTAAGCCTTTTCTATGGGCCACTCGTAATAACTCATCATACTGCTTGCTGCCTGCATGTTACTTCCTATTTTTGTAGCATGGTGCTGAAGGGTAGATAGGTGGAGGGATACTTTGGAACTCATGTCAAAGGCAAGGAGATAAGGAGAACAAGGATTAGACCCTGGGCCCTTGCATTCTCTGTGTTCTGTCATTATCAAACCTCACTCTCAGGAGCACAAAGCTGAGTGACTGTGAGCACTTGGTGTGGTTATTTATACCTTATCGTACTATGAATCACCTGTGCCAAGCATTGTGCTAAGGGCTTCACATGCATTATTCTATTTAATCCTCATGATAATCCTATTGTTATTTTTCATTTGATAGATAATAAACTGAGGCACAGAGAGGTTACGACTCTAGCCTATGGTCATCCAACTAACAGAACAGCTGTCTAGGATTGGTACCCAGGGAGCCCAGTCCTTAATGCAAATGTTTGCATTTTTGATGCTCCTATGTCCATCTGAATGGGTTTCTCAAATAGACTTATGATTGAAAGGGAGGGTAGGCACTGTGATCCTTGATCCCCAGAGTGGAAGCAGAACAGTTGCCAAGAGCAGATAAGCAGGCAAAATCTCAACGTCTTTGGCAAGGTTCTTGTTATGTGGTAGTCTCTAGCCTTTCCTGAGTGATGAAAATTTAGTCGGAAAATACTCTAGCTAAACCTCTGCCATTTCTCTCTTTTAGAATCCTATTCTTGTGTTAGTGAGGCATGGTGGCACACACCTGTAGTCCCAGGTACTCAGGAGGCTGAGGCAGGAGGATCACCTGAGCCCCGGAGATTGAGGCTGCAGTGAGCCAAGACTGTGCCACTGTGTTCCAGCCTGAGCAACAGAGCAAGACCTTGTCTCTCTTAAAAAAAAAAAAAAATCCATTCTTGTGGCCCCAAATGAACCCAGAAACTTTTGTGTCTAATTAAAGCTTGGACAGCAGAATCTTTAAAATCCTTCAACCATTTGAAGCAGGGCCTCAAGTCAAGCTGTTGCCATAAACAACACAAATTTGGAGACCCAGAATATGCTAAGAAAAAAAAGACAAAGTTTCCTTTGCTGGTGGAGATGCTCAAAAGCAAAGAAAATTTGAGATGCTCAAAAGTAATGCAAAGTTAAATTTGGTGGAGCTGGCACGTCACCTGCACCTGGATAAAAATTCAAGCAGATTCCATAACCTTCTAGGTCTTTCTTAGTCACCTTATGTATGAATACAGTCTCAACTCAGTAATTAAAATGTTTATATAATCATTATATGTCTCTCCTTCATCTTTGCTGAAAATCCGAGGAGAGAAATCACATTTAGAGGGTGACACAAAAGGTAAAACGATCTGTCATGGGATTTAGGTTCACTTGGGTCTGGAATTGCCTTTTAGGTAATTCTAGACCCAAGTGAACCTAAATCCCATGACAGATCGTTTTATCCTTTGTGCTACCCTCTAAATATGATTTCTCTCCTTGGGTTTTCAGCAGAGATGAAGGAGAGACATGTAATGATTATATAAACATTTTAGTTACTGAGTTGAGACTGTATTCAGACATAAGCTGACTGGGGCAGTTATAGAATTTTTGAGCTGCAAAAGAAAACTTCAAAATTATCCAGTCTAATAATTTTATGATAGAAGAAAGGAGACCTAGAGATGGAAGCTGCTTCCTGCAGGTCACAGGTCTGAAGAGTGGAGTGGCAGACTCAGAAGAGGTGATTAGGTCTCACAGTGTCAGTCCACTGCCAGCTTCTCTGGCTCATGTGCCTGAGGCTGGTGGGATTCTGCGCACTGGGGGAAGTGTGTGAACAGGTCAGAGGGAAACTTGAAGCCTGTTCAGGGCCAATAAAGAGAGAGGTGCAGCCACAGAAGAAGGAGGGCTGTATGGGAGAAAAGCCCCAGAGAAGATCAAAAAGGTAGACGAGTTGAGCCCTCCCAGGGCAGGAAGATCAATACTTGAGAAACGGGAAAGGTTAAAACAGGGATTTGGGAATATTAATCTGGTGGTGATGTGCAGGCCTCATTTGAGGAGGAAAATTTTGAGGCAAGGAGGCCGCTGGGGACACTATTGCAGTGGGCAGGAGTGTGCCAGAAGTCCTGGGTTCCACTCTTGGCATTTTCATATTTTACTTCCTAATGTTGCATGTATGAGTGTGTATGTATGTGATGGGGCAGGGAGAAGGGACCTGGGGGGTAGGTCTCAGCTTGAATTCAAACTTGCTGGGACATGTCTGATGAACACGTTGGGTTGCCTTCCAGATGCATGACCTCTGAGCCAACTTGAGTAATTTCCACATGCTCTATTTCCATCCTCCCTTGCCCACTAGCATGCTCCAGCTGAAGTGAGTCTGCTTATACCAGGCAGTCAGATGTACAAGGAGGCTATTGATGGCACACTGCGAACCAAGAAGCAAGTGGCACCAATGGCTCCACACCCCCTTCAACCCAGCTCAGGGTAGAATTTCTCCCATCTGGACAAATGGAGCAGATTCTGTGCTCGTGGCTCCTCTTGCACCAAGGCTCAGCCGCATAATTCTCCGTCTCTCCTGTCCAAGGCAAGCTGGCAGAGTCTCAAGTCTCAGGGCATCCTCAGAATAGGCCAGTGGTGTTCCACCGGCTGCAGACCATGACGAAGGCCTGACCTTGGGTAGCAATTTCCCCAGGCCTGTAGAAGCAGGTCTGCTCCTGCCTGGACACTTCCCTCAAGGCTGTGACGTTGAGAGTGGAGATCTGTCTCTCATTGGCCTATCTCCTCCCAATAGCTGAACATCATCCCAGGAGCGGGGTCTATTTATAAATGGCATAACTGTTTCTAGCTTTCGTAGCAAAGCAATTTAACAAATCAGTACATTCTTTGAACAACTGTTACATTAAACAAGCATAACTCATGGGATGTATTTCTAAAGAAACTCAAGTTTCCTCTTTCATTAACCCTTTAAATTTGGTGGAGCTGGCACGTCACCTGCACCTGGATAAAAATTCAAGCAGATCCCATGACTTTCTAGGTCTTTCTTAGTCACCTTTTGTCTGTTCTCAACTCAGTGATTAAAATGTTTATGTAATCGTTAAGACTCCAAATATGACATAAAATTGAGGCTTCTCCCCTCTCCTTCAGTTCAGGCTGGGCACTTAGAGGAGGGGGCACTTTTGTCCCCCCTCTCTCTTCTTTTAAACTGTGATTTCTGATCCTTGCAGTGGAAAGAAGCAGGAAAGCTTCCATGGGATTTGTCCTGCTGTGAGGATCTGGCAGGGAGGTTTCCTATACTTGGCAAGTATTTAATGGTGACACTTTTGTGGGTGGTTTCGGCCCCCCCCCACCCCCCCAATTGCTGGGGACCTCTCAATTCAGGTGATATGCTTTCCTCAGGCTCTCTGCTTACTCCATCCACATCCCTCATAATCTGGCCACACCTCCAGCTTCTCTTGGCTGAGATCTCTTTGTCCCTCCAGGCTACTCTCTCGAGTAGAGTTCTCTGACCACACCAGGGCAGAACCCTCTCTCGGTCATGGCTCACACCTTTGCCCCAGCAACGCTGTGAGTACAGTTACTTCCCATGTGTAACCCTCATGTGTACCTCCCGTGTGTACTCTGCTGTACCTCTTGCCATTTTGGTTTCTCAGGCTTGACACCTATGATTGAGATAGGGATGGGGTAGGACTCGCAGCACAGCTCTCTCCAAAGAAATTCTCATCTAAATCTTCCCCTCAACTCTTTTGTACATATATATTCTTGGCCACTTACTTTGTAAATCCTGGTCTAGCACTTCACTCTGGAATTTGGTATCTATTTGTGATTCAGCTGAAATTCCTATTTTAACATCTGATTACATTTGATTTATGACACATTTTGAACTCAAATGCTTCTATTTTCTGAATGCTGAGCATTAACATGACATTTACTTTTTTTTTCAAGCATAAGATACCGTCTACCATTTGGATGTATTTCCTAGGCTAGGGCTCCGTGCATCCAAGTCTGGGTTTTAGCGAGAGAGAGGGAACTCTAATTAAAAAGAGAGAGCACCACTGTTTGGTCCAAACTCTGTAAGGCCTTGGGGCATCCCTGTATGATATTCTGACCCTGGAGGGGAGAGAGCTGTGTCTTCCTGTTTTATAGCATCTCCAGGAGTGTGAGTGTGCAAGGACAGACTTCTTCAAGAGCGGATTGAGACATTGCTGGGAAGAGGCAAGAGTCAAAATAATTCAAAATTTGGGCTGTATAGGACCTTGAGCAAGTCACTTAATCCCTGTGAGCCTCAGTTTCCACATCTGTAGAATGTGAATAATCATCCCTATGTTCCTCACAGATGAGATCCTGTGAGGTCCTGTGAAGTGCTTCCTAAATTGAGAAAGGGGTCACAAGTGTCAGCAATAGGTACTAACAGTTAAATTTGATTTCATCTCCTGTCTTGGACTGTGAGGACCTTGAAGTCAGGGACCATGACTTGTTTTCCTTCCATCCCAATGTGAGCACAACTTTTTTTAAATTTTTTTCTTTAGACAGAGTCTTGCTCTGTTGCCCAGGCTGGAGTGCAATGGTGCAATCTCGGCTCACTGCAACCTCCGCCTCCCAGGTTCAAGTGATTCTTCTGCCTCAGCCTCCCGAGTAGGTGGGACTACAGGTGCCCACCACCATGTCTGGCTAATTTTGGTATTTTTAGTAGAGACGGGGTTTCTCCATGTTGGTCAGGCTGGTCTCAAACTCCTGACCTCAAGAGATCTGCCCGCCTTGGCCTCCCAAAGTGCTGGGATTACAAGAGTGAGCCACCACGCCCGGCTGAACACAATTTTTTGAACGGGCTTGTGATGCTCTTGCCATGTGTCTGGAATGTTTTGGGGTGTGGATTTGCTATGCAGAGCTACATATTTAACTTACACATACCTCCATCAGGTCAAATCTGAAAAAAGTGAGTTAAGGACCAGCCTCATTGCAACCTGGAAAACCCAAGCCAAAGCTCCTTTAATAATTTATGGGATTACTTAGTTTCATTTTCCAAGATATTTTTGAAACATTGAACCCAGTACACTTTGCTTCTACTTTTGCTGTGATTCAAATTCTTACTCCTGAAAGGGCTTTCTTGCTTTCCCTCTTATTATTTCAATCATGTCATTTGCGTCTTCACTTGCCTCTGGGTTTTCAGTTTGCCCTGTGAACTGCATTCCTTTGCTCAGACAGGGGTGTGGAGGAAGCGTGGGCCAGGAACCCCCAGCAACCCCCAGCTAATGCACAGGAGCCTTAAGCTTGGTGATTACTACAATTGTTGCCTAGTGGAACAGTGAGCCATTAGCTGGGTTCTCACCCCTCTATTAGTATTGCCCTGTGATTTAATCACAATTAGTCTCCTAGGAACATAGACATAGGAAACAGGTGGGCAAAGGAGGCAGATGGCAGAAAGCAACAACAGTTGGAGGATTCTCATTCAAGGCACTGTTTTCAGAAAGTGCAGGGCGAAGGAAGAGTGGAGTTGGAGCTTGGAACAAGGCAAATGGGTAAATGATTAATGAGACTTTGAGTTTTATTTTCTGGCATTGAGGCTGGGGACTGGCAAATGTTGATCTCATGTGCGGGGCTGGGCTTGTTTGATATCCATAGGGATTGAAAGAGGTCTCAGAAGGTGATTCCATTTCTCCTTCACTTCCTCTCCTTGGAAACTGTGGGGAGGAAGTTCTCAGAGAGGGTTCTTAGAGGAGGTTCTCCATTGTTTCATCTGGCTTTGCACCCTGGGGTCCAAATCAGTCTCTTGAGTGTATGTTGCAATCAACATCCCTTCCGTGGCCCTGCTCTGACCATTCTGAGGGGCTCACAGAAGACTCAGGCCTGGAGATGACCATTCTCCGTGGCTATGTATATTACTGGGAAGTATAGATGAGGGCGGTATATATGTAGAAGTAGAATTAATTGTGAGGTAGGGAAGATTGGATGAGGGTGTCCTTAGATCCTCCCACAGGTCTGTTTTCCCACTCAAGCTTCAAAACCTGGGTCCCAGTGTAGAAGGGAGGAACCCAAGCATTTAAGCCTCTCCTATTACATCACTCTCCTACTGTGGAACTGATCCATGAAGAAAACAGTCAATTGTGAAAGTTCAGCCCAACCCAGTCCCTCTTTGGCCATAGTCAAGTTGTTAATGGCAGAGACAGCTGAGGGCACTCTGGGGATGTGGTAGAGAGTTGAGGGGAGGTTGGAGCAGGGCAGGGGGTGCAAGAAGTTGGGAGCCCAAGCAGCTGTAAGTGAAATTAGGAAAAACTTTGGAGGCCTCCCATTTCCCTTTATTCTCTCTACTTCTCCTCTTACCAGTCAGGATCCAGTCCTCCTATAAATCCACGAAAGTATTTAATAACTGAATATCCTTGATATGGTTTGGCTGTGTCCTCACCCAAATCTCGAACTGTAGCTCCCGTAATTCCCACGTGTCGTGGGAGAGACCCAGTGGGAGGTAACTGAATCATGGGGGCAGGTCTTTCCTGTGCTGTTCTTATGGTAGTGAATAAGTCTCACAAGATCTGATGGTTTTATAAAGGTGAGTTGCCCTGCACATGCTGTCTCTCTTGCCTGCTGCCATGTAAGACATGACTTTGCTCCTCCTTTGCCTTCTGCTATGACTGTGAGGCCTCCCTAGCCGTGTGGAACTATGAGTCCATTAAACCTCTTTTTCTTTATAAATTACCCAGCCTCGGGGATGTCTCTATTAGCAGCATGAGAATAGACTAATACAATGCTCAAGGGTATTAGGAGAGAGTTCTGGTATTCCAGAAGGTTCTGGAAACCCAAGGCTCCTTCCCCCAAACCAGAAGGCAAGACCTGGGTGCATAGGAGAGAGGATTTCTCCCTCCTGACTCTCTTGGCATCAGATTCTCCACTTCTCATGATAACCATGCAGTCCCAAGTTGGAGACTTTCCAGGACAGTTTCAGTTTTAAATATTTTATCCTATTGTCCTCATAGGTACTTGTGAGGCCACATGCCCTGATTTTGTTATGGAGAAAACCCATAAGTACAATAATCCTAGCTCAGAGTATTTCCTGTTTGGCTGAGTTTACATAAATCTTGCCCTTCCCTGGCACCTAGGCATAGTGGTATTTGGAAGATTTGCTGGAATCCCAGCTAAGGAAAAGTTAGCTTGCAAGTTAGTATAGGAGCAAAGGATGGGTGACCTCCATGTTTCTTGGGAAATAGCTTAATTCTGAAGCCCCCCTAAAAAGAACTTATGCAAAAACCCATTCTCATTATGCTCTGTGGCTTTAGAGAAAAGCTTCCAGGTTTTCAGAATTCTCTCTCTCTCAATAGCTCTCTGATGAAAAAAAAATCCCTTTAACAGGAAAAGAGGCCTGGCACAGTGGCTCATGCCTGTAATCCCAGCATTTTGGGAGGCCAAGGCAGGTGGATCACCTGAGCTGAGGAGTTCGAGGCCAGCCTGGGCAATATGGTGAAACCCCATCTCTACCAAAAATACAAAAAATTAGCTGGGTGTTGTGGTGTGTGCCTGTGGTTCCAACTGCTTGGGAGGCTGAGGTGGGAGGATCACTTGAGTCTGGGAGGGGGAGGTTGCAGTGAGCCGAGATTCCATCTCAAAAAAAAAAGAATGGAGAACAGAGGCTTTTTTTTTTTTAATGTTTAAAAAGTTAGTTTTTTAAAAAAAATTATTATTATTATACTTTAAGTTTTAGGGTACATGTGCACAATGTGCAGGTTAGTTACATATGTATAAATGTGCCATGCTGGTGCGCTGCACCCACTAACTCGTCATCTAGCATTAGGTATATCTCCCAGTGCTATCCCTCCCCCCGTCCCCCGACCCCACAACAGTCCCCAGAGTGTGATGTTCCCCTTCCTGTGTCCATGTGTTGTTCTCATTGTTCAATTCCCACCTATGAGTGAGAATATGCGGTGTTTGGTTTTTTGTTCTTTCGATAGTTTAGGAACAGAGGCTTTTAATCCATGGTGAGAGATGAAAGCTAAGTCACCTCTTCCTCTTGGGGCATTGTTTTTCACACTGAAGGTTTCTGGATCCTGACCTTTGGCAAAACTTTAAAACTGTTATATATATGCTAGAAGAATATATAAAATATATAATGTAAACATATGTAACATAAATTAAAATATATAATATAAATTGGAGACTATGTATAAATAGAATGTGATAGAAGGGAAGAGAACAGAACATATCAGAATGCATTGCACTTGGTTTGTGTGAGTGTGGTTTCATGAAACTTATGTTTCTGTTTTATTTACTGATAGGTATGTGTGCCTTTGGTCACTGTGTAAAATGTATTTTGTCCTGTCGATCACAGTTTAAAAAATTTGAGGCCACTCTCCTAGGAAAGGTCATGCAGTTCCCTCTGTTCACACTGAACTGACACTGCTAAGGCAGACCCTCCCCTGAGAGCTGGTTCCATAGGCGTGGAGAAAGGAGTTGCAGGCTGCTGAGCACCTGTGCAGGGGTGAGACAAACATTGCAGAGAGGGGAGAGGAAAGGGCCAGAGTAGAAGCCACTTCTGTCCCTTTTGCAATAGTAGCTGCAAGGCACCGAGTGCCAACAGCACACAAGGCCTTCTGCCAAGTGCCTTAGATGAGTTGTCCGTTTCAAGTCTCACCACACACCATAAGAAAGAGGAGTACTATTATTACTGTCCCATTTTATAGATGGGGAAACTGAGGCTTACTTGCCTGCGGTCACATTGCTTGTACATTGCAAATGAAACTTTGTCTTAAACCCAGGTGAGCCCAATTTTTCAGGCCATGCTCTCATGCAATCACAGTAAACAGTTCCTCTTTGGGGTCTGGTGTTGGCCCAGCATCACCGATCAAGGTCTGCCAGCCCACACCCAGAGTGGATTCAGGGCAGGCAGGGCCAGGAAGTGAAGGAGCCCAAGTTCTGCAGCCCAGGGCCCCCGGACTGATGGCTGCGAGGGTGGCAGCCTGTTTCCAGCCCTGCTCCTGCTCGCTGCCTGCTTTGCCATCGCAGAATATGCTGCTAATTATAACCAAACACAATGAGCAATCGCAGCCTGCTGGCGGTGGAGCACTCGTTAGAGGTCTGGCAAGCTTTTCCTTCGACTTTCCCCGCAGCCTGAAGGCGGTGGCGGCAGGAGCCCTTGGCTCCAGCTCCCTCCTCCCCTTCCCGCTCCCTCTGCTCTGGGCCGGGTCCACTCAATTCCATTAGTATTTACTTAGCTCCTACTGTGTACAGGCTCTGGGTTCAGTGCTTGAGGGTGGTGCGGAGTGGGTGGAATTAGAGCCAGGCCTCTGTTCTTGCCTTCAGTGAGTTCACCGTCTTCGTTTTCTCTTAATTAGAATTTTAAAAGCCAGGCGCAATGGATTGTGGCAGTGAGAAGAGAGGTTTTGCTCAGCTTTGTGTACCTGACAGTTTCTTTGAGGCCCCTTCTTGGGTTTTGTGACATTTCTTTTCTGCCATTTGATAATGTGAGGGCACAAAAGTGCTTGCTCTGCATACATGATCTCTGGTGGTGCTCATTTGTCCCAGGGAGAGAAACTCTTTCCAAAATCTTGGAGAATGTACACCTGGGCCAATATAAGAGATGCATAAGACATTACAGGCCTTGGAACCCAGAGAAGGAGATTCTGAAATGCCTATGCTGAGGGCTCAGGAATCTGGGAAGGGTGTGAGGGGAAAGACAGCCTCAGATGGTGGGACATCTGCCTCTGGTTCTGGGGAAATACACACAGCTATTTCTGGGTTGATCTTCAGCCAAACTTCAAAGTAAGTCAGATTTATCTTTTGGTCCCTTCATCTCTCTCTCACGCTTCCTGGCATCTAAATTCCTTCTGGTGTATCCAAGGGACATTCTTCCTGCCCCCTATTAGGGCTTCCTTATCTGCCATCAACCAATCACATTAAGGTTTTTTTGTTGCAAATTCATCAAGATATGATTCCTCCAGGGAGCCATCATGGATGGTAGGGATAGTCGGGTCCTGTTTACTGAGGAGTCCTTGATGCCTCCCTAGCAGAATGACTGCCCAGAGCAGTAGAGCATGATAGCATGGTGCATATTTGTGGAGCGAATGAATGAAGAGCTGGGAGCAACACCAGAGAACATCTGGTCCTCATTTTGCTGCGGGGGAAAAACAATCTAAGGCCCAGAAGTAGGGTGACCAACTGTTCCAGTGTGCCAGGGACTGAGAGCATTTCCAGCATATGGGACTTTCAGTTATAAGACCAAGCAAATTGGTCACTTTATGATGGGTTGTGATGAATAAACCAGTATGAGCTGTATGAGAAGGCAGGGAAGAGGTGGGATTTTTGTGCACAAAAAAGATGGGAAGCACCAGACAGGGGAGAGAGCAAAGGCCTGGAGAAGGCAATTTTTAAAAGAAAAATAGACAGAGCCAATACATATATGAAAAAAAAGTTCAGACTCACCAGTAACAAAATACAAACTAAAGCAATTTTCACCTATTTCTCAAGGATTTAACACCATGGGAACACCCTGAGAAACCAAGCACTTTCATTCACTGCTGACAGAAATCTAAACTGTTTCAGTCTTTCTGGTGGGGAAGTTTGGTTCCAGGTTTTAAATTGTTTGGTCACCAGGCATAGATACCTTATGCCCTGTTTTCTTAGAATTTGGCCTTAAGGAAATAACTGGAGATATGATCAAATTTTGGCAATTAGGGAGGCCGAGGCAGGAGGATTGCTTGAGCCCAGGAGTTCAAGACCAGCCTAGGCAACATAGTGAGACCCCCTTTCTTTTTTCTTTTTCTTTTTTTCTTTTCTTTTTTTTTTTTTGGAGACTGAGTCTTGCTTTGTCACCCAGGCTGGCGTGCAGTGGCACGATTTCAGCTCACTGCAATCTCTGCCTCCCAGGTTCAAGTGATTCTCCTGTCTCAGCCCCGCAAGCAGCCGGGATTACAGGTGCATGCCACCACACCCCACTGATTTTTGTAGTTTTAGTAAAGATGTGGTTTCACCATGTTGGCCAGGCTGATCTTGAACTCCTGACCTCAGGTGATCTGCCTGCCTTGGCCTCCCAAAGTGCTGGGATTACAGGCAGGAGCCACTGTGCCTGGCGAGACCCCCTTTCTACAAAAATAAAAAAATTAGCTGGGCATGGTAGTGTGCTCCTGTAGTCTCAGCTACTTGGAAGGCTGAGGTGGGAGGATCACTTGAGCCCAGGAGATCAAGGCTGCAGTGAGACATGATCAAGCCACCGCATCCTGGGTAAAGACAGAGTGAGACCCTGTCTCAAAAAAAAAGTTTGGGGTGCAAGGATGCTTATTTCCTTATTACAGCTTCATAATAAAGTCAAATTGGAGGACGAGCGCAGCGGCTCATGCTTGTAATTTCAGCACATTGAGAGGCCAAGGTGGGAGGATCGTTGAGCCCAGGAGTTTGAGACCAGCCTGGGCAATATAGTGAGACCTCATCTCTACAAAAAATTTAAAAATTAGCTGAGCGTGGTGGTACATGCCTGTAGTCCCAGCTACTCAGGAGGCTGAGGTGAGAGGAGGCCTCGAGCCCAGAAGGTCGAGGTTGCAGTGAGCCGACATTGCATCACCATACTCCAGCCTGGGCAACAGAAA
Source organism: Homo sapiens (assembly GCF_000001405.40). Lineage (NCBI taxonomy): Eukaryota > Metazoa > Chordata > Mammalia > Primates > Hominidae > Homo > Homo sapiens. Next base: position 58,049,457 of record NC_000017.11, read on the forward strand.
GAGACCCTGTCTCAAAATAAAATAAATAAAGTCAAATTGGTGTCAACCCAAAATTTCCTCTTAGGAGGCTGAATGAACAAAACAAATTTCTTGCTGGTCTTTCTGGTGGTCGGCCCCCACCCAGTTTTTAAGCCAAGCAATTCAACTCTCCTTTTGTCCCCCTTCCACTTCAGGTTTATTCCCTAAGCCTATATTTTAGATGCCAACAATTCTCTCCCACAGAGGAATTTTGCCATTGGCCCTTAAGCTAGTTTTTCTAGTCATTCTCAGCTTGCATCACTCACACGGTGCGTAGGCTGTTCTGCCCCTTGGTGCGGTTACTCTGGTCAGAGCATTTTTGGTTGTAAATAACAAAACCAACTCAGGCTATCTCAAGAAGAATAATTTTTTTAAATGGTAGCAGATATTGTTGGATGTGGGGAAGTAAGCCTCAAAGGAGGCCCACCTAAAATACCTCTGGACTGGCTGCTCCTCAATAGACTGGCTTCTTTCTCATTTGACCCAATACTGAGTTTTAGTCTCTGACTCTGGCCCTTACTATGTGCCCATAGGCAAGTGACATAAGTGTGGCTTCATCTGTAACAAGGGGATATTACTAGCTTTTATCACATAGAACTTCCTAGGTGGCAGGCAGTATAATAAAAAATATAACAGGCCGGATTCAGTGGCTCACGCCTGTAATCCCAGCACTTTGGGAGGCCGAGACGGGTGGATCACCTGAGGTCAGGAGTTCAAGACCAGCCTGGCCAATGTGATGAAACCCCATCTCTACTAAAAATACAAAAATTAGCCAGGCGTGGTGGTGCACACCTGTAGTCTTAGCTACTTGGGAGGCTGAGGCAGGAGAATCACTTGAACCCTGGAGGTGGAGATTGCAGTGAGCCGAGATCACACCACCACACTCCAGCCTGGGCGACCGGGTGAGACTCAGTCTCAAAAAAACAAAAAAACAAAATTTGGTTTTCATGCCCAGTTCCTGATACAGAGCTCCTAGAACCCTTGGAATTTCCAGAGTGATTTTTTGTTATTGATAAGGAGCCTCTTTAAACCACACCTGAGTTTATGCTCATGAGATGGCCCAGGATGGGGTCCCTAGAGAGCTTCAAGATGGGGGCTGACCACCAGAAAGACCACGATTAGAGGGAAGAGGGTAGGAACTTTCAGCCTCACTCTCCCCACCACCCCCAATTCCTGGAGGCGGAGGAGGGCTGGAGATTGGGTCAGAAAATCTTTTGAACAAAGAAATTCAAAGAGTTCCAAGGTTGGTGAATGCAGAAGACAGAGGCTTCTATACTCGGCATCCATTCAGATCTTGCCCTGTGTAGCTCTTTATCTGGCTGTTTATTTGTATCCTTTATAATAAACCAATAAATGCAAGTTGTCCTAATAAATTACTGAACCTCTTCGGGGGTGGTGTGGGGATGCCTAAATTTGTAGTCATCTGGGCAGAAGTGTGGGTAGCTTGTTATTTGCAGCTGGCACTGGAAGTGGGGGGATTGATCCCTTTAACTTGTGGGAACTGATGCTAACTCCCGGTAGTGTCAGAACTGAATTGAATTGAATTGCTGGACACCCAGTTGATGTTGGAGAGTTGGTTGGTGTCAGAAAACACCCCACACAGGCACTGTCTTAGCACTAAGTATTAGCTCAGTTGGTCCTTTTAACAGCCCTATGAGATACATGCTATTACCATCTGCCATGCACATGCATTTGTGTGTGTGTGTGCATACGCATGCACTCAGATCCTCTGCTTCTCCTCCTAACTTGGTTGTGCATATGGCTCCTTAATAGCCAACCCAGTAGTAACTCCCACCCCCTCAATTAAAACCTGGACTGTCCCTTTGTGTCTCACTGGCTGTCAGGCTCTGTCCTGCTACTGCTCCCTGTGGCAATCATCTACTCTCTCCCCATCACTCCCCCATTTGTGAAAGACATGAGCACCTGGCTCACTATCAGTCTGTTCATCACCATACTCAGCATCATTCCTGGTCCGTGTCTATTAGATGACCCCTCCAACATTCTGCCTCCAGTTAATTAATCTTCTCACCACCAGTGACCTGTCCCTCCCTGCCTGCCTCAGCTGCCCACTCCCATCATCTAATGCTAGATCTTATCACCAGCAGTAACTGTGCCATGTCCAAGATCTCCATTTCAAGCAGCTTTCTCTGACCACTACCTCATATCTGTTCAACTTGCTTCCCTTGTACACCCACTCCTACACTCTTCCCCTCAGAGAACTTCCTTCCACACACTGGTTCCCCAGTCCTTTCACTCACGCATTCCTCCATGCTGTCACCTCCCTCACTTCTCAGCTTATAATCCATGGTCCAGCATGATAAATATACTTACATAAACCCTGGGGCCTTGTAGTGACATTAAAATATGTCTGCAAGTTCTTTGATGCTTGTACTCATCAGCTTGGCTGCCATAACGAAATGCTATAGAGTGGGTGGCTTGAGCATGGATTTTTTTTTTCTCACAGCTCTGGAGACTAGTAGTCTAAGACCAAGATTCTGTCCAATTTGGTTTCTGGTGAAGACTCTTCCTGAATTGTAGATGGCTACTTTCTTGCTGTGTCCTCACGTGGCCGTTCCTTGGTGTGTGAGCACAGAGAGAGAGACAGCAAGCTATTTGGTGTCTCTTCTTAAAAGGAGATGAATTCTATTGGATCAGAGCTTTATGATCTTATTTAACATTATGATCTTATTTAACATTAATTTGTTTCTTAGAGGCCCCATCTCCAAATAGAGCCATACTATGGGTTAGGGCTCCAACACGGGAATTTGTGGCGGGGGCAGACATAAACATTCAGTCCATAACAACACTACTCCCTCCAAAAGGTGGAGTCTAATTCCCCTCCCCTTGAATGTGGACTGGACTTAGTGACTTGCTTTTAACAAATATAATGCAGCAAAAGGAACGCAATGTCACTTCTGAGCATAGGTCAAAGAAGGATAGCTTCTGATTAGGTCTCCCTCTTGGACTGGTAGCTCTGGGAGAAGCTGGTTGTCAGGCTGTAAGTACACTCTGACAGCCTGTAGAGGAACTGAGTTGTCCACCAACCACCACTACTGACTTGCCAGCCATGTGAGTGCACCACCCTGGAAGCAGATCCTCCAGCCCTATACAAGCTTTTAGATGACTGTAACCTGAGGTAACATTTGACTGCAGCCTCGTGAAAGACCCCAAGCCAGAACTGCCCAGCCTGAGCTGCTTCCAAATTCCAAACTGTGACCCACAGAAACTATGAGGTAATAAATATTTGTTGTTTGGGAGTAATTGTGTTGGAGTCATGTGTTTCACAGCAATAGATAACAATGACAACCATTCTGACCTTCTCTCTCCCAACCTATAGGCCTAGCAAAATCAACACTTGTCAAATGTGACTTTTAGCTATTTAATGCCTGCACTCCAGGTGTTAAAGGTGGCTGGAGAAAAACACAGAGCTGTACTGAAAGGTTTCCCTTTAAATTCATCACCACTGACCTCAGAGGACCACATTGCTGCCATATTGCTGCCCAGCAATCCTACACTGTTTTCCCCAGGCAAGTCGCCTCTCCTACTCCCTCTGGCAGATGACTGCATCACGCCTCCTTTCTTTTCAGGCCTGCACGCAGTTCTCCTTGCTTCTCACTTTCAGCTGATGACATCATTTTTCCCCCACTGAAAAAAAAAATCAGAAAAGAAAAAAAAATCACATCCTCCCACAACCAAAAATACCAGCCTCCAGAAGTTGTGCCCACGTGCCCCACCTTTCCTCCTCTCATGATGAATGAATCGTCCATGTGTCTGTCTGAGGCCAGCCCCTCCTCTCGCACACTGGATCCCTTCTTCTCTTGCTTGTTAAAAAGCATCACTCCAGCAATTATCCACTCTCTCATCTGCAGCATCAAATTTTCCATCTCAACTGGATCATTCCCATCAGCATACTGATAGGATATAATAACTCTCAGCTTTAAAAAATATCCTTGACCCCACATTCCCTCCAGTTGCTTCACCATTTGCTAACCATTCAGAGCAAAACTACTGTTTCTATTTCCTCACCTCCTAGTCTCCGTCACAGGCTCCAATCAGCCTTTCATCCTTACCATGGCAGTGAAACTACATTTATCAAGGCCACTGATGACTTCTGTGTTGACAGATTCCATGGTCAATTCTCTGTTCTTATTTGACCCATCGGTGGCATTTTAAGTCATGTGATCACTCCTTTCTTCTTGAAACACTTTCTTCAGTTGCTTCCAGGACACCAGGGTCTTCCAATCTTCCTCTGACTTCACTAGCTGTTCCTTCTCCATTTGTCTTTTTTAGATTTTCTTTTTCACTTTTCACAACCTGTAAAATTGGAATGGCCTAGACCTTAGCTCTTGAATAGCCTCTGTTCTCTTCTCTTTCCTTTCCTTATGCTCCCTCTTCTGGGTGGCCTTATGTGGTCCCAAGGCTTTAAACACCATCAACATGCTATAGACCTCCTATTTATGTCCCTAATCTAGAGCATCTCCCTTGAGCCCAGGATGAATAAAGGCAAAATTTGTGTTCATTTTCCTCCCTTTTTGGCACATCTCTCCTCACCTCTCAGTGGTTTTCCTTTCTTCTGATATCCAGTTTATTCATACTCAAGGGTAATAGATAGGATTAAAACATTACCTACTGCTTAGCACACTGCCTCACACATAATGGAAATATTAATCAAATGTAACTAAATTACTCCTTTCAGGGAACAATATTTATATTTGGCCTAAAGGCAAAGTTACGCCTTTCTACTTGTGAAATTTCAGATATGGGCATAGATGGTTTAATCCTACTCAGGCCTGGGATGGAAATGGGGGGATGGGGTGTGGGTTTTTGAGGGTGATAGGCTTTTCTAGAATTGCTTAAATCAAGCTGATCACAGACTCAGCCTTTCTGTAGGGTGTACTTAGTGTTTTCTCTACCTTTTTTGGTGTTGTTATGGCCAAGATGAAATAGAATGCCTGGGTCGCTTGGCAAAGCCCCACCCTGAGTTTTAGTGGTGGCTGCCTGGTGGTGTTAGTCCAGTGGTTAGACCACAGTAGTGACAGGCTGCAGATTCATTTTCCACTTAGCTTTTCACAGAGAGACCCTGTTCTTCAGCCACTGATTGATCCCTTAACTTGGTCAAAAATTGGCACATAGTCCAGCCTAAAGATTCAAAGTTAGACCTTGACATTTGGCTGAATCATTTTAAAAAGTTTCAAAGGTCAGAACGTCCATAAATAAGAGTACAGTCCTTCTCCCATGCCCTCTCTAGTTTACCATGATAAAGTGAGAGTCAATGAGGTGACAAAGCTGTGGAAGTCCTGGGGCACTGGATCAGTCAAGGTCCTGTCACTCAAGGCAGTGAGGCGGGTTGGACAAAGGGGCGATTTATAGGGCCAAGGGAAGCAACATTGGGCAGGGAGGCACCCAGGGCCAGCAACAACAGGGAGTCACTACCGCCTCTAGGCTGAAGGTGTAGGTGGGGAGCACTGACCAGATTCCAGGGACAGCCACGGCTGTTGGAGAGCTGCCTGTGACCGGAGCCTTGGCCACCCATCAGCCCAGCAGGATGGGAGATGACAGAATGAACATCTTGACTTTCTCTTCGTCCTTTCCATCTCTTATAAATGCTTCCCATTGGCCAAACCCAACTAGGAACCAGATGGCAAGGGAGCCTATTGGTATAGACCACATAAGGCAACCTCTTGGATCTCGGAGCAGAGTGGAGAAGTCTGGAGAGTGCAGCTGAAGGAGCCAACAGTGAATATCCCACAGACTTGTTCAGAATTACAACTCCAGGGTCCAAACCTATTAGAAGGCAATGTTCTCAAGGTAGATGGTTCATGGACCCCTGTCTCCACCAGCAAAAACAACTAAAGCCGATGTTCTATGCTTCAAGATGGGGTACTAGAATAACCCTCATGTATATGAGACTGGAAGTCTGCTCCCTAATGATGCTGATTAGGGAGCATCAATAAATCTTGTGACAGGGACAAGATTTATTGAAGTGTGAGTATTCTAAGGAACATTTTAGCTTGATAATCTCATATCTGGATCTTCTGGGTACAGTTTTTTTTGTTTTTTTTTTTTTTGAGATGGAGTCTTGCTCTGTCACTCGGGCTGGAGTGTAGTGGCGTGATCTTGGCTCCACCTCCCAGGTTCAAGTGATTCTCCTGCCTCAGCCTCCCAAGTAGCTGGGATTACAGGCACGTGCCACCATGCCTGGCTAATTTTTTTTTTTTTTTTTTTTGAGATGGAGTCTTGTTCCATCTCCAGGCTGAATCTCGGCTCATTGCAACCTCCAACTCCCGGGTTCAAGCGATTATCCTCCCTCAGCCTTCTGAGCAGCTAGGATTACAGGCACACACCACCATACCCAGCTAATTTTTGTATTTTTAGTAGAGATGGGGTTTCGCCATGTTGGCCAGGATGGTCTTGATCTCCTGGCCTTGTGATCCACCCACCTCGGCCTCCCAAAGTGCTGGAATTACCCACGTGAGCCACCAAGCCCAGCCTAATTTTGGTATTTTTAGTAGAGATGGGGTTTCACCATGTTGCCCAGGCTGGTCTCGAACTCCTGACCTCAAGCGATCCTCCTGCCTTGGGTCCTCCCAAAGTGCTAGGATTACAGGCGTGAGCCACTGCACCTGGCCTGGGGTACAGAATTGGGAGAATGATGGGAAGAAAGACTGGGAGAAGAGGGAAGGACCTGACACAAGAGGTAAAGTCAGCCTACATAATAAACAGCTCAGAAGGAGGGGGATATTTAGGTGCTGGACAGAGTACAAGAGCTTCAGGCATGTCAAAAGCCCTTAAGCAGCTGGCCGTGAGAGAATTAAGGAAAAAGTGGCTTTAGAAAAACATTGCCAAGTGTTTCTATCTCTTCAAAAGATACAACAAATACTTGGAATTTCTTTTAAAATTTCTTTCAGTTGCTGAACTATGTTCCTTTCTCTATGAGCCTCCAAGCAGAGTCTGGGCCATGTGGGCCCTCAACTGTTATTGGAGTCACAATAAAAGACCTTCTGGATGGTTCTGGCAACCAAGGACTGGCCAGAAAGCACTCCACACACCTCATCCTCTGTCCTCTGCATGATAGCACACAAGCCTGGAAGCTTCTGAGGACTTAGCTTCCTTCCAAGGGGTTGTAACCTTACCCAATGATTGCTGCAAAATGGAAGGGATGATTATTTTACCTTTGGCACAGAAGCCAGAGCAGGTAAACAAGTTGTTAGTCACTCAATAAGTCATCTACAGATGCAAGGAGACACAACCCAGGTCTCTGGACTCTGTGTGGCCTGCATTCTGCTCAGCTGGCTGGCTGCAAATTCTATTTCCTTCCCTTTCTAGGAAATGAAAATTCTCCCCTCTCCTTCCTGAGAAGGCTCAGGCCTGCTTGGTTTAGGTTTTCACCAAGGGACTGTGGGACAAGACCAGATTCTGAGCCTTTACAAAATCATTCCTTTAGTTCTTAGTTCCTTTCTTGAAAGCAGTTTAAAGTGTGCAGGGGCAGGAGACTAAGCCCTAGGACTAGGACTTGGGGGTTCTGAGCATGGGTGCATGACTATAACATGATCTGAATTTCCCAGCTATGCAGCATACTCTGTCAGATGTGGGCTCTGATCCGGATGAGATATTGCTCAATCTGGGCTAATAAGATATGGGGAGACATTGACTGAGGGGTTCTGGAAAGAAGTTTCTACTTTCTTCCATGATGACTATTTAAAAAGCAGCTTGCTGTCTCTCCTGAGAGTGAACAAAGTTGCAGACAGCTTTGGTTGCTGCTGGCAACCACATTGCAACCTAGAGGATTGAGAGTTTTAGGATGAAGTTGACATCATGGAAGACAGAGTGGAAAGACAAAAAGAAACAGCATAGAGCAGATGGATCAGATCTTGCATAAAGCCCACCCTACCTCAAACTTCTTTTTAATTGTAAAGGACCAATAGGTTGATTGTTTAAGCCAGTTTGAGTTGTGCTTTCTGCTACTGCAGTAAAAACCATCCATTATACTGATACATTATGGCAGCTCAGATTCTCCACGCTGTAGGCTCAGGAACAGGAAGGCACAGTCTGGTCTGAGAAGATTCTGTCCTGATGCAGGTAATGTGTTGCTCTTTCTTTGGTGGGTGGCAGAAAGGTCAGGCAAGTTCATCTTGCAGCTTGGGGAGAAGAAGTGATGAATTAGGTCATCTGGCAAAGGCATGGCTGAAAGGATGCCTCACGTACTTGAACATGATGCTCTGGGGGCTTAGAGGGCTTGGGCTGCCAGATCCATGTGGGCAGGTGTTCTTTGCCTGAGGTTCTTGAACTCCTAGGGTTCCATGGAAGAGTGTCAGGAAGTCCATGAAACCCTGAAACCGTATGAAGAATTTTGTATGTGTGCATTTTCATCAGGTTTTCAAAATGGAAGAATTACTGCCCTATGTTTAAATGGTATATGACCCTCTAAACCCATCTGCCTCCATTTCTCCTTGTCATCAGACAGGATGACTAGTCCTTTTTCTTCTTACTTTCCAGAAGGGATGAACATATGAAAGATCTTAGAGGGTGGATAAACCTATTAGATGGAAAACATCTTTTTTAAATTATCAGACAGAGCCAAGCTATGAGGAGAGGACTTCAGGGGTGTCCTGAAGTGAGAAAGTCCATCTGAAACTGAAGACAGCCAGGAGCATAGATGAAGAAGAATGACAAAAGTCAGACATGTCCTTTCTGTAGGAAATCCAGGTACTTGGATACACATGAACATATACGCTGCATGTCATGTATGTATATGGAATAACAACGTTTGCATTGTCTGATGGTTTCCAACAAGTATTTTCATAACATTGCCTCATTTGGTCTTCATACAGACAATGGGAGCTGGGTCTCACACTTTTCCCCAAGGTTCAGGAGGTGAAGTGCCTTCTTCACCATCTCTCCGTAAATGGTGATGCTGTAAATGAAATTCACGTATTCTGTTTCCTTACCTGGTGCACTAAGCCCTATATTAGTCTAAACCTGGCTGACCATCAGTATCACCTGGCTGCTTCTTTAAAATGCTTGGGCTCCACACCAGTTCTAGAAATTCTGATTCAGGATGTCTAGGACAGGGCCTGGGTATTTGCATTTCTGGAAGCACCCCAAGTGAAACTGAAGACTATTTAGGTTTTTAGAATTTGGCCCTTGCAGGGGTTGGTGCATTGATACAGTGGACTCTTAAAAGATGGGCAGCTGGGTATGGTGGCTCACACCTGTAATTTCAGCATTTTGGGAGGCCAAGGTGGGAGGATAGCTTGAGCCCAGCAGTTCAAGACCAGCCACGGCAACATAAGGAGACCTCGTCTCTACAGAAAATTAAAAAAAAAAAAAAATTAGCCAGGGTGGCACACAGCTGTGGCCCAGCTACCCAGGAGGCTGAGGTGGGAGGATCGCTTGAGCCTGGGAGATCGAGGTTGCAGTAAGCAGAGACTGTGCCACTGCACTCCAGCCTGGGTGACAGAGCAAGACTCTGTTTCCAAAAAAAAAAGGCAAAAGTAGCAAATCTCTAGTGGTGGAATTTCAGGCTTTGAGGCAGACAAATGGATGCAGGATATATTTTGGGGAAGGGAGACATCTTGTTATGATGTGTGGTAGCTGTGTATTTGCCACATGGCTCTCCACCACAGAACTTCCCACATGAATATTACCTGCTTGGTGTATACTATACACATATAATGTCAACAAAACTCTCAGAATGAAGAGCAAACACATCTAATAAACATGTGGATTTTTAGAGCATGCAAGCTTTTTTAGGGAAAAAAATATGGAAGCATTTTCAGTGTCAAGTCTCACCACGAGGCAGGCTCTTCAAGCTGGAAGAAAGGCATCCGGAAATACGAGTTTGTCATGGAAACGCTGATGGGGCTTCAGCTGAGTGATGCTCACAGGTGCAACCCAGAATGGCACAGCCTCTTGTGGCTTATTTACATCCCAGCCTGCTGAACGAGCTCACTTTTCTTGTTGCCTGGCCCTGGGGGCTTCTTACCAGGAAGAACTGTGGCTGTGGCTGTGTTTCTTGGTGGAGATTTTCAGCAGGAAATTACAGGGGGTCTTAGGATCAGTTTCACATCTGGGAGAAAGGCTCCTGGAGAGAGTGGAGAGATGAATGAAGTAAAGAAGGAAGAAAAGGAGGGAAGGAAGGAAAACATACTGATTCTAAGTGCCAGGACCTACCCAAGGAGAACACAGGCATCATCTTCATGTCTTCATCACCATCGGCTGTAACCCAGTGAGGTACCTAAGGTTATCCCTGTGTTACAGAGAAGGAAACAGGCTGGCGGCACCCAGAGGGGAGCTGACAACCACATCCTTGGGTAGACTAGATGGCCAGCGGTGCAAGGATTGGGAAGCTTCCCCTGAAACCACCACTTTGGCTGACACCAAAAACCCTAGAGCAGGGAACAAAGGCCTTCTCTTGACAAGCAGGGAGAAACCTAGAGAGGCCATTCCTCCTGGGAGAGCTGCATGCTGACTCCCCTGGGTCCTGTCAGGGTGGATGACTGACCACGACCCTGTGCTGCGGGCAGGCTATGGTCCAGGAGGGACACTGGGTCCTTGAAGATACAGGTTCTCTGTTCTTCCCAGCTGGGCTCCAGGAGTCACATCAGGAGCCAGAGAAGGGCATCAGTTGCTTTATGGAGCCAATAGGTGGGGCCTAAGAGGCTGGGGGAGGGAGTTGGGAATAGGAAAAGGTTGTCTGCCTGCGGGACGTTTCCATTTGGCAGAGAAAGTGTGGTCCCTTAGGGGCTCTCAATCCAATCCGACAGGAGAGACAAGAGCTCTGCACACATGGAGTCCAAGAAAGATGGAGGAAAGAAGACACAGGCCAGAGATTCTAGGAGCTCACAGACTGGACAGGGAAAGACCTGTTTTTCCCGATCCTGGCCACAGACCCAGAGGTCCCAACCATCTTGGGAACTGCCCTGGACTCTGGCAAGAGTTAGGGTGAGACCCAGACCCCCCAAGTTCTCTCCTACACATCTACAAGGCCCCCAGAGTGTTCTTCTACAATGCTTTCTATCAGAGCCACCTGCTCCTGGGGGCTTGCAGCTTTGGCCAGGACCAGTGAGTGGCTCTGCTGGGAGGCTGCTCTAATTAGGCCCAGGGTCACTCCCCAGCCCCATCTGTCCTCAGCAACATGAGTCCCACCTTTTCCTCCTCACCAGGAGCCTTGGGAGCTTGGGAGACATTCCAAGGCTGGCTCTGACATGAATTTGCTGCACAGTGCGCCAGGCGATCAGAGCTGACTCCTCTCCCTTTTCCCTTGGAGGTGTTGATAGTAACAGCAGCGATGAGCTGCCAAGTTGGCAGGAGAACAGAGCGACTGTGCACTGCGGATGGAGGGGGGCGGGAAGCAGCAAGCCGGCAGAGGGCTGGGCCAGAACGACAGTTTGTTTATCCTGAAATTGAAAGGGTCCCTCCAGTCTCAGCCACCAGCATCTTGCAGGAGGGAGGGTGACTTCCTAGAAGGTGGAGGCTCTGGTGGGAGGCCCAGGGTTGGTGATGTGGGTGTTGCTAGAGTCGGGTGGGTGGAAGGGATCTTTTGGTTGGGCCTGAAGCCATCAGCCAGCCTGGCCCCAGAGGCAGGACAGAGACCCACCTTTGTTCCTGCTGTTGAGGTGGCTGTGGAGTTTCTAAACTGGAATGGACCTGGGGTGGGGAGCTAGAGTTCTGAAGCTGCTTCCTCCTAAATATAGAGACCTCAAGGGGCATTTAGGAGGGTACTCATGCTCTGTCAATCAAACGAACCTGGGACCTTGGGCAAGTATTTGAATCCTTTGAGCCTCGGAGATTAAGAACATTTACTTTAAAGCTTTGTGTGAGGATTCAATAAAGTAGTGACGGCAAAAATTTGTTTCCTGTTTACTCCAGGGCAGACATGGTGCTAAAAGCTTTCTGTTTGTGAAGCATTTAATCCTCAAACTTTATCAGGTGGGTACTATTTGTATTCCTATTTTATGAATGAAGTAACTGAGGCACAGAGGGGGTAAGCAGCTTACTCAGTGTCACAGAGCTAATGAGTAGCCACAATGGGGATTTGAACCTAGTGGTGTGTTGCTTAGGCCTATGTTCTCAGCCCCTGTAGAAACTGTCTTCACAGTGCAACTGAGTTCTGAGCAGGGTGCCTGGCACAGAGCAAACATTTAATGAATGTTAGCTACTATCATGACTCCCCTAGAGCAGTTCCAGACAGGGGACCTAGGCTCCTGATATCTATACCAGGGACTCCCTGGGGTCCTAGGTTGTCCTCTTTCCATCTTTTGTCTATACTATCTTGCTCATCCTAGGAGCTGGAGGAACTTCTCTTTTGGAGAGATTGCTGCTGGTCTTCCCTGCTTCTCTCATCCCCTCCTCCCGAAGGCAGAGCAGAGGAATTCTCGGCTTCTTCCAGTTACCCTCAGCCTGCAAAGAAAACATAGTCTGCTGCGTCTGCTGCCAGTTCCTCTCTGGCGACAGCCACAACCCATTTGCTCAGCATCAGCCCCAGCCTGTGCTGTGGGTAGAGCCCGGAGCCTGGGGCAGGACCCCAGTGCCCTGTGTGAGAGCCTGGGTCAGTTACTGTAAGGCTGGGCCTTGGGGGCCACTCAGAGGGAGAGGCATGGCCCACATAATTTCTTGAAGACTCTGGCTGTAAGAGTGGTGACTGAAGGCTGGTGTGCTGTATGCATAGACTCTTTCTTTTTTTTTTTTTTTTAGGCGGAGTCCCTCTCTCTGTCACCAGGCTGGAGTGCAGTGGCACGATCTTGACTCACTCCAACCTCCACCTCCCAGGTTCACGCCATTCTCCTGCCTCAGCCTCCCAAGTAGCTGGGACTATAGGCGTCCGCCACCGCACCCAGCTAATTTTTGTATTTTTAGTAGAGATGGGGTTTTACCACGTTGGCCAGGAAGGTCTTGATCTCCTAATCTCGTGATCTGCCCGCCTCAGCCTCCCAAAGTGCTGGGATTACAGGCGTGAGCCACTGTGCCCGGCCGCATAGACTCTTTTTAGGGTAGGAAATCCATTGTATAAACATGTTCTCAGTTTTGGAAGGTTCATTAATACAGCCATGCAAATTGGTAACCAGCTTTACAAGCTCACTAAACTGTGCTACTGGCCACCCTAAGGTGCCAGACAAAGAATCCTGTGCCACTTTCTGCGTGGCCAGAGCTACCTCCTGTCAGCTGCGAGATAGCCAAACCACAGCCAGGAGCCCAGATTACTGACTGCTCCCTAGGCCCGAATTCTTCCCTGGGACGATGAAACATCAGGCATTTGTGTGGGGGAAAGGAACTGCAGTGTGGACATCTCAGAACAACACTGTTTTGTTTATGTAAGCTGTGAGGCATTGTGGGTGTGCTGGCTACAGAGTCACCCCCCTGTTTCCATCACATACGAGAACTGATGACAGGAGATCAGGTAGCGTTGGGAAGCTGGGGCTAAAACTCTGCTATGGACTCAGAAGAAAATGGAATATTCTAAATATTATAGAATAGACACAGCAAGGATACAGTATCTTCTAGTTAGAAACTTTTAATTAAAAGAATGTTCACTCCATAGGGATCAGCTAGAACATGATGGTCAATAATTATAAACAGCTGAGCATGGTGGTGTGCACCTGTAATCTCAACTACTAGGGAGGCTGAGGCAGGAGGATCACATGAGGCCAGGAGGTCAAAGCTGCAGTATGCCACGATTGTGCCTGTGAATAGCCACTGTATGCCGGCCTGGGCAACATAACAAGACCCCATCTCTAAATTTTTTTTTTAATTATGAACAAAAAGGACAGTCACAACCCAACAATTCCTTTACGATGCTCACTACACAAGCAGCACTTAAGACTCCTTAGGCATGGGAGTACTCTCTGCCTGGGCCAGGGAGGTGGAAAGGAAACTGAGGCACCAAAGTAGAAGAGAGGTCCTGAGATGTTTCAAGGCACACATAGAAGGTAGTTGCCCGTCACCACACAGGGCTGATCACCATCTTGGTCTCTGGGATCTAAAATATTCAACTTGGGTAGTAGTTCATTCTTGTAAACCCAGCACTCTGGGAGGCCAAGGTGGGAGAATCGCTTGAGCCCATGAGTTCAAAACTGGCCTGGGCAACATAGCAAGATCTCATCTCTACTAAAAATAAAAAATAAATAAAGTTAGCCAGGCATCATGGCGGCACATACGTGTAATCCCAGCCACTCAGCTGAAGCAGGAAGATCCCTTGAGCCCAGGAGTTTGAGGCTACAGTGAGCTGTGATCGTGCTATGGACCCCAATTTGGGCAACAGAGTGAGACCCTGTCTCAAAAAAAAAAAAAATTCAACTTGGTTTGTTGGAGATTTGCTTTTTCCAGTGTTGTAACAGAAGTCAGAAAGAGAAAAGAATGCCTTACAGTCAACTCGCTGGCACACACCTGTTCTGTAAAGTAAGTTACAAGGGTCTTAGTTTACTCTGCCCAGAAATGCATTTATTCTATGGACTTTGAGGGGCTCATTCACAATACATGACAAATCGTCTGAGGGGTGGGTGTAGTGGGAGACTCTCTCGAGGAGTGGAGAACAACTGTCTGCTTCCCGCTGCTGGTTCAATTTGGTGCCAAGCAGCAGTCAGAAGAAAGGCATGAAACCAGGCAAGGTGAGGAGCAAAAAGCCGGAGCTGAAAGCAGAGGGCAGAGTTGACCATGAATGAGAAAATTAAGGTCAAGGCAAGAGCTACAGGGTGTGGACACCTGCCTACCTGCCTGCCTGTGAGAGAACCCCATGGGACTGGGTGTCAGGAAGAGGGCATGCTCCCTAGCACTTGACCTCCTGGGATAGGGCACAGCGCAGAGGCAGGGGGATGCCCGGATGACCTGTGAGAGAGTTCTTTCCCTCTGGAGGCCTTGGGAGGAAGCCAGAATGGGCATGCAGAAGTGGGTCAAGGTTCAATTTTCCTGAAGAAGCCCTGAGCTGGAGACAGGATGCATTGACTTTTTATTTATTTATGAGGCTATCGATTATAATGCAGCTTTTCCACAGGATCCTGAGGCAGCTCGAGTTGGGAGAAGAAACCTCCTACCAGTTCACTTTCTCTGTCCTGGAGATGTCAGGTGTTCAGATAGGCTGCCTCCCTCCCTCCCTGGTGGTTCTCTCTCCTCTCCCTACCCCTCTGCAGCCCTCACCTCTGCACACCCTGAAGGATGGAGGCTCCAGAGAGTTCCTCTAGTCTCTCGGGTCTGGCTGTTCCGGGTTCTTTCCAATATTTAGGGCATATTCCAATACCCCAAATCCTGAGAGCACAGGCTATGTGCTCCACATGAGTGGATGAAAGATTTCTCAGTTATAAAAGGCCTCTGAGATCTTCCTAGCAAAACACCTTTTTACTGAGAAGGAACAGAGGCCAAGGAGAAGTGATTTCTTCCAAGTCACACAAGGTGAGAGGCACAACCTGGACAAGAATGAGGCCTCTCGATTCCCCCAGGCGACAATCCTTTCCACTCTAGCACGCTGCCTCCCAACAGGATCCCTTTTACTTGAAGTGAACCCCCAGACAGATCCTTAATGCCCACTCTTCCCCCTCAGTCCAGGGTTGGGGTGCCCCTGAGCTGGGAATCACTCTCGGGAGCCCTTGCTCTCTTTGGCATTCCCCCAGCAGGCCTCTCCTTATTTTGTTTTGCACTTGATGACATCTTTGCTCTCAGTCTTCCCCACTCCCAAAGAGGATCGAGGAGGTTCTGCTAACTGCAGAGCAAAACAGGGGGTCGTGATAATGACCACAGGCCTGATCAGCCTCGCCTGGCCTCTCCCTCTGGCCTCCCCATGGGCCACCTTTCCTGAGGCCTCTTCCAGTCTTTGAGCCCCAACACTAGCCTTCTGGTGAGCAGAGATGCCATGTCCACTAGTTCCTGTGAACAGAAATGGCTCTTCTCTCTTGGCCCTGATTGCAGAGCTCAGTCTCCTGGCAGAGGCAGGAAGAGGCCTGCCCAGATGGACAGAATCTAGGATGCTGGCCAACACTGCACCATTCCCCGAAGGCTGCCTCCCCAACTTTGGAGACCCTGAATCTTGGCCTAATTGGATATGGCTCTAAAGATGAGGGCCATTGCTTAGGGCTGGGCTGGCTCTTGGCCCTATCAAGATTGTCTCTGTCAGATGCAGGGCCATGCACCTGTAGTCCCAGCTACTCAGGAGGCTGAGGTGGAAAGATCATTTGAGCCTAGGAGTTTAAGGCCAGCCCAGGCAATATAGCAAGACCACATCTCTTTAAAAAAAAAAAAAGACTAACACAAAAACAAAAGATTGCCTATGTCCCTCTACCTCTCCTTAAGTTCATTTTGCCATTCGTTGTTCCAGGGTTTAACCCCAGCCCAACTTACTGTCTTTATTTCATATTTCTTCCCTTCCTACAGGCTATGCTATAGCCAAAAGGAATTTCATACAAGCACTGCATTTTCTTCCTTTATTCCTATTGTTCTATAATGTCCTACCTTCTTGCTCCACACAAGTCGAAAACTCATGTTATAAGCTACCTTCCCTGAGTATAGCAGCTGATGTTTGTTGAGCATCTACTATATGCCAGGCACTGCACCTTTTCCTCACAGTGACCTCAAAATTCTCCCAATGTATCCTAGGGTTATACAATGAGTAGCAAAGTCAAGATTTGAACCCTGGCCTGTGTTCTTCAGAGTCCATACTCACAGCCGCTACACCATATTGCCTCTCAGGAAACAGGTGTCCTTCCCTACATTACCTTTCTCTGACTTAGGATTTGATTAGCACGTCCCTTACCACACATCACTTTTTGATTTTTACTGTAACTACTTAAATCATATCCCTTAGTTTCCTTATTAGACCACGAGCTCTTCAAAAGTAAGGGCTGGGTGACATTTGGTGTCCCCACCACCAGGCCCAGCGCTAGCACAGACAGGTTTAATTAACTGCATTTCAAATGAAGGAATGAACACATGACTGAGTGAATCTGAATTGTAGTGAGGGTTAAAGTCTGTCCATGGTGGAATAGGGAGCTGGAACTTGCTTTTCTGAAGGCCTCAGCCTCACGCCGCCTTTTAAAAGGCACCATGGGAAAGGAGGAGAATGGAAGAGTTTCATAGATGAGTGAGAGCAGGAGCACAAACCCCTGCATGTCTGTAATTACAGAGCCTCTTGATGCTGGCTGCTGTTGGCAGCATGCTGGGGAACGTGTTTTCAGTCCTCCAGGTTGGGAACTGCTGGTACTACTGATTGCTTTGTGTGATCTGACATGGCTGTGAAAGGAAAAGAAAGAAGGGGATAATAAAACCTCCGAGCAGTGGCCTTGCCAGCTGTAGGGCCTGCTCCAAGAGCAAGGGCCTCCAGTGTGCACCCCACCACTGAGACTCGCTTTTGGTAGGGCAGAGGGGAATCTAGCCACCTTGTCTGTGCTGGACCCTTTTGGGAGCAGGATCTCCACATGGAGCAGCCCAGGGCAGGGTGGTCTCCGGCTGGGTTAAGGGCAGTGTCAATTCACCGGGAAACCTTCCAATTTGGGAAGAGGTTGCAGGAGGTGGTAAGGTGTAAAGTTCTGGGGAGAGGACCTGAAGTGTGGGCCTCATCTGCAAAGGAGGTGTGTGTGTGTGTGTCTGTGTTCACGCTTGCTTGAGTTAAGGGAGGGTGCCCAAAATGGGACTGTGCTCCGTCCTTTCAGGGCCCTGAGGTTCCCTGGTGGGTCTATTTTCTCCAAGGGTCTGTTCAAGATTTGGCTTTTCTGGGCAGGTTTAGAACAGGCAGATCTGGCTCCTGAGCCGTGGCTAGGAGGATGGGGCTCTGCCTTGATATGAATCCACCTTTGTGGAGAGAAAGTGCACTCTCACCCACCATTCCCAGCCTCCTTTCCACAACTGCCTGTTCACCTCCTGCCCAAACCAAACAACAGCCTCAAAACACTTGCCTTCACATGACTTCACTTGACTTTTACTCTGATACTTGTATTTTCAGAGCCCATTTACACCCATTTGCCTGCTTCCATTCTTATAACAGGCCCTCCAGGGGTACAGAAAGCAAAGATTCTTTTTATTATAGGTGAGAAACTGAAGCCCAGAGAGGCTGTGTAACTTGTTTCAGGTCACGCAGCAAATTAGCAATGGAGCCCCAGGGTTCACTGCTCTGGCTTCATGACTCCAAGTTCTTTTCCTTCTTCAGTTCTAGGTCCCTACCCACCTGTCTCCTGAAAGGAAATCTTCACAGAGAAGCTCACGCTTCATTAGTAACATGCACATCAATTCTCCTGGTTCTGGGTCAAAAGCAACTCAAAACTGGCACCCTCCTTACTCTTTCCTCCTTATCTCCTTCCTCCATTTCTACCCACCTCCACCCCACTCTTAAGATGCTCATCTCCAGCAAGAATCCTCAATATGGCTCTTGCTGAAAATGTGGGGTAAACGCCAGGGTGCTTTCCTGGGAGGAGAGCCAGTGCTGTTTGTCCTTCCTAGGAAGGAGGAAAAGACAGCGGTGGCCTGGGTCCCAATAAATGGCCTGTCCAGGCCTGGAGAGGGGCTGAAGACAGGGTGATGTGTAAGGAAACTCAGGGATATGATTTAAATAGTTACAGGGTGATGTCTTACAAGTTTCCCTTTTCCTCACACCTCCCAGACTGGTAACCTAATGGTCACTGGATGGCCACCTCTTTAAGACTAAGAAGTCATCTAGCCTGGCTCTACCCTCCATTTGAAACTTTGTCTACATTTGGGATGTTATGCATTGATTCATTCATTTATTCAGCAAATACTTGTTAACGGCTGACTATGCACCAACGTTTGCTGTAGGTGCTGTCGACACCACAGTGAACGTGACAGGCAAGATTCCAAACAGTCTGAGAAAAGAACATTGTTCTTTGGCATACTGTTTTTGGCGGTGAGGTGGGGTGGGCAGGATAGAGAAGTAATGGGAGCTCAGAGAAGCAGGATAGCTGAGAAGGCCTCTCAGGGAAGACATTTGTCTACGCTGAAGCTAGAAAGATGAGCAGACCTTTAAGCAGGCGAAGAGGGGCAAGAGTGTTCCAGGCACAGTGAACAGCATGTGTGCAGACCCAGAGGCTACAGACCCATAGTACACTGAAGGAACTGAAAGAAGCACACATGACCTGAGTGTAGCATGCAAGCGGCAGATGAGGGGAAGAGGGGGTAAGAAATGAGGCTGGATGGTGGGGCAGGGACTGGGTCAAGAAGGGCTTGAAAACCATGTTGAGTAGAATAAACTTTATCCTACAGACAATAAGCCACTGAAAGCTTTTAAGAAGATATGTGACATGTTCAGATGCATGTTTTAGAAAGAGATTTTTTTGCTTTTGTGTGGATTGACAATTTTCAATAGAAATATAATGAGAGCCACAAATGGGAGCCACATATGTAATTAAAATGTTTCTAGTAGCCACATAAACAATGTAAAAAGAAACAAGTGAAATTAATTTTAAATAAATTAATTCAACATATAAATATACTATGATTTTAACATATAATCAACATAGAAATACTAAGATATTTTACTTTCTTCATATTAAGTCTATGAAATCTGGTGTGTATTTTACACTTATAGCACTTTTTTTTTTTTTTTTGAGATGGAGTCTCGCTCTGTCGCCCAGGCTGGGGTGCAGTGGCGCGATCTTGGCTCACTGCAAGCTCCGCCTCCTGGGTTCACGCCATTCTCTTACCTCAGCCTCCCGAGTAGCTGGGACTACAGGCACCCACCACCACGCCTAGCTAAATTTTTTGTATTTTTAGTAGAGACGGGGTTTCACCATGTTAGCCAGGATGGTCTTGATCTCCTGACCTCGTGATCTGCCCGTCTCGGCCTCCCAAAGTGCTGGGATTATAGGCGTGAGCCACCGCGCCCAGCCACTTGTAGCACATTTTGAATTGGCCTAGCTACCTTTTGAGTGCTCCAGGCCACATGCAGTTAGAGACTATCATATTGGACAATGCAGATGTAGAGAATGCATTTGACGAAGCAAGAATGGGTGTTAGGAGACGAGGGATGAAACTGTTGCAATTGACCTGGAAGATCATGATGACTTGAGGCTAGAGACAGGTTTCAGAGATATGACTCCCAGATTTCTGTCTTGGGCAGCCAGCTGGATGCTAGGGCCATGATGAGATGGAGAAGTCAGAAAGAGGTTTGGGGGTGAGTGGATGTGGAAGGGTTGAAAGTGGTTGAAAGTGAGGAGTTCCGTTTTGGACATGTTGCATTGGAGGTATTTGTGGGGCATCTGCGGAATTTGTTTGATAGTTTTTCTTCACTCCAATTTTTCTGACTGGGTACATGGTCACTCAGAATAAAAACCATGTGTGGACCTCTAAGTTCTGGCCAGAGGGATATAGGCACATGTATTGTGAATCCTGTCTGGGAAGTGTCTTGGAAGAGAAAGAGCATGCTCTGTCACAGCTTTCTCCTTCCTGCTAGAGGCTGAGTGGCCATCCTGGATCAGTTGAGGGTTGAGGGTGGCAGAATTATAGGTAGAAGAATCCTGAGACCCTGACACTGTGGATCCGTCACACCAGGCCTGGATTTAATACCTCTGCACTTCTATCTTGTTTGAGCCATTTTATTTGGGATTTCCTTTTATTCACAGGAAAGGGATTCTAATGAATATAGCACTTAAATGGAGATGTTCACAGGGCAGTTGGATCTTATGGGTCTAAAGCTAAGGAGAGGGGTCTGGACAGGATATATATAGATTTGGGAATTACCAGTCTATAGTTGGTCATTGAAGCCATAGCAACATATAAGATCTCCAAGGAAGAATGGTCTAGTGAGAAGAGAAAAGGATCTAGAACAAAACTCTGAGGAACACCAACATTTAAAGAATGAGCAGAGGAAGAGGAGCCTGCTAAGGAGACAAAAGGTGTAGCCAGAGTGGTAGGAAGAAAACCAGGGAAGTGCTACGCTATGGAAGGCTAGGGAGGAGAGAGTCCCAAGGAGGGACTGGTCAACAGAAAGCAGCCATCTCTGCTTGCTGCTATGAGTGTGACAGGGTCTGAAAAAAACAACTTAGGGTTCTGTTGCTGTCCCAAATCCCAACAGACTAGTCATGTCATCCTTCTGCTCATAACCCTTCAGTGGATTCTTAGTTTTTTCAGGATGAAGTTCTAGCTCCTTCGCAGATCCTTTGGGTCCCTCCAAAGTCTAGCCCTAACTCTTCTGTCCAGCCTGTTCCTTTCCCCCGTACACTGTGTCCCTGCCAGACTTGGCTTCCCACCATTCCCTGCCTTGGCTCATGATTTTTTCCAAAATTCTACCCACTCTTCAAGACTTACCTCAAATGCTAACCCCTCTGTTCCCTCATTCTTCCATACAGATTAATTACCCCTAACCCATGTTCCCAGAGCATTTTGCTCACTCTTAGTCGCAACCACCACTGTACTCTGACCTGTGCTAATAAAATTGATTGTACATATGTGTGTCTCCCCATTGACACTGTGGGTCTGAGCAGTCATAGCTGCTTCTAGCTGTTCATCTCCATCTCCCTCGGTGCCTCCTGCAGAGCTTGTTAGAGATGTTTCAGAAATGTCTATGGATTTAATGGAACTATTGTCCTCCCACAGACCCCAAGTAATAGTGTGATCTCTGTTTTCTTTGTCATAGTATTCCAGGGGTAGAAATGATAGGGGAGACACTAATATAGAGAACCCTGGTATGGAGGAAAACAGACATGTTGAGTTTGAATCCTGCTGCTCAAAGAAATTGTCCTAGTCTGTGTTTCCCTGACTCAAGTAGCTTGTATCAAGAACCACCTTAATAATAGAAAAGCAATAGAAAAAAAAATGAAACTAAAAATTGGTTCTTTGAAGAGATGAACAAAATTGACAAATCTTTAGCTAGACTGACCAAAGCAAGAAAAAGAGAGACAGAGAGAGAGAGAAGGAGGTGAGAAAAAGAGAGAGACTCAAGTTACTAAAACACTAAAATTAGGAATGAAAGAGGGAACATTATTACCAACCTTAAAGAAATAAAAACGTGCAGCCATAAAAAAGAACAAGATCACGTCTTTTGCAGGAACATGGATGGAGGCTATCATCCTTAGCAAACTAATGCAGGGACAGAAAACCAAATACTGTGTGTTCTCACTTATAACTGGGAGCTAAATGATGAGAACTTATGAACACAAAAAAGGAAACGACAAACACTGGGGTCTACTTGATGGAGGAGGGTGGGAGGAGGGAGAGGAGCAGAAAAGAGAACTATTGATTACTGAGCTTAATACCTGGGTGATGTACAACAAACTCCTGTGACACGTGTTTCTCTATGTAACAAACCTTCGCATGTATTCCTGAACCTAAAATACAAACTTAAAAAAAGAAGTAAAAGAGATTTTAAGGAGATACTATGAACAAAGTGGATAGCCTAGATAAAACACACACATTTTTAGAAAGACACAGACTACTAAAACTCTCTCAAGAAACAGGTAATCTGAATAGGACAAGAAAAGAGATTGCACTATACTATCGCAAAAACTTCCCACACAGAAAATTCCAGGCCCTGATGGCTTCACTGGTGAATTCTACTAAATGTTTAAAGAATTAAAATCAGTCCTTTATACTCTTTCAAAAATGGAATAGTAACACTTTCCAACTTATTTCATGAGTTCAGTATTACCCAGATACCAAAACCAGAAGACATCGTAAGAAAACTATCAGCTGGGCACAGTGGCTCATGCCTATAATCCCAGCACTTTGGGAGGCCAAGGTGGGTGGTCAGGAGTTCGGGACCAGCCTGGCCAACATGGGGAAACCCTGTCTCTACTAAAAATACAAAAATTAGCTGGGCCTTGTGGCAGGCGCCTGTAATCCCACCTACTCTGAGGCTGAGGCAGGAGAGTTGCTTGAACCTGGGAGGCGGACATTGCAGTGAGCCGAGATTGTGCCATTGCACTCCAGCCTGGGCGACAAGAGAGAAATTCCATCTCAAAAACAAACAAACAAACAAACAAACAAACAAAACCCATCAATATCACTTATAAATATAGATGCAAAAATCTTCAACAAAATACTAACAAAATGAACATGGCAACATATAAAAAGGATTATACATCATGACCAAGTGGGATTTATCCCAGGAATGCAAGATTGGCTTAACATTTGAAAATCACTCAATAGGCCAGGTGCAGTGGCTCACACCTGTAATCCCAGCACTTTGGGAAGCCAAGGTGGGAGAATAGCTTGAGTCCAGGAGTTCAAGACCAGCCTAAGCAACATAGTGAGACGCTGTCTTTACAAAAAAAAAAAATTTTTTTAAATTAGCCAGGTGTCATTGCATGTGCCTATGGTCTCAGGTGCTTGGGAAGCTGAGGTGAGAGGATCACTGAATCTTGGGAGGTCAAGTCTGCAGTGAGCCATGATCACACTACTGGGTGGCACAGTAAGACCCTTTCAAAAAAAGTAAAAAATAAGTAGAAAGAAAAAAGAAAATCTATCAATGTAATACACCATACTAATAATAAAGGACAAAAGCCACATGATCATGTCAATAGATGCAGAACAAGCATTTGACAATTTGATAAAGTTTCATGATAAAAACACTCAACAAACTAGGGATGGGAGTGAACTTCCTTAACTTGATAAAAGCACCTACAAACCTCCCACATCTAACATTAATG
The DNA here is from genome assembly GCF_000001405.40 of Homo sapiens. NCBI lineage: Eukaryota > Metazoa > Chordata > Mammalia > Primates > Hominidae > Homo > Homo sapiens. Next base: position 58,073,051 of record NC_000017.11, read on the forward strand.
GTGAAAGACTGAAAGCTTTTCCCCTAAGATAGGGAAGAAGTCAAGGATGACTGCTCTCACTAACCCTACTGAATAATATACTGAAGGTTCTATCTAGGACAATTAGGCAAGAAAAATGAATAAAAGACACCCAGATTTTAAAGGAAGAAGTAAAACTATCGTAGATGACATGATTTTGCATACAGAAAATGCTAAGAAACACACACATACACATTGTTTTTTTTTTTTTTTTTTTATTGATCATTCTTGGGTGTTTCTCGCAGAGGGGGATTTGGCAGGGTCACAGGACAATAGTGGAGGGAAGGTCAGCAGATAAACAAGTGAACAAAGGTCTCTGGTTTTCCTAGGCAGAGGACCCTGCGGCCTTCCGCAGCGTTTGTGTCCCTGGGTACTTGAGATTAGGGAGTGGTGATGACTCTTAACGAGCATGCTGACTTCAAGCGTCTGTTTAACAAAGCACATCTTGCACCGCCCTTAATCCATTTAACCCTGAGTGGACACAGCACATGTTTCAGAGAGCACAGGGTTGGGGGTAAGGTCACAGATCAACAGGATCCCAAGGCAGAAGAATTTTTCTTAGTACAGAACAAAATGAAAAGTCTCCCATGTCTACTTCTTTCTACACAGACACGGCAACCATCCGATTTCTCAATCTTTTCCCCACCTTTCCCCCCTTTCTATTCCACAAAACCGCCATTGTCATCATGGCCCGTTCTCAATGAGCTGTTGGGTACACCTCCCAGACCGGGTGGTGGCCGGGCAGAGGCGCCCCTCACCTCCCGGACGGGGCGGCTGGCCGGGCGGGGGGCTGACCCCCCCACCTCCCTCCCGGACGGGGCGGCTGGCCGGGCAGCGGGGCTCCTCACTTCCCAGTAGGGGCGGCCGGGCAGAGGCGCCCCTCACCTCCCGGACGGGGCGGCTGGCCGGGCAGGGGGCTGACCCCCCCCACCTCCCTCCCGGACGGGGCGGCTGGCCGGGCGGGGGGCTGACCCCACCACCTCCCTCCCGGACGGGGCGGCTGGCCGGGCAGAGGGGCTCCTCACTTCCCAGTAGGGGCAGCCGGGCAGAGGTGCCCCTCACCTCCCGGACGGGGCGGCTGGCCAGGCGGGGGGCTGACCCCCCCACCTCCCTCCCGGACGGGGCGGCTGGCCGGGTGGGGGGGCTGACCCCCCCACCTCCCTCCCGGTCGGGGCGGCCGGCCAGGCAGAGGGGCTCCTCACTTCCCAGTAGGGGCGGCCGGGCAGAGGCGCCCCTCACCTCCCGGAGGGGGCGGCTGGCCGGGCGGGGGGCTGATCCCCCCACCTCCCTCCTGGAGGGGGCGGCTGGCCAGGAGGGGGGCTGACCCCCCCCCACCTCCCTCCCGGACGGGGTGGCTGCCGGGCGGAGACGCTCCTCACTTCCCAGATGGGGTGGCTGCCGGGCGGAGGGGCTCCTCACTTCTCAGACGGGGCGGCTGCTGGGCGGAGGGGCTCCTCACTTCTCAGACAGGGCGGTTGCTAGGCAGAGGGTCTCCTCACTTCTCAGACGGGGCGGCCGGGCAGAGATGCTCCTCACATCCCGGACGGGGCGACAGGGCAGAGGCGCTCCCCACATCTCAGAGGATGGGCGGCCGGGCAGAGACGCTCCTCACTTCCTAGATGGGATGGCGGCCGGGAAGAGGCGCTCCTCACTTTCCAGACTGGGCAGCCAGGCAGAGGGGCTCCTCACATCCCAGACGATGCGCGGCCAGGCAGAGACGCTCCTCACTTCCCAGACGGGGTGGCGGCCGGGCAGAGGCTGCAATCTCCGCACTTTGGGAGGCCAAGGCAGGCTGCTGGGAGGTGGATGTTGTAGCGAGCCGAGATCACGCCACTGCACTCCAGCCTGGGCACCATTGAGCACTGAGTGAAGGAGACTCCGTCTGCAATCCCGGCACCTCGGGAGGCCGAGGCTGGCGGATCACTCGCGGTTAGGAGCTGGAGACCAGCCCGGCCAACACATCGAAACCCCGTCTCCACCCAAAAAACACGAAAACCAGTTACGCGTGGCGGCGCGCACCTGCAATCGCAGGCACTCGGCAGGCTGAGGCAGGAGAATCAGGCAGGGAGGTTGCAGTGAGCCGAGATGGCAGCAGTACAGTCCAGCTTCGGCTCGGCATCAGAGGGAGACCGTGGAAAGAGGAGAGGGGGAGGGGGAGGGGGAGGGGGATGGAGAGGGAGAGCCACATTGTTATGAATTAATGAATGAGCTCAGAAAGGTTGTAGGTTACAAATTATAATGCATATACAAAAATCAATTGTATTTTATATACTAGCAATGATTACAATCTGAACATGAAATTATGAAAACAATTCAATTAAAAATGGCATCAAAAATAATTACTCAGGGAATATATGTAGTGAAAAATGTGCAAGACATGTACACTGAAAATTAGAACACATTATTAAAAGAAATTAAAGAAGACTTAACTAAATGGAAAGACATCCATGTTCATGGACTGGAAAACTTCATATTGTTAAGATGGCAATACTCCCCAAATTGATCTACCAGTCAACACAATCCCTATCAAAAATCCCAGCTGGATTTTTAACAGAAATTGATAAGCTGGTCCTACCAGTCATATGGAAATGCAAAGGACTCAGAATAGACAACAAATCATAAAAATTAGAGCAAAGATGGAGGATTCACACTTCCAGATTTCACAATTTACTACTTAGCTACAGTCATGAGGACAGTGTGGTACTGGCATAAAGATAAATATGTAGATCATTGAAATAGAATTGGCAGTTCAGAAACTCTTACATTTATAGGCAACTGATTTTTTATAATGGTGTCAAGACAATTTAGTGGTGAAAGGATAGCCTTTTCAACCATTGATGTGGGACAACTGGGTATCCACATGTAAAACAAATGATGTTGGACTCTACCTCACACCATACACAAAAGTCAACTCAAAATAGATCACTGACCTAAATGCAAGAGCTAAAATTCTTAGAAGAAAATGTAGGAGTAAATCTTTGTGATCTTGGGTTAGGCAATAGTTTCTTGGACGTGACATCAAAAGCACAAGTGACGAGAAAAAAACAGACAAATTGGACTTCACCCAAAGTAAAACTTTTGTATTTCCAAGGACACTAGCAAGAAAGTGAAAATACAGGCCCAAGGAATGGGAGAAAACATTTGCAAAATTAAATCTTTGATGAAAGTCTAGTATCCACAATACATAAAGAACACCATCAACTCAATAATAATAATAAAAAATCCAATGAAAAACGGGCAAAGAATCTGAATAGACATCTCTCCTCAAAAGATATACAAATGGTCCATAAGCATATGAGAAAAGATGGCCAACATCATTAGCTATTAAGGAAATGCAAATAAAAACCACAATGAGACACCGCTTCACAGTCCCTAGGATGGGTATAATAAAAAAGGCAAATAATAATGTGTTGGTGAGGATGAGGAGACATTGAAACCCTCCAACACTGCTTGTAGGAATATAAAATGCAGGCACTTTTGAAAACAGTCTGGCCATTCCTCAAAAGGATAGCATAGAGTTAACATAAAACCCAGAAATTCCACACCTTGGTATATTCCCACCCTACCCCCCGGCAAAATGAAAGAGTATATTCACACAAAATCTTGCCCATGAATGTTCCTAGCAATATTATGCATAATAGCTAAAAAGTGGAAACAACCCAAATGTCCATCAACTGGTGGGTAAGCAAAATGTGGTATACCTATATGATGGAATATTACTTGGCCATAAAAAGAATAAAGTACTGATTCATATTATAGCATGGATGAACCTTGAAAATATACTAAGGTAAAATGAGTCAGCCACAATCACAAAAGACCATATATTGTATGATTCCATTTATATGAAATGTCCGGAATAGTCAAATCCACGGAGACAGAAAGTAGACTAGCGGGAATTGGAGGAAATAGGGGAGAGACTGCCAAGGATTTGGGGTTTCTTTGGGGGTGATGAAGTGTTCTAAAATTAGATAACGAGTGATGGTTGCACAGCTCTGTAAATATACTGAAAACCACTGAATTGTGCACATTATAAAGATAAATTTTATGATATGTGAATTATATCTCAATTAAGCTGAGGGGTGTGTGTATGTGTGTGTGTGTGTGTGTGTGTAATATTAAGTTGAAATGTAAGGGGGGGCCCTCCATTTTCCTGGTGAGAAGATCCCAAAAAAGTTTTTGTTTTTGTTTTAGTTTTAGAAAGAGTCTTGCTTTGTCACCCAGGCTAGAATGCAGTGACAGTCTCTGCTCACTGCAACCTCTGCCTCCTGTGTTCAAGCAATTCTCATACCTCAGCCTCCAGAGTAGCTGGCATTGCAGGCATGTGCCATCACACCTGGCTAATTTTTGTATTTTTAGTAGAGACGGGGTTTTGCCATGTTGTCCAGGCTGGTCTCAAACTTCTGCCCTCAAGTGATCTGACCACTTCTGTCTTCCCAATAATTTTTTTTTGTCACCTTGAATAAACTACAACATGCCTGACAAGGCAAAGTTTTTCTTCAAAATTATCCTCAAAAAGGCAGGCAAAATTGCACTAGTCTCATTTGGTAGGGCTCCCCACCCCCATTCCCCACCTCACTGTCAGGGACCAACGGTGAAAGACCATAGTGTACATTTTTATGACAGTGGGGACAAGGATTTCCCTCATATGTAACTCTGCCTCCCTCTCTTGAGGCTCTCAAGAGAGTGGACATCGGCGGCTTCTTACTTCTTATAACCACTGCTGGACTTTCCCCTGTCAGCTCTTCCTTCCTCGATCTCAGAAGGTCTGTCAATCAGGCTTTCTGCCCTCCTCTTTTGTGACCAAAAGGTGGACATATGACTTCACCGGGAATTTGAGTGGAGAGTGGGGAGACTCCAGGAGAACAGTGGATTTGCCTTACTGGGATGCTCTGAGGCAACTGTTCCCTGGCTGCTGCTCCCTGGAGTCAGGGTGGCTACTCCAGGCCTGTTTGTTTTCCTTCAGGTATTTCTTGCACCTAAGAACACTAACTTGGTCTTTTCAGGTATTCAAGGCTAGTCATTTCCATATCATTGTCTTGATTTTCTCTTGATGGCAAAGACAGGGTTTCTCAGGGTTGTCCAGAAAATGAAGGAGGAAAACTTTTAAATTATGAGGAGTCATGACCTGAACACCATGACTTCCACTGGGCATCTTCTCTGTAGTTTCTATTTGGTGATCATTTGCTTTAATATTTTAATTGAAACTCTAAACAATTCATTGAATCTAAACTAGATCAAGTCATGTTGTTTCTTAGGGCAATAAAAAGATGAGCAAAATGATATCCCAACTCTCCAGGAACTCATTTGGTGTGAATTCTGACTGAGTGGATCAGAGAAGGTATCCTTTGTAATGGGGTTATTGAAATAGAGAATCATAGACTTTGGGGCTTCTGGGGACCTTACAGATCAGCCAGTCCTACATCTTTCAGATGAAGAAATCCAGAGTCTGAGAGGTGAAATGACTTGACTAGCAGCTGAATATGGCTTGGGACTTCCTCCTTGACTCTTAGTCCAGAGCTTATCTCACCGGTTCAAGTGGTTGAACTTGGCTGGTTCCTCAGGGAGTCTGGAGACAGGAGGGACAAATTTTTTGTTTTTTTTGAGACGGAGTCTCACTCCGTCGCCCAGGCTGGAGTGCAGTGGTGCAATCTTGGCTCACTGCAACCTCTGCCTCCTGGGTTCAAGTGATTCTCCTGCCTTAGGCTCCCGAGTAGCTGGCATTACAGGTGCCCACCACCATGCCCAGCTAATTTTTGTATTTTTAGTAGAGACAGGGTTTCACCATGTTGACCAGGTTGATCTCGATCTCTTGACCTTGTGATCCGCCTGCCTCAGCCTCCCAAAGTGCTGGGATTACAAGAGTGAACCACCGCTCCCAGCCAAGGAGGGACAATATTTAGGGCTTGGTAAATAGTTGCCCAGGGAAATATGTCTTACAAGGTCACCCAAGAAATCAGCAAAGAATTGAGGTGGATTTCAGCAGTTCTAGTCACATGGGACTTGAGAGGGGAGACTGGCACCAGGGTCTGCATTGCAATGGGAGTGTCAAGGTGTGTCTTTCCCAACCTTCTACAATTTCCTGGAGATCTTGAAGCAGGTCAATGCTAAAGGGCTAGGCAAAACAACTTCTGTCACCTCCACGGTCTCTTTCCTCTAGATGATCCAGTCAGCTGGAGTTGGATTGTCTTTACCTGTAAGGACATTAGTCAAATACCCAGCAGACAGTGTGAGGAGGAAATCAATTGACAAACCAGGGTTGGAGTTTCACTAGGACTAACAATGAATTATTTTACCTGGCAACTTGTTTAGGGCAGGAAGGGCCCAGTGTTAATAGTATACATTGCTGGTTCTTGACAAAGAGAGCCTGGACACTGTTCTTTGGGGTGGAGAAACAGTGTCCTTCCAAGCTGTACTTTTCAGTCATTAATGGGCACAATTAGTTTATAGAATGTTTACAGAGAACTTCCCATGTTTCAGGAACTATGCTAGGTCCTGCAGCCACACATAAGTAAGACGTGATTCTCACCTGAAAGGAACTACAGACAAACATAAGACTGACATATTTAATGGTAAGTGGTCAGTGAAAACTCCTGGATGTTACAGAGCACAGAAGAGGGGTATGCATTCCCTCTGGGGTTCAGGGGCTTGGTAGATGACATCCAAAGGAGTCAGCCAGGAAAAAAGCTCCAAGCCTCACAGGCAAGAGAGCCACATGAGCTCAGGTGTGGAATCTGCATGTAGGGAAACGACAGGCGGTGGATGGTGTTACTAGAGCAGGAAGAACGAGATGGAAAGTGTGGGGACATAAGGCAGAGAAGCAGGTGTGCACGTGTGGAGGTTAAGTTATGGGAAAGGAGTTAGTGTTTATTCTGAGCAGGAAAGAGGGGCGTGCCTGAGGAGATCTGCATTTTAGATAGATCACAGCAGTGTAGATCTAAGGCAGAGGAGCCAAGAATGGAGACAGAGAACCAACTGGAAGAGATGATGAGTGTCTGACGCAGGGGATTCATAATGAGAAGGAAGGCATGGATTGGAAAAATATCCAAGAGATGAGCAGTGATGGAGACATGGTGGGTGAGGGAGAGACACAAATCTAGGGTTTCTGGCTTGTGCCTGGGTGGATAATGGGGCCATAAACTGAGATAGGAAATACAGGGAAGGGGAACAAGTCTGGGACAGAGATGTTGGCGATGGCTAACATTTATTAATCACATATATGAACCAGGCACTGTGCCAGGACTTCTTCATGCATTTTCTCTTAACTCCATGAAGTGGATATGATTCTCAATTTATAGATGAGGAAAATGAAATTTGGAAATGTTGAATAGCTTAGCCAAATCTGCACAGCTGGTAGAGTGGTGGAAAAAGGTCAGAATCCATGCATTCTGGCCCACTGCTTTATATGTGTGTATGCGAAGAGTCTGAAGAGCCTGTGGGGCATCCACAGTGGAGAGGTCCAGGCATTAGGGGGTCATCGGGGCCCAGATCATGGTAAAAACCATGAATGTGGGTGAAATTTCTAAGTTGAGCAGTGAAGGAAGCAAAGAGCCCTGGGGAACCCCGAAGTTAAAGAAGTAGCCAGATGGAAAGGGGTCCACCAAAGAGCCAAAAACAATAGTCTGATTTTGATTTTTAAGTCAGAAGACATGACCATGTTATCTGGGCAACAGGAAACTGGGCAATCACAAACAGTGTAGCTGTATCAAATAAAAACATTCACCAAGTTAAGCTAACATATTAATTATAACAGTGACTATGTTGCATAGTAATTATCCTGAACAGTAAGCATTTTACACAAATAGCAGTAATTAGTATATCACAAGTTTCCCAAACTGTGTCCTGTGGAATAGTAGTTCCTGGAGATGTTAATAAATGTTTGGATTAAAAAAAGGGCTTTGGAGTCAGATAAGTTTAAGGAATACTGGTATAATTTAGATAGAGGGCCAAACTCTGTTTTACACTTTCTCTCCTCTTTTCTCTGTTAGGATGCAGTATAGTATAATGGCTAAGATTGTAGGCAGTGGAAACAATCTGGAGTTGAATCCTGCCGCTGACAAACTGGATAATCTTGGGTCAGTTACTGAACTTCTCTAAACTGTAGTTTGCTCATCTGTACAGGGTGATAGTCATATATGCACTTCAAAAGGCAGCTTCTGGGATTAAATGGAACGCATTGCATTTAAAACACTTAGAATAGAGCCTGACATAGAGCAAGGGATTCATGAGGATTACTTATTATTATTTATAAACCATACTATTAACACATCTCCCTGTTATTCTACAGTTTAGTCCTTGACACACACACACACACACACAAGAGCACTGATATTCACATTTCCTAAAAGTGAAAACCCGTGGCTCTGACTTCTGTTAGTTGAAGTTCTTCGTGCCCTTCTGTCCACCACACCACAGCCTGGAAATGAGCAAGCTCTTATCCCTATTATACTTCAGGGAAGGGGAGCAGGGAGAGGGAGGATTTATGCCCTGGCAGCATGGCCTTTGAAGGGCCACTGCTAGCTCATAGTAACCCTTGGGAACACTTGAAAGAAGTCATCTTCTGGTTGGACACTGGCTTGTACCGTGACACACAGGCTAGCAAGCAGTGTGCCGGCTGTATTTTAGCACCCGCTTGCTCCATCGGTTGGATACTCTTGCGCAGTGAATGACCTGTGCAACCATACGTGGCAGATCTGACCTTCAGGCCCTGGAAGGGCCTGGAAACTAAGGACTGTTGGAGAAAGGGGGTACTAGCTTCGCTTTCTCCAGGCAGTCCAGGCGATTAGCCCCGCACAAGCCCTAAGTGTATAAATCATCCTTCCTCGTCTCCCTCCCTTCCTCCCATAGAGGCCACGCCTCCCATTCATGAACACAAAGACTGACATCAGAAAACCCTTAGTGTGAGGGGATACCCCAGGCCTTAACTGGTCTCTGAAATCCCCCAACTGAGGTTGTTAGAGGACAGAACTGTGGAAAGCAGTAACCAGAGGGAATGATTTTTCCAGGTTTCCCCTGACACATAACGAACACTAACTTTTGATGCTTCAAACCAGAGCAGGCCAGGGCCAGGGCAAGTCTGACTTCCTGACCATGGTTTGGAGAGGCGAAGGGGAAAAGATGGGAGTGGGAGCTATCCCCGGCAGCTTCTTAATCCCTACTGTATGGCCAAAATGCTTGGTTCCCAATAAAGGCTCGTCAGCCCTTGAGGTAGACACTTCTGTATAAAACAGACCAGAAAGAAAACCGCAGGCCTGAGGATCTTTCCTGGGAGTGGGATGGAGTGAGGGCAGGCAGGCTCCCAACGCGCACGTTCACACCCACTCTCCCAGAAGTAGTCTCTTGAGCCTCCAGAGGGGCTGCTTCCTGGGTGCACCTCTTTTCAGCTAGAAGCAAGTCAAGCCTGACCTGCGGGATCTGGCAGGGCTCTCTGTACTTGGATTCTCTCCTTTATAAAGTGAGGGGTGTGGATGGGTGGTTTTTGAAGGCTCCTCACAGCTCTGACAGGCACCACCTCTGGGGGCTTCTATTCACTCTCCTCCAACCTTGTCTACCTGGACAGGCAGGGACAGACGACAAGAAATCGCTCACTCTCACCCCCATCCCAGGACCCCAAGGCCATAAATGTGCAAGGACAGCAGAGGCCTGCGTACCAAAGACACATCCCCATCAATTTTGCTTCGGCTCTGTCTCCATTGCTCCTGTAGACAAATACCGGCTGGGGGCCCAGCTGGGAGTTTAGGTCCTTCAGCCTCAAAGAACAAAGGAGGAAGAAGGGACCTTCCCGGAAGGTGAGGGGAGGGAGTCCTGGGGCTCCTATGCCTCTCCCTCTCCATAGGGCTGGCTGTCCCTCTCTTTCTCACAGATACGGGAGGAGGGAGTGTCCTGTCTTTTCCTCTGAGGCTGGTGACTTCATCTCCTCCCCTCTCTAAGGTTGGGGTCTCTACCTCAGCCCCATCTGTTCCCTGGGTCTGAAATCTCCATCCCCCTCTCCCTTTTTTCTCCTTGGGACTGGGGGTCTCCACACCCTTCCCTCTCCTCCTCTCTCAGGACCATGTCTCTTTATTCCTTTTCAGGCCTGGCCTCTCCAGCCCCGGGGGGAGGGGTCCGCATTCCTCTCCTTTCTTAAGGCCACGGCTCCCTCCCCCACCCGCTCCAGCTCCTCCTCCCCACCCCCTCCCTCCGCCCCGAGGCATTGTGGGAGGAAACAAGATGTGGGGCGAGAGCGGCGCGGGGAGAAGCCCGCAGTGCGGGGCCGGGCGGGCTCAGCCAATGGGGAGCGCGGACGGCGGCGCGCGCGGCGGGGGGGCGGGGGCGGGGCACTATTTCAGCGGGGGCCGCGCGTCGGCCGCGCTCAGCGGCAGAGCGGAGCGGAGCTGTGAGGCGCCAGTGCGGAGCGGGCGGGCGGGCGGGCGGCGTGAGGCGGAGCGCGGGCGGCCGGCGAAACTCCAAGGGCGGACCGCGGCAGGGAGCGATCGGCCTCGGGCTGCGGGAGCCGGAGACCGCGGCGGCGGCGGCTGCTGCAGCTGCAGGAGGAGCCCAGGGAACACCGCCCCTGCCTGTGCTCTGCCTCGGGCCATCGCTCCTCCCCAGGGCCCAGTGCGGACTCGCCTCCGTGAAGGTGAGCGGTGGGTGGGGGCGTCCCCCGGGTGGCGGGCCTGTGTCCGTCGCGTGCGACTCTACACGACCCGGCCCTCGCCGCGGTGGCCCTGCGGCCTCCTTAGCCGGCCCCAAGGCCTGGAACAGGGCTGGCCCCGCAGCCCTTGGCGTTGACGGTCCGGGCAGCGCAGCGCGCCCCCGCCGCCCCTCCCTCTCGGCGCAGCCCGGGCTGCGCCACCCTTTGCCCCGGCCACCCTCGTGGCGCTGCTGGAGGCCCGGGCTGCGGAGCTGCCGCTGCCCCCGCCCCCGGGAGTCTCTCTGCGCTGCGTGGAGGCCCCTGATGTCAGGGGCCGGGGAAGAGGGGGTGGAGAGGGCTCGGGCGTGACGCGGCTCCTCCTGCCGCCACCGCCACCCTCTGGGGCGTCCTTCCTGCAGCGAGGACGCCCAGTCACTCCGGCGCTGTTCCAGGCCGGGTGGGGGAGGGCGGCCGACCGGCCGGGGCCTGCGGACCTGGCCGGCGGCGCGGGCGGGAGGTCGGGGGGAAGGAGGATGCTTCCTCGTTCCCCAGGTGCTGCCCTTCGGGACCGCAGCGCTCTGGAGGATGGGATAGTGGAGGGATACGGCCCACTTGGAGAGCCCGAAGAGGGAAGTAGAAGTGTGTGTGTATTGGCGGGTGGGGATGGTGGTCCGTGTCATTCGGAGATTTAGCCTTTTTTTTTGGTTGCAAAACCAGGAATAGAGGATGGGAGCTGTCCTGGGGTGCCCTTTGTGCTTTTCACAGGAGCCTTGGCTCGTGACTGAGGCTGCTGGCCTGGGGCCCTCTGGCCATCTTCCTCCTATCTGGAGGCCCAGGTCCCTTGCTTTTTCCCAAGGAGGGAGGGGCTAGGCTGGACACCTTCCTGTGCTTTGCTTACCGGCACCTTGGACAGGGGTGGTAGGGGTTGGGCTTCACCTCTCTCAGATGCCTGGGGGGCCATTGTAGTCGTAAGACCAATATTATGTAACCGCAGGCTCTTTCCTGGAGAGTAAGGTGGCTTTTAATTACTGTAACAAAGTTGCTCCTTTGGACTTTGGGAATGAGGCAGTGGAGCAGGTGAGCTTGCAGGCAAAATGGTGCCAATTTCATACTTTCACTTTGCTGTCTAACCAGGCCCCACCCCCACCCCTGGGTTTGTAAACAGTGCCCCCTTCTGAGTGGTAACCTGGAATAGGCCACCAGGTGACACTAGTTTTTCTTCACTTATACAGAGCCTTATAATGTAAGAACCTTTCTCCCTGTGCTGCTGTTGTACCTTTGCTCAGACCCATTTGAGTTTACCCCATTTATCTCATTTCAACCATTAGTATTTAAAATGAAGATGTTGATTTGCCCAAGGTCACGTAACTAGTCATTCCTTGAACAGGGTTCTCCGAATCTTTCCTCAGCACCACATGGTGCTCACAGACTCCAGTTGAGGCTCTGACTTTTCCTCTCCAGAATGTGGGGGCAGAGGGTGCTGGTCTACTACCTCTTTGCTCTGCCAGTTTCTGCCGAAGTGGAACCAGCCCTGCTTAGTTTGGCAGTGCTATCTAGATGAAGGGGCCTTGGATGCGGTCAAGGGCTGCCTGGCTGGCAGCTGGCATGTGTGCATTCTCTGCATGTGGTGCAGGCTGAAATGGTGGTGGTGAGTTCTGTTTTCCCTTTCAGCCATCTAGCCCACAGGCTATTGTGAACTCCGAGATCAAGGTGGCCTGGAATGATACCAAGGATATGTCCTTGAGCAGGCAGCCTCCTGTGTAGCCTTCCATCAGATAGAGCTGGAATGACAGCATCTCTTGTCCATTGGGCTGGGCCACAGAGGGGTGCTTTTAGGGGTGGGATGATGGGGGAGATAGTTACTGCTCCATGTGTTGGGACTGTGGTCAAGGACAAAGGGCTCATCCCCTCTGTTCCTGCATAGTACCTCACATGTTGCCACCTGTCAGGCACGTCCTGAGATTCCGCTCGTCCCAAGAAGGGTCCATGCAGGGTCTGCCTGGAACCTGTGGTTGCTATGGCATGAATGGCATGGCCTTGATAGCAGGGATATGAAACAAGGCTATTAAAATCTTTACCTTTCTTAGGCACCTTTTTAAAATGCTTTATCTCCAGGTTTTTCCCAAGCCTCTGTTTTTTTAGGGGAAGGAAGGCTTCAGCATTCCTTTGAGGAAAATAAGATATTGTCTCCTAACATAATACCTTTCACATCACCTAATAGGTCAGTACTTTTTGAATGAATGAATAAGTTTGACATGAGGAAGCAACGCACCAAAGAGATGAGAAATCAGTGTTGAAGCTGGGTCCAAAATCTAGGGCTTTCAAAAATTATATTGGGCTTTAAAGAATGAACATTGTACTGAGGAGAGTGGGGAAGCAGAGGGGAGGATGGGACAGAGAGAGACATGTCCTGTGTGACCGACCAGCCAAGTCTGAGGTTGCCTTCCCACCCTCTCTACCTCTTACGGGCATCTCAGCCTGGAGTACTTGAGAGAAGGCATAATTATCATTATCTCTGCCCCACTGGACATTGGTGGCCTGGAATAGGGCCTGTATAGGGCAGGGGTTGGCAGCATTTTTCTGTGAAGGGCCAGATAGGAAATATTTTTGGCTTTGCAGGCCAAATAGTTTCTTGGAAGTACTCAACTCTGCTATCGTAGCATGTTCCTGCAACACTTTATTTTACAAAAACAGGTGGTAGGCTGGATCTGGCTGATGGACAGTCCCTTGTAGACTGTCCTTGTGTGCAGATGCTCTCATATAACTTCAGTTAATCTTTACAACAACTCGCGATAGAGAGCTATCCTCACCTGCTAAAATGAAAATAATCAAATGTAGGAAGGCCAAGTGACTTGTCTAAGACCACGAGAGATAAACTCAGGACCAGGAGTCAGGCCTACTGAGTCCTAGTCCAGCTTCTTTCTGCTATGATGCCAATGATGTAATGAATGGTCATTAAATCAGGGACTTAATTCTGTTCAAATGTTAGGACACCTGGTTTATTCTCAGGACAACCCTTAGTCCCCATTTTACAGATAATGACATAAAAACACAAGGATTAAGTAACTTGCCCAACGACACAGCTAGTAGATGTACACTGTAATATAATCTTGACTATTGGTGCTCTTCAGAATATCGGAAGTAAATTTTAGAGTTGGAAAATCTCATTTTACTTATGATAAAAACTGATGAGTTATTATGTCCTATTGGCCCTGTATTTCCCAGGGTGGGAACAATGTCTCTGCCAAAGCTTAGGGGCTCCCTCTCCTAATGCTTCACATCCGTGTTTTCTGTTGCCCTCACCTTCTATACTCCCCTCTTGCACTGAGACCCCACACCCAGCAGCTAATGTTCACTGCCCAGAGCAAGGAGTTGTCAGCCTTACCTCTCTGCTCCTTCTGTAGTGTCACACCATGTCTGACCGGAAGGCAGTGATCAAGAACGCAGACATGTCTGAGGACATGCAACAGGATGCCGTTGACTGCGCCACGCAGGCCATGGAGAAGTACAATATAGAGAAGGACATTGCTGCCTATATCAAGAAGGTGTGCTGGGAGAGCTGGGACTGATGGCCAGGGGTGGGGATCGACAGCTGAGCTAACCTCCAGGGAGATCTGGAGCTGGGGACATAAGAAAGCCCGTATATCCTGTGCAAGCAAAACCCTAGGAACTTGCAAAGCAGACAAACTAGCGAGTGATTCCGAATTGCCCAAGCATTCACCTTAGGAGTTGTTAATAGCTCTGCCAGGTGTGTGTGTGTGTGTGTGTGTATGTTTACTTTTACAGGTAATTATGCTACTGCAAGGCATTGGGGAAGGATAAGATTATGCAGAGAAACTTCAGAATTAAATATTTCTGGCCCAGTTCAGAACTATTCAAAATTAAAATCTAGGATATTTGAAAGAATAAGATGTACAAATTTTCAGGGAACTACATCATTTAAAGTGGATATGCCTGTAATAATCCTCATCATGTAGGAGGTTTCCTTTTCTTTTCCTTAAAAAGGACTCAGGTACTACATCACCCCTTTCTGTCTACATTCTTAAGAAAAGGGTGGGCTCAAATATATAATTTTTAAGAAATGGATGAGCAATAATGGGGCCATAGGTTTGGTCCCTGAAAAATTCCTGAGTGAATTTGTCACTGGATATGGTTAACATGGTGAGGAAGCAGCTGTGCCAAAAGTAAGAAAAGGGGTACTGGGACCCCCTGATTCCCAGTCAGGATCCATATCCATTGGAGGCATAGTCCCAGCATTTGATATTCTCAGCTCTGGCATCCCAAGAACATGTGTAAGAATGGTGGCAGTCTGGTCCATTGAAGTGGAAGTGGTAGGGTCTCTGAGTTTTACAGAACTGTGTTTTCCTACCCAAATGGGTGGAATGAAAAGAAGAACTCCTGGAGTCCTGAGGGACTTTTTTGGGTGTGAGCCAAGGGTGGCAGAGCTATTTGGGAGCCCACCTTCTCGCTGTCCTGTACTCTGAGAGCCAGAAGAATCCCCAGATTTTCTGGTCTGCGCTCTTTTTTTGCTGATGGAGAAATGAGAACCAGGGAAGTGACTGGCTCTCCTGTATTACACATAGTCTTGAGCCGAGATTGAAGCTGGGTTTAGTATTTACTCCTAGTACTTGGAGAGTTGTGTGGTATCGGGGCTGTGAAGAGGCCAGAGAAGTTGTATGTTGAGCATATTGAGGGATAGAACCCCAGAGTTGGCAGCGTTGGTGGGCCCATGGTGGAGGGCTGCTGCCCTTTCATGGCCATGGCAGGATGCTTCTAGAACTGAGTCTGCAGGCTGAGCCACAAGGTAGTAGGGAGCTGATTAGCTCTAAAGATTTCCTGTGGTTTTGATGCTGAACTTGTGCCCCTTAGGGAATTGCCTTGATCTCATGGTGGAGGTCCTTGTTCTGGTACATACAGCCCACACAGTGCATGGCACACGGGAATGCCTTTAATGTTGTCTTATATAGTAGTGCCTCCTGGTACTCCCGATGTTTGGTCTTGTTTTGCTCTAATGCCTTGGTGTTTAGCATTTGGAAATGCTGGTTAATTATGTGTGAGGCAGCGGGTGGTGGCTCCCCATTTGTGTCATGTGTTTGACAAATGGTCCTTTATTCCACTGGCCTCTTGATTCCCTTGCTGAAGAATCCCAGGGTGGGCTAGGGGTGGCGTGAGGGGGTGGGGTAGCTAGAGGGAGGAGAGATGATCAGGGTGTAGAGTGCTGGAGGCTCAGGGGAGACGAATAATGGAGGCTTTGTGGTGTTCCATTATTAATGAGGGGAAGAGTGTCCTGGCCAGCTTTAAAACCTGAGCTTTTGAGGTTCGGGGAGCTGAGGCTGAGGGATGGGGTGGGGGTGATAACAACCAAACGTGTCGGTGCTGGAGTTGCAGGGAGAGACTCCCATTCTGATTTCTCCTTCTCCAGCTACCCTAATTACCTTTCTTCTCTACCTTTGTTCTTTTTTAGGAATTTGACAAGAAATATAACCCTACCTGGCATTGTATCGTGGGCCGAAATTTTGGCAGCTACGTCACACACGAGACAAAGCACTTCATCTATTTTTACTTGGGTCAAGTTGCAATCCTCCTCTTCAAGTCAGGCTAGGTGGCCATGGTGAAGGTGTCAGTGGCGGCGGCAGCGATGGCAAGCAGGCGGCGTTGCTGGGACTGTTTTGCACTGGAGCCAGCATCAGGATGTCCTCTCCAATGGCTGTGCTACTGCATGGACTGTATACTCGATTTCATGTGTATGTCGCAGTAAACAAAACCAAACCTCTTTCTGTTTAGTTGCCTGGGGGAAGAAGGCTGCTTTATGTTTATTTTTCAAGACTTTAAAAATATTTTTTGGTTGTATTGCACTAGGAAATCTCTCCCACCTCTCCCTTTTCTCTTTCTTTCCCTATACAAAATAAAAGGCCCACCATAGAGACTAGGCGGCCGAAAGACTAGGAGGGCTGAGGAAAAGAAATAGGTCTCTGGAGGTGGAACTAAAACTGTGCAGCTGCCTCTTCCTGGCGGTGGATGCTGCTTTGGGAGGGCCAGGGAGGCTGCAGGGGGACAGTGTTGGGATTGTCAAGGAAAAAGGGGTAGGAAGGAAGGTGGAGGGATTGATCTAGTACCAGGGAGAATATTCCACTGAACTGTGATTCTATGGCTTGGGGCGGAGGGTGGGGTGGGGATGCCTTCTTTAGGGGCCCTGAGATGTGTTTGTCTGTGGTGTGTGGGAGTGGGGAGCAGATTTGTCTTGCTGTCTTTGTCAGAATTTCTAAGTAAGGGCTGTGTCTTTGTGGATTACCTTCTTTTGTTCTTCCTGCCAGAGATCATGACAGGAGGATGCTGGGGTAGGATTAGCTTGAATCTTTTTTTTCTTTACATTTTTCTCCTGTCTGCTCCCTGCTTAGCCCTCAGTTTCCTCATTCCTCTGGAGTTCTCTTAGAGCAGCCCCTGTTGTTAGTTGGCTGGCAAGGGAATTTCTGGTGACTGTAGTTCCTTAGTTAGGTCTTAGCAATCAAACCAAATTGATGTCTCCCTTGACTCTTCTGTGTATATGTGTGAATATGTGTGTATATGTGTGTGTATGTGTGTGTGGGGTTTGGGGTAGAAGGGAGGGAGGGGGCAGGACAGTGTGGAATCTCTAGGGTGTATGGGTAGGTAGGGGGCACAGTTAGTTCTAAGTGGGCTTTTATGCTAAAAGCCTCTGGGGATATCTGTTTTGAAAATAAAGATAGGTGTCCCCTCCTTGCTGTCATCTAGCCCAGACACTCTGCTTGCTCTCTGGCTGTCTGCTCCCTGGGAAGGCTTTAGGAGGACCACCCAGGACAGGATGACCATGCTGCCATCTGCTCTGGAGCTGGGTCTCAGTGCAGAGGGACAGTGACTGTGGATGGTTGCAGTCTCTGGTGGGAGGTGAGGATAGAAGTGATAAAGAGCTAAGAGGAGCTTCTGGGAGCCTTGGAGGAGGTCAGTCTTGCAGTGGTGAAGCCAGGACATAGGAGATGGAGCAGGGCTGTGAGAGGAGGAGATTCTGAGGAGGATGCAGGGGAAATCTTGTCTGTTAATGAAATAGGAGTGGGGTGGGGTTTGGGGTGGGGTGGTCATTGCCGTTTGAGCTGCTGATTTTCATGAGTCGCCTTCAAAACTCTCGTGTAGGGTTGACAATGTGGGGGGGTGGGGGATCCAGCTTATTCTTTTATTTTCAAGTCCATTCTTGGGGCTGGTGGGGAGGCAGGAGAATACCCCTCCCTAAGCCCTTAGTGTGTGCCGAGCTTGCTTTGTGATGTTGGCAGGGGAGGGGAGACCTGGGTGGTGACTGAGTTCCCTTTATCAAACCCTTCAGTGGGCACAAAATTGAGTGCTTGATTTTAGGTTTTATTTTTTTATGAATGTCCAAATCTGTGTTTCCCCCTGCCCTCCCAGACTGTGTGGCCAGTTGAAAGTGTCTGGTTTGTGTTCATCTCTCCCTCATTTCTGGAGCAGGGCCTGAGACCCTGCCACATCTCCTATGCTCTGCATCCACGCCTCTTTTGGACATTAAAGGTTGATTGATGCACCTCTGCACTGTTTGGGTCTCTTTGGGGATGAGGGGTTGGCATGGTGGCAGTGGTGCCACACAGTGGGTGAGGGTGGAGAGTCTCCAGGGTGGAATAGAATGGGGACTGAAGGGAAGACCAGCCACTAGATACTGATTGGCCTGTAGCAGCACTTATTTGTGCCTAGGCTTATGCCCCTTAAGTAGAGGAAAACTAACCAGCAGCACTCACCCTTAAGGGCTCCTGGGTTCTGCCTTCCTTGGTGGTGATGGCCAGGTGAATCATATTTTGTGTCTTTGGGATAGTAACTGCTACCTTCCCAGCTGCCGTCATGGACCTGCCTGAGCTTTGCTGCTTCAACTTTTGCCCAAAGCTCTTATCTTTCATACTCCTCCCTTCTCGGCTTTCCTGAACCTGGAGACTATTTAGCAAAGGGTCTGGCCACTCAGAAATGGAAAGCTGGGGATATTTAGAAAGATGGCACCTCTTTTGGTGGAACCTAAGTGATTCTCTGAATCCTCTGTTGCCCAGACACACAACTCGAGAAATCAGCAGTGCCAAGACTTCTGAGAGTGTCTGCCCACCCCTGACTCCACCATCGTGTGACTGCAATTCTCTTGGAGGTGTTAGGGAGCCAGAGGTGCTTTGCCCTCTTTGTGTTACTATTTCTTTACTCAAAAATATTTAAGAGTTCTTGTATGCTTGGGCCTAGGATGCTGTTCACAGAGGAGAATGAGACAAGTAAGTTCTAGGCTTCTATGACATACACATTCTTATGTGTAGAGCAGACATACACACACTGATCAACTTTTTCCAATAGTGATAAATGTGTTATCAAGGAAATGAACTGGGCAATGAGCTATTGAGTGTTGGAGGTAGGTAGATAGGGTTCCTCCAGTTAGGAAGGTGGTTGGCTGATCTTGGGGAGAAGTTCTACCTCTGGGGCAGTGAGGTCCTAAGGGATTAAGTTGAGAGACTCTAGAGCCCCAACTTCTGTTACTGCTTTAGCTGTCGTGAGTAATTTGACAGAGCTGGAGCTTTGGGAGGGAGAGTGAGGCCACAGTTCACATTTCATCAGGGATGAGTGTCTCCAGGGCCAAAGCTCATCTACTTTCTTCCCTGATGAAAGAGGCAGTCCAGGTGGCATCTGTGAACAACACATTCCTGCACAGGTAGGTGCACAGTGCTCATCTGGAAGACTAATCCTGCAGGGCTTCCTGGAGGAGATGAGCCTCCACTTTTCGGGGCCCAGGATGGGAAAGTATGTGAGCATGTGTCACTGAAGGGACTGTGGAAAGCAGATGGAAATTGTGGAATTCTCTCGGAACAATGCAGCCATTATTAGAACTGTGCCCATAGGAGCATCAATATCCCTGCTCCTTGTATCCTGTTCTCCAGTCTTCTGGGGACCCCCTTTGACTGAACCCAACCAAATGGCAGATGACAAGGCAGACCCAGGATGCAGTCTGTAGGGTTCAGTCCCCCTCCCCACTGGGAACAGCAGGAAAGGGCAAGGTGGTGACAATCTAAGGGAGGCAAATGGATAATAACCAGCATGGTAGGGAATCTTCTTTGTTGCTGTGGCACTGTCGATCTCTGTTCCCTGAACTCTAGTGTCCTCCAGACTAGATTTAAGGTGTGGTTCCCCGCTAAATTATTCTCTCACCTCCTTTCAGTCTTTGCTCAAACATCCTTTTATCAGAGAGGCTTTCTGACATCCTGTGCAAGATAGCACCTCTCCCCCATCGCTGTTATCCTTACCCAGTTTAATTCCACGTAGCATCTGCCAACGCTTGACATATTTGTTTTTTGTTTACTTTCTGGCCTGTGACAACTAGAATATAAGCTCTGTGAGAGCATTTTTCTCTTAACTGCTTATCTTCAAGTAAACAGAACAGTGCCTGTCCTGTAGGAAGTGTTTGATACATACAGATTGCTCAAATGAAAAAAGAAGGGTGCGAGCAAGCCTGGACAGGCCTGGTGCCCCAGGGCAGCCTTGCCTTTTCTGAAGAGAATGGCTGCCTTAGGCACGGCTCTCCTTGCTGCCCAAGCCTTGCCACCTTGAAAGGCGTGAGAGGGTCACTCCCAGGTGTATTCAAGCAAGAGTGCCTGAGCCACTCTTGCTTGGCAGTATGGGAGGATGAAATAGTGTGTTCATAAAGTGCATTTTATTTTTAAAGCATTTCAGTTTATGTTGCTGAAACCTGAGAGCGCCCCCCTGAGCTAGACTCAGTAATCATTAGACACATTTTTGGATAAGCAAACTGAATCAGAGAAGGTGAGTGGCAAAGCCCATGTAGCTGGTGGCATTACTAGAACTTAGCACTGTGATGCACAAAGGCTTAACTGGGTTTGGCAGCAAGGGTCTCATGGATACTCTTTAAGATGTAGGCCCAGATCTCTTAGTAGTGAATCCCTGATGTTCCCTCTCTTGGGGCTCTGGTTTAGCAAGGACAGCGAGGATACTTTCCTCTCTCCCTCCTCCTTACTCCTCTCTACTAAGGATTAAGGAGCCACCTCTTCCTCCTTAAGGCCTTTGGGAGAGATGGGTCTCCTGGTATTAGAAAGGAGAGCAGACGCCTAGAGTTCTGACCTCTTGGGCCTCCCCTAAACAAAAAGCATAGCCCCTTCACTACCCTAGTAACAAGTATGACCTGTTGCCTGTTGAGGTCAGGTGTACCTGTGTGTCTCTCTCTGTGATGTATGTGGGCTTGGTGTCCACATCAATGTGCGTGAATACTCCTACCCACAGACTGCTACTGTGCCAATATAGAGGTTCATAAGAAAGATAAAAGAGAACCAGCAGAACCCCAGGTTCTGCCTCTCCTTCCTCCCTTTGCCCAGATAAAGGTGTACAGTGTTTGTGGTGAGGCTGCTGGACACTGCTGTTTTGGGCTTTCTAGAGAGAATGCAAACATGCAAAAACAGTGTGGTAGTGTAGGCAGAACAAGATCTAGAATCAGAAGACCTGGAGTCGAATCTCAGCTCCAACACCCACTGGATGAACGTGGACAAGCTGCTTGATCTCTCAGATCCTCGATTTCTTCATCTGTAAGATGGAAACAATATGTGTCTTTTCTAAGGGGAAAGATCAAATGACATCATGTATGTGAAAATGCTTAGAAATGGGTGATGATGATGATGATGATACTGATTATTAGGGTATCTAATAAAGTTGGGGAAAGAACAAAATCCCCCCCTCACACCCTATTGCACCACCAGCCTTCTCCCTCCCTGCTCAATTATACCCATGTTATAGGGAAGGAAATAGGGAAGAAACTTGTCTAAGGTCACATGGATGTTCGCAACAATTGGGATGCAGAACTTGATCTGACTCCCAGGCCAGGTTTGATTTTGATTTGCAGTGGCAGAGAGGACTAATTTTTTACTAGGTTCTGAGCCCTGTACTGAACTCTGGATTGCCCTGTACTTGGTGGTGGTATACAGTTCAGCAGTTTTTAGCATATACACGAATTTGTGCAGCCATAACCACTATCTAATTCTAGAACATTTTTATCACCCCCAAAAGAAATCATGTACCCATTTGCAGTCACTTGCCATTCCCTCTTCTCCCCAGCCCTGGGAAACCACTGACCTACCTTATATCTCTATGAATTTGCCTAATCTGGACATTTCATATAAATGCAATTGTACATGTGGCCTTTTGTTTCTGGCTTCTTTCACTTAGCATGTTTTCAAGGTTCATTTGTGCTGTAGCATTTATCAGTACTTTGTTCCTTTTTCTAGCTGAGTAACGTGTGGGTATATCACATTTTGTTTATTCATCTGTTGAGGGATGTTTGGGTTGTTTCTACTTTTTGACTATTGTGATTAGTGCTGCTATGAACATTGATGTACAGATTTTTGTGTAGATATGTTTTCAATTATCTTGGGGCATCTTTTATTTTTAATGTCAGTTTTCTATTTTTAAAAAATCTAGACAGGTTGGCAAATCATTTCTGTAAAGAGTCAGTAAATATTTTAGCCTTTGTGGTCCATGACATTAGGTATACAGATTACAATTTCTGAACTCTGCCATTCCAGTGTGAGAGCAGCCATAGATAATATGTAAACAAATGAGCATGGCTATGTTCCAATAAAACTTTTAAAAAGCAGGGGACAGATTGGGCCTGTGGACCATAGTATACCAACCCTTAATCTAAATGACACATTCACATGATACATTATTCTAAAGGCACAAAAAGCAAAAATTCTCCCTCCCACCTCTGTCTTCCAGCTACGGGGTTACCTTCCTTGAAGCAGTTAATGTTATGAGATTTTGTGTCTCCTTTTAGACACAGTTAATAATGAGCATTAAAGTGGCTATATACTATTCCAATGTGTTGCAGATAGTTTAGTCAACACAAAAGAACGGACATATCTGAGGGTACACCCTAAAAGTCCTTGAGGAACAGAACCCTAAAAGAGAGAACACCTGCCTAATCTGACTCCTCCATCAGAATAATCTTTTGAACTCCTGAGATTTGCCCAGTCATTTTGGGGCCATGTCTGATGAAAGCTTGGTGATCCCTTTTGGGTCAAAAACAAGCTCTGACTGAAGAGATGCAAGATTTTCTCAGATGATTTGTGTGTCAGTCAGAGTTCCGCCAGAGAAACACAACCAGTAGGATATATTCTATCTTGTCTGTCTTCATATCCATGTATCTGTCATCTACCTAGATTTAATGCAAGGAATTGGTTTATGCAGTTGTAGGGGCTGGCTAGGCAAATCCAAAATCCACAGGGCAGGCCGTGTGGAAGGGAGGTCTGGAAACTCTCAGACAAGACCTGACATTGCAGTCCACTGGTGGAATTTCTCCTTCTTCAGGGAAACCTCAGCTTTCAACGGAGTGGATCAGACCCAACCATATTATCCAGGATAATCTCCTTTACATAAAGTTAACTGATTGTAGATGTAAATTACATTTACAAGATACCTTCATAGCAACACCTAGGTCAGTTTTTGAATAACTGGGTATTATAGCATAGCCAGGTCAACACGTAAAATTGATCACCACAGTCCATGTCTTGTTAACTTGGCACCTGTACACATTTCCTTAAACCATTTAATCTCCCAATAAAGACAATAACAAAGTAAAACTTCTGCCTATCATGACACAGCTAATCTGTGTACAACTGAAAATATGCTCTTTTCCTGGGAGAGAATTCACAGTCCTTGACTGGTGTTCACTTTTATCCTTGATAATCCAGTAACTTTAATAATATTATGTAAATGTAGCTATTTTAATAAATTTTATGTTAGATGACAAGGGGATAAGAGAGGGAAGAAAAAATACATAAACACAAACATTCATAACAAAACAATGAATACTCATAATAATTATAGTACTAACTTCTGCAACTGTTCACATGATGTGTTTTATAACTACCGGTGTTACAAAATTACTGGTTATAGCTGGTATGTGTAACTACTTTCCTTCACGACTTATTCCATATTTTCTTTGCCTTCCTCATGAAACTCAGAGCTGGTTGTGGTTCTTTGCCTGGTGGGAGGGCCCCAAACTTTCATTCCTGAAGGGTCTGGGAAATTAGAAGTCTTACCTGCATTGGTTTATTATAGTTTTCCACTGGTTTTAATCACCATAGGGCATGGTAGTACTACGAGATGACCTAAGGGATCTCTCGTATTCCAGACATAACTTTTCTTCCTTTCATTGTTTAGTAGCAGCCTAATTTCCCTTTGGTAGTCAGGAGGAATCACCCTAGCCAGTGGAGTAATTCTTCATTGCAAAATGACCCATGGCAGTCTTAACTTCCAGTTCAGTGAAATAATTGTGACTCCTGGTGAAAGCATTCCTCCCTTTGGAATGAAGACCTCCAGATCAGCAAAGCATAAAGCCACAGGGATGGGAAGCAAAGATTTACCAGTGGACCACTAGGGGTAATAGTGAGTTGTGGGTGCCGTTTCATTTCTGCTACTGATCCCTGGAACCATGAATCCTAGCTATGCGACAAATAGTACCATATGTGGGATGCTGAGTTGGAGTATATATGGTCTCCTGAAGGACATTGTCTCAACCCTGCAAGGTGTTGCGACCGAGCTGGCACTGTAACTAGATCTTCAAAAGGCCATTCCGCCTTTCTATCAAGCCAGCTGCTTCGGTATGATGGAGAACATGGTAAGCCATGAGCACGGGCCCATTGCTGTACTTCACTTGCTGTGAAATGAGTTTATTCATCAAAAGCACTGCTGTGTGGAAAAAGTGGTGGTGGATAAGGCATTCTGGAAGTCCATAGATGATAGTTTTGGCAGAGCATTAAATGCAGGGAAAGTAAATCCAAATCTAGACTGTCTGTTCCAGTAAGAACAAAGTGTTGCCCTTTCATGATGGAAGGAGTCCAATCAACCTGCCACAAGGTGGCTGGCTGATCACCCCAGGGAATGTTGCTGCAGCTCAGTATTGGTGTCTGCTGCTGGCAGATTGGCAGATTGGGCACTCAGCAGTGGCTGTACTCAGACTGGCCTTAGTGAGTGGAAGTCCATGTTGCTGAGCACCTGAATACCTTCCATCCCTGCCACCATGTCCACTTTTCCAGATTCCTATAGAAATGAAATTGTACAGTAGGTAATTCTTTGGGGCTTTGGTTTTTTTTTCACTCAGCATAATTATTTTGAGATTCATCCATGTTGTTTTTCTGTGTATCATAGTTCCTTTTTAAAATTGCTGAGTAGTATTCAATTGTATGGATATACTAAAGTATATTTGTTCCTCAATTAAAGGACATTTGGGTTTCCATTTTGGCAATTATGAATAAAGCTGCTATAAACATTTACATACAGATTTTTGTAGGTTTTTATTTCACTTGGATAAATAACTAGGAGTGGGATTGCTGGATCTTATGGTAAGCATATGTTTAACTTTATAAGAAACTGCCAAACTATTTTCTAGAATAGCCACACCATTTTGCATTTCCACCAGCAATGTATGGGACTCTCAGTTACTCCTCATTCTCGTCAACACTTGCCATTGTCAGTTTCTTTTTTAAAAATTTTAGCTATTTGAACAGGATGTGGTGGTATCTAATTGTGGGCTTTTTAAATACCACATTTTTTAATTAAAAAAATTTAAATTGGCTGGATGCAATGGCTCACATCTGTAATCCCAGCACTTTAGAAGTCTGAGGCAGGTGGATCAATTGCACTCAGGAAATTTGAGACCACCCTGGGCAACATGGCAAAACTCTGTCTCTCCAAAATTAAAAAAACTAGCTGGATGTGGTGGTGTGTGTCTGTGGTCCCAGCTACTCAGAAGGCTGAGATGGGAGGATTGTTTGAGCCTGGGAGGTTGAGGCTGCAGTGTGCTGTGATGGTGCTAGTACACTCCAGCCTGGGTGAAAGAGCAAGACCCTGCCTCAACAAACTAAATTAAAATTTTATTTTTGAATTGACAAATAATAATTATACGTTTTCATGGAGTACATAGTAATGCTTTGATATGTATAATGTGTAGTGATCAGATCAGGGTAATTAGCATATCATCATCTCGAACATCATTTCTTTGTATTGGGAACGTACAATATTCTCCTTCTAGCTATTTGAAACTATATATTATTGTTAACTATAGTCATCCTACAGTGGTATTGAACACTAGAACTTATTCCTCTTATCTAGTTGTAATTTTGTATCCTTTAACAAATCTCTCCCTCTCCTTCCCTTCCCCCACTCATTGTGGTTTTAATTTACATTTCTCAAGTGACTAATGATGTTGAGCATCTTTTCAAGTGATTATTTGCCATGTATATATCTTTGATTAAGATCTTTTGCTCATCTTTTTACTGGGTTGTTTGTTTTCTCAATGTTGAGTTTTAAGAATTCTCCATATTTTCTGGATACATGTCCATTATCAAATATATGATTTGCAAATATTTTCTCTCAATTGGTGGCCTGTCTTTTCATTCATTTAACTATCTTTTATATAGCAAAAATGTATTAAATTTTTATGAAGTCCAATTTATTCTCAATTTTCTTTTGGTGTTATATTTAAGAACATTTTGCATAACCCAAGGTAGCAGGGATTTTCTCCCATGTTTTTTCTAGGAGTTTTAAAGTTTTACATTTTACGTTTAGATCTATGATCCATTTGGAGTTAATTTTTGTATATGATGTAAGGTATGAATCAAGGTTTCTTTCTTGTTTTTGTTTTGTTTTAAGGATATTTCTTTTTTAATTTTTAGAGACAAGGTCTCAAGGTCTCACTCTGTTGCTCAGTCTGGAGTGCAGTGGCACCATCATAGCTCACTGCAGCCTTCTAACTCCTGGCTCAAACAATTCTCCTGCCTCCGCCTCCGAAGTAATGGAGACGACAGGCACTTCCCACTGTGCCTGACTCATCTTTAAATTTTTTGTAGAGATGGGAGTCTTGCTTTGTTGCCCAGGCTGGTCTTGAACTACTGGCCTCAAGAGATCCTCCTGCCTCACGAGGGATTATAGGCATGAGGCACCATGCCTGTCTATTTCAAGGATGTAAAATATCCTTGGCATGAGAAATGCTCATGACATAGGTTAATTAGGAAAATCAACAAAATACAAGAATACACATGTACACACCTTTCAATTTTAACTTTGAAAATAATAATGTATAGGTAAATACTTATTCA
This sequence comes from Homo sapiens, assembly GCF_000001405.40. Lineage (NCBI taxonomy): Eukaryota > Metazoa > Chordata > Mammalia > Primates > Hominidae > Homo > Homo sapiens. The sequence continues at coordinate 58,099,823 of NC_000017.11, forward strand.
TGATCATTCACATATCTATCTTGTAAACAAATTATAGATATATTCTGCTTTCTAAAAATCCAATCTGTACTTTTCAGCTGCTGAATTGGGGATAATTTGTTATGTAGCAATATGTGATCAGTTACATTTTCTATTTGTCTCACCTATTTTTCTCCTTTTCTTTGTGGCTTTCTTTTGTGTTGTTTTTGGTTTTGGTTTGGAGTTGTTTTTTTTTTTCTCTTTGAGACAAGGTGTCGCTCCTTCACCCAGGCTGAAGTGCACTGGCATGATCGCAGCACACTGTAGCCTCAACCTCCTGTGTTCAAGCCATCTTCCCACCTCAGCCTCCCAAGTAGCTAGGACTACAGGGATGTGCCAAAATGCCTGGCTAATTTTTTTACTTTTTGTAGACATGTGGTTTGAGACCCAGACTGGTCTGAAACTCCTGGGCTCAAGCAATCTGCCCATCTCGGCTTTCCAGTGTGCTGGGATTACAGGCGTGAGCCACTGCGACTAGACTTTCTTTTGAATAGATCAATTTTTTAATCATTCTGTTGTTTTTCTCTGTCATTTTGGAAACTATAAATTATTTTCTTATGTTTTTAGCAGTTACTCAAAGACAACATATGCATTAATATATCGATGTCTATAATTAATACCTATATATATAGACCTTAAAAACACTTTTAAACTCCACTTATCCCCTTCCAACTTGTACATTTTATGGGATTGTATTATAATTCATATTATTATTGCATTCCACAATTATTTTAGCTCACTTTTTAATTCTTCATTCATTATTGCATCTCAAAAGTATATAATTACTTTCATTATTTTTCTTTTGTGAGGTTTATTTCTTTTTTCTTCTCTTTTCCCTTTCACCTTCTCTCCCCTTCTTCCTTTTGTCTTCATTCCTTTCTTCCTCTCTCTCTGCATATTGTCATCCCATCCAATTGTTTTAATATCATTTCTCAAAAGACTCTTTTTTCTCCATTAAATTATCTTTGCATCTTTGTAAAAAATCAGTTGGCCATATTTGTGGATTCCTAGATTTCTATTCTGTTCCATTTATCTATGTGTCTATCCTTTTGCCAATACAATACTGTAGCTTTATAGTAAGTCTTGAATTTGAGTAATGTGAATCTTCCAACTTTATCATTATTTTTCAAAATTATTTTAACTATTCTGGTTTCTTTGGCTTTGCATATAACTTTAAAAATCAGCTTATTTATATTTTAAAAATATCTTGCTGGGATCTTGATTTGAATTGCATTTAATCTATATATCAGTTTGGTGGCAATTGATAGCTTCACAATATTATGTTTTCTGATCCGTGAACATGGTATATCTCTCTGTTTATTTGTCTTCTTTGATTTTTTTCCATGACTGTTGTAAAATTTTCAGCATACAGGTTCTGCACACGTTTTGTTAGATTTATTTCTGAGTATTTCTGAGTTTGATTTCTAAGCATTGCTCTAATAACAAATGCTATTGTTAATAGTAATTTTATTTTTTTTAAACTACTGATTTCCAATTGTTCAATGTTAGTATACAGAAATATGATTGATATTTGTGTATTAACTTTATATTCTGTGTGTGACTGTGCTAATTCACTTTTAATTTCTAGGAGCTTATTTGTACATTCTGTGGAATTTTGTACATATTAAATCATAAATGGAAACAGTTTTATTTCCTTTCTGTATGCTCTTTTTTTCTTTTCTGCGCTTGCTAGAACTTTCAATATATATTGAATAGGAGTGGTGGGCATGAACATGCAGCTTCTGGATCTTACAGGATGCCTTAATTCAGGCTTCTATAACAAAAATGCCATTGACCAGGTGGCTTAAACCACAACATTTATTTATCAAAGTTCTGGAGGCTGGGAATTCCAAAATCAAGACATTGGCAAATTTGGTGGCTGGTGGGGACTTGCTTCTTGGTTCATGGATGGTTGTCTTCTCCTTGTGTCCTCACATGGCAAGAGTAAGAGCTCTCTGGAGTCTCTTTTATAAGGGTACTAATCCCATTCATGAGGGCTCTGCTAGAGGTCCCACATTCCAAAGTAGAGCCTTTGCCAGAGCCCTCATGAATCAGGCATTAGGAGGTGGGGCCTCCTCCCAAAAGTCCCACCTCCTAATCTTATCACATTGAGGGTTAGGATTTCAACATATGAATTTTGAGGGGTGGACACAGTGGGCACAACATCTTTTTCTATAGCAAAAAGGAAGCATTCAGTTTTTCAGCATTAAGTATGATGTTTAGAGACAGGGTCTTGCTATGTTGCCCAGGCTGGTTTTGAATTCCTGGCCTCAAGTGATCTTCCCACCTTGGTCTCCCAAAGTGTTGAGATTACAGGCATAAGCCACTGTGCCCAGCTGTGTTTTTTGTTTTTGTTTTTGGAGACAGAGTCTCACTCTGTTGCCCAGGCTGGAGTGCAGTGGTGTGATCTCAGCTCACTGCAAGCAGCTGTATTTTTAAAAATACATAGGTGCCCTTTATCAGATGTCTTTTACTCCTAGTTTCTGAGAGTTTTTATCTTGAATAGATGTTTAAATATGTCAAATGCTTTTCCCATAACTACTGAGATAATCATGTGGTTTTTCTTTTTACTCTATTAATATGGGAAATTACATTGATTGATTTTTGAAAGTTAAATCCAACCTATATTACTGGAATAAACTTCACTTGGTCATGATAATTATCCTTTTTTATATTGTTGAATTCTATTTGCTAAAATTTTGTTTAGAAGTTTTGCACACATTTGTGGATGGATATTTGTATGTAGCTTTCTTTCCTTGTAATGTCTTTGTTTGATTTTATTATTATAATAATGCTAGTGTCATAGAATGAGTTAGGAATTAGTCCCCCCTTTTAAATTTTCTGCAAGGGTTTCTGCAGAATGAGTATTATTTCTTTATTAAATGCTTGATAGAATTCACTGGTGAATCCATCTGTGTCTCAAAATTTCTTGTGGGAAGGTTTTTAACTGGAAATTCAAGATTTAGGGCTATTCAGGTTATCTAGTTCTTCTTGAGTAAAGTTTGGTATTGTGTCAACTTAGATAAAGTTATTTCTCTATTTCATCTAACTTGTAGAATTTATTGGCATAAAGCTGTTCATAATATTTTCTTACTATATGTGGAATCTACAGTGATGTTATCTCTTAGCCCTAAAGCTGGTAATTTGCATCTTCCCTCTTTTTTTCCTGATTAGTTCTGCTAGAAGTTATTAATAATTAACATTGCTAATCTTTTCAAGAAACCAACATTAGTTTCATTTATTTTCTCAATTTTTCTATTTTTTATTTCTATTCCAATCTCTCTTATTTCCTTTTTTCTACTTACTTTCAGTTTAATTTGCCCTTCTTACTCTGGTGGAAACTGAGGTTATTGATTTGAGATATTTCTCCTTTTCGAATATAGGAATTTAGTGATAAAATTTTACTCTAAGCTTTAGCTGCATCCTATAAATTTTGATATGTTGTTTTTTTCATTTTTCTTCAGTCCAAATTACTTTCTAATTTCTTCTTCTTCTTCTTCTTCTTTTTTTTTTTTTTTGAGATGGAGTCTCTCACTCTGTAGCCCAGGCTGGCTGGGGAGTACAGTGGCACAAACTCGGCTCACTGCAACCTCCACCTCCCGGGTCCGGTTCAAGCAATTATCCTGCCTCAGCCTCTGGAGTAGCTGGGATTACAGGCAAGCGCCACCATGCCCAGCTAATTTTTGTATTTTTAGTAGAGACTGGGTTCCACCATGTTGGCCAGGCTGGTCTTGAACTCCTGACCTCGTGATCCACCCACCTCAGCCTCCCAAAGTGTTGGGATTACAGGCATGAGCCACTGTGCCTGGCCCAACTTTCTAATTTCTTTTTGATTTTTCCTTGGCCTATGAATTATTTAAAAGTAAATTATTTATTTTCCAATATTGGAGGATTTCCAGTTATTTTTCTGTTATTGATTTATTATTAATTCCATTGTGGTTAGAGAACATACTTTATATGATTTGAATCCTTTTAAATGTATTTAGACTTGTTTTACAGACCAAAATTTGGTCTGTCATGGTAAATTTTCAATGTACAGTTTAAAATAATGCATATACTGCTACTATTGGTGGCATGTTCTATAAAAGTCAGTTGGGCCAATTTGGTTGATAGTCTTCTATATCCTTATGATCTTCCATCTACTTGTTCTCTGAATAATTGAAATTCAGAAATAAGTGTTGAAATTTCCAACCATAAATTATGTATTTGTCATTTTTTTCTTAAATTTCTTCTTCTTTTTTTTTTTTTTTTGAGACAGATTCTCACCCTGTCGCCCAGGCTGGAGTGCAGTGGTGCAATCTTGGCTCACTGCAACCTCCACCTCCTGGGTTCAAGCAATTCTCCTGCCTCAGCCTCCCGAGTAGCTGGGATTACAGGCATGCATCACCACACCCTGCTAATTTTTTGTATTTTTAGTAGAGATGGGGTTTCACCATGTTGGCCAGGCTGGTCTTGAACTCCTGACCTTGTGATCTGCCCGCCTTGGCCTCTCAAAGTGCTGGGATTACAGGCATGAGCCACCGTAGCTGGCCTTTTTTCTTAAATTTCTATCATTTATTTTGCTTTATGTATTTTGAAACTCCACGTATTTAGGATTATTATATCCTCTATATGAATTTATTATTTATCATTATGAAATGACCCTTTTCATTCATGGTAATATTCTTTACTCTGAAGTCTATTGGGTCTTCAGAGCTTTCTTTTGATTACTATTAGCATGGTATATCTTTTCCTACCTTTTTACCTTTAACCTATTTGTGTTTTTACATTTAAGTGGTTTTTTTGTAAGCATCATATAATTGGATCTTGCTTTTCTTAATCTAATCTGACACTATCTTTCTTTAAATTGTGCTAAGAACATTTATGTTTAGTGTGATTATTGAGATGATCACAATATCTTGCTTTTTTTTATATTTGTCTCATTTCTTTGTTCCCTCTTTCCACCTTTTCTGCCTTCTTTTGGATTAATAAATTTTTTAATGATTCCATAAATACAGATACTTCTTGACTTATGATGGAGTTATGTTTCAATAACACCATCATAAGTTAAAAATATTGTAAGTTGAAAGTACACTTTCAACTTAGATATTTTCAACTTATGGTGGGTTTATCTAGACATAGCCCCTTTGCAATTTGAGGAGCATACTGAATGCTTGTCACTTTCACACCATCCTGAAGTCAAAAAATCATAAATTGAATCATCTTAAATTGGGGACTGTCTGTAGTTTATTGGCTTATCATCTACAATTCTTTCTTTTGTTATTTTAGTGATTTAGAGTTTATAGTATACAACTCTAACTTACCACAGTCCAACTTCAAGTGATAACATCATACACATCATGAATCGTATATACAATGGTGGTCAGCTACATTATAATTTTATGGGACCACCATTGTATATATGATTCATCACTTACTGAAACAATGTTATGTGATGCATGACTATATATGTGAAGTGGCATGTTGTTTGACAGTTAACTTTTGACATAATTAGTGACATCATAGCCATTTTAACATCATAGCACAATGCATTACTCACATATTTGTGATGATGGTGGTGGAAACAAACCTACTGCACTGCTAGTTATAAAAAGTATAGCAAATACAATTATGTACAGTATACAATACTTGATAATAAATGACTTTGTTACTGATTTATGTGTTTATTATACTTTTGACTGTTATTTTAGAGTATACTTTTTCTAATTATATCAAAAGTTAACTGTGAAACAACCTCAGGCAGGTCCTTCAGGAGGTATATTCCAGAAGAAGGTATTGTTATCACAGGAGATGACCATGTGTGTTATTGCCCCTGAAAACCTTCTAGTAAGACAAGATATAGAAGTGGAAGATAGTGATATTGATGATCCTGACCCTATGTAGGCCTAGGCTAATGTGTATGTTCGTGTCTTAGTTTTAAACCAAAAAGTTTAAAAAGTAAAAAAAAAGAAAAAAACAGAAAAACACTTATAGAATAAGGCTGTAAAGAAAATATTTTTTGTATAGCTGTACAAAGTGTTTTTGTTTTTAGTTATGTTATTATAAGAGTCAAAAAGTTAAAAAAATGAAGTTTATAAAGTAAAGTTACAGGAAGCTAAGGTTAATTTATATTGAAGAAAGAAAAATATGGCTCGGCCTGGTGGTTCATGCCTGTAACACTAGCACTTTGGGAGGCCGAGTGAAAGGATCTCTTGAGCCCAAGAGTTTGAGACAAGCCTGGGCAATATGGTGAAATCCCATCTCTACAAAAAATACAAAAAACTAGCTGGGCATGGTGGCACGTGCCTGTAGTCCCAGCTACTCAGGAGGCTGAAGTGGGAGGATCACCTGAGCCCAGAAAATCAAGGCTGCAGTGAGTCATAACTGCACCCCTGCATTCCAGCCTGGATGAGAGTGAGACCCTGTCTCAAAAAAAAAAAAAAAGAGAAAAACATACATTAAAAATAAATTTAGTGTAGCCTAAGTGTACAGTATTTATAAAGTCTACACCAATGTACAGTAATGTCCTAGGGCTTCACATTCACTCACCACTAACTTCACTGTGTCATCCAGAACAACTTCCAGTCTGAAACCTCCATTTATGGTAAGTGCCCTATGTAGGTGTACTTTTTAAAACCTTTTATATCATATTTTATGGTGTCTTTTCTATGTTTAGATATGTTTAAATATACAAATACTTACCATTAAGTTACAATGGCCTATAGTATTTGGTACCATAACATGGTGTACAGGTTTGTAGTGTAGGAGCAATAGGCTAAACATATAGCCTAGGTGTGTAGTAGGCTACACCATCTAGATTTGAGTAAGTACATTATGAGGTTTACATAGTGACAAAGTTGCCTAATGATGCATTTCTCTGTATGTCTCCCAAAAGCTAAGTGATCCATAACTGTAGTGGAAAAACCATCCCAGCGTTTATGCTATTGATGTCATATATTTTACTTCTGAATATGTTGTAAACTCCACAGTATGTTTGTATTTTTTTGTTTTAAATAGCCAATTATCTTTTAAAGATTTTTTTTTTTTTTTTTTTTTTTGAGACAGAGTCTCGCTCTGTCGCCCAGGCTGGAGTGCAGTGGCGCCATCTCGGCTCACGGCAACCTCTGCCTCCTGGGTTCAAGTGATTCTCCTGCCTCAGCGTCCCGAGTAGCTGGGATTACAGGTGCACCACCACGCCCAGCTAATTTTTGTATTTTTAGTAGAGACAGGATTTCACCATGTTGGCCAGGCTGGTTTTGAATTCCTGACCTCACGATCCACCTGCCTCAGCCTCCCAAAGTGCTAGGATTGCAGGCATGAGCCACCACACCCAGCCAAGAAATTTAAATAAGAAAAAAAAATTTTTTTAATATATCCACATGGTTATGATTTTTGGTGATCTTTACTCCTTTGCCTGTATCCAGATTTCAGTCTAGTATTATTTCTCCCTTGCGCAAAGGACATAATTTAACATTTTTGTTTTAGGGGCCATCAGCTAGTGATGATTTACTTCAGCTTTTGTACCTCCAGAAAAGTGTTTCTTTCATCTTCCATTTTGCAAGATACATTTTCTGGGTGTAGAATCCTAGGTTGATAGTTGTTTTTTTTCTTTTAGTACTTTAAAGATACTGTTCCACTGTCTACATGCTTGCATTTTTCTGTCAAGAAGTCTGTTATCAATCTTATCCCTGTATGATACATCATGATGTAGTTTTCTTCATGTTGCTTGTGTTAAGGTTCCTTGAACTAAGAAAACTCGTGGTTGTATAGTTTCCATCAACTTTGGAAAATTTCCAGCCATTATTTTTTAAATATATGTTCTCTCTCTCCTTTCCTGTCCTTCAGGGACTCCAATTACATGTATTTAGATTGCTGAAAATTGTCCTCCATCTATCTTTACGTATCGTCTTTTTCAGTTTTTCCTTTCTCTGTATTTTATTTTGGATATTTTGTATTGTCTTCAAGTTCACTAATCTTTTTTTTTTTTGCAATGTCTAATCTGTTATTGATCACATTAAATGTATTTTTTTATCTTATGTATTGTAGTTTTTACCTATAGAAGTTAATATGGGTCTTATTTAAATCTTCCATGTCTCCACCTAATAGTCTCAATATTCCTTCTAACTTTTTGAATGTATGGACATGAATGTAAGGCATGTAGAAGATTGTTATAGCATTGTATATAATGTAGTAGTAAGCTTTGGAAAACAGCCTAAATGTACAACAATAGAGGAATGGCTAAATATGACAATCTATATTATAAAATAATAGGCAGAAAGCAAAGAGAATCAAGCAATACTGCATGTTCTGATATGTAAAGAGCTCCAAAATGTATTGCTAAGTGAAAAAAAGTTGCAGAACAAATAGATACAGAATTATTCTCATGTTAAAAAATACATAACATACATATACACACACAAAACAATATTATTTTCTATGAACACAATGGTAGATAGACCCTATGATGACTCCCAGTGATCCTTAATTTCTAGTATTCATCCTTTTATATTGTTCCCACTCATACTGATTAGGACAGACCTGTGTAATCAAAAGAATTGTTGCAGAATTGATGGTGTGTGACTTTCAAGGCTAGGTCACAAAAGACATTTTTGTTTCTGCTATGCTTTCTTGAGCCACTTGTGCTAGTGGAAGCCAGCTACCACATTGTGAGTGTACTCAAGCAGACCTAATAAGTCATATTTCTTAGTATTTTTAGTATGATTGTGTCTCACACAATATCTGGGATATACTAATACTAAAATGTATTTGTTATTTATCTGAAATGCAAATTTAGCTGCCTATTCCATATTTTTATTTGCTAAATATGGCAACCTTAGATGGAGAGAAACTGAGGTTTGCCAATGCCCAATGACTGTCTCTTTATCCATGTGAGTGGAATGTTTGGAAAGTCCCAGTCAAGCCATCAAATGATTGCAGCCCCTGCATTCTTTTTATTTATTTATTTAGTTAGTTATTTGAGATGGAGTCTTGCTCTGTCATCTAGGCTGGAGTGCAGTGGTGCAGTCTCAGCTCACTGCAACCTCTGCCTCTGGGGTTCAAGCAGTTCTTCTGCCTCAGCCTCCCGAGTAGCTGGGATTACAGGCGCGCACCATCACGTCCGGCTAATTTTTGTATTTTTAGTAGAGACGGGGTTTCACCATGTTGGCCAGGCTGGTCTCAAACTCCCGACTTCAGGTGATTCGCCCGCCTCAGCTTCCCAAAGTGCTGGGATTACAGGCGTGAGTCACTGTGCCTGGCCTATTATTTATTTCTTTGAGACAGGATCTCACTGTGTTGCCCAGGCCGGAGCATAGTGGCGTGATCATCGTTCACTGCAACCTCAAACTTCTGGGCCCAGGCAATCTTCCTGCCTCAGCCTCCTGAGTAGCTAGGACTACAGCTGTGCACTGCCATGCCCAAATAATTTTTAAATTTTTTTTATAGAGATGGGGTCCCACTATGTTGCCTAGGCTGGTCTCAAACTCCTGGCCTCAAGCAATCCTCCTGCCTTGGCCTCTCAAAATGCTGGGATTACAGGCATAAGCCACCATGCCTGGCTCCCTGCCAACATCTTGACTGCAACTTCATAAGACAGAACCACTCAGCTAAACCACTCTGGAATTCTTGACCCCCCCAGATATTGTGTGAAATAGTAAATATTTATCATTGTTTTAAGCCACTAAGTTTTGGAGTAATTTCTTATGCAGCAATAGATAACTAACACAGGTACGTATGCACTTAAATACATGCACAAAGAGAGATTTGGATAAACTTTAATCCTCTGGGAAGGGATTGACTTTAGGGGTTGGAGTTTAGGGCAACCTAATCTATCTATCTATCTATCTATCTATCTATCTATCTATCTATCTATCTATCTAGAGAATGTAATTATGAGGAAGGAAAAATACATGCTATCCAAATATTAACAATGTCTGTCAACTGATGTATGGATAAACAAGTGTGGTATTCCATACAATGGAGTATTGTTCAGCCACAAAAATGCTTACAATACAATACAGCATTTCATGCTTATAACTGTTCATGCTTATAACATAGATGATTGTTGAAAACATGGAAAGTGAAAGAGGCCAGAATAAAACACCACATAAAACCTGTGAGATAATAAATGTTTCTTGCTTTAAGCCACTACATTTTGGGGTAATTCGTTACATAGTGATATGTAACCAATACGGTGGGTTTGTAAATACTGGTGTGAATAAAGGAGTATAGAGAAATGTCTAGCACATAACAGGACACCATAATAAATGTTGGCTGGTATGAGTGGAAAAGATGTGTCCAGTCCCAGAGATTATCCCTTGTGGGAGACCCGGGACAAGGAGGAGAAGGGCACAAGGGTACGACCTCAGCACTCACGCCAGCTGGACAGAGCCGCCTCAGGTCACCCTCTGCCTGTTCTGGAGGAAGAGGACATGAAACACACAAACACTCCCTCACCCCTTAATCTACATCTTCTCCTCTTAGGGTACCATCACCTTGTCCATAGCATAGAGTTATGTAAATACTAGTTATACAATATGTAACTAGTATATAACTAGTAACTATTTATGTAGCCGATACATAGTAATTCAGTAGCTGATATTTCCAGTTGCCCGTCTTCTACAGGGAACCGTCTCTTTGCCTCAAAGCAAACAGCCCCCAGCCCTGCCTGCAGGGAAGGCCTGGGTATGAGAGAAGGGATTACCTTTCTCCTGCTCTGCTTCTGTGCTGGGAGTGAACCCCTTCCCTGTTCTCTAGGGAGAGGGCTTCTTCCCATTCAGAGGAAAACATGTCTGTGACTCCTGTCCCTTCCTCAAGGGAAGGAAATATGACCAGTGTGTCTCCAGTCTGTGTGCACAATCCTTTTAATGGGAAAAAATTCCCAAGGACTCCTGGTGTTGACCAGTCAATTTTGTTGTAATATTACTTAAGTATGTAACCATGTATAACTATATGCATATAGCTCTTATGTGACTATAAAACTCAAAGCAAATTTACAAACTAAATACAAACAGAATTGCAAAACCTGTAAAATTCAAATGAAAAAACACAAATGTATTTTTTTCTTTTTGTATCTAAGTCACACCTCCTGCCAGTAATGAGCACCTGTCAGCCAGAGCACAGGTTCTCCCTGGACATGCTGTGCTGGGGCATGCCAGGTGGGCCACTCACTTCTTCCCACAGTTTTCCTTGATTTGAACCCTTACAAATCTTCCCTTCTAACAACACATCTTGGGGTCATTTGGTTTCCACGTGGTGTGAGCACATCATTTAGGTATCAGGTCTATCTCTGTGTGTGTGTGTGTTTTCCCTCCTCATTAGCTCTGAATAATTAAAGTAGCCAAAGCCACAGGTAAATAAATACAAATGGGGCCACTGGAACTGGGAGGCAGCTCTTTGTTTTAAGATGGCCATAGACAGAGTATCAGTCTGCCACCCAGGCTGGAGTGCAGTGGCGTGATCTCGGCTCACTGCAACCTCTGCCTCCTGGATTCAAGCAAATTCTCCTGCCTCAGCCTCCTGAGTAGCTGGGATTACAGGCACCTGCCAACATGCCCGGCTACTTTTTGTATTTTTAGTAGAGACGGGGCTTCACCATGTTGGCCAGGCTGGTCTCGAACTCCTGATCTCAGGTGATTCGCCCACCTTGGCCTCCCAAAGTGCTGGGATTACAGGCGTGAGCCACCGTGCCCAGCCCAGAGTTCATTTTAAAAAATACAGCAAATGAAAACACCAAATAATTTATTTTAGTGATTCTTATACCCCCAAGAACACCTGAGTTAAAAATAAACTGGTATAGGAGAAAAGCAGTTGTCTCTGACGTGGTGGCCCTCACTTTCTGCTCTGTTCCTTAGCAGAGGATTAAAGGAAATGAAAGTGTGTCTATGAAAGTGCTTGCCAAACTATCAAGCACAATCAAAATGTAAACTCTTACGCTTAGAAGGAAGGGTACAAAGTAATTTGAAGTCACATTGTCACTTGGCCAGATCCCTTGTGGCAGCCTCAGTTTTCTCATCTGGAAAGTAGGAATAAAAACTATTACCTCGAGGACTAAGTGATGACATAGGCAAAAGCACTTTATGAATTTAGCAAATGTTTAGGGAGCTCCTCCCTTGGGCCAGGCACATGGCTTTTCTTCCTTTCTCTCTCTGGGCCTCATTTTTCATCTAGGAATTGCAGCGTTTGGGCTGAGGGCTCTCTTTGTTCCTGCCACTCTGACTTAGCCTTTAGGTTTCTGTCTGCAGTTATAATTCAATCAATCAATCAATGCAAACTTACTGATCATCAGTCAGGTGCCCTGTGCTGTGAAGGCCACAGAGAAGCAGAAATCAAATAAACATTTACCAGCTTTGTACTTTTATCATCTTGAAAATTAGAGTCCCTGGGGTTTTTGTTGTTGTTTACTTTTATTTTATTTTATTATTTTATTATTTATTTATTTTTGAGATGGAGCTCGCCCCGTCACCCAGGCTGGAGTGCAGTGGTGCAATCTCGGCTTGCTGCAACCTCCGACTCCCAGGTTCGAGTGATTCTCCTGCCTCAGTCTCCCGTGTAGCTGGGATTACAGGTGCCAGCCACCACACCCGGCTAATTTTTATATTTTTAGTAGAGACGAGATTTCGCCATATTGGCCAGGCTTGTCTCAAACTCCTGACTTCAGGTGATCTGCCTGCCTCGGCCTCCCAAAGTGCTAGGATTACAGGCGTGAGCCACTGCGCCTGGCCTATTTTTATTTTTTATTTTTATTTTTACTTTGAGACAGAGTCTTGCCCTGTCACCCAGGTGGGAGTGCAGTGGCGTGATCTCAGCTCACTGCAACCTCTGCCACCTGGGTTCAAGAAATTATCCTGCCTCAGCCTCCTGAGTAGCTGGGATTACAGGCGCACGCCACCACACCCGGCTAATTTTTGTATTTTTAATAGAGACGGGGTTTCACCATGTTTGTCAGGCTGGTCTCGAACTCATGACCTCAGGTGATCCAACCTGCCTTGGCCTCCCAAAGTGCTGGGATTGCAGGCGTGAGCCACTGTGTCTGGTTACCTATTTTTATTTTTAATGTTTTTTTTAATTGACAAGTAAATATTGTATGTATTTATGGTGTGCACCATGATGTTCTGACATATGTATACATTGGGGAAGGAGCCCTAGTCTTGAAAAGAAGTGTCGTAAAGCAGCTCGTGCCTGGCACTTTTCAGTAATGTTTAGTTTCGTCCCAGCAAAGTCCCAATTCATTTCATGGTACCTTTGGTTGTTTGTCACTACAGTGTAAAGTTCTGGAAAGAGCGATCCATATTGTAATCCCCTTTGTGTTCACACTGCCCAGCGCAACGTTTTGGGCACAGGTGCTCAACCATTAAGTTTTGAACGAATGTAGTTGAACTCTCATGGAGAAGCAGCACCATCTTCTGGCTGAAGTGGGTAATGCTGCACAGGGCCAGAGAGCGGCTCAATTAGAGGCTGGCAATCAGAGGCTGGCAATGGATGCGCGCGTGTGTGCGTGTGAGCGTGTGTACATGTGTATTCAAGTGGAGATGAATGCACTCTTTCCTCAACTTTGCCATCCTCTACTATCAGAGTTTTAGCCTGAGGATGGTTGAGGCATCCTGGCCTCTAGAGCGAGAAGTTTGCTTTAGGGAAAACCTAATCTGAATTCACCCGTCTGCAATGCGGCGAATCAGGCCCAGAGAAGTTAAGGCTGGCTCAGGGTCACCCTGCAAGGTGGTGGCAGGGCCAGGCTGGAGTCTTCACTCCTGACTCTTCATCCAGGACTCTCAGAATTCCAGGGACCACTTTCCTCCTGAATGCTGAAGTTTTTGCCTTCCTAAAGCCATAATCTTTGTAGTGGATGTAGAACTCGGGAAAAGTCATTTGGTTATTAATGGTTGCAGACAGGGAGCAAAGATGGCAAGTTGAAGGAAAAAGCATTTATTTATTGAACATGCTATGTGCCAGGTACTCTGTATGTACAGACTACCATTTGTACAATGGAGATAATAATAGCAGCTCTTTCAGAGCATTGTTGTAAATAAAGTAATATAAATGTAGTAATATATGTAAAATGCTTACATATACTTAAAGTTGCTGGAATATCACGAGCACTCATATGTTTTAGTTTCTACGTCAGTTAGCTTTTCTTGGATGCAATTATTTGGAAACAGTCTGATCCTTTTAGGTCTTGCTTTTGTTAGGGACCTCCAGAGGAGTGTTCTGTCTAGGACCAATTATTCCCCACTATTGAGGCATGGCCTTCCTGCATATTCTACTCAATTCCAGTCTAGCTGGAGGCAGCGGGCACTGTTTCTGGCTCTGTGTGAGTCCTGGGCACTGTTCTCTCCTCCTTTCAGAAGGACCTCGGGTGGTTTCATCACACGCACGAGCTGATGAGTACACTGCTGAATACTTGAGGGGCACCCTCTGCACATCTCTGAGGCTCTCTGTGCAGCTCTCTCCTCCCCAGTACTCTGTCCTAAGAACTCTGGCCACCTTGATCTCCTGGGACTCTGCTGTGTCTCCTCAACTCAGAAGCTCCCTGGCTCCACCTGGGTTCCCTTTGTCTGTACTGTGGCCTGGAAACATTTTTCTAGGCTGTGAGCTGGGGTTGTCGTGGAGTTCATGTGGTTTTCCCATCTCTCGCATCACCATCCTTTGTGATCCACCCAATGTCCAGATTCTTGCCTGGTTATTCTAGCTGTTTCATGCAGGAAGATAAATCAGGTTCCTGTTACTTCATCTTGGGCAAAGCCTAAGCCCATCAATTGATTTTACAGCTTTAAACAGCAGCCATCTATTTACTCACGATTGGCAGGTTGGTGATTTGGGCTGAGCAGTTCTGCTGGCCATGGCTGGGCTCACTCCTGGGCCTGCAGTCAGCCTCATGTCAGCGAGGTGGCTCTGTTTCCTGGGCATTTGCTGGCTGTTGACTGGAGTGAAGAAAGCAACTGGGCCATGTGTCTCTCCTCCTCCAGCAGGCTAGCCTGGGCTTGTGGGTTCCTAGAGCATAAGAGAGCAAGCCCCTGTGATGAGCACTTTTCACGTCTATTCTAGAATCACTTTTGCTATTGTCCCTTTGTCCAAAGACAATGATCCACCCAGATCCAAGGGGTTGAGAAATGGACTTCACCTCTTGATGGGAGGAACTAGGAGGTCCCACTGCAGGGGCATAGGTACAGGTAGGCAAGAATGCATAGCCATTTTTGCCATGCCTATCATAGCTATTCCTATTCCTTTGTAAGCCTCACAAGAAGCCAGGAGGTTGATCTTATTATCGACAATTTACGGAAGAGAAAACTGAGGCTCAGAGAGGTTGAGAGACTTGCATAAGATCTCACAGCTAGTAGGAAGCAAAGCCAGGATTTGGACCAGGGTCTGCCTGCCTCTGAGCCTGGTGTGGTGTGTGTGTGTGATTCTGTATTCAACACCATCAACTGTTTATCCTTGGCCCTGGTCCCTGATGTGAGGCACTCCCTGAAGCTGCCCATGCTCCAGATCCTTCCTGACACTCTCCCACTCCCAACCCCAAACAGAAGGCCATGGCCCTGGGCCCCTCCTGTCAGTGCCTGTGGGGCCTGTGGACACTGAAGGAGATGTCTGTGTGTCAGTGTCTCTGTGTAGGGGAGCTCACGGGGCTGATGACCTATGTCCCCAGCTAGCGTGTTCCTCAGTGGGTCGTGAGTTCCTTCCTCTCTATGCTCCTCTGTTACTCCTGCCTGGGCTGTTTCAAAAGCCTCCTCACCTCCCTGGCTTCCCTGTCCCCATCCCTCCCTCGGGTTGAAGCCAGGTGGGCCCTTGAGGGTCCACGCTTGATGGCAGTGCTCTTCCATCCTCGGTCCTTCAGTGGCTTCTGATTTTTTTCCTAGATAAACACTAAATTCATTTTCCCAGCACCCAGTCCTTCCACGATCTCACCCTAACCTACTTTTGTGCTTTATTTCTGAACACCCATGCTAATGTCCTCCGTTATTGAGTCAAGGGCACCATGGCTTTGTCCCCCTGGGCTGGCCCCTGGGTGGTCCTTCCCTCCATCTCCACACACCCACTCCTCCTGCCTCCTGCACCACCCACCTGCGCTCCAGGCTGTGTGTGATGTCTGATCATTTCATTCAGGCCCCAACTTCCTGAGAGGGCGGACTGTCTTATTTGTGTTTGACCAACTGAGAAAGCCCAGGCCTGGGAGGGGATTGGGAGGACTCTCTGGCTTTGTGTGGTACTCTCAGCCCAGTGAGAGGCACGGGAGCCTTCCTGGGACCTCCTGCTATTCTAGCCCAAGATTGGTGCTGCAACGAAGCAACTGGACCCCTGTGGCTGAATAGCACCCTGTGGACTCCGTAGATATGTCCACTGCTCCTCGTGACCTTGGGGGAGGGGAGAGAGTGCCCATAAAGGCTAAGTGTGTATGCACCAGTGGGGTAGCAGAGAAGTTGGGGCAGGCCATGAAGTGGTGTGGAGGGGCTCAGACCAGGGGCCAGTGAGGGGCACTGCTTTTGGTTGGGGTAGTCACCAATGCTGCTCACTGAACATTTCTTTTCCCCTCCAGGCACGCATTGAGGTAGGTGGACCACGCACTTACCTTGACTAATGGAATGTGGATGAGTGACGTCTGTCACATCTAGGTGGGAGCTGTAAGAACCCATGCTGAATTGCCACAACCCCTACCCACCAAGATGAATGAAGTCTCATTAACCTGGGTTCCCAAGGGATGAAGATAAGCAGATCCAACTGCCCTCCCATGCCCAACATGAGATTTGGGGTTCATTTGTTACAGTGACATAACGAACCCATCCTGAAGGTACACTTGAAGAGGGCAGGATTTCAGAAGTTGAAGGAAGTGGAGAGAAAGCCTTAGTGGATTTCCTGGCACATGTGTCGGCCTCAGAGAAGGCCTGGAGGGAAGGGGAGGGGTCTGGGAAGACAGAGACTACTTTTGGCTCTCTGCCTCTCTCCAGTTGACCCTAGTTCTTGGGATTTGGGGATGGTAACACTGATGTTTCCCCATAATGCAACCATGCTCCATCTCCCCAGACCTGGATTAGAATCTTGGCTTGGCCATGCACTGGCTTTAGCCTTGGGCAACTCACCTTAGCTCTGTTATGATTCAGGTTCCTTGTCTGTAAAAGGGATTGGAGAGCACCTATCTTGAGGATTTGAGGTAACACATATAAAACACTCTTCTTTTCATGTGGTGGACACTCACTAGCTGGCTGCTGATTTTTATTCTTTTTCTTCTCAATCTACTATTCCCAGTGGTGGGGTGGGGAGTGGGAGAGATGGACTACAGCCATCTGAGACCACCCTCCCCACTCACCTCACTTTGCTCAGCTGGCCTGAGCTATTGATGTTGCCAAGACAATGATGACATGTGGACCATCCCCAAAAGATGCTGTGGTCTGTGATCAGACCCTTTGGTCTGCCTGAGTGTGAGTGTGTGTGTACACACACACATGCATGCACAGGCAGCCAAAGTCAGAAAAAACAATGGCCTGAAATTAGCAAAAAAAAAAAAATTGTTTCTGGAAAAATTTGCACCAACTGCTTGGGAATCTGAAGATAAAGGCAGGCACAGGCCAAGTCAGAGATCAATGGGCCTAAAGCAAGTAATGGCAATGATGATGATGGTGATAGTGATGGTGATGGTGATAATGATGGTGATAATGGTGATAGTGATGGTGTCAGTGATGGTGATGATGGTGATGGTGACAGTGATGATGGTGATGATGGTGATGCTGCCGATGATGGTGATGCTGGTGATAGTGATGGTGATGATGGTGATAGTGACGGCGATGATGATAGTGATGACGGTGATGGTGACAGTGACAGTGATGGTGATGATGATGGTGGTGATGGTGATGTGACAGTGATGGTGATGATGATGGTGATGGTTACAGTGATGATGATGGTGAGGATGATGGTAACTACATTTGTTGAGCTCCAGCAGATGGATGTAATGGTTCAGAGCCGGTCTCTGATGTCAGCAAACCCTGGGTTTGAATCCTCTTCTGTTTCTCCAGGACTTGAGAGGCATATTGGTTAACCTCTCAGTTACTCTTTGGTAAATGTGGAAATAGTAGTCCTTACCTTTTAGGCTTGTGAAGATGAAACGAGATAACATGTGAATTCTCAGCTTGGAGCCCAGTATACAGCAGCACTCAGTATGTGGCGAATTTTGTTAGGACAATATTACTCTTGGGCTAGGTACTGTGCTGAGCACTTCACATACATCTCCCCAAAAGGCTGTCATGATAGTATTAGGATCCTCATTTTGCAGCTGAGGAAACAGAGAACAGAGCCTGCATAGCATCCCAAAGTCACTTAGCTTCTAAGTAAAAACCAGAATTTGAACCCTGGTTGATCTTACTCCAAAGCCTTAGCCTTAGGTATAAAGGCTTGTGGTAGGTTTTTCATGATAGCAAAATATTAAAAATATAATTACCACCAGTAGGGGATTGGTTAAACAAGTTACAGGACATCCTCACAATACACACAGTTGCAAACAAAGTATTTAGGAAGATTTTCAAGATATGTTAAGAGAAAGAACACAGTATAGAACAGTGTACAGTATATTACTATTTCTATAAAAGAGGGTGATTAATATATAAATGTATGTGTTTGTTTATATATGCACAGGACACACAAGAAACCAATGACATTAGTTGCCTATCAGGAAGGGAACTAGGTGGCAGGGTGACATGGATGGGAGGGATACTTTACTATGTACCTTTTTTTTTTTTAGATGAAGTTTCACTCTGTCACCCAAGCTGGAGTGCAGTGGCACGAACTTGGATCACTGCAACCTCCGCCTCCCAGATTCCAGTGATTCTCCTGCCTCAGCCTCCCGAGTAGCTGGGATTACAGCCGTGCACCACCACGCCCAGCTAATTTTTGTATTTTTAGTAGAGATGGGGTTTCACCATGTTGGCCAGGGTGGTCTCGAACTCCTGATCTTGTGATCCACCCACCTTGGCTTCCCAAAGTGCTGGGATTACAGGCACGAGCCACCATGCCTGGCTACTACCCTTTTATATTTTTGTGTGTGTGGAGATGTGTGTGTGTTTTTTGTGGTTCAGAGCTGATCTGTAAATTAATATGTAAATAATTAACGTGATTTCACTGACTTCATTTTTTATCACCCTCCCCCACTCTCAGTCCCTACAGCTTGGGTTCTTGTGTTCCTCAAACATTCATTCCAGCCCAGGGCCTTTAAACTTGATTTTCTCCATGAGACCCTCTTCCCCTGATCCTTGCCTTTCCTTCACCACATTCAAGTCTCTGCCCAGATGCCATCCTTCAGAAAGGCCTTTCCTGACCATGTGACCCGAAATAACCACCACTGTTCATTGTTGCTTTATTTTCTTTACATCACTATGCACTGTCTCAAATTATATTATTCTGTTTTTCTGTGTATTTACTTGTTTCTTTTCTATTTCCCCCACTAGAATGTAAGTTCCAGTAGGACGAAGATTTTTTTCTGTTATATATCTTAGTGTATGATACATGATAGATGCTTAATAAATATTTGCTGGTGGAATTAATGAGCAGATAAGCATAACCTTTCTCTGTGATATTTATCACAGATAAATATGTTAATTTATTAATCAGTTAATTGAACATATATTTATCGAATGTCTAACATATTATAAAACAGTCAAAAGTCCCCATCCTCATGGGGCTTTTATTCTTATTGATTGAGTCATTTATTTACTGACACACAACTACAAGCCAGGCTCTATGCTAGGTACTTCAGAAGAGACAATGACAAAAAGCAGGTGTTTTTCCTTTAAGACATTTGTACTTGTTTAAGGAATAGGGATGGGAGTGGGAGTAGGAGTGGGAAAAGATTTGGTTGCACAGTACAAAATCTGAAACGTTAGGTGCCGTAGGGCTGGGAATGAAGACAGGGGAAGAAAGACCTTATTTGCATTCTCTGATGTCTTAGGCTCTAGGGAGAGTGATGGAAATGGGAGTAGGAGTGGGGAAAGATTTGGTTGCACAGTACAAAATCTGAGATGGTGCTGTAGGGCTGGGAATGAAGACGAGGGAGAAAGACCTTATTTGCATTCTCTGATGTCTTAGACTCTAGGGAGAGTGACAGAAATCAGAAGAGAAGAAGAAGTGTTGATGGACAAACAAGTGGTCCAGAATTTTAACAGAAGAAAACAGGAAAAATTGTATTAGACTTTACTTTCTACCAGAGATGCAGGCAGGAAGCAGCCCTATGTAGCGCCTACTGTCATACTCATAAGACACCAGCTACACACCATGAAACAGGGACCTCAGTCACAAAACATCCTGTCTGAAAGGTTCATGCATGTCACACAATAGGGGCTTAAATAAATATTTGTTGGGTGAATTGAGCACATAAGTGCAACCCTTTGCTGTAATAAATTTGTTAATTAATTGAACAAAAATTTATTCAGTGCCTACTATGTGATATTTTGTGGGGAGGAGTTTTCTAAGCCCGACTTGGAGGAAGACCATGGATTTAACCTGCAAGGTGTCCACTGCCAGCCTTGACGGGCCCTTCTGGAGGAACTTGCAGGGTGAGGTGAGCGTTGGGAGCTTTTTTAGGTGTCTGTAGCCATGTGCTACTGTCCATGGTCCTGAAACACCACCATTGCTCTTTAGGACACGAATTCTTCTTCTAGCACAAGAACATTGGTGACTTGTGTCCAGCATCTTTCAAAAATCCTGAAACAGGTAAGGAAGAAGAAGGTAGAGGAATATAGGATATGCGGGTGGGAAGAGAATACACAGAGGCTCTTAGAAAGGCACAGCCCCAAGAGAGTGTCAGGGAGTTCTTTGGCTTTGAAATATTAATATGTATTCACTTCCACCATGAAGGAAACCACCCTAGACCTAGAACACGGCCAAGACACTGTAAAGCTGAAGAATAGGGAGAAATTTCTGCATGAGGCTAAGCAAAGGTGACTATGAACAATATTGGGACGGCAATATCAAGATGGCTCAAGTGAAATACTAGTTATTATATCAAAGAGTTCATAATAAAATTAAGCCATATGGAGAATTTTACATATTTATTACATACTCATTATATAATATGTATAATATATAAATTACATATTTTATGTCATATATAATACATTGTATATATTTTATATGTAATGATAATATACACTATATGTAATATTCCTCATAACATATTCATTATAAAATTAAGCCATATGGAAAAGTTTAAAGAAGAAACAAACCACCCAGTTCTGTCACTCTGAAATATGATAGTTCAGGCCGGGCGTGGTGGCTCACGCCTGTAATCCCAGCATTTTGGGAGGCTGAGGCAGGCGGATCACAAGGTCAGGAGTTCGAGACCAGCCTGACCAACATGGAGAAACTCTGTCTTTACTAAAAATACAAAAATTAGCTGGGCGTGGTGGCGCACGCCTGTAATCCCAGCTACTCAGGAGGCTGAGGCAGGAGAATCTCTTGAACCCAGGAGGCAGAGGTTGCAGTGAGCTGAGATCGTGCCACTGCACTCTAACCTGGGCAACAGAGCGAGACTCCACCTCAGAAAAAAAATATGATAGTTCATCAAATCTAGGTTTTGATTATACTTCAAATCATTTTTTGTATCACTAAAAAAAACCTACCAATTAAACCATAACAAAATGCTTTACATAATCTAGAGTTTTTATTAAAAGAACTGTTTTAAACTTGTATAAATATATATTTTATAGCATGTTACTCATATACAAACATAAACAAAAAATATAAGAAATAAATTGGTCCAATATATTTCTAAAACACCTTCACATTTAGCGTTCAACTCTTCTGAATCACCTTTTGGCTCAGTCGTTGTGTGTGTGTGTGTGTTTGTGTGTGTGTGTGTGTGTGTGTGTGTGTGTGAATACAATATCCTTTGTGCATCAAGAGTATCAATGATGCAGCATTTCTTAAAAGAGTGCTCAGCTTCACGCCTGCAATCCTAGGCCTTGGGAGGCCAAGGCGGGCGGATCATGAGGTCAGGAGATCAATACCATCCTGGCTAAC
This sequence comes from Homo sapiens, assembly GCF_000001405.40. Lineage (NCBI taxonomy): Eukaryota > Metazoa > Chordata > Mammalia > Primates > Hominidae > Homo > Homo sapiens. The sequence continues at coordinate 58,121,816 of NC_000017.11, forward strand.
ACTGTGAAACCCTGTCTCTACTAAAAATACAACAAATTACCCAGGTGTGGTGGTGGGCGCCTGTAATCCCAGCTACTCGGGAGGCTGAGGCAGGAGAATCACTTGAACCCGGGAGGCAGAGGTTGCAGTGAGCCGAGATCACACCACTGCACTCCAGCCTGGGCAACAAGAGCGAAACTCCGTTTCAAAAAAAAACAAAAAAACAAAAACGAGTGCTCAGCTATTGTCTCTGGACTTTATTTCCAAGGCACTGCTTGGAGTTTTGATGCTGGAACTTGCTTGATCTTACCAGAAGATGTCAGCAATGACAACTACTTCATGGCTGCCACCTGGCTGTCAGCCATTGTGTGGTCACTAGATTTCAGAGTTGTTTATATGTGAAAAAAAAAAAATCAGTATTTTAGAATGGGTGAAGACAGTAACTGGTAAACATTATTTCAAATATCTTTCTGTGCTTATAAACAACAAGAAGAATAAATGGATAGAAAGAGAAAGTTTTACATAAGGTTAGACAAAAATGATTTTGTAAAAATTAATCACTACATTTTATCAAAAATGCAAATTAAGCTTCTGAAATTTTAATGAAATTCAACAGAAGAAAAATAAATTGAAGTAGATCTGAAGGAATGGCTATAATTTAAATAATGTTTCCACCCCAGGAGATATTAATTACTAAAAGGATTCTTATAAGGGTAAGGACAAGTGGTTATAAAAACCATAAAATCATAAAGAGGTTGGAGTCATTGATTTTTCAAACCTCACACATTTCGATTTCAGACAGTATTGATTGATCCCCCGCTATAAAAGGTGAGATGGTTAGCACAGTTACACTTCCTCCCTCCTCCCTTTGCCAATCTCCCAATTTTGTTGCTTATGTTGATTTTTCTCTTGTTGGGATTTATATTATTTATATTCTGTTTTGTAATTGTAATTCCTAGCATTTATAATTAGTGTGTAAAGCTGACTTCCCAATCTTTTTGCACTGTCTTCATTTTTTTTTTTTTTTTGAGACAAGAGTTTCGCTCTTGTTGTCCACGCTGGAGTGCAATGGCGCAATCTCAGCTCACTGCAACCTCCATCTCCCAGGTTCAAGCGATTCTCCTGCCTCAGCCTCCCAAGTAGCTGGGATTACAGACATGCACCACCAAGCCTGGCTAATTTTGTGTTTTTTTTTTAGTAGAGATGGGGTTTCTCCATGTTGGTCAGGCTGGTCTCGAACTCCTGGCCTCAGGTGATTCACCCACCTCGGCCTCCCAAAGTGCTGGGATTACAGGCGTGAGCCACCGCATCCGGCTCTTCTTCATTTTTAAGTCCTTTTGGCTTTGTAATGACATCTTTTCAAAGTAAGACATGCACATAGTTTAAAAAGTCAAGTTTTACCACTTGGCCCTAAATGAAAAATTGCATTTCTCTGCTCCCTATTTTCACTTATCCAAACCTCACAGCTCTGAGGGAGTAATCCCTACCTTTTACAACGATCTCCTTTGTTGTCATGTTCACAGCCCCCAAACAGTGACTTCTTGCTATGGCAGCTGAGCTTTTCGATGATTTACTAGACCTCTCCTAACACACATATACATACACTCAGCATCCTCTCATCCTCCACATATAATTATCACCACTTTTCATTAAATCAAGATCCAGTGCAGAGGCCTGCCAACATATGTGACAGCTGTACTGGATCATTTTTTATCACCTAGGAGGTGATAAAAATATAATAATCATGAAATAAAACAAATATGTAATAGTAAGGAAAAGAAACAGTGAACCTTTTTTATTGAACTTCATATAACTAATAACAGTAAAAAATAAAAAATGAATATTGCAGTACTAAAAAAGGAAAAGCAATCATCCTAATATTGCGTCTTTTTTAGTGTAGGTGCCTTGGATGCACCAGCTTGTAATTTTTTAGCTTTTTCAGTAACTTTATGTAATGTTGAAGGTATTATACATTTCAAGATAGAGCCATACATTGCTTTTTTACATTTTTTCCTTACTGAAGTCCACTGGATTAATATTGTTTCATGTTAGTATGGGTACCTCACTTCAAGTTTCTTTATAAAATTCAGAGTAATTACAAACTGAATCAGTTGCTGGTTTCACAACAATATTACAAATGACCGCAAGTTCTTCCAAGCTCCTGCAGGACAAAAAGCACAACTATTTATCAAAGAATTCTTATATCTATGTAACAGAATTTTTGTCTTTAGTTACAATCTGATATATTAATATTTTAGGTTAGTAATTGTTCAATAACTATTAAGTGATCTTTAAAAATAAAACAAATGTCTCCAAAGGGTACCATTTAGGAAAGTACTAATAATAACACTAATTATACATTACATTTTTCTGGATTCATTCTTTAGTTTTAAAAACTAATAATTAATGGCCGGGCGCGGTGGCTCACGCTTGTAATCTCAGCACTTTGGGAGGCCGAGGCCGGTGGATCATGAGGTCAGGAGATAGAGATCACCCTGGCTAACGTGGTAAAACCCCGTCTCTACTAAAAATATAAAAAAATTAGCTGGGCATGGTGGCGGGCGCCTGTAGTCCCAGCTACTCGGGAGGCTGAGGCAGGAGAATGGCGTGAACCCGGGAGGCGGAGGTTGCAGTGAGCCGAGATCCCACCACTGCACTCCCAGAGCGAGACTCCGTCTCAAACCAAACAAAAAAAAACAAACAAAAAAACCTAATAATTAAAAAAAAAGAATAAATTTTAGGCCAGGCACAGTGGCTCACCCCTCCAGCACTTTAGGAGGCCGAGGCAGGTGGATCACCTGAGGTCAGGGATTCGAGACCAGCCTGACCAACATGGCGAAATCCTATCTCTACTAAAAATACAAAAATCAGCTGGGTGTGGTAGCGGGTGCCTGTGGTAGCGGGTTCCAGCTACTCAGGAGGCCGAAGCAGGAGAGTTGCTTGAACCCGGGAGGCGGAGGTTGCAGTGAGCTGAGATGGCACCATTGCACTCCAGCCTGGGCAACAAGAGCGAAACTCCGTCTCAAAAAAATTTTTTTAAAATTATTTAAATTAAGTAAAGCATATCATATATGAACAAAAACTGGCATTTACCAACCAAAAATATTATATTGTACCTTTTTGTTTGCACTGTTTCATTATTTTTAAACTCCAAGTGATTTGCACAGAATGACAAGATGAAGTAACTCAAGTTCTGTTTCTTTGTCGTTACAATACTGTGCTTGAATTATTTTTAATCTACTGTTTAAAAGCAGGAATGTGTGGTACCACAGGGGTAGAGACATAAACTGCACTAGAAATGAACCTGAACAATGATTCTGAACTATTATAAGTTTACTCTCAAACAATTGCCTGTAGCTGAATCTGTGTGTGTTGAAGATGGAATGTACAACTGGGAGTTGCTCAATTAGCTTTCATGTAAAACATAAAATGTTTATTAAAGGATAAATAATAAGAATGTGTTCATTTGAAGCTTGCAAATATAATGTTAAAGCTCAACAGTAATTTCAGAAATTATTTATAAATTATAAATTAGACAAACAAAAAATTTTCAGTGGGGGGAAAGAAGAATTTTATAATTGACACTATTTAGAATTGCTAGTGCACAGTGACAATGAAAACCACACTGACTTCTAGTTTTGTGATAGTTTTAAAGTTACCCTCAGTAATGCACTTCTTATTGCCAGCGCTTGAGGCAGACCGCTCTCACCATCCATCTTTGGTATGCCATTGGTTCGGCGTTTATATTATCAAGGTAATGCAATTAATATTGATAGTTGAGTCATAAACTGTACTATAATTACATTCCAACTTTTTTACTTCCTGAAGTTAATAATTGCCTCTTTTTTTGTTTGTGTTGTTTTCTATACACTAGTTCATTCTGAAATTTTCCACCAGAACTGAAAATCTTCTTTGAATTTTTGTTCAGACACCCCAAATGATCTATCAATTCTGCTTTTCTCTTGATATCAGTCCTCTGGGAGCAGTACATCATCCTACCACAAACTGGACAGGTTACTTCTTAAACACATTGTCTTCCTGGAAGCAGTTATCTTCCTGGCACTTCTCTTCACCACTGCCTAAGAAGTTTCCATCATTTTCCTTTTGTGTTGATTCTCACGTCTGGATCCCGTGTTTTCCTTCTTTATTCTCTTCATCATGCCGTCACAAAAGCACATCTTTCAGTAGCTTTTGGAGAAAGGGTGTGTGGGAGGTAAATTTTTAAAACCTGGCATATCTGAAAATATCTTTGCCTTTACAGCTTTATGTTTTCATTTTAATTTTGAATTAACATTCAGTAAAGTTGACTTTGTAGACAATTTTATAATTTTTTTTTTTTGAGATGAGGTCTTGCTCTGTCACTGGAGTGCAGTAGAATGATCACAGCTCACTGCAGCCTTGACCTCCCAGGCTCAAGCGATCATCCCACCTCAGCCTCCCAAGTCACTGGGAGGCTGCCACCACACCTGGCTAATGAAAACAGTTTTTTAAATTTTGGTAGAGACAGGGTCTCAGTATGTTGTCCAGGCTGGTCTCAAACTCCTGGACTCCAGCAATCCTCCTGCCTTGGCCTCCCAAAGTGCTAGGATTACAGATGTAAGCTACCGTGACTGGTCACAGTTTTATGAATTTTAACACACGTTGATTTAGGTAAGCACCACAAGATACAGAAGAGTTTCATTACCTCCGAAAACTCCCTCATGCTACCCCTTTGTAATCACACTGTCCTTCCCATCCCTAAGTCTTGGCAACCACACATCTGTTCTCTATCACTATAGGCTTGTCTTTTTGAGAATGTCATATCAATGGAATCATACAGCATGTAACATTTTAGGACTAACTTCTTTCATTCAATAATGCCTTTGAGATTCATCTAAGTGGTTGCATGTATCAACAGTTCATTGCTTTTTCTCACTGAGGAATGTTAGGTTTATCTATTTACCACTGAAGGACATGGGGTTGTTTCCAGTTGTTTATTGTTGTTTTGGAAATTATAAATGGAGCCATTACAACTATTTATTTACAGGTTTTGGTGCGAATATAAGCTTTTAAGTTTTCTAGGGTAAATACCTAAGAATTGTTGTCATATTATAAAGTGTATTTAACTTTATAAGACTGCCAAACTGTTTTCCAGAGTGGCAATATCATTTTGTAATCCCACCAGCAATGTCAGAGTTCTAGTTGCTTCTCATCCTAGTAAGCACTTGGTATTGTCAGTATTTTAATATTTTTAAGTATGTGTGGGGGGGGTGTTTGTTTGTTTGTTTGTTTTTTGAGACATAGTCTCACTGTGTCACCCAGGCTGGAGTGCAGTGGCGCGATCTCGGCTCACTGCATTTCCGCCCCCCGAGTTCAAGCAATTCTACTGCCTCAGCCTCCCATGTAGCTGGAATTACAGGTACAGGTGTGTGCCATCACATTCAGCTAATTTTTGTACTTGTAGTAGAGTCTTGTCATTATGAACTGGTCTTGAACTCCTGGCCTCAAGTGATCTGCCCGCCTTGGCCTCCCAAAGTGCTGGGATTATAGGTGTGAGCCACCGTGCCCGGCCAAACTTTTATTTATTTAGTTTAATTTTTACTTACTTATTTATTTGTTTGAGACGGAGTATCACTCTGTCACCCAGGCGGGAGTGCAGTGGCGTGATCTCAGTTCACCGCAACCTCCGCCTCCTGGGTTCAAGAGATTCTCCTGCCTCAGCCTCCCGAGTAGCTGGGATTACAGGTGTTTGCCACCACACCTGGCTAATTGTTGTAATTTTAGTAGAGACGGGGTTTCACCATGGTGGCGCGGCTGGTCTTGAACTCCTGACTTCAAATAATCCACCCATCTCAGCCTCCCAAAATGTCGCAATTACAGGCATGAGCCACTATGCGTGGACTTTTAAACCTCTCTTTCTTTATAAATTACCCAGTCTTGGGTATTTCTTCACAGCAATATGAAAATGGACTAATACACCTTTTATTTCTTTTTATTACCTTAATTAACTGGCTGAGAATTCCAGTATGTTGTTGAATAGGAGTAATGAGAGTAACCATCCTTGCTTTTTTCAATCCTCACAGCATCTTACACATGAATGTTTATCCAGGGATCTTTAGATATTTGAGGAAACCATCTGAAAAACAGGTCAATGGGAGTCGTTATATTATTCCCTCACTCTTTTATTTTTCTCTTTTTCTCTCTTTCTTTCTTTCTCTCTCTCTTTCTTTCTTTCTTCTTTCTTTTCCTTTCCTTCCTTCCTTTCTCTTTCTTTATTGCTTTTCTTTCTCTCTTTCTTTCTCTTTCCTTCTTTCTCTCTCTCTCTCTCTCTCTCTCTAGATAGGGTCTCACTCTGTTATGCAGGCTGAAGTGCAGTGGTGTAATCATAGATCACTGCAGCCTCAAACTCATGGGCTTAAGTGATCCTTCCACCCTAGCCTCCCCAGCAGCTGGGACTACAGGCATACACCACCAGGCCTGGCTGAAGGTATTTCTTAATTTTCCTTTAGCATCCAGTTTGTTCTTGATTAATCTGAAGCTGTTATGCTTCTTGTTATTTTGTGGGTGGGTGACCTATTCCTTATCTCTGGAGACTTTAAGGACCTCGTTTTTATTCTTAATGTTTTGAAATTTTATGAAAAAGTGCTTAGTGTGGATTAAATTTCTTCTGATGATGTTTTTCAGTCTGAGAGACTTTTATTTCTTTGATAATTTTTTCACCTTTTTAGTTGCCATTCTTTTGGGAATTCCTACTGAAATAATTTCTAAGCCTCTTATGTATTTTCTTCAGTTGCTTACCTAATTTTTTATTCTACATTCAGAAGAGATTTCCTCAACTTGATTTTCCAATCCCTCTGTTGAAGTTTTAATTTCTGTAAACATATTTGAATTCCCAAAAGCTCTTTTTTTGTTCTCTAGTTTTTAAATATAATTCCATTCTTAATTTATAGGTATTATATCTTCTTGCTTCTCTCTAAAGATACTAATTACATGAACTAAAGGGTTTTTTGTAAAGGTTTCTTACATTCTCTGTATCATTTTTGTTTTCTTCTCATTCATTTTTCTATTTATTTTGTTTTTGCTTTTTAATGTTGAAAGCCTTTCTTAAATGCCTGGTTATCTTTGGTTGCCTTTATCCATTTAGGAGGAAGGCACTAAAATTAGATTAGAACTTCTATATATAGGCAGAGCTCTTATGCTGATGGACTTCACTTTAGGGGAGCAGGTGGAAAATTGGCAATTCACTGGAGGACCCCAAAGTGCCAATATATTGAGGCCTGTTTTTCTGGGGTTGCTGTTTCTCCAGAGGGGGAAAAGTATTGGTTTCCTGTCTTTAAGTTAGATGCTAGAGTTTTGCACTGGATTAAGAAAGAAGATGAAATTCAGTTTTCTTTTAGTCAGGGAAGTTCCCACCTATGTCCTTCTATCATTTACATTACCTACACTTGAGTCTGTGACCCTGATATTACAAAAACTTTTCTGTACAAGACAGACTTGCAACATTCTCAAGGGTCTCCTGCTTTTGGCGTATCACATTCATTCCTGTTGTCAGGTACTTTACCATAACATGGTGGACATTGCAAGTTGTCTACTCAGCAGTCATGCCTAATTCCTTCTTCCTTGCCTGATTCCTGCTAAATTACCTGAAAAAGCTAAGTATTCATGTTCCCAGACCATTTAGCAGCTAGTAGTAGTCATGTGATAAATCCAGTAATTACCAGTAAGACATAGGGGCATCCACTGGGGAGTTTGGGGGAAAGATTTATTCTCCATGATTAAAGGCAAGAGATGAAGGAAGACACTGCCCACACTACTTTCCTCACTTCTAGTATTGAATGAAATTGCATGAGGACATATATGATGATCGAAGCCACGGAAACCATCTTGGACCATGAGGGAAAAAAAACAAGAGCATCACAGATTCACTGAACTGGTATTGTGATCTCATCAAGTCACTGGGTCACAGCTGGCTCATTGGCTTTGATCCTCTGAATTTACCTAATTATTTTTTTTAATCTTCCTTCTTCTTTTTAGTTAAATATTCTGTCTTGTTTTCTATTTCTCCCCTTGTCTTCTCTCATCCTTTCAGATCTTTAAAGAGTCTGAAGCTTGGATGGAAACACAGACAAAGTTATAGGCCCTTACCTGTTCTCATTAGGTCTTTTCTGAAACAAGATGAGATATGAATAAGCAAATGGGCTGCTCCCCCTATGTCCAATAGAGATGTCCAAATGAGATGTCTGTCATCTTTCTTCTTCTTTGCTGCCATAGAGGTCTTCATCTGACTAATACAACATGGGACCAAGCTTTATTCCCTCCCCACCAAAAATGCTCTTAAAAGTGACTTGGTGGCTGGGCGCAGTAGCTCACGCCTGTAATCCCAGCACTTTGGGAGGCCGAGGTAGGCAGATCACATTCATCAGAATGACATCCACTCATTCTGCTGAAAAGAGTTCTCATGAAGGAACTCACAGATTATTTGTAGAGTGATGGGATAAACACTGGAGAAGGGGTCAGAAAGCCTCGATTTCTGACCTTCACCTGCATAATGTCCTCCCCTGGTTCCTCATGTCTCTTACAGGAATGAATGTGATACACCAAAAGCAGGAGACCCTTGAGAATGTTGCAAGTCTGTCTTGTACAGAAAAGTTTTTGTAATATCAGGGTCACAGACTCAAGTGTAGGTAATGTACATGATAAATACAGATAAAATCTGTATTTATTAACCTAGTTCCTCAAAGCTCTGCATAATCTTCTCCCTGCCTGCTCTGTACCCTCAGCTCCCACCAGCTCCCCTGTGCTCCAGCCTTACGGAGGCTCTCCAGGTTCCTGGATTATAAAGTGTATGCTCAGAGGTACAAGGAGGAGCTGGTACCATTCCTTCTGAAACTATTCAAATCAATAGAAAAAGAGGGAATCCTCCCTAACTCATTTTATGAGGCCAGCATCATCCTAATACCAAAGCCTGGCAGAGACACAACAAAAAAAGAGAATTTTAGACCAATATCCCTGATGAACATCGATGCAAAAATCCTCAATAAAATACTGGCAAACTGAATCCAGCAGCACATCAAAAAGCTTATCCACCATGATCAAGTGGGCTTCATCCCTGGGATGCAAGGCTGGTTCAACATACACAAATCAATAAACATAATCCAGCATATAAACAGAACCAATGACAAAAACTACATGATTATCTCAATAGATGCAGAAAAGGCCTTTGAAAAAATTCAACAAACTTCATGCTAAAAACTCTCAATAAATTAGGTATTGATGGGATTTTTCTCAAACTAATAAGAGCTATCTATGACAAACCCACAGCCAATATCATACTGAATGGGCAAAAACTGGAAGCATTCCCTTTGAAAACTGGCACAAGACAGGGATGCCCTCTCTCACCACTCCTATTCAACGTAGTGTTGGAAGTGCTGGCCAGGGCAATCAGGCAGGAGAAGGAAATAAAGGGTATTCAATTAGGAAAAGAGGAAGTCAAATTGTCCATATTTGCAGATGACATGATTGTATATCTAGAAAACCCCATCGTCTCAGCCCCAAATCTCCTTAAGCTGATAGGCAACTTCAGCAAAGTCTCAGGATACAAAATCAATGTGCAAAAATCACAAGCATTCTTATACACCAATAACAGACAAACAGAGAGCCAAATCATGAGTGAACTCCCATTCACAATTGCTTCAAAGAGAATAAAATAGCTAGGAATCCAACTTACAAGGGACATGAAGGACCTCTTCAAGGAGAAGTACAAACCACTGCTCAATGAAATAAAAGAGGATACAAACAAATGGAAGAACATTCCATGCTCATGGGCAGGAAGAATCAATATCATGAAAATGGCCATACTGCCCAAGGTAATTTATACATTCAGTGCCATCCCCATCAAGCTACCAACGACTTTCTTCATAGAATTGGAAAAAACTACTTTAAAGTTCATATGGAACCAAAAAAGAGCCCGCATTGCCAAGCCAATCCTAAGCCAAAAGAACAAAGCTGGAGGCATCACGCTACCTGACTTCAAACTATACTACAAGGCTACAGTAACCAAAACAGCATGGTACTGGTACCAAAACAGAGATATAGACCAATGGAACAGAACAGAGCCCTCAGAAATAATGCCACCTATCTACAACCATCTGACCTTTGACAAACCTGACAAAAAGAAGTAATGGGGAAAGGATTCCCTATTTAATAAATGGTGCTGGGAAAACTGGCTAGCCATATGTAGAAAGCTGAAACTGGATCTCTTCCTTACACCTTATACAAAAATTAATTCACGATGGATTAAAGACTTAAATGTTAGACCTAAAACCATAAAAACCCTAGAAGAAAACCTAGGCAATACTATTCAGGACATAAGCATGGGCAAGAACTTCATGTCTAAAATACCAAAAGCAATGGCAACAAAAGCCAAAATTGACAAATGGGATCTAATTAAACTAAAGAGCTTCTGCACAGCAAAAGAAACTACCATCAGAGTGAACAGGCAACCTACAGAATGGGAGAAAATTTTTGCAATCTACTCATCTGACAAAGGGCTAATATCCAGAATCTACAATGAACTCAAACCAATTTACAAGAAAAAAACAACCCCATCAAAAAGTGGGCAAAGGATATGAACAGACACTTCTCAAAAGAAGACATTTATGCAGCCAAAAGACACATGAAAGAAATGCTCATCATCACTGGCCATCAGAGAAATGCAAATCAAAACCACAATGAGATACCATCTCACACTAGTTAGAATGGTGATCATTAAAAAGTCAGGAAACAACAGGTGCTGGAGAGGATGTGGAGAAATAGGAACACTTTTACACTGTTGGTGGGAGTGTAAACTAGTTCAAGCATTGTGGAAATCAGTGTGGCGATTCCTCAGGGATCTAGAAGTAGAAATATCATTTGACCCAGCCATCCCATTACTGGGTATATACCCAAAGGATTATAAAACATGCTTCTATAAAGACACATGCACACGTATGTTTATTTCGGCACTATTCACAATAGCAAAAACTTGGAACCAACCCAAATGTCCAACAATGATAGACTGGATTAAGAAAATGTGGCACATATACACCATGGAATACTATGCAGCCATAAAAAATGATGCGTTCATGTCCTTTGTAGGGACATGGATGAAGCTGGAAACCATCATTCTCAGCAAACTATCGCAAGGACAAAAAACCAAACAGCGCATGTTCTCACTCATAGGTGGGAATTGAACAATGAGAACATATGGACACAGGAAGGGGAACATAACACACCAGGGCCTGTTGTGGGGTGGGGGGAGGAGGGAGGGATAACATTAGGAGATACACCTAATGTTAAATAACGAGTTAATGGATGCAGCACACCAACATGGCACATGTATACATATGTAACGAACCTGCACGTTGTGCACATGTACCCTAAAACTTAAAGTATAATTAAAAATAAAATAAAATATAAAGTGTATGCTGGGCCATTTCATCTCTGAGCCTCTGTTCTTCCTGCCAGAAACACACTTCTCCCTCCTTTGTCTGCCTAACACACTTGAACTTCTCCTTTCTTCAAATGACACCGTATCTAGGAAGGCTTCCCCTGTCTCCCGAGCATGGCTAATTGCTCAGCCCTTTAGCCTTTGAGCATTCTTCTAGGTGAGGCATTTCTATCTTTAGTGCGTTTATGTGTTTCTGGGTCTCTCTCTCCAACCAAACCGTGAGTTCTCTGAGAGTAGAATGGATGTCTTGTTTTTGAATCCCCAGCATTGAGCATAGAGGTATATCTGGTCATGCCTCTTGCTGCTCTCCTACTCTTCAAGAAATTAAATTTTAAAGTATTGATTCCATCTTTAACAAACATTTGCATAATATCCACAATGGGCCAGGTATGATACACCAAAAACAATAAATAACATTGTAATCAACTTGTAAAATAGAGAAAGAAGACAACCCATCTTCATCCCACATCCCTTAACAAATTTGTTGTTGAGATCTGGGTATTTACTTCCAGTATATTTGAGCAGAACAACTTTTAAAGTGGTTCCTATGAGCCTCATTAGCTTCAGCAGCCATGGCTGTCTACTGTGTTGCCATTAAAAGTTTGCAGGCCCCAAGAGAGGTGGACGAGCCAGCCTAGACCTCCCTTGGGACTTGACCTTCCACTGGGGCACAGCAGTGAGTCAGTTTCCAGTGGGGATTGTCAGCAAAGTAAATAACCTCTCATTTGAATATTTTCTATTTTCCAAACTCCAACATCAGCATTAGCACATTTGATCTCATCTATAATTCTTACTGTGTCCATTTTGTGGATGAAATGGAGAGACTTGGCAAGGGTTGATGGAAAGAGCATTATGATAGTCCTGTGTGTAAGACCCAACTATGCCATTAACCAATCTCATGACTGGGAACAAGTTATATCACGTCTCCAGGCACCAGTTTCTGCATATGTAAAAGTAGAGAACTGGATTAGATGACCTCTTAAGGCTCCATAGAGTTTCAAACATCTAAGATTTTATGCCTGCTCAAGGTTACTTGGCTTGTTTGTGGCAGAACCATGGCAAGAATTGAGGTTTTATTCCATCACTCGGCAAATAATCTGTGAGTTCCTCCATGAGAACTCTTTTCAGCAGAATGAGTGCATGCCATGACCTCTACCTCTTTCTCTCTGTTCATTGTTGGAATAGAAAGACTTTGCTAAAGAGGTAGAATAAGAAGGGAGCCAGATGGGAGGAGAGGGTAGATGAAAACAAACAAACATGGTTGAAACATTTTGCACTTAAATCTGGGTCATAAGGAAGAATGATCCAGGGCATAAGTGATGATCTTGGGGAAAGTGACCAGGTCACTTTTTTTTTTTTTGAGACAGAGTCTTGCTCTGTTGCCCAGGCTGGAATGCAGTGGTGTGATCTTGGCTCATTGCAACCTCCACCTCCCAGATTCAAGCGATTCTTCTGCCTTAGCCTCCTGAGCCTGAGTAGCTAGGATTATAGGCATGCGCCACCATGCCTGGCTAATTATTATATTTTTAGTAGAGACAGGGTTTCACCATGTTGGCTTGACTGGTCTCAAATCCTGACCTCAGGTGATCTGCCCGCCTCAGCCTCCAAAAGTGCTGCGATTACAGGCGTGAGCCACTGCGCCCAGCCACCAAGTCACTTTTAAGAGCATTTTTGATGAGGAGGGAATAAAACTTGGTCTCGTATTGTATTAGTCCATTCTTGAATTGCTATACAACATACCAGAGGCTGGGAAATTTATAAAGAAAAGAGATTTAATTAGCTCACAGTTCTGCAGGCTGTACTGGAAGCATGGTAGTAGCATCTGCTCGGCTTCTGCCAAGGGCCTCAGAGAGCTTGCAATCATAGTGGAAGGTGAAGTGGGAGCCAGCATCTCACAAGGTAAGAGCAGGAGCAAGAGAGAGAGAGGAGGGGAGGTCCCAGATTTTTAAACAACCAGATCTCCTGTCAACTGAGTGAGAACTCACTTATTACCAAGGGGATGGTGCCAAACTGCTCATGAGGGATTCGCCCCCTTGTTCCAATCCCCTTCTGCCATGATCCAATCGTCTCCAACATTGGGAATCACATTTCAACATGAGATTTGGAGGGGACACATATCCAAACCATGTCACATATTCACCTTGACAGAAGGCAGCTTTCTAAAAAGTGAGATAAGGCTGGGCATAATGGCTCATGCCTATAATCCCAGCATTTTGGGAGACTGAGGCAGGAAGACTGCTCGAGCCCAGGAGTTAGAGACCAGCCTTGGTAACATAGTGAGACCTGTCCTTACACACACACACACACACACACACACACGAATAAATAAAAATGAAGCAGGAAGATTGCTTGAGCCAAGGAGGTTGAGGCTGCAATAAGCCATGATCATGCCACTGCATTCCTGCCTGGGCAACAAGAGTGATACTGTCTACAAAAAAAAGAGTGAGATAAAAGTAAGTCTGATTCCATAAGCAGAGACGTCTCTGGAAGAGAATGTATGGGAAGGAGACAGGAGAGGCACCTAACCAAAGGCAGATACAAGAGCTTTGAGAACCTGTTAAATAGCCTCAAGGTTAAAGTTGGAATCAGCTGAGCCTTTGAATAAGGAAAAGTAATCTGGAACAATTACCCAGGGAAGCTGAGAGACCACAGAGCTCTTGAGATCCTGTTAACTCCCACTTACGCCAGCAAGAAGAGGGTGACAAAGTAGGAAAGGGAAGGGAACACACACACACACGTGCATGCAAGCACACACTCACAGAGGGGAGACCTGGAGAGATGAGGAGATGTTGAGTTCATATCACCAGGAGGCCCAGAAGCATCATCTCCCAGGTGAGAGGCAGTGGCATGATCATAGCTTACTACAGCCTCAAACTCCTGGACTCAAGCGATCTTCCCACCTCAGCCGCCTGAATAGCTGAGGCTACAGGTGCTCACCACCACACTGGTTAATTTTTTAATTTTTTGAGGAGATGGGGTCTTAACATGTTGCTCAGGCTGGTCTCAAAGTTCTGGGCTTAAGCTACCCTTCTGCCTCTGCCTTCCAACGTGATGAGATTACAGGTGTAAGCCACTGCTCCTGGCCCAGTTCTGCTGATCTGTCTTCGAGTTCACTGACTCTTCCTCTGTCATCCCCATTTTGCTATTAAACCTCTTCAGTAAATTTTTAATTTCCATTATTGTATTTTTCAGTTCTAAAATCTCTACCTGGTTTATTTTTGCAGCTTTCATTTCTTTGCTGAGAGCTGCTATCTTTCAATGTTTCAAGGGTGTTTAGTTCTGCCTCATCCAGCATGGTTGTAATAGCTACTACTAAGCCTTTGGTAATTTTAAAATCAGCATTATGTCAGGTTTTTTTGATTGTCTTTTCTCTTACAATTTGTTGGAGTTTTCCTGTTTTTCTCTTTTAATGTTGCATAATTTTGGATTGTGTCTTGGAATATTATATTGTGAGACTTTGAATCCTGTCAGTGTCCTCTGGAGTGCTGATTTTGTTTGTTTGTTTTAGCTGTCAGTTAACCCTGTTAAATCCTGACCTGCCTTGAGTGAGGTGTGTGGTTCCGACGTCCACACTTTCTGAAGCCTTTGCAATGCCGCTCGGGTCTGCATCATGCGTGTGCCACCTAGGGGCCAGTCTGGGACCCAGGTGGTGGTTTACACCATATTTCAGTTCCCAAAGCCTTCGTGATGTTGCTTCAAGTCATTTCTACCCATGCACGGATTTAAGGACCCCTTTCTATGGCTGCCTCCTTTCTATGCTTTACTCCATACAGTCTGGCTCCTAGGGGCCGCTTTTTCTGGTGCTCTGGCTACAAAGCTGGGGTTTTAGCTTCCCTTTACTGTCACAAACTTTTCATGACTGGGTCTGTCTCAGGGCAAATTGGTGAAAGTAAAGAGAGAGAAAATATATTATGGACTTCCCCCACCCCCCACAGGGTCTCAGCAGGTAGCTATGGAAGGAAAAACAAAAATCAGAGAACTCACCACCATATTGGTTACATTAAAGTGTTGACTTCCTTCCTCAAACTGCTGTTACTTTCCAGAGTTCTTTAGTTTTTATTTACAATAGGTGGGAGAAATTGGGTGGAATCTTAGAACCCCTAGGTTACAGCATTGATTTGTTTGGTGGTTATACCTTTCTGGTGTGATCTCATTGTCCTTGTGTCTTAGTCCATTTGGGCTGCTATAACAAAGCACCTTAGATTGGGTAATTTAAAACGACATAAATTTATTGGCCATGGTTCTGGAGGCTGGGAAACAGAGACTCTCTGAAAGAAAATGAAAGGTAAGAGACACGGTGAAAGGGTAAGACAGCTCTCTGGGGCCTCTTTTATAAGGGCATCGCTATGGTTTGAATGCGTCCCCTCCAAAATTCAGGTGTTGCCAACGTGACAGTATAAAAAGATAGGACCTTTAAGAGGTGGTTAGGCCATGAGAGCGCCTCCTTCGTGAATGGGCTCAGGTGTCCTTATAAAGGGGCTTGATAGGGGAAATTGATTTCTTTCTTACCTTCTGCCTTCCATCATGAGAGGACACAGTAAGAAGGCTCTCACCAGATGCTGGTGCCTTGATCTGGGACTTCTCAGCCTCCAGAACTGTGAGAATTAAATTTCTGTGTTTTTAAAAATAAACTATCCTATCTCAGGTATTCTGTTATAGCAGCATAAAATGAATTAAGAGAGGTATTAATTTCACTCATGGAGGTGGAGCGCTGATGACCTAATCACATTCCAAAAGCCCCATCTTCTAACACCATCAACTTTGTGATTAGGTTTCGACATATGAATTTAGGGGGAACACAAACATTCAGACCACAGTATCTTCAGAAATTATTCTGCTCTTTAGTCTTTTAGTCCTTGTAACAACTTTGTACAAAATTTTCCCTCCATATTTTTTTGCGGCTCATTTTCATGTGAAAGTAGTTTTACTAAACTTTTAGAAGGGGACATGATTCACACATTTCCCTCTTCAGTTGTTTTTATGTAGTATTCAAAAATATGACTGGGTGCTGTCCCATGTGCCCGTAGTCCTAGCTACTGGGAAGGCTTAGACAGGAGGATTGCTTGAACCCAGGAGTTTGAGACTAGCCTGGGCAACATACAGCAAGACCCCATCTCAAACAAAACAAAAAAGTATGGTGACTTGCTTTCTGATATTTTTCTAGCTCTATCCGCCTCACCATTTTTAATGTATACCTTCTATTTGTACCTTCTTTGTCTTGATAGTCCGTCTCTGAATCAATTTTAATCCTCCCTCTTCAGTGCGGAGTTTGTGCTGAAAGGAGGCTCTGGCTTATCAGTTTTGAGAATTTCTGTGACTTAGACTCCTCCAGTCCTTCAGTTTCAACACCTGGCTACTCATCCTCCACTGAATTTGGAAGAACCAGTCCCTGTTTCAGCTACCATTTTTGAATTGGCCTGCCATGCGTTTCAGAGGATACCTGTTGGCTATTTTTTATTTTCTTCTTTTTGGATGCGTCAGGCACCCTGTTGCTTCCCGCTGCTTCTTCCACAGATGTTGGTACCACCGAGTAAGATTTTGTGCATGGATCTTCTCCACTTTCTTGTTGGGGCCCATGGGGTTACCTTGTTACTTAGTTTTATTGTAAATGCTGCCCATATATTTTAATTTTGCTATTTACTCCTCTGCTGGTTTTTTCTATTTTAATTCTTTAGTTCTAGAGATTGTGGAATTGACGTTGAGAAAGCTTAAGTGGTTTTCTAAAGGTTATACAGTTTTTTGTTTTTGTTTTTGTTTTTGTTTTGTTTTGAGACAGACTCCTGCCCTGTCTCCCAGGCTGGAGTGCAGTGGCATGATCTTGGCTCACTGCAACCTCCACCTCCTAGGTTCAAGCAATTCTCATGCCTCAGCCTCCCAAGTAGCTGGGACTACAGGTGCCTGCCACCATGCCTGACTAATTTTCTGTATTTTTAGGAGAAACGGGATTTCGCCATAGTGCCCAGGCTGGTCTCGAACTCCTGAGCTCAGGCAATCTGCCTGCCTCAGCCTCCCAAAGTGCTAGGATTACAAACGTGAACAACCGCACCCAGCCAGTCATACTGTTTATTTGTAGTGGAGCTGATACTTGCACACATACCTTCTGAATCCTGGTCCAGTGTCTGTTGTTGTTGTTGTTGTTGTTGCTGTTGTTAATTGAAATTTTTATTGAAATAATTATAGATTGACCTGCTGTTGTAAGACATAATAGAGACTTCTTGTATACTTTGCCTAATTTTCTCAAATGGTAACTATCTTAGTTCATTTTCCGTTGCTTGTGACAGAATACCCAAAACTGGATAATTCATAAAGAAAAGGATTTTCTTACAGATAGGAAAACTTGAGAAGTCTAAGGTTGAGAGGCCATATCTGGTGAGAGCCTTCTTGCTGTTGGGGACTCTGAGGAGTCCTGAGGTGGCACAGGGTATCACATGGTAAGGGGACTGAGTATGCTAGCCTGCTAGGTCAGGTCTCTCTTCTTCTTTTTTTAAAGCCACCAGTTCTCTTCCCATGATAACCCATTAATCCACTCGCCTATTAATCCTTGAATGGATTAATCCATTCATGGGGGCATAATTCTCATGATCCAATCACCTTTTAAAGGCCCAACCTTTTAATACTGCCACATTGGGGATTAAGTTTCTAACACATGAAATTAGGGGAACATGTTAAAACCATAGCCGTGATATTTTATTAAATTGCAGTGTAAGATTACACCCAGAACATTGCTGCTTTGCTATTTTAACATGGGAATTCTGGGATAATAAGAGACTATACTGATGCCACCACTATTATGTCCCTAAAATAATCCCAGGGAAATTTGATGCAGAAGGATAAACAATAAAATGAATCCCAGTAAAGGCTGAGAACTCCAAAGATAACGACAGGCTTTTAGGACATGCAGAAGAATCAAACCACCTTTAAGGACAAAAACAAGACTGGATTTATGCCTCCAACAATAACATTTAATTTTTTTTTTTTTTTTTTTTTTTTTGCAAAAAGGTCTTGCTCTGTCACCCAGGCTGGAGTGCAGTCACGCAATCATAGTTCACTGCAGCCTTGAACTCTTGGGCTCAAGTGACCCTCCCTCTTCAGCCTCCTGAGTAGCTGGAACTAAAGAAGCACTCCAGCACAACTGGCTAAGATTTTTTATTTTGTAGAGATGGCAGTGGCGGGCGGGGGGGGTCTCACTATGTTGCCCAGGCTGGTCTTGAACTCCTGGCCTCAAGCGATCCTTCCCACCTCTGCCTCCCAAAGTGTAGGGATTACATGACTGGGCCACTATGCCTGGCCAACCATTAATATTATAAGACAATGAGACAATATCTATATTGTCCTCAGAAAAAGAGGGTGTTATACTATGCTTACATCCAGGCAAACTACCATTCAAAAATAAAGGAAACAGGTATTTTAAAATATGCAAGGACGTAGAGAATATATTCCCAGTCAACTCCTTTGAAGAAAATACAGGGAACAAACTTCAGTCTATCAAAAGATAAATAAGAGACTATGCCAAAAGTATTGATGCTGAGCATTAAACCTATTTAAAGTAGACTTAAAGTCAAACACGTGAAGAAATTTTGGTTTCCAAATATAATGTAAATGTTACAAACCAGAAAGAGGTAGAATTAGTAAAAGTTGGAAGTAGAAAAGAAAATGAGAAGTAATCTAAGCATACTAATTTCTTCCTTTTGCATTGTTTAAAGCTAATGAATCAAGTAATGGAGGTATGAGTTTAACTTACATTTTATAAATAATTAATAGTACCACTAGACCAACTAACAAAAGTTGTACAAACAACTAAAGTTAGGGAATAAAACAGAGGAGAGGGAAGGGAGCTGAGAAAGGGAACATTCTAATTTTTTAATATTTTAATATGGATAGTCAATAGATACTGTCTCAGTTGATAATACATATATCTGCTTATAAGTAGATAAGAAAACATAAAAAGAAAAATTTTTTGTAAAAAATAAAATGCAAAAGAATCGTTAAAACTAGAGAATTTTCATTAAATAAGATGATAGAAGTAAAACCAGTTATAAGAGAAAAATAGACAAATCTACAATCATGGTAGGAAATTAAAAGAGGTCTCTTTCAGCTACTGATAGGATGAGAGAAATAAACAAACAAGAAGGATATGAAAGATTTGAGCAATACAATTAACAAATTTGACCTAATTAGCATTTATAGAACACTGCATCCAGACATCAAAATCATTTTCAAATGCACAAGATACATTTACCAAAATAGACAGGCCAGAAATCAAATTTCAACAAATTCAAAAACTGAAATCATACCAAGTGTGTCCTTTGACCACAGTGGAATTAATTAGAAATCTAAAACATAAAGATAGCTAGTGGGATGACAACATGGAAGATAACTGAAGCAACTATTTTAGAACTCTGAAGTCTAGTCAAACACTTGCAGAATTCTGGAAAGTGCTTTATTAAAAAAAAAGAATTAGTCCCTCTCCCTCTCCCTCTCCCTCTCCCATGGTCTCCCTCTCCCTCTCTTTCCACGGTCTCCCTCCCCCTCCCTCTTCCTCTCCCTCTCCCTCTCCCTCTCCCTCTCCCCACCGTCTCCCTCTCCCTCTCTTTCCACGGTCTCCCTCTGATGCCGAGCCGAAGCTGGACTGTACTGCTGCCATCTCGGCTCACTGCAACCTCCCTGCCTGATTCTCCTGCCTCAGCCTGCCTAGTGCCTGCGATTGCAGGCGCGCGCCGCCACGCGTAACTGGTTTTCGTGTTTTTCTGGTGGAGATGGGGTTTCGCTGTGTTGGCTGGGCTGGTCTCCAGCTCCTAACCGCGAGTGATCCACCAGCCTCGGCCTCCCGAGGTGCCGGGATTGCAGACGGAGTCTCGTTCACTCAGTGCTCAATGGTGCCCAGGCTGGAGTGCAGAGGCGTGATCTCGGCTCACTACAACCTCCACCTCCCAGCAGCCTGCCTTGGCCTCCCAAAGTGCCGAGATTGCAGCCTCTGCCCGGCCGCCACCCCATCTGGGAAGTGAGGAGCGTCTCTGCCTGGCCGCCCATCGTCTGGGATGTGAGGAGCCCCTCTGCCTGGTTGCCCAGTCTGGAAAGTGAGGAGCGTCTCTGCCTGGCCGCCATCCCATCTAAGAAGTGAGGAGCATCTCTGCCCGGCCGCCCATCGTCTGAGATGTGGGGAGCGCCTCTGCCCCGCCGCCCCGTCTGGGATGTGAGGAGCACCTCTGCCCGGCTGCGACCCCGTCTGGGAGGTGAGGAGCGTCTCTGCCCGGCCGCGACCCCATCTGGGAGGTGAAGAGCGTCTCTGCCCGGCCGCCCCGTCTGAGAAGTGAGGAGCCCCTCCGCCTGGCAGCCACCCCGTCTGGGAAGTGAGGAGCGTCTCCGCTCGGCAGCCACCCCGTCCGGGAGGGAGGTGGGGGTCAGCCCCCCGCCCGGCCAGCCGCCCCATCTGGGAGGGAGGTGGGGGGGGTCAGCCCCCCGCCTGGCCGGC
Source organism: Homo sapiens (assembly GCF_000001405.40). NCBI lineage: Eukaryota > Metazoa > Chordata > Mammalia > Primates > Hominidae > Homo > Homo sapiens. The sequence goes on from NC_000017.11 coordinate 58,142,734, forward strand.
CGCCCCATCCTGGGGGGAGGTGGGGGGTCAGCCCCCTGCCCCGCTGGCAGCCCCGTCCGGGAGGTGAGGGGCGCCTCTGCCCAGCCGCCCCTACTGGGAAGTGAAGAGCCCCTCTGCCCGGCCAGCCGCCCCGTCCGGGAGGGAGGTGGGGGGGGGTCAGCCCCCCACCCTGCCAGCCACCACGTCCGGGAGGTGAGGGGCTCCTCTGCCCGGCCACCCCTGCTGGGAAGTGAGGAGCCCCTCTGCCCGGCCACCACCCTGTCTGGGAGGTGTACCCAACAGCTCATTGAGAACAGGCCATGATGACAATGGCGGTTTTGTGGAATAGAAAGGGGGGAAAGGTGGGGAAAAGATTGAGAAATCGGATAGTTGCCGTGTCTGTGTAGAAAGAAGTAGACATGGGAGACTTTTCATTTTGTTCTGTACTAAGAAAAATTCTTCTGCCTTGGGATCCTGTTGATCTGTGACCTTACCCCCAACCCTGTGCTCTCTGAAACATGTGCTGTGTCCACTCAGGGTTAAATGGTTTAAGGGCAGTGCAAGATGTGCTTTGTTAAACAGATGCTTGAAGGCAGCATGCTTCTTAAGAGTCATCACCACTCCCTAATCTCAAGTACCCACGGACACAAACACTGCGGAAGGCCGCAGGGTCCTCTGCCTAGGAAAACCAGAGACCTTTGTTCACTTGTTTATCTGCTGACCTTCCCTCCACTATTGTCCTATGACCCTGCCAAATCCCCCTCTGCGAGAAACACCCAAGAATGATCAATTAAAAAAAAATAATAAAATAAATAAATAAAACAATTAAAAATAAAATTAAATAGTCAAAAAAAAAGAGTTAGATAAATTTTAGTAAATTTTTTGGTTTTTAATGAATGGCTACCCTCACCATCCCTACCCTGATGGCAGGCAGCTATGGGGATGGCAGCCTGCACTGTTGGTGTGACTTGCTTTTGTCAGGGTGGGTAATAAAAACATTGCTCTCCAGAACTTGGGGTTGTACATTTTGATTGCTGTTTTTTATCACTGAGGGGACAGAACAAAGGCTGGCCATTGTTTTAATCCCCATGGGCTGAAGTCGCTTCTCTAGTGACACTGGTTGGAGGGAATGGAAAAACAGACACTGTTTTTTTTTTTTTTCTCCTTTTCTTATCTTATTGGATCCAGGCATTTAAGGAAATCTCTGTAAGGTCACTGGTTGACTATGGAAATAATGGGACAGAGACTTCAGTGACCAATAAAGAGGCAAAAATAATAAAAATGAACCAGCCAGGCACAGCACAAGACAAGGAATATGGTCTTTGCAAGATAGTTTGGAAAAATTACCAAAGAAATGGATGACTGTGGCCTTCATCAAGTAACAACAGCAATCTCTGCAAATGGATTTCCAGCATTACCACATACAATATTCAAAATGTCCAGTTATCAACAAAAATTTACAAAGCATACAAGAAAATAGGAAAATATGGCTCATTTAGAGGGGAAAAACAGAAATCGACAGAAATCATCCTTGAGGGAGCCCAGACATTGAGTTTTCTAGACAAAGACTTCAAATCAATTGTCTTAAACATGCTCAAATAAGCAGAAGGAAACCATGGAAATGAACTACGTGAAATCAGAGGAACAAATATGAACAAGTAGGTAATACCAATAAAGAGGCAGAAATAATCAAAATGAGCCAGCCAGGCACAGTGGCTCATGCTTGTAATCCCAGCACTTTGGAAGGTTGAGGCGGGAGGATTGCTTGAGGCCAGGATTTGAGACCAGCCTGGGCAACATAGCAAGACCCCCTCTTTACAAAAATTTAAAATTTAGCCAGGCATGATGGCACACACCTATAGTTCTTGTTATTGAGGAAAGAGATGAAAAGATCACTTGAACCCAGGAGTTTGAGGTTATAGGTTAGAGTGAGCTATGATTGCACCACTGTACTCCTGCTTGGGTAACAGAGTGAGACCCTGTCTCACAAAAAAAAGGAACAAAATAGAAAATCTGGAGCTGAAAAACATAATAGCTGAAATTAAATATGTATTACAGAGGTTCAATAGGATATTTGATCAGGCAGAAGAAAGAATTAGTGAACTCGAAGATAGGACAAATGATATTACCCAGTCTGAGGAGGAGACAAAATGAAGAAAAATGAACAAAGCCCAGAGACCTATGGAGAGTCACCAGGCACACTAACATACACATTCTGAGAGTCCCAGAAGAAGAAGAGAAAAAAGGGGCAAAAAAATTTTTTGAAGAAATAGTGGCCAAAAACTTCCCAAATTTGATAAAAGACATGAATCTACACATCCAAGATTAATGAATTCCAAATAGCATAAACTCAGAGATCCACACTAGGATCACTATAATCAAATTCTCAAAAGACAAAGGGAGAATCTTGAAAGGAGCCAGAGAGAAGTGACTCATCACATTCAAGGGATTCTCAATAGAATTAACATCCAGTTTCTCATGAGAAATCATGGAGGCCAAAATGCAGTGGGATGATATATTTAAAGTGCTGAAAGAAAAAAAAAAACTGTCAACCAAGAATTCTATCTTTCAAAAATGAAAAAGTAAGAAACATATTCTGAGACAGACAAAAGCAAGAGAAGTTAATTGCTAATAGACCTGCCCTAGGAGAAGTGCTAAAGGGAGCCTTACAGGCTGAAACAAAAGGATAATAGATGGTAATTCAAAGCCACACAAAGTGATCACACCAGTGATCTTTATATCTTTGTGTGTCTTTGAGTTATGTAAATATAAGTCTTTTATTTATACAGGTAAATATAAATGCTAGTAGTATTGTATTTTGGTATATAAGTCTTCTTTTTGTTTCCTATGTGGTTTAAAAGACAAATGCATAAAATAATAATTATAAGTTTATGTTAAAATGCACACATATATAAAAAGGAATTTATGAGAGTAACAACATAAAGGTGGAGGGAAGGAATGAAATATAGGCAGTGTTAATGTATATTATTGAAGCTAAGTTGTTATCATACTAGATTCAGATTAGCTTCAAATTAGATTGTCATAAATTTAAGGTGTTAACTGTAGTCCCCATGGTAACCACTAAGAAAATAACTTAAACAAATACAGAGAAGGAAAAAAGAGAAAATCAAAATACTACACTTGAATAAAGAAAGCCAAAACACCTGAATGGAAGTTTTGCCTTAAATAAAGGCAATATTGCAGAATTGAGGAGGAAAAATGTAAGACATATAGCAAACAAATAGCATAGCACAATGGCAGAAGCAAGTCCTTTATTATCAGTAATCACTTGAAATACAAATGGATTAAGCTTGTCAAAAGACAGAGATTGAAAGACTGTATTAAAAAACAACACAATCCAATTATATGCTGCTTACAAGAGACTTATTTTGGCTCCAAAGACAAAAATAGGTTTAAAATAAAAGGATGGAAAGAGATATTCTGTGCAAATAGTAGCCAAAAGAAAACTGGAGCGGGATCAATAAGAAAATACGGGACTTGAAAAATATTATAAACTGACTAGACTTAAAAGAGATTTACAGAACACCCAAAGACAACAGAATGTACATCATTCTCAAGTGCACATGAAACAATCTTCAGGATTGACTATACGTTAGGCCATAAAAAATTTTCAATAAATATTCAAAGATTTAAATTATACAAAGTATCTTCTCTGACTACAATGGAATGAAGGAATCTACAACAAAGGAAAAACTTGAAATTTTGCAAATATGTGGAGGTTAAACAACATACTCTCCAACAACAAATGGGCCAAAGAATAAATCAGCAGTGAAATCAGAAAATACTTTGAAGTGAATGCAAACAAAAGCACAACATACGCAGGGTGCAGTGAAAGCAATACTTAGAATTTTATAGCTGTAAAATCCTACATAAAAAAGGAAAAACGTCTCAAATCAATTATCTAACTTTACACTTTAAGGAACTAAAAAAAGAAGAGCAAACTAAAACCAAAGCCAACAGAAGGAAAAAAACAATACAGATTAGAGCAGAGATAAATGAAGTAGAGAATAGAAAAACAATAGATACAATCAATGTAACCAAAGTTAGTTCTTGAAAAGATAAACAAAATTTATAAATGTTTAGCTAAACTAAGAAAAAAAGAGAAGAGGCAAATAAATAAAATCAGAAACATTACTACCAACCTTACAAAAATTAATAGGATTGTAAGAGAGTACTATGAGCACTATATGCCAACAAATTGGCTAATTTAGATTAAATGGAAAAATTCCTGGAAACACAAATTACCAAAACTGATTTCAAAAGAAATAGAAAGTCTCAACAGACCTATAACAAGTAAATGTTGAATCAGTGTTTAAAAAACCTCCCAACCAAGAAAAGTCCAGTACCAGATGGCTTTAGTGGTAAATTCTGCCAAACATTTAAAGGAGTATGAACACCAATACTATGCAAGTTCTTGTAAAAAAAAAAAAAAAAAACAGAAGCAAAGGGAACACTTTTTAACACATTCTATGAGGCCAGCATTATCTTGATACCAAAGCCAGACAAAGATACAAGAAAAGAACTACAGACCATATTCTTTATAAATACAAATGCGAAAATTATGAGATGCCACTTCACTCTCACTATTCTAAGTAAGATGGTTATTCCTCAAAAGATTAGGCACAGTTGCTATAAAATCCAGCAATTCCACATCTAGCTATATACCAAAGAAAAATGAAAGAATACATCCACACAAAATCCTATACATGAATATTCCTAGCAGCTTTATTCATAATAGCTAAAAAGTGGAAAGAACTCAAATGTCCGAGAGCTGACTGACTGATTTACAAAAGTGGTATATCCATATGATGTAATATTATCCAGTCATAAAAAGGAATGACTGGTACATGACTAGTACTGGTACATGCTACAGTACAGATGAAACTTAAAAACATAAGTGAAAGAAGCAGGACACAAAAGCCATATATCATCATATGTGTGTTATATGATTCAATTTTTAGGAAATGTCCAGAACAGGCAAATCCAGAGACAAAAAGTAGATTAGTGGTTTCCAGAGACTGAGGAGAGAACAGAATGGGCAGTGACTGCTAAAGGATATGAGATTTCTTTTCAGAACGAAGAAAATGTTCTGGAATTAGGTAGTGGTGATGGTTACACAAGTTTGTGAATATACTAAAAACCACTGAATGGTTAAAATCATTTAATAATTGTGAAGCTTATGGTAGTTGAATTATATCTTGAGGATGAACTTAGCCAATTTACATTGAGAGTTCACTTTGGCTGAGAGAAGAGCAGATCAGAGATTGGGATAAGAGATGGTACCTTAATGACTGTACATATGAAAAAGGCTTTGGAGTTTATAGAGGGGGTGACCTGGACTGTGTCCTAGGACATAACTCACTTTTCCAACTACAGTGGTGATAGGAGAGGGTGGAGGCCTTGCACTGCCCATGGTGCTGAGGGATTTGGTTCTTGTAAACCTCCCTGGGAATTCACGTCTCTTTAGGGTTCTTATCCTTCTTCATCTTGGTCCTTTGATCAGTAACTCTGAAATGTTGGCCCCAAGACAGTCTCCCAATAATTATGTGCATCTGATGCAACATCTCACATACTTTTTAATAACTCCCATTGCTCATTTGCCCTTAGCAGCCTGAGCCAGGCTTTATCTTATGAATTAAGCCTAAGTTTTACTCCCCAAGGAATTTCCCTTTCCTTAAGGCCAATCCCATATGTGTTCCTTGTCTGAGAGAGGCCAGGAGAAGAATGGAGCTACAGGAGAAGAGTGACCTGGGAGATGGGAGGCTCTAAGTCCTCTTGGCCACTGTGGGCTGGAGGAAGGTGATGGCCTCATTGTCCTTCCCATGGACAAATCAGCACGACAAAGCCTATCGTGAGACAAGCATGGGGTGGAGGGAAGGCATGGGGGAAGTCATCAGGCATTAATGCAAGGGGAACGGGATTTGGGAAACATTGATTTTATCTAACATTAAGACTTTTGTCTGTATTGGCTTATGTGCTGGGTGGAATTTAGAACAGAGGGTGGGAGGGAGAGCGGAATATAGACATACACTGTTATCTCCCCCGCCTCCCACATACATACTACAGCTTCTTCCCACACCTAGGAGAAAACACAAACAGGTCTTGCTCTGACACTTTCCACCCTCTACTGTTCCTTTTTAAGTCTCATCTTCCTCCATCTTCCCCCTTCTCCTGCCTGCTTCTCTCACTCACTCCAGATTTTCTTCCCTTCTTTATTGCTGTCCCTCCATCTTATCCTCTCTTTTCTTAAATCTTGTGTTTAACAATACCTGTTAATGCTCCCTGGATGACAACAGACTAGATTCTACCCCATTTTGGGAACCCACTTATTCCTTCTCCCCTCGTCTCTCCTAGTCCTGTGTGGGCTGATTTTCTAAGAGCAAAGACAGATGGGAGAGAAGATTGAGTAACAACAGAAGAGGTCTAGAATCCTCCCCTTTCCCCATACAGATCCATGTCCCTCCCTATGTCTATTTTCTTTCTTGTCTAGAATCCCTCTAAATCTATTTTCTATGCATGTAGGGGGAGGAAGCATTTGCAAAGATTCTGATGGGTTTGTGGAAAGAATCGGGCCATGCTAAGATGATGCTTCTAGGATTGTAAATCTGGTGATGCTGGGAATTAGGATTCTTGGATTCTCTTTGAGGTCCTATAAACTGCATTCTATCCAGTGGCTACTCTCTCTTTCTTCCCAGCTCTCACGGCAGTCTGGCCCATCCCAGCACCCTGTCCTCCATTAAGCAATCACACATTCTTTTGGGAACCAACTATGAGAAAGGGTCTGTGTGTACCACGTACTGTGTAATACTTAACATATTGGATTTGCACTGAAATTACAACACATGTGAGGAACAGAGCCATCCTCATGAAAAAATACCAAGGCATAGCAACATTATGGAAGAGCTAATTACTCTTGAACCTTGAAGGAAGGGTAGAATTCAGACAGGTGAACAGGACAGAAAAGCAATTCAGATGCGGCACTGACTGGATGAAGGCACTGAGACCTGAGGGACCGAAGAAGAGATAAGTTTGGCTGAAGCTGAATCTTCTTAGAGGAGAGCAGGTAAGAGGAGAATAGTCATTAGGAGTGCAAATTCTGGGTCAATCAGACCTGGCTCAGAATCCCAGCTCTGCTTCTTCTTCTCCATGTGATCTGGGAGAAATTAGTTAACCTATTCAAGCCACAGTTTACTTATCTGTAAAGTGGAGATAATTTATGGTACTTACTATACTTATAAACATGGGAATAATATGTGAGAATTAAAAAAGATAATGCCAGCAAAATATTTAGTATAGTGTCTATCACATAGTAAGCATTCAAAAAATGTTTACTACGATGACAATTACTGCTATTACAACAATAAATGCTTACTACCACAGTTATTACCATTACTACAATTACAATAAATGCTTACTACTACTACTATTAAGTGGCAGATGGACCTGGAAAGAAAGGTAGGAGCCTGTTTGTGTGGAAGCCCCTGAAATCCTAACTAAGTACAAATTCCTTCCTGTAGACAATAAAGAGCCATGGAAAATTTTTGAAAACCTTTTGAAATAGAGGGGGAAGATGTTGTTGAAGAAGTTTATGTATGTACTATGTTGCACAGTGTGGATTAAAATGGACCAAAACCTGGAGGCAAGAACCCACTTGGAGGCCCACAGCAATAAGCCAGATAGGAAAAATAATTTGGCAGTAATTTCAAAGGAAGAACGAATATGCCTTGGTGATAATACATGTGGAGTTCAAGGGAGAAGTCTAGCTGGGTGAGGGGATAACAGACAGAAATAGGAGAGCCAGAGAGGTATTTGGGTTTAGAGTAAAGAAGTAGCAAGAATGATTTCATAATAATGACAGGCAGCTCACAGTGCCAGATGGAGCTGAAAGAACCCACGGTTACTGACGGGCTTTAGCCATTACAGTGACACTCAAACTGAAGAACTGGTTATGAGGAGGGGAGGAATCCAGCGGTTCTGCAACAGTCCTGGGAATCACGGTCTCCTTCTCTCCTCTCTTTTACAGAAGAGCTTTCCCTTTTCCCACACTGCGTCTCCTCCTCTTTTTCTCTCTCTCCCTTTTCCTCAGTGTTCTGAGGTTTCTCCTTCCCCGAACCCTTCCCCTTGCACACCTGCGGTTGTCTTTCGCCCCGACAGTGCTCATGCTAAGAAGTTTTTCAGCTCTTACCTTTTCTTTTTCTTGGTCTCATTATAATACTTCTTTTGCTTTTTTTGATTAAAATTTTATGACAATTTATAAATTACAAGAAATAAAAAAAATTTTGTAAAGAAGAGAAAATATATGTTCCATCAATCCCATCAACCAGAGATAACCACTATTCACACTGGTAACATTTTGGTTTTCCATGTCCATTTTTTCCCTTTATATTTATACTATAGTTTATCAAAATATTTTGTAATTCTCTCTTTAAAACAACAATACTTTGAGTCTTAAAACCCCTCATGGATAATTTTAGAGATAATCCTGTCTATATTTGTCTGTAAAGGTTGATGAAGATCTTTTTTTTCTTCAACTTTTATTTTAAGTTCAGGGGTACATGTGCAGGATGTGCAGGTTTGTTACATAGGTAAACATGTGCCATGGTGGTTTGCTGCACAGGTCATCCCATCACCTAAGTATTAAGCCCAGCATCCATTAGCTATTCCTCCTGATGCTCTCCCTCCCCTCGCCTCCCCCCTGACGGGCCCCAGTGTGTGTTTTTTCCCCTCACGTGTCCGTGTGTTCTCATCGTTCAGCTCCCACTTGTAAGTGAGAACACTCTGTGTTTGGTTTTCTGTTCCTGTGTTAGTTTGCTGAGGATAATGGCTTCCAGCTCCAACCAGGTCCCCGCAAAGGACATGATCAATAGAGCTATCTTTTCACATGTATCCATTCAATTCCCTTATAAGAGCATCAGTGCAATCACTGCTGCCCCTCCCATGGTAAAATCAAATCCCATAGAGTTAAACATCCTTTTAGGATATATTTATTCTTAACTAGTATTTCATCCCATGGAGGAACCATATTTTATTTAACCAATATCTTATAGTCATGCATTTATGTTGTTTCTAGTTTATCAATATTATAATAATGTGATGAATATCCTTAAGCATACATTTTTAAAAATTAGTTTTCATTGTTTCTTTAAAACAAATCCCTAAGACAGAAATTACTGGGTCAGGGAGTATAAATAATTTATGGATTTGGCACATATTTTCAAATTGTCTTCTAGAAAGATTGTACTACCAGTGATTTATCTATTGCTCTAAATTCTCAATAATGCTGAGTATTACAAGTTTTTAAAAGATCAATGTTAACATAATTTTTAAAAATTGTTCCTTATTATATTTTATCTTTAACTTTTTGGATAATTAGTAAATTCTAGATACATTTGAATTATTATTATATTATTACAGGTGCTTGCCACCACGCCTAGCTAATTTTTGTATTTTCAGTAGAGATGGGGTTTCACCACGTTGGCCAGGCTGCTCTCGAACTCCTGACCTCAGGTGATCTGGCCGCCTCGGCCTCTCAAAATGCCGGGATTAACGCATGAGCCACTGCACGCAGCCATGTTATTTTATTTTAAAATCCCTTCCTTCCATCATGATTTATACATAGTTCATTCAAAGTAAAAATACCCAAATAATACAAAGACATCAGGATCAAAACTAGAGTATCTCTGAGGCTTTTCATCTTATGTTTTATCATGGAAATTTGTATATATTTACAAAGTAGAGAGAATCACCATTTTCAGAATTACCACTATTACCAACAGTTTGCCAGTCTTGCTTCACATACTCCTCTCACCTTTAATAAAGTATTTTAAGGCAAGACCAAGACATCTTTTCTTTACATCCATAAAAACTTCAGTGTTCATCTCTGACTGATAAAAGCATATAAAAATGTATGGGGGTGGTAGGCTGGGTGCAGTGGCTCACACCTGTGATCCCAGCACTTTGGGAGGCAGAAGCAGGTGGATTGCTTGAGCTCAGGAGTTTGAAACCAGCAGGGGCAACATGACAGACCCTGTCTCTACTAAAAATACAAAAAAATAGCCAGGCATGGTGAAGTGTGCTTGTGGTCCCAGCTACTTAGGGGGCTGAGGTGGGAGGATTGCTTGAGACTGGCTCCTGGAGGTTGTAGTGAACTGAGATTGCACCACTGCAGGCCAGCCTTGGGGACAGAGCGAGACCCTGTCTGAAAAAAAGAAAAAGTATGGTGGTTGTAATCTTAATAGGGATAAAGATCTTAAGATAAAATAATGAAGTATGCTGTTAACATTTCAGGAATCAGTAATCAGGTGTGAGAGTTGGAGTTGGGGATGAAGGATTAGGGTCAGGGGCTTTCCCAGAGAGGCCAAACCATGCCATTTAAATGGCTGCCCACCCAGTCTAACCTTGACACCATGTGGTGGAGAAAGGACACAAAATCAGAGACCAAAATGTGTTACCCTCTGTTGTGGTTGCTGCGACAATGCTCCAGGAAGGGTGTGTACTACCCTTGCCTGTCTCAGCTTCCTGCCCTGGTGCACTGGGATAAGCCCATTCTAACCCTGTTTTACCACATCATTTCCTGCTGAAGAGCTTGCCGGGGTTCTCAGTTGCCTATGGGGACATTTTTCAAACAGTCCTAGGCTGGGAGTTGGTGAAGCCACAGAACAAACACAGCACATCTTCCTGGAATATCATTTTTGCACAAATATCTGAGGATAAATGTGAATTTTATGTGAAGAATAATATGACAATATTTTGAGTACTGAAATCCCTCATAAGTTTTGAGATAATCCTGTTACATTTGTCCATAGAGGTTTATAGAGATCTTTCCAAATATATTCATCCAATTCCCACGTAACAGCATCAGTGTAATTGCTGCTACCCTACCCATGTGCCAGGTGGGAATCAGGGAAAATAGACCTTTTTATGTTCTATTGTCTGTACAGGATGGGGCCTTGGGACAAATTTTTCTGAACAATTAGAGAAAATACTTGTGGAAAGGTATAATCCAAAAGAATGGGTTTTAACACCAAGAACTCAGTTTATTTTTCAAGCTAATGTCTTCTAAAACTTTCACTTACTAAAGAATCATGTCTCCCTTCATGCTCTAATTTTCTTTTTCTTTTTAGAGATAAGATCAGCTGGAGTGCAGTGGCCATAATAGCTCACTGCAGCCTTGATCTCCTGGGCTCAAGCAATCCTTCCACCTCAGCCTCCTGAATAACTGAGACTACAGGTATGCACTACCATGCCCAGGTAACTTTTAAAATTTTTGTAGAGATGTGATCTCACTATGTTGCCCAGGCTTGTCTCAAACTCCTGGCCTCAAGTGATCCTCCCACCTCAGCCTCCCAAATGGCTGGGGATTACAGCTGCATGCCATCACACCTGGGTAATTTTTAAATTTTTTTTATAGAGGTAGGGGTCTAGCTATGTTGCCCAGGCTGGTCTCAAACTCCTGGCCTCAAGTGATCCTCTTGCCTTGGCTTCCCAAAGTAGTGGGATTATAGGCATGAGCCACTGCATCCAGCCAACCCTCTTTTTTTTTTTTTTTTTTTTAAACAACACTTTGGTCTTGTCAAAGTTTTAAGACCATAATAGTTACATTTTAAAAGCTCTCCCAAAGATTGTCGAGGGATATGTGTATAATAGAAAATTCGCATAAATTTTAGAAGTTAAAACATGAGAGTTCAAGGAGATAGTGCATTTGTCCTGGGCTTCTTTGAATTGCCCCCACAGATGGCCCATGGCAACAAATGCTACTACAGAAGTACTTACAGGGAAACATTTGAGAAACACTAATCATCCCAGCTTCGCTACAACCAAGATTATCTGCTTATTTTTCTTCACATTTACCTCTGATTTTGTACATAACAATTTTCTTCTAATGCACACCTCTCTTTCTCCAGCAATAAACATCCTCTCAAATTCCCACCATAAAGAAGCATCTGTTTGTTTATCTAAAATCATTATTCTCAACTGTATATCCTATCAAGATTTATGCACATAGGTTGATGGTGTTTGTGGTCACAGGTACTTGCTGATATGTTTATTTATTCACTGATTGATTCAACTAGCTTTATGGAACCTATGGTTCACAAGGCACTATGTTGGGCATAGCAGGTATGAAAAAGAATCAGACATGAAACCTGTGGTTGAGGACAGCATGGCCGAAGGGAAAAAAGACCCAGATTCTTGTAATATACTGTAGGGCGTGGTCAGGGAAGTAAGTCTCTGGAACCCTTGAAAACATATGGAACTTCCTCCCCGTGGAGGGCTTTCCTAAGCTACATCTCGGATTGACACTCAACAACTCAACTTAATCAACTCAATCCTGACTGTCCAAGGAAAATGATTGAATTTTCATTTTTTTTGTTTGTTTGTTTGTTTCAATGGTTTCTCTGTAGGAACGTGGGGGAAGATCCTATGGAACCACAGAACACCACACAGGTATCAATGTTTGTCCTCTTAGGGTTTTCACAGACCCAAGAGCTCCAGAAATTCCTGTTCCTTCTGTTCCTGTTAGTCTATGTTACCACCATTGTGGGAAACCTCCTTATCATGGTCACAGTGACTTTTGACTGCCGGCTCCACACACCCATGTATTTTCTGCTCCGAAATCTAGCTCTCATAGACCTCTGCTATTCCACAGTCACCTCTCCAAAGATGCTGGTGGACTTCCTCCATGAGACCAAGACGATCTCCTACCAGGGCTGCATGGCCCAGATCTTCTTCTTCCACCTTTTGGGAGGTGGGACTGTCTTTTTTCTCTCAGTCATGGCCTATGACCGCTACATAGCCATCTCCCAGCCCCTCCGGTATGTCACCATCATGAACACTCAATTGTGTGTGGGCCTGGTAGTAGCCGCCTGGGTGGGGGGCTTTGTCCACTCCATTGTCCAACTGGCTCTGATACTTCCACTGCCCTTCTGTGGCCCCAATATCCTAGATAACTTCTACTGTGATGTTCCCCAAGTACTGAGACTTGCCTGCACTGATACCTCCCTCCTGGAGTTCCTCATGATCTCCAACAGTGGGCTGCTAGTTATCATCTGGTTCCTCCTCCTTCTGATCTCTTATACTGTCATCCTGGTGATGCTGAGGTCCCACTCGGGAAAGGCAAGGAGGAAGGCAGCTTCCACCTGCACCACCCACATCATCGTGGTGTCCATGATCTTCATTCCCTGTATCTATATCTATACCTGGCCCTTCACCCCATTCCTCATGGACAAGGCTGTGTCCATCAGCTACACAGTCATGACCCCCATGCTCAACCCCATGATCTACACCCTGAGAAACCAGGACATGAAAGCAGCCATGAGGAGATTAGGCAAGTGCCTAGTAATTTGCAGGGAGTAAACTTTAAGTAAGTTGACTTTAAATGACAAATTTCTCTGGATTTTTATTTTCCCACATGAAAAATGGAGGAAAGTCTTTATAAAGCATAACAAATCAGATTACACTTATATTTCTTGAGGACCTAGTGCTGTGTCAAGTACTGTGTTAAGCACTTCCACGCTTTTTTTCTTTTTTTTTTTTTTTAGATGGAGCCTTGCTCTGTCACCCAGGCTGGAGTGCAGTGGTGCAGTCTAGGCTCACTGCAACCTCCACCTCCCGGGTTCAATGATTCTCCTGCCTCAGCCTCCCGCGCAGCTGGGATTACAGGCACCCACCACCACGCCCGGCTAATTTTTGTATTCTTAGTAGAGATGGGGTTTCACTACAATGACCAGGCTGGTCTCGAACTCCTGACCTAGGTGATCCACCCGCCTTGGCCTCCCAAAGTGCTGGGATTACAGGCGTGAGCCACAGCGCCCGGCCTAACACTTCCACAGTTTTATCTCATTACTTTTCATGAAACCGACAGTAGATATATTATTATTGTTGTTAAACAGTTTTACAAATGAGAAAACGCAGAGAGAAGTGACTTGCTCAAAGGTGAACAGTAAGTGAGTGGCAGAGCTTGCCCTGGAACCTGGTTCTTCTTGACTCCAAGTTTAGAGGCAAGAAATAGGAATGGGATTTGAAACTCAAGAGTTTCCTGCGACCACAAGAGAAAACCTAGAGAGGTCTTCGTCTATAGAGAAGTATCTCTGATGAATGGTCAACTGCTTCATCTTAACTCTGGGACAGTTACATTCTTTTCTGCTCCCCACCTCCCTGCCTCATTCCCCACTGTGGAATTTAGAAAGTTATCTCGCCCTCCCTCCTCCCCCACAAAAAAAGTTTGAGTCGCCGCTGCGGGTTGCTAGCGGAGTCGCGCGTCGGGAGCTACGTAGGGCAGGGAAGGCATGGCTTCTGTTTTCGTCCAATGAGAAGGGGCCAGCGGTGGCGGTCGGGCCAGGTCCGGGGCCTGGGGACGCCGAGGCGGCCGCGGAGGAGCGCCGCGTCAAGGTCTCCAGCCTGCCCTACAGTGTGGATGCGCTCGTGTCGGACAAGAAGCCGCCCAAGGAGGCATCCCCAGTGCCGGCCAAAAGCGCCTCTTCCGGGGCCACCCTGCGGCTACTGCTGCTGCCGGGGCACGGCGCTCGGGAAGCGCACAGCCCCGGGCCGCTGATCAAGCCCTTCGAGACCGCCTCGGTCAAGTGGGAAAACTCCCTAAGACGGAGCGGCGTGGATGCAGGAACCCTGCTGATAATTCGCCGCCGCCAAGACACGTGAGCCCTACCACCTGCACCCTGAGAAAACACAAGACCAATCCGAAGCCGCGCACAGCCTTTACCACGTCCCAGCTCCTCGCTCTGGAGGGCAAGTTGCTCCAGAAACAGTACCTCTCCATTGCAGAGGGTGCGGACTTCTCCAGCTCTCCGAACCTCACGGAGACTCAGGTCAAAATCTTGTTCCAGAACCGAAGGGCCAAGACGAAAAGACTGCAGGAGTCAGAACTGGAAAAGCTGAAAATGGCTGCAAAACCTATGCTACCCTCCAGCTTCAGTCTCCCTTTCCCCATCAGCTCGCCCCTGCAGGCAGCGTCCATATACGCAGCATCCTACCCGTTCCATAGACCTGTGCTTCCCATCCCGCCCGTGGGACTCTATGCCACGCCAGTGGGATATGGCATGTACCACCTGTCCTAAGGAAGACCAGATCAATAGACTCCATGATGGATGTTTGTTTCAAAGGGTTTCCTCTCCCTCTCCAAGAAGGCAGGACCAGCCAATACTCCTGTTCTGCAAACCCTGAGTGCACCACCCTAAGCGGCTAGGCCGGCAGGGCCACACGACACAGCTGAAGTTTGTTCTTTAGGCGGAGGCACCAAGCCTTGTTTTCTTGGTGTAATCTTCCAGGTGCCCCCTTCTCCTTTCACAAAGATTGGCTCTGATGGTTTTTATGTATAAATATATATATAATAAAATATAATACATTTGTATACAGTAGATGTAAAAATTCAAATTATTTTAAAAGGCAAAATTTATATACATATGTGCTTTTTTCCTATATGTCACCTTCTTAAAGAGACTGTGTAAGTCCATTTGTTGTGTTTTCTTAAAGAGGGAGACAAATTATTTGCAAAACTTGCTAAAGTCAATGATTTTGATGGGATGATTGACTTCTGCTTATGGAAAACAAATATTAGAATTGGACATAATGCACATAGAAAGTATTAGATATGGAGAGGTTTTTCAAAGTGAAGGGGACACATCACATTTCTGCATTTTACTTGCATTAAAAGAAACCTTTTTATATACTACCATATTTGTTCCTATCTCTCCCCACGCCCACCCCCCCCCCACACACACATTTTTACAGTTTTACCTTTTTGAAGAATTTTTTTTTTGTAAGACCAATAACCGGGATGAGAAGAATCCTGAGAATGCCTGGAGGTGAGGTAGAAAATTAGAAATACTTCCTAATTCTTCTCAAGGCTGTTGCTTTACTTCATTTCAGATAATTGGAGAGTAAAAAGTTAAAGCCTGTTGGGAGGAGTTGATGGTTTCTGAGAAATACTAGGTACTTTCATCCTCACAGATTGCAAAGATTATTTGGGTGGGGGGGTACAGTAATTTTCTGCTTAAAAAATGAGTACCTTGTAACCATTACCTGTATGCTAAATATTCTTGAACAATTGGTAGATCCAGAAAGAAAAAAAATTATGCTTTCTCTGTGTGTGTACCTGCTGTATATGCTAAACTTATTAGAAAATTTTATATACTTTTTAACATGTCCAGGGCAGAAGATAAAGCCATGTTTTGACTTGGTGAAAATGGAGTTGCCAAACAGCCCATTAAGCTCCCTGGTATTTCACCTTCCTCTCCATCTCTCCCATCCCTCCAGTATGCCTTTACCCCTTTGAAAGGGTGCCTTGTACAATTGTATATATTTTATTGAAGAGTTATTATATCTTATTCTGAATTAAATTAAACATGTTTTATTGCAAAAAAAAGAAGAGAAAGTTATCTCACTTTTAGCATTGTCTAAATAGTTCCCCAAAAGGCATTTGCCCTTTGTTTTTGTTCCATCTTTACTAAATACTCTTTGGATAATCTTCACATTGTGCTACTTAGCTGAAATGGCTTAAATATGGCCCCTTCAAAATTCAGGTATTGAAATTTAATGTTCAGTGTGATGGTGTTAAGAGGCGAAGCCTTTAAGAGGTGATTAGGCCATGAGGATTCCTCCCTTATTAATGGGATTAAGGCCTTTATAAAAGAGACTTCATGCAGCATTAGGCTCGCTAGCCCTTTGGTCTTCTGCCATATGAGGACACAGCATTCCTCCCCTCTGGAGGATGCAGCAACAAGGTGCCATCTTGGAAGCAGAGAATAGCCCTCACCAGACAACCAAACCTGTTGGAACCTTAATCTTGGACTGTCCAGCCTCCAGAACTGCAAAAGAATAAATTTCTGTTCTTTACAAATCATGCAGTCTGTGGTGTTTCACTATAATCATACAAACAGACTAAGACATTACCCAACACAATCTTTCCCTCATTTGTATAGTATGGCTGAGAGGAGGATGGCATAACATAATTGAGGAACCAAGGCCAGAGAGGCCAGGGCCATGCTTACCAGTGTTCCAAATCTAGGGTAGTGAATTCATTTCCAAGGCTACTACTTCATGTGTGTTTCTGCTTTTCTCTTTAACTGGAATGAGAGCTTCTTGAGGGCAGGCGCCATGCATTATTCATTTTTAAATCCTCCCAGCTCCTGAACAGTACCTGACAGAGAGAGGAAGCATTTTTACTTTTATCTTTTTTTAACATTTTTCCAGCTTCCTATAGTTTCCCTCTGTCAATTTCTGTATATTTATTTCTTCCATCTTCCTTGGGGTATGCATCATTTTGTAAAAGTCTCAGGCAATGTATAATATGGACCCAAAGTTAAGAAGATGATGCAGAAGCTTTTTGTTCCCCCTTCTCTCCCAGCAACCATCCCATCCAAGAAATGAAAGTCAGACACCAGGCACAGTGGCTCACGCCTGTAATCCCAGCACTTTGGGAGGCCGAGGTGGGCGGATCATTTGAGGTCAGGAGTTTGGGACCAGCCTGACCAACATGGTGAAACCCCATCTCTACTAAAAATACAAAACATTAGCCAGGCGTGGTGGTGGATGCCTGTAATCCCAGCTACTCGGGAGGCTGAGGCAGGAGAATCGCTTGAACCCAGGAAGCGGAGGTTGCAGTGAGCCGAGATCGTGCCACTGCACTCCAGCCTGGGCAACAAGAGTGAAACTCCGCCTCAAAAAAAAAAAAAAAAAGAAGATGAAGAAAGAAAAAAAAAAAGAAATGGAAGTCAGAGGCTCTTCCTGGTTTCTCTTGAAGCCATCATGGCAACTCTGAACTTATCCTTTCTCCACTTCTTCCTCCTTGTTTCCGTTTCACACATTTCTCCACATTTACACTCAACCTTTGGAAATGAGGAAGGGTAAAATGGACTCTCTGTCTTATTTGATCTCTGTGGCCCCTTAGAACAGCATTTTCCTCTTTCACATTAAAATCCTTTAAATATCAAATGATGCTTTTCACATCCTCCAATTTGTCTCTTCTCCACGTGCAACATCTGCCTTCCTATAGTTGTTCCTCTTGTGACAGGTTTGCTGATTCTACCAGCCCGGGCATCTCTTCTGTATTTACTCTCATATGGCAACATCCCTCTTAAGGTGTGATGCTCACCATATGATACTGCTGCACTGGGCTGTAATTTCTTTGAGAAAAGATGATTTTCTCCTCTGAAATATATGTCCATAACAATGCTTTTAGCTGCAAGTAGCAGAATAATCAAGTGACAGTGGCTTCAATAAAGAAGAAAGTATTATCTCATTTAAACAGAAGACTAAAGGATAAGCAATTCCAGAGTTGGTTAATTCAGTAATTTAAACATTTTAGGGCTCTGGGTTGGCTGCTCTGCAATTCCTTGTCTTTCCTCTCATGGTAGCCATACGGCTGTCAAAGCTCCAGGCATCACACCTTTATTTCAAGTGATTCAGCAAGAAGCATAAGAAAATGCATCCATGTGCTTTTTTTTTTTCTTTTTACCAGGGGAGAAAAGAACCACACCAGCAGAATTATCGTATGACCCAGTTGACCAGAACTGCATCATATGGTCACCCCAGTCTGCAAAAAAGAATGGAAGGGTGAATGTCTGGTTTCTTCAGCCAGGAAAAAGAGTACTGGGAATGGCAACCAACAGTGTCTGCCACGTATGTCTAAGCCCCTGGCAGCAAGAAGACAGACAATTGGATTGAGTGAGAAATCTTGTTGATAAGAAAACTCTATCATGGGCAGTGATTATAAAATCAAATGCCTAGAGAAGCTGACAATAAGTTAAGTGGGCCCAGTGAACACTAAGGGGAACTGGAGGTGCTCATCCAGATAAAAGAGGAAATCCTACTTCAAGTCTTCTCTTCGACCCTAATGCAGAATTCCAGTACTTAAGTCTGTACAAAAAAATCGGAAGGATTTTACTTAGAGATACAAAACAGCCCCAAATAAATAGTCCCAGGCTGTTTTCTCCAGTTAACAAAACAGGTGACATGATAATCCTAAGAGAGGCCTTCAAGTTCTCAAGCCCTACTCATGCACATAGTGCTTCCAATCAGCATCTTAGTGGTTTGATTTTAAATACCAGTGGTTAGCTGGAGACCACTAGGCAGATGAAGAAAATTTCCAATATAGAAGGCAGACACAAAAGCAGAACAAAACGGAAAATTAGAGAAGTCCAAGTAAACAGAAGCAATTCAAGTAATAGAAGAAAACTTTCTAAGTTTTTATAAATTTAACTTTATATTTTGAGGTAACTGCAGATTTACTTGAAGTTGTAAGAAATAATAGAGATCTCATGTACACTTTACCCAGATTCTTTCAATGGTAACTGCCATATGCTAAATGTTTATGTCTCCCCAAAACTCACGTGTTGAAACCTAATCCCCAGTGGAATGGTATTTGGAGGTGGGGCCTTTGGTAGACGATTAGGTCATGAGGCAGGGGCCTTATGAATGGGATTAGTGCCCTTATAAAAGAGTCCCTGGAGAGCTGCCTTGCTCCTTTGCCATGTGAGGACAGTGAGAAGACAGCTGTCCATAAACTAGAAAGTGGACCTTGATGAGACACCGAATCTGCCAGCATCTTGTCTTGGACTTCCAAGTCTTCAAAACTGAGAAATAAATTTCTGTTGTGTATAAGCCACCCAGTCTATGGCGTGCTGTTATAGCAGTGCAAACAGGCTAAGGCAGAAATAGCTTGCAAAACTATAGTATGATATCACAAGGATATTAACATTGATACAGTCAAGACATAGAACAGGAAAGTTTTTAAAATCCTACCATTAATATCCACAAAAGATAAGTCACTGTATTCATAAAACAAGATTAGGATGCTATTTTAGAAGGGTACAATAAGAGGATGAGAAACAAATTCTTGGAAATTAAAGATATGTTTTGGTATACTGTATTTTTCTAAGATGACCACATCAATATCTTCCATTTCACATGCTCTTCATTACAATATGAATTTCACAAAGTGGGATCTTTGTTTCCTACCCTTGAATCTGGAAGGGCTTGTGATCTTGGTGGAAGTGTCACCATGTAACCTCTGAGGATAGGTCGTAGAAGGCAATACAGACTCCAATTAGTTCTCTGTGGAATGCCCACTCTTGGAAGCAAGCTACTATGCTAGGAAAAAGCCCAAGTAGCCACATAGAGAGGCCATTTGCATTTCTATTAATATCTTGATTGACCGGCGTTTGTCCCCAGGTAGGTTTTTCAAGAAAGATTTATGAGAACTATATTTTCTGAATTAAATATTTGAAACAATTTATCTGTTGTTTTTATATATAAATGACAATTTCACTGAATAAGCATCTTTGGATAATACTTTTTATTTTTCTTAGGTCTTTGTAGATGTTCTTCCGTTTTCTAGGGCTATTGAGAAGTTTGAAGCCAGCCTTCTTCTTATAGATGGATTCATCTTTTTCCATGGCAGCTTTTAGGATTCTTTCTTTATCTTTGGAATTCTGTAACTTTATTCAGTTCTGTTGTAGCATCTGTTGACATTTATCACATTTCCTGGCACACAATCTGCCTTTTCAATCTATTGATTCCATTTATTTCATTTTCAGGAACATTTTCTTGAATTACATCTTTGGATATTTTTTGCTCCAATTATTTATATGTCTTCTTCAAGGACATCCAAGTATTAATTAAACTGATATTCTTTGTCTATATTTCATGTACAAACATACACACACACTTCTTACTCATCCTTTTAAACTTTTGCTCTTTTCCATTTCATTGTGTTTAGTTCTCTTAAGCCTGCCTTTCAGATATCTTACTGTATTTTAAGCAGTGACTATTCTCATTTTCACTGTTTCCATTTTTTTGTGATGATTTTATTTTCTTCCTATTCTTTTTTCCTGATCTCTGCCAGTTACGTTTTCCATCTCTGTTTTCATATTATCATTCAATTCTTAAGATTTAATTATTCTGCTGAGCTCTTAATAGATAGAAGTTTGATTCATTTTTTTCTGAGTTATCTACATTCTTGAAAAACTTTTCAATAAAAATTTTCTTCTCTATTCTGTTCTGTGCTCTTCACCTGCCTTCTTTCCTCCTTTTTGACCTATTTTTTATAGACTCTGCAAGTTGCTTTTTAATTATTACACATTCTTAAAGAAGCAATTTGTTTAACTAGTTATGTGTTAAAATAAAAAGTGGTGGTGATGGTAGTGAAGACAGGCCAGGGAGTGCTCTGGGTTAATTGTCCTGGGCTCACAGTGCAGCACTGAACACTGAATGATAGAGGCATTTGTGTGTTTGTGTGTGTGTGTGTGTGTGTGTGTGTGCGTGCGTGTAAATTTAGTCTATCTCTTCAGCTGGTAAAGATCAGCAGCTGCAGGGGTGCCCATAGCCCACAGTTTCTCTATCTTACTGGATAGTGCAGTTATAAATGTGGCATAAGCCCAGCCTCTCAATCCCTTTTTGGTGTTTAATATCACTTAAGGAAGCTCTTGCAGCCAGCCTGTGTGCCCGGATCTGGTCCATCCACACAAAGGTGGTTGTTTTATCTTCATTATATACCACCTACTTAGGAGCCAACTCTGCCAGCATTGTCCAGGAGTTGTTGTGGGCAGAAGCCTCTCTCTCTTCACAGTACTTGATAGTCCTTCATGGTTCATTTTGGGTTTTGTTGTCATCTGAGTTGTAAACATGTCTTAATTTTATTGAAAGTGGAATTTCTGTTGCCAGTGAGGAAGAGAAAAATAAAAACCTTTGTTTTCTTATAACCAGAAGTCATTTATTCATTTAATTTTTTAAAAGTTGTCTTGGGCCACTTTTTAGTTTATAAAAATCTTACTTTTATATGATTCAGAATATCAGTTCTAAAGGTAATATACAGCACAGAAAAGCTGCTTATAATCTACAACACTGACACAAAGGGAAGGAATATAAGTAAAATTTCTTCCAGATTTATCTTACACATGGTTAATCCACAACACCAGGTGCTTAATTGAATTTGTTGAATATGCCCCCATTAAAATGAATATGGCTATATTTATGAGAATTTATGCCTTTAAGACATCTCTTACTGAGGCTATGTTCTCTGAGAGAGAGAGAGAGGAGAGAGAGAGAGAGAGAGAGAGAGAGAGATAAAGGTATTTATTGCAAGGACTTGGCTTACATGATTGTGAAGCTGGCTAGGCAAGTACGTAATCTGCAGGGCAGGCCATCAGCTGAAGTTGCTGTCTACATGCAGAATTTTCCTCCTTCAGGGAAACCTCAGTTCTTCTCTTTAGTTCTTTCAACTGATTGAATCAGGCACACCCAGATGATCTAGGATAACCTCCTTTACTTAAAGTCAACTGATTATAGACATCAATTTTATCTACAAAATACCTTCACAGCAACACCTAGATTAGAGTTTGATTGAATAACTGGAAACTATAGCCTAGTCAAGTTGACACATAACACAGACCATCACAAAGGGAGAATGATTAATTATCAATGATGCTGGGCTTCCTGCATGAGAATTTACATGATATTTCCTCTACACGTGTCCTGTATCCGTTTAGTGGCTTGACATTATAATAGTAGCTAAGTCTGACAAACATTTATTTTCTTAGAAATGTGATACATATAGAAATAATTTTCTCAGCTCAATTTTCCATGACTGAGTCTTTAGCATAATTACTCCATCCAGGCCATTCATACACTGGCAACCATTATACTGGCTAGTGGTTGCAGTAAAGATGAGCTTTGATGGACATTTTACGACCTACCTGTACTTTTGACAGGGGAAATATATAAACTGGAACCTACCAGGTCTCTATTACTGAAAGCTAAATCGGAATCATAAAGAATTAATCCAGGTAATTCAAAATCACCCATCTGAGAGTCAATAACATTAACAAGGCCTGTGCCCATCCCCACCATCAATCTAGACTACTTTCCTGAGTGGCTCAATTTTAAAGTAGACTAAAGCTCCAAATAATGGGAAGAATTTGTGTTTTTTTTAAATTGACATCTCTTGTATGTGAAAGAACGTCACTTCGTGTTCTTATCCCCAGAGGCAGAGTCTTTATTTTGCCAAGTATAAACATTCGCAATGAAAGAACTCAGACCAACCTGAGAACCTCACGTGGATCAGAGAGCTGTGAGAAATCACACAGATTTTACAGCACATCAAGCTTACAGTGTTGGTTAATTCCAATTTTTAATCAGTTCCTCATAATTAGAAAATATATGGGCTTCTTGTGCCAATCCTTGTATTAAAGGGAGTAATAATTGACATGTAAATAATGCTAGCACTTTGTAGATGGTGTGAGTATAATTGATATGGGTAGTGAATCAACTGTGGGGGTATTGGTTGACAAGATGAAGAACAAGATTTATGGGGTAATTAAGTTTTCATTTTAGTATGCAGACATTTTCCCATCCATGACGTTGCCTATGTAAAGATCAATTCAGTTTAAAAGGAGAAGAAATCAAACCAGTTACCTTGACAACACCATGAAAGAGAACTATCCATTGTGCTGAAGAGCAAGTCGTTGGTTCTCAATGTCTGGTCCCTGGAACAGGTGCATCAGCATTATCTGAGAACTTGCTACAAATGCAAATTCTTGGTCTTACCATTGATGTACTGAATGAGAAATTCTGGGCTGGGAACAGAAGTCTGCCTTTTAACAAGGCCTTCAGGTAATTCTCTCAAGGGTAGGTGTCACTGGTCTAAGAAAGAAATTCTCCTAAAACTCTCAGAGTCTCCTTTTTTTTGAAGACCCTCTTGTCCTTTTGGATCTTGGCCTGAATATTACCCATTCCTCAAATCTCTAAAATTTTCAATGTGCTTGGTACTTTGGGCCCCCCAAGGAAGACCTCTCAAAGAGTGTGTGCTTTTGAGACATTTAGAAACTTTTTAACAACTCCCATTGCTCCCTTGGCCCCAGTGATAATCAGCCCAGCTCAGCTTCCTGAGCCCTGTCCAATAGTTTCTCCCAAAGGATATTCCCCCTTCCCCTGGGGTCTCACCCATGGTATTATTCATGAAGTAAGGGCAGGAGCTAAGAAACTGTGAGGCTGAAGCAAAGGATCTCCAAGAAGATGTACACTGAAGCCCCATTCTGGGCTAAAGGGAGGTGAGAGACCAGTGTTTCCTCAGCTGCACAGAGATCAGCTGTAAGAAAGATCTTGCAACACCTGCTAGAGGGTGGGAGTAATAAGCAAGTGACATAGACCTGACGATAGTAAGTCTAAAGGATGAGCAGAGACTCAAGAAAAACTGCAAGGGGAATGTGATGTTGAAAACGGATGCCTCCGATTACATAGGAAAACAACAAAGCACAGAATTCGCCCTATGAGACTTAGAGGGAGGATGCTCACAGCAAAGGACATCAACGGTGAGGAAAATCACAAGATTCTCGACATTGTCACATAAAACAAAGTCACATTTACCTGCTAATATATTAAGTTGGCAAACATTTCTGAGCAAGTGCTAAATCAGAGATGCTGTCATAGACTCTGGGCTTACTAAGTTATTGAATTTACAATCTAGTTAAGAGAAGCAATAGAAAAAATGATAAATGCTATAATGGAGGTATTTATCAAATGCTATTGGAACACAGAGAAATAAGGAATTAATTCTGCATGAGAGAAATGGGGGGAGGAGTCAAAGGGAAAGTGATATTTCTCTTATCGCCTCTAGGTTGAGAAGGTAGCAAAAGGCATTTCAGGAAACAGGATTTATTACCAAAGATATGAAAATAATGAAATATACTGCCTACATGGAAGCTATGAGTTCTTTGAACAGCAATCAGTTCCCAGGTGACAGTGATACTGATTAGAAAGGTATAGGGAGGCTATTTTTTATAGTCTTGTATGAAATGCTGAGAGAGAGTTGCATGCACGTATGTAGGTATGTTTTTCCACCCTCAGTTTATCCACAGAGCATTTTAGGTGGCTTCTGAGAGTTTGAGTTTTAAGCTGTGAGCAAATCAAATATTATAACAATGAGGAATATGATCACATCTGAGTCAGAGGGGTCTCATGGACAGCTGTGTAGAAGGTGTCCTGGAGTGAGGCCAGGCGCGGTGGCTCATGCCTGTAATCCCAGCACTTTGGGAGGCGGAAGCGGGCGGATCACGAGGTCAGGAGATCGAGACCATCCTGCTAACACAGTGAAACCGTGTTACAAAAAAAATTAGCCGGGCGAGGTGGTGGGCGCCTGTAGTTCCAGCTACGCGGGAGGCTGAGGTAAAAGAATGGCGTGAACCCGGGAGGCGGAGCTTGCAGTGAGTGAGCCGAGATCGCGCCACTCCAGCCTGGGCGACAGCGAGACTCCGTCACAAAAAAAAAAAAAAAAAAAAAAAGAAGGTGTCCTGGAGTGGAAGTAAACTGAAGGAGCAGAATAAGATTAGAATGACCTATAATATTGTAGATAATAGATTGCAATAGGCCAGGTAAGAGAGGGTAAGAGAGATTGAGACAGGGCAGGGGGAGGGGGGAGACCACTGACCCCCTCCCCTGTCACCCTCCATCTTCTTCTTCTTTTTTTTTTGTTTTTGATTTTTTGAGACAGAGTCTCGCTCTGTCACCCAGGCTGGAGTGCAGTGGCATGACCTCCACTCACTGCAGCCTCCAACCAGCTTCAAGCGATTCTCCTGCCTCAGCCTCCCAAGTAGCTGAGATTACAGGTGTGTGCCACCACGCCCGGCTAATTTTTTTGTATTTTTAGTACAGATCCGGAGTTTCACCATGTTGGCCAGGCTGGTCTCAAACTTCTGACTTCAAGTGATCCATCCGCCTCCGCCTCCCAAATTTCTGGGACTACAGGCGTGAGCCACCTCTCCCGGCTCCTCCATCTTCTTCTGTCCCTTTAGTCCCGTTTTCTCCACCTCCCCAGCACTTTTCCACTTCCTTTACCTTCACTTGCTCTATTCCTTCATCTCCCTTTATTCCTTTGTCTATTTCTATTTGTTTTCTTTCAACAACTTCCTTTGTCTCCCACCCTTGGATTCAGTAACATCTTGTAAAATTCCTGTTTCATTCAGAAGCTCTCTGAGTCCCCTTCATACAATATTCATCATCTATTTCTCAATCCAATGACTCTCCCTCCCTTTTCTCCCTCTTGTCTCAGCACCACCACATATGCCTCACTCATAAGGGGCCGCCCACAGTGGAGGGCAGGGGAACTACTGGATGTCTCAGGCATCCAGCTGCATCCAGTGTCTTCCTTGTGCTGAACTTGTGCACCTGATAGCTATTCACCCATGCAGCAGTCAACACCAAGAGCTTTTTAAGTTAACTGTCATTAAGAATGGGTACTGCAGGGCACAAATAAATTGTGAGATCCAGATATAGGCTTTGGACTTAATAGTTGAATTGTGGAGGGAAAATATAGACAAGGAAAATCCATTAACACGATGATGTATTAAATGTCATGTGAAAAATAATTGGCAAAGAATCTTATTACAGAGTGGAAGAGAGGATATCTTTAGATTAAGAGAATTCACACAGGTGAGTAATTGCCATTGATTATTCCATACACTGTTTTAGGAACTTTATATCTATCATTCTACTTAAGTCCTCAGAAAATTCTACAAAGCAGGTATTTTTATTTCTACCTTACAAATTCCCGTGAAAACTGAGGCCCAGAAAGATTAAGTAAGTTACTCATGGTCAAATCACAATGAAATGAAAGACCTGAAATTTGACTTCAGATGTATCTGACTCCAAGTGTCTTCCCACCACTATATGAATCTTTGAAAGGCAGGTTGTATATACTTCTGGATGGCGTTAAGATTTCAGGAATGTATATTCCAGCACCCACTTGTAAACGATCCAGAGACAAGACAGCACCTAGTATAATGGTCTACACATAAGGATGCTCATCATATGGGCCTAAAACCTTGGTTCTGAGCCCCTGAGCCCTGAAAGGGAAAGTAGTGACTTCATGTATCTGTGTCTGTGGTTCATTTTCTTCAGGTGTATGGAGAAAACACCATGGAAACAGGGAACCTCACGTGGGTATCAGACTTTGTCTTCCTGGGGCTCTCGCAGACTCGGGAGCTCCAGCGTTTCCTGTTTCTAATGTTCCTGTTTGTCTACATCACCACTGTTATGGGAAACATCCTTATCATCATCACAGTGACCTCTGATTCCCAGCTCCACACACCCATGTACTTTCTGCTCCGAAACCTGGCTGTCCTAGACCTCTGTTTCTCTTCAGTCACTGCTCCCAAAATGCTAGTGGACCTCCTCTCTGAGAAGAAAACCATCTCTTACCAGGGCTGCATGGGTCAGATCTTCTTCTTCCACTTTTTGGGAGGTGCCATGGTCTTCTTCCTCTCAGTGATGGCCTTTGACCGCCTCATTGCCATCTCCCGGCCCCTCCGCTATGTCACCGTCATGAACACTCAGCTCTGGGTGGGGCTGGTGGTAGCCACCTGGGTGGGAGGCTTTGTCCACTCTATTGTCCAGCTGGCTCTGATGCTCCCACTGCCCTTCTGTGGCCCCAACATTTTGGATAACTTCTACTGTGATGTTCCCCAAGTACT
Source organism: Homo sapiens (assembly GCF_000001405.40). NCBI lineage: Eukaryota > Metazoa > Chordata > Mammalia > Primates > Hominidae > Homo > Homo sapiens. Next base: position 58,170,210 of record NC_000017.11, read on the forward strand.
GAGACTTGCCTGCACTGACACCTCACTGCTGGAGTTCCTCAAGATCTCCAACAGTGGGCTGCTGGATGTCGTCTGGTTCTTCCTCCTCCTGATGTCCTACTTATTCATCCTGGTGATGCTGAGGTCACATCCAGGGGAGGCAAGAAGGAAGGCAGCTTCCACCTGCACCACCCACATCATCGTGGTTTCCATGATCTTCGTTCCAAGCATTTACCTCTATGCCCGGCCCTTCACTCCATTCCCTATGGACAAGCTTGTGTCCATCGGCCACACAGTCATGACCCCCATGCTCAACCCCATGATCTATACCCTGAGGAACCAGGACATGCAGGCAGCAGTGAGAAGATTAGGGAGACACCGGCTGGTTTGAGAGTGACAATGGTAGGTTTCTTCTCTTTGGCTTTGTTTTCCCTTTGTGAAGTGGAGAGGGAGCTACTACCTTTGCTCTCTTCATAGTGTGTTGAGGTTCATCATAGCAGGGAATGAATTTTGAAACTAAGCAACTTCGTGTTTTAGGAAAAAAGAAAGTATCCTCTTTGGTGGTTAAGGTTTGTGATAAAGAGTTTTAACACACTCGCAACAATGAGAATTGTTCACATGGCCCCTGAAAACCACACCTTCCTTTTCACCTTCTTGGTGGACAGTTTCCTGTTGACAGCATTTCCCCTGTGCGAACATTTCTATTTTCCGTATTTTGAGCTCTCTTCCCAATATTTCCTTTTGGTGTGAGTCTGGGTTGTTGGGAACAGCACAGAATTTGGAGTCTTAAGCTCTAAATTAGAGGCCCTGACCCATCATTGACCAAACTGATGACTTCGAGTAAGCCACCCAGCTTTTCTTGGCCTCATGATTTCTCCCTCACCAATTTGCTTAAATTAGTATGTGCCCCTAAAATATTCTATGTTTGTTATGAGATTCAAATAAAAAAATTTTGTGATAAAACAACAAGTAAATCATATAACTATATGTTATCTTCCAAGCTTTTAAAAATGATTGTATTTTATTTTCAAATATGAAATTATTATGAGTATTCAAGCTTTTTCTCTCTATATTTACATTTTAATATAATATACAAATTTTGAATAAAAGATCATGGGCAATGCATGCACATTATGAAACTTATGTCATTATGTATAAATGCTCATGTATACACTACTCGATTCAAGAACCAGAAGTTACCAATAACTTGCCTTCACCTGTATTGTCCTCTCCATTGTGTTCACCTTGATTCCTATCCAGAAGAAATCACTCTGTTGAATTTCATGTTTATCACTTCATTGCTTGTATAAAATAGTTTCATCACTTTTTTTACATAAACAGTATATTGTTTTGCTACTTTGGAGTTTTATAAAGATATTGTACTGTACATAATATTCTGGGATTTGCTTTTTTCACTCCATGTTATGTTTCTAACATAACATGTTGATGTTTGGCTCTAATTCATTCATTTGCTCTGCTGTAGAATATTCCACTGTGAAAATAAGTTTATTTGGGTTGTTTCCAGGTTTTGGCTATTGGAGAGTGCTTTTTTTGAGACGAAGTTTCACTCTGCTGCCGAGGCCGGAGTTCACTCATCACCACACCCAGCTAAGTTTTGCATTTTCAGTAGAGATGGGGTTTCTCCATGTTGGAGTTGTGACCATTATTGCCTAAACTATTTTTACTGCGCCTTTCTCTCCTCTTCTTCCAGGATTCTCATTATGTGTGTGTCTTGGTATCCTTGATGGTGTCTCACAGGCTTCTGAGCCTATGTTCATTTTCGTTTATTCTTCTTTTTGCTCCTTAGACTGGATGATTTCAATTGACCTATAATATCTCTAGACCTCTGATTCCGAAATGCCATCATAGAGGAAAATTGGATTCACTCCCCGACTTCCACAGAACCAAAAACAAATATATAGCACTGAGATCTACACCAGAAACAACCCAGAGCTCAAGTATAAGAGTGAGACAGTTCTTGGGGCCACAGAGGGATGAAAAAAGTCCAAGCAGCTGATAGGAGAATCAGACTTCCACATCTGGGACACCCCTCATCCCCATTCTGTCCAGCACCAAGTGCCAAAAAATCTCCTCCCAACTACAGTTTCTACACTGGAAAAACTGAAATTGAGGTGGCCCACCAGCTTCCTTACCTTCTTGGGGTCCCTGGCAGGAGAACTGTTCTTGCCTTAATCCACAGATAGCATCATGACTGCCTGAAAGAAGAAATGTCCCCGAAGAAAGGCAGAGAAATTCTGCTCTGTAACTCAGCCAAAGGAGACACCAACTCAGAGTTGCTGTCCAGCAGCACCATGCTGTAGGAGGCATGTTCCCCAGGTCCCCTGGGCACAAACCCCTAGCCAGACTTCCCACACTGCCAGGATAATCTCTTTGGGATCTCCTTGATTTGAGACAGGAAGTGCTTCAACCATTTACTAGTCCTGAGGTGAACCTGGGCTTAAGGCACCACCTAGAGTCGAATAGAGGCAGTGACCTAGCAGTGAAGATTCAATAAGCAAATGTATTCAATAAAAACCAAAACAAGCTGTACAGAGAAAACTGGAAAGATGGATACATACCCACAAGAAACAACAGCAAACAGGGAACTATGACTTCCTCAAAAGGAAAAAGCAAAAATCCAGTCACTGATCCTAACAAGATGGTGATTAGTGAGCTCTCTGACCAAGAATTCAAAATAGGAGTTTCAAGGAAACTCACTGATCTCCAAGAAAACACAGAAAAGCAATTTAGAAATTTAACAAAGAGACTGAAATGATTCCAAAATGTCAAACAGAAATCTTGGAACTCAACTAACCTATCTTCAGATTCATTGATTTTATTTTTATTTTTTAAGACAGTCTCACTCTGTTGCCCAGACTGGAGTGCAATGGTGTGATCTTGGCTCACTGCAACCTCCGCCTTCCAGTTTCAAGCAATTCTCCTGCCTCAGCCTCCTGAGTAGCTGGGGCTACAGGCGCGTGTCACCACACCCAGCTAATTTTTGTATATTTAGTAGAGACAGGGTTTTACCATGTTGGCCAGGCTGGTCTTGAACTCCTGACCTCGTGATCAACCCGCCTCGGCCTCCCAAGGTGCTGGAATTACAGGTGTAAGCCACCAGGCCCAGCTGATTCTTTCTTCTACCTACTCGAAAGCTCCTATTGAAACCGTCCTGTGAACTTTTCATTTCAGTTACTTTTATTGTACTTTTCAGCTCCAGACTATTTCTTATTTTAAATCAATTTCTCTCTCTTTTTTGATATTTTCTATGTAAAACATTCTTCTTCCTTTAATTCTTTACCCATAGTTTACTCTATGTTCAAGAAAGTTGCTTTAAAGTCTTTGTCTAGTTAAGTCAAATGTCTGTTTTTTCTCAGGAAGTTTCTGCTAATTTCTTTTCTTCCCTTGAAAGGGCCATACTCTCTTGTTTGTTTGCATGTCTCATAATATTTTGTGAAAACCGCACATTTTAAATATTATAATGTTGTAGGAGTGGAAATAATTTTCTTCCTGCTCCCTATTATTTGTTGTTTTTTCTTGCTGTGAGTTGCAGTTGTTTGTTTAGTGACTTTTAAAACTTTTTTTTTTGTCAAATATGGCCTCTGAAATCTGTTTCCTTAGTTCATAGTCATCTAATGGCTTTACAGTAACTTTGTTAAATGCCTGTAGACAAATGATATGGCTTGGACCTGTGTCCCATGAAATCTCATGTGGAATTATAATCCCCAGTGTTGGAGGTGATGCCTGGTGGGAGGTGATTAGATCATGGGGATGAATTTCTCACGAATAGTTTAGCACCATCCTTCCCTTGGTACTGACCTTGCAATAGTGTGTGAGTTCTCATGAGATCTGGTCATTTAAAAGTGTGTGGTGCCTCCCTCTTACTCTCTCTTCCTCCTGCTCCAGCCATGTGAAGTGCCTGCTCCCACTTCACCTCCCACCATTATTGTAAGTTTCCTGAGGCCTCCCCAGAAGCCAAACAGATGCCAGCATTATGCTTCCTGTACAGCCTGCACAATCATGAGCCAATTAAACCTCTTTTCTTTATAAATTACGAGTCTTAGTCTCAGATATTTCTTTATAGCAATATGAGAATGAACTAATACAACAAAGAAATGAAAAAGAAAGAAAATATACTCTCCCAGTCTTTCCAGATTGGCTCTGTGTTTGGATACTCCCTCAACACTTAACAAGGATGTTTACAGCTCTGCCTTAGCCTTCACTTTCTGCTTGCATTGGGCCTAAAGATTAGCCAGAACTTATATCTTAGGACTGTCCCAAGTCTGTGTTTTCATCCTGCCCTTATATGCAGAATGTGGCATTCTAGATTTCATAGTATATACAGGAACTTTCCAAAGTTCTTATTCACCAAAGTATCTCTGTTCCTAACTTTTCCTCTCAAGCTTTTGGTGTGTGTTTGATTGCCCCAGGTGGCAGAGGCGTGCTCATTTGATTTTCAGTGTTTTTGAGGAATACTTTTTACGTAGCCACTTTTCTGCCCATAGTGAATTCTGAGTTAGGTAAAACAAAGGCAAGCTCCTCACATCAGTCCTTCAGGAACCCCCAGACATTTCAAAACAGACAATACAATCCTAGGGAACAAGGTTCATTCTGCTCCTTCCGGAACCAGGGACTCACACCAGGAACATACATTGCCATCTTCAAGACCACCAAGCTGGGAGGAGTGTGGAACAACAATAAGTTAAAAGTTTTCCTACTGTGTTTCAGTCACCTTTTGAAACAAAGTTCATTTAGTTGCTATTTGACTATTTTCTTTGACAATTTTCCAGAATTCCAACAAGGTTGATTCTGATCACTTCTGCTTTTATTTTTTTTTTTTCCTTTCTATGGAGAGATGAGCCCTCGGATTCCCAGACTGCTATTTTTATGACATCATCATATTTAAGATAATAATTTATGTAATTCACTTCTCTATGCAACCAGTCTTTCCTAGTCACTCCATATCTGTTTCCATTCCTTCACCAGATACTTTCCTCACTCCGCTTGGGCTCTGATATCCTGCTTCAGGCCAGCGCCCTTCCCAGCCACTTTTCTTACCCCACACATGCTCCAACATCCCACATCAGGACACTTTCCATGCTCCTCCTCATTTTGCTTGAGCTCCAACACCTGATGTCCAACTGCACCTCTGTGTGGATGCATTTCTTAGCCCTCCCATGCTCTGACTCCCCATAGTGAGTCAGCCCTTGCTGGGATACCCTCTTCACCTTGCTTTAACACCCACAATGGGCAGCTCACAGGAGTAGACACCCAGGCTCTGACAACCCATGCTGGGCCACATCCTATGGACACCTTATTCACACTATTTTTGTTCTACATTAAGAGGAGATTTCTCCAACTCTGATTTCCAACATTTTTATTAAAGTTTTTATTTTTTAAATCAAATTTTAGTTTTCAAGAACTCTTGCATGTTCTCCTTTTTATGCCATTCTATTCTTATTTTGTGGATATTATATTTTCTTTCTTCTCTCAAATGATACTAATTTCATAAGCTGAAGTTTTTTTAAGTTCTCTTTTGCTTTCTGTGTCACTTCTGTTTTCTTCTTATTTATTTATTATTTTGTACTGGAGACCTTTCTTAAACTCTCAGTGATCTTTGGTTAGCTACATTTAAGAGTAAGGCAATAAAATGCTGATTTGAACCTCTATATATGGGAAGAGTTTTCAAACTTTACTTTTTTTTTTTTTTTTGAAACAGGATCTTACTCTGTCACTCAGGCTGCAGTACAGTGGTGCAATCATGACTTACTGCAGCCTTGACCTCCTGGACTCAAGTAATCCTCCCACCTTAGCCTCTCGAATAGCTGGGGCTACAGGTGCACACCACCATGCCCAGCTAATTATTTTAACTTTGTTAAGAAGTTTCTAAGACTCTCAAAAACACTTACCATTAGAGAGGTCTGCCAAGGACATTGAAAATCACAGAGATCTATGAAATGTAGGATAAGCAGGTCAAGATCAGAAAGGACAAAAGTATCCTCACAAGAAACAAATTTTGGAAGGACCTGTTGCAGTGCACACTGGTTCACGTGTGTGAGCGTACATCAGAATCAACCGAGAGGGCTTGCTAAAACTTGGAAACCCAATGCAGAGCTTCTGATTTAATAGGTCTTGGGTAGAGCCCGAGAATATGCATTTCCAGCACGTTGTTGGGTGATGCTGATATTGCTTATCTGGGGGCCACAGTTTGAGACTGCTGATTTCAAGTTTCGTTGTGCTGTGTTCTTCAGCACAACGGACAGCTCTCTCACACAGCACCAGAGACAACTTGTTTGATTTCTTTAAAAAAAAAATTTTTCAACTTGGGCAATGTAATAGGTGGGGAAATGTTTGTATATTATATTGGAAACTTAAATCCTCTAAACTTTTTTTTTATTCTACCAACCAGACCCCAAGGGCGATTTCTAATCCATAACCATTTTTACAGCACCATCTGTAAAATTCTGTGCAGCCAATAGGGGTTTCTTTTTCTGTGAATTTAAAGACAACAATTATTAAGAATGGATTTTTATGATCACCATGCTTGAGCAATGTTAGAGATAAAATACTCCTCCTTGCCTTGTGGATTTGCTCCCACCGCCCTGCCGTTCACGAGCTGTGTGTGTGTGCTGCAGAGGGGATCTGAGTAAGCAAGGAAAGAATCAGAATTGGATGGGTGAAGCCCAGAGGCCTCCTGAGAGAGGGAAGCATGAGGAGTGGGGAGAGGGGCTCCATGCCCTCTGACTGAACAGGTGTCAATCAAGCAGCGAGACTGCGAGTGACCACTGAGGTGAAGGCTGAGGGGGAGGAGGAGTTTGAGCTGGAGCCCAGACTCTGATGACAGGGAGTATACAGGGGGAGCCCCTGGACAGCCCTCCAGGAACTCGGAAGTGGGGCCCATGGGCTGTTAGGCCTGGCCCCACAGCTGACAGAAAAGCCATGAAGACCTGGAGCCTGGCTGCTTTGCAGTGAGAGCTCAGAGGGAAGGAGATATCGCTTTCTCTTTTCCTCCTCCCCACACCAACACCAGGCAAGAGGTGCTGGAAAGAAGGAGGAAGAAGTGTTAGAGAGCAGAGTCCTGCACCACCAACCACGCTCCACCCTCGGAGGCCTGGGCCACAGCCTCCCAAGTTGAGGGACAAGGTGGACTTGGAGTCGAATGTAAGAAGGGCATTTTCACTAAATAGGACAGTCTTAAAAACTGGAATGAAACTGGTGACTATTGAAATAAAAGTGATGAAAAGTGTATAGGACTGGACTGAGCTGCTGTGAAGGGAGAGAGTCACCCAGCAGGAAAGAGGGGTGACAAGGCACCGTTGGGAGCAGTCTTGAGAAAACAAGAATTTTTTGTTTGTTCCTCAGTGAGTAGCAACACCTTGTTACATGGATTACAACGTGTTTCTTAAACCTGAGTAATATGGGGAAAGATAAAGAAATAAAAAACATATTGAGGACTTCTACTGCTGACTTAAAATCTTTTTGTGATGGTATGTATGTTCAAACACAAAGCTATGTAAAAGTTTCTCATTCTTCTCTCTTCTGGGACCACGAAAGCAAATAAATGTACACAAAAAACACAATTCAGGCCAGGCGCGGTGGCTCACGCCTGTAATCTCAGCACTTTGGGAGGCTGAGGTGGGTGGATCACCTGAGGTCGGGAGTTCGAGACCAGCTTGATCAATATGGAGAAACCTCATCTCTAATAAAAATACAAAAATTAGCTGGGCTTGGTGGCGCATGCCTGTAATCCCAGCTACTCGGGAGGCTGAGGCAGGAGAATCGCTTGAACCCGGGAGGTGGAGGTTGCAGTGAGCTGAGATGGCACCATTGCACTTCAGCCTGGGCAACAAAAGCGAAACTCTGTCTCAAAAAAAAAAAAAATTCACTAGCAACAGATTTATACGACTGATCTGGGAATGTTTTTGAATGTGACATTTTCATTCTGCCACGTGTCTTGTGTTTTGACTCAGTTTCCCCACCACTTCGTTTTGCATTTGATCCTTCCTTCAAACAGTGCTGAAGGCAGCAAAGCATTATGTGTAGCATTTTTTAAAGAGGCAGGACTAGGCCGGGTGCAGTGGCTCATGCCTGTAATCCCAACACTTTGGGAGGCCAAGGTGGGTGGACCACTTGAGGCCAGGAATTCAAGACCACCCTGGGCAACATGGTGAAACCCCGTCTCTATTACAAATACAAAAATTAGCCGGGCGTGGTGACAGGCACCTGTAATCCCAGCTACTTGGGAGGCTGAGGCCAGAGAATCGCTTGAACCTGGGGGTGGAGGCTGCAGTGAGCCGAGATCGTGCCACTGCACTCCAGCCTGGGTGACAGAGCAAGACTCTATCTCAAAATAAATAAATAGGCAGGATTATTTGAGGCCAGCTGTATTGTAAACCCAATTACAAACCTGGACACTGAAATTGTGTGACTGTACTTGTTTAAAACACACACACACACACACACACACACACACACACACACAGAATTGTTTATTTGGATTTTTCTATGCTTAGTTGAACACGTTAAAGGGACTGTGAGGTCAAGCACTATCTACAGACCAATGTTATTCTTATTAAGGGCCTCTCCTTCCAGATCATAGTCCTTCATCCTAGGCTCCTCTGAAGTGGTATGATTGGTTGTGTTAATGGTACTTTGGCCTCCAGATTGTCTCTGAAAGGGTGTGGGTGATTTTATGCAACAAGTTAAACACTGTTTCATAACTCCCAGCATTCTTTTATCCCATCCTCAGTCCCAAGATCTGAATTTATTCCAGTATTACCCCCACCCCCCAGGATATTTTTTCCCTTCTCAAGGCCAACCCTATGTGACTTCATCTGGAGAAGAACTAGAGAGCTCTGAGGCTGCAGGAGGGATGGGTCATCCTGGAAGGTGGCCACCAAAGTTCCCTCTCCTGTTCTGAATGCAGGCTTCAGGATGCCCACCTCAGGGACAGGTCTGTCCTGCTGAGGCCCTGCCAACACCCAGCCAGGTTGTCCTCCCCTGCTCTGCCAGAGTGATGGTTAATATTGAGTGTCGACTTGATTGGATTGAAGGATACAAAGTACTGTTCCTGGGTGTGTCTGTGAGGGTGTTGCCAAAGGAGATTAACATTTGAGTCAGTGGACTGGGAAATGCAGACCCACACTCAATCTGAGTGGGCACCATCTAATCAGCTGCCAGCACTGCTAGGATAAAAGCAGGTGGAAGAACTACACTGGCTAATCTTCTGGCCTCCATCTTTCTCCTGTGCTGGATGCTTCCTGACCTCCAACACCAGACTCCAAGTTCTTCAACTTTTGGACTCTTGGGCCTACACCATTGGTTTGCCAGGGGTTCTTGGGCCTTCAGCCACAGACTGAAAGCTGCACTGGTGGCTTCCCTACTTTTGAGGTTTTGGGACTCAGACTGGCTTACTTGCTCCTTAGCTTGCAGATGGCCTGTTGTGGGACTTCACCTTGTGATCATGTGAGTCAATACTCCTTAATAAACTCCCCTTCATATATACATCTATCCTATTAGTCCTGTCCCTCTAGAGAACCCTGACTGATACACAGAGTGAAGCAGTTCCTGTATCTTGTTTCTCTAAGAGGGGCTGGTGACCCTTTAGAATTCAGCTCATTTGGCTGCCTTGTGACCTCATCTCTCTAATAGGTTTATAAAATGTTTATGTTGTGTAGATTACCCTGTGTTTACTTATTCTTCTGTTAGGAGCTGTGCATGTTCCTTGTGACTTTCTTCCTCCGAAGCAGAAGGAGAATTCTTTTTTTGAGTTTGATTCTGTCACCAAACATGGTGGCAGGGCTATGGATGGCACACTTAGTGCCTTTATGGGAATTAGAAAAAGGCACCCCTTTCACCAGGCTGATTTAACCCAACACCTGGACACAGCGTGGAGAGCATAGTGTAGGCTGGCTTTCAGCCCCCACACCTGCTCTCAGTCAAGTTCGTTGGGGTGGGGCTTAATTTGCAGAAACAATATGTTCAAACCAGCACAGAAAAAGATCAACATGGCTGGAATGTAGAAAGGTAGTTTTTTATTTCATACCTTTCAGACATCTGTAAGCTTGACAAACGTTCCCCTGCCTTCTCTGTCTGCCTTCGTATAAGCTTAGTCCAAAGTCCTGGTTTCCCCTGAAGGAAAAGATTTTTCATTCATTCATTCATTCATCCTTTCATTCAACAAAGCTTATGGAGGTCCTACTGTGTGCAGATCCCTTCATTGTGTCCCCGTGGGAAAGAAGAAGGCATAGTAGAAACAACACAAGTTTCTAGAACAAGGCAGCCAAGGTTGAAACTCCAGTTCTGCTTCTTACTAGCCCTCGGTTAGTTAAATCTTTCCTCAAGTCTCATTTGTGAAATGAGAATGATGACCCTTTGTCATGGAGTCTTCATAAAGCCAATGGGGCTGATGTAAATAACATGTTTTATACAGTTTCTGGCATACAGCAGTGGCCTACTATGTGTAGCTGTACCTGTGTACATACTTGCAGGCCCGGGGTGCTAAAGAGAAGTGCCCTTCTGGTTTGGATTGGCAAGTCACCAGCCAGAGAAGGGAGAGCCCCCTTCCCTCCCTGCACCCTGTGGCAGGCGTGGAGGGGTGCCACTCCAATGTCCCCACAAGGAAGGCAGTTAGCTGACAGGATCAGCTGATAGGGTGACACGAGGGACCACCCAGCTTTTGAGCTAAGGCCACACACTTCCCAGGCAGCCCCAGTTGATGACTGAGTGTGGCAGTGGGTGAAGGGCTCCCCATTTCTGGCTGTCTTTTTGCCAGGGCTCCTCACCAGTCTGGCTGGAGCTTTCTCAGAGCCCCAGCATGGTCTGTGACTCCTCCTGCCCCCTCCTCACTCCTTTTCCCTCCTGTTCACCGGAGCTGGGCTTGTGCTGCAGTCTGAAGGCATCCCCTGCCTATGCCTGCCCTCTCTGCTCTTTCTCTCATGGACATTGCCCTCTTCTAACTCTGTCTTAGCGTCTAGATGGACACAACTCTGCTTTCTCCCACAGCCACATTTCCTATGTCAGGATCTTGCTTCCCATTTGTATAGTGAGTTCCATGGCCAGCATCTCCTGGGACGGCCTCAGTTGTAACAGCTCCTGCTGCCTTGATGCCACACACCACCGTGTTAATTCTACCCACAATATTTGCATGATTTCTAGGTGCCAAGCACAGCTCTAAATACCGAGGATACAGCATTGAACTGAGCAGACAAGGGCTCAGCCTTCGTAAAGTATATGGTCTATGGGGGAGACTGACAAAGTAACAAATGGATAAATAATTTCATCTAACAAGAACTGTGGAGCAGATGCATGGAGTCATGTGACTGGTAGGGTGGGCAGCATCATGAAAGGTGGTCAGGGAAGGAATCTCTGAGGAGGGGGTGTTTGAGCAAAGACCTGGGCAATGAGAAGAAGCCTGTCAGGAAAAGATCTGAATGAAGAACAAGCATTCCGGACAGAGGAAACAGCAAGTGCAATGGTCCTGAGGTGGGAATGAGCTTGGTGTTAAAGGAAAAAGAAAGGAGGCTGCTGTAACTGGTGTGTAATGAACAAAGAGGATCTTGGGAGGAGGTGAGGTCTAATATTGCATTATTTATCTGCCACTGCAGAAAAAAATCAACCCAAAACCTAGGAGCTCAAAATAAAGTAATCATTTGCTATCGTTCATAGATGCCATGGACCAGGAATTCCAATGGCACAGCAGACAGCTTATTTCTGGTTCAGGATGTCTTTCCTGGGCCTCAGCCAGAAGATTCAAAGGCCAGGGATAAAATCATTTGCAGTTTCACGTGGTCATTCAATCTGGCTGTTGATGTTGATGTCGGCTGGGTGCCTAGATGTGCCTGTCAACTGGTCTCTCCTTGTGGCTTGGGATTCCTCACTGCATGGTAGCTGTGTTCCAAGCACAAGTATCCTGAGGTAGGAGCCAGGTGGCAACTGTATCCTTTCCACCGCCCAGCCACAGAAGTCACATAGCCTCACTTGTACTACATTCTATTAGAAAGAAGTGTGTTGCCAACTCCAGCCCACATTCAAGGGAGGGGAGTCACACCTCACACTTTAAGTGAGACATGTCAAAGAATTTGTGGAAATATTTTTAAATTACCATCAATGAAGACAGGAGCCAGGTCATTTTTAAAATCTTGAATTTTGTTCTATGTGCAATGGAAAGTCATTGAAGGGTTTGGGGTGGCAAGTGTTGGCATAATCTAATTTATGCCCTACAAAGGTCATGTTGGCTGCTAGGCAGAGAATGGGTTATAGAGGTCAAGCCTAATGAAGCAGGGTAAGAATCTGACTTGGAGAAGGAGACCTGATTCAAGTTCAAATTTCTGCACTAGCTAGCTATGTTACACTGGGAAAGTCTTCTAACACGGGAGGGTGTAGGGGTACTCTCTTGCATTTATTATTTTATTTATTTATTTATTTATTTATTTATTTAAATTTATTTTTGAGATGGAGTCTCAGTCTGTCGCCCAGGCTGGAGTGCAGTGGCACGATCTCGGCTCACTGCAAGCTCCGCCTCCCTGGTTCACGCCATTCTCCTGCCTCAGCCCCCAGGTAGCTGGGACTACAGGCGCCCGCCACCACGCCTGGCTAATTTTTTGTATTTTTTAGTAGAGACAGGGTTTCACCGTGTTAGCCAGGATGGTCTCGATCTCCTGACCTCGTGATTCACCCGCCTCGGCCTCCCAAAGTGCTAGGATTACAGGCGTGAGCCACCGCACCCGGGTTGCATTTATATGAGGATTTACCTAAGACCTGCAGGAAAGTGTTTGTTTCATGTCCTCCTCCATCAGGTGCCTGTTTTTGCTCACCACCATGTACCTAGTACCCAGCATGGGCTGTGGCATAGGGAGGCTTTCCATAAATATTTGTTGAAAGAGTAAACAAACATATAATATTGTAAACCCTGTGTTAGTCCTTCAGGTCAAACTTCTCTGATCTTCCAGGTCTGGAGTGTACCCACCAACCCAACAAGCTTTGAGGAATTGGGTAGCATCCGGGAGGAACATTGGGGAGGCTCTGGGCTCCATCTCTTCTGAAATAATTCCATGCCCCATCTTAAATTCAAGTCCATGAGGTCTGATTTCATTCAGAACCATCACCACTGCCCAGATAGACACAAAGAAAAGTAAGGCCGGCTCTTGCCCAGAGCCCAGCATGGGTGGCAGACCCAGGAGAGTCTGCTCTGGGGACTATAGGCAATATCAAGTGGCACATTCATGGCTGGCTAACGTACTCTCCAGGGACAGTGAGAAGGGGCGAGAAGAGCCTCTCCTTTTCCCATGACACCTACCAGAAGATGACACCATAGGAGGGGGAGTGGAGAGAGAGAGCAGCCCTCCCATAGCACGAAGAGCCCCAGCTAGTGGAATTCCTGCCCTTGACATTGGGCACTGACTGCAGCCATCTCCAGGGCTGCCGAGGGGTTGGGACTGCCAAGATCACCACCCGCATGCTCACCACCACTGTCAGAGAGACACTGAGGAAGCTGTGGCTGGGGACTTGGGGGTGGGGCACTGCATAATTTTTTAAATTGCTGATTTGCATTTTTGAGCCTTCTGAGTGCCCAGGCAAGAGACTGTTTCATTCAACAGGGTGTCTAGATTCCTATAACCTTCAGGCCTTCATTCTTTCTAGGTGTATTGAGATGCTAAGAGGCAAAAATGCAGCAGCATGGGCCTGTTCTCGTGGAGAGACTGTGTTGGGTTTGTATTTAAAATGTGTCAGGCCGGGCCCGGTGGCTCACGCCTATAATCCCAGCACTTTGGGAGGCTGAAGAGGGCAGATCACTTGAGGCCAGAGTTCGAGACCAGCCTGGCCAACATGGTGAAACTCTATCTCCACTAAAAATATACAAATTAGCCAGACGTGGTGGTGCACACCTGTAATCCCAGCTACTCGGGAGGCTGAGGCAGGAGAATGGCTTGAACCTAGGAGGCAGAGGTTGCAGTGAACTGAGATCTTGCCACTGTACTCCAGCCTGGGTGACAGAGTGAGACTCCTTCTCCAAAAAAAAAACAAAAATTGAAAAAAAAATGTGCGGGTCAAGGGAGGTTGGGGGAGGGTGCAGCCCTCTCTCCCAGGCGTCTGCCAGCCCCTACCTTTTTTGTGTTCCTTCCCCTTTCCTGCTTCCCCTGCTTCTGAGTAGCTTCTATCCTCCTCAGGACAGAAGCAATTAGTCCACGTGGCTCACCCAGGAGGGGGCCCCAGGAAACACCTCTTGGCCAGCTGCAGAGTCAGTACAATTGGTGCAGCCAGTGCGGCCTGTCAGACTCTGTGGGGGAAACCAGGCCCGCCTTGGCCTGCTCAGGCCTGAGGCATCCTCCCAACCTGTGGGAGGTGGCTTCCTTCCATTGGGTCACATCTGGGAACTTGGTTTAGAATTAGTCTCAGGTTGCGATCCCCTTCCTGGCTCCAAGATCATGACTCATTCTTTTTTCTCTCTGCTTCAACCATCGAACAAGTCCCAGTCAGCAGCTCCCGCCTCAGAGGGTTGTTATAAGGACTCAGGCAAGAGCAGTAAAGCACAGGGCGCTGGGCTGGCATACAGCAAGAGGCGAGGGGCAAGGAATTGCCCCGGTCAGCTGTGCCCCCTCCTGCTAGAGTCCAGCACTACCAGGGCTCCAGTCACACTGGCAGTGCCCCATGGGTCACATGCCCCACTAGCCTTCCTACTCGTTACTTCATTGATCTAAAGCAAGGTCTGTCTCTTCTGCAAGCCCACAGACCCTCTCCCATGCCCCAGGCCCTGCCCTTGGGAGCTCCTAGTCTGATGGAGGAGGTGAGGTACAAACTGTCACATCAGGCCAAGGCAGGAGGGAGGAGAGAGGGGACAGGTGCTTGCCCTCAGCTGGCCCTCTAGTGTGGACCTGTGCACCTCCCAAGTGCTCACCAGAGAGCCCTCCTGCCCCCGCGATCTTCTTCTTGCCCTTTAGTGACTTTACTAGCAGATCAGAGAGGCCAAGCCCTTGCTCAACGTCACACGGTCAGAAGTGGTGCCAGACCCCCAGGCCAGCTCTCCAAGTCCCCGAACTGAGTTTTCTTCAGCCTTGCTAAAGGCAGAGGACTGAGAGCTTCCTTGGTCAGGAGAGTCCTCATCTCTGGACCACACATGTACACATGTGTACATATACACATGCACACATGTGCACAAACTCCTGGCCTGCCTCAGCCTCTGGTACAGTGTGGGGCCACTGCAGTTTGAGCCAGAACCCTCCTCCCTGCACACCCTCAGTGTTCTCATGAAAATAGGGCCAAGGACCTCATTCTCAGGAAGCCCTGGGAGCAGAAGCAGGCCCTTCAGGCCCCGCACTTTGGCCAGTCCCTGCTGTCTCAGTTGGGGCCGTTGGAGCTGAGCAGATAAAGAGATCTAATCAGGCCTGTGGCCAGCAGCTCCACCATGGACGGTTCTTGTGAAAGCAGAAGCTTGAAGTTTTGAGCTGGCCAGGGGAGGGTAGGCAGGTGTGGAGGATATTGGGTATTGCAGCTGAAAGATGCCCAGGAAGGAAAGCTCCCTCATGGTCTAGGGGCTGGATACTGACCAGGCAGGGCCAGGCCTGCCACAGCATCCACTGACCCAGGGCTGGCCTGGCCCCGAAAGAACAATGCCCCTGACAAAAGGCACTGAATCCTGACGGATGTACAGGCACAATCCATTCCCTGACTCAAGAGCCAGCCATGAAAATCAAGGTGAGAGCAAATGCATTCATTCCACAAATACATATTCAGCCTCTGCCAGGTATTGTGTTAGGTAATGAGGTTACAGTGAGCATCAAAACAGGCACACAC